>NC_000001.11:92053835-93303835 GCF_000001405.40 Homo sapiens | reverse complement strand
AAGCCAGGCATGGTGGTGGGCACCTGTATCCCCAGCTACTCAGGAGGCTGAGGTGGGAGAATTGCTTGAACCCAGGAGGTTGAGGCTGCAGTGAGCTCAGATTGTGCCACTGCACTCCAGCCTGGGTGACAGAGACCCTGTCTCAAAAAATAATAATTTAAAAAAAAGTTGTTTGACAGGAATTCTCATTGGTTTACAGAGATAACATTAAGTGTTTGACTGTACATTGTTGAACGATACGATATGAGTTCTGGTGTCCAGCTGTAGCATTTCATGGCTTCTTGGTGTCAGCCTCGGGCCCACGTAGCAGGTGGCATCAAGAGACAATTATTTGGCCAAGTGCAGTGGCTCACACCTATAATCCCAGCACTTTGGGAGGCCAAGCAGATGGATCACTTGAGGCCAGGAGTTTGAGACTGGCCTGGCCAATATGGCAAAACTCTGCCTCTACTAAAAATATAAAAATTAGCCAGGTGTGGTGGCATGCACCTGTAGTCCCAGCTACTCGAGAGGGTGAGGCATAAGAATCTCTTGAACCCGGGAGGCGGAGGTTGCAGTGAGCCGAGATCACACCACTGTACTCCAGCCTGCGTGACAGAATGAGACACTATCTCAAAAAAAAAAGAAAAGAAAAGAAAAGAAAAGAAAATATAAAAGAAAAAAAAAGACAATTATTTAGCCCAAGGGGAAGTGAAGTGAAGTAACTGCTGTTTCATTCTAATGCCTGTTTGGGCCTGATAATTTAAAAGGGCTTACATTCCTAAGATAAAGTCTCTTTTCTTCTTTTTTTACATTGTTTTTAGTGATCAGGAAAGAGTAGTATGTTTGATATAGCGACAATAATCCAAACTGATCATGAGATAACTAACCATGTTGTGAGTTGTTTGCTAGCCTAAGGCATTATTCAATAGCCAAAAGCAAGCTGTGGTATTGACAAGATCCTTTCACTGTTGCACTTCTGGTACTGTAAAGAATGGACTAGATCCGGGCAAGTAAAAAGTTAGCTGGCTGTTTTGTTAGTCCAAGGGAGAGAGGATGCAAACCTAACCTAGAGCATTGGCACATAGGATGGAAAAGATGGGTTAGACCAAAGATATTTCTGAAAGAGAATTTCAAGATTAGTAACTGAATATGAAAGGAGTGAGAGGGGGAGGAATTAAGAATAACTCTGAGATCTCCGGCTTGGGAAAATGGGTGGATGATGACACCATTAACTAAGAACAGGAATATAAGATCATTTGTATTTGTACAAATACAAATTTGGAATTCAAGGTTAAGATTGGCATTTGAGAAACAGATTTGGGAATTAATAAATGAAGCTATGAGAATAGATAAGGCCATCAAGGAAGCACACTGGAGAAAAAGGAAGAGGTCCAAGGAAAGCAGTGCAACATCTAAAGGCAGCGAGAAAGCCCAAAATAAGAATTATCGGAGTGACGGGAAAATGGCATTTGAGAAGATCACAGAAGAGAGAGCATCAAGGCATGGTAGTCTACAGTGTTAAATGGGGCAGAAAAGTCAAGTAGACTGCAGAAAAAAAAGCCAGCCGTTTTGCAATGAATTCAACAGGTTAAAATAACTACCACTTGTAGAGGAGGAAAAAAACTTTTCCCTATCCTCTTAGGTTCAGTACCTGGGGCCGTACAAATTAAACTAGCAAAAGACAGATTAACAAAAGTGAAAAGTTTATTACATGAGCCTATTGGAGCTTCATAGAAAAGTTGTGAAAGCCTCCAAAGGCCAGTAGACCCAGAGGCTTACATATCATTTTAACAAAGTATGGACAAAGGGATTTTGAACTTGAGGTGAGGGATAGGTTGTGTGGGAAGGAGACTTACTCAGATTTAAGTCATCTCAGGTGATGAGAGTTGTCTCCAGAGTTGGTATCCTCTTTCTGGTACCAGAGAGGAGGATACCTTTATAAATAGAAATTGCCTTTACAAAAATAGAAATTTATACTCTGCTTTTAGAACTTTTTCTGCATCTTCTGTTCCTCAGTTGCCTTCAGCTCAAAGTAATCATTATGCCAAAGTGACATATTTTGGGGAGGCTTCCTCTGATCTCCCTCACATTTGAAAACAAGCAAAGTTTCTCTCAGAAAGCAAATAAATATACTGATATAATATAGGCCAAAATGAATCCTAAAAGCTTGTCAAAATTCTTTTATTTTACTAAAGTTTAGATGTAACAAATATGTTTGCCTGGCTCCTTTTATACACACACATACTCTCTGTCTCTGTCTTTTCTAGACCAGAATTTAATCTGTATTAAACAGAGTTTAAACTGCTTTTATTTCAACATGAGGAGGTGGCTTATTGAGCTATTTAAAGAAAAATGACTTGAACCAAAAGCCTTCTGTCTTTCTAACTACTCTCAACAGACTGACTATTGTAAAATGTTGAGCCTATTAACTTCTCAAATGAATCACAATATAAGAGGATATCCAAACACAATAAAGTGAATGGAATTATGGTCAGACTATGAAAATATTATTGAGAAATACATTTAAATCACTAAACACTTAGCTGATTTGGTTATCACGTTAAAATGCTTCTACTGTTGTAGAACATTTCTCTTTAGTCCACTTAAAGATGAGAAAATTGGCATATTGTATAGGAGCTTACTGAAATGCCTGCATTGCAATAATACTATTGGCATCAAGAGAGATTTATCTCAAGTCTTAAATCTCAGTTGGGTAAATTTTGTTTTATAGGTTTTCATGCCCCACCCCAGACTTATTGAAACGGGATTTTTGAAAAACTGTTAATCTATGGTTTGTCAGTACAGGTACATAAATATTAATAAATCCAGACAATATGCGGGGTTTATTAAAAAAAACAACTGAACAGAATAATTTTGAAGAATTGGCTAAACCCAGATGAAATAATTAGAAAAGTATTTTAAAACAAATCCTACACAGAACCACATTTTTTTTTTTTGAGATGGAGTTTCGCTCTTGTTGCCCAGGCTGTAGTGCAATGGCATGATCTCTGCTCACCACAACTTCTGCCTCCTGGGTTCAAGTGATTCTCCTGCTTCAGCCTTCCGAGTAGCTGGAATTACAGGCATGTGCCACCATGCCCAGCTAATTTTATATTTTTAGTAGAGTCGGGGTTTCTCCATGTTGATCAGGCTGGTCTTGAACTCTCGACCTCAGGTGATCCGCCCGCCTTGGCCTCCCAAAGTGCTGGGATTACAGGCATGAGCCACCGCTCCTGGCCTCACAGAACCACATTCTATACAAGTGCTTCTTTTGTATTGATGGCACACAACTATATTATATTCTTTGAACTTGGTTGACTACATATTTTAAATCTTCAGCTACCAGCACGATGTCATCAAAATAGTAAGTCCTCAATTACTGAAACCTTTGTTGACATGAATAATAACTACGATAAGTAGAATTCTAAAGATGTCCTGCCAAGGCCAGGGCAGCAGCTCATGCCTGTAATCCGAGCACTTTGGGAGGTTGAGGTAGGAAGATCACTTGAGCCCAGGAGTTCAAGACCAGCCTAGGCAACACAGCGAGACCCTGTCTCTACAAAAAATAAACAAAATTAGCCAGGCATAGTGGCGTACGCCTGTAGTCCCAGCTATCCCAGAGGCTTGCCTGAGCCCAGGAGTTCAAGGCTACACTGAGCCAACTTCAGGCCACTGCACTCCAGCCTGGGCAACAGAGCAAGATCCTGCCTCAGAAAAATATTAAAAATAAATAAATAAATAAATAAAATAAAGATGTCCTGCCAAGATTCCTGTCCCTTGGTTATTCAATCAAACGCTATTCTAAGTATTGCCATAAAGAGACTTTTCATTTGCAATTAAGGTTACTAATTAGTTCATCTTAAGAAAGGGCCCGGCCAGGTGTGGTGGCACATGCCTGTAATCCCAGTACTTTGGGAGGCTGAGGAGGGAGAATTGCTTGAGCTCAGGAGTTTGAGACCAGCCTGGGCAACATGGCGAAACCCTGTCTCTACAAAAAATTAAAAAATTAGCCAGTTATGGTGGTGCACACCTGTAGTCCCAGCTACTCGGGGGGCTGAGGTGGGAGAAGGCTGCAGTGAGCCATGATCATGCCACTGCACTCCAGCCTGGGCAACAGAGTGAGACCCTGCCTAAGAAAAAGGGCAGGGGTGGAGCTAATCTAATCATATGAGGTCTTAAAAGTAGAGAATGTTCTATAGATGCTGCAGAATAAAAGGCAAAAGATAAAGTCACTTTGTAGCATCAGGAGGACCTGACACTGTTGCTTGCTTGAAGATGGAGGGGAACACATAACAAGGAAACAGAAACCTCAGTCCTACTACCATAAGGAACTGAATTCTAACAACAACCCAAAGGAGCTTGGAAGTAAAATGAATGTCTCCTGAAGTACATGTGAAATAATTTTTTAGGGTATGTATCTAGTATTAGCTATAGAGTAGGTGCATACTTACTGTACTAAGTAAGGCCAAATTATTTTCCAAAGTGGACATACATTTTCCTTTTAAAAAACTGATTTATAGTAGTTCATTGTTCTTGGTTTGTATTCTTTGGTGGTTATATCTTTTTCTTGTCTATGGCATTTGTTTTCCACTGGTATCTTTTGTAGATCAGAGGTTCTTAATTTAAATGTTTGATCTTTTCCTTCATAGTTTATTCATTTTGTGTCTTGTTTAAAAATCCTTTCCTACCCTGAAATCATAAGAATATTCTCTTGCAAATATCTTCTGAAGGTTTTATAATTTTGCCATTCACATTTAGATTTTTAATCCACATGGAATTGTTTAATTACCTTTTTAAAACTTTTACAAAGGAGCTCAATGTATTCATTTTAAAGTGGACTTAAATATCGTCTCCTTTTTCATTTTATAAATGAGGAAACTCAGGCCTGAGTTAATCCCAGCACTTTGGAAGGCTGAAGCAGGTGGATCACATGAGGTCAGGAGTGCGAGACCAGCCTGGCCAACATGGTGAAAACCCGTCTCTACTAAAAACACAAAAATTAGCTGGGCGTAGTGGCAGGTGCCTGTAATCCCAGCTACTTGGGAGGCTGAGGCAGGAGAATGGCTTAAGCCCGGGAGGCGGAGGTTGCAGTGAGCCGAGATCGCACCACTGCACTCCAGCCTGGGTGACAGAGTGAGACTCTGTCTCAAAAAAAAAAAAACACACACACACACACGCTGACACACACACACGCAGACACACACACAAACTGAGATGTTTTGTTATTCTTGAGTTTTAAGAGTTCTTTATATATTAAGATTACAAGTCTTCTTCAAATATGTGATTTGTCAATATTCCAGTCTATGGCTTGTTTTTTTCATTCTATTTAACAATGTCTTAGGCCGGGCACGGTGGCTCATGCCTGTAAACCCAGCACTTTGGGAGGCCGAGGCGGGCAGATCACAAGGTCAGGAGATCGAGACCATCCTGGCTAACATGATGAAACTCTGTCTCTAGTAAAAATACAAAATATTAGCTGGGCATGGTGGCGGGCGCCTATAGTCCCAGCTACTCGGGAGGCTGAGGCAGGAGAATGGCGTGAATCCACGAGGTGGAGCTTGCGGTGAGCCAAGATTGCTCCACTGCACTCCAGCCTGGGCGACAGAGCGAGACTCCGTCTCAAAAAAAAAAAAAAAAAAAAGTCTTTTGAACATAAGTTCTTAACTTTGATAAAGTCAAAATTACAAACTTTTTTCTTTTATGGATCATAATTTTGGTGTTACATCAAATAAATCTTTGCCTAATCCAAAATCACAAAGATTTTTCTCCTTTGTTTTCTTCTAGAAGTTTTAAATTTTATATTTAAAACTTGAAAGCTTTAGATTTTACATTTAGATTTTACATTTAGATATAGGATACATTTTTTAGTTAATGTTTATGATGTGAGGTATGGATTGAGTTTTCTTTCCCACATGGATATTGAATTGTACCAGCACAGTTTATTAAAAGATGTCTTTTTTTCTACTGAATCACCTTTAGAACTTTCTTGAAAATCAATTGACCACATATGTGTGGGTCTATTTCTGGATACTCATCTTGAATTCAGATATTGAGTCTTCCAATTCTGTTTTTGTTTTCAAAGCTGTTTTGGCTTTCTAGGTCTTTTAAGTGTCAGCATGAATCTAAAATTCATTCGCTTATGAATTTCTACAAAAAATCCTGCTGTGATTTTGATTGGGATTTTCATCTGCAAATAACAAGTATTATTACTTCTTTTCAAATCTGGAGGCCTTTTATCCTTTTTGTTTTTTTTACCTTATTGCACTGGCTAACATCTCCATTAAATGTTGAAAAGAAATGGTGAGAGTGGACATCCTTACCTTGTTTCTAATCTTTGCATGAAACCATTCAGTTTTTCACCATTAAGTATGGTGTCAACTGTAGGTTCTTCATAGATGCCTTTTATCATATTAAGGGAATTAGTCTTCTATTTCTAGATTGTTGGGGTGTGTGTGTGTGTGTGTGTGTGTGTGTGTGTGTGTGTGTCTGTTGAAGATATATACAACATAATGGGAGGAAGTGGAGCAAGATGGTTGAATAGAAGCCTCTACCAATCAGCCCCTCTGCACACTAAATTTAACAATTATCCACATAAAAAGCACCATAAAAACCAAAAATCAGGTCAGCAGTCACAGTACCTGGTTTTAACTTCATATCACTGAAAGAGGCACTGAAGAGGGTAAGAAAAACAGTCTTGAATTGCAGATGCCACTGCTTCCATATCCCCCAGCAGTAGGTTATATAGCGCAGAGAGAGAATCTGTGCATTTTGGGGAGTAAGAGCGCAGTGATTTTGGGACTTTGCATTGGTACTCAGTACAGCCCTATCACAGTGGAAAACAACACTGGGCAGAACTCAGCTGGCACCCAACAAGGGAGCATCTAGACCAGCCTTAGCCAGAGGGGAATCACCCATTCCAGTGGTTGGAACCTGAGTTTCAGCAAGCCTCACCAACACAAGCTAAAGTGCTCTGGGGTCCTAAATAAACTTGAAAAGCAGTCTAGGCCACAAGGACTGCAATTCCTGGGCAAGTCCTGGTGCTGTGCTGGGCTGGGAGCCAGTGGATGTGGGGGGCATACGACCCAGTGAGACACCAGCTGGGGCAATCAAGGGAGTGTTTGTGCCACCCCTCCCCCAACTCCAGTTAGCACAGCTCAAGCCCCAGGAAATACTCCTTCCCTTCACTTGAGACAGGAAAGAGTCTTAAACAAATTTACATTCCCATCAGCAGTGTCCATTCTTTATTTTGTAACAGTTAAGTTTTATAGGTGTCTTGGGGTGATGATAAAAAGTAAAGCTAAATCAGTTTCTAAATATATATTTGTTATAAATGGATAGAAAAAAATGCATCTTGAACATGGAATTGTTAAACCACCTCTGAGTAGTGTATATCAGAACTTGCTCATTAGGTTGGCAGCAAAAGGACAGAAAGAAGTTTAAAGGGAGAGATGTATGTAGATGTGTTTATATTTACATATTGATGATAGCCATTTATGTGTGTGCATCTCTTTTGGTTCTACTATAGTAACACACTCAGTAATCCAATGGAAACATGCTTTTTCACTAATATTCTTTTTTTTTTTTTTTTGGTGAGACAGAGTCTCGCTCTGTCACCCAGGCTGGAGTGCAGTGGTGCAATCTCGGCTCACTGCAACCTCTGCCTCCCAGGTTCAAGCGATTCTCGTGCCTCAGCCTCCTGAGTAGCTGGGATTACAGGCGCCCGCCACCACGCCCGGCTAGTTTTTGTGTTTTTAGTAGAGACAGGGTTTCACCATGTTGCCCAGGCTGGTCTCAAACTCCAGGGCTCAAGCAATCCACCCGCTTCGGTCTCCTAAAATGCTGGGATTACAGGCATGAGCCACAGTGCCCGGCCTTTCACTAATATTCTAATAATATAGTTCTGATAATGAATTCTCTTAGAAACATACTAGTGTACTCTTGCTTTATGTCTCATTTTAAATAGAGCATTAAGGGAATGCAGTAATTTTTATTAACTTTGCCGATACCTTTATCTAGACGCCTATTGCCATTTTGGGCTTCTGTGAAATTTTTGTCCCCAAGAAAGGCAGGATTATATATTTTTTAATATAGATTGAGTTGGTGTAGTATATTCTCAGTTATCAAAATACTTGAGATTTTGAATTGGTAAATATTCATAATGTGTGAAAAGGCATGATACATACTGCATGATCTCAACCACATAAAATTGGATGTTGTATATAGACAACACAGGACCTAGAAGGACACATCCAACTGTAAGATGCTTGTTATTGTGGATTATTTTGTTCTTTGATTCTTGTGTTTTTCAATTCCCCGTAATGCACATTTGAAATTTAAAAAAAAAGTTATTTTTAAAACATGTATGAAGTCCCCATTGCTCATAGAATAAAATTAGCATATTCCATAGGGGAAAAAAAGAATTAAAATGTCATAATCTGAAATTTTCTTTGTGGAAAAGTTTTTAAACTTCAGTTAAATTTATTTAATAGATATAGGGCTAATCATGTCATCAGTTTCTTCTTAAGGAAGCTTTGGTAGTTTGTGTCTTTGAAGAAATTTGTGCATTTGAAATTGCCAAATTTATTGGCATAACTGTTGATAACATTCTATATCCTTTTAATAAGTGCACAATCTGAAGTGATGTTACCTGTCTTATTTTTGATATTGATACTATGTATCTTCTATTTGTGTGAGCCTGGCTAAAAATTTATATATTTTATTAATCAACTCCAGTAACTAGTTTCTGGCTTCATTAACTTTCTCTGTTTTTTTAACTTTTAATTTTTAAGTTGTGTGGGGTACATAGTAGGTGTATATGTTTATGGTGTATATGAGACTTAATTTGTTTTTGTTCGTTTTAGAGATGGGGTCTCACTATGTTGCCCAAGCTGGTCTCAAATTGCTGGGCTCAAATGATCCTCCCACCTCAGCTTCTCAAAGTGCAAGAATTACAGGCATGAGCCAACCTGCCTGGCCAGTATGAGATATTTTGATGCAAGCAAACAGTGTATAATGATCACACTGGCATTGGTGTAAATGGGCTATCAATCATCTCAAGCATTTATCCTTTGTGTTACAAACTATCCAATTATACTCTTTCAGTTATTTTTAAAGGTACAATAAATTATTGTTGACTGTAATCGCCCTGTTATTTAATCCAACAATAGGTTTTGTTCATTCTAATTATATTTTTGTACCCATTAACCATCCACACTTTCCCACTGCACCCCCACCACTACCCTTCCCAGCCTCTGGTAACTATCTTTCTACTCTCTATCTCCGTGAGTTCAACTGTTTTAATTTTTAGTTCTCACAGATAAGTGAGAACATGTAAAGTCTGTCTTTCTATGCCTGGCTCCTTTCACTTTAATGTAATGACCTCCAGTTCATCTATGTTGTTGCAAATGACAAGATCTCATTCTTTTTCATGGCTGAAGAGTACTCCACTGTGTATAAATACTCCACATTTTCTTTACCCATTCAGCTGGTCATGGACACTTAGGTAGCTTACAAATCCTGACTATTGTGAATAGTGCTGCAATAAACATAAGAGTGCAGATATTCCTTTAATATACTTATTTCCTTTCTTTTGGGTATACAACTAGCAATGGGATTGCTGGATCATATAGAAGTTCCATTTTTAGTTTTTTGAGGAACCTCCAAACTGTTCTTCATAGTGATTGTACTAATTTGCATGCCCATCAACAGTGCAAGGGTTCCCTTTTCTCCACATCCTTGCTAGCATTCATTATTTCCTGTATTTTGGATAAAACCCAGTTTAACTGGGGTGAGATATCTTGTAGTTTTAATTTGTGTTTCTCTAATAATCAATGATGTTGAATGCTTTTTCATATACCTGCTTCCATTTGCATGCATTCTTTTGAGAAATGTCTATGTAGATCTTTTGCCTGCTTTAAAATCAGATTATTAGATTTTTTCCTGTTGAGTTGTTTGAGCTCCTTATATATTCTGGTTGTTAATCTCTTGTCAGATGGATAGTTTGAAAATATTTTCTCCCATTCTATGGATTAGCTCTTCACTTTGTTGATTATTTCTCTTGCTGTGCAGAAGCTTTTCAACTTGATGTGATCCCATTTGTCTATTTTTGCTTCAGTTGCCTGTGCTTGTGGGATATTATTCAAGAAATCTTTGCCCAGTCTCATGTCCTGAGGAGTTTCCCCAGTGTTTTCTTTTAGGAGTTTCATAGATTGAAGTCTTAGATTTAAGTCTTTAATCCATTTTAATTTGATTTTTGTATACAGTGAGAGACAGGGGTCTAGTTTCATCCTTCTGCATATTAATATTCAGTTTTCCCAGTACCATTTATTGAAGAGACTGTCTTTTCCCCAGTGTATGTTCTTGGGACCTTTGTCAGAAATGAGTTCACTGTAGGGGTGTGAATTTGTTTCTGCATTCTCTATTCTGTTCCATTGGTCTATGTGTGTCTTTTTATGCAAGTACCATGCCGTTTGGTTACTATAGCTCTGTAGTATAATTTTAGCTCAGGTAATGTGATTCTTCCAGTTTTGTTCTGTTTGCTTAGGATAACTTTGGTCTTTTGTGGTTCCATATACATTGTAGGATTGTTTTTTCTATTTCTGGGAAGAATGTCATTGGTATTTTTATAAGGACTGCACTGAGTCTGTAGATTGCTTTGGGTTGTATGGACATTTTAATATTGATTCTTCCAATCCATTAACATGGAATATCTTTCCATTTTTTGGTGTCCCCTTCAGTTTTTTGAAGCAGTGTTTTATAGTTTTCATTACAGAGATCTTTCACTTCTTTGGTTAATTCCTAGGTATTTCTGTTTATTTGTGGCTAGTAATAATGTGATTACTTGCTTGATATCTTTTTCAGATTGTTCACTGTTGGCATATAGAACTGCTACTGATTTTTGTATGTTGACTTTGTATCCTGAAACTTTACTGAATTTATATGTTCTAATAGTTTTTTAGGGGAGTATTTAGGTTTTTCCAAATATAAAATCATATCATCTGCAAACAAGGACAATTTGACTTCTTCCTTTCTAATTTGAATGCCTTTTCTTTCTTCCTCTTGTCTGATTGCTCTAGCTAGTACTTCCAGTACTTTGTCAAATAACAGTGGTGAAAGTGGGCATCCCTGTCGTTTTCCAGATCTTAGAGGAAAGGCTTTCAGATTTTTCCCATTCACTATGATACTAGCTGTGGCTCTGTTGTACATATTTTTTTCATGTTGAGGTATATTCCTTCTAAACACAGTTTTTTGAGGGGGTTCATTCTGAAAGGATGTTGAATTTTATCAAAATCTTTGTCAGCATCAATTGAAATTATGATGTGGTTTTTGTCCTTCTTTCTGTTGATATGATGTATCACATTGATTTGCATATGGTGAACCATCCTTGCATCTGGGAATAAATCCCAGTTGATCATGATGAATACTATTTTTAATGTGTTGTTAAATTCAGTTTGCTGGTATTTTGTTGAGGATTTCTGCATGAGTGTTTATCAGTGATAGTGGCATGTAGTTCTGTTGTTGTTGTTGTTGTTGCTGTTTGATGTGTCTTAGTCTGGTTTTGATATCAGGGTAAAACTGGCCTTGTAAATGAA
The DNA here is from genome assembly GCF_000001405.40 of Homo sapiens. NCBI lineage: Eukaryota > Metazoa > Chordata > Mammalia > Primates > Hominidae > Homo > Homo sapiens. Next base: position 93,292,262 of record NC_000001.11, on the reverse strand, counting down.
TTTGGAAGTATTCTCTTCTCCATTTTTTGGTACGATGGGTATTAGTACTTCTTTAAATGTTTGGTAGAATTACTCAGCAGTGACTGGGTATGGTGGCTCATGCCTGTAATCCCAGCACTTTGGAAGGCCGAGGCAGGTGGATCACTTGAGGTCAGGAGTGTGAGACCAGCCTGGCCAACATGGCGAAAACCCATCTCTACAAAAAATACAAAAATTAGCTGGGAGTGGTGGCGGGCACCTGTAATCCCAGCTACTAAGGAGGCTGAGGTGGGAGAATTGCTTGAACCTGGGAGGTGAGGGTTGCTGTGAGCCAAGATCATGCCACTGCACTCCAGCCTGGGCAACAGAGTAAGAGACTCCATCTCTTAAAAAATATTCAGCAGTGAAACCATCAGGTCTCTGGCTTTTCTTTGCTGGGATACTTTTAAATATATCTTCAGTCTCATTACTTCTCATTGTTCTGCTCAGGTTTTGCATTTCTTATGGTTCAATCTTTGCAGGTTGTATCTGTCTAGGAGCTATTTCTTCTTGGGTTTCGAATTTATTGGCATATAGTTGCTCATAGTAGCCACTAATGATCCAATACCATGGCCACTAATTTCCATGGTATTGGTTGAAATGTCTTCTTTTTCATCTCTGGTTTTATTTATTTGAATCTTTTCTCTTTTATTCTTAGCTAGTCTGACTAAAGGTTTATCAACTTTATCTTTTCAAAAAGCCACTTTTTGTTTCATTGATCTTTTGTATTGTGTTCTTTATTTCAATTTCATTTAATTCTGCTCTGATCTTTATTTTCTTGTACAAATTTTGGGTTTGACTTGCTGTTGTTTTTTTAATTCTTTAAGATACATCATTAAGCTGTTTATTTGAAGTTTCTCTTTTCTGATGTTGGCGCTTATAGACATAAACTTCCCTCTTAGTACTGTTTTCACTGTATCTGATAGGTTTTTGTTATGTTGTATTTCCATTATCATTTGTGTAAAAAGGGTTTTCAATTTCCTTAATTTTTTCATTGACCCACTGGACATTCAGAAGCATATTGTTTAGTGTCCATGTGTTTGTATAGTCTCCAAAATTCCTCTTATTGATTTGTAGTTTTATTCCATTGTGGTTGGAGAAGATACTTGGTATTATTTCAATTTTTTGAATGTTTTAAGACTTGTTTTGTGACTGAACATGTGGTATATTCTTGAGAATAATCCATGGGCTGAGAAGAGTGTGCGTTTTGCAGCCATTGAATAAAACGTTCTGTAAATACTTATTAGATCCACTGGGTCTATAGGGTAGATTAAGTTTAATGTTTCTTTGTTGATTTCATGTCTGGATGATCTATCCCATGCTGAAAGTGGGGTGGTGAAGTGTCTGGCTATTATTATATTGGGGTCTACATCTCCCCTTAGCTCTAATGGCATTTGGTTTATATATCTAGGTGCTTGAGTTTTGGGTGTATATATATTTACAATTTTTAATGCCTCTTGCTGAATTGACCCCTTTATCATAAGACCTGATTTGTCTCTCTTCTTATAGTTTTTGTCTTGAAATTATATTTTATTTTCTTTCTTTTTTTTTTTTTCAGGAGAAGTTTTGCTCTGTTGCCCAGGCTGGAGTGCAGTGGTGCAATCTCAGCCTACTGCAGCCTCTGCCTCCCAGGTTCAAGCAATTCTCCTGCCTCAGCCACCTGAGCAGCTGGGATTACAGGCATGTGCCACCAGGCCCTGATAATTGTTGTATTTTTAGTAGAGATGGGGTTTCACCATGTTGGCCTGGCTGGTTGCAAACTCTGATCTTAAGTGATCTGCCCACCTCGGCCTCCCAAAGTGCTGGGATTACAGGTGTGAGCCACTGCACCTGGCCTTGAAATTATTTTTTCTGATAGAAGTATAGCCACTCCTACTCTTTTTTGGCTTTAATTTGCGTGGAATATCTTTTTCCAACCCTTTATTTCAGTCTATGTGTGTCTTTATAGGTGAAGTGTGTTTCTTGTAGGCAACAGAACGTTGGGTCTTTTTTGATTGGAGAGTTTGGTCCATTTACATGCAGTTATTGATAAGTAGGGAATTGTTCCTGCCATTTTGTTATTTGTTTTCTTATTGTTTTGTGGTCTTCTCTCCTTCTCTTCCTTCTTGTCTCCCTTTTAGTGAAGGTGATTTTCTCTACTGTTGATACGGGAGCTAGAAAGAAATTATCTAGGCAGATAGTGTGCATAAAAGGAGTCTTCGACAAGGCTTCTCTTTTAACAAAAAGCAGCTCCCAAATCATTTCTTTTCTAACAAAGAGCAGCCTGAAAAATCAAGCTGCAGACATAGATAAGCAAGCTGAAAGCTTTGCATGGGTGAGTGCCAACAGCTGTGCCAATAGAAAAGGGCTACCTGGAAGCCAGGTATGTTCAACATGGGGGCTCCATCTTCCCTTTTCATTGTCACCACATGTACAGTAAGGAGCAGGCAACATGGCACCGGCCAGGTAGAGAACCCTTCTGCATAATAAAAGATTAGGATGGGACAGCCAGCTTCTTCACATGCTATGCAAATGGCACACCTGGTCTGACCAATCTTTTCTGCCCTCTGTAAATCAGACACCACCTCCTCAAGCTCATCTATAAAAATTCCTGCACTTCACCAGAAAACTGGCAATACATTTTTCTCTGGGACCCTTCTGCACAGAGAGCGCTTCTCTTTCTTTCACCTATTAAGCTTCTGCTCTTAACCTCACTCTGGTATGTCTGCATCCTAGTTTTCTGTGGTCATGGGACAACTAACCTCAGGTATTATCCCAGATGAATGATGCTGCTTCATTGTGGGGGCCTGCTTGGGATCTGAGGTAGATTCATCAGAAGGGTGAGTATAGGATGAGACCCCAACTCTTTTCTTTCATTTCAAGGCCTTCTGCCCTCCATTTTAAAATCAAACTAAACACTGGGACCCTGTCAGCCATTTAAAAATGGTTAGCCTGGCTGCCAGTCTTACAAGACTCAGGGGACAGGCTTGCCAGGGGGAACTTAGCAAATCACCCAGTATCCTCAGGGTACTAGGAATGTTGACTTTGTTTTGAACTGGTTTCATTTCATGGAGAGCCTAGCCATCACATGGGGCTAGAAGAAGTCCAGAGGCAACTGAGGGTTTCTGGCCAGGGCAACATCCTAGTGTTACCTGAAGGCTTCTGAACTAACTCCAGCCTCTGACAGCTCAGTGTGTGATGGCAAAGGATCTCCAAGCTTTCTCTATTGCAATTTTCCTTCATTTCTTATATCCATTCTCTGTATGCAATGCTGTGGGAATTTTTACAGTATAGGGAAGTAATCATATTAGGTAAGATCAGGAAATGCTGTAGTAATTGGGAATACAGCTCAAGCTTAAGGGATTGCCGTTTTTGAGATTTTCTAGGAAGAGAGGGCCCCCCAACCCCCTGCAGCAAGCATCTCTCTCTTTATATTTGGTCTGGAGAGCACATGGTATTTCAGAGTCAACAGCACCACCTAGTAGAATAGGAATCCTCTCCATTAGGCACATTGTTGGCCGTTTGCCAAAACACTCTAACAGCTTCATTAAGCAGTTCCCCAATAGGGACTCTGTATGGGGGTTCTGACCCCACATTTCCCTTCCACATTACCGCAGCAGAGGTTCTCCATGAGGGCCTGGCCCCCTGCAGCAAACTTCTGCCTGGACATCCAGGCATTTCTAGACATCTTCTGAAATCTAGGCAGAGGTTCCCAAACCTCAATTCTTGACTTCTGTGTACCTGCAGGCTCAACATCACATGGGAGTTGCCAAGGCTTGGGGCTTGCACCCTCTGAAGCCATGGCCTGAGCTGTACATTAACCTCTTTTAGCCATGGCTGGAGCAGCTGGGAGGCAGGGCACCAAGCCTCTAGGCTGCACAGAGCAGGGGGACCCTGGGCTTAGCCCACAAAACCATTTTTTCTTCCTAGGCCTCTGGACCTGTGATGGGAAGGTCTCTGACATGCCCTGGAGACATTTTCCCCATTGTATTGTTGATTAACATTCAGCTCCTTGTTACTTATGCAAATTTCTGCAGCAGGCTTGACTCTTTCCCCAGAAAATGGGTTTTTCTTTTCTACCTCAAGGTCAGGCTGCAAATTTTCCAAACTTTTATGCTCTGCTTCCTCTTGAATGCTTTACCACTTAGAAATTTCTTCCACCAGATACCCTAAATCATCTCCCTCAAGTTTAAAGTTCCACGGATCTCTAGGGCAGGGGCAAAATGCCATCAGTCTCTTTGCTGAAGCATAGCAAGAGTGACCTTTGCTCCAGTTCCAAATAAGTTCCTTATCTCCATCTGAGGCCACCTCAGCCTGGACTTCATTGTCCACATCATTATTAGCATTTTGGTCAAAACTATTCAACAAATCTCTATGAAGTTACAAACTTTTCCACATCATCCTGTCTTCTGAGCCCTCCAAGTCTCTAGGAAGTTCCAAACTTCCTTGCATTTTCCCGTCTTCTTCTGAGCCCTCCAAACTGTTTCAACCTCTGCCTGTTACCCAGTTCCAAAGTCACTTCCACATTTTCAGGTATCCATATAGCTGTGCCCCATTCTACTGGTACCAATTTACTGTATTAGTCTGTTCTCATGCTGCTAATAAAGACATGCCCAAGATTGGGTAATTTATAAAGGAAAGAAGTTTAATTGACTCACAGTTCAGCATGGCTGGGAAGGCCTCAGGAAACTTAACAATCATGGTGGAAGGGGAAGGAAACACATCCTTCTTCACATGGCAGGAAGGAGAAATGTCAAGCAAAGATGGAAAAGCCCCTTGTAAAACCATCAGATCTGGTAAGAACTCACTATCACGAGGACAGCAGCATGGGGTAACCGTCGTGATTCAATTACCTCCCACCGGGTCCCTCCCATGACACATGGGGATTATGGGAACTACAATTCAAAATGAAATTTGGTTGGGGACACAGCCAAACCATATCACTCAGCTTCCAACTGCTGGGATGGGTGATTCCCATCTGGTTAGGGCTAAATACTCCCTTTGTGGGCATTGGCTGAATTCTGTCTGGTGCTGGCATCACTGAGTTCCAATGCAAAGCCCCAGAATCACTGCATTCTCCTTCTCTCCCCCAAGAGCACAGATTCTCCCTGTGCCATGCAGCCTCTGCCTGGAGATGGGAGAGGAGTGGCATCAGCAATACAAGACTATCTTTCCCACCCTCTTCAGTGCCTCTTTCAGCAGTATGAAGTTAAAAACCAGGTATTGGGAATGCTCACCTGCTTTTTGGTTTGTACGAAGATTTTTTCTTTTTTTTTTTTTTGTAGACAGTCGTTATACTTGATGTTCCTGAAGGAAAGATGATTGGTGGAGGCTTTTATATGGCTATCTTGATGTGCCTTATTCTTTATTGTTTTTGTTTTCTATTTCATTAAAATTCACTATGATCTTTAACATTTCCTTTCTTGTGCTTCCTTTGGGAAGCAGTTTATTCTTTATTTTCTACTTTCCTAAGGTAGAAGCTGAAGTCATTGAGACCTTTCCTCTTCTCTGATATGAGGAGGTCTCCAATTATTATGAAAAATGGAATTATAAAATATAAAATATAAAACTTTTAATTCTCAACATAAGTTCCATTAAATTCAAGACATTTTTGTACACAACGATCCCTGCCATTTAGTTTCTCCTTAAAGAACTGAGGGTCCTGAGAATTTAATCATGTCAATACAGTCTTTTCTACATTATTAACTGAAGAGAAATGGGTGCTCTTTATAGATTTTTTTTAAAGATTAGGAAACACAAAGAAGTCAGAAGGAGCCAAATCAGGACTGTAAGGTGGATGCATAATGCTTTCCCATAGAAACTCACAAAATTGCTCTTGTTTGATGACAGGAACGAGCAGGAACATTGTCCTGGTGGAGATGGATGCTCTGGTGAAGCTTTTTTGTGGATTTTTGTACTGAAGTTCTTGTTAACTTTAACGTCTTTTAGAGAAAAGGTATTGCTTTTTCATCCTGACTGGAATGCAGTGGCACAATCAAAACTCACTGCAGCCTCGAACTCCAGATTCAAGTGATCCTCCCACCTCAGCCTCCTAAGCCGCTGATGTGACAGGCACACACCACCGTGCCTGGGTAAACTTTATTACTTTTGTAGAGATGGGGGTCACACTGTGTTGCACAGGCTGGTCTCAAACTCCTGGCCTCAAGTGATCCTCCTGCCTTAGCCTCTGAAAGTGCTGAGATTACAGGCATGAGCCACTGCACCTGCCTAGATGTGTGTTACTTAATTTCCAAAAATTAAGGTTTTCCCAGATACCGCCTTCTGCTCTATGTTTATAATTTAACTCAACATTGTGTTCAGAGAACATACTTGGTATGTCTTAGATCCTTTTAAATTTACTCAGACTTGTTTTATGTCCTAGAACATGGTCTATCCTGGTAAATGTTTCCTGCATAGTTTAAAAATATATCTTCTGCTGTTGTTGGGTGAGGTGTTCTAGAAATGTCAGGTTCAATTGTTTTATGTTGTTGTTCCTGTCTTCTATATCTTATTATTTTTCAGGATACTTTTTCTATAAGTTACTGAGAAAGGGGTATTGAAATATCTAACTTTAATTCTGGATTTGTCTATTTTTCCTTGCAGTTCTATTAGCTTTTATATCACGTATTTTGAAGATCTGTTATTAGTTACTTATACACTTAGGATTGGTGTCTTCTGGATCACTTGACCTCTTTGCCTTTATGAAATTACCCTCTTTATCTCTGGTGATACTTGTCCTGGAAAGACCTTTGGTGTTAATATAGTCACTCCACCTTTATTTATTTATTTACTTATTTTATTTTTTGGGTTTGTTTTTTTTTTGTTTTTGTTTTTGAGGTGGAATCTTGCTCTGTCACCCAGGCTGGAGTGCAGTGGTGTGATCTTAGCTCACTGCAACCTCCACTTCATGGATTCAGCTGATTCTTCTGCCTCAGCCTCCCAAGTAGCTGGGATTACAGGCATACACCACCACGCCCAGCTAAGTTTTTGTATTTTTAGTAGAGACAGGGTTTCACCATGTTGGCCAGGCTGGTCTCGAACTCTTGATCTCAAGTGATCTGCCTGCCTCGACCTCCTAAGATGTTGGGACTACAGGTGTGAGCCACTATGCTCAGCCCCACCTTTATTTTAATCAGTGTTAGCATATAATATTTTTCAATCCTTTTCATCTATTTCTGTCTTGTACTTCTTGTAGGTAGTATTGTTTCTTGTAGGTGTCAGATAGCTGAGTCTTATTTTTTGATACAACCCGATGATCTCTTTTAATGAAGATGGTTATGCCATTTACATTTAATATGATGATTGATTTAGTTGTCTTTAATCTACCATTTGCTATTTATTTTCTATTTGTCCCAGTTATTCCTTGCTCCCTTTTCCCTCTTTTTCTGTCTTCTTTTGGAAAAATTATTTTTTGTGATTCCATTTTATTTTCTTTTTGGGTTTATTCACTATAACTTTTTGTTGTGTTATTTTAATAGTTACTTTAGGGCTTATAATATAGAGCATTAACTTATCACAGTCTACTTTCGGGTGATATTTCACTCTTATACCTGAGATAAGATATAAGAGCCTTAAAATAGCCTTAAAATAGTATGCTTCTGGGCAGGCGTGGTGGCTCACGCCTGTAATCCCAGCACTTTGTGGGGCCGAGGCGGGTGGATCACGAGGTCAGGAGATTGAGACCATCCTGGCCAACATGGTGAAACCCCATCTCTACTAAAAATAACAAAATTAGCTGGGCATGGTGGCGTGCATAGTCCTAGCTACTCAGGAGGCTGAGGGAGGAGAATCACTTGAACCCAGGAGGTGGAGATTGCAGTGAGCCGAGACTGCGCCACTTTACTCCAGCCTGGCGACAGAGCGAGACTCCATCTCAAAACAAAACAAAAAACAAAAACAGTATACTTCCATTTCCCTCCTCACAGTCCCTATATGCTGTTATTGGAATAGATTTACTTTACATAGATTATAAACCCCACAACACACTACACACTAGTTTCTAATATAGTATTCAAGAGGTTTGAAAACATTTTTTAAGAATTTTTGTTTCCCCTTGTCCCCTCCCCTCTACCTTTTGTTTTGTAGGGACTTCAATTAGAAGTATATTATGTCACTTGAAGATTTCCTGCAGCTGGTTGATGCTATGCTCACTTTTTTTTCTACAATTTTTTATTTGTTTCATTTTGATAGTTTCTAGTTTTCTATTCATGTTCATTAATCTTTCCTCTACAATATATAATCTCCTGTTCATCTCATCCAATTTATTTTTCATCACAAATATTGTTGTTTTAATCTCCCAAAGTTGTTTGTATTTCTTTTTTTATGTTTTCCATGTCTCTACTCAACATGTTCAGTGTTTCTTCTAGCTTCTTGAACATACGGAATAGAGTTGTAATAATTTAGTGGCCTTGACTACTAATTTGATCATCTATGTCTTTTCTGGTTGGTTTACATTGCTTTTTATCATTATTGGGTCATATTTTCCTGCTTCTTTCCATTCCTGATAATTTTTTAAGAGATGGGGTCTTGCTATGTTGCCCAGGCTGGAGTGCAGTGCCTATTCATAGGTGTGATCATAGCACACTACAGCTTTGAACTCCTGGGCTCAAGTGATCCTCCTGCCTCAGCTTTCTGAATAGCTGGGACTACAGCTGTGTACCACCATTCCTGGACCTGGTAACTTTTGATTAAACACATTCTGAATTTTACATTATTAGATAAATAGTTTATTCCTATAAATATTCTTGAGCTTTTGTTCTTGGGCATGGTTATTTGGAAACAGTTTTATCCTTTCAGGTTTTGCTTTAAATGACTCTAAACTAGTACCCAAGAGGCATTTAGTCTAGAGTTTATTTCCCCATTATTGAGGCACCATTCTTGAGAATTCTACCTGATGCCCTGAAAATGATGAGATTTTCTCACTCCTAGTCATGGAAACAAATCTATTCTCAGAGCTTTCTGAGCTCTGAGGATTGTTCCAATTATTCAAGTGGTTCTTTCCCTTGCCTTGTGTAGTTTCCTCACATATAGTCACTGATGATGTCTCATCTGAAAATTTGAGGGAGATCCTTTAATTTCCAGAGTTCTCTGTGTAGCTCTCTCCTCTTTATTACTGTGCCCTGTGAATTCTAGCCTTCTTAGCCTCCCCAGATTCCTAGCTCTGTCTCTTCAACTCAAGGTCACAGCCTAGAAACTTACTCCAGGTAATAAGATGGGGGAAATAAAGGGCTCAACCATCTCTCAGAAATCACTGTCTTTTGTTGCTTCATGTCCAATATTTTAAAACTGTTGATTTGTAGCTTTTGTCAGGCTTTTTAATTTAGGCAGTCTGTATGCACTGATGACCCTCATATTTAATAGCAATCTGCTTTTTGTTGTTGTTGTTGAGATGGGGTCTTGTTCTGTTGCCCAGCTTGAAGTGCAGTAGAGTGATCATGGTTCACTGCAGCCTTGAACTCTCAGGCTCAAGAGATTCTCCTACCTCAGCCTCCTGAGTAGCTGGGACCACAGCCACACATCACCATGTGCAGCTAGTTTCTAAATTTTTTTGTAGTGATGGGGTCTCACTATGTTCTTCTTGCCAGTCTTGAACTGCTGGGCTCAAGCAATCCTCCTGCCTCAGCCTCCCAAAGTGTTGGGATTACAGGTGTGAGCCATCATTCCCGGCCTACAATATGTATTTTATATATATAATAATTTTATATATATAATATATATATATAATTAATTTATATTTTATATAATTTATATATATGTAAAAATTAATCTATAAAATATGTATTATATATAATAATTATATATATGGTCTCGCTCTGTTGCCCAGGCTGGAGTGCAGTGGTGTGATCTCTGCTCACTGCAACCTCTGCCTCCTGGGCTCAAGCATCAAGCAATCCTCCCACCTCAGCCTCCTGAATAGCTAGGACTATAGCACACACCACCATGCCTGGAGTGCAGTGGTGTGATCTCTGCTCACTGCAACCTCTGCCTCCTGGGCTCAAGCATCAAGCAATCCTCCCACCTCAGCCTCCTGAATAGCTAGGACTATAGCACACACCACCATGCCTGGTTGATTTTTTTGTTTGTTTTGGTAGAGACAGGGTTTTGCCATGTTGCCCAGGTTGGTCTCAAACTTCTGGGCTAAAGCAGTCCTCCCACCTTGGCCTCCCAAATTGCTGGAATTACCGGCATGAGCCACCACGTGTGGCTCTACAGTATCTTTAAATGTCAGTTAAGTCAAGTCAGTTTGATATTATTCATAACTTCTATATCCTTGCTGATTTTTTTTTTTGGTCTCTTATTCTTTTAATTACTGAAAACTGGAGGTTAAACTATCCCACTATGTGGATATATTTGTCCCTTTAGTTCAGTTAGATTTCAGTTCGTGTATCTGAAGTCTGTTATTTGGTGTATACACATTTAGGAGTATGTCTTCCTATTAAATGGATCCTTTTACCATTACGAAACATCCTTTTTTAATCTCTGGCAAAACTCATTTTTGACATCTACTTTGTCAGATATTAATATAGCCCTGAAGCACTTTTTATGCTTGTTTCCCTGGTATCTTTGTCCATACTTTTAACTTTCATTATATTGTTGATATGGTTTGCTTCTGTGTCCCACCCAAATCTCATATTGAATTGTGATCCCAAGTGTTGAAGGTGGAGCCTGGTGGAAGGTGATTGGATCATGGGGCCTGTAGCCCCTTTGTTTTTGGCCAATTTTTCCCTTTTGGAATGGGAGCATTTACCCAATGTCTGTACCCCCATTGTATCTTTGAAGTAACTAACTTGTTTTTTATTTTACAAGATCATAGGTGGAAGGAACTTGCCTTGTCTCAGATGAGACTTTGGACTATGGATTTTTGAGTTAATGTTGAAATGAGTTAAGACTTAGGGGGCTGTTGAGAATGGATGATTGAACTTTTGTGTGAGAAGGACATGAGATGTGGGAGGGGACATGGTTGGAATGATATTGTTTGGCTTTGTGTCTCCACCCAAATCTCATGTTGAATTGTGAACCTGAGTATTGGAGGTGGGGCTTGGTGGGAGGTAATTGGATCATGGAAGTGGTTTTTAATGGTTTAGTACCATCCCCCTAGTGCTGCCTCATGATAGAGTTCTCACAAGATCTGGTTGTTTAAGTGTGTAGCACTTCCCCCTTTGCTCTCTCTTCCTTCTGCTCCTGCCATGTAAGACATGCTGGCTTCCCATTCACCTTCCACCACGATTTTGTTTCCCAAGGCTTCCTGAGCCATGCCTCCTGTATAGCCTGTGGAACTGTGAGTCAATTAAACATCTTTTCTTTATAAATTACCCAGTCTCACATAGTTCTTTATAGCAGTGTGGGAACAGACTAATACAGTTGTCCTTTTAAAAGTGTGTCTCACTCTTTCTCATGGCAAATCTGCCTTCTTTTGGATCACTGTTCCCCTACATGAGGATTTTTCTGTCTCTGTTTTTAAGGTATGTCTGTGTTTGGTTTACAGAATTTTCACTATTATATTACTAAGCAGGATTTTTTTTTTTATCCTGCTTAGGGCTTGCTGAGCTTAGAAAATCTATAGGTTGTCATCTTTTCACCACATTTGTGATATTTTCAGCCATAACTATAAGAACTTTTTCCTGCCCCATTTTCCCTTTCTTCTCTTAATACTATCTTACAGGTCTTAGATGCTCTTTTTATATTTATTCAATCATATTTCTCTTTGTTCTTCAGAGTGGAAATTTACTATTTATCTGCTTTCAAGTCAACTGACTTTTCTGTCACCTCCAATCTGCTGTTAAGCCAATATTGGGAGTTTTAAATGTTCAGCTACTATACTTTTTGGTTCTAGAATTTCCATTTGGTTATTTTATCTCTAAACATCCATTCTCAATTTTCTTTTCTGCCTGCCTGTAAAATATTGGGACTCCCTAAGTTTCTACCTTGTACCACTCATTGATTTGTATTTGTCTAAGATTCCTCCCCATCTATTCACTCATTATGGCCATCTTTTCCTTTAAATCCTCAAAAAATATGAATCATGAGGGTGGGTCTTTCCCATGCTGTTCTTGTGATAGTCAATAAGTCTCATGAGATCTGAGGTTTTATAAAGGGGTGTTCCCCCACATATGCTCTCTCTTACCTGCTGCTGTGCAAAACTTGACTTTGCTCCTCCTTTGCCTTCTGCTATGATTGATTGTGAGGCCTCCCAGCCATGTGGAACTGTGAGTCTATTAAACCTCTTTTCTGGCCAGGCACAGTGGCTCAAGCCTGTAATCCTGACACTTTGGGAGGCCGAGGTGGGTGGATCACCTGAGGTCAGGAGTTCAAGACCAGCCAGGCCAACATCGTGAAACCCCATCTCTACTAAAAAATACAAAATATTAGCCAGGCATGGCGGTGGGCACTTGTAATCCCAGCTAGTCAGGAAGCTGAGGCAGGAGAATCGCTTGAACCCAGGAGGCGGAGGTTGCAGTGAGCCAAGATGGTGCCACTGTACTCCAATCTGGGTGACAAAAGCAAACTCCATCTCAAAACCAAAAAACCTCTTTTCTCTATAAATTACCCAGTCTGAGGTCTGAGGTATGTCTTTTTTTTTTTTTTTTTTGAGTCTCGCTCTGTTGCCCAGACTAGAGTGCAGTGGCACGATCTTGGCTCACTGCAAGCTCCGCCTCCCGGGTTCATGCCATTCTCCTGCCTCAGCCTCCCAAGTAGCTGGGACTACACGTGCCTGCCACCACACCCGGCTAATTTTTTTGTATTTTTAGTAGAGACAGGGTTTCACCATGTTAGCCAGGATGGTCTCGATCTCCTAACCTCATGATCCGCCTGCCTCGGCCTCCCAAAGTGCAAGGATTACAGGCGTAAGCCACCGCGCCCAGCCAGTCTGGGGTATGTCTTTATTGGCAGCATGAGAACAGACTAATACAACTGCCTAGAATAGTCACTGATAAACAGTAAACTGACTCAATGAAAGTCAGCCATTATTAGTACAATTATAAACCTGTGGCAGAATGACTTATAAATTTATACTAATTTTAAAAATTAAGTAATACTAGAAAAATTAGCAAATAATAGTCTGATTAAGAACTGACATTCCTCGCCTCTTTTCCTTTCTCTGCCATCATGGTGTGTGCTTGACTTTGCTTCTTGCCATGTCTTCTCACAAGACTTTCAGGATTAAGTGATTGCTGGCCAAGAAACAAAAGCAAAATTGTCCCATTCCCCAGTGGATTCAGATGAAAACTGGTAATAAAATCAGGATTTTATTAATAAAATAAAACCAAAAGGAGACAATGGAGAAGAACCAAGCTGGGTCTATAAGGAATTGCACATGAGATGGCACACATATTTATGCTGTCTGAAGGTCACAATCATGTTACCATATCAGGCTGAAAATGTCACCACTATCCGGAGAGTTTGACATGTTTTGTTGGGAATATATTTTGTCTCTCTGCATCTGTTATGAACGCATTGGTTGGCTGGGTTCAGTAATAAATATGTGAGGCCTTTCATTAAAAAAAAAAAAAAATTTGCATTCCTCAATGTACTTATGCATTTTAACAATGATTTTTATATAAAAAGCAAAAGAAAGCAGCAAGTTTAAGCCAAAAAACAATAAATAAAATAATAAATTTTCTTTAAAAATATAATTAAGTTTTAGAAGGGCTTTCTTTTAAAATATTGAAATATAAAATTTATTCAAAAGCAAAATAACAGCTTCTATGAAGTATGAGCTACATATAATAAGTAAACAGCACAGTACCAAAAATTCCATTTTTTCAACACATCAGTATCTTCTTTGAATTACACATTTTCTCCCTAGAATAATGCAAAATAATAGATTAATATTTGAAATATTCCTAAACTGATTTAGCATTAAAAGTCTACCATAATAACAGGAGTATAATTTAAAGCGAGAGTGAGAAATATTTAGTCTACTGAAAAATATGAATCATAAAAAGTCAATAATGAACCACATGAATATAAAATGCAGGCCGGGTGCAGTGGCTCACTGCCTGTAATCCCAGCATTTTGGGAGGCCGAGGTGCATGGATCACCTGAGGTCAGGAGTTTGAGACCAGCCTGGCCAACATGGTGAAACCCTGTCTCTACTAAAACATACAAAAATTAGCTGGGTGTGGTGGCGAGCGTCTGTAATCCCAGCTAGTCAGGAGGCTAAGGCAGGAGAATCACTTGAACCTTGGAGGGGGAGGTTGCAGGGAGCCGAGATCGCACCACTGCACTCCAGCCTGGGAGACAAGAGGGTAACTCCATCTCAAAAAAATAAAATAAAATAAATAAAATAAAAAATAAAAGCAAATAATTCTGGCTTGATGAGGTGGGTGTGAATATGGGGTTAAACTAATTTTAAAACTCGAAAAAAGGAACATAAATATAACATTTTGGCATCAGTGTCATGTTATAGTTTGAGAGCACAATAAACAAGGATGATGAATAGCTACATGAAAAAATCAATGAAAAAGGAAGATTAAAAGAAGAAAAAAAGAGCAGACAGAGACAAAAGACAATTATGTGGGGAAAAGCAAGAGAGATCAGATTGTTACTGTGTCTGTGTAGAAAGAAGTAGACATAGGAGACTCCATTTTGTTATGTACTAAGAAAAATTCTTCTGCCTTGAGATTCTGTTAATCTATAACCTTACCCCCAACCCCGTGCTCTCTGAAACGTGTGCTGTGTCAACTCAGAGTTAAATGGATTGAGGGAGGTGCAAGATGTGCTTTGTTAAACAGATGCTTGAGGGCAGCATGCTCCTTAAGAGTCATCACCACTCCCTAATCTCAAGTACCCAGGGACACAAAAACTGCGGAAGGCCGCAGGGACCTCTGCCTAGGAAAGCCAGGTATTGTCCAAGGTTTCTCCCCATGTGATAGTCTGAAATATGGCCTCGTGGGAAGGGAAAGACCTGACCGTCCCCCAGCCCGACACCCGTAAAGGGTCTGTGCTGAGGAGGATTAGTAAAAGAGGAAGGAATGCCTCTTGCAGTTGAGACAAGAGGAAGGCATCTGTCTCCTGCCTGTCCCTGGGCAATGGAATGTCTCGGTATAAAACCCGATTGTATGCTCCATCTACTGAGATAGGGAAAAACCGCCTTAGGGCTGGAGGTGGGACCTGCGGGCAGCAATACTGCTTTGTAAAGCATTGAGATGTTTATGTGTATGCATATCTAAAAGCACAGCACTTAATCCTTTACATTGTCTATGATGCAAAGACCTTTGTTCACGTGTTTGTCTGCTGACCCTCTCCCCACAATTGTCTTGTGACCCTGACACATCCCCCTCTTTGAGAAACACCCACAGATGATCAATAAATACTAAGGGAACTCAGAGGCTGGCGGGATCCTCCATATGCTGAACCCTGGTTCCCCGGGTCCCCTTATTTCTTTCTCTATACTTTGTCTCTGTGTCTTTTTCTTTTCCAAATCTCTTGTCCCACCTTACGAGAAACACCCACAGGTGTGTAGGGGCAACCCACCCCTACACAATTATTTGCATATAAAAGCAGTTTAACATAAAGTAGAAAAATAGAGGAAAAAGGCCCAGGGGATTTAAAAAAATATGGGCCAAATTTTCTTGTCATACCTTCATCTTTACTGAGGGTGTGAATTTGAAAATATTATCATGTCTCTAGGTATTACCTGTACTCCTGGTTTAACATTTTTTTTTCATCTTTGTTTTCCCTATAGCTAATTTCCTAATTTCTTATTTTTCATCTTACTGCATGATATATGTACCATATCTTGAAAACTACTTACAAATAAGAGAAATAGAAGTAATAACTTTTTATAAATTCCTAATAAATGGTGAATTAGCTAATTAATCAGTATTCACAACACTTCCACTGCTCTAATCCAAAACAGGATTAGAATAGGAGTTAATATGAAGTCTCTGAACTTGCTGATATTGTGTTCTAAATTGTGTACAGGTGTAATTTTTTGAGTTCTGAAGCTTTTGTTAGTCTGAAAGCAGAATACTTCAGTGTTAAGAGGCTTTACTCTCAATGGAAGTGCCAACGTACTTAACCATTAGGAAAATAGTATTTGGGCTGCAACACAAGGGAGCTAACACTTATTAAACACTTCTCATGTATCGGTTTCCACATTCTTTTCATTGTACCAGTGGACTTTAAAACTGCACTTTTCTGAAGCAGAGCTGGATTTAGGCCAGCTGATACCCTCTGCACAGCCCAACAATGGCGCCTCCTGGCCCTACCACTGCTTTAAAAAATTGCTTAAGAGTCCTTTAGACGAATCAGCTGATGAGTCAAATGCTATCCAGACCCAGGTAGCTGGTTTTGAAACTCACACCATGTGTAAAGAAACAAATGTAATACCTGATGACACTTTCAAATCAAACTTTTAAACTTTTGTCACTCATCATACCAAAGAAAATGATTTTTTAATAGTGCAGATTAAATTTGAACTGGCAGATAAAGACAGTTACTAAAAATTCTACTAAAGTCAAGTGTGGCAGTGAACGAATTAAGAGGATGATAGCTAGGGCAAACAACTCTGTGGCATTCCCCTTAGTCCCCTATGCTCCTGCTTATTTTCCTTAATGATTAATCCAGGGCTGCTCTGGAGCTTTTGCATGAGCAGCCATGAGTAGATTTAAGTAACTGGGTAAAGGTCAGACATATCCTACCCCCAATCAGATAAACTACCTTTGAATCTATTTGACATACTGGATTTCTTTATTTAAATAATAATTTATTTGGTTTAAAAGAGTTTTAAAATCCTGCTTTTAAATAGGAGACCAATGCAATGTCATACTTAAGTGGCAGGTGAAATAAGCCGAGGACCTGAACTAGGCTACAGATCATGGCTCTACATCCCAATTTAAAATGTCTCTTTCAGGCCAGGTGCGGTGGCTCACGCCTGTCATCTCAGCACTTTGGGAGGCCAAGGTGGGTAGATCACTTGGGGCCAGGAGTTTGAGACCAGCTTGGCCAACATGGTGAAACCCCATCTCTACTAAAAAATGCAAAAATTAGCCAGGCATGGTGACACACGCCTGTAATCCCAGCTACTTAGGGGGCTGAGGTATGAGAATTGCTTGAACCTGGGAAGCGGAGGTTGCAGTGAGCTCTCGTGCCACTACACTCCAGCCTGGGTGACAGCACAAGACTCTGCCTCAAAAAAATAAAAATACATCTCTTTCATTAAATTTTACAGAGTAGTATATATTTATTAATGCAACATACATATAAATGACTATGAGGTGGTCACTACCACAGGTAATGCAACTGAGGCTCATGCGCTGTAGGAGTTCCATGTGAGCTTAAAGTTATGAGTATTGACAGTGGTCAATGCATTTAAAACTCAGTAGAGTATCATTGACAATCAAGAAAACTATGTTTATACAGAATATAACTTTGATAGGATTTTAAGAATCCAATCTTTAAGTTTAACAATAGGCTACGTTTGTTTGTTTTGTTTAGAGATGGGTTCTTGCTGCATTGCATGATAATAGCTCACTGCAGCCTCGAACTGGGCTCAAGCAATCCTCCCACCTCAGCTTCCAAGTAGCTAGGACTACAGATGTGCGCCACCATGCCCAGCTAGTTTTTCATTTTATTTTTCTGTAGAGATCGGGTCTTGCTATGTTGCCCAGGCTGTCCTTGAAATCCTAGTCTCAAGTAATCCTCCTGCTTGGCCTCCCAAAGTGTTGGGATTAAAGGTGTGAGGCACCTTGCCCGGCCAGTATTTTGAATATTTTAATTTGGCATTGATCTTCAATGATAATTGAATAGGTGAAATGACTTGAAAAATTCAAATATATATTGCAAAAACCTACAGAGTAAGAAATTATTCTATCTGTTATGTAGTAACTTTTAACTCCTACTATTTATTTATTTATTTAGAGATGGAGTCTCGCTCTGTCACCCAGGCTGGAGTGCTGTGGCGCAGTCTCGGCTCACTGCAACCTCTGCCTCCCGGGTTCAAGCAATTCTCCACCTCAGCCTCCTGAGCAGCTGGGATTACAGGTGCGCACCACCATGCCCAGCTAATTTTTGTGTTTTTAGTAGAGATGGGGTTTTGCCCTCTTGGCCAGGCTGGTCTTGAACTCCTGACCTCGTGATCCACCTGCCTCAGCCTCCCAAAGTGCTGGGATTACAGGCGTGAGCCACCGCGCCTGGCTAACTCCTACTCTTAATCCTTAATTGGCTAAGCAACTGCAAGACCAAACTATGTAATTAGACATACTGAAGAAAATACCAATACAATTATGTAAAGATTATATATAGTGGTTAAGAGCAGGGACTCAGTTTCCTCATATCATAAGGATAATAATAGTACCCACTACAGTAGAACTATTAGGTACTATTATTTGGTACTATTCAGATAATAGTACCTATCAGGGGGTTGTTATAAGGATTAAATGAGTTAATTTATGTAAAGGATTTGCTTGACATACAGTAAAGGCTATGTATTGTTATGATCACAGTCTGTCACTGTACTTATCAAATTTATCCTGCATAAATTAGGTGCGATTTTTACCAAAAAGAGAGTCTTGCATATCTATGACTGCAAGGGTCACTGGAGTAGAGCAGAGGTTCTTAAAGGGTGCAGTACCATCCTCTACAGAACATTCTAGAAATTTGTGATGGTACTTTTTGTTTGTCATTGTGATAGGGGAGAAAGGGACATGCTGCTGCTGATATACAACAGGCAGAAACAAATGATGCCAGATGTCCTGTATCTTGCACGGTTGTTCCACATGACAGAACTATCTGGCTGGCAATTCTACTAGACTTTGCTAGTCTGTTTATGCTTTCCTACTCTCCAAAGTAAGTAACCATTTCACATACCTTCCCTGTTCTTAAATATCCAATATCTTACTGTGCCTTAACTAAAAACCCTGCTTCTTATCTCACTAAGAAAATAAAAGCAATTGGCCGGGCACGATGGCTCACGCCTGTAATCCCAGCACTTTGGGAGGCAGAGGCAGGCAGATCACGAGGTCAGGAGATCGAGACCATCCTGGCTAACACAGTGAAACCCCGTCTCTACTAAAAATACAAAAAATTAGCCGGGCGTGGTGGCGGGCGCCTGTAGTCCCAGCTACTCGGGAGGCTGAGGCAGGAGAATGGCGTGAACCTGGGAGGCGGAGCTTGCAGTGAGCCAAGATTGCGCCACTGCACTCCAGCCTGGGCAACACAGCCAGACTCCGTCTCAAAAAAAAAAAGAAAAGAAAAGCAATTGATAAAGAAATTTCTCTCCCACTATCAAACCTTCCATTCCATGTGTTTCTGTGCTCCCATATTCTGCCTGCCTTCCCACCACAGTGGATGAACTGCCCCTTTTTATCCAAGACCAACTCCTCTACTGCTCTCCTGTATCCCATTTCTTAAGCCTACCTTAAGGATTTTACTCCTTCTGCTCTGTCTTGAATGGCTGTTTCCCTGTCTACTGGATCATTCCTATCAATATCCAACAGCTGTTTTCTCTCTTATGTTAAAAAGCAAAACAAAAAACTCTCCCTTGACATCACATCTCCCTCATTTCTCTGCTTTACTCTTTATCCAAAGAGTTGTCTATTCTTGATGTTTCTATTTCCTCTCTTTCCATTCTATGCTAAACCCACTCTACAACAGGCTTTCATTCCCATTGTTAGGCTAAAGCCAGTCTTATGAGGGTCATAAAAGCCTCGACATTACCAAATATGATAGTCAATAATCAACCTTCACTTTACTTAGCAACACTGGACACAATTGATCTCACCCTCCTTGAAATACATTGTGAAATATTATACTCTCCTAATTTCTCTTCTATTTCACTGATTACTTCTCAGTTACCTTTACTGAATCTTTAACTTCTTGGGTGCTAAAAGTAATATGCTAAAAGTGAAATTTTGGCCAGCACAGCCTGATGAAATCTAGCATTTAAAACTACAGTTGTGTTTACTGTATATAATTTATTTAGCCACTTGATACATTCATAAATATTCATTCAGCATCTACTATATACCAGGCACTAGAAATATAGAAATAAGCGAAATGACCATACCCTCTCCACACAGAGCTTACATTTTCAGTGGGGGAGACAATCAATAAACAAGTAGATAGACATATACTTAAGCCAGCAAAAATAAGTATTATGAAGAAAAACTCACTCAACAATTTTTCTTTGTCTTGGATCTATTCCAAAAAAATAGTTTTTAACTGTTCAGGCCACCAAAGCTATCTTGATGTGTTTGAAAATGATGTTAGGCATTTTTTAAAAAGCTGACATTATCTAAAGGAGATTATTTCCATTCTCAAACTACAGATTAAATCCTATATTGTGGAACATAAGGAATACGAGGAGCAGAAAAGTGAGAAAGTAATTAGTTCAAAATAAGAAGAGGACCAGAAAAATATTAAATCATAAAAGTCAAGAGAAGAGAAAATATCAAAAGGGGGAATGGACAGTTAAATCTACAAAAGCTGAAGAAAAAGAGGATACTAAATTTGTTTATTATACAAAGAGTTTTTTGTGACTTTCAAGAAAACAGTAAATTTAATATTCAAGAGACAAATACAGTAAGTTACAAAGTGGGAAGGGTAGTAAGGAGGTAGCAACAATGGAGAAATAGAATGAATAAAAATTTTTTTTGAGATGGGGTCTCCATGTTGCCCATACTTGTCTCAAACTCCTGGGCTCAAATAATCCTCCTGCCTCAGCCTCCTGGATAGCTGGGATTGCAGGCATGTGCCACTGCACCCAGCTTAGAGTGGGTATGAATTTAAGATGTCTGGAAATGAAAGGAAGAGGGAAATAAAGAAGCCTGAAGATACAGATTAAATCAGGAAGCAGAGAAGCAAAACAGGCAAGCATATTAAAGGCTTGAAAGTACATGTTCAAGAATTTCTCTCTAAAAAAGAAGAGGGATATATCTTTCTTTTAAAGAGAAAAGGGACAAAAGAAGGAAAGATGAATATAAATATTTTAGGGTGAAAAATTATAAGGATGAGGACAGTTGGCCTTATTCATGCTTTTAAATAATGGCTAATTCAGTAAATCAACTTTCCAAGGATCAGTGATAGCCAGCAATAACTTATTTTGACATACAGAGCCCAAATGAACAGTAAATTATGACGAAGTTATGAGAACATTCACCTCAGAACCTACTTTCTCTGGATTCCTCTCACTGCATATTTCTTACCATTTTTCTTTTTTTCAGTTTTTTAATTTTTTTATTTTTAAGCACTTTCATGTCTATCTTCCTATTTTTCGTTCTACTTCCTGTTCTGTCTCCCTCTGCCTCTCTCTTTCCCCGTATTGTCTCACACCATGCAATAGAGAAAATGTCTTTTGGTATTGATTTTACTTAATGTATAAAATGTAAAATCTTCCTTCTTCAAATATTAGTAGTTTTTCATTTAAATATATGAATTTTCTTCCAAGTAATAAAATGATATTCTTTGGAAACAAATTATTACAGTTTACAGTGTATAAAATACATACCTGATTTAAACCAGCACCTGTTTGCATAGAAGACTTTTTTAATAGTCTTACTTCTTTGTTTATGTATCTTAGCATCCCACTAAGCGTGTTAAAGTCATTATTCTCAGAACTATCAGCTTCTAGGTTATATGTGAGAGGTTTAAATGAGTCTGGCTGGGTGTAAGTCAGATTCTTATGGCTTTCTTCTAATGTTGAAGGCTGTTCTAATTGCATTTTCTTTAAGTCCTGTAGTAATTCTTCAGAAAGATCTTCATCACCATGAATTTTGAAAGTAAGATCACTGGCACTAATAGAGCGACGTAATTTTGTACACTTGGAAAAAGATGTGTGAAAACATTTAGCAAATTTTGGATCTTGAACATCAGGCATAATTTCTGTTGGAGATGTAAATGGGGCTGGCAGAAACTTGATGTCTTCTGCCTTTTCATGTCCAGAAATTTTGGCCTGTAATCTGGTTAATTCTGATTCCTGCAGATAAATTGGTACATAGTAGGTGCTCAATACATTTTTGTTAAATGAATGAACTCCTTAGAAAATCATAGACTTTTAGAAAGTCAACCTTTGTCCCACTATAGGAATTCTGTTTATAATTCTTGAGAGTTTTCCAAGCTCTGTTTAAAACCTTTACTTAAGATAGGTTCACTTTGGGAAAATTACACATATTCCTTTGAAATATGCTTATTCTAAGAAATTCCATTAAAACTAGATTCTCCTTATATATATATTTTTGGTGTTAATGACAATATCAATTTCTATTCAAGATTGAAATCTTACACCTAAAAATTTCTCTGCAAAGATGTAGAGGTACGCTATCTTTTGTTAATCTAACACATATAGACACAAAAAGACCCCTTTCAGAATTTCCAGTAGGGAATAAATAGATAAGCTATTCTGCTTTTTGTGTTCTCATTACAAGAAAGCTTTAGTGCATTAGAAATTTTTCAAAAACTTAAAGTGATAAATTTTTAATAAATCAATCCTTGTTAAATAAACTTTTCATTTCAATTTTTTTCATGTCTTTCATTTGGGTCCTCTGACTGAACTTTGGGATCCTAGGAATGAGACTACATACACTAAAAAACCAAAAAGCCTAAAAAAAGAGATGATATTTTAATTTCAAAAGCTTAATAATGTAAGTATAGTAGTCTCCTCTTCAAATACATTTGCCTTTTCTTAAAGGTATCCATAAGATATATATTTCTAAATCCTGTCAGTTTTACTCTGATAGTTTCTATTCTTAAAGTAGCTTTCAAAAATACTGTGTTCATAACTAAAACTGTCATAACCACAGAATGCATTACAAAATAAAAGTTTAACACGCATATTTTGGTATTTTCCTTTTTTTTTTTTTTTACTACTTCATCTAAAATTGATTTATATGATTTTTTAAAAATACTTTAAGTTCTAGGGTACATGTACTCAACGTGCAGGTTTGTTACATATGTATACATGTGCCATGTTGGTGTGCTGCACCCATTAACTCGTCATTTACATTAGGGATTTCTCTTAATGCTATCCCTCCCCCCTCCCCCCACCCCACAACAGGCCCCAGTGTGTGATGTTCCCCACCCTGTGTCCAAGTGTTCTCATTGTTCGATTTCCACCTATGAGTGAGAACATGCGGTGTTTGGTTTTTTGTCCTTGCAATAGTTTGCTCAGGATGATGGTTTCCAGCTTTATCCATGTCCCTACAAAGGACATGAACTCATCCTTTTTTATGGCTGCATAGTATTCCATGGTGTATATGTGCCACATTTTCTGAATCTAGTCTATCACTGATGGACATTTGGGTTGGTTCCAAGTCTTTCCTATTGTGAATAGTGCCGCAATAAACATACATGTGCATGTGTCTTTATAGCAGCATGATTTATAGTACTTTGGGTATATACCCAGTAATGGGATGGCTGGGTCAAATGGTATTTCTAGTTCTAGATCCTTGAGGAATCGCCACACTGTCTTCCACAATGGTTGAACTAGTTTACAGTCCCACCAACAGTGTAAAAGTGTTCCTAGTTCTCCACATCCTCTCCAGCACCTGTTGTTTCCTGACTTTTTAATGATCACCATTCTAACTGGTGTGAGATGGTATCTCATTGTGGTTTTGATTTGCATTTCTCTGATGACCAGTGATGATGAACATTTTTTCATGTGTCTGTTGGCTGCATAAATGTCTTCTTTTGAGAAGTGTCTGTTCATATCCTTCTCCCACTTTTTGATGGGGTTGTTTTTTTCTTGTAAATTTGTTTAAGTTCTTTGTAGATTCTGGATATTAGCCCTTTGTCAGATGAGTAGATTGCAAAAATTTTCTCCCATTCTGTAGGTTGCCTGTTCACTCTGATGGTAGTTTCTTTTGCTGTGCAGAAGCTCTTTAATTAGATCCCATTTGTCTATTTTGGTTTTTGTTGCCATTTCTTTTGGTGTTTCAGTCATGAAGTCCTTGCCCATGCCTATGCCCATGCCTAGGCAATGGTATTGCCTAGGTTTTCTTCTAGGGTTTTTATAGTTTTAGGTCTAACATTTAAGTCTTTAATCCATCTTGAATTAATTTTTGTATAAGGTGTAAGGAAGGGATCCAGTTTCACCTTTCTACATATGGCTAGCCAGTTTTTCCAGCACCATTTATTAAATAGGGAATCCTTTCCCCATTTCTTGTTTTTGTCAGGTTTGTCAAAGATCAGATGGTTGTAGATGTGTGGTGTTATTTCTGAGGGATCTGTTGTGTTCCATTGGTCTATATCTCTGTTTTGGTACCAGTACCATGCTGTTTTGGTTACTGTAGCCCTGTAGTCAGGAAGCGTGATGCCTCCAGCTTTTTTCTTTTGGCTTAGGATTGTCTTGGCTGTGTGGGCTCTTTTTTGGTTCCATATGAACTTTAAGGTAGTTGTTTTCCAGTTTTGTGAAGAAAGTAATTGGCAGCTTGATGGAGATGGCATTGAATCTATAAATTACCTTGGGCAGTATGGCCATTTTCATTATATTGATTCTTCCTATCCATGAGCATGGAATGTTCTCCCATTTGTTTGTGTCCTCTTTTATTTCATTGAGCAGTGGTTTGTAGTTCTCCTTGGAGATCCTTCACATCCCTTGTAAGTTGGATTCCTAGGTATTTTATTCTCTTTGAAGCAATTGTGAATGGGAGTTCACTCATAATTTGGCTCTCTGTTGGTCGGTTATTGGTGTATAAGAATGCTTGTTATTTTTGCACATTGATTTTGTATCCTGAGACTTTGCTGAAGTTATCAGCTTAAGGAGATTTGGGGCTGAGATGATAGGGTTTTCTAAATATACAATCATGTCATCTGCAAACAGGGACAGTTTGACTTCCTCTTTTCCTAATTGAATACCCTTTCTTTCTTTCTCCTGCCTGATTGCCCTGGCCAGAACTTCCAACACTATGTTGAATAGGAGTGGTGAGAGAGGGCACCCCTGTCTTGTGCCAGTTTTCAAAGGGAATGCTTCCAGTTTTTGCCCATTCAGTATGATATTGGCTGTGGGTTTGTAATAAATAGCTCTTATTATTTTGAGATATGTCCCATCAATACCTAGTTTGAGAGTTTTTAGCATGAAGGGCTGTTGAATTTTGTTGAAAGCCTTTTCTGCATCTATTGAGATAATCATGTGGTTTTTGTCTTTGGTTTGGTTCATGTGATGGATTACATTTATTGATTTGCGTATGTTGAACCAGCCATGCATCCCAGGGATGAAGCCAACTTAATTGTGGTGGATAAGCTTTTTGATGTGCTGCTGGATTCGGTTTGCCAGTATTTTATTGAGGATTTTTGCATCGATGTTCATCAGGGATATTGGTCTAAAATTCTCTTTTTTTGTTGCGTCTCTGCCAGGCCTTGGTATCAGGATGATGCTGGCCTCAGAAAATGAGTTAGGGAGGATTCTCTCTTTTTCTATTGATTAGAATAGTTTCAGAAGGAATGGTACCAGCTCCTCTTTGTACCTCTGGTAGAATTCAGCTATGAATCTGTCTGGTCCTGGACTTTTTTTGGTTGGTAGGCTATTAATTACTGCCTCAATTTCAGAACCTGTTGTTGGTCTACTCAGGGATTCAACTTCTTCCTGGTTTAGTCTTGGGAGGGTGTATGTGTCGAGGACTTTATCCATTTCTTCTAGGTTTTCTAGTTTATTTGTGTAGAGGTGTTTATAGTATTCTCTGATGGTAGTTTGTATTTCTATGGGATCAGTGGTGATATCCTCTTTATCATTTTTTATTGCCTCTATTTGATTCTTCTCTCTTTTCTTCTTTATTAGTCTTGCTAGCGGTCTATCAATTTTGTTGATCTTTTCTAAAAACCAGCTCCTGGATTCATTGATTTTTTGAAGGGTTTTTTGTGTCTCTATCTCCTTCAGTTCTGCTCTGATCTTACTTATTTCTTGCCTTCTGCTAGCTTTTGAATGTGTTTGCTCTTGCTTCTCTAGCTCTTTTAATTGTGATGTCAGGATGTCAATTTTAGATCTTTCCTGCTTTCTCTTGTGGGCATTTAGTGCTATAAATTTCCCTCTCCACACTGCTTTAAATGTGTCCCAGAGATTCTGGTATGTTGTGTCTTTGTTCTCATTGGTTTCAAAGAACATCTTCATTTCTGCCTTCATTTCGTTATGTACCCAGTAGTCATTCAGAAGGAGGTTGTTCAGTTTTCATGAGTTGTGTGGTTCTGAGTGAGTTTCTTAATCCTGAGTTCTAATTTGATTTCACTGTTGTCTCAGAGACAGTTTGTGGTGATTTCTATTCTTTTACATTTGCTGAAGAATGCTTTATTTCCAACTATGTGGTCAATTTTGGCAGAAGTGTGATTTGGTGCTGAGAAGAATGTATATTCTGTTGATTTGCAGTGGAGAGTTCTGTCGATGTCTATTAGGTCTGCTTGGTGCAGAGCTGAGTTCAAGTCCTGGATATCCTTGTTGATTTTCTGTCTCGTTGATCTGTCTAATGTTGACAGTGGGGTGTTAAAGTCTCCCATTATTATTGTGTGGGAGTCTAAGTCTCTTTGTAGGTCTCTAAGGACTTGACTTATGAATCTGGGTGCTCCTGTATTGGGTGCATATATATTTAGGACAGTTAGCTCTTCTTGTTGAATTGATCCCTTTACCATTATGTAATGGCCTTCTTGGTCTCTTTTGATCTTTGTTGGTTTAAAGCCTGTTGGTTTAAAGTGGCTAGAGTGCCAATTTTTTGTTGTAAATCCTACATTCACATTCTTAAAATCACAATTAACAAAACAGTTGTAGAGTTGGCACAGAATAGGACTGTACACAGCTGCAGTCTTTTTCTTTTTCCTATTCTGCATTATCTAGCCATAATTGATATGTGGTATCTCATATAAGTAGGATTTTATTTAAGTTACAGTTTAACACATAACTTTTACAATTAAATATAGTACACTGAATACATTAAATTAATTCAACTTTTTCTTAAGACTCAAAGAAGGTCACTGTTGTGAACGTAATTGTAGTGAGCCATAATATAATGATGCCTTCATGGCTCTCAAAAAATTGTCTTTGCCCTTGTTGACCTCAAGTGATCTGCCCACCTCGGCCTCCTGAAGTGCTGGGAATACAGGAGTGAGCCACCACGCCCGGCCTACTTTATGATTTTAAAAGAACTTTGCTGATTTTGAAAAATGTTTCTACCTTTTTTTAGGTACATCAAGTATAAAACCCTCTAAACATTATGATTAGATGAGTTTATATTTGAACATTTATAAATTATATCTTCTACGGTAATAAGATGTACATCATCTTAATAATTTCCTAAATTCAACATCTTCTAAATCAAATGGTTTTTATTCAAACAGGCCAATATTTGGTCATATAGTCCTCTATAAACTACTAAGACAGGTAAATAAGTCAGACATTTATGTTTTCATAGATATGCTTTATTACTTTTATATGTTTACTTACTTTAGTAAGTAATGCTTCATTTGCAGCTTCAATTACTTCATTCCTATCTTGGACTTGTTGATGCAAATTGCTTACAGTATCCTGAGCTTCTTCTAATTCCAATTTTGCCTTCTCTAACTGTTCGTTTAGTTGCTGAACAGAAGACTTTTGAGAGTCAGCAGAAATCTTCCACTTTGCATGGTTCTCTTGATGTGAAATCATCTATATAGCCCCAGAATTGGAAAAGAAAAAAAATAAAAAAATGGAAGGAAACTGGATTCGACAACAGTCTAATGCTTTCTACTTTTATTTACTTTTTCTTTAAAAAAAGTAAATTCTGTTTATAGTTACAAACATCTGATTTCTCAATGAATACTAGAGGAAAAAGGGAACAAAGGAATCCATAATCTTCAATTTACTTAAGAACTTAATTAACCAAATGCAATGGACTCTATTTGGGTACTGATTTGAACAAATAAACTATAAAGACATTTTTGAGACAATTGGGGAAATGTGAACAATGATTGGGTATTTGATGATATTAAGGAGTCACTGTCAATTTTTAGGTGTGATCATGGTATTGTGGTTCTGTTCCAAAAAATAGCCCTTATCTTTTAGAGCTATGTTACAGTTTGGCTCCGTATCCCCATCCAGGCTTCATCTTGAATTGTAATTCCTGTATGTCAAAGGAGCAACCTGGTGGGAGGTGATTGGGTCATGGGGATGGTTTCACCCATGCTGTTCTCATGATAGTGAGTTCTCATGAGATCTGATCGTTTAAAAGTGTGACACTTCCCCTCTTGCTCTCTTGTCTCCCACCACCATGTAAGACATGACTTGCTTCCCCTTCTGCCATAATCATAAGAATTGTAATTTTCCTGAGGCCTCCCAAGCCATGTGGAACTGTGAGTCAATTAAACCTCTTTTCTTTATAAATTACCCTGCAACTGTCACCATTCTCCAGACCCCAGAATGGTAGATCCAGCGACAGCCCTTGCACCTTCACCTGGAAAAGCCTCAGGCACTCACACCAGCCCTAAGACTGTGTAATTTATAAGGAAAAGAGGTTTAATTGACTCACAGTTTTTATAGCACTGTGAAAATGGACTAATAACAGAAAACTGGTATCAGAATAGTGGGGTACTACTATAAAGATAACCTGAAAATGTGGAAGTGACTTTGGAACTGGGTAATGGGCAGAGGTTAGAACAGTTTGGAGGAATCAGAAGACAGGAAGATGTGAGAAAGTTTGGAACTTCCTACAGACTTGTCAAATGGTTTTGACTAAAATGCTGATAGTGATATGGACAATGAAGTGCAAGCTCAGGTGGTCTCAGATGGAGATGAGAAACTTATTGGAAACTAGAGTATCTTGTATGTTTTAGCAAAGAGACCAGTGGCATTTTGCCCCCACCCCAGAGATCTGTGGAACTTTGAAGTTGAGAGAGATGATTTAGGGTCTCTGAGAGAAGAAATTTTTAAGGATTCAAGAGGTGATCTGGCTTTTGTGAAAGTGTACAGTCATATGCATTCACAAAGAGATGATCTGAAATTGGAACTTATGTTTAAAAGGGAAGCAGAGCATAAAAGTTAAAAAAAAATTGCAGCTTGGCCATGTGGTAGAAAAGAAAAACCCATTTTATGGGGAGAAATTCAAGCTCGCTGCAGAAATCTTCTTAAGTAATGAGGAGCTAAATATTGCCAAGACAATGGGGAAAATGACTCCAGGCCATTTCAGAGATCTTCAAGGAAGCCTCTCCCATCACAAGCCTGGATATCTAGGAGGAAAAAATGGTTTTGTGGGCCAGGCTCAGAGCCCCACTGCTCTGTGCAGCCTCAAGACGGGGTGACCTGTATTGCTGTTGCTTCAGCTCCACCCATGGCTAAAAGGGGTCAAGGTACAGCTCAGACCATTGCTTCAGAGGGTGCAAGCCCCACACCTTGGCAGCTTCCATGTGGTGTTAAGTCTGCAGGTGCACAGAAGACAAGAGTTGAGCTTTGGGAGGCTCTGCCTAGATTTCAGAGGATGTGTGGAAATGCCTGGAAGTCCAAGCAGAAGTCTGCTGTGGAGGTGGAGCCCTCATGGAGAACCTCTACTAAGGCAGTACAGAGGAGAAATGTGAGGTTGGAGCCCCCACACAGAGTCCCCACCGGGGCACTGGGTAGTGGAGCTGTAAGAAGAGGGCCACCATTCTCTAGACCCCAGAATGGTAGATCCACCAACAGCTTGCACCGTGCACTTGGAAAAGCCCCAGGCACTCAACGCCAGCCCATGAAAACAGCCACAGGGGCTGTACCCTGCAGAACCACAGGGGTGGAGCTGCCCAGAACTTTGGGAGTCCACCCCTTGCATCAGTGTAGCTTGGATGTGAGACATGGAGTCAAAGGAGATTATTTTGGAGCTTTAACATTTAATGACTGCTCCACTGGGTTTCAGATTTGCATGGGCCTTGCAGCCTCTTTGTTTTGGCAAATTTTTCCCATTTGGAAGGGGAGCATTTACCCAATGCCTGTACCCCCATTGTATCTTGGAAGTAACTAACTTGTTTTTTATTTTATAGGCTCATAGATGGAAGGCTTGTCTCAGATAAGACTTTGGACTTGGACTTTTGGGTTAATGCTGGAATGAGTTAAGACTTTGGGGTTCTGTTGGGAAGGCATGATTGTGTTTTGAAATGTGAGAAGGACAAGAGATCTGGGAGGGGCCAGGGTTGGAATGATATGGCTTGGCTCTGTGTCCCCACCCGAATCTCATCTCAAATTGTAATCCTCACATGTGGAGGAAGGTACCTGGTGGGAGCTGATTGGATCATGGGGGTGGTTCCCCCAAGCTGTTCTCATGATAGTAAGTTCATTCTCATGAGATCTGATGGTTTAAAAGTGTGGCATTTACACACTCTTTCTCTCCTGCTGCCATGTAAGACATGCCTTGCTTTCCCTTAACCTTCTGCCATGATTGTAAGTTTCCCGAGGTGTCCCCAGCCATGTGAAACTGTGAGTTAATTAAAGCTCTTTTCTTTATAAATTACCCAATCTCAGGTATTTCTTTATAGCAGTGTGAAAATGGACTAATGGACTAATGGAAAATGGACTAATACAAGATACTTATTGAATATAGAATAATTATGTCTACATAATTATTTACAGATGAAATAATTATGTCTAAAATTTGCTTCAAATAATATGTGAATATGGGGGATGGGTTGGGAATGGGTTTAACATTTATGTTAAACTCCATTCAAGGGAGTTTGGTAACATTTTTGTGGGTGATTGATGTGGCTTGGGGGACCATGTCTTGCTTAGATTGGTGGGGCTTGTGGGGACCATGTCTTGCTTAAATACATTTAGAATCATATCTCTTTGAAAGCACTGTGCTTTCAAAGGTTAAAGGTATGTTGACACACTTCCGAGAATGCTTAGGACTGTCTAGGTTTTATGCCTGGTACCCTCATGTAATTACTATAGCATTCCTTTTCATTCTCAAAAGTATTCTCTTTTAGATAAAGAAAATGGTCAATGTATTTATGGATGAAATAAATTGGCTATGCATTGAAAATTATTAACGTTCAAAAATAAATATGAGGATGTATATACTATTTATACTATTCTATTTTTAAATATATTTAAATTTTTCACAATTAAAGGTTAAAACAATCTCATTCTCCTCCAATAAGTCAGGAGTTTTACATTTATTATTAAGTGATTTTCTGACAATTTGGAAACCTATATATTAAAAAATACTGTTGATCTCGAACTGGAAATACCATTTGACCCAGCCATCCCATTACTGGGTATATACCCAAAGGATTATAAATCATTCTACTATAAAGACACATGCACATGTATGTTTATTGCAGCACTATTCACAATAACAAAGACTTGGAACCAACCCAAATGTCCATCAATAATAGACTGGATAAAGAAAATGTGGCACATATACACCATGGAATACTATGCAGCCATAAAAAAGGATGAGTTCACGTCCTTTGCAGGGACATGGATGAAGCTGGAAACCATCATTCTCAGCAAATTATCACAAGAACAGAAAACCAAACACCGCATGTTCTCACTCATAAGTGGGAGTTAAACAATGAGAACACATAGACCTAGGGAGGGGAACATCACACATCGGGGCCTGTTGGGTGGTGGGGGATTAGAGGAGGGATAACATTAGGAGAAATACCTAATGTAGGTGACAGGTTGATGGGTACAGCAAACCACCATGGCATGTGTATACCTATGTAACAAAACTGCATGTTCTGCACACGTACCCCAGAACTTAATGTATTAAAAAAAAAAGAAAGTATAATAAAAAAAACTGTTAAAAATTATTGATCCTCTTTTCTAGCTCTCTATTACTTTAATACCATATCCTCTCATTTTTATATTCAAACAACATATATATTTTAAAAGTAAATTTTTATCAACTTCCAAACAGGTAAAAATATATACTTCAATATTATAGACAAAATATTAGTATCAAATATTAAATAGTAATATTAAATATTAAAATGCAGCAGCATGTACTTATTTTTTTTGAGACGGAGTTTCACTCTTGTCACGCAGACTTGACTGCAATGGCGCGATCTTGGCTTACTGCAACCTCTGCCTCCCAGGTTCAAGCAATTCTGCTGCCTTAGCCTCCTGAGTAGCTGGGATTATAGGCATGCGCCACCACACCCAGCTAATTTTTGTATTTTTAGTAGAGACGGGGTTTTGCCATGTTGGTCAGGCTGGTCTCGAACTCCTGACCTCAAGAGATCCACCTGCCTTGGCCTCCCAAAGCACTGGGATTACAGGTGTGAGCCACTGCGCCCGGCTGGCGTGTGCTTTTACTCCCAGCTACTTAGAGGCTGAGTGGGGAGGGTTATCTGAGCTCTGGAATTTGAGGCCAGTCTGAGCAACACAGACCCCATC
The DNA here is from genome assembly GCF_000001405.40 of Homo sapiens. NCBI lineage: Eukaryota > Metazoa > Chordata > Mammalia > Primates > Hominidae > Homo > Homo sapiens. Next base: position 93,260,005 of record NC_000001.11, on the reverse strand, counting down.
ACTTTTTTAAAAAGATAGCAATACTGAACTAATTTTACAATTTATTTTATGTACAATCTATTTATAATTTCAGGTGGCTTATAAAACTAAAAGAAACAATTGGATAATTATACTTAAAAACAGAACAGAGGCCATATAATGAAAGTGTAATGAGTAGTTAAGGGCAAACACTTGAAAGCGCCTAATTATTACTGATAGTTACTAAGCTGAGCTGTTAATAACAATTATATAATTATGCTGAGTCCAACAGCATTCATTCAGGTTTGTCGCTAAAGATCAAAGGTTGCAAATTCTTAGCCTTAGGATTAGATTCAGCTTGTAAATATGTTTTGTTTGGCAGGCACAATGCTTTCAAAGAGATATGATTCTAAATGTATTTAAGCAAGACATGGTCCCCACAAGCCCTACCAATCACTCACAAAAATGTCACCAAACTCCCTTGAATGGAGTTTAACATAAATATTTGCAACCCTTGCCGTATTAGAAAAAACGCTTTATTAGCACTAAACGTAAGTAATTTATTTAAATCATATACAGAGATTTTGGGTAATATCTTTAAATGTAGTTTTTAAAAAGATGAAAAATGCTATTCTAGTCAATAATACTGCCCATTTCTGTGAAGGCTCAAGACATGCTGACAGATAAAAAGGCTCTAGTATTATCTCTCTAGCTAAGTTATTATAAGAAGAAATGCTGAAAATTGCAAAGCATTATAGATTTACATCACATGAAACGGTTTATATCAGTTATTAAATATTTCCAGTTAATCTTTTACAAATGCTATTTTATATTATATATTAATTCATTTAATATTCACCACAGTTCTATGAGGTAGATACTATTATTATATCCATTTTAGACACAGGTTAAGTAACTTACCCAAGGTGATACAGGTGGCTCCGTGGTGAGCTAGGGTTTAGAACCAGGTTGCCTGGCTCAGGAATTCAAGCTCTTAACCCCACAGTATATTAAAGTGAAAGCTGTATGTTTAGGCTACCAGAAATGAAGACCACAATGTATTATTCAATAATGAACACTTAAGAGCTGGACTCATACTTTTGTCCAGATAGGTCAACCTACTTTAGTGGGCACTAACAAAACAAATTAAATTTTTCTTTACCTCCATATGATAAGCTTCTTTGAGAGATTCTACTTCTGCTGACAATTTCTTGATTTCTGCTTGCATTCTTGCTTCTAAATGAGCTTCACGTACTTTAGAAGCCCCCAGTTCTTCAGCTAAATGGTTTCCATGAGCATCCTTAAAAATGACATATTGAGTAAAAGCTATAAAACTTGTTTATTTGGTTATTATAGCTAAACTAATCCAGTGCATTATTGGAAGTAGTTTAATTTTTTATATTATATAAACACAGACACAAAGTTAACTTACTAAATAGTATGCTTTAAAATCTAGACATTTCAGAGACTATTAATGGGAGAGTATTAATATAATTGTTTGCTGTCATCATAAAATAGATGTTCACTAACCAATGCTTTCTATAAAATGAACTATTAATAATAACCTCAGGACACTGAACTCTGGCAGATAACAGTCTACTGCTAGGTATGCCTGTATATTTTTGCTCACTATATATATTGTCTGTTTATCAAGAGTCAGTTGTGTTTTTATTCAAACTTATTTATGCTAATTTAGCTAACTGTGCTTGTAATTTTAATTGTGTAATTTTATTATAGATTATGAACATGATGAAATAAGCAAATGCAAAGTTTTTATCCAAAAACTAAGTTATATGTTTTGAACCAGCTTAATAAGTAAGTCATGAACATTTTGCTATCCAATTAGAAACACTCAAAATTGTTATAAAATATGGTAGGAGGTCCCATAAAAATATAACATGGTTCACTTACAAATGTCTTTTAATTAATTATTATTAATTAATTTTTATTAATTTAATTTTAATTAATTTAATTATTTTAATTTTAATTAATGTCTTTTAATTAATTCTTCCTCCACTTTAAAGAAAGCAGAATTGGAAACTATAGATGATGGAATATAGTGTGGTGAAAGACCAGGTAGGAGTCTAGTTATGTGAGAAAGACTAGGTAGAATTCTAATCAAATGACTCATACAAAAAGAACCAAGGTTTGGCCCTACATCAAAGGAAAAACATATCAATATATATTTAGTTTTGGGTTAAAATAAGTATTTAAAACACTGTCAATTAAAAAATTCCTAACTTTAATTCACTTTTTAAAGTGAGCTTAGCTTATCAAATAAAAACCAATTGTACTATACTTTGACACTATTGATAAAGGCAGAAATGAGATAAAAGTAGATAGCTTTCCTTTTCCTAGAACCCCAAATGTATAATATATCTCTAATAAACATTCTCTATGTATGCTTTACTGGTCTAACCATCCAGAAATGTGAATAACAACATAGGTAGGCTTAACCAAAATTAAAGGTAAAAATATTTTAATTCAGTTCCTATGGAATTGAATTAAACCATGGAAACCACAATGGAAAGCTGAATTTTTTTTTTTTGCAACATCAATAAACACATTTTTCTTAAAGTCTAAATAATTAACCCAAGTATACCAATGTAAATATTTTTAAGCCAAGTAGTTAACTTCCTACCAAATACTGGAAAAATAAAATTTATATTAGTATTTTTGCTTTTTAAAAGCACTTTACCTCCAAGTTACTTTATCAACCAAGGGTTTTGAACTACAGGTTTCCTAAAAGTTACAAATTTAATAGTTACAAATTTGGATAGTTTTCATGTTTTTTTTTTTTTTTTTTTTTTTTTTTTGAGATGGAGTCTTGCTCTGTCGCCCAGGCTGGGGTGCAGTGGCACGACTTCAGCTCACTGCAACTTCTGCCTTCGGGATTCAAGCGATTCCCCAGCCTTAGCCTCCCGAGTAGCTGGGACTATAGGTGCCCACCATCATGCCTGGCTAATTTTGTTTTTTGTATTTTTAGTAGAGATGGTGTTTCACCATATTGGCCAGGCTGGTCTCAAACTCCTGACTTACTTATCCGCCTGCCTCGGCCTCCCAAAGTACTGGGATTACAGGTATGAGCCACCGTGCCAAGCCAATAGTTTTCATTTTTAAGAGTCACTACAAATGTAAAAATTTTTACTCAAAAAAGATTAGCTTTATTTTTTCTTCAAGTAAGAGCTCGAACTCACTTAAAAGTCTAAAAGTGCTTTATAACTCAATTTGAGAACTAGTTTAGCCAAAACTCAGTTCTGAAGGACTTCCTGGTTATATTACAAAGTTATCTATATATAACACAGTTCATTATTTTCTAAAATTGTGGTAAAATACACACAAAATTGACCATTTTAACCATTTTTAAGTGTATAATTCGGTGGGATTAAGTACATTCACACTGTTGTGCAATACAGTTCATTTTTGAAAGAACTATATTCTACAGTTCAAAAAAAATGCTAATATTTGTAAGATTTCAGATACATAAGATTATTTAAAATAGGGATTACTTTCTCTTTAGAGAGTTGCTTCATATCCTCCAGTTCACTAGAGAGCCTTTCTATTTCTCTCTGTGCTTGGACTTGCTGATGACGAGCCTCTGCCAATTCTGTATGAGAGTTCTGCACCTGCTCCCGGGTCAGCCTCAATTCTTGCCCCAAATCTATGGCCTCCTTGTACTGAGTGGCAATGTACTGTTCTTGCTCTTTCATAACCTGAAAAGCATAAGGTATTTGTAGGTTTCAGAATGAAATATATAGATAACCTATTTCTTATTCTGATTTTGCTTAATACGTAAATTTCCACCTTCCAACTAAATCCTTTAACATACAATGAGTATGTTAAAATTTAACATACAATGAGTATCACCCACTGTGAAACTGATATTCAAGAAAAAAATCTAATGAGAAAATGACAAAAATACCATAATTGGGACTCTTATTGATATATATTACATCACTGTAACATACACAAGCCATATAATCTTTTATCATTTTAAATGTAACATTTATGACAGAAAACATAAAGAGAAAAGAGAAGTTAACATTTGATTATCTATGTCAAAGACAGAGAATATATTGGTATAGATAATTAAAATCCACCATTTAATCCACACAGCTGGGTTAAGGTCTTACTCTCTGTGAAAGTAAAACTTGTCACTGGGGCTGCTACTCCCACTGAAATGGTTTTATATTACTCAATTAAATTTCTAATAAAGTATTCCTCCCCCTCCTCCCCACTATCCCTCCCCCCTCCTTCTTCTTCCTCTTCTTCCTCTTCCTCCTCTTCTTCCTCTTCTTCCTCTTCTTCGTTTGGTACAGGCTCCTGCTCTGTTGCCCAGATTGGAGGGCAGTGGCGTGATCACAAATCACTGCAGCCTTGACCTCCCAGGCTCAAGCAATCCTCCCATCTCAGCCTCCCAAGTAGCTGGGACCACAGGCATGCATCACCACACCTAGCTAGTTTTTTAATGTTTTTGTAGAGACAGGGGTCCCACTGCTACGATGCCCAGGCTGGTCTTGAATTTCTGGGCTCAAATGATTCTGCCAACTTGGCCTCCCAAAATGCTGGGATTATAAGTGTGAGTCATCGTGCCTGACCCTAAATTCACTTTTTAAAAGAGCAAGTGGAGGAATGAATTCACCAGTCAACACACATGCATACTGATGATATGAAGTCATCAAACTTCATCTGGCAACTCAGTGCACTTGGTCTCAATGTACAATTATTTATTTATCCATTCTTTTGATGGAGTTCCTAACAGACAAAACACTGTATCTTATTAATAGCTGACTCTTCGGCCGGGCACGGTAGCTCACGCCTGTAATCCCAGCACTTTGGGAGGCCAAGGCAGGTGGATCACAAGGTCAGGAGTTCAAAACCAGCCTGGCCAATATGGTGAAACACCATCTCTACTAAAAATACAAAAATTAGCCAGGCGTGGTGGCAGGTGCCTGTAATCCCAGCTACTTGGGAGGCTGAGGCAGGAGAATCACTGGAACCCGGAAAGCAGAGGTTGCAGTGAGCCAAGATTGAGCCACTGCACTCCAGCCTGGGCAACAGAGAGAGACTCAGTCTCAAAAAAAAAAAAAAAAAAAAAAAAAAAAAGCTGACTCCTCAATTCTATTACATAGCAGCTTCTCAATAAATATTTGTCAACCAAATAAGCATATATTGTAGATTTACTATATGAAAGATACCATGCAAAGGCCTGTATACAGAGATAAATAAGACACTGTCTTTGCCTATACCTAGACCATCAGAAAAATATTTTAAAAGGTCAAAGAAACTAACAGGTTTCTGGCACAAAAAACTAGCCTAAAAACAGTTATGGCACAGTTTCTGTATATTAAAACCAACCAGTTTAAAACATAAAGATTCATTTCACTCAACAGAGACTACCACTTGTTCCTTAGGTGGAAATAATTTGCTTACACTCTCCATTTCTTTCATCCTTTGTTGTGTTCTTTCAATTTCTTTTTTCAGTTGACTTATCTCCTGTTCATTTTGTAGCATTATAAACTCTTTTTCTCGAAGCTGTTCTTTAGCATTTTGTAATTTGTCATTCAGACTTTCTATCTGAATTTTAAACAGATAAGCAGTATCAGTAAAATTAATGAAATGTAATTTAATCAATGCTGTGTTCCAAGTAAGTCAAGCTTTAAACACTCATATCTAAAAGCAAAATATAAATAGGTTAAGGCAATCGTATCCTGGAAATAAGCACAAAAATTCTTGTTCTTGGACATTACCAGAAAGGCAGAATAGAGGGTAACCCACTCATATTCCCCCACAACAACAGGAATCCTGCACCCTCTCAGACTTCACCACTATAAAATGTATCTATGTAACCAAAACTACTTGTACCCCAAAAGCGATTGAAATTTAAAAAATTAAAATAAATAAAAGTAGAAGTTGTATTCTACCATTATATTAAATAGAGAAGACTTTTTTGTTTTTGTTTTAGCTTATAGAAGTCTGTAAATTACAAAATGAAAATTGTGTCTTCACCCCAGTCTCTCAACAATACTTAGAGGTAAATAAACACTGTTAATTTAAAATAAAATAAAATAAAAAAAGAATCCTGCACCTTTCTATAGTCAAAAGCCTCTTTGCAGGAGCCTCAGGATTCAGGTAGGAGTTTGTGAAATCCTGGTAGAGACGAAGATGTGGGAGTGTTATTTTGAGAGCACAGACAGAAACCCAGGTGGCTGATATGCCAAGCTTGCTTCTGGGTTCAAGCCTGGAAACAGCCCACGTCCCCAAGGGACTTGGCTACAGCCCCATTTGGCCTTGAGCCTACAAGCACAACCATCTGAAAAGGGGTCCATAAGGAATCATGCATACTAGTGCCTTAGTGGAAAGGCTCTCTCCCTGCTGACATCAGTCTCAGCAGTGGACCGGAAAATTGCCTGGTGACTCTGCTCCAACTCCCCTCAGCAAAGGTCCCAGCTCAGAGCTACTCACACACAGACCCAAAGGGAGACCTGTCCTTATCCTGCTGCCTAGGAGTCTAAGCCTCCTTGAAAGGCTTGCCAACCTCTGTCCCAGAGCAGATCCCAAGGGGACCCAGTCTCAGCCCCGACTCTCTTGCTGCAATCAGGGAACTATCCTGTCTGTGCAGGGACTTGCTGGGAGACACATGCACCTCTGAAATAATGAGATAGGCTCTCCAGCCTCTGTCCCACAGCAGATGCTAAAGGGGTTAAATCTCAGCTCCAGCACCTCCCACTGCAGACAGGGAACTATTCCATCTGAGCTGAGACCTGCTGGCCCTGTCTGGGCCAACAAGATAGGTTCTCCAGCCTCCATCCCACAGCAGATGCCAAGGGGGCCCAGTCTCAACTCTAGCTCCTCACACTGTCGTTGGGGAAATATCCTGTGAAGGAGCTTGCTGGGCTATGTGTGCCCCTCTAAGCTGAGACTGGGCTCTTCAGCCTCCATTCCACAATATATCCCAAGAGGGCCAGTCTCAACTCCAGCCCCTCTCATTGCAACTAGAGACTCATCTCACCTGTCAAAAGATTTGCTGGGAAACATGCCCATCTGGGCCACCAGGACAGCCTTCTGGACCTGGGTCCCTGGCAAGCATTCCCACAGCCTTAGTACGCAACTTGACCCCTTCCCAGGTCCATGTGGGCCAGAAAGCCATGTCAACCTTGAAGCCCTTGTAAGACCTGCAGCAAGCCTGGATGTAGATTATTCTCTAGTGTTCAACAGCTGCAGTGATCACAGCCTCAGGGAACACAAAAGCCAGTTTGCTTAAATTCCTGGAAGGGCCTCCCAAAAAGGACAAGCACAAACTAAGCCAGACTGCAAAGACTAAAATAAATACCCAGTCCCTGAATATGCAGATGTCGTTGCATATCTACAAGTATCAAGAACATTGAAAGAAATACAACCTTACCAAATGAACAATATTAGGCACCAGAGAGTAACCCTGAAGTGATGGAGATGTGTGATCTCTCAAAGAACTGAAAATAGGTATTTTAAGGAAGTTCAACAAACTCTAAGACGACGCAGGGAATCAATTGAGAAATTTATCAAAAAAACTTAACAGAGAATAAAATAATTTTTAAAAAATCAAACAAAAATTTTGGAGCTGAAAAATACAATAAATGAAGTGAAAAATGAAATAAAGAGCATCAACAGCAGAATGGGTCAAATAGAATCAGTGAGCTTGAAGATGGACTATTTGAAAATATATAATCAGAACTGAGGATGGTGGCTCACACCTGTAATCCCAGATACTCAGTAGGCTGAGAGGATCACTTGAGCCCAGGAGTTTGAGACCAGACTGAGTCACATAGTGAAACTCCATCACTTAAAATAAATTTTTTTTTAATTAGCCAGGTGTGGCAGCATGCACCTGTAATCCCAGCTACTCACAATGCGGAAGTGGGAGGATTCTTTGAGCCCAGGTGGTCAAGGCTACATTGAGCTATGATTGTGCCACTGCACTCCACCTCTGGGTAACAAAGACCCCATGTTAGTTAGTTAATTAGTTTGATAGATAGATAGATAGATAGACAGACAGATAGATAGATAAATAGACTACACAGTGAGAGGAGGAAAAAAGGAATAAAAAGGAATAAACAAAGCTTATGGGATCTTTGGGACAACATCAAAAGAGCAAATCTTTGAATTATTGGAGTTAAAAAGGGAACTGAGAAAGACAAAGGGGTAGAAAGCTTTTTTAAAGAAACAAAAGAAAAATTTCCAAACCTGAGGAAAGATATAAGTATGCAGGTATAAAGAGGTCAAAGATCGCTAACCAGATTAAACCCAAATAATAACACCCTAAGACATATTATAATGAAACTCTCAAAGATCAAAGACAAACACAGGATCCTGAAAGCAGTGAGAGAAAAGAAGCAAATAATATATAAGGAAGATCCAGTATGCCTGGTAGCAGACACCTCAGCAGAAATTTACAGACCAGGAGGGAGTAAGATGACATACTCAGTGTTGAACAAAAAAAACCTGTCAATCATGAATACCGTGCCAAGCAGAGTTATCCTTCAGAAATGAAGAAGAGACACTTTCCCAAAGAAAAGCTGAGGAAATTTGTCGCTACTAGACCTGTCCTACAAGAAATGCTAAAGGGAATACTTCAAACTTAAAAGAAAAACCGCCACTAATGTGACTGTTACACCAACACTGAAATCATGGTGTGTAAACCACTTATATCTTTAGTAAGACTAAAAGGCAAAATTATTAAAAATAATAATTACAACAATTTATTCAGAGATAGGCAATATAACAATTTAATTGGAACACCAAAAATTCAAAATGTGGAAGGAGAAGGAGATTAAAGTATACAAGTTTTTACTTTTTTTTGTTTTTGCTATCACAGTTGATATCAGTTTTTGATAGCTTGTTATAACAATAGGATGTTTTCTATAAGTCTCACCACAAAGCAAAAACCTGTGAGAGATACACTAAAAATAAACAGCAACCAATTAATCATACTACCAGAAAAAATCATTTAACCACAATGAAAGACAGTAAGTGGGAAAGAAAGGGAGGAGTTACAAAACAACTAAGAAACAAGTAACAGAAAGGCACAGATCCTTACCTATTAATAATAACATTGAATGTAACTGGACTAAATTTTCCATTTAAAACACATAGAGTGGGTGAATGGATTAAAAAACAAATCCAACTATATGCTTCCTAAAAGAAATTCACTTCATAAAGACACACATAGACTGAAAGTAAAATAATGTAAAAAGATGTTCCATTCAAATGGAAATCAAAAGTATAGCAGAAATAGCTATACTTAGACAAAACAGACTACAGATCAAAGACAGTAGAAAGAGACAAAGAAGGCCAGTATTTAATGATAAATGTGTCACGCTAGCAAGAGGATATAAAAATTATAAATATCTATGCACCCAGGCATATAAAGCTCCCGAGTATATAAAGCAAACATTAATAGATCTCAAGGGACAAATAGGTGGTTGCAATAAAACGACAGGGACTTCAATACCCCACTCTCAGTAATGAACAGATTGTCCAGATTAAAAAAATCAACAAAGAAACATCAGAGTTCAACTACAAACTAGGCCAAGGAGGCATTTTGTGACTGACATTTACAGAACATTTCACCCACTGTTACTGAATACATATTCTTTTTTTTCTCTCTTTTCTTTTTTTTTTTTTTTTTTTGACAGGGTCTCACTCTGATGCCCAGGCTGGAGTGCAGTGGCACAATCATAGCTCACTGCAGCCTCGACCTCCTGGGTTCAAGTGATCCTCCCGCCTCAGCCTCCCAAGTAGCTGGGAGTACAAGTGCTCATCATCACACCTGGCTAATTTTTTTTCACTTTTTGTAGAGACAGGGTCCCACTATGTTGCCCAGGCTCACATTCTTATCTGCACATGGAATATTATCCAGAATACATAAATATGTTAGGCCACAAAATAAGTCTCATCAAATTTTAAAGGTAGAAATCCTATCAAATATATTATCTAACCACTATGGAATAAAAATAGAAATCAATAATAAGAGGAACTTTAGAAATTATATAAATACATAAAATGTAAACAAATGCACCTGAATGAACAAAGGGTGAGTGAAGAAATTTTAAAAAAAATTTTAATGTCTTGAAACAAATAAAAATGGATATACAACATAACAAAACCTACGGGCTACTGTGAATGCAGTACCAAGAGGAAAGTTTATAGCAATAATTGCTTACATCAAAAAAATACAAAAATTTCAAACAAACAATGCACCTAAAGGTGCATGTTAAAAGCATTATTGAAAATATTATTGGACATATTACTGAAAATGATGCTTTTAGAATTGCATTGAGAATATATTTGATAGGATTTCTACCTTTAAAAATTTGATGAGACTTATTTTGTGGCCTAACATATTACATATTCTGGATAATACATAATACATTTATGTATTCTGGATAATTCCATGTGCTGATAAGAATGTGAGCCTGAGCAACATAGTGGGACCCTGTCTCTACAAAAGGTAAGTTCAAGTTGGTCTTGAACTGCCTTTCCCACACTGGAATAGCAACAGCCAAACCCAATATTATTAGAAGGAAAGCAGTAATAAAGATCAGAGCAAAAATAAATGAAATTGAGACTATAAAACAATACAGAGGATAAATGAAACAAAGAGTTAATTTCTTGAAAAGATGAACAAAATTAACAAATACCTTTAGATGACTAAGAAGAGAGAGAATCCAAATAAATAAAATGAGATGAAAAAGGAAACATTACAACTCATACCACAGAAATACAAAGGATCACTACAGACTGTTATGAACAACTACATACCAACAAATTGGAAAAACTAGAAGAAATGGATAAATTCCTGGACCCACACAACCTACTGAGATTGAACCATGAAGAAACAGAAAACTTGAATAGAACAATAACAAGTAATGAGATAAAAGCAGTAATAAAAAGTCGCCCATCAAAGAAAAGCCCAGGACCTGATACATTCACTGCTGAATTCTACCAAACATTTAAAGAAAAACTAATACCAATTCTACTCAAACTATTTCAAAAAATTGAAGAGGAGGGAACATTTTTTTTTTTTTTTTTTTTTTGAGACAGGGTTTCACTCTGTCGCCCAGGCTGGGGTGCAGTTGTGCACTCATGGCTCAATGCAGCCTCTACTTCCCAGGCTCAAGCAATCCTTCCACCTCAGCCTCCTTAATAGCTGGGACTACAGGCACATGCCACTACACCTGGCTAATTTTTCTACTTTCTATAGAGATGGGGTTTCTCCAGGTTGTCTAGGCTGGTCTTGAACTGAGCTCAGGCAATCTGCCCACCTCGACCTCCCAAAGTGCTGGGATTACAGGCACGCACCACCGTGCCTGGCCCACTTCTAAACTCATTCTACAAGGCCAGCATTACCCTGATACCAAAACCGGACAAGGACATAACAGAAACAGAAAACAACAGGCCAATATCCCTGATGAACACAGAGGCAGAATCCACAACAAAATACTATCAACTGAATTCAAAGACATTTTTAAAAGATCATTCACCATAACCAAGTGGAATTCATCCCAGGGATGCCAAGATGGTTCAACATACACAAATCATTAAACATGATACATTACATCAACAGAATCAAGGACAAAAACCATATAATAATTTCATATTAAAATTAAAAGCATTATTGAAAAGCATCAGATAAAATTCAACATCTTCACATTATAAAAGCTCTCAACAAATTGGGTATAGAAGGAAAATAACAGGCTGGGCGCAGTGGCTCACGCCTGTAATCCCAGCACTTTGGGAGGCTGAGGTGTGTGAAGTCATGAGGTCAGGAGTTCAAGACCAGCCTGGCCAAGATGGTGAAACGCCGTCTCTACTAAAAATACAAAAATTAGCTGAGCGTGGTGGTGGGCACCTGTAATCCCAGCTACTGGGGAGGCTGAGGCAGAGAATTGCTTGAACCCGGGAGGCGGAGGTTGCAGTGAGCTGAGATCAAGCCACTGCACTCTAGCCCGGGTGACAGAGCAAGACTCCATCTCAAAAAAAAAAAAAAAAAAAAAAAAGAAGGAAAATAACACAGTAAAGATCATTTACAACAAACCCATAGTTAATATCATAGGAATAGGGAAAAACTCAAAGTCTTTCCACTAAGATATAGAACAAGACAAGTATGCCCACTTTCACCACTATTATTCAGTATAATACTGGGAGTCCTGACTAGAGCAACTAGACAAGAGAAAGAAAGGGCATCCAAATTGGAAAGAGAGAAGTTAAATTATCCTTGTTTGCAGAGGATATAATCTTGTATTTGGAAAAACCTGAAAACTCCACCAAAAAACTATTAGAACTGATAAACAGGGCTGGCGTGGTGTCTCATGCCTGTAATCCCAGCACTTTGGGAAGCTGAGGGGGGAAGATCGCTTGAGCCCAGGAGTTTGAGACCTACCTAGGCAACATGGCAAAACCCCATCTCTACAAAAAATTAAAAAATTAGCCAATCATGGTGGTGCACGCCTGTAGTCCCAGCTACTTCAGAGACTTGAGGTGGAGGGATCACCTGAGCTTGGGATGTTGAGGCGGCAGTGAGCTATGATCATGACACTGCACTCCAGCCCAGATGACAGGGTGAGATCTTGTCTCAAAACACAAACAAAAACAAAAACTAAAAAAGAACTGATAAATTCAGTCAAGTTGCAAGATACAAAATTAACATACAAAAATCAGTAGCATTTCTATACACTAAAAGCAATCAATGTGAAAAAGAAATCAAGAAGGCAATCCTATTTAAAGCAGCTACAAAAAAATAAAGTATCTAGGAAGAAATTTAATCAAAGAAGTGAAAGATCCACAGAGTGTGGTCGCTCACGCCTGTAATCCCAAAGCTTTGGGGAGACCGAGGCAGGAGGATTGCTTGAGCCCAGGAACTCGAGGCTGCAGTGAGGTATGATCACGTGTCACTGCTCTCCAGCCTGGGTGACAGAGAACGACTCTGTCTCCAAAAAAAACAAAAAACAAAACAACAATAACAAAAAACACCCACTATTTGAAGGGGTGTTTTTAGTTACAGTTTGAATTTTTTAAAAAATAATTTAAAATACGTAATTTTAAAATAATTTACCTGTTTGTTACATTCTTTAAGTTCCAATTCTGATTTCTCCAGAGTACCTTCTAATTTAATTATTTTTTGTTCCATTTCTCCTCTGTGCTCACGAATAGTCATATCCAAATGTGTAACCTAAAAAATAACCTTAAACTGTTGTTCAATTTTATTCTGATATAAAAACTTGTATGCTTAGAATAGGCTTTGTAATTGTTTATAGCAAGTATAACAAGTATAAACTCATTAGTATAGCTAATATACTAATGCTCTTTGCTTTAGTATAAACTCAAATTATTTTTTAAATGGGAAAAATAATCATTGTTTACTAATACTGGCTCATGAGCCCCATATGCATTTTTTTTAACAATACATAGTGACATTCAATCCCATATACATTATAGAAACAATAAAATATAGTTGTGTTCATAAATGACAAATAATTCAGACTTCATTTTATGCTGGACAAAAAGTGCTAAATAACGCCTTCCAAATATTTTTGTTCCTCCAACACTTAGCTTCTTCTGATACGGGGTAATATAAGAGATCAAAAGGCTCAGATACTAAGCTAATCCTCATTTTCAAAATCTACTTGCTAGAAAAATATCAAGATAAAGAGAGATGACATATCTCTAATTTAGTAAACCCTATGTGCAGAGAAAAGATATGCTATAAAAATGCCCATTTTACAAAAAATTGGTGACCTCTCAAATCCTGTGTGACTGTGTCATAACAGAAAACTCCATTAAAATATAATCAAGAAAAATCAACCTGAGCTGCTCTTTGCTTTAGTTCCCAATTTCTCTCTTTAAGTGCCTGATCCATTTCAAGGAGCTCCTGCTTTTTGTCTTCAATCTCCATCTTGCATTCTCTACAATTTATCAAAGGAAAAAGATCAAAGCAGATAGTAGAAGAGTATAATTTTAAAAAGTTAGGTCAACCAGGTTACCTCTTCTATAAATTAAAAGCAAAATAATATATGCAATCAAGTCAGATTGAAAGGGTCAAATTTAAGGAATAATAGATAAAGAAAAAGATTGACATCAATACAATTAATTTAATAAAGGGTATTCTAAAAGGGTAAAAGTTAACTCACACTGTGGTATTACAGATAATTTAAGCTAATTGCTAAAACACTCCCAGGACTCCAAGATTGAATGATTATAAGAATTTTTAAAAATACATATCCACATTTTTTCATACACAGATCAAAGGAGTGTTTCAAAGTCTTTTACATGTAACAATTGTGACTTCATTACAATTGAATGAGGCATTTAACCATAGTATTTCTCATGAGGATGTTACTCAAAACGATGCCTTACATATAAAAAAGCACTTAAATCTAATATAAAAATATTACAAATTCTAAGCCCTCTTAAACCCTAATTTATGTATAACCTTATATTATAAAATGCTTAATACTGACACAATTTTAAGGCTTTTACCAAAGTGAAGCCTGTGATCAGAGAATAATTTGAAACTCTAAGTTCTGATAAGACAAAGGTTGAAAATGTTGATCTTGAAAATCTTCATATGATTTTCCAGTCTGAAATATGAAATAGTACTGATAAGGGTACTAATTTTTAAAAGAAGATTTTGAACTTCTTTAATGAGTTGTTTTTAATATTCTTCTAAAAGTCTCAAGAGGTATATAACACAAGGCTAAAACTAATATTCTAAAAATAGTATGAAATTAAAGAAAACTCTAACTTCTATCTATGCAAATAGCGGAGCTTCCACAATTCATCTGTTAGCTAGAACTTAAGATTTCACTGTTTACATCTTTCATGTTTTCATTCACTTATTTATTTTGCAAATATTTACTGGATGTTTCCTATATGCCAGGGTTCTAAGTGCTGTGGATTTAATAGTAAAAAAGATAAATGTCTCTGATCTGAGTTTACATTGTAATAGGTCCAGAAGAAAAGACAGACACCTAAGTAAGAAAAATATAATATTAAATGCTATGTTAGAGCATTAACTGCATGATGAGGTAGTGACTGGGTGGCTACTTTAGAGTGGGTAGTCAGAGAAGGCTTCTCTCTGAAGTAATGTGAAGGACAAGAAGAAGCTGACCATGTAACTGTTATTCCAGTAAAAAGAAACAGCTATGGCCAAGGTTCCATGGTAGAAGAAAACTTGGTAAGTGTAAAGTATAAGAAAAATGTCAGGAACAAGGACAGGAACCAGACCACATAAGGCTTTGTATTCAAGATAAGGAACTTGGATTTTTTTAACTGTGGTAAAATTCATATAATATAAAATTTACCATTTTAACCATTTTAAAGTGCACAGTTCAGAAGCATTAAGTATATTCATAATGTTATGTAACCATCACCACTATCTATGTCCAGTATTTTTCCATCAGTCCCCCACAAAGAACTTCCTACTCATTAGCACTTATTTTCCATTTTCCCTTCCCCTAGTCCCTGGCAACCACTAATCTTTCTTTCTCTATGAATTTGCCAATTCTGAATATTTCATATAAATGGAATTATGCAACATGTGTCTGGCTTTCACTTAGCATAATGTTTTCAAAGTTCATGCACTTTGTACCATGTATCAGTAGTTCATTCGTTTTTATGACTGAATAATATTCTTTGTATGGATACACTATATGATATGGTTTGGCTGTGTTCCCACCCAAATCTGATCTTGAATTCTACATGTTTAGGAGAAACCCAGTGGGAGGTAATTGAATCATGGGGGCAGGTCTCTCCTTGGCTATTCTTGTGACAGTGAATAAGTCTCATGAGATCTGATGGTTTTAAAAATGGGAGGTTCCCTGCACAAGTTCTCTTGTCTGCTACCAGTGAGATGTGCCTTTCACCTTCCACCATGATTGTGAGGCCTCCCCAGCCACGTGGAACTGTGAGTCCATTAAACCTCTTTCTTTTGTAAATTGTGCAGTCTCAGGTATGTCTTTATCAACAGCGTGAAAACTCACTAATACAGTAAATTGGTACCAGTAAAGTGGGGCACTACTGTAGATACCCAAAAATGTGGAAGCGACTTTGGAACTGGGTAACAGGTAGGGTTGGAACAGTTTGGAGGGCTCAGAAGAATACAGGAAAATGTGGGAAAATTTGGAACTTCCTAGAGACTTGTTCAATGGCTTTGACCAAAATTCTGATAGCAATATGGACAATAAAGTCCAGAATGAGGTGGTCTTGGAGAGAAATGAGGAACTTGTTGGGAACTGGAGCAAAGGTGACTCTTAAGTTTTAGCAAAGAGACTGGTGGCATTTTGCCCCTGCCCTAGAGATTTGTGGAATTTTGAACTTCGGAGAGATGATTTAGCGTATCTGGTGGAAGAAATTTCTAAGCAACAAAGCACTCCAGAGGTGACTTGAGTGTGATAGAAAAGAAAATCCCATTTTCTGAGGAGAAATTCAAGCTGGCTGCAGAAATTTGCATAAGTAATGAGAAGCCAAATGTTAATCCCCAAGACAATGGGGAAAATGTCTCCAGGGCATGTCAGAGGTCTCTGGAGCAGCCTCTCCCATCACAGGCCTGGAGGCCTAGGAGGAAAAAATGGTTTCATGGGTGGGATCCAGGGTCACCACGCTGTGTGCAGCCTAGGGACTTGGTGCCCTGCATCCCAGTCACTGTAGCTGTGGCGGAAAAAGGACAACATAGAGCACAGGCCGTGGCTTCAGAGGGTGCAAGCCCCATGCCTTGGCAGCTTCTACCCAATGTTGAATCTGTGAGTACACAGAAGTCAAGAATTGAGGTTTGGGAACCTCCACCTAGATTTCAGAGGATATATGGAAAGGCCTGGTTCTCCAGGCAGAAGTTTGCTGCTGAGGCAGGGCTTCATGGAGAACCTCTGCTAGGAAAGTGTGGAAGGGAAATGTGGGGTGGGCACCCCCATACAGAGTCCCCACTGGGGCGCTGCCTGGTAGAGCTGTGAGAAGAGGGAGGGCCACCATCCTCCAGAACCCCAGAATAACAGATGCACTGACAGCTTGCACCATGAGCCTGGAAAAGCCACAGATACTCAATGCCAGCCGGTGGAAGCAGCCAGGAGAAAGGCTATAGCCTACAAAGTCACAGGGGTGGAGCTGCCAAGACCAAGGAAACCCACCTCTTGCATCAGTGTGACCTGGATGTGAGACATGGAGTCAAAATAGATCATTTTGGAGCTTTAAGATTTAACTGCCCTGCTGAATTTCAGACTTGCATGGGGCCTGTAGCCCCTTTGTTTTGGCCAATTTCTACCATTTGGAATGGGTGTATTTACCCAATGTCTGTACCCCCACTGTATCTAGGAAGTAACTAACTTGCTTTTGATTTTACAGGCTGATAGGCAGAAGGGATTTGCCTTGTCTCAGATGAGACTTTGGACTGTGGACTTTTGAGTTACTGCTCAAATGAATTAAGACTTTGAGAGACTGTTGGGAAGGCATAATTTGTTTTGAAATGTGAGGACATGAGATTTGGGAGGGGCCGGGGCAGAATGATACAGTTTGGCTGTGACCCCATCCAAATCTCATCTTGAATTCCCATGTGTTGTGAGAGAGACCCAGTGGGAGGTAACTGAATCATGGGGGCAGGTCTTTCCCATGCTGTTCTCATGAGAGTGAATCAGTCTCAAGAGATCTGATGGTTTTATAAAGCGGAGTTTCCCTGCGCAAGCTCTCTTGTCTGCCACCATATGAGATGTGTCTTTCACCTTCCACCATGATTGTGAGGCCTCCCCAGCCACGTGGAACTGTGAGTCCATTAAACTTCTTTCTTTGGTGAATTGCCCAGTCTCAGGTATGTCTTTATCAGCAGCATGAAAACGGACTAAGACACTATATTTTGTTTATCCATTCATCTGATGATGAACATTTGGGGTGTTTTCACTTTTTGGCTTACTTTGTAAACATTTGTATACAATTTTTGCTTAGATATCTGTTTTCAACCCTTTTGAGTACAAAACTAGGAGTGGAATTACTGAGTCATATGGTAATTCTACGTTCAACTTACTGAGGAAGGCTAAAGTGTTTTCTACAGTGGCTGCACCATTTTAGATCCCCTCCAGCAATGAATGAGGGTTTCATTTTTTTTCTACACTTGCTAACACTTGTTCTTTTCCATTTTTTGGTTTTTAAAAATGACCATCCTTGGTATGAAGTGATATATCAATGTAGTTTTTATTTTCATTTGTGAAGGAGTTTGGATTTTATTCTGAAGGTTTTAGAAAGCCATTAGAAGGTTTAAGTAGGTAAGCAATATGATCTATTTTTTTTTTTTTTTTTTTTTTTGAGATGGAGTCTCACTCTGTCACTCAGGCTGGAATGGATCATGGCTCATTCTTGGCTCATTGCAACCTCCACCTCCCAGGTTCAAACAATTCTCCTGCCTCAGCCTCCTGAGTAGCTAAGACTACACACACCTGCCACCACACCTGGCTGATTTTTGCATTTTTAGTAGAGATGGGGTTTCACCATATTGGCCAGGCTGGTTTCAAACTCCTGACCTTGTGATCTGCTTGTCTCGGCCTCCCAAAGTGTTGGGATTACAGGCGTGAGCCACCGCGCCTGGTCTAATTTATGTTTTAAATAATAAACTTAAATCTATTTTTGGAAAATGGATTGTTGGGAGGGGGTCAAGATTGTAAGCAGAGAGCCCAGCTAGGAAGCCACAGCAACAGACCAGGTAAGAGATGATGCTTTGTGCTAAGGATAACAGAAAAGAGGCCACGAAATCAATGGATTTAAGAATGTGTTTTGGGGCTGGGTGCAGTGGCTCATGTCTGTAATCTCAGCACCTTGGGAGGCCCAGGTGGATGGATCACCTGAGGTCAGGAGTTCAAGACCAGTCTGGCCAACGTGGTGAAACCCCGCCTCTATTAACAATACAAAAATTAGCCAGGCGTGGTGGCAGGTGCCTGTAATCCCAGTTACTTGGTGGCTGAGGCAGGAGAATTGCTTGAACAGGAGGTGGAGGCTGCAGTGAGCTGAGATCATGCCACTGCACTCCAACCTGGGCAAGAATCTGTCTGAAAAAAAATATATATATATGTTTTGGAAATAAAGTTGACATGGCTTGCTAATACACTGGATGAAAAAAGGGATGGAAAGAGAGAACAAGAAAAATCTTATATATTTGTGGTTTGAGCAACTGCATGATACTGAGTTAGGAGAAGGGTAGGGTTATGAGAAAATATGAGTCCTATTTTGGCTAAGTCTGAGATGCCTCTTAAAAATATCCGAATGGAGGTAACAACTAGTTGGATATTGAATCTGGAGTTACAGGAAAAGGTCAATACTGGAGAAATGGGTTTGGAAGTGTCTGACACATAGTATTTAAAGCTACATGAAATTTACTAAGGATGAGTTTGTGGATACAGAAGAGAAGGAGGCCCTACACTGAATTCTGTGGTACAGTATCTAAGTTTCTGGGTTATCTTGCTGCTCTTTATCCTGTTCTTTTATTTCACATTTTACATCCTAATTTGTAATTCTATTTTCCTTTTCTGAACCTATTTCTCATACTTTGGCTCTAATCTGGCTGTACACCTCCACTCACTATACATGTGTGTCAGCATAACAGTTTATGTTATACTGCTAATCTAAGATCCCAGACTTTAGAGTTGGACAGACTTGTGTTTAACTCCCTTCTCTAGACTCTACTACCTGTATGACTTGGGGCATTTTATTTTTCTCAAGGCCTCAGGTTTCTCAACTATTAAAAAGGTGATATATGTTTCTAATAGGTGTGTTGTAAGGAAATGAGTGAGATCATATGTGAAGTCCCTGGCGTAGTCCTAGCATAAAATAAGGACTTAATACAAAGAACAATATTATCATTATTAATATCCTCCTGCTGTTAGCCACTGCTGTATGCATGCCCAATGATTTTTTACCACTAGGGCTAGTATAAAATGGTCTAAAGACTGAGGATGAAAGTTTTGGCGGCCAACAAAGACAGCTGAATTAGTTAGATAAGGCATGGGATAGGCTGGCTGGGATGAGCCAAAGTGAGCCAAAGACAGTTGAGAAATTTAGACGTCTAGAATGCAACAACATATTTTATTGTATTATCCAAGGACTTATAACTGTGATATAATTTCTTATTATTTAACTCACCTAAGTTCAGCTGTGAGATCCTTTATAGTAGTGTATTTTTCCTCTAATGATAATTGAGCCTTCTGTAGTACATCTCTCAATTCCTGGAGTTGTCTTAAAGTACTTTTTAATTCTCCATGAGCATTTTGTAGTTCAGTCTCAAGTACTTCCCGTTTTTGCAAGGCTTCTGTTAGTTCAGTTTCAGTACTGTGCTGTAACTTTTCTAACTCCTTTACTATTAAGAGGAGAGAATAATTTTATAACTATATGTAAACCATTTATTACAAACTTTGTATATATTAAGAATATTCAATTATATTCATCTACGAGAGGCAAAATACCACTTATTTTCCCTTCCAGCCCCACCATCTCAAATTCTCACATTATTTCACTTCGTTAAGTACAAATACATAGGCAGCTATACTCATCTAACCACTTGCTTACCAGCATTTGTTTTCTTTTCTAGCTCTGTCTTTGTCTGATCTAAGATCATATCTAATTGAGAGAGGTGCATTGCTTTATTTTCTCCATCTCGTTTTAGGTGCATTATTTCCTTTTCCATTTTAGACAGCTCTTCTTTGTACTGATCCATCTCAATCTTTACTTGCCTAATTAAAAACAAATAATAAAACAGGTAATTTAGAAACTTAACCAACTAACTTGTCTCTGACTAAAAAAAAAGCCTGCAAGTTATATAAGGACAAATATCAGCAAAATATCTAGTTGGAATTTTAAATCACCTATTTTTAAAAATTCTCCAACTAAAAACTATTCCTTTACACATTACATACCACTAAATACAACTTTACTACTACTACCTGGTAATATTTAACAAGCCTAGCATTCTTTTCACTCTAACCACATTTAACTTTAGCTTTGCATGTATTGAAAATATCCAAGGACCTCATTCATCTAGGAATTTTTGTTATTAGCAACAAAGAAAATAAATAAGCCAAACAATCAAATTATTCACCATAAAAACCATATTACTCACTGGAGAGCCAAGTCAATTGCTTTTACTCAGTTTTATTATTGGTTCTATCCTTTTTTTAGCTTTAAAAGGAACTAGAGATTCCTAGACTAGTGCAACTTCCCTGCTTTACAGAGGAGGAAACTGAAGACTAGGTGAGTTGTCTGAGATAATACAACTAGCTGTTAATAGTGATAGGGCCAGGTTTACTAACTTTGTCAGTCCTGAACTTATTCTAATACGGCAGCTCCCCTACAGACAAATCAACATACTAAGAGCCAGTTTTAAGTCCCTTTGTTGGTAATTCTAAAGTGATATTTACTAATTAAACAATTGTTAATGTTACCCTCAATGGTAGGAAGAGTTCATGTTCCTTTGTGTCAACACTTTCTGTTGTTTGATCTTTGAAATTTCTAAATTGAGTTTGCAAGTAGGAGCATTTCTTTTCTAGATAAAACTTCAACAAATTTGGATTTGTTCAAGAGTTTTTTAATTGGAAGTCCATGAGTAAACTTAAGGAAAACTATAAAACCCCTGAAACAGTATGCAAAATTATACATGTATAATGTACATGTATACATCTATGTATAGAAGACAAGCTAAAGCTTTTTACCAGATCCTCAAATATGTCCATAGACCAATTAAGTACTAGATTAGATGAGTGCTAATGACACTTTTACATTTCTAAAATCCCAAGTAAATAATTTTTAGCTTGACCAATTAGCTCTAATATTAAAGTAGATATAAAACAGATAATTAGAAAAGAATAATCAAAAGAGATTGGCATAGAGCCATGAGCAGATGGCTTGTCAGCAAAGGAGTTAGGGGAAAATTATAGAAAATATACAAGGACTCAAAAAGCATTAGCAGCCTACAGACATTTTATAAAAAACAGAACTGTATATGCCTCAAAGTTTCATTAGGGTATCACTACATTTTAGCATGATGTATATAATGATAACCCTGAGATACCCAGAGAAAGTAAAAACCCCAAGAAAATATACATTTTAGAAAATTTCTACCAAAAAATGTTATTTGGTTTTGATTTAAATTTTCAGCACAAGATAAATTCCATGGGAGTAAGTGGCTGAGGTATGTTAAAGATCAGGATCACTAGAGTACAGAAATTGTTAAAAATGAGAAGCCAAGGTGTCAGAAGGATCAGCTTCAGAGGTGTACTGAAATCCCCAAGAAGAATGACAGAAGTGATGCTGGAGAGGGCAACAGTAAGTCAGGCCGTCTAAAGAAATCAGCACCAGTAAGGGTTCTGATGGCATGAGGTTCACCAAGTATAGTATATACTTCACACCTTGCCTGGACCCTGTGGTACAAGAGCTATGGGGAAAAGTTTTTTACTTTAGAAGGCTACAGGGGAAGAAGCAATGTCCTTAGGGGAGGGCCAGGTTTCTATTACAGCAAGAGAAAAGAAAAAGTAGTGAATACAGAGAATGGATTATGAAGTTCAAAAGGCACAGTAGAAGTCTTTCAGAAGTTGGGATGGGGTTGGAGAAAGAAACAGAATGTGTGGAGAGTTTTTTGGGAATTAGTGTGAGATATGAGAGCTGACCTGGAAATCTAGGGTTTCTTGTGGTATCTGGCATAAACAAGGATAAAGTGATAATGCAGTCAGTCTTCACAGACTCAAGGTGGACACCAGTGGTGAGGCCATGTTAGTGAGTAGAACATCTGTCAATGGAAGAAAGAAGGTGTGAAATACTTTGGTCTTAGTCTTAAACTTGGGAAGCCCTCAACCCTGCTGAGAGGGTGACAGACATCTGAGGAAGCAAGTTGCTCCTCTGAGCACAAAGGACCCCTGTCAATGGAGGAGAGGGAACCTGGGGACATGTGGTTTTAGTGCCAGTGCCTAAGTTCACTCTTGACTCCTGTTGGTAGAAGGGTGGGCTGATTATGTTATAAATTATGTCAATTCTTCCCAACAAAGTAGAAGAGATCTGAAGAGGCTGGGTACTGCTTTCAGCTCATGGGTTCCTTTCTTGACCAATTAAGTATCGATGCCTGGGACCAGCCTAGCCAAATTAAATCAGAATCTTTAGGTTTTATTTAATCTAAAAGTGGGACCCAGTCATCAGTATGTTTTTTTACAAGCTCTTGAGGTGATTTTAATATTCACTCAAGGCTGAGAACCACTTTTATATTGTCATTCTTCCCCTATATAATTGGATTGCCTGAAAGTTTCCTCTATGTGAGTACATTTACATTTTTGCCTACAACTTTTAATGTTATTCACAATTAACAGTTGCTGAGTGCCTATGAGGTATAAGGAACTGTGCCAGTTGTTGTGTAAGACCCTAAAATAAACCAGGTATGATCCTTGCCTTAAGAAACTTATAGTAGGAAGGTTAAAAGCATTAAACTGTAATACAGTAAAAAGCATAATGAGAGATATGAAGGAAATACAAACAAAATGCAATAGGAACACAGACTATGGAGACATTAATTCCTCAAGCAAATGCTCCACTGAACATTATCTGATTTCAAAACTCAGATACCACTGATATTGAAGTGGGAAGGTAAATAAAACATATTCACATTTTACCTGGCAGTGCCAGTAAGCTCAATCACTTTTTGCCTTTTCAAATCTGCTTCATGTGCAGCTGATTCACATTTCTCCTCCATTTTTCTCAACTTTTCAGCTGAACTTTCCCTTTGTTTTTGAAGTTCTTGTTCCAGTTTTGACACCTTGTAAAGCAGTTTTCAGTAAACATTTTAAATTCAGAAGAAAAATACTTTTATAAATATGTAACCTAGCTTATCAGTTTCAAGATGTATCATAAAAATCAACATATAGACCAAGAAGTAATGTTTGGAAAATATAAAAAGCAAGGCTTACTTTCTAATAATAAAGATACTTCACATACATATTACTATTTAGGGAAGTGGCCACATCATAACACTAAAGTGTTAAAATAATTGAACAAAATGATAGTAAATATTCCCCTTTTCATTGTCCCCATTTGAAATGCCCTTTCTTCTCTTACCATACTGCTCCTTTCTTTTCTTCACGAATTGGCTCACTCAATAGATTCCTAGATTTCCACATGACCTCAAATGCTAATTTGCATTTGCTCCCATCTTAACTTGAATCTGTTCCTATTCATTCTTCCTCTATTCTACTACAATAAAGGAGGTATTCTTCCTCCTTTATATAAATCAAACTGCTTCATAGGTGTTGTGGATTCAATTCCTATTCATTTTTTCAGGAACTTCATACTACTATCTCCTCTTTCCAATATCTTCAGTCTCTCTACTGTTTTTTTAATATTAGCATTTAAACATGTTAAAAGACTTTCCCACTGTAAAAAGCTTTTCTTCAGACCTTGACCTCCCTCTACCTACTACCCTTTATTTCCTCCCATATATAGCCCAACTTCTCAAAGTTTTCTATGCATGTTGTATCACTGTCTCACTTCTCATTCTTCAACCCATAGCCAGAGGCCATTCCACAGAAACAGGGATTACAACACCAGTGACTTCCAAGTTGCTAATTCCAATGGACATTTCCCAACCTTCATTTTACTTGACACTGATTCCAGTAGCCCATGACAGCAACATTCATTCCTTCCTTAATGAAATACTTACTTTGGCTTCCATGTATCACATCCCTCAGGGATCTGTCCAAGTCAATCTTCTTGCTTCTCATTCTATATTCTCTCCCTAGGTAATTTCAGTCACTCCATGTCTTCATGAATATTTATATGACTGTGGTCTCAAAGTTAACCTCTCAACTCTGACCTGCATATCCCCCGTTCTTCTAAAATCCCTCACTGAAGAACTAAATATAGATCATAAACCATTAATATCTTGCCAGGTGCGGTGGTTCACACCTATAATCCCAGCACTTTGGGAGGCCAAGGAGGGTGGATTTCTTAAGCCCAAGAGTTCGAGACCAGCCTGGGCAACATGGTGAAACTCTGTCTCTACCAAAAAAAAAAAAAAGAAAAAAAAAGAAAAGCCACACACACACACACACACACACACACACACACACACTCTTAGCTGGGCATGGTGGTATGCACTTGGAAGGCAGAAGTGGGAAAATCACCTGAGCCCAGGGAAGTTGAGGCTGCACTGAGCCATGATCATGTCACTGCACTCCAGCCTGGGTGACAAAGTAAGACCCGGTCTCAAAACAAAACAAAACAAGAAAACCCCATTAATATCCACCCCTCCACCTCAAGTTTCAAGAAGAAAATTAAAACAGTACCCAGGTAAAAAGGGAAAGGAACCAAGGAAAATCCACCTACTCAATTCTTAATTAAATAGAGAAATCTGAAGATGCAAAATGGAACCTATGCACAGTGTAATATGAATGAAAGGCAGAAAAGGAATACCAAGTCAAAAATTTACTCCAAATACTGAAGAAATTTTTAGATATAAACTTCTGTAGACCTCAGTGAAGCTAATGAGAACACAAAATCTTTTAAAACAAGATCACAAAGAAAATCACCAAATAAAAAATACAAATGAGGCCAGGCGCAGTGGCTCACGCCTGTAATCCCAGCACTTTGGGAGGCTGAGGTGGGCGAATCACAAGATCAAGAGATCAAGACCATCCTGGCCAACATGGTGAAACCCCGCCTCTACTAAAAAAACAAAAATTAGCTGGATGTGGTGGTGCGCACCTGTAGTCCCAGCTACTCGGGAGGCTGAGGCAGGAGAATCACTTGAACCTGGGAGACAGAGGTTGCAGTGAGCCAAGATCGCACCACTGCACTCCAGCCTGGCGACACAGTGAGACTACGTCTCAAAAAGAGAAAAAAAAGAAAAAAAAGTGAACTTGTTAAAAAAAAACAAAACAAAACAGAAAAAACCATACAACCATTATAGAAGTGAGTTAGGAACAAGAATCATAATCAATCCTGCAAGAACCAGAGTCAATGACAAAGGATGTAGGCAGTGGGAATCAAACATAGATGAGAAGAAGAAATGCTTCAGGATGAAGCTGTATAGTAGGCATAGCAAGCAGTAGGTCTAAATTTTAACAAAAGGGATGGAGAGTCACAGGAAGATGTCTCTTGAAAAAAAATAGAGGCCAGGAGCAGTGGCTCACGCCTGTAATCCCAGCACTTTGGGAGGCCCAAGTGGGTGGATCACCAGAGAAGGGAGTTTGAGACGAGCCTGACCAACATGGAGAAACCCTGTCTCTACTAAAAATACAAAATTAGCTGGGTGTGGTGGCACATGCCTGTAATCCCAGCTACTCAGGTCGCTGAGGTGGGAGAATCGCTTGAACCCGGGAGGCGGAGGTTGCAGTGAGCTGAGATCGCGCCATTGCACTCCAGCCTGGGTGACAAGAGTGAAACTCCGTCTCAAAAAAAAAATACAGAATACCTGCCTGATGTGTTTAAATGTAGTGAGAGGAAGATACTTTAGTTCCACTGGACAGGCTGAGGAGGACTTCAGAACAAGTAGATAAAAGACCGAAAAAATGACAAAAAAGGAAAATACAGTAAGATTACAGGGGACGATCATTTTCTAATTTACACATTACTGTAAATTTGATTTCTTTTCAAAGAAAAAACAAAATAAGAATGTAAAATATCTAAAGAATTCAGATAAATTCAGTAATGAATTAAAGGAAAAAGATTAGATTCTAGTATAAAATTCTCTAGAATTCTTACATTCAAGTAAGTAATAATTTTTAATTTTAGAACTTTCAGGGGTATTTTCCCTTGGGATTTTTCTTTTAGTGCACTGCTTTGCCATTTCTTTAAGGAATATCACATACCATGTCCTGATCCAAAAAGGAAAAATTATAGGTATTCAGATTAGGTACAAGAAGAGAGATTGAATAAAGAAACATGAATTATAAATTGTATGGAACAGCAAACATATAATCATGGTATAAGAGATGGAGGTCAGATTACATAGGAATAGAACTTTATTTTACAATATCAGTATAGAGTATTTCTTATAATGCAAAATCCTTGAGGTTTAACAGCAATTTTTTTTTTTTTAGGCGGAGTCTCACTCTGTCGCCCAGGCTGGAGTGCAAGGGCACGATTGCAGCTCACTGCAACCTCCACCTCTTGGGTTCAAGCAATTCTTGTGTCTCAGCCTCCTCAGTAGCTGGGGTTACAGGCATGTGCCACAATGCCTGGCTAAGTTTTGTATTTTTAGTAGAGACGAGGTTTGGCCATGTTGGCCAGGCTCGTCTCGAACTCCTGACCTCAGGTGATCCGCCTGCCTCAGCCTCCCAAAGTGCTGGAATTATGGGCACGAGCCACGGCATCTGGCCAAACAGCAATTTAAAAAACTAACGAAAAATCTATTCATGATTTTAAAAATTTCTATTTCATACAAATAAAACAATCTTGGGCTAATAATATATACCTGTTTTTCAAGTTTAGTTTGAGTATCTTCTAGCTCTCCATTTCTAATTGTCTCTTGTTGTAACATTTGCTGCTGTTGCTGAAGAGTATGCTGTAGAATAACGTTTTGCTCAGAAGTCTCTTGAAGACTGTGATTTTTTATCTTTAGCTCTTTCTGTAAACAATATACCTGGCAAATATATATATATATCTCTCAATACAATGCAATGTTTCAAATAAATGGCAATAAAATGTCAAAGCTGTCCTCCTTATTAGATAACCATCCACTTGTCATGTGGGACAATTGCATTCATGTCTATAGTTTGTCATTGGAAGGACAGTATTCATTTTTCTAATGGGGAGATGTACTGGAAGGGCTTGCTTATAGGATTGCTCTTGGTTGGTGTCTGGAAATGTGGCTTTAAAAATGTTCCTAAGTGATGAGGTTGTTTTGCCTGGCTGGGGCACTGAAACATGCCTTCCTTTAGAATTCTGGAATTTTTGATACTTGTAGGCTGGTCATTGTTCCTGTGTGACAAGCCCCCAATAAAAACCCTGAACTTTGAGTCATAAATAGGCTTCCCTAGGCAGAAACAGATATTGCCACATTTTACTGCTATAAAAAGGAGCATGTTCTGTCTGACCTCTCCCAGAAGGAGGGAACAGCATAGGCAGCCATGGTTTTATCTGCACTTCACCTGATTCTTTCACCCTTTCTAATAATAAACTAGAGCCATAAAAGCACTATATGATGTTTGGTGCTATTTATTGTTATTGTTGCTATTATTGCTGTTGTTTATATAATAATATCCCAGCAAAGCACTGCTGAATATTTATGCTACAAAAAAACACATAAAGGAATGACAATAACAACTAAGAAATTTCACTAATTACTCTATATATTTAGGACTTGAATATGATGGTCTCCAAAATTGCTTTAAGATACTTTTATCCAAGAGCACCTATTAAGAAGAAAAATAAATTCCCTTTGTCCTAGTAATCCAAATTCTAAAAATATGCCAGCAGAAATTATTTTTAAAATACTATCAACAATGAAACATAATTTAAAATATATTTTATAATATTCTTCATCTCCTACCAAAGTGAATGGAAGATTTAATAAGTGATGATTGTCAATGTGATTTAAAATGTGCAACCATTTAAAATAATTAAAAAGACAGCTAACATAAAAATTTATAAAGTTAAAAAATCACATTTCATTAATATAATTTTGAAAAATATACATGCAAACAGAAAAATGAAAACTGAAGTATTAGAGAATGGGCTGTAGGTAAATGTTCTTTAGAAGTTTTCTTGTTGTTGCTTATATAATAAATTTTTTAAGTGAAGGAAAATAAAGCCATTCCTTTAAAGCAAAGAATCTTTCCAGTAAATATCATTCCAAAAGGAAATTTAAACTCCTTATAGTAAATAGCGGAAGAGAATCACGACTTGCTTCTTTTTTCTAACTATCCAGCAGGTGAACATTAAGGCCTTCAGGGCCAAATATTCTTTGCTCATTATGAGAAGCTCTGAGATTTCAGATTTCTTAATTATATGATGATGTTGTATACTCGAAGTAACCCTGGATATCACAGGCAACTAACTGATCTCTAATCCTGAATTATAATCCCTTTTCATGCAAATATGTTTTGTTTAATTCTGTCTGCATGAAAATAATTTAGTGTAAATATGTGTCAGTATCACCTGTTTTGTTTTCTCTCTTAGCTCCTGACCAAACCTGCAGATCACACTTCTGCACTGGTTTATTTTAGATAGAACTGACTTGCCTGCAAGACAGGTTTAAATACTCTTTTTTTCTTTATTGGAACATCCTGTTTCATACTTACCTATTCAGAGAAAAAAATGGACAAAATATTAAAATAAGACAAAACAGAAGAAAAAAATAAGATCTAACCAAAACACAAAGCCTTACCACATAATAACAACAAAATTTTATTTCAGTAATCTAGTCACTGACATTTCAATTACATATATTGAAATAGCTAAAATTAGTTATCACAAATATTTACAAAATAGAACATATATCTATCAAACTTACACTGACATTTCATTGTACTGACCTTTAACTCCAGTCGGCTTTAGTTTTTTGTTTTTTTTTTTGAGATGGAGTCTTCCTTTGCCACCCAGGCTGGAGTGCAGTGATGCGATCTCGGCTCACTGCAAGCTCCGCCTCCCAGGTTCACGCCATTCTCCTGCCTCAGCCTCCCAAGTAGCTGGGACTACAGGCGCCCACCACCACGCCCGGCTAATTTTTTTTTTTTTAATTTTAATAGAGATGGGGTTTCACCGTGTTAGATCTCCTGACCTTGTGATCTGCCTGCCTCAGCCTCCCAAAGTGTTGGGATTACAGGCATGAGCCACCGTGCCTGGCCAGTTGGCTTTAGTTTAAAAGTAAATACAGAACAAATTGTTTTTACATCATATTTTCTACTAATGTATTATTATATTCCCAGAGTACTTAATATTTTATAATTGAAGTAAATAAGAAAGTAGAATTTAGATGATAAAATCTACCTTACACTTAACTTTATCTAGTATCACTATGTACCCAAAGCAGAAAGTCTCATAATTGTTGCTTAAAAATAAAATATAATGCAGAAATATGATGCCAGCTTCTCAAAATCTAAGTCCATCCATTTAAATGAAGATATTTATCAATGAAACGACTGATTTTATTGAATAAAATCTTTATGCAGAAAACATTTAGGCTTAGTCGCATCTACTTTGTATTGAGTTTCTTTTATCATGTTGACAATGTAATTTTGCATGAACACATAACTTTATTATTTTAAAAGCATTGTTAAAAACATTTTAATATGAAATTAAATATCTTCCAAAAATTCAGAACCCCAAAGTATTATTTTCATCATAAATATATTTATTTCAACATCCGGAAAAGAATATGTGGCTGAGGCAAAAGCTCAGAGGAACATATATTAGCTTTTTGCAACGGGTAATCAACATGTAGTTTTTACAACTGGCTAAATTTCTACCTATATGCCCTAGGGCCACTTAATTATTCAGTGAGTTATATGATTGGGGCATATTCCCTGATTTAAAAGATAAGAACATCTTTATAATATCACCTATTATTAACGGAATGGATGCACTATTACTCAAATCAGATTTTCTAAAATGTAGCTATATATGATGAAAACTTCACAACTCTGCTGTTACAAGGTGTTAATTATATTAACCAACATTAGAAAGAATTTTCTCTGTAAGACATAATTTGCTGTAAAGGCAAATAAGTCAACAGTTAGTACTTGGATTCTTCTCCACGTTTTTTATCAATACACATGAACATGTGACAGATGACCTTTTAAGTAAGCAAGCCAATGCATGTGCAGTTGAGCTAAGGATTGAGCGGCAATAAATGAGCTTGCAAATCTTTCTAATTTACTTACTCCCTAGTCTGGTCAAATATACCTGATTACCACTTCTGGTTTCTAATTCAGTTTGAGCCTAGGTATGTATTTCCAGTTGTAAAAATCATTCTAAATGAGCCAGGTGTGGTGGCACATGCCTGTAATCCCAGCTGCTGGGAAGGCTGAGGCAGGAGAATTGCTTGAACCTGGGAGGCAGAGGTTGTAGTGAGCCGAGATTGCACCACTGCACTCCAGCCTGGGTGACAAAGCAAGACCCTGTCTCAAAAAAAGAAAAAAAAAATCGTTCTATTTATTTTGTGTGTAAATATCTGTTATCCACCCTAGTCTCTGATGTTGTTTCTATGAATGCAAAGTCTAAAGCTCAACAGATTCTCCTGTTACAAATGCTGCCTACCTCCAGGTAGATTCCATCTCTGCCAAGTCTATTTATTATGAAGCGGAGTGTGGGTATGGGCAGTAGAATAAATGCCAAAATAATGTATTTTGTATACTACTTTAAAGATGATCATAGTAAAAAAAAAAAAGGACATTCCTATTTTTAAAAATCCAAGTACATACAGTTTAGATGATTTAGTTTCTATGTATTGGAGTAGAAAAATATATGCCTGTCAAAGATGCTATAAAAACCTTCATAAGGGAAGGTAGACAGAAGAAGACATGACCGTATTAAATCTGAAGTTTTTTTTTTTTTTTTTAAACTTCTAAGGCTATATAATTACTTGATGCACCTAAGTCTGGAGTGCTGGTCAACTACATTATTTACTCTTAGATTTACCTATGGCTTTCCCCTGTTCTGCTCTGTGTATTGCAGGAAACTGCATTTCTTGGCCTCCTTTGCCCTCTAGATTACAAATAGGTTTGGCCAATGGGAATGGCCAGTAGCTGCAGTGCTCCTCCTCTATTGCCCCAGTTCCTATTGGACAGACCTTTTTTCTTTGGCCCCAGCTCCAGATAGGCAGCCCTGCTTCTAGACTATGATCACACCATCTTTTCC
Organism: Homo sapiens; assembly: GCF_000001405.40. NCBI lineage: Eukaryota > Metazoa > Chordata > Mammalia > Primates > Hominidae > Homo > Homo sapiens. Next base: position 93,228,208 of record NC_000001.11, on the reverse strand, counting down.
TGATGTTCCTCTAACCTTAACAATGGTAGCGGGTCCCTGCTTATAATAATCTCTGAGTCACTGTGGTATACTGTTTGGCTTCTCTACCCTTTCATCACCTGTGTATCTAATTCTCTGTATAAATTTGCTCTATTTAAAAGATATAAAGGCTTCTGTTTTTCTCATTGGACCTTTCTGATATAGTCAAATCGATCTTGACTAATATGTAAATATAAATAAATATATATATATATATATTTTTTTTTTTTTTTGAGATAGGGTCTCGCTGTGCTGCCCAGGCTGGAGTGCAGTGGCGTGATCACAGCTCACTGCAGCCTCGACCTCCTAGGCTCAAGTGATCCTCCCATCTCAGCTTCCTGAGTAGCTGGGACCACGGGTATGCACCACCATACCTGGCTAATGTTTTTAATTTTTTTGTAGAGATGGGGTTTTGCCCCATGTTGCCCAGGCTGGTCTTGAACTCCCGGCCTCAAGTGATCCACCCACTTTGGCCTCCCCAAGTGCTGGGCTTATAGGCGTGAGCAACAATGAGTGGCCAAAAGTCAACCTTGATGAAGATTCATTGGGAACGATTTCTAAAAATAAATTTTAACCTTAAAATATATACATTATAAATTCTAACAAATACATTCTTCATTACGATTATCCATTTGAGCAAATGTTTAGTGAGTGCCTAACCAAAGTAAAGTGCTACAAATTGAGCATACAGAGATGAGTAAGATGTTCAAGAAAAGTTTCCAAGTCTGGGTGCAGTGGCTCATGCCTGTAATCCCAACACTTTGGGAGGCCAAGGTGGCAGGATTGCCTGAGTTCAGGAGTTTGTGACCAGCCTGGGCAACATGGTGAAACCCCGTCTCTACTAAAAAAAAAAAAATACAAAAAATTAGCCGGGCGTGGCAGCATGCGCCTATAGTCCCAGCTACTCAGGGGGCTGAGGCAAGAAAATTGCTTGAACCCAGGAGGTGGAGGTTGCAGTGAGCCGAGCCTGGGCGACAGAGCAAGACTCCATCTCAAAAAAAAAAAAAAAAAAAAAAGGTTTCCAATGCAGTATCTGAGAAACTTATCTTAAAAAAGTTGAAATTCTAAAGTTAATTCTCAATCCTACAGACAACAAGAACAAAAACAAAATGAAAAATTCTTGAAGAATTTTAAACCTCTAAATCTAAAACAATGTTCAAGGTGTCATGTAATATTATATTAGAATGACTGTAATATTAATAATTTATTCTTCTGATTCCCTAAAAATAAAAGAATTAGAATTTTAAGGTATATTCTATTTTGCATTGAAATGTTTGCTCTTTAAAGAAAATAAAATTGGAATTTACATTTTATTGGAAATACTTTTTTATATCAGATACATAAAAGATATTATTTTGGCCAGGCACAGTGGCTCACACCTGTAATCCCAGCACTTTGGGAGGCCGAGGTGGGTGGATCACTTGAGGCCAGGAGTTCAAGGCCAGCCTGGCCAACATGGTGAAATCCCATCTTTACTAAAAATACAAAAATTAGCCAGGCATGGTAGTGCATACCTGTAATCCTAGCTACACAGGAGGCTGAGGCACAAGAATTGCTTGAACCCAGGAGGCAGAGGTTCAAGTGAGCCAAGATTGCGACACTGTACTCCAGCCTGGGCAACATGGGGAGACGCTGTCTCAAAAGAAATATATATATATATATATATTTTGTCCTACATCTCATGCTTCTTAAAAAAAATCACTTGAAATATATGCTATATATAAAGTAAATGTTAATTTACCTCTTCAGATTTCTTCTTTAACTGTTTTTCAAACTTTTCCTTATTTCCTTCCAATTGATTCAAATGCAAGACAAGTTCTTCCTTACAAATTTCCAATGCTGAATCTAGTTGCCTAACCTAAGCAGGAAAAAAAGCAAAAAAAAAAAAAAAACACAAAACGATATACTCAATATTTTACAGATTTATCTCCTAATGTTACCTGACTGCTTCAAATAGTGAATATACAGTCCTACTTAGGATATAAAATGCCATTATAGAAGATATTTATTGAGTAAACTAATTCTTCATTGCAAATGAGGAAACCAAAGAGAAAACCAAGGTATGGAATCCTGAAGAATAAACAAGAGTTGGACAAGTTTAGAAGGGCATTCCAGGAAAAGGGAGTATGCTCAGAAGCAAGGCCCTGCGAAAGGGAGTGGTGAGAAGTTGGCAAAAGCCTAGGGTAGTAAGAAGATGAATTTGTAGGAAATGGTTATTTGGGAGCCACAATTGACAAGATAAACTAGGGCCAACTGTCAAGAACCTGTAGGCCAAACACTCTAAAAACTTTTCTTTAAAAGGTAAGTGGTATTTAAACCTACTTCTTAAGCCTCCTTGAATAAGAAAAATAGGAAAGTGAGTACAAACTAGCATACTGTTAATGATGCTTAAGTGAGATTTTTTTTTTTTTTTTGAGACAAAGTCTTGCTGTGTAGCCCAGGCTGTAGTGCAGTGGTGCGATCTCGGGTCACTGCAACCTCTACCTCCCAGGTTCAAGCAATTCTCCTGCCTCCGCCTCCTGAGTAGCTGGGATTACAGGTATGCACCACCATGTCTTGCTGATTTTTGTATTTTTAGTAGAGAGTGGGTTTTGCCATGTTGGCCAGACTGGTCTTAAACTCCTGACCTCAGGTGATCCACCCGCCTTGGCCTCCCAAAGTGCTGGGATTACAGGTGTGAGCCACCTTGCCTGGCCTTAAGTGAGAATATTTTGAAATGCTGAAGTTACTAAGAAAATAATTTGTCAGCTAGAAAAAAAGAAGTGAAACCTTCTTTGCTTTGAAACAGTGAAAATATTTTCAGAAAGGCAGCAATTTAACTTGGTCCAAGTGTTCATATAGTTGCCACTGCTTTACTACCTTAATACCAAAGAGCAACTCAAATTTGGTACTTTTCGTTCAAGGCGCACATATTGCATACATGCTCCACATCTCATCTATTAAGATTCTTGTCTTGCTCCTTGTTTTCTTTATTGTAAATTTGAGCTTCTCAATGGTGTTCTTCCTCTTAATGCTAATAATGTTCTAGTAAGCAGTCTTGAAAAAGTGAAAGAAATCTTAGATTTCTTAGCAGATGAAAAAACGAGAAAAACATTCTCTCTTGCAGATTCTATTCTACATCATGAAATTATCTTTGCCACTCTTATTTCTAAAAAGGGAATCTTATAAGATACACAGTTTTTGAACACCACCCTTATAGTCTGTATATGAAATCATTAACAGCTAAAAAATCTGTAATTCTGAATGACTAATTAACATTTGTTTTATGAAAATTATAAATACTTAGAAATTTTCTTTTTTATGAAAGAGAATGGGCATTGGGACTTGTATCATCCTTCACACAGAGAAAATAAATAAAACCTATGATTCTGTCAGAATATCACTACCTAATAGTTAACAGTGTAATAACTCATTTGGGCAAGATTCATCATTAGATATGAAAGCCATTGATTATAAGGTTATTGAGGAACAGGATATTCACATGGCCTCAAAGACTCACCCCAAAGTTAGTTTGCTAATTATCAATGAAAATGTATGCCCTTAAAATAATGAGATCTGGCAGTCATCAAATTAAATAAGGTATATAATCCTGAGAGTGTCTCCTTAAATTTTGTGTCATCACACTTGATTCACTGGGGTGAATCAGGTCTGGGGCATGGCTAGATACTCTTCAAAGCTTCCAGGTGATGCTGATGCTGCTAGTTCACAGACCATGCTTTGAGTAGCAAGGCTATAAAGGACAATTTTAAGTAATTGGGGAAATTTTAGTACGGACAATGTTGAATGATATTACTAACTTAATGTTGACTTTCTCTGTAGTGTAGTGGTGGTGTGGCCATACAGAAGAAATTCTCTGTTCACAGGAGATGCATGTTAAGTATTAAAGGGGTAAAGTATTATGACATCCGTACCTTCTCTCAGGCGGTTTGGCAAAAGGGAGGTGGGTTGGTAGGGACACACACAAGCATGCATGCATGTGTATGTGTAGAGAGAGATAAAGTGAGTGTACCTAGAGTTTAATAGAGTTTAACAGAGAGTGAATCTAGGTGAGGAGTAGACTATTTTTTCAATTTTTTGTGGGCTTGAAATTTTAAAAAATAAATTAGAAATAAATCAATTATAGCTAATAAAAAACTAATTAAAAACCCAAAACATCCGCTACTCTATTGAATTTCTTATTTGAACAGAGTTTGAAAGTCTGAATCTCATACAGATAAACATCTTGCATTGTATACAAACCACTTGCAAATGTGTGTGTGTGTGTGTGTGTGTGTGTGTGTGTGTGTGTGTATAAATAAATGAAATCAAAACAAAAACAAACACCACTCTGCTGAACCAAAGAAGCTCCTCAGGTGCACAATCTGGAGACAACCAGATAGGGCCCTAGGCTATGCATCTTCAAAAAAAGAAGGTAAACTCTTCTTTTATGTTTAAGACTTTTTTGTGGGGGTTTTGGGGAATCTAAAGTAGAAAATAAGAGGAAAACAAAACAAAAGAAATAAAATCTGTAAGTCTAATAAGCACCTTTTCAATTTTCCATTTAACAGCAGGTAACAACTGGTTTAATTTACTGATTTCTTGTTACCAGTTCAGAATTTTATCATCAACCTTTTAGCTTAGTGATACAACTTTAAACTGACCCTTATAACTTTCCTATAGATAAAAAAATTCATATTTCTTTTGCAGAGAACAAGTTGAGGCATGTTGAGAGACATGAACAAAAGTCATGAAAGGAAGGTAGTAATGACATAATCAGGAGAGAAGTAGACTTCAGGCTTCTATTTTGCTGCTATAAATAACTTATGTGTAGAATCAGTCAATATAGCTTAAATCATAGGAATTTGGCTTCTATATTTCTTACTCATTTTGATTTTTCCCCAAACAGCAAACCTGCTAAAGATGTTAAAGGAATAAAATCCAACATCATACTTCATTCTTTTGCTGATTTCTTTTCCATCTCATATCTGGCTATTAACACACGGAAATACCTCACCAGATGACTGCCCAGTTACGTTAGGTAGTTTAATGAAAACCAGGAGTTAAGTGGCTGCATGAGTTTTATCTAATAAAAGTATTTCATGCCTACAATCTCTGTACAGTAATCATTTTTTAATATTAATGAAATTTGGGGCTATTCTTACACAGGGAAATGAACTGACATTGCATTAAATGTTAAGAGTTTTGGTGAATACTACAGGAATATTTATGAATAAACACATGTCTACATGGGCATACACAGTCACAAAATGAATTAAAAACAGAATAGGGAAAAAATAACATCGTATCTTTAAAGCAAATCTTTTATATTCAAGCTACATATGACAGAATAAACGTCATAGCATATTTGGACCTACGTTTAACACTAAAAATGCAAGAGAAAATACTAAATATATAGCAGTTAGTTACAAAACTTCGGGCAACTCAGTATGTGCTAAGCACTTTATATACCCTGTTTCATTTAATTCTCACACTAATGCTCTTCTAGGGTATTGTCATTCCTATTTTGTGGATGAAGAAATTAAAGTTCAAAGAGTTAAATAACCTGGCTAAGGTTACAGTGAGTGGGTAAGCACTTGAAGCCACACTGAAACCCAATTTAACAACAAAGCCCATGTTTTTAACCATGAAGATATACTAGCCAGAAAGCCGTATTTTAGCTAGAAATTCTGGCTTTATCTCAATTAATCTTACAAGCCAACTGATAAAAACAAGCAAAATTGAATCACTTTTAGTTTTCTCTTCCTCCACTTCCTCTGGTAATTTTCTTTTTTTTTGGTAATGTTAATAAGTAGCAATTATAGCTAAAATTTAAAACAATTTTTAGGGTTATAAAAACTGTTTTAAGACAAAAAGAGGCTAGATAACCTGCAAACTAGATGATTAACTATCAAATAATTAAGATCATAATTCGCTCTAAAGAAAATACATTTAAAGGAACTAAGTTCATTGAGTCAGATCAAATCGTCAGCTCTGAATTGCCTTTTATCTGTACAATGTTTACAATTTACAGAGAAAAGTAAAAAAGCCACAAGAATGTCTCCAAATAGAAAAAAATAATTAGCCAGGCATGTTGAAGCACGCTTGTCCTAGCTGCTCAGGAGGCTCATGTGGGAGGATTACTTGAGCTCAGGAGTTCAAGGTTGCAGTGAGTTATCATCATGCCACTGCACTCCAGCCTAGGCAAATGAGAGAGATTCTGTCTGTTAAAAAAAAAAAAAAGGAAAGAAAGAAAAATAAAGTATTAGCATACTAGCCTTGATTGTTTCTTCAGATACTTGGTTCTGTAATGCTTTTAAAGCTTCATCTTTCTTCATATTTTCCTTTTTCATTTCCTAAAAACAGTAAGAAAAGTATAAGTATGCAGATTTGATTAGATTTAAAGGCAAGTTATAGAGACATAAAATATTAGTCAACTTCTAAATAGCACTTTTATAAGGATGATTTTACCCCTTTGCTTTCCGTCAAGAGTCTATCTAGTGATTCAAGATGATGTTGTTTGCATATTATATCTTGTTGCAACATGGACATAGTCTTTTCTTGTTCTTTAAATTGTTGGTCCTTTTTCTCTAGTTGAGCTTCAAGCTAAACATGAAAACAGAATTTTCATATTAAATATTTTAAAATTTTGAAACATTTTAAATATTAAATACATGTGACACTATAATTGAAATTACATAGATTTTTGTATTTTGCCAAATTGTCTTCAGCTTCTCTCTTTTTAAGGAAGAAATGAAATCACTTGCATGAACAGACACTTCTCAAAAGAAGACATATATGTGGACAACAAACATACAAAAAAAAAGCTCAACATTGCTGATCGCTCAAGAAATGCAAATCGAAACCACAATGAGATACCATCTCATGCCAGTCAGAATGGCAATTATTAAAAAGTCAAAAAACAGATGCTGGAGAGGTTGCAGAGAAAAGGAACACTTTTACATTGCTGATGGGAGTGTAAATTAGTTCAACCATTGTGGAAGGCAGTGTGGCATTTCCTCAAAGACCTAGAGGCAGAAACACAATTTGACCCAGCAATCCCATTACTGGGTATATACCCAAAGGAATGTAAGTCATTCTATTATAAAAATACATGCATGTGTATGTTCATTGCAGCACTATTCACAATAGAAAAGACATGGAATCAACCTAAATGCCCATCAGTGATAGACTGGATAAAGAAAATGTGGTACATACATACTATGGAATACTATGCAGCCATAAAAAGGAACGAGATCGTTTCCTTTACAGGGACACGGATGGAGTTGGAAGCCATTATCCTCAGCAAACTAACACAGGAACAGAAAACCAAATACTGCACGTACTCACTTATAAGTGGGAGCTGAATGATGAGAACACACGAAGACATGGGGAGGAACAACACATACTGAGGCCTATAGGGGAGTGGGATGGGAGAGAGGGAGCATCAGGAAGAATAGCTAATGGATGCTGGGCTCAATACCTAAGTGATGGGATGATCTGTGCAGCAAACCACCATGGCACACATTTACCTATGTGACAAATCTGCACCTCCTGTACGTGTACCCCTGAACTTAACGGCTGAAGAAAAAAAGGCAAAATGTAGAAACTAAGAATATAGACCCCTTTACCCCTCCCCCTTTACACTGTCGTTGTCACATGTATTATATCAATATACCTCATCAGTAAATGTTATAATTTCTTCTTTCAACTGCCATAGATATTATAAAAATCCTATATTTACCAAATATTTACTGTTTTTGTTGTTCTTCCTTTATTCCTGAGGTCCCAAGTTTCTCTCAGGTATTTTTTTTCCATGAGGAACTTTCTTTAGCATTCTCTTTTAGAACAAGTCTGCTGGTGACAAATTCTCTATGCGGTCCTTCATCTAAGAATGTCTTTATTTTACCTTCATTCCTAGAGAGTATTTTTGTTGGATATAAAATAGAATGACAGTTTTTTTCTCTTTCAGCATTTAAAAAATGTTGTTCCATCTTCTTATGTCCATAGTTTTTGATGAGAAATCTGCAGTAATTTTAACATTTGTTCCCTTATATGCAGTGTCATTTATCTCTGGGTGCTTTCAAAGTTTTTTGTTTTAGTTTTTGGCAAGGATTTTGATGTGTCTAGAAGTAGTTCTCTTTGATTTTTTTAAATTTGTAAATTTATTTCCTTCATCAAATTTGTGAAGTTTTCAGACATTATTCCTTCAAATATTTTCCTGCACTAATCTCATTCTCTCCTTTGACTCTGAAGACAAGAATATCAGATCTTCCAGGTCCTTCCCCATATATCTCTGAGGCTTTGTTCAATATTTTTATAAATCTTTCTTTTCTTGGAAAAAAAATTTTTTCTCTGTTGCTCAGACTGAATAATATCTATTAATCTACATTCAAGTTCACTGTCTTTTTCCTCTTGTCTGCTCCATTCTTCTGTTAAGCTCATCTAAATTACAGCAGCCCTGTGGTATTCGTGGTTTCACTTTCCACAGTTCAGTTACCTGCAGTCAACCCTGGTCTGAAAATACTAAATGGAAAATTCCACGAATAAACAATTCATACGTTTTGAATTGCAGTTCTGAGCAGCGTGATGAAATCTCATGACGTCCCACTATGTCCAGCTCTGGACAAGAATGATCCATTTTCCATGCTGTATAAGCTACCTGCTCGTTAGTCACTTAGTAGCCATCTTGGTTATCAGATCAACTGCCATGGTATCACAGTGCTTGTGTTCAAGGAACTCTTATTTTACTTAATAATGGCCCCAAAGCAAAAGAGTAGTGATGCTATCTGGATGCAGATCCAATTTGGATATGTCAAAGAGAAGACATAGCATGCTTCCTTTAAGTGAAAAGGTGAAGGTTCTTGACTTAATGAGGAAAGAAAAAAAACTGCATGCTGAGGTTGCTAAGATCTACAATAAAGAATAAATCTATCCATGAAATTGTGAAGAAAAATAAATTCATGCAAGTATGGCAGTTGTACCTCAAACTACAAAAGTTACAACCACAATGCGTAAGTGCTTAGTTAAAATAGAAAAGGCATTAAATTTGTAGGTGGAAGGCATTAACAGAAAACATGTTCCAACTGACTGCAATGTGTTGCACCAGAAAATATTGAGTATATATTAAGACTTCAGCAAAGATCCCCTGAAACAAGTGACACCAAGTCATTTACTGCAAATAAGGGATGATTACACAGATTCAATAATAGGGTTAGACTGAAAAATATTAAAATTATTGGAGAAGCTGTGTCTGCTGATGAAGCAGCTGCTGTCACATTTCCAGCAGAGATGAAGAAGCTAAGGAGAAAAGATACCATCCAAAGCAAGACTTCAATTGCAGCGAAACTAGGCTGTTCTCAAAGATGACTCACAGAACCTACATTCATAAAAGTGCAAAGGAGGCTGGGCGCAGTGGCTCACACCTCTGCGTGAGCCAGGCACATTGGGAGGCTGAGCCAGGCAGATCACGAGGTCAGGAGTTTGACATCAGCCTGACCAACATGGTGAAACCCCATCTCTACTAAAAATACAAAAATTAGCCAGGCTTGGTGGCGCGCACCTGTAATCCCAGCTACTCAGGAGGCTGAGGCAGGAGAATCACTTGAACCCAGAAGGCGGAGACTGCAGTGAGCTGAGATCACACCATTGCACTCCAGCCTGGCCGACAGAGCGAGACTCTATCTCAAAAAAAAAAAGTGCAAAGGAGGCACTAGGGCATAAGAGAGAGAACACACTTTTATGAGAACAAGTTTTCACATAACTTTTATGACAGTATTTTGTTACAATTGGTCGATTTTATTAGAATTCTTGCTAATCTCTTACTGTGTCTAATTTATAAATTAAGCTTTATAATAGGTATGTATGTATAGGAAAAAATATATAAGGTTCAGTACTATCTGTGGTTTCAGGCATTCACTGAAGGTCTTGGAATGTCTCTCCCATGGATAAGCAGGGACTACTGTATCTATTTTTTTTTACTGTGTCTTGCATTTTTGGTCTCAAATTTTCTTTTCTACTTTTAACCCAAGGTCAAGAGTGCTTCTCTTATTCTGCTTTTTCCTCTCAATCAATCTTCAAGCAACTGATATTTTTAGGGAAATGGAGTCTACAGAATTACTCTTACTTTAATAATGTCAAAAATAATGATTACAGCTGAAACAGAAGGCATACTATATTCTGTTAAAGCACTGAAAAATTATTCAGAAAGATTGGGATTCTAATTACAGCTCTTGCCACTAACTTTTGTGTATCTTTGTGTCCTCGTCTACAAAATAAAAAATGCTGGGGCTAGTAATGTTTAAGTTTCTTTTCAGCACTCATATTCTAAATATGTATTACTTACTCTTTCAATCTGCTTTTCCATTTCTTTATGCTGTTCCAAGTGAATTTTCTTTGCTTTTTCAAAGGCTAAACAAATTTTCTCATGCTCTGTATTAATATTGGTTTCTAGACTCCTTATCTTTTCATTCTTTTCCTAGAAACACAAAACACTTTAAAGGAGTATAATTGATTTGGGAGGCCAAGGCAGGCAGATCGCTTGAATCCAGGAGTTCAAGACTAGCCTGGGAAACACGGCAAGACCCCGTCTCTATGAAAAATACAAAAAATTAGCTAAGTAGATGTGGTGGCATGCGCCTGTGGTCATAGCTTCTGGGGACGCTCAGGGGGAAGCCTGGGAGGACACGGCTGTAGTGAGCCATGATTGTGCCACTGCACTGCAGCCTGAACCACAGAGTGAGACTTTGTCTCAAAAAAAAAGTATAATTGAAAAGCAGTTTTACATAAAAGTACATTAGTCAACCATTAAATATGTCATACTCCATTCTTTAAAGAACCACAGTAGTTTATACTTCAAACTTTAACAAAATGGCTAAAAATACTTTATCAAGACGAGAAGATTTAAACTATTTTAAATATCAAGAAGCATATCAAAGAACTACCATTATCTTCAATCCTATTAGGATAAAAATGAGAAAACGGCCGGGTGCGGTGGCTCACGCCTGTAATCCCAACACTTTGGAAGGCTGAGGCGGGTGGATCACGAGGTCAGGAGATGAGACCATCCTGGCTAACACGGTGAAACCTGTCTCTACTGAAAATACAAAAAAAATTAGCCAGGCGTGGTGGCGGGCGCCTGTAGTCCCAGCTACTCGGGAGGCTGAGGCAGGAGAATGGCGTGAACCCAGGAGGCAGAGCTTGCAGTGAGCCGAGATCACACCACTGCACTCCAGCCTGGGCGACGGAGTGAGACTCTGTCTCAAAAAAAAAAAAAAAAAGAGAAAACTTGGATAACTTGCCATATAAGCCTATTAACTTAAAAATATAAACAAGAAATGATCAGAAGAGTTTAGTAGAATTTATACTTTCCTATATATTTTATAATAATGATGCTAAAACAAATGTGCTGTCACAAATTAAGTGCCTAAAAATCACAGTAAATTTGTAGGAACAAAGATAAGTTTTACCATAAGCTCCTGTTCTAGTTCTGCATTTTTTGCAGCAATAGAGGAATAAGCAACTATCTTTTCTTCCAGCTGTTTCTCAAGAGTTAAAAGTTGAGAACATTTCTTTGTCATCTGAAAACACATTGAAATAAATGTAAAATTATTTTTTAAAGGTAATGATTTTGCATTCTAAGATCAAACACCTGCTCCTCTTTCAAAGTTCAAATACATTGTGTCTAGGTAAATTGGGCAAACTTACAGTTATAAACATTTAGGATGCAAAGTGAATAACTTTTTAACCCACATAATTATAAGTATTTTACAAAATAAGTGACAATTAAGAAGAAAAACAAATACTGAAAACAAAGGATCACTTCTTCTATCTATGTAAAACATAAGTCATTTAATTCAGACCCCTATATCCAAAAAGGACAATACCCTAATCTATTTTTACGTAGCTGTTAAAGACTGAAATAAGTACAATAAAATGTTATCAGCAGTTATTTCTGGTGGTAGAATTATCAATGGTTCATTTTCTTCTTTTTCCCCTTTTATATTAACAAGACTGTGCTATTTTTGTAATTTAAAAAACTTATTAATCCCAGTATTTGGCAATTTCCTAAGTAAACTGGTAGCCATAGTTATAAACTGTCTAAATCTCCATCTTCATTATTAACATAAGTTCCTATCTTATAGTTCTTTTTCCTCAGCCTTGGCTATAGACTTTAAGCTGAGAAAGCAGGTATTTAAAAAGTGTACCTATAGATGACTGCAGCCTCTGGTTTGAAGATCGAGTATAAGATATACACATGTGGTCCTGGTCCACAATTACCTAATGAGGCACCCTTATCCTGTCCTCAGTGAAAATGAAGACAAGATATTCACAAAACACTCATTATCCCCTTTTCAGAATGTAATTCCTTGCGTAGTTGTTTCAGGTTTACATGCAGTTGTTTAAAAATACAGACTCTTTAAACAGCAGAAATACACAAAAAATAAAAATACAGATTCCGGCTAGGTGTGGTGGCTCACACCAGTAATCCCAGCATTTTGGGATACTGAGGTGGGGATCACCTGAAACCAGGAGTTCGAGGCAAGCCTGGGCAACACAGCGACTGTCTCTACAAATAAAAAATAAAAAAACTTAGCTGGACATAGTGACACATGCCTGCAGTCTCAAATACTTGGAAGACTGAGGCAGGAGAATGGCTTGAGCCTAGAAGTTCAAAGCTACAGTGAGCTATGATCACACCACCACACTCCAGACTGGGCAACAGAGCAAGACCCTGTCTCTAAGAAAAAAAAAAAAAAAGAAAAAGAAAAGAAAAAAGCAGACTCTTGTGCCCATATATACTGAATCAGAAATTGCTGGAACAGGACCCAGAAATATGCATATTAAACAGGCTTCCTAGGTGGTTTGGGGTTTGCTAAAATTTGAAATCCTTTATTATCACTCCTTTTCTTCCAACAGCATAATCCAAAGTCTTTATTTATAAATGTATATTAACCATATTAACTTATACTATGGAAGAAATAATAGGCTGCAATGCAATATTATTTCCACCAAATTTGAGACTTTTACCCACTACAGTTTTTCCTACTTTTAATAACTTTAACTTTTAATAAGTTAAAATACAAAGGTTTCCAAATATAATTTTAAAACAATTTATAACTTATGTGGTACCATTTTTTAAAAACTTTAAATCTGGATGTAAACATATAATTTTTATAAAACCCTAAAATAATACCTTTTGTTCTAGTTCAAAAATTAACATATATACCAAGCTAATTCCAAGCTTACTTCACTTTCCAGTTTGCTGGAGTTTGAAGCTTTCTCTAGCAGCTCCTCTTGAATCAGCTGAAACTGACTAGTTCTGTGAGCCATGTTAACCTTCAAATCAGAATTTTCAGCTTCTATTTGTATCAGCTTAGTACGTAGTTCTTCTATTCCAGTAACAAGTCTTTGCCTCTCTTTTTCATATTGCTTGTTCATAGTATGTTGATTTTGATCTTTTACGCTTTCTGCTAATAAACATAAAAGGAAAATTGTTCTGAATAGGACTTCAAGAATAAAAACCTACTTAAATAGTTGAAAGATTTAGTCATAAACAAAGTTTAGTTTCTGATCTAAAGAGTACTAAAAGGGACAGAGAATGAGACATTCATTAAGGAAATCAAAGAATAAGTAATGTGCTCTCTAAATTAAATACGTAACAAAGAGGAGAAAAGTTCTGAATCACTCATTTTTCTAGGTAGCTAAGACTATTCCTTTGTACCAGAAATGTAAGAATCCTTCTCCACCTTTTAAATTCCATTTTTTAATAGAAATCATTGTAAAAATTTTTTTTAAGTTGCCCTGTTTCCTTAAACTGAAGGTAATCATAAAATTTATTTGGACAGTTTGAGATCATTAAGAACATTTTTATGTACTGCACACAGAAGCAGGTTCAAAAGCTCCAAAGAGTGAATCCTTCCCGACCCCATCGTCTTTCTCTCCAAACTAGCTAATGAGAATTCAGTGATGCTTTAAAAAAAATTACTGAGGGTAGCCAGGCACAGTGGCACCTGTTATCTGAGCTATTCAACAGGCTGAGGTGTGAGGATCACTTGAGCCCAATTCAAGACCATCCTGGGCAACATGGCAAGATCCTGTCTCAAAAAAATTACTGAGGGTTATCAGAGGTAGTTACTTGACCATGCCCCTTCTCCACTATAAACATACACATCTCCCACTCCAAGGTAAGTAAGCCTTCAGAAGTGCTTTTAAAAAGCATAATGTAGATGATTACATGAGAACACACAGATGTGGAAACAAGATACACTTTGCCTTCAAGATTTGCATCAGTAGCCATTTCTCATAAATTCTCTACATCTATAATATTTCACTTTCTAGGCTATTTACTTTTTATTGGCTCTGTTCTTGATGTAAAAGAATCTATAACATATTATATTTATTACCACCTCTAATTACTAGTATTCTCAACTTGGAACATTCACCAAGATAGATCATACGCTGGACAATAAACCAAATCTCAAAACATTCTTAAAAATGAAGTCCTATACAGTATGTTCTCTGATCATCATGAATGACACAAAAATATCTGGAAAAACCTCCAAATATTTGGAAATAAAACACACACAGCCTATGAGTCAAAGAGGAAATCACAAGAGATAACTATTTTGAACTGAATGAAAATGAAAATACAACACATTAAAAAAAGTAGTGGAATACACCCAAAGCACCGCTTAAAGGGAAGTTTCTATCCTTAAATACTTAGATGAGAAAAGAAAAGAGGTCTAAAATCAATAATCTAAACTTTAAGAAAAGTTTTGTGGTTTTTTTGGAAAAAAAAAAAAAGAGAGAAAATTAAGCCTAAAAGTTAACTGGGAAAAAGTACAAAGGATCCTGGTGGAGATGTCTTATGTCTTGACTGTGGTGATGGTAACAAGAGTTAAACATTAAAACACAAACACCTGACAAAACGTATCAAACTGTATATTAAAATGGGTGCATCTTAACTGCAGGGGTCCCCAACCCCTGGGCCACGGACTGGTACCAGTCCATGGCCCATTAGGAACTGGGCCACATAGTAGGAGGTGAGTGGCAGGCGAATGAGCAAAGCTTCATCTGTAGTTACACCCACTCCCAATCGCTCGCATTACTGCTGGAGCTCTACCTCCTGTCAGATTAGCGGCAGCATTAGATTCCCACAGGAACACAAACCCTATTATGAACTGCACATGCGCAGGATCTAGACTGCTCACTCCTTATGAGAATCTAATGCCTGATGATCTGTCACTGTCTGCCATGACCCCCAGATGGAACCTTCTAGTTGCAGGAAAACAAGGTCAGGGCTACCACTGATTCTACATTACGATGAGTTGTATAATTATTTCAACATCAATATGATAATAATATAAATAAATTGCACAATAAATGTCATGCGTTTGAATCATCCTGAAACCAACCCTGACCCTGTCCCTGGTCCATGGAAAAAATGTCTTCCACAAAACCAGTCCCTGGTGCCAAAAAGGTTGGGGACCACTGTTCTATTGGATATCAATTTTACTTCATTAACGAATGATACAAAGTCTAATAATTCTGAAATAACTTTTGCTGTCTTATCAGACCACAACTAGTAACAGATTATCAAGTATGTTTGATAATAGAAACCAAACAGTTGATAAATTTGTTCTTTAAAAACTATCATCTGAGAACACATGGAAACATAGAGGGGAACAACACATACTGGGGTCTATCAGAGGGTGGAGGGTGGAAGGAGGGAGTAGATCAGGAAAAATAATTAAGGGGTACTAGGCTTAATACCTGGGTGATGAAATAATCTGTAAAACAAACCTCCATGACACAAGCTTACCTATGTAACAAATCTGCACATGTATCCCTGAACTTAAATTAAAAAAAAAATTTAAATAAAAGTTTTTTTAAAAAAAAACTATCATCCAAAACTCTGAATATAATTTATTAAAATAACTCAATATACTTACCTACTTGATGACCACCTAGCTTTACAGGTTCTGTTTCTAAACTACTTAATTTGCTACTTTCTTGGCTGTCATTACAAGTAATAAGACTCTGAGATAACTGATTTGCAGTCAGGTTTGCATGAAGCTTTTGAATTTCTGCCTCTTTTATTGCAAGCTTAATTCTGGCACAAAAGAAAAGAAGGGAAAAATTATTAGAAAGATTCTATAAAAAAACTCATACTGTACTATTTTTCACCTTTCAAGTTGATTTAAAAAATTAGAATTCTAATATTAGTCAACTCTTTAGGCAGGATATGAAAACTCCCATATACCACTGTAGAATTATAAATTGGTTCAGCCACTTTACAAACTTGATGGTATTTAGTAAAATTGAAAATGTACACACTGTATGACCCAGCAATTTCACTGTTAGGAATATATACTACAGAAACTCTCATATATATGTATAAGAAAACATGTACAAGGATGTCCTTTGCAGCACTGTTTGTAACAGAAAACAGAAACAAGATACCTATAAAGGAACAAATAAATTATGACACTGTTATAGGACAGAATCCTATACAGCTATTAAAAGTAATTACACAAATCCATTTGTTAATCTACTCTATCTCAATATGAATGAATTTTTTAAATACTGCTGAGTGAAAAAGCAAAATTGCACACAGTATACGGTACATATTTGTGTACATGTGTGTAAACATACAAAAATGAATAGAGAAATATATATCCAATTCATGATGGTGGATACTTAGGGGAAAAATGGGACTAGTCATAAGGATCAAAGGGCATTATTCATCCTGTAATGTTTTATTTTTTATTTGGAGAAACAGATTTAAAACAAATACCACAAATTTTAAGGAGAATCAATCCTGGTTAAGAAGATTCAATTCTTAGTTGTGGAATCACAGATACCTGTTATAATATTCTCTGAGCTTTTCTGTATATTTTTTAAATTCCTCAATTAAGGGTCTTTTTTTTTTTTTTTTAATGGAGTCTCACTCTGTTGCTCAGGCTGGAGTGCAGTGGCACTATCTCAGCTCACTGCAACCACCGCCTCCCGGGTTCAAGTGATTCTCCTGCCTCAGCCTCCCAAGTAGTGGGGATTACAGGCGCGTGCCACCACCATGCCTGGCTAATTTTTGTATTTTTAGTAGAGACGAGGTTTCACCATGTTGGTCAGGCTGGTCTCGAACTCCTGACCTCGTGATCCGCCTGCCTCAGCCTCCCAAAGTGTTGGGATTACAGGCATGAGCCACCATGCCCGGCCAATTAAGGGTCTTAATTACCAATAAAAAACATTCTATTTGCTATAACTGCAGAATCTGAAAATTGTACCTCAATTCCGAAATCACCAATTTATTTGCCTCACAGCAGCCAATGCAACGGTCTTCCTTGTTTGAGAAGCTACTCATCTGGTATTTAGAAAGATATGATTTAAAGCCAAATAATTCTCTTTTTAACTGCAAGTTTAAAAACAAACATATGTAAACTTATGTAAATGAGATGCATTTGCTTTTTTATTCAGAACTTCAAATTTTAAAAACTGTATGAATTTAATGGAAACAACTTAATGTCCATCAATAGGAGAATATATAAATACATTAAGAAATATTAAGATAATTGGAAAACTACAATAGTTAAAAGAAATAAACCTGAGTCACATAAATCAGTATGGATACATCTCATAACAATATTGAGTGAAAAACAAATTATAGTGGCAAACAGTATTTTCATAAAAACACTAAGCAACATATATATATTTCTAGATGCATCGATATGTGACAATATTTAAAACATGGACGAGAAGGATACACATGAATTTCAGAATAATTGCCATTTCTGAGGAGAGAGGAAGATAATTGGGATCTGACAAGGTACACAAAGAAGATTTACCTGTAAAATTTTATTCTAAAAAAACATAGAGTTGATAAGACAATATGTGTCCCAAATTTTACAAATAAGGTGCTACACTAGCATATGCACCTTTCTGTATGTTTGGATAATACAGAATTTTAAAAGACAGTTATAAAAAGGAGCAAGGTTAGCATTTAATGACTTCTACCTTCAAACTATAACCGAATCACACCTCCTAGAAGTAGAAAAAAATCACATTTTCTAATCGTGTCATTCTTAGCACTACAAGAAACAAACGATCAAGCATACATTACCACATTCGGAATCATATCTCAAATGATTCTTTTTTGAGAGACAGGGTCTCACTCTGTCACCCAGACTGGAGCTTATGATCATAGAGCTCACTGCAGCCTCGAACTCTTGGACTCAAGCAATCCTCCTACCTCAGCTTCTCGAGTAGCTAGGACCACAGGCATGCGCCACCATGCCCAGCTAATTTTTGCATTTTTGTAGAGACAGGGTCTCACTGTATTACCCAAGCTGGTCTTGAACTCTTGCTTCAAGAGTTCCTCTCACCTTGGCCTGCCAAAATGCTGGGATTACAAGCAGGAGCCACTGTGCCTGACCATATATGAAATAATTCTTGATACACAAATGAGAATGCCAAATTAAAATTGTTATCTGTATATGATTACTTTCTAATTTCAAAAGCAAACAGTACATTAAAAATCCAAGCAAATAAACAGCATCCTGGGAAAGCAGATATCAGAGGAGCTAAGATCTTATGTTCTAGTTTAAATTCTACTACTTACCAGTTGGGCAAGTTATTTACTTTCTTGGGTCTAGGTTTCTTCACCAATAAAATAGTATTGAATCAGATGATTTCTGAGATTTTTTTGGTTCATAATTCCACAGTTCATAACAGTTTAACATTGGTAAGTCTACCATCTAGTCTACCATACATTCATATCTGAAACCAACCATAATATATTTACCTATAGTTTCCCCTGATCTTTCCTTCATTTTACACCTATTGATTACAAATTCCTGAATAGGTTTACTTACCTTCTTCTTAATCTCATTTATATATATGGTCACAAATATTACTAAAAGAGAAAAGGTGGTAGACCATTATTATAAAAACATTTTAGGCCAGGCGTGGTGGCTCATGCCTGTAATCCCAGCATTTCGGGAGGCTAAGGCAGGCAGATCACCTGAGGTTGGGAGTTCGAGACCAGCCTGACCAACATGGAGAAACCCTGTCTCTACTAAAAATACAAAATTAGCTGGGCATGGTGGCACATGCCTGTAATCCCAGCTACTCAGGAGGCTGAGGCAGGAGAATCGCTTGAACCCAGGAGGCTGAGGTTGCAGTGCGCCAAGATCTCGCCATTGCACTCCAGCCTGGGCAACAAGAGTGAAACTTCGTTTCAAAAAAATAAAAGGCCGGGCATGGTGGCTCACGCCCATAATCCCAGCAGTTTGGGAGGCCAAGGCAGGGGGATCACGAATTCAAAAGATCAAGACCATCCTGGCCAACATGGTGTAACCCCGTCTCTACTAAAAATACAAAAATTAGATGGGCATGGTGGTGCGTGCTATAGTTTGAGCTGCTTGGGAGGATAAGGCAGGAAAATCGCTTGAATCCGGGAGGCAGAGGTTGCGATGAGCCAAGATGGCACCACTGCACTCCAGCCTGGCGACAAAGCGAGACTCCATCTCAAAAAAAGAAAAAAAATTTTAAGTTCTATGCCATTCTAATAAGTACATGAAAAGTTGCTCATCATGAGCCATTAAAAAAAATGTAAATTAGGGCCAGGCATGGTGGCTCACGCCTGTAATCCCAGCACTTTGGGAGGCCAAGGTGGGTTGATCATGAGGTCAGGAGTTCGAGACCCGTTTGACCAATGTGGTGAAACCCCGTCCCTTGTGCCTGTAGTCCCAGCTACTAGGGAGGCTGAGGCAGGAGAATTGCTTGAACCTGGGAGGTGGAGGTTGCAGTGAGCTGAGATCATGCTGCTGCACTCCAGCCTGGGCAACAGAGTGAGAGACTCCGTCAAAAAAACAAACAAACAAAAAAAAAGAAAAACCACAATGTGATACCACTTCACACCCACTAAGATGGTTATAATAAAAGAGACAGACAAGAACAAGTGTTGGCAAGGAAGTGGAGAAACAGGAACCCTCATACATTGCTGGTGAGAATGTAAAATAGTGTAGACATTTTGGAAAACAGTTTGGAATAAATTCACCATATGACCCAAGAATTCTACTCCTAGGTATCTACCCAAGAGAAATGAAAACATGTCCAAAGACTTGTATGCAAACGTTCATAGCAGCATTATTCATAATATCCCAAAGTGGAAACAATCCAAATGTCCATCAGCCAGTGAATGGATAAACAAAATATAACATATCTATATAATGAAATACTATTTAGCAATAAAAAGAAATGAAATACTGATATCACAACATGAACGACTCTAAGAATGCAAAAGACCAGGTGCAAAAGAGCACATATTATACGAGTTCATTTATGTGAAATGTCCAGAAAAGACAAATCTACAGATGCAAAAACTATTAGTGTCTTCCTAGGGGTAGAAGTGAGTACAGGGACTAATTATAAATGGGTCCAAAATACCTTTTGGGGATGACAGACATGTTTCAAAGCTGGATCATGGTGATTGTTACAAAACTTATAAATTTACTAAAAATCATAGATTAGTACACTTAAAACAGGCAAATTTTATGGTATATAAATGATACTTCAACAAAGCTGTTTAAAAAAAATTCTGTGCCATTCTTATATATGGCATCTGAGAAACTGGGGAAAAGTGTAGAATGGTAAGTGCAGGAAAAAAAATAGAGATTTAGACAGAAGAGAAATTCATGACTAAAAGTATAGAGAAAAAGAAATTAGAAGCTAATAAAGCAACCACAAAATGATAGTCTTTTCTAAAACACTTTAGTAAAATTCTTCTTTTCCATTACGTAATCACACATACTTACTGGCAACTGGGATATAATCTTTTCCAAACTTCTTAGTTCTACCCTTGAACTTTCAATTTCTTGTTGACATAAATCTAGTCGCTCATTCTGTGCTGCAACACGGACCTTTAATTCTCGGTTTTCATTCATTAAAGAAAATTTGTCTCTAAGTATTTCGTCTTTGTTCTCTAACTCACTCTCTAGCTTCAAAATACTTTGTCTAGATTCAGTTAGTTGTGCCATGACTTCTGAATTTTTCACTGCCATGATCCTTAATTTTTCTTTTCCGTTGTTATTTTCTTCTTTTAACTGCCTATGAAGAAAAGAGAATAAAAATGAAAATAAAATATATATGCATTCATTTTAATCATATTTATTTAATCTCACTTTTAAAATTTTTTGAAGCTTAATTCTAAAATAATACCTGCTCACATTTACTAAATACCTACTTTCTGCATGCCAGGCACTCACAACTTTATATGGTTGGCACTATTATTACTTCTTATTTACAGATGAGGTAACTGAGGCACAAAAAGGTTATATAACTTTCCTAGTGTCTCACAGTAAATGGTAGGGAAGGACAGCCCTACTGTCTTAAAAGCATTTCTGCTCCCTGTTTAATTATATAAGACAGGAAATCTAACTTCAAAATCCCTGACATAGCATTTCACATTATCAACAAAGTTTTGGATTCCTAAAACAGGAGAAAAAGTAAACTGGCTCTACATAATTGTACAACCAGCTTAAGAGCC
The DNA here is from genome assembly GCF_000001405.40 of Homo sapiens. NCBI lineage: Eukaryota > Metazoa > Chordata > Mammalia > Primates > Hominidae > Homo > Homo sapiens. The sequence continues at coordinate 93,206,667 of NC_000001.11, read as the reverse complement.
CAGCATCAATGACTTTCTGTTCTTACAAGGATTCTTTTAAGAAATACTGCATCAACAAGTCTTAATGGCACACTGGGAGATACTGTGAGGAAAAACTTAGACATTTTAGAGGGTTAGACTCCAAATGTGAAGTTTTAAAAATATCTTAACCAATTTATTTCACTTATATTTGAAATATGAGAATAACTTTTTTGAAAAATATGAAAATAACGACTTAAGAAATCATATCTAATTACAAATACAAGAATTCTTTCATGAAGTATAAAAATTTTAAGTGATAAAGGATTGCATCATAGTGTAATTGGCAGCATCTTTCTTTCTTAAAAGTATATCTTGCAATCGATAACCGATTCTAAAAAATACTCTAGTAAAAAGTATCTTTACTTCCTCCTCCTTGGCAAAAATACTAAACAGACTACCTTAAGGAAAGTATGGCAAAATTAGACAAATCAGTCATTGATTGCTTCCTGCTCCCCCTTTTTTTTAAATTAACAGTTTGAAGTGATAAAGACTGGTTAATATTAACCTCTGAAAGTTGATGGGTGTTAGTTTTGAGAGGACAACATGATGTACTAAAAGAGAGCATTGGAGTCAGAAGACTTCGATCTTTCAGACCTTCAGTAAATTCTGGCTACTCTCGGGGCTTCTGTTTACTTATAAAATGAGAAGTCTGGACTAGGTAATTTTTTATGATTTGAAAAACACTTTTTTTTAGAACATCGGATATTATACACATTTTACTAGTGAGTTAATGTGGTTATACATCAAGGACATTATATCTATTAATTTTCTCTAAATATATGCAAAGCAAATATGTTGATCAGTATGTCTCCGTATTTACAAATATTATTAGCATTAACACATTTTACTTCACTTCTAATTCTAACTCTATAGCTAGAAAACAGTTTCAGTCATGAAGCCTATCCTTCTATATAATGTAAGCCTATAATTACAACAATAAAATATTGTGTTTTAAAGTGTTTCAGTTTTTTCCATGTCCACACAAAAATCCTTTTTCTACAACAGAATACTGTACCTTAATTTCTCTTTCAGAATTTCAAGTTCACTTTTATATAGACCACACCTTTCTTGTAGCCTTTTATTTTCTTTTTCACAGTTAGTTAGATTTCTCTCTAATATTTCTTCTTCAGCTTGAACCTAAAACAATAATTTAAGTGGACATACTAATGTGGTTGTAAGTTTTAGGTGTTTCAAGCTAAAAATGTCAGTAGTGATTTCAGAAATAAGCAGGAGAGTAGACTAAGAATTTCATACATTTAAGTCCCCAGCCTTGTAGTGAAAAGAAGCAAAGTGAAGTTCCTGGGCAGTAGCAAAGGACAGAGAAAAAGACACTACTACCTGTCCAGAAAACCTGTAACAGATAGGCAATTGCATCAACTGAAGTCAAAAATTCATCTACAGCTGCTGCGTCCGAGTTACTAAAGGTTAATTTCAGTGCAAATATTCCAGAGAAGTTACTTTTGAAATTTGAACCACAAAATTTACCAACGAAACCACAGCCCAAAATGTAGAACAGAAAAAAGCACCCAAGATACACTGTTGAGAGGAGAAGATTGGGTAGATCTGCCCCAATTCCTTTGTTACCCTGTTACATCCACCTAACTATAGGGCTTTGCTGAGCATTGTTTGCAATTGATAATCCTAAGTGTAAAAAAACAAAACCTGTCTCTTACATTCTTCTCTCCTTCTCCATAAAGTCCTTCTTCTCCCCAAGCATATTCCTCCTACTAGGTCTTCTACCTCCCCTTACTGATCACCTTATTAAAAATCCCTTCTAAGATATTTCATTCCCACAAGGACCCTCTTTAGCTCTCAAAACAGCGTTCTGATTAACTAATTCACACTTAAGATTTCAGTACCCTAAAACTTAAAGTATAATAATAATAAAATTTAAAAAAAAAAGATTTCAGTACCTAGTGAGACCTTAATATTTTACACTGCCAAGTGATACTCACAGTTTTACTGCAAAGGAATGACCACTTTGTAATCAACTGCAGACTTTCTCCTTGATCTCAGTATTTAATATTGTTGGTAACTTCTCCTCTAAAATATTTTATCATGTAGCTGTCATGATAATATTACACTTGACTCTGGCCACTCTTGTTTTCCTTGCTTCCTTTTATTAACTCATCATTCCTGACTGCTCTTTTCTTTCCATATATTCTCTCAAAAGTTTAGCAAATTTCTTGGCTTTCCTTATTGCAAATATATTATGAGAAATACTCACCCCAAGTTTCCAAAATCCCTCCTATCCTCCTTACGCTATGAAAATCACTTAAGCAACATCTTAATTTATGAGACCAAAGACATTTAATTCAAAATCGTTCAATTTCCTTCCACCTAAAACTTTTTTCTGTTTTTATCCACTTTTTTCCCATAAAGAAATGTCCTATTTCATTAAAAAAAAGAATCTCACTTCTGCTCTTGGACTATCATCTTGCATATCATTCAGACCCTTGTGCCATCTTTTATTCCTTATAATTCTAGCATCTTCAATCTCCCCCTACTAATATGTTCAGGATACCCTTAGGTGCTTTACCACAGCTTCTTCACCTTAACTTAGCTTCTTTCTACCCTTCCATTCGCTGCCTCTCCCAACCCACCACACACACTTATTTCCTCTTCACCTACCGTATGTAAAGAATTGTCTGTTAGCTACCTCTACCCCCTCCCTTTCCATTTCTCCCATTTCAGAGGTTGTGCCTTCTACTTTAATAAGTTGCTCTCTACAAAGTATCCAATGACTCCCTGATTATAAAAACCAATAGCCCTGTCTTGTTCCTCATCTTTCTAAATTTTTTTTTTCTGATTTTTTACAGACAGGGTCTTGCTCTTTCACTCAGGCCTGAGTGCAGTGGCATTATCATGGCTTAATGCAGCCTCTAACTCCTGAGTTCAAGCAATCCTTCTACCTCAGCCTGCTGAGTAGCTGGAATTACAGGCATAAGCCACCACACCTGGTTCAGTCCTCATTCTTCTTGACCAATTTGCAACATCTGGCACTGAAGATCACCACCTTCTTTTTAAAATGTTCTATCACCTTGGCTTTTCTTATTATACTTTCCTGATTCTCTAATTTTTTTAAATCACTTCTCGATATCTTTCAAAAGCTAATCTACCTGTTCTTTATCTCCCAGGGTATCTTTCATCTTGTTCTCATTCTATATGAACTCTGTCAATGTCCAAGGCTTCTACCACTTTAATTCAGTACTGTTAATTCTCAAAACTACAGCCCTAGTACAGATTTGTATGTCTAAATCCAGACCTATAGATACAAAAGCCTACCTATAACTGGATATTCTACAGACATTTCCAAAATAGAACTCATTAACTTTTTTTCTTAAACTGTCTATTTTGATTCATGATGCAATCATCCAGCAGTCACTCAAACCAGCAACCTAAAAATATCCTATATTCTTCTTTCTCATACTGCCCGCTTCTAATGCATTCAAGTGGTCACTAGATCCCACTGATTCCCCAACTTTAACATCCCTCATAGCTACCTACTCAGCTCCTTCATCTTCAATATCTCTTGCCTTGTCTTTTAAAGTCTCCTTGACTTGTCTCTCACCTCTCAAATGCATCTTCACATGACATCAGGGTGAGCTTCCTAGAACATAGATTTTGATCATTTTCCCTGGTTAACACTGTTCAAAGATATATCACAATCTTTGAGATAGCCTAGCAGCTCAAGCATTGCCTACTCTGTGAAGCCTTCTTTGGGCCCACCAGAGTTTATTAACCACTGCCACCTTCACCCACCCTACCACACCTACCTCTTATTTCTATATTATACTTATTCCAAAATACTGAAATTATTTGTTTACATACTTGTCAATCTTACTAGACAGTGAGCTCTTTAGGATAGGTATCATGTGTTATGTATCACCGAATCTCCCAGAGACTAGCACAGTACCTGGCATGTAAAAGGAATTTCATGATTGTTTAATAAATGAACACCCATCTTCTTACTCTACCCTTCTACCTGAACATTCCTTCCTCTGCCTTTCTACCTTTCTTGGATCAGAATCATAAACTTCCTCTGCTTTCATTGCTATCTCAAGATGGAAGTCTCCCATATTAGTATCTCTTTACCAGACCTCTCTTTTGAGCTCAATATCTGAATATCCAACTGTGGTGTTCCTCCATACACATTTCATTACCATGTGATATTACTTAAAGATAATAAATGAATATAATAAATGAATGTAATAAACTCACTATTATTTCTATATCAAATCAGTTCAAGGAACCTTCCGAGAGGCAGAAGCAAGCCCCTCTCAGAGTAGCAGACTGAGGGAGACCAGTTGAAAGCTACATAATCTATCTTCATTTTCATTGAAGTGATAAAAATGAATTTCTTTTTTCTACTTCTTTAGCTCCAGTCTCTGTTAACACATTCCATCCTTCTCTGTATTTTGTTCCTTCTCCTCTCTCTACTCTTTTCCCTCTTTGGATAAAAAAGTTTCTCCTGATAATAAAAGGGTTGGTGAACATCATCCTTAACTAACATTTACAAATTGTTTATTTAAATGATTTTGTAAGATCATAAAAATTACTCTCTGTCTCAACCATAAACATATTTTAATTATTCCTACCTTTACTGTTGGAATATAGACAGTAATACAAAACACTGAATTTGCACAACTGCCTTTTACCTTTTCCAGTTTTTCAGCCACTTTTTTTTTATATTGTTGGAAAGCTTTACTCAGCTCTTCGGCATTATATAGTGCTTCATTCCTTTGTCGTTCAGCTCTAAAATTTAAAAAGAGATAATGAATAAAAGTGAAGAATGCTCTGCATTTGAAGAGTTAAGTTCCAAAGTAATCTTTAATTATAAGGAATAATTGGAGAGAAACAAATTTCTCTGCACTAAAAAGGAGTATTAGGCTTAAAGTATAAAATGAAGAATGTAGATCATACTACAAAAATTTTCTCACTCTATCAATATGAAAAATAAAACACAAAACAATAATAAACATAAATGTCGAAATATATATAAATTCTTATGTGTTGGCAATTTTTTTTTTCCCTATCTGGAAAAGACAGATTAGGGAAATAGCCTGAGGCTGGATGATACATTTTCAAAGGTTAGGTATTACAGAATCAGTCTATTGTCTAGAATATTAAATATACTCAGTAAATTCTGTGACCTTTGCAAAGGTCAAATAAATTTCAAATAGTTATTTCAAAAAATGGTAACTTCTATTGATACCAGATATAAAAATCTAGACAACAAAAAACACAACCACCACCAACCACTCTTTAAGCCGAACCTTGTTGCCTCATCTCTTAGTTCCTTATGCTTCTTGCAATGAAATGAAAATTTGGGGCACAATACATTGAGAATATTTGGTCAATATCACTCTCACACCTAAAAATATTTTAATATTTAAACCTATTCCCATCATATTCTTTCTAATGTAAGTGAGGTTAGTGACCCTCCTCTTATCCAGGGTGAATTACTCTATTTATAGTCTAGATCTTAACTCTTAACCCTTCAGAAATACACTCTAGCTTCTGTATTTTCATTCTCTCTGTTGGTTATTTTGCCACAAGTATAAACAAGTTCAAGTAAAAGTACTCCTAACTTTCTGAGTCTATGTGGTTAAGTACGTCTATTTGACTCCAAAGTTTCAGATAAAGGAAAGTAAGGACAACAAAGGACTTCTCTGAAAATCTGTAGGAATATAATCAATTCCTGAGTGTGCACAGGTACTGTTCAGATCAAAGGATACCTGTATTTCTCACTTAAACAAACAAAAACCTTCCCACGTATTGTGCTTTCCTCTATTATCCTTCTTTTCAAGCCAGACTTATCCGCTTTACACTTATCTACTCTTCCTCACTTCCAATTTGTAAAAAGTAATGACATATTTCAGCCACATCAAAAAGTCTGGATAAATATTACCATGTACTCCCAATCACGTTTTAATGAATCTTCACTCTTTGTCTGAAAAGGCTACAGAAGACAAACAAAATATTACAAATAAAGTTGAGGTCCTTATGTGTCCCTTCCAAATCCCATTCCCCTGACTTCTTCCAACAGAGGTAACCCTATCCTGATTTTGGTGTTTTTTATTTTGTACATTCATGTTAACCTACACCCACAAATAGTATATATCACAGTTCATCTATTCTAAGAGACACATTGTTTTCACTTTTTGTTGTGTGTGTGGGGTCTTGCTATTTTGCCCGGGCTGGTCTTGAATTCCTGGCCTCAAGTAATACTCGCACTTTGGCCTCCCCAAGTGCTTGGATTACTGGAGTGAGTCACTGTGTCCAGCCTGTTCTCGCTTTTTTTTTTTTTTTAAATAATCTCCTATAGTCTTACCATGTTTTCACATTTTTAACATCTCTAAAATTGTTATGTGCTGGGTGTGGTGGTTCACGCCTGTATTCCAAACAGTTTAGAAGGCTGAGCCAGGAGGATTGCTTGAAGCCAGATGTTAGAGACCAGCCTGGGAAACGTAGTGAGATCGTCTCTACAAAAAGTTAACTGGGCATGGTGGTGCACACCTGTAGTCCCAGCTACTCTAGAGGCTGAGGCAGGAGGATCCCTTGAACGCAGGGGTTTGAGGCTGCAGTGAGCCATGATCGCAACACTGCATTCTAGCCTGGGTGACAGAGCAAGACCCTATCTCTAAAAAAAAATAAAATAAAATAAGACAGTTCCAGGTGGGGGTCTGTAAAGTGCAGCAGCCACGGCCAGCTACCTCATGCTCAACAACAGCACCTAGATGCTCATACTGGGGCTGGGCACCTGCAAGTCCCCCTTGGGCCAGGTAACTGAAGCTGTGAAGGTGGCAATTGACATCGGGTACTGCTGCATTGACTGTGTCCACATGTACCAGAACGCAAATGAGGTGGGGGTAGCCATTCAGAGGAGCTACCCACTGTGGGTCTCCTCTGAGCTGTTCTGTCGCTCAACAGAGCTTCTCTTGCTCACCCTCCACTTGTTTGCTTACCTCATTCTTCCTGGATGCAGGACAAGAACTCAGGACCCACTGAATGGTGGGGCTTAAAATGCTGTAACACAAATGGCTGAAACACGCCCCCTGCTCACTACGTTGCAGGCAACAAGAAGAAAAGACAAGAGAAGGAGAGAAGAGCTACAGCCCTTCAGGGGAGCCCAGACCTATGAGCTTCCCGAGCCAGGGCTGTGACACCCTCTTTAGGGCTCTGTGGTTCCTGGTGTCTCCAAGCTTCCAGTACCACCCCGTTCCCTGGTGTCAGCCACAGAAGCTGCTTATGCTATACCTGGTCCAGCCACAGCCTCACAGGGAGCTGGCGCCCGTGCTGGCGCCTGGAGCTGCTCACACCACCACAGCCGGCATGCCTGGCTATGTATAGTGGCTGGACCCTATGGTCGTTCACACACCCCTTGCCATTCTGCACCTAGCTCACCCTTGGCAGGTGTGGGATCCAGGGTGGTAGCACGAGCCAAGCGCAGCCTGCCAGGCTGAGTGGGCAGAATGAGCCCACTGGGCCAGAGTAAAACTCGGGCAAAGGTGCCACTGGCCACAGAGGTTTCTGGCTCGTGAAGCAACACCCCAAGGATCCCAAAACAGCATATTGTGCCCCTCCTACTTCTAGAAATCTGTAAGTATAAAAATTTCTTTCTCCATGTCAGTCCTGTGTCTGTATCTTACCATACCTGATTAAAACAAACCCCAAATACATTTTAAAACATGCATTAAAGCCAGGCACAGTGGCTCATGCCTATAATACTTGCACTTTAGGAGGCCAAAGCAAGAGGACCACTTGAACCCAGGAGTTCAAGACCAGCCTGGGCAACACAGTGAGACCCATGTGTAAAAAAAATTTAAAAATTAGTCGGGTGTGGTGGGGCAAGCCTGTAGTCCTAACTATCTGCGAGCCTGAAGTGGGAGGATCACTTGAGCCCAGTAGTTGGGAGCTACTGTGAGCCATGACCACAGCATTGCACTCCAGCCTGGGTAACAAAGCAATACCATATTTCTTTAAAAAAAAATTAAGACTATACATATCTTCTGTAGATTTTTTCTTATAGTTTTTCTTATTTGATTTTAATTTTTTATTGAGTAAAGTACAGAAATCCTAAATGAGAGAAGTTTATAATAATGTGTATACTTACTTAACTACTAACCCAATCAAATAGAGAACACTTCCAGCACCCCTGTGTACCTTCCCAGTGAATATTCTTTACCCCAAAAAGGTAAGCACCATTTGGACTTTTAACAACATATGTTAATTTTGCCTATCCTTGATTTGCTATGGAATTATACAGTATTCTACTGTGTCTGGCTTCTTCTGCTGAGCATTATATGTGTGATAATAATCCATGTTGTTACATAGTTGTAGTTGCTCTTTTTTACTGATGTGTATAATTATGTGAACATACCACAGTTTATAGATTACACTGTTGATGAACATTTAACAATGAATAAAATTACTCTAACATTCTTGTACATGTCTTTTAATACAGGGACTAAGTTTTGTTGAAATGAATGCTGGATCATAAGGCAGGCTTATGTTTACCTTTAGCAGCTACTGACAAACAGTTTTCCAAAGTGGTTCTACCAATTTACACTTCCATTAGAAATGCAGGAGAGTGGGCCGGGCGCGGTGGCTCACACCTGTAATCCCAGCACTTTGGGAGGCCAAGGCGGGCGGATCACGAGGTCAGGAGATTGAGATCATCCTGGCTAACATGGAGAAACCCCGTCTCTACTAAAAATACAAAAAATTAGCCAGGCATGGTGGTGGGCGCCTGTAGTCCCAGCTACTAGAGAGGCTGAAGCAAGAGAATGGCATGAACCCAGGAGGTGGAGCTTGCAGTGAGCCGAGATCGCGCCACTGCACTCCAGCCTGGGCGACAGAGCGAGACTCTGTCTCAAAAAAAAAAAAAAAAAAAAAAAAGAAAAGAAAAGAAATGCAGGAGAGTTTCAATTCCACATCCTTGCCATAACTTGTTTTTGAGAGTCTTTTCCATTTTAGTCATCATGGGCTGTAGTGGGCCTGATGTTTCCTTTCCTTTTGTCACCATTGTTTTGACTAGTTTAGTTATTTGTGGGCAGATTTTTAATTACTGATTTGATAACCCTAATAGCTATATATATACACACACACATATATATGTACACACACACACACATATATTTATTCAGGTTTTTCATTTATTTTAAAGTTAGTTTTGTTAAATTTTATTTTGCTGAGAATTTTATTTAGTCTAAGTTTTCAAATGTATCATCTTTAAAATGATTCAGTTATTGGCCTTATTTCTTATATATTTCTTATTGCTTACCGATTTATAGCTAAATCTGTAATTTGGGAGTCCCTTGCCAATCCCAACACTTGTGCCTTTTCTCCTTTATTAATCTTGTCTGATGCCCATTTTCTTGTTCATTGTGAAAATAACCACATTTAGGTTTTGGTAATCCTTTATATTGTTTCACTGTTTTCTATTCATCCATTTCATCCTTATCTTTATTATTTCCTTACTTCTATTTTCTTTTGATGTTCATTCTTTCTTCTGATGTCCTCCTTTTCCTGACCACACAATAGTCTATTTCAGTTCATTAATTTTCAGTCATGATATAATACATGTATATAAGGTTAAATTTTTTCCTCTAAGAGTGTCTTTAGGTACAGCCTACATGCAGTGATGTGCATTTTTTATATCACTCAGTTCTAAAGGTTTTCTAATTTATTCAATGGTCAATGAACACCAGTAGGTCAATGAACACCAGTAAGCCTGGTTTTACATTTCCAAACATACAGGATTTCAAGGAGTTATATTCTAACTTAACTGAACTGTGGTTGCAGAAGATAATACATACGACATCAATCTTTTGGAATTTGTTCAAATTCATGCTTTCTAGCATAGTGAGGTAACAGATTACATCTGCTTGAAAGAATGTCAATTTCAAACTGTTGACTACATGGTTCCATATACACATCCATTAGATCAAGAATATTAATTGTCTTATTCAACACTTCAAGCCTTAATTTTTTGTTACTTAACAATTCCTGATAAATGTATAAAGAATTTTCCCCATATGACTACAGATTTGTTCTTTTCTCCTTGAAATTGTGTTATTTTTCTTATGTATTTTGGGACTAAATTATTAGATACATATAAGTTTAGAGTCTTTATATCTTGCTGGTTTAGAGTCTTTATATCTTCTTGGTTAAGTGTTAAACATTATATGAGTCATTTTAATGTTGGTAATGCTTGTTGCACTGAAGTCTATTCTGTGTGATCCTAATATAGTAATATCAACTTTGCTTTGGTGAGTATTTATCTGAAACATTTCTTTCCATTCTTTTTTTCTCTTTTTTGAGACACAATCTTCCTCTGTCACTCAGGCTGGAGTGCAATGGCACAATCTTGGCTCACTGTAATCTCTGCCTCCTAGGCTCAAGCAATCCCTTTCACCTTAACCTCCTGAGTAGCTGGGACTCCAGGCGTGTGCCACCACACCAGGCTAATTTTTATATTTTTTGTAGAGATGGGGTTTCACCATGTTGCCCGGGCTGGTCCTGAACTCATGAGCTCAAGTGATCCACCTATCTCGGCCCCACAAAGTGCTAGGATTACAGGTGTTAGCCTCCGCATCCAGTCTGCTTTCAATTTTTCTGTGTCCTTATGTTTTAGGTAATCTCTTACAAACAGCATAAAGCTAAACAATCTCTCCCTTTCTTTACACTGGCTTTTTAATCCATTATGATTAATCTTCTCCACCCAATAGTCCTTGAAAAGGTTCTGATCTTTCAATCTCAGAATGTGTCTTAGTCTATTTGTGCTGCTAGAATAAATATCATAGTCTGGGTAGTTTATAAAAAACAGAAATGTATTTCTCACAGTTCCGGAGGCTGGGAAGTCCAAGATCAAGGTACTGGCAGTTTGGTAGGGCCTAATCTCTCTGCTTCCAAGATGGTGCCTTAAATGCTACATCCTCCAAGGAGGAGGAACACTTTATTCTGACATGACAGAAAGGAAAAAAGGAACAAACTCCCTCTGTCAAGCCCTCTTATAATGGCATTAATCCATTCACGAAAGCAGAGCCCTTGTGACCTAAGTACCTCTAAAATGCCCCACCTCCCAACAGTGTTGCGTTGGGATTAAGTTTCCAATACAAAAAATTGGGGGGACACATTCAAACCATAGCAGAAAGTCAATATTCATTTTAGTTCTTCAAAAAGCTCCAAGAGTCTTCATGTCATACCTCTACCTAAAAATCTCAATTGGCTATTTATGCTTTCCAGGTTAAAATACAAATCCTTTGGTATAACACACAAAGCCATTTACAGTCTGGATCCAGCCTGTCTTTCTTGTCTCATCTCCCACTACACCTATTTACTTATAAGAACATAAAATTACTTAAGAGTTCTTCAGCAATAATACCCTTTTATACTTCTATACCTTTGCACATGCTGCCCAGAATGTGTCTGTCCCCCACTTACTCACTTTGTGAAGCCAAAGTCAATATTTAGCCAGGCGCAGTGGCTCACGCCTGTAATTCCAGCACTTTGGGAGGCCAAGGAGGGTGGATCACTTGAGGTCAGGAGTTTGAGACCAGCCTGACCATCATGGTGAAACCCAGTCTCTACTAAAAATACAATAATTAGCTGGGTGTGGTAGTGCATGCCTGTAATCTCAGCTACTCAGGAAGCTGAGAAAGAAGAACTGCTTGAACCCAGGGGGCGGAGGATGCAGTGAGCCAAGATCACACCACTGCACTCCAGCCTGCGAGACAGAGTAAGACTCCATCTCAAACAACAACAACAACAACAAAGTCAATACTCTATCCTAAAAGTCATCTCTTATCTAAGTTGCATAGAGGAAACTAGTAGCTCTTCCTCTTTATTTTTTCTTGGCAGCTATATTGTGAATGTGGTCTTCATGTATTATTATCTCACTATTTTAACTAACCACGTGCAAAGCTTATCTGAGTAAGTGAAGTGTGAATTCTAGAGTATTTAACCACAAAGTTTATAAAATAGTTAAATTGTTAGTATTTTTTAAGAGGTACATTTCTTTTTTTCATTTACTCTTCATTTCTATCCATATCAAGATAATATCATCTTTATTTAACAGATGAAAAAAACCTGAGATTTCAAAAGGTTATATCATTTGGCCAAGGTAACAAAGCCAATGAGAGGTAAAATCTAAAAATTTTCTAACTCCAAAACCTACGCATTTTCTACTAAGCAATATTGCAAATTGCAAAATTGCAAAATTGCAAAATTGCTTAGTACAGATTATGACTTTATACTGTATAACAACTGCTATAATCCTATTTTATTATAAAATCTTATTAGTTTAAACTCAAAAAATTTAAATCTTTATCAGTTTAAAAGTGAACTGGCATTCAGAGTTAATGGTTCCTTGGACAGAGCTACTTAAAAGACTTGATCTCAAGATATAATTTATACAAAATAGATATTTTTGTACTATTTATATATTTCTAAAGGAAGATCCAAGCACACATTCACAGGCATTGAGTTTCTTTCTCTATGAGGCAAAATTTTCTTTTAAAGAGTTCATTCAACATTTTATTTAGTTTTATTAGAGGTAATATTAATTTACAGGCTTTTTCCCTGTTAGTATTTTAAACTCAGTGTACTGGTTTCAAATAGGCCATAGAACTTAATTTCAGAAATAAGTATCATTAAACTGATAATCGTTATCAGTTTTGTAGAAATTAAGCCCAATCCAGGATGCTAATAACATAAATTCCACATATAAACATTTTAATGGAAAATTTAAAAAAATTAATAGATAAAAAAGAACATTAAGTTAATTTATTGCCAAATCTCTGAAATTTTTTCACTTCAAAAATTAACTAGAATTTTAAATAGGTAATATTTCCTTTTATTCCCTTTCAAAAACATGTATTTGCTTTAAAAACACATACCTTTTTCCTTGTTTGGTTTGTTCAAGTAAGTCCACCTTTAATTTTATACATTCCTCTTTGGACTCCTGCAAACTCTGTTCCTTTTCAATTACCATTTTCTGGCTCTGTTCCAGCTTATTTTCTGCCTCTCTATAAAATAAAGGATACTTTGTTTAAGACTACTAAAGAGATTATCCCAGGTATGCAAGAATAATTTAATATTAGGAATTATATTTGTTTAAATCAATGAGTTAAGAGAAACAATATACAAAAAGAGATAGAGAAAAAGGCATATTCATCACTTGTTAATTAAGAGTTTTTTAAAGAATAAAAGAATACTTCCACCAGATGATAAATATATCTGAAGTAATAACTCACATCGTATTTTATAGTCAGATACCAGAAGCATTCCTGTATAGTTCAGAAACTAAATAAAGATGACTGTTATCACCCCCACATCCAACAACTTTTCTGACAGTTCTACCCACTGCAAAAAGCAAATATGAAAAGGTAATAAGTAGTATAAATGCTGAAAAGGAAAGACAAAATTTTTTTTCTTTCTTTCTTTTTCCTACTCTTTGACTCAGAAACAAAATTTTTTTTATTTGCTGATAATACCATTAGCTACCAATTACAAAATAATTATATTATACAAAAGTCGGTAACCTTCCCATACACTAGCAATGAACAAAGTAGGAACAATTCACAATTGCCAAAAATATAAAATACCTACAAATTTAAAATAATATATGTATTACAAAGAAAATTACAAAACTCTGATGGACATAAAAGACAACTTCAGTGTGCAGCAGCATCATTTGCAGAACTTGTGAAACCCCTCCCAACTTGGTTCAGTATGCCAGAGATAAGACCTGAGAATTTGCATTTCTAACAAGTTCCCAGGTGATGCTACTACTGCTGGTCCTTTAACTATACTTTCGGAATCACTCAGAGTAATATGTTATTTAATATGCATATATTTCCCATTTTATTCAAAGCAGAAGAGAATAAATTATAAAGTGCCTGATGGCAAGGCATGGCAGCTCATGCCTGCAATCCCAACACTTTGGGAGGCCGAGGCAGGACGACTGCTTGAGGCCAGGAGTTTGAGACCAGCCTGACCAACATAGTGAGACCCTGTCTCTACAAAATAAAAAATAAAAAGCTTAGCTGGGCACAGTGGGTGCGTGCCTGTAGTCCCACCTCCTTGGGAGGCTGAGGCAGAATGATCACTTGAACCCAGGAGGCTGAGGCTGCAGTGAGCCATACTGTACCACTGCACTCCAGCCTAGGTGACGCAGTGAGACCCTTTCTGTAAAAATAATAAAAGTGTCTGACTCCTTTACATTTTATTTCTTGAACTCCCTTTGAAACACTGAGTATATACTTCTATGTAGGTGAAGAAATGAACTAATTCATGTTTGATAAAAGCATGTAAATAGGCATCTCACCTTAGTCTTTTTAGCCCCTATATACTACATGCAACCTACAGCCAAGAGGAGTTATGATTGACTAAAAATAGATTCAACAAGTTCTAAGACAGCTGAACACCATTAGGTTACTGTAAATTTATTGGGTGTGGGGAACAAGATTTAACAAGATATAATAAAATGTATAAGTAGAAAATAAAACTTTGAGAGCTATAAAAAGTATATTTACCTCAAAACTTTATCTTGAGCTGAAACCTCTGCTTCCAAATTTATAATCTGTTCTTCTAAGATTGGGACACTGGCTGCCTGCTGTTGAGCAGACTCAAGCATAGAAACCTAAAACATAAAAACAACTTTTATAGTACTTTCAGAAAATAAATTAACCTACTTGGTCCTTAGTTTTTTTCCTGTCAGATGAGGGTGTTCAATAGGGCTCCCAAATCATTGGTCAGATATAAAGCTTCCCATCTATTCCTTTGATCAACATTTACATGGGCATATCATCATTATAAGCCAGCCTTGGCATGTAAGCTCCTGGCATTACCTTCAACTTATAACTGAAGAGTTATTTAGGGGAGAAAATAGAATCTCTATTGATAAGCATCTAGCAAGATTTATTTTACATAAATTAGAAAATTAAACATAAAATATCAAACTATAAACAATTATAAAAGAAAATATTTATTGAATTTTTATGATTTAAAAACCTAATTATAGAATACATGCTTACTAGGAAGAATCTAAATACAGAAAAGCATAATAACCCTACAATCTGTATAATAAAGAGAGTACAACTACTATAGCAGGGTGGGAACCCACAATCTAAATGGTATAGAAGAGAGTATCAATAAGATAACTATCACTGAAAAAGAAGTTTAGAACATGAAGGCACAAGGTACTGTAGAGGGCAGAAGTGAGGACCCAATGAAAAACCAGGGATACAGTTCAAAGTATCTGCAAGTAACAGTCATCCTCTTTTTCCCACTCCCAGAACACCAATAGCAAGGTGTTGGCATACTAGGAAAGAGGCAGAAAGTTTATTATCAGAAGAAACTGAACAGAAGAAGCTTGAGACTGTGAGACACTAAGAGTAATGAGCAGGAATGAAGTACAGCTGTAACAAGGGAATTAATATAAAACGGTTAGCCCCACCTTACTACTCAATTTCATTTTGGGTTATCCCACAGGTGAGAAACTAAAGGATTCTTTGCTGGAGAAACTCAATTGCTCCAAAAAAAAAAAAAAAATCTCCTTGCTGATAGCACTCCCGCAAACATGGTGAACATTCCTAAAACCTGCAGGACTTTCTGTAAGAAGTGTGGCAAGCACCAACCCTAGAAAGTGACACAGTACAAGAAGGGCAAGGATTCTCTGTATGCCCAGGGAAAGTGTCGATATGACAGGAAGCAGAGTGGTTATGGTGGGCAGACTAAGTAGATTTTCCAGAAAAAGGCTGAAACTACAAAGAAGATTGTGCTAAGGCTTGAGTGCACTGAGCCCAACTGCAGATCTAAGAGAATGCTGAGTATTAAAAGATGCAAGCTTTCTCAACTGGGAGGAGGTAAGAGCAGAAAGAGCCAAGTGACCCAGTTCTAAGTGTTATCTTTTGTTTTATTATGAAGACAATAAAATCTTGAGTTTATGTTAAAAAAAAAAAAAGGGAAAGAAAAACATCTCATACTGATACTGTTTGGGGGCTGGCAGGTGTTTCCCTACAAAAGAACCACCTCCCTAACCATCACCCAGAAATAAAGTCCACTGGACAACAAACCACCAATCTGCATTTAAATGCCTTTCTCTTAAATATGAATAGCTAAAATACTAACACCTGAAAAAATCTTCTTTTTTTTGAGATGGAGTCTCACTCTGTCACCAGGCTGGAGTGCAGTGGCGCGATCTCGGCTCACTGCAACCTCCGCCTCTGGGTTCAAGCAATTCTCCTGCCTCAGCCTCCCGAGTAGTTGGGACTACAGGCACACATCACCACGCCCAGCTAATTTTTGTATTTTTAGTAGAGACGGGGTTTCACCATGTTGGCCAGGATGGTCTCGATCTCTTAACCTCGTGATCTGCCCACCTCAGATTCCCAAAGTTCTGGAATTACAGGCGTGAGCCGCCGTGCCCGGCCCAAAAGCTTCTAACATAAAAGTCAGAGGCCTAAACAAAAGAAAAAGGAAAGTAAAGCAAACATGAAAAAAAAATCATTAAATCTTCAGAGTGCTAAGAGAGAATACTACATTAGTATGTTATGAAATACAAAACAATCGGAACAAAAAAAAACTTCAGAAACCGAAAAAAGTATGACAGCCAAAATAAAAGATTTAATAGAAGTGCAAAAAATAATGTTGAGAATACCTCCTAAATAAAAATCACAGGGCCAGGCGCGGTAGCTCAATCCTGTCATCCCAGCACTTTGGGAGGTGGGTGGATCGCTTGAGTCCAGGAGTTCAAAATCAGCCTGGGCAACATGGCAAAACTCCATCTCTACAAAAAGACAATACAAAAACTAGCCAGGCATGGTGGCACGTGCCTGTAGTCCCAGCTACTTGGGAGGTTAAGGTGGGAGGATCACTTGTGCCCAGGAGGTCAAGGTTGCACTGAGCTGTGATTGCACCATTGCACTTCAGCCTGGGCAGCAGAGCAAGACCTTGTCTCAAAAAAAAACAAAAAAACAAGGCTTACATTCAAAAGACAGGTAATAACAAATGTTTGCATGAATGTGGAAAAAAGGGAATCTTCATACGCTGTTGGTGGGAATGGAAATTAGTACAACCAGTATGGAGAACAGTTTGGAGGCTCCTCAAAAAACTAAAAATACAGCTACCATATGATCCAGAAATTCCACTGCTGGGCATATACCCAAAAGAAAGGAAATCAGTATATTGAAAAGGTATCTGCACTTCCATGTTTGTTGCAGCACTGTTCAATAGCCAAGATTTAGAAGCAACCTAAGTGTTCATCACAGATGAATGGATAAAGAAAATGTAGTACTTACACAATGGAGTACTATTCATCCATAAAGAAGAATAAGAATCAGTCATTTGCAACAACATGGATGGAACTAAAGATCATTATGTTAAGTAAAATAAGTCAGGCACAGAAAGACAAATATCACATGTTCTTACTTATTTGTGGGATCTAAAAATCAAAACAATTGAACTCATGGACACAGAGAGTAAAAGGATGGTTACCAGAGGCCGGGAAGGGCAGTTGTTGGGGTGGGGAGAGGTGGGGATGGTTAATGGGTACAAGAAATAGAAAGAATGAATAAGAACTACTATTTTATAGCACAACAGGGTGACTATAGTCAATAATAACTTAATTGTACATTTAAAAATAACTAAGAGTTTAACTGGATTGTTTATAACACAAACGATAAATGCCTGAGGGGATGGATATCCATTCTCCATGATGCGATTATTATGCTGCATGATTGTATCAAAAAACCTAATGTACTCCAGAAATATATACGCCTACTATGTACCCACAAAAATTAAAAATAAAAATTAAGAAACAGAAAAATTTCCAGAACCAAAAGATACAAGTTTCCAGCCTGAAAGGGCTCTCAAATACCCAATATGAGTAATAAAGGCCTATTCAAAGACAACTTGTTGTGCAGTTTTAAAACACCAGAATGGGAAGGTCCTAAGAACTACCATCTACCATAAAGTGAAAAACAAACAAATGGGGGGAAAAAAGAGATTACATGCTAAAAAGTAATTCACAATGGCAACAGACTTTTCAAAGTGGCACTGGAAGATAGAAGGGAGTAATGCCCTAAAAATTCTGACATTAAATAATTTTCAAACTGGAATTTAATCACGAGTGAAGAAGAAATTAAGACATTTTCAGGCAGGCAAGGAAGTAACTGGAAGATATGCTCCAAATACAGAAAGAATAAACTAGGAAATAACAAAAAATAGAATTCAGGAAACAGTAGCTCCAACCTAGAACAACACCAAAGAGAAGTCCCAGGGTAGCAGTTGGACAGCAGGTGTAGAGGGCAAAAAGCTCAGAAAGAGCAGGATGCCAGGCTCCAGAAGAGTAAGTACAACCATTGCCAGACGTAAGTTATGAATATATTGATTGATTTCTGCAAAACAGTCTCAATAGTGGGCATATATGTAACATCAAAAGCTCATACATGGCCTGAAATAGGTGGCTTCCCTAAAAAATATTTCAACAACTTTGAAAATGCTGAGCTGAGAAATACAATACTAGTATCTTACTTTCTCACATAACCACTGGTATGTTTATATCCTAAAAAGAAAGGTTCAAAATGCTATTAGTTCGTAGTTATTAAATTATCTTTATGTCTCTTTTCTTACTTTAAATCACTAAGCAATCATGACTTTAAAAAGAGAGATTATCTACAGTTGAAGAAAAATTTTAAAAATAAGCAGAAAAAATGAACAGACAAATCACAAAGAAATCTAAATGGCAAAGAAATACTGAAAAGGTACATTTTGTAAGAAATCAAGAAAAACAGCATTTTTCCCTCAAAGTGACCAAGAAAAGATGAGGAACCAAATGTAAATGCTTGAAAAACATTATTTCCCTAAAATTTGGTCATTCTGCCTCTGTAAGTCTACCCTAGAAATAATCTCAAACACCAAAGAAGTTTTATGTTCATTGCTGCATTTTGTTTTTCCTGTGCTGAAATAATCCCTAATAGCATTTTGTTTTGTTTGAAAAAACAGAAAAGAAAAATAAAGTCTTCCCATAACTCCTCTATTTAAAACTACATATAATGTATGTATACAATGTTTATAAAAGTAAATAGTGAAAGCCTCACTCCAACCTTCCAGTCTCTCTCGAAATTATCAACAGTGTGAAGCATAGTTTCTAACCTTAATATATCACATGTATATATATTTACATACAAACACACACACACAGACACATGCACACTTCTTATAAAGAGGAAAACTAAGAGTATTATACATGTGTGTACTGCTCTGTAATGTTTTTCTGCCACTAAATATATTAGGTAATTGTTTTTGAGTGCTGACTACACATAGACACTGTTTTAAGTGACTACATATATTATATCATTTAAACCTTATAATGCTCCATACAAGTCAAACAACTTTGCATCTTAGTACTAGTATATTTGCCTCATTTTTTTAAAAAAAGGTTTTGTTGCAATCTATCTTATGGGTATACCATAATTTACTATGTCTCCATTACTGGACATTTTGGTTTCTTCTAATTTTTTGTGTAATACCAATCATTTAGTAAAAAAATAGGAAACCACTGAAATACAGGAATTATTAACTAAATTATGATATAATCACATGAAATATAATGCTACCATAAAAAATGTTCAATGGAAAAGCTATGTAAATGCATCAGAAAATGCACAGACTATATATAAAGTAAAAAACAGAAAACACCAAAACTATTTAAAACAGTCTGGATTCAACTACGTATTAAACTGGTAAAGTGGTTTCTAGGTGGAAACTCTGGGTGATCTTTCTTCCTCTTTTTGCTACTTTTAAAATTTTCAACAATGACAATGTGTTATTTTAAAAGGGAAGATAAGTAAGTTATACTTCCTTTGTATAAAAAATAAAACCACACAAATTGGTAATCTTAACACCTTAAGAAGCTGACTTATCTAAATGCAAAAACTGTAAAGTTCCCTTCAATCATTTTCAGATATAATTCATACAATATTGATTTTACAACATGTTGATACTATAGTATTATAATGAAAATTACTTCCCATAACACATTAAGGCAATGTGGCAATACAAGGAATATTTTTCCAATTATAAATCTTAAAATAACAACTATTTTCTGTTGGCAAACTTATTTCAAGATACATACTTTTGCTCTTGACTGTGTTAATTCAAAGTGAATAGATTCAAATTTAGTCATTAAGGAATGATTCTGTGTGACCAAACAAGCATTCTGTTGCCTAAGTTTATTTAGTTTCTCTCGAAGGCTTTTAATCTCCTGATCCACAGGGGCAGAAGATGAAAACATCTGAAAGAATGAAAAAGAACAAATATATTTTCAATTATTTCAATTAAGGGTTACATGTAATTAATGGAAAATTATGAGCAATTATTAACAAAATGACGAAGCAGCTCAGAAAATGAGTTAAAATACTTAGTGAGTATTGACAAGGATATGTGGAACAATCAATACTCTCTCTTCCACTGCTGGTGGAAGTACATACAAGTATAACCTGGAAAACAGTGGTGCACTTTGGGAAACTGGCTGGTATTATCCAGCAAAGTTGAATATGCTAAGAACCAATAATATCATCCCTAGACATAAACCTGATAAAAACTTTTGTACTTTTTCACGTGCAGATATAAAACTATTCATAGCTACATTGTCCAGAGATAGTAAATAGGAAGAACCCAAATGTCCACCACCAACAAAATGGATAATAGGTAAAATATTATTTCATCTGTATAAATATTTTTATTATATTCTTTTTATATATATTTTACAATACATTTAATTTTCATGAGGATTGTGATTTTCAAAACATTTCTTTTAATTAACTTTATTTTGAGTGATTTATTTATGCAATTCAAAACTTGAAACTATATAAAAGAAAAAGTATACACAGAAGTCTCTTCCCATCTTTAATAGGTGGGTAACCACTTTTATAAGTTTCTTGTTTAGTCTTCTGGTAATTCCACATGCATACATAAGCAATATAAATTACCCACTTCCCTCCTCTCCTTATGCAAAAACTAGCACATTAAATATAACATTCTGCACCTTGCATTTTTTTTTTACTTGAACAATATACACTGGCAATCTCTCCATAATAAATACATTGACAAACTCCTTTTTTCTTCTCAACTGCATAGTTTCCATTGTATGAATAAACCATTAGTTTATTCAACTAACCCCCTATTACTGGATACTTGAACTATTTCTAATCTTTTGATATGATAAACAATGCCTAATTTCATATCCTGCAGGGTGTCTACAGTATCGTTTTTCCAGAAGTGGGAGTTCCAAGTCAAGGTAAATGTATTTGTAATTTTGGTAAATATTGCCAAATGCATCTCAGTTGGGGTTATATCACTGTGCATTCCCACTAGGCAATGTACCCGTACCCAATATCACCAATAAAATAACACCTCAAACATTTGAATGTTTAATAATTCTATAGGTAAGAACTAGGTAAGGTACTTAGGTATAGTTTCACTTTGAATTTATCTTATTATGAGTGAAATTGGACACCTTTTCATTAGTTTGGATATCACTTTTATTTCTTTTTCCGTTCATGTCTTTTGCCCATTGGGTTACTGATATTTTTGTTCTCAATTTCTAGGAGATCTTTACACACTAGATTAGCCTTTTGTCTTTGATCGGCATTATCATTATTGTTTTCCCAATTAAGGCACATATACAATAAGAATGATCAGCAATTTGAATGAGGATAGAGATCAAATTTCTTAGAATTACATACCATGTAAACATGGAATTTGAATTTGTTTCTAAAAAGTAGATTCAGACAGCTTCATTAAGCAGATTCGTTACAAAAAGGAAAGCTCTTAATGGTTGGCTTTCCGAAGTGGAAAGAGCAAATACATATCCAAAAAGATTATGTGCAACCATATCTGTGTATATACATGTAGGGAGTCGGGGGAACAAAGAATAGGAAGAGAGTGTAAAAGGAGATAAAAGAGTTGAGTGAGGAAGAGGGATAAATGCAGGGAGATAAATATGTGATAGAATAAGAAAAAGGAAGAGAGTTTCAGACCAAGCAAAGATCTCTAACATCATTGACAAAATAGATAATGAAAAGAGAACAGTGCCATACTATCCAAAGTACTTGATCCAGGCTTTAAATGGTGGGTATACCTTAACTACTTAATAAACAATTGATTACCTATTATGTATAAGATGTAGTGTTAAAATCAAGGGGATTATAATTTACTTAAGAAGACATTTAACTGCAAAAAGGTAATAAATATGTAAGTTTAAAAGTAGAGTAATACACCAAGATAACTACTTTCTTGTTAGAACATAAAAAGAACAATTATATTTAAATTCTTGAGTACCATAGTAAAAGATTATGGAAACCATGAATAAGGTATTTAAAGAAAAAATTTTTTTCTTTAATTTAATTTTAAAATTAAAAAAAATTTTTTTTAAGTAGACAGGCCTAAAACCAAAACTTCTTTTAACTAGATAGGTCTAAAAACAATAACCTTATCTCTTGGCTTTTTTTGAAAATCAGTGCTGCTACCAGATATTTTACAGACGTTTTCATAAGGTGAATAATTCAAAAGTCCAGGGTGGCTAGGCTGAACATCCAAAATTAGCTTTTCAGACCTTGAAGGATTAGGGGCATAATCAGAATTTTCACTTGGACTAACACTAGAGAAAAAAGAAAAAACATATTTCAGTTCTTGGATAGTTTATTCACTACAAATTGCTATACATTAAATAAGAAAATAGAAAACCTGAAATGCTGCTAAGCAGATTCACAGTTATGAACATAAGGCAATGTTTCCACTAAATTTTAAATAAATCATAATTACTTTTAAACTAGCAAACTGTATTTCTAAAGCCTCTACGCTAAGATTACTTAAGATTCAAAAAAATCATAAAAAATTAGTAAAGCCCAAAATATATATTTTATACTGAGTTCTAATACACTGAAAGTGTTTTTAATATGCAAAGAGGCTTCTCTAATATTCCTTATTTTTCCCTAAACTGAAAGTTACATTAAAAAGTATAAGAAAATTATTTCTTATTCCAGAGGCAGGTTAGAAACAATACATCATAATGAAATCCACACATTTTACATTGATGTATTTAAGGCACAGTGAATTCTATATGTGATTTTACTTACTTACCTGGATAACTCTTCCCCTAAACTCTGCAAACTCCATTCTGTTATCTTCAGTTCATGTCTTAAGGAAGCAACATTTGCAAGCAAACTTTCCTCTTCATTGTCTTTATTATAGTAGTCTGATGAACTAGATTCCATTTCTTAAAAAAAAAATGAATTTCTTGTACCTTGTCTGAAAGATTCTGTAGTTTCAGTCAAAATACTCACATGAATAGAATTTAACTCATTAGTTTTCTATTTTAAATGTTGTGAAATCTTTCATGGTGGTTTAAAACAAAACAAAAAATCAATAATAATGAATTTATCTGTAGTGTAAAGCCATAAAGGAATTCAATACAATTTCAATGAATGAATTTTTCATTTTAGCCAGGGTCTAGTTATTATAGTTCTCTTTTGTAAGCATACCTGATCTTCCTAACAATTGTTAATTATTTTCATTACATGTTAAGGAAACTAAGAATCAGACATTAAATAACTTGCTCAAAGTCACACAAACTGTAAATGGTGAAATCAAGATTTGAATCCAAGTCATTAGGATGCAAAGACCATTAAATTATGTCGCATTGTAGCTTTATTACATATTACATATCAATTTCAATATGAGGTGTTTGAACTTTCATAATTACATTACAAGTACTGGACATCTGATTAAATGGTATCATTACATTCATATTTTGTTAGAAGGGAATTTATTACCAGATAAAAGCTGTCTCCTCCTCCTACGCCCAATAGTTATAAAATTTTAAAAAGACACATTTACAAGTCACAACCACAGGGATCAAAATAACATTTGGCAGGTCAACTCATAGAAATGAAGAAAAGCTTTTGTTTCTTCAGTGGATGAGTATCTCTAGGGTTGTGAAACTACTAAATTTCTTTGCATATAAAAATCACAATAAAGCATCACATTTTATTATTGTAATTAATACAATAAAAAACTAAAGCTTTATAATCTCCACTACTACAGAGCTTTCTGCGCAATCTTAAAATTACATTCCTCTTTCAGATCCCATTTACCTTTTTCACTGTAGCATCTCCTTCAACGCCCTTCTTAGCATTCTGATCCCATCCCAAGTTCCAAAAGGTTAAAAGTCCTGTGCATTACGTTCAGGACCGCAATGTACTTAGAGAAGCTCAATATTTTGAATGAATTAACGAATACTAAACTGTCCTTCCTTCCCTCATCCAGTTAGAATGGTATGTTACATTTATTCCCCACTCAAAAATTCTCAGATGTAGGGAGGAAGATTAAAAAGAAAACTCCCACCTTATGGAAAGAAAGTGGCAGGAAATTAAATGAGATACTATGTAATCTTAATAGACAAACTGGTTCTATCCTCTTTCCCTTTTTTGTTTCCACAAATTTGCTTCTGCTTAAGTGACAAGACTCTCGCAGACAAGTCAATAAATCAGGTCCCCATCCTGCTTTACCTATTCAACATCTCTAGCTCTCTGTAGGATGGTGAAGGAGAAAAGGGTAGAGAAAATTGGGCAAATTCTATAATACCATTTGGTACTATATATTTCATCTTAAATCAGGTTTTAGTTCAACATCTGTGTATTGCCATGCAAGAAATAACTCCCAGTCCGGGCGCGGTGGCTCACGCCGGTAATCCCAGCACTTTGGGAGGTCAAGGCGGGTGGATCACGAGGTCAAAAGTTAAAGACCAACCTGGCCAAGATGGTGAAACCCCGTATCTACTAAAAATACAAAAAAATTAGCCGGGGGTGGTGGCGAGCGCCTGTAATCTCAGCTACTCGGGAGGCTGAGGCAGAGAATTGCTTGAACCTGGGAGGCGGAGGTTGCAGTGAGCCGAGATCGCGCCACTGCACTCCAGCCTGGGCGACAGAGTGAGACTCGGTCTCAAAAAAAAAAGAAAGAACTCCCTAACTCTTCTGCAGTAGCAATGAATATATTTGATACTAAAATGTTTTCATTTTCCTAGTGGGACATTTACTGTCAAATGAATGTCCTTAACTTCAATTTACAGTAGTTACCCAAAAAAGGCTATCTTCACTGACTATGCATACCTAGAAAAGCACATCATCCTACTCACCGACCTTAACAACATCATCTTTCGGCCCTAATTAACAATGTGTTTGTAGGTTTGCACACGCACACCCATCAAACGAAGGACAAGTGTTCTTTTATACCCTATGTATGTGATACAATGGGCTGTAGTCGAAAAAGATTCCTCATTTTGGAAAGAAGTCATAACTTTATGTAGTAGTCTCCTGTCTCAAGATCGCTTGACACAGCTAATCTTACATCCGTCTGAAAGAAGCGGGGGCGGGGGTGGGGGACGGAAGTGACAGTTTCCTCTTTTTTTTTTTTTTTTTAATTTTATAGAGACAGTGGCTCGCCATATTGCCAAGGCTGGCCTCGAACTCCTGGGCTCAAGCAATCCTTCCGCCTCGACATCCCAAAGTGCTGAGGTAACAGGCGTAAGCCACTGCGCCCGGCCTCCTATTTTTCATCAAATAAAATACAACCGTTCAGAGCAGCATGCTCAGCAACCACGAGGACCAGTCCCAGCGCATCCAAGGTGCCGGGAGGGAAAGGAACAGAACTCCCCCAGGTAAGCCGGTTTCCCCACGCCAAGGCGCAGTCGCTCACCACCCAAATCGTCGCTGGGGAGAGACCCACCCGGCGACTGCGCGCTTCGCACTCGAGTCTGCGTTAGGAAGCCTCTGACCCTTTCCCGGGCCCCTGCGCGTGGAAGCCTCGGACACAACTCGGAGAACCAGCGAACCCCGGCAGCACAGAATTCGAACCGCCGCGGGAGCCGTTGGGACGCGCCTACCCGGTCACTGCCCCGCCCCGGCGCAGACTGCGTGAGGCGCCGCCGAAGGCGCGGGGCTTGCCGGGGATCGTGGTCGGCGAGCGCGCCCGAGCCCACTAGCGGAGCCCGCCCGGGACTACATTTCCCACAATTACCGCCATGATGCCCATTGGTGGGGGAAGCCATGGGAACCGGAGGCCGTCAGGGGGAGAGGCGGGCGGCGCTCACGCCTGGCCTGAGGGGGCCGAGACTGAGGCGGTTGCGGAATAGGACTGCTAGCCCCGCCCAGAGTCCCTACCCTTTGGAGAACTGCGCTTCTCTTTCGGAGGGAGTGTTCGCCGCCGCCGCGGCCGCCACCTGGAGTTTCTTCAGACTCCAGATTTCCCTGTCAACCACGAGGAGTCCAGAGAGGAAACGCGGAGCGGAGACAACAGTACCTGACGCCTCTTTCAGCCCGGGATCGCCCCAGCAGGGATGGGCGACAAGATCTGGCTGCCCTTCCCCGTGCTCCTTCTGGCCGCTCTGCCTCCGGTGCTGCTGCCTGGGGCGGCCGGCTTCACACCTTCCCTCGATAGCGACTTCACCTTTACCCTTCCCGCCGGCCAGAAGGAGTGCTTCTACCAGCCCATGCCCCTGAAGGCCTCGCTGGAGATCGAGTACCAAGTAAGTGCGGAGGATAAACCAGCCTCCTTCCTTTAACCCAGCTGCACTGCGTTGTCGCCTCTCACCCGTTTAGAAACTTCTGGTGGACGGCCCTGGTGGTGAAGAGGCGAGGGCCGTTCAGGAAGCCAGCCCGCTCCGCGCAGGCGCGCGAGGCGAGGCGAGGCTCTCGCTGGGGCCGGGGACCCAGAACTTAGGCTGGACCTGGAATTGATGACTACCCGCCTTCTCCCCTTTCCTCCGGTGGGAAGGAGGCCAGAACTGGTGATGTCGCTGGCTTTTCTCTTTGTTTCCTAATTCGCCCACTGCTTTTCTTAGCCACTACACGCTCTCATACTGAGAATTTCACAATGCAGAACTGATACACGTTCTCCTTCATCATTGGACAAGGTGATGACACTTGTTTGAATCACCCCCACCCCTTTCACACAGTTCAGATGTTACAAATCACTGTCTTTGCTTCAGTTAAGGGTTTTTGGATTATGATCGTGTAATTGGCATTAAGCCCGATTTTGAAATTTTTTGGAAGACGCTGTTGCTATATTTAATGATACATTTCCGTTTAAGTTATATATCCATTATTTTCAAAAGATCAAATCGTATATTAAAACTTTATAACCTTTCTTTTCATTTTTTCATTGAGCATTGTAAGCATTTCCCTCGTGTCATTGTTTTTTTTTTTTTTTTTTGAGACGGAGTCTCGCTTTGTTGCTCAAGCTAGAGTTGGAGTGCAGTGGCGCTATCTCGGCTCATTGCAACCTCCGCCTCCCGGGTTCAAGCGATTCTCCTGCCTCAGCCTTCCGAGTAGCTGAGATTACAGACGTGCGCCACCATGCCCAGCTAATTTTTGTATTTTTAGTAGAGACGGGGTTTCACCATGTTGGCCAGGCTGGTCTCGAACTCCCGACCTCAGGCGATCCACCCGCCTCGGCCTCCCAAAGTGCTGGGATTACAGGCGTGAGCCACCATGCCTAGCATGTTTTCTTTTTAGTATCTGCATAATATTCTTGCTGGGAATTACCTTATTTTATGTAGTCATGGTGGTAGGGGGTAATTTCTTAGAAGAAATCTTGTTCGTTCCACAGCAAATTCCGATGTTTTCAGGTAGCAGTACAGGGGGGAAAGAAAAGGCATTGATGTGTTTCATCTTTCAGTTTTTTAGAAGTTAATTATAATCATCAAATGTTAATTTTTTAAGTTGATGTAGAGAATTGTTTTTAAATACCAGGTACTGTCACATACAGAGCAAAATAAAAAGTTGTAGAATTTTTTATACGATGGAACTTTAGGATTAAGTTGTATATAGATACACACGATAAGCACAGAGAATAAAATATCTAAAATCACATAGTGAGCAAAACTGAGGCTAAAACTCAGTGTTTCTTGATTTCCAGTAAAGTTCAAAAGTTCAACATTTACTGAACAGTTAACACGTGCCAGGAATTGTGCATGGAGGTGGGGGAGACGGAGGGGGAGCTGGGTTGTGCGGGATGTAGGTAAAAGAGAAAGAAAGAATCCCTCTTCTCAAAGAGCTTAATAAAGGTTACTGGCTCATAAACAGGTAATTTCAATAAAGGATGGCTAAGTACCAGTAGAGGAGGGTCACTTCTAAGGGTTTCAGAAGAGGATTCCTGGAGAAAATAAAATTTAATCCAGAAAGATGCTTAATTGAGACGAAAATGCCAGGAACAAGGGGCATTTCAGAAAAGCGAACAAAAAGATCCATAGTTCTTAAAATACATAGTGTAAGTGGGGATGGTTAGTGTGTAGTGGACACTACAAGTACTGAGTTTGTATTAGACTTTAAGACATATAAAGTCTAGGGTGGGAGTAGCAGAAAAGGACATCGGAGAGGCCAGAAGGCTGGGGTCATTAAGCATGAATCATAGCCTTGTTTGCCGTGCTGAGTAGGTTTTCCTTAATTTTGTACAAGTCCATTTAAGATTTAAGCAGATCACTGGATGCAGTGTGGAAAATGGATTTAAGGAGAGCAAAATTAGAGTCAAGGAAACTAACTAGAGGGCTAGTGAAATAGTCTAGATAAGAAAACAATTTGTATTAATAAAAAAATCTTCAGTATTTACACACATATTAGGGAAGATATCTATTTTAACTACTGTCCTCTTATAGTTAAGAGCACCAGCTCTTAACCTTAGCCTGGGTTCAAATCTTGACTCTGCCTACTTAAAACTTATGTGATCTTCTCACTTGTAAAATAGAGATAATAATTGTAACTACATCATAGAGTTGATTTGAAAAAGCATGAGTTAATAAATGCTCATATTCAGTGTAAAGTAGTCTATTAAAAAATGCTCATAGATCATCCCTGACACATAGTAAATAATCAATGAATGTTAATTTTACATTTATACCTCTATAGTTATGTAGCTGGCTTGGTTTAGCTTTATTCTTTACATCTTTAGTCACTCTTAAAGGGACTGTTCCTTTTTTTTTTTTTTTTTTTTTTTTTTTGAGACAGAGTCTCCCTCTGTCACTCTGTTACCCAGGCTGGAGTGCAGTGGCGCGACCTTGGCCCACAGCAACCTTCATCTCCCGAGTTCAAGTGATTCTCCCGCCTCAGCTTCCCGAGTAGCTGGATTACAGGCATGTGCCACCACACCCAGCTAATTTTTGTATTTTTAGTAGAGACGGGGTTTCACTATGTTGGCCAGACTGGTCCCAAACTCCTGATCTCAAGTGATCTGCCAGCCTCAGCCTCCAAAGTGCTGGGATTATAGGTGTGAGCCACCGCGCCCGGCTGGGACTATTCCTTTAAAACATTCTCCCTAAACAATTTGTTTTGATTAAGGAAAGAGGTAAAATCATTTGTCTGTAATCCTAGACAGTGTTGGTGAGATGTGTAGGGTAACTATCATCTTCCACCCTGTTTGTATTTCCCAACTTGTTTAATTTCCCAGTAACTACATCCTACTAATTTTTGTCTTAAAGTTAGTTTTTAAAATTTTATAGAACAATCTAGTTTTGTCCTTGGTTACTTATTGAAAATTTTACTAATTTCTTACTTTTTAGGTTTTAGGAGAATACTTTTTGGATAATTGACTAGCCTCACATTATATTGATAGAGGTTCTTGAAAACTTTAATGCCAATTCATGTATCTTATGACTAAAATAGATAATCCATTTAGAAATTTAAGTCATTCTTGCGTGCTTGATATGTGTCAGCACTATCCAAGTTGCTAGGGATACAATGGTGAGTGAAAATATCAGCTAGGTGCAGTGGCTCACACCTGTAATCCCAACAGTTTGGGAGGCCAAGGTGGGAGGATCACTCAAGCACAGGCGTTTCACACCAGCCTGGACAACATAGCAAGACCCCATCTCTACCAAAAATAAAGTTAGCCAGGCATGGTAGCACACACTTGTGGTTCCAGCTACTTGGGAGGCTGAGGTGGGAGGATCACTTGAGCCCAGGAGGTTGAGGCTATGGTGAGCTGTGATCACACCACTGTACTCCAGCCTCGGTGACAAGAGCGAGACCCTGCCTCAAAAAAATATATATATATATGTTTGTGTGTGTGTGTGTGTGTATAGTCTGTGCCCTCATACAATCAAGTATTAATTAATCAAATTATTACACAAATACATGTCAAAATATTTACTAGGGGTAATGAAGGTAAGTTCATAAGACTATGAGTGGGCTCAGTAGGAGGACTTCATTTTATCTGGAAATTGAAAGACATCCAGAAGTAGAGTTAAGATCTACAGAATTATCAGACTTTCACTAGGCATAATGGAATGAGTGGTACGAGACAATGGGTAAAAAAGAACAACAACGTGCCAAGATACTAAGGAAGAAGAGAGAAAGATACCTTTGAGGTCCTGAAAGATAGGATACAGAGAGAGAAAAGTGGTACAAGTCTACTTTAGAGAAGTCAGTAGCAACAGCAACCAAATCATTGTGGGCTTTTAGGTCCTTGTTAAGGATATGGGTCTTTTGCAGAGACCAGTAATACGCCACTGAATAGTTATAAGCAGGTTAACTCGATCTGTGTTTTTTAAAAGATCGTTTTGGCCACAAGGTATTGAGCCTCTCTGTACCAGTTTCTATACTTTAACAGTAATCACCTGCTCCCCACTATATATTATTGTGAAGAATAAATATGCTAATACATGTAAAAGGAATGGTATCTAGCACCAAATAAGCACTCAAAAAATGTTAGCTAGAAAATAAACCCTGAGCCTAGAACAACAATACTTTTTTAAGGGCATAATAGGCACTAAAAAGTATCTATTGAATGAGTGAACCAGACGTTTACCAAACATGTAAAACTATCTGGGTGAGTTTTTGGGAGAATATAGCTATATCAATTTTTAAAAATTTTTATTAGTCTTTCATTTTTGTATAGAGCCAAATTTCAATATTTTCTGGTAAACTGGCCATTTCATCTAATTTTTAAAATTTACTTGTATAATATACCTGATGCCATTTGGAATATCTCCTATTTCCATTTTATCTACAGGTATACATGCCTAATATTACATGTATAAAGTAGATAGGACTACTTTATTGATCTTTGGGAAAAAATGTCTTTTGAGTATTTATTATTTTTTGTTTTATATACATACACACACATATCTATTATATATACACACATTTTATACATATACAAAATATATAATATATTCATATACATATAAATGTATATGTATATATAAATATGTATATAAAAAAACAAAAACTCAAAAGCCATATATGTGTGTGTGTGTGTGTGTGTGTGTATATATATATATATATAGGCATAAGGGAGTAAGTGGAACAAGACAATGGATTAGAAGGCACAACATGTGCCAAGATACTAAGGAAGAAGAGTGAAAGATACCTTTGAGGTCCATTTATATATATATATATATATATATATAAATGGCTTTTAAGTATTATATAAATATATATATATAAATGGCTGGGTTTTGGGGAGAATAATATATTTAATAATTTAATATATATATTTGGGTTTTATGTGAGTCTGTGTGTGTGTATATATACTTTTTTTTTTTTTTTAAGAGATAGGGTCTCCAGCAATCCCATTACTGGGTACACACCCAGAGGAATATAAATCATTCTACCATAAAGACACATGCATGCGAATGTTCAGTGCAACACTATTCACAATAGCAAAGACATGGAATCAACTAAATGCCCAGCAATGACAGTTTGGATAAAGAAAATGTGGTACATATACACCATGAAATACTATGCAGCCATAAAAAAGAATGAGATCATGTCTTTTGTGGGAATATGGGTTGAGCTGGAGGCTATTATCCTTAGCAAACTAACACAGAAACAGAAAACTAAATACCACGTGTTCTCACTTAGAAGTGAGAGCTAAATGGTAAGAACTTATGAACACAAAGACGGAAACAACAGACACTGGGATTTACTTGAGGAGGGAGGGTGGAAGGACAGAGAGGCACAGAAAAGTTAACTATTGGGTACTGGGCTTTATATCTGGGTGATGAAATACTAAGTTGGTGCAAAAATAATTGTGGTTTTTAACACGTTTACCTATGTAACCTTCACATGTATCCCCAAGCCTAAAATAAAAGTTAAAAAAAAGAGAGATATGGGGTCTCACTATGTTGCCTAGGCTGAATTTGAATTTGGGCACAAGTGATACTCCCACTTCAACCAGCCTCCTGGGTAGCTGGGACTACAGGCACATGCCACCACACCTGTCTCCTTTATGAATTTTTTTACTTCCAATTATAAAAGTAATATACAACCTCCTTAGAGTAAGTCAAACAATACAAAGATGTAAAAGCAAAAAAAGCTGGGTGCGGTGGCTCACACCTGTAATCCCAGCATTTTGGGAGGCCAAAGTGGGTGGATCACGAGGTCAGGAGTTGGAGACCAGCCTGACCAACATGGTGAAACACCATCTCTTAAAAAAAAAGAAAAAACAAAAAACAAAAATTAGCTGGGCGCAGTGGTGCGCGCCTGTAGTCCCAGCTACTCGGGAGGCTGAGGCAGGAGAATCACTTGAACCCGGAAAGCAGAGATTGCAGTGAGCCGAGATCGTGCTGCTGCACTCCAGCCTGGGTGACAGAGTGAGACTCCATCTCAAAAAAAAAACAAAAAAAAACCTCTTTGTAACTCTATTGAATGCCTGTTGTCATTCTCCTAGATGTGAACTCTTCCACACCTTTTCCCATACTCATAAAAACATATAGGGTTTGATGGGGTGAAACACATATGATTATTTAATTAAAATGTCATGGTCTTTAAGTCCTTACAAAGTTTTTACCAATAGGTAAACAAACCAAATCAGTTTTTAATAAGGAAGTCTATTGGTTCATATAACTGGAAGTCTGAATAGGACTGATTTCAGGCTTAATTTGTTTTCCTCTGGTTCTTACGGCTCTGCTCTCTTGACTTTTCTTAAAGAATTGAATTACTTAAAGAATTCTTCACTGACAGATATTTTTCCTAAATGCATCAAAACTAGTATTTTATTGTCTTCTGACTTCGATTATAGCTGTTGAAGCTTCCTGTCAGTTTGTTATATATTTGTAGTTCATCTCTATTTTCTCTTGTAGCTTTTTAAATTTTCTGCTTCTGCATTTTCACTGCAGTTTAAGTGGATCATCCAAGCTTCTTAATCTCTCATAATTTCTCTCTTTGTCTCACTCTCCTATTTTATGGATAATTTCTTCAGCTCTATCTTCTACATCATTAGCTTTAAAAATTTATTATCAGTATTATTTTTGATTGGCAAATTATAATTGTATACATTTATGCGGTATAGCGTGATGTTTTGATACATATATACAACATGTAATGATTAAATCAGGCTAATTAACATTGCCTTGCCTATAATTTTTTATGATGAGCTATTTGAAATTCAGTCTCAGTTATTTTGAAATATACATTATTATTGACCATAGTCACCTTCCTGTGCAATAGATCTCAAAACCTATTCCTTCTGTCTATCAGAAACTTTGTACTCTGTGATCAACAGCTCCCTATTCCCTCTCTCCCCAAGTCCCCCACCCCCAGCTTCTGGTAACCATCGTTCTACTCTCCACTTTTAGGAATGGAACTGTATGGAATTCTAGGAATTCCACATATGAGATAATGCAGTATTTGTCTTTCTGTCCCTGGCTTATTTCACTTAGTGTAATGTCCTCCAGTATTCCATTGTGTATCTATACCACATTTTCTTTATTCATTCATTAATGGACACTTAGGTTGTTTCTATGTCTTGACTATTGTGAATAATGCTTCAATGAATATGGGAGTGCAGATATCTCTTTTACATACTGATTTCAGTTCCTTTGGATGTATACCAGAAGTGAGATTACTAGATGATATGGTAGTTGTATTTGTGGTTTTTTGAGGAACCACCATATTGTTTTCCATAGGGCTGTACTAATTTACATTCCCACCAACAATGTACTAATTTGTTTTTTCTTTTTTGAGATGAGGTCTTGCTGTGTAACTCCGCTGGTCTCAAACTCCTGGGCTCAGGATCCTCCCATCTCAGCCTCCTGAGTAGCTGGGATTACTGGGATTATAGATCTTGTACATATTTTGGTAGATTTGTACCTAATTCTTTTTTTCTTTTTTTTTCTTTTAGTGCTAACGTAAATGGTATTGTATTTTTTATTCCCAACTCCAGTTGCTTGTTGCTGGTGTATAGGAAAGCAGTTGACTATTGTATGTTAATATTGTATACTGAGACTTGGCTATCATCACTT
The DNA here is from genome assembly GCF_000001405.40 of Homo sapiens. Lineage (NCBI taxonomy): Eukaryota > Metazoa > Chordata > Mammalia > Primates > Hominidae > Homo > Homo sapiens. The sequence continues at coordinate 93,172,340 of NC_000001.11, read as the reverse complement.
ATTAGTTCCGGGACGGGTTTTTTTTTGGCAGTTCTTTAGGATTTCTACATGGACTATCACAAGGACAGTTTTATTTCTTCTTTTCCAATAGGTATGTCTTTTCTTTCCCTTTCTTGTTGTATTACATTAGCTCGAGCTTCCAGTATAGTGCTGAGTAGGAGTAATGAGGGAGTAGCATCTTTGTCTTGTTTCTGATTTTAGTGAGAAAGCTTCTAGTTTCTCGCCATTAAGTGTGATCTTAGCTGTAGGATTTTTGTAAATGTTCTTAAGTTGAGGAAGTTCCCCTCTATTCCTAGTTTGCTAAGATTTTTTTAATATTAAATATCATGGATTGATATTGGATTTTATCAAATATGTTTTCCATACCCATTGCTGTGATCATCTGAGTTTTCTTCCTTAGCCTGTTGATGTGATGAATTACACAAAATAATTCATGAATGTTGAGCCAGGCTTATATACTTGGAACAAATCCATCTGGTCATGGTTGTAATTCTTTGTTTACATTGTCGAATCAGCTTTGCTAATATTTTGTTGAAGATTTTTGCATCTGTGTTCCTAAGAGATACTGGTATGTAGTTTCCATTTCTTGTAATGTCTTTTCTGGTTTTAGAATTAGGGTAATGTTGGCCTCACAGAATGAGTAAAGAATTGTTCCCTCAGCCTTTATTGTCTGTAAGAGATTTTAGAGAATTGGTTTCATTTTGTCCATAAATGTTTGGTAGGATTCACCATTGAAACTGTCTGGTCCTGGTCCTTTCTTTTGGGGGAGGTTATTAATTATCAGTATAATTTCTGTAACAGATACAGGCCTATTCAGGTTATCTATTTCTTGTATGAGTTTTGGTACTTTATATCTTTCAAGGAATTGGCCTGTTTCATCTAAGTTTTCAAATTTGTGGGTATAGATTTATTAATAATGTTCCACTGTGTCCGGAATTGGCGGGTTCTTGGTCTCACTGACTTCAAGAATGAAGCCGCGGACCCTCGCGGTGAGTGTTACAGTTCTTAAAGGCAGCGTGTCCGGAGTTTGTTCCTTCTGATGTTCGGATGTGTTCGGAGTTTCTTCCTTCTGGTGGGTTTGTGGTCTCGCTGGCTCAGGAGTGAAGCTGCAGACCTTTGCAGTGAGAGTTACAGCTCTTAAGGTGGCGTGTCTGGAGTTGTTCGTTCCTCCTGGTGGGTTTGTGGTCTCGCTGGCTTCAGGAGTGAAGCTGCAGACCTTCGTGGTGAGTGTTACAGCTCATAAAGGCAGTGTGAACCCAAAGAGTGAGCAGCAGCAAGATTTATTGCAAAGAGCAAGAGAACAAAGCTTCCACAGTGTACAAGGGGACCCCAGCAGGTTGCCACTGCTGGCTGAGGCAGCCTGCTTTAATTCTCTTATCTGGCCCCACCCACATTTCGCTGATTGGTCCATTTTACAGAGAGCTGATTGGTCTGTTTTACAGAGAGCTGATTGGTCTGTTTTGACAGGGTGCTGATTGATGTGTTTACAATCCCTGAGCTAGACAACAAAAGTTTTCCACTAGATTAGCTAGATACAGAGAGTGTGGATTGGTGTATTTACAAACCCTGAGCTAGACACAGAGTGCTGATTGGTGTATTTAAAATCCCTTAGCTAGACATAAAGATTCTCCAAGTCCCCACCAGACTCAGGACCCCAGCTGGCTTCACCCAGTGGATCCCGCACCTGGGCCGCAGGTGGAGCTGCCTGCCAGTCCCATGCCGTGCGCCTGCACTCCTCAGCCCTTGGGCGGTTGATGGGACTGGGTGCCGTGGAGCAGGGAGTGGCGCTCTTCGGGGAGGCTTGGGCCGCGCAGGAGCCCACAGTGGGGGGCTGAGGGGAGGCTCAGGCATGGCGGGCTGCAGGTCCCAAGCCCTGCCCCGCGGGGAGGCAGCTAAGGTCCTGCGAGAAATCGAGCACAGCAGCTGCTGGCCCAGGTGCTAAGCTTCTCACTGCCCAGGGCTTGCAGGCCGGCCGGCCGCTCCCAGTGCGGGGCCGCGGAGCCCACGCCCACCCGGAACTCGAGCTGGCCCGCAAGCATCACGCGCAGCCCCAGTTCCCACCCGCGCCTCTCCCTCCACACCTCCCGGCAAGCTGAGGGAGCCGGCTGCGGCCTTGGCCAGCCCAGAAAGGGGCTCCCACAGTGCAGCGGCGGGCTGAAGGGCTCCTCAGGCGTGGCCAGAGTGGGCGCCAAGGCCAAGGAGGCGCTGAGAGCGAGCCAGGGCTGCCAGCATGCTGTCACCTCTCACCACTATTATCCTTTTATTTATATTTTTTAAGATGGAGTCTTGCCATCACCCAGGCTGGAGTTCAGTGGCACGATCATACCTCACAGCAGCCTTGAACTTCTGGGCTCAAGTGATCCTCTCACCTCAGCCTCCCAAGTAGCTAGGGAGGCATGCACCACCATGCCTGCCTAATTTTGTGTGTGTGTGTGTGTGTGTGTGTGTGTGTGTGTGTACAGACAGGGTCTCACTTTGCTGCCTAGGCTAGTCTCAAACTCCTGGCTTCAAGTGATCCTCCCATCTCAGCCTCCCAAAGTGCTGAGATTACAGGCATTGGCCACCACGCCTGGCCATTATTATCTTTTTAATGTCCATAGATAATTAATGATGACCCAGCTTTTATTTCTGATATTAGTGTTCTGTGTCTTTTCTCTTTTTTTTCTTGGTTTGCCTGACTAGAGGTTTGTTAGTTTTATTGATCTTTTTAAAAAACCAGTTTTTTGCTTCATTGATTTTTTTTTTTCTGCGTTGATTTCTTGTTATCAATTTTCTTGATTTCTGCTCTAATGTTTTTCTTCTGGTTGTTTTAGGTTTGTATTACTGTTCTTTCTCTGGCTTCCTAAGGTGGATGTCTACATTATTGATTTTACATCTTTCTTCTTTTCTAATAAGTTCATCCAATGTTATAAATTTCCCTCTAGGCACTGATTTCTCTGTATCCCACAAATTTTTGTTAGGTTGTATTTTCATTTCATTGAAGTTAAAAAAAATTTTATCTTGAGACTTCTTTGTCCCATGAGTTCTTTATAAATGTGTGGTTTAATCTCCAAATAGTTGGGAATTTTACAGCTATTTTTGTGTTACTGATTTCTACCTTAATTCCACTGTGGTCTGACAGCACAAATCAAGGTGTGTTTTATGGCCCAGAATGTGGTCTGTGTTGGTGAATGTTCCATATGAGCTTGAGAAGAATGTTATTCTGCCATCATTGGATTGATTAGTTCTCAAGATTCAATTAGACACATTTGATTGATGGTGCTGTTCAGTTCAACTATATCCTTACTGATTTTTTGCCTCTTGGCTTGGTCAATTACTGATAGAGGGATGTCGCAGTCTCCAGCTATAGTAATGATTTTCTGTTTCTTCTTGTGGCTCTTTCAGTTTTTGCCTCACATATTTTGATACATTGTTGTTAGGTGTATACACATAAGCATTGGTATGTCTTCCTGGAAAGTTGACCATTTATTATAGGTAATGCCCGCCCGCCCCTTTTCTTTTTGAGACAGAGTCTTGCTCGCTCTGTCGCCCAGGCTCTAGTGCAGTGGTGCCATCTCAGCTCACTGCAACCTCCACCTCCCAGATTCAAGAGATTCTCCTGCCTCAGCCTCCCAAGTAGCTGGGACTACAGGCACGTGCCACCATGCCCAGCTCATTTTTTGTATTTTTAGCAGAGATGGTGTTTCACCATGTTAGCCAGGATGGTCTCAATCTCCTGACCTCGTGATCCGCCTGCCTCAGCCTCCCAAAGTGCTGGGATTACAGGCGTGAGCCACCATGCCCAGCCAGTAATGCCCCTCTTTATCCCTGAAGATTTTCCTTATTCTGAAGTCGTCTTTCTCTGACATTAATATAGCTACTTCAGATTTCTTTTGATTAGTGTTAACACGGTATATCTTTCTGCATCCATTTACTTTAAATCTATCTGTGTCTTTATATTTAAAGTTGGTTTCTTGTGGACAGCATATGGTTAATCTTGTATTGTCATCCACTCTAGCAGTTCTTTTAATTGGCATATTTAGACCATTCACAATGTACTTACTGATATTGTTGGATTAATATTGCCATGTTTATAACTCCTTTCTATTCATTGTACTTGTTCTTCTTTTTACATCTTTCCCCCCTTTTCTGCCTTCTCTGGTTTTTACTGAACATTTTATATAATTCTACTTTCTCTCTTCTCAACATATCAATTATACTTATTTTTTAAAAGTTTTGTGGTTGAAATGGAATTTGTCCCTGGGATGCAAGGATGGTTCAGCATTCTCAAATCAATCAGTAGAATGATATGATACATCATATCAACAGAATGAAGGACAAAACCCATATAATCATTTCAATTGATGCTGAAAAAATATTTGATAAAATTCAACATCTCTTCATAATAAAAACCCTCAAAACACTGGGTATAGAAGAAACATACCTCAACATAATAAAACCCATAGATGACAGGCCTACAGCTAGTATCTTCTGAATGGGGAAAAACTGATAGCCTTTCCTCTGAGATCTGGAACACAACAAAGATGCACACTTTCACCACGGTCATTCAACATAGTACTGGAAGTCCTAGCTACAGCAGTCAGAGAAGAGAAACAAATAAAGGGCATCCAATTTGGAAAGGAAGAAGTCAAATTATCCTTCTTTGCAAATGATATATCTTATATTTGGAAAAGTCTAAAGACTCCATAAAAAAAGCTATTAGAACTGATAAACAAATATAGTGAAGTTGCAGGATATAAAATCAACATACAAAAATCAATAGCATTTCTGTATGCCAACAGTGAACAATCTGAAAAAGACATTTAAAAAGTAATCTCATTTACAGTAGCCACAAGTAAAATTAAAAAAGAATTAGCCGAAAAAATGAAAGATCGCTACAATGAAAACTATAAAACATTGATGAAAGAAATTGAAAAGGACACCAAAAATGGAAAGATATTCCATGTTCATGGATTGGAAAAATCAATATTGTTAAAATGTCCATACTACCCAAAGCAATCTACAGATTCAGTGCAATTCCTATTAGAATACCTTTGGCATTCTTCCCAGAAATAGAAAAAACAATTTAAAAATGTATATGGAACCACAAAAGACCCAGAATAGCCCAGAAATATCCTAAGCAAAACAAAACAAAACTGGAGGAATCACATGACCTAACTTCAAATTATACTACAGAGATATAGTAACCAAAATGGCATGGTGCTTGCAAAAAAACAGACACATAGACCAATGTAACATAATAGAGAACCTAGAAACAAACCTATACACTTACAGTGAACTCATTTTTGACATAGGTGCCAAGAACATACACTGAGGAAAAGAGTCTCTTCAATAAATGGTCCCGGGAAAACTGGATATCCATATGCAGGAGAATGAAACTAGATCTCTACCTCTCACTGTATACAAAAATCAAATTAAAATGGATTAAAGACTTAAATCTAAGACCTCAAACTATGAAACTACTACCAGAAAACATTAGGATAACTCTCCAGGACATTGGTCTGGGCAAAGATTTCTTGAGTAATACCTCACAAGCACAGGCAACAAAAGCAAAAATGGACCAATGAGATCACATCAAGCTAAAAAGCTTCTGCTCAGCAAAGGAAACAGTTAACAACGGGAAGAGCCAACCCAAGAATGAGAGAAAATATTTGCAAACTACCCATCTGACAAGGGATAAATAACCAGAATATATAAGGAACTCGAACAACTATACAGGAAAAAAAATCTAATCTAATTTAAAAATAGGCAAAAGATTTGAATAGACATTTCTCAAAAGAAGACATACAAATAGCATATAGGCATATGAAAATGTGCTCAACATCATTGATCATCAGAGAAATGTGAATCAAAGCTGTAATGAGATCATCTCACCCCAGTTAAAATGGGTTATATCCAAAAGACAGGTAATAACAAATGCTGGCAAGAATGTGGAGAAAAGGGAACCCTCATACACTGTTGGTGGGAATGTAGATTAGTACAACCACTATGGAGAACAGTTTGGAGGTTCCTCAAAAAACTAAAAATACAGCTACCATATAGTCCAGCAATCCCACCACTGGGTATATACCCAAAAGAAAGAAAATCAGTATGTCAAAGAGATACCTGCACTCCCATGTTTGTTGAAGCACTGTTCACAACAGCCAAAATTTGGAAGCAACCTAAAGTGTTCATCAACAGATGAATGGATAAAGAAAATGTGGTGCTTATACACAATGGAGTACTATTCAGCCATAAAGAAGAATGAGATCTTGTCATTTGCTGCAACATGGATGGAACTGGAGGTCATTATGCTAAGTGAAATAAGCCAGGCACAGAAAGACAAATATCACGTTCTCACTTATTTGTGGGAGCTAAAAATGAAAGCAATTGAACTTATGGAGATAGAGAGTAGAAGGATGGTTAACAAAGGCTGGGAAGAGTAGTGGGAGGCTGGGGGGTGGAGGGGAAGGTGTGGAGATGGTTATTGGGTACAAAAAGAACAAAAATGAATAAGACCTACTATTTGATAACACAACAGTTGACTATAGTCAATCATAACTTAATTGTTCTTTTTAAAATATTTTTGCTTTGTAAGGCACTTTTGTTGTAGCATAAATGTACATTTTAAAATAACTAAAAGAGTATAACTGGATTATTTGTAACACAAAGGATAAATGCTTGAGGGGATGGATACCCAATTTTACACTATGTGGTTAATATGCATTGCATGCCTATATCAAAACATCTCATGTACCCCATACATATGTACACCTACTATTTACCCACACAAATTAAAATTTTAAAAAAATTTGCCCTAGATTTGCAATATACACTTACAACTAATCCAAGTCCACTTTCATGGGTAGTACAGGTACATTATAACTGAGTATTCCCAGTTCCTCTCTGCCATCCTTTATAGTTGTCATTCATTTCACTTATCCACATGTTGTAATCACTGAATACATTGTTGCTATTATTACTTTGAACAATGATCTATTTATTAGATTAAAAAAATAAAAGATTGTTTTCTCTTCATTTATTCCTTTCCTGATGCTCTCCTTTCTTATGTAGATCCATTAGTTATCTATTGATAAAAAACTAATCAACCACAAAATTTACTGGCTTAAAATATTTACTAGCTTTAGTTTCTGCCAGTCAGGAAAATCTGGTCACTGCTTAACTGGGTCTTCTACTCTGGATCTCTCACAGGGCTGCAGTCATCTTAGGCTCAATTGGGAAGGATCCAAACTCACTCATGGTTGTTGACAGGATTCAATTCCTTACTAGTTGTTGGACTTAGGCTTCTGTTCCCTACAAGCTGTTGGCCAGAGGCCTTCCTTGTTTCTTGCCATGTGAGCCTCTCTGTAACGCATTTTACAACATGGAAGCTTTGCTTCATCAGAGCAAGTAAGAGGGCAAGAGAAAGTGCCAGCAAGAGAGGACAAGCTAGCAAGACGGAAGTTACAATCTTTAGTAACCTGATTATGAAAGCAACATCCCATCACATTTGCCATGTTGTATTTATTACACAAGTGTATGAATATCAGAAAGGCAGGGATCATTGAGAGCCATGTCAGAAGCTACCCATCAAACCCATACCCAATGGGGCTATATCCTATGTGAATCGTGTGTGCCCTAGGTTGAGGATATGACCCTCCAGAAAGGTTTTTGCATTTCCTCCTCCCAGGCATTCCACGATGGAGGACTACATTTTATATTGTTCTCTGCTTGAGTCTCTGAACACGTGGGTAGTGAAACTGTGAACTACAAATTTGCTTGATGTGTAAGCTTATAGATGAATTACCTGGTGAACTTATATTGTTTTTTTCACATATGACTTGAGGCCAAGACGGACAAGCTTTCTTGTGATCTCTATGTACTGGTGGACTTTTTAAAAAAATTAACCCTTTTACTGATGGTATGACCCTTCAAAGATCCTAGCTTTATGCATAGTTCTTAGTTCCTGCCCCTTACATAATTCAGCCCCAAAGCTTCATGACCTGTCCTCATGGGGATATTAAATCTCAAGCTCCCAGGTAACTGTGACAAGTTAACCCCCTTCACAAACTTCCATTTACCACTCTAGTTTTCATGTCTTTTTTTTCTTTGCCCTTGCTATGTAGTTGGAAAGATTGTTTTCAAAATATAATCCAGCATTTCCAGGGAGTTTTATACTGGGAGGGCTTTTCGGTTATCTGTATATTGCCAAATTAGATGTCCCTCTATTTAATGTTTAAGTACCCATTTGTCAGCATCAAAATTAATGTCTATGTTTCCTTTTAACCTAACTTTTAACAGTTTTACTATTATCCCCATCATGTTCCATTGAAATCAACTGGAATTTTTGTTCCAGATTATGGCTTTTTTTTTTTTTTTTGAGATGGAGTCTCACTCTGTGGCACAGACTGGAGTGCAGTGGCATGATCCCAGCTCACTGCAACTCTGCCTCCCGGGCTCAAGCAATTCTCCTGCCTCAACCTCCCAGGTACCTGAGATTACAGGCGTGCATCACCATGTCCAGCTAATTTTTGTATTTTTTTTTTTTATTAGAGACAGGGTTTCACCATCTTGCCCAGGCTGGTCTTGAACCCCTCACCTCAAGTGATCCACCCACCTCAGCCTCCCAAAGTGCTGGGACTACGGGAGTAAGCCACCATGCCTGGCCCAGATTGTGGCATTTTTAGTATTTATTTTGTATTTTTAAAGTGTATTTTATGGCCAGGCACAGTGGCTCACACCTGTAATCCCAGCACTTTGGAAGGCTGAGATGGGCGGATCACTTGAGGTCAGGAGTTCCGAGACCAGCTTGGCCAACATGGTGAAACCCCATCTCTACAAAATACAAAAATAGCCGGGCATGGTGGCGCATGCCTATAATCTCAGCTACTCAGGACACTGAGGCGGGAGAATCATTTGAACCTGAGAGCCAGAGGTTACAGTGAGCTGAGATCGCGCCACTACACTCCAGCCTGGGCAACAAAGCGAGACTGTGTCTCAAAAAAAAAAAAAAAAGTATATTTTATGATTTTTTAATTAACCTTCCATAGTCTTAAAAATCATTTTTCACAATTTCATTAAGCCTGACAGCCACTACCAATAACTGCTTTTTAACTTTGTTTTACTGAAATCTTTTCTTAGCTTTGTTACATTGCTTGTTTTCTGATTTAATATATATATTTTTTGTTTTTGGAGGGTATCCTTGAGTAATTCTTTGAGAATGTTTTGAGTCCTTGGATATCTGAAAATAACTTTATTTATTTATTTTAAAATTTTATTTTAGAGATGGGTTTTCACTGTATTGCCCAGGCTGGAGTGCAGTGACTACTCACAGGCACTTTCATAGAACACTACAGGCTTTAACGCCTAGCCTCAAGTGGTCCTCCCACCTCAGTCTCCCAAGTAGCTGGGAATACCAGTGCATGCTACCACACCTGGCAAATGGCTTTATTTTTGCTTTCATGTCAGTAAATATCTTTTTACTTGGGAACATTGACTACATGGCTCCATTATTTTTTTCCATCTAATGTTATATGTAAGAATTCTGATGCTAATCCCAATTCTTGTATTTTGCAGTTCTCTACTACTTCTGCTACTTCTCTTTGATAGAAGATTGTACTTTTTAAATCCTTTGGAAAACTCCATATTTTATGGTCTTTTTTCATTTATCCTGCTTCACATTTATTAGATCCTTTCTGTCTGAAGATTTTCATCTTTTGAAACAGGAATTTTTCTTCTTTGTGGGTTTTTTGTTTTTGTTTGACGTGGAGTCTCACTCATTCTTTTGCCCAGGCTGAAGTACGGTGGCATGATCTCTGCTCACTGCAACCTCCGCCTCCTGGGTTCAAGCAGTTCTCCTGCCTCGGCTTCCCAAGTAGCTGGGATTACAGGTGTGTGCCACCATGGCTGGCTCATTTTTTTATTTTTAGTAGAGATGGGGTTTTGCCATGTTGGCCAGGCTGGTCTCAAACTCCTGACCTCAAGTGAACCACCCGCCTCGGCCTCCCAAAGTGCTGGGATTACAGGCATGAGCCACCGCACCCAGCCTATAGATTTTAATTGTTACATGTCTTCTTCATTTCATTGGGATTTAAAGAAGAAAATTATGTACATTTAGCCAGCCATTTGAAACCAGTTCTGTTGAACAATAAAAGCACAGGAGTAGGTAATTTTTTATATCATCACATTAAAACTACCATGAAAAATAAAATGGAGTGTTAAGAAAAAGAGTAGCCATTGAGTTAGGTTTTTTTTTTTTTCAGTTAAAAGGCTGTACTATATAGTGTTCCAAATAGATTCTTTTTAAAATTTTAGCAAACACTATAAATACAGAAGAGAAAACGCAGGGAAAGAGGAAGACAGGAAGAGAAGTTTGCAGACAGATCTACAGGGAAAACACTGAGACACTTTAATTTGTATAGGATGATAAAAAGATGCATTTATTAAATATTTGCATCTGTGACAAAAAATCAAAATATGGATAATAACATTGTTAGGACCAGTACCCTTGGAGTTATAAAAATAGTGAACAAAATTTTCATCCATCTTATCATCTATGTTGGATATGCCACATAGGTGTCCATAAAGGTACCTACAAGTTTATGCTAAGTGAATCCTACAAAAAGATGCTTAGATTCCAGAGAACGTCTCATAAGTGCCAAAGAGGATAGGTGTGCAATCTGTAGTAATACAAGAGAGAGTGTGAGAGAACTGGACAGGAGGATTCAGAGGAGATTTCAAAGGACTTGACCCATTTATGCAGGAGGTTGCAATTTTTTGAATTGCAAAATGAGACCTTGGCAATGACCTTGAGCAGTAGGATATAAATAACTCCTACATGCTTAGTGTTCCACTAATGGAACACAAGGCATAAATGGGTTAAACTGGCTCTTAAAGAATGAATACAATTGGATGAGTACCTATTCAGGAGAATGGAACAGAAATAGAGGCAACACAGCATACTTATTAAAAATTATTCTAGAGGCAGATTGCTGAGTTCAAATTTTGACCATGTCACTTATTTGCTGTATCACTTTGGTTTATTTTTTACTTATTTTTTTTAATGTGGCCTAGATGAATTAATGCTGTGTCACTTTGGAAAAATGATTTCTCTGTGCCTCAGTTTTTGTTGTTTTTTTACTAAAATGAGAATAATAGGACCTACCTTTTAGAGTTGTTATAAGGAATAAATTAATCCACATAAAGCATTTAAGACAATTTATGGCATCAACTATAATTGTTAGTTGCCATGATTATCATCATCATCTTCATAGAAGGACATTTTGGAATTACAAATGGATAGATTGTATTCATTGGCTAGTAAATGAACCGGCCTGCTTCGAATACACAATTCATACTGGGAAGTAGTAGAAGAATGTGTTGAAGTCAGTTGGAGTCCACACCATGGTGGTCTTGAATTCCAGGCTAAGAAACAGTTAATTATTATTCTTTTATTGAAGAGGAAACAAAAAAGTTATATACAATGTCTGAAATTGCCTAAGTCTTTTTTTGGGGGGGCAGGGGAGGCAGGGGGGGCGGGGTACCGAGTCTCACTGTCGCCCAGGCTGGAGTGCAGTGGCACAATCTCGGCTCACTGCAACGTCCACCTCCTGGGTTCAAGCGATTCTCCCGCCTCAGCCTCCTGAGTAGCTGGGATTTTTCTATTTTTAGTAGAGACAGGGTTACACCATGTTGGTCAGGCTGGTCTCGAACTCCTGACCTCATGATCCACCTGCCTCGGCCTCCCAAAGTGCTGGGATTACAGGCGTGAGCCACCGCGCCCTGCCAATTGCCTAAGTTTTAACTAAAACGCCCAGCATTTGAACTGCTCTTTGTGTTTCCGTCCATTCTACAGGGATTCTGAATGAAACCACTATTTTAGGAAGATTTATTTCAGTAATATCCATAAGGCCTAAATTTAGGTGATGGTGAGAGAAATGGGTAAGGAAGGGACAAGTTCCAAAAATGAATGGAATTGAACTAGATGATCTTTTGGTTCTTTTCTAGCTCAGACATCACTGATGACTTTCTTACCTCTCTAGCTTAGATAATCTTTACATCATATGATCTACTGTATATAATTTTTTATTTCCAGAATTTGTAATATATGTTTTTCTCATGTATGCTTTTCTACAGGTTTTAGATGGAGCAGGATTAGATATTGATTTCCATCTTGCCTCTCCAGAAGGCAAAACCTTAGTTTTTGAACAAAGAAAATCAGATGGAGTTCACACGTAAGTAATCTCTTTTAGTTGAGTTTCATTGCTGAATAATACCAGTGGGTTATCTGCAGGGCATGGAAAGTTAGCACATTTGATACTACATATCAATATTAGATAATTCCATATGATTTAAAACAGTTCATGATAGTGTGCCATCTGATAAACAAAAACATCTTCCATTAACCTTTCTATTTTTGTTTAAGCGTTTTCTTTTGATCCAGGCTAAATTTTTTCTGTGCTTTGGTTAGTAAATTAGTATTCCCCTGGTATTCCATTCAATCTATCGTGGCATTTTAAACCTGCCTTCTGGCCAGCACAAGCTTTCTATTTTAACTTAAAGCTACTGTTCCAGGTATATGTCTTAAAGTTTCTTGAGCTGCTGGCTATATGCCATTTTTGTCCATAGTTTTCTTTCTTAAAACAGGACAGTATATCTTTGTGTGTACGTAAATTTTTTTTTTTTATTCAGACCTCATTCGTTTTAGGTAATTAGAAGGCCTGAAAGTAAAAGATCTGATCATAGGGAACTATATAAAAATAAAATACTTGTTATAACTCTTTGAGTTCAGAGTTCAGCAAAAGACCATATATTCTTCTTCTGACACCTCACTTCCCTCTTTTCATATCTCACTGGTATGTTTCCTGGTTCCATTCTATTATCTTACTATAACATTTTCTTAAGTCAGTTTTGTTATATGTTTAAACTGTGAGTCTGTAGGAAGAAGAGCAAATATGGAGTATCTAGTATTTGCTATAAACAAGGGTTGGCATGTTATAGGCTTCTAAATTAATCTTTCCATTACACTATGAGATAGAGTCTTTGACTCAAGATTCCCATTTTATAGACAAGGAGGCTCAGAGAAGTCAAATAAGTCTCCAGGGATACACATGCAGGGTGGAGACAGGATGGACCAAAACTCTTTGCTTTCTACCATATGCTTAGAACATCCCTGGTACATAACACTATTGTAAGAACTAGCTATTATTAAAATTATTGGTCTTTGTTAACCAAAATGCCTGATACATAATCGATACTCAGTAAACACTGAATACATGTATGAATGGATGAGAGGAAAAAAATGTCTCAACAATAATTTTTTAAGATACTCATTTAAAATGCATTTTAAATGGCATTTTACCTATGCAGAGCTCAGAAAAATATTTGCATAAGCTATTACTAAATAAGATAGAAATAGTAATTTTAAAAGTCAGTTTATATTGATATACTTGGAATTAACTGTTTTCTCTTTGATAGGTGTATAAGAAGTAAAAATGGGCCAGGCACTGCGGTTCACGCCTATAATCCCAGCACTTTCCGAGGCCAAGGTGGGTGGATCACGAGGTCAAGAAATTGAGACCATCCTGGCCAACATGGTGAAACCTTGTCTCTACTAAAAATACAAAAATTAGCTGGTCATGGTGGCACACGCCTGTAGTCCCAGCTACTTGGGAGGCTGAGGCAGAATTGCTTGAACCCCGGAGGCGGAGGTTGCAGTGAGCTGAGATGGCGCCGCTGTACTCCAGCCTGGCGACAGAGACTCCATCTCAAAAAAAAAAACAAAACTAAAAATGTAGTTCATCTTTTAAGTTTCAGAATTTTAAAAATGTTCAAAATGTATGTCAGTCTTTATTTCTCCCCAATTATTTGCTCCCTTTTTGAGATAATAAAATTCACTGTTAGAAAAATAAGTATCTTACTGCTTCCTTGTGTAGAATTACCTCTCATTAAATAATTGGGAGAAAATAATTGAGTTTATAATAGTTCACATTTATTGCATTCTTTTGATATGCCAGGCCAGTGTTCTCAGCACTTTTCATGTACTAATTTTTTTATTCTTAACCACAGTCCTATGACGTAAATATTATTTTACCAATGGGGAAACTGAGGCATAGAACAATTAAGTTGCTGAAGGTTACACAGCTAGTGAACGGCAAAGCCAGGATATACATTCAGGCAGTCCAACTCACTATTAATCACTATACCAGATTTACAAATTTTTTTTTTTTTTTTTTTTTTTGAGACGGAGTCTCACTCTGTTGCCCAGCTGGAGTGCAGTGGCGCGATCTCGGCTCACTGCAAGCTCCGCCTCCTGGGTTCACGCCATTCTCCTGCCTCGGCCTCCTGAGTAGCTGGGACTACAGGCGCCCGCCACCACGCCCGGCTAATTTTTTGTCTTTTTAGTAGAGACGGGGTTTCACCGTGTTAGCCAGGATGGTCTGGATCTCCTGACCTCGTGATCTGCCTGCCTCGGCCTCCCAAAGTGCTGGGATTATAGGCGTGAGCCACTGTGCCCGGCCTACAAATCTGTTTTTTAAACATTAAACAAAGCTTTTATCTTTAGCTATATTAATTTTGTAAGAGCAGCAAACATCTGAGTATGTCACTGGTTTTTCTTAAGTAGGCTTTTTCTTTTTCTTTTAAATGTAATTTCTTTTTTAAAGACAAGGTCTCACTATGTTGCCCAGGCCAGAGTGCAATGGTGTGACCATAGCTTACTGCAGCCTAAAGTACTGGGCTCAACCAAGCCTCCCGAGTAGCTAGGACTACAGGTGTGTACTCGGCTAATTTTTTAATTTTTGTAGAGACAAGGTCTCACTTTTGCCCAGGCTAATCTCGAACCCCTGGCCTACAGTAATCCTGCCTCAGACTCCCAAAGCGCTGTGATTGTAGGTATGAGCCACCGCACCTGGCCCTGCTTTTAACTTTCGCTAATATGGGAAACTAATTTTAACTAGGGTACTGGTAATTCAGATATTATTCATTTTTTTCTTCAGCACTTGGCATAATTAATGATGGGCTGAATTACCTTTATAGAATTAAATAATAAAATATAAACTAGTTTTATTTAATTCTCAAAAAAAGCATTTAGGATCAAACATAAACATCTATAAGGGAGCCAGTGGCAGTTAATAGGCAAAATCAGTAAGAGGCCTGGAAGAAGACATTTAGGACAATCCATCACTGCTTTTGAAAACAAAACTCAGTTTAATCTCAGTTGTAGGGTAGGTTGGCAGTCATATCTGCATATGAATTGAACTCATGATAAAATACTTTTAATAATGTATAAATATTAAAGTTTATTATGAGTTATGTATACAGGTTTTTAATTCTATCCTTTTCCAAAAATGAGGTCACTAACCATAATTTACTGAGTAAATGCCAAACATGTCTAAGTTGTACTTGAACATATATATTTTCAGGTTGCTTCTTTCCCAAGAAATTATAAATTATCTTTCAATACTAAGGAAATTTATGGGTAAGCTGTCCAATTACTATAAACTATGTTATTTGTTTTTTGTTTTGTTGGTTTCTTTTTTTTTTTTTTTTTTTTTGAGACAGGATCTTGCTCTGTTGCCCAGGCTGGAGTGCAGTGGCATGATCATGCCTCACTGCATCTTCAACCTTCCGGGCTCAAGCAATCCTCACACTCTGCTAATTTTTGTTATTTTTTTGTAGAGACAGGATTTTGCCATGTTACCCAGGCTGGTCTCAAACTCCTGAGCTAAAGTGATCTACCAGCCTTGCCCTCTCAAAATGCTGGGATTACAGGTGTGAGGCAACACACTCAGCCTGTTACTTCTTATTTTTACCTTTAGTTGCTTTTCATCACAAATAGAAATACAGGTAACTTAAAACATGTACTTTTTTTTATACAGTGTAGAGACTGAAGTTGGTGATTACATGTTCTGCTTTGACAATACATTCAGCACCATTTCTGAGAAGGTGATTTTCTTTGAATTAATCCTGGATAATATGGGAGAACAGGCACAAGAACAAGAAGATTGGAAGAAATATATTACTGGCACAGATATATTGGATATGAAACTGGAAGACATCCTGGTCAGTATGGTCTTCTAATAAAATAAAAATTATTAACAGCCAGAGGCCTTACTATGGTAATAAGTTACTGAACTAAGCATTTTATCTGCATTATCCAGGAAAATCTGTTTCTAATATTTTATTTTTGCCATAAATACTTTGACCTCAAGTATCAGCTTAATTTTATTTTATATTAATATAGCCCTTTTATAGTTTTCAAATAACTTATCTTCCAGGACCCTATTATAAAAATAGCTTCAGATGTGCAAATAAGACTGCATCTTGGTAAGTTTGTTTTATAAATGTGCAGTTAGAATTTTTAAATTATAAATAGATTATGCTTCTGATTATACAGCAGGCATATGAAAAGTAAAATGTTTTCTAATTTCACAACTATTTTGTGGTATTAAAACATTGGGTGTTTTACTGAATACTAAATTGTTCAGATAAACATACAAAGAAGGAAATATTATAAACACATGCATTATGTAATAGGTAAATACCTAAAGTTATATCAATTGGGTTTTTAAAAATGAAATCATTTGCCAGGCATGGTAGCAGGTACCTGTAATCCCAGCTACTCAGAAGGTTAGGGGGAGGATCATTTGAGCCCAGTTCAAGGCTGCAGTGAACCATGGTCACACATATAAATAGATACTACACTCCAATATAGCAAGACCCCATCTCTAAAAACTTAATCATTTGACCAGGCACAGTCTCAGGTTGCAATGAGCCGAGATTGTGCCTAGGCAAACTCCATCCCCCGACAAAAAAAAAAAAAAAAAAAACCTTAGTCATTTCCTTTGGTTGTGTGAGGACTAAGAAAGAGATAATGTACGTAAAACTCCTGATGCTATGCCACTCAGAATAATTTCATGTTACCTATTTTCAATTCACAGTAGCTTTGTTCCCTTGTTAAATAACTACTTATAAACAATATAAATATGTCAGGAGAACTATTATATAACCTTACAGAGAATCTCTAATGTAATATAAATAGTACCTGCCCTTTAATTGAATTGTGCAGCCATCTAACTTAAAATTGTGTTTGGATAAAAAACATAAAGCATATTTTGAAAAAAACTTTTTTTGAGACAGGGTCTCACTCACTCTGTTGCCCAGGCTGGAGTGCAGTGGCACCATTATGGCTCATTGCAATCTCAACCTCCTGGACTCAAGTGATCCCCCCACCTCAGCCTCCCAAGTAGCTGGGACCACACTTGGTGCTACCATACCCATCTTTTTGTAGAGGCAGAGTCTGTCTGTGTTGTCCAGCCCAGTCTTGAACTCCTGGGTTCAAGGGGTCCTCCTGCCCTAGTCTCCCAAAGTTCCAGGATTACAAGGCATGAGTCACTGCACCCAGCCTCATTTTTTAATTAAGTTAAAATTTCTGAGCATTCTTTAATAATAAAATTATTTTATTTATCTCCAGGAATCCATCAACAGCATCAAGTCCAGACTAAGCAAAAGTGGGCACATACAAACTCTGCTTAGAGCATTTGAAGCTCGTGATCGAAACATACAAGAAAGCAACTTTGATAGAGTCAATTTCTGGTCTATGGTTAATTTAGTGGTCATGGTGGTGGTGTCAGCCATTCAAGTTTATATGCTGAAGAGTCTGTTTGAAGATAAGAGGAAAAGTAGAACTTAAAACTCCAAACTAGAGTACGTAACATTGAAAAATGAGGCATAAAAATGCAATAAACTGTTACAGTCAAGACCATTAATGGTCTTCTCCAAAATATTTTGAGATATAAAAGTAGGAAACAGGTATAATTTTAATGTGAAAATTAAGTCTTCACTTTCTGTGCAAGTAATCCTGCTGATCCAGTTGTACTTAAGTGTGTAACAGGAATATTTTGCAGAATATAGGTTTAACTGAATGAAGCCATATTAATAACTGCATTTTCCTAACTTTGAAAAATTTTGCAAATGTCTTAGGTGATTTAAATAAATGAGTATTGGGCCTAATTGCAACACCAGTCTGTTTTTAACAGGTTCTATTACCCAGAACTTTTTTGTAAATGCGGCAGTTACAAATTAACTGTGGAAGTTTTCAGTTTTAAGTTATAAATCACCTGAGAATTACCTAATGATGGATTGAATAAATCTTTAGACTACAAAAGCCCAACTTTTCTCTATTTACATATGCATCTCTCCTATAATGTAAATAGAATAATAGCTTTGAAATACAATTAGGTTTTTGAGATTTTTATAACCAAATACATTTCAGTGTAACATATTAGCAGAAAGCATTAGTCTTTGTACTTTGCTTACATTCCCAAAAGCTGACATTTTCACGATTCTTAAAAACACAAAGTTACACTTACTAAAATTAGGACATGTTTTCTCTTTGAAATGAAGAATATAGTTTAAAAGCTTCCTCCTCCATAGGGACACATTTTCTCTAACCCTTAACTAAAGTGTAGGATTTTAAAATTAAATGTGAGGTAAAATAAGTTTATTTTTAATAGTATCTGTCAAGTTAATATCTGTCAACAGTTAATAATCATGTTATGTTAATTTTAACATGATTGCTGACTTGGATAATTCATTATTACCAGCAGTTATGAAGGAAATATTGCTAAAATGATCTGGGCCTACCATAAATAAATATCTCCTTTTCTGAGCTCTAAGAATTATCAGAAACAGGAAAGAATTTAGAAAAACTTGAGAAAACCTAATCCAAAATAAAATTCACTTAAGTAGAACTATAAATAAATATCTAGAATCTGACTGGCTCATCATGACATCCTACTCATAACATAAATCAAAGGAGATGATTAATTTCCAGTTAGCTGGAAGAAACTTTGGCTGTAGGTTTTTATTTTCTACAAGAATTCTGGTTTGAATTATTTTTGTAAGCAGGTACATTTTATAAAATGTAAGCCCTACTGTAAGGTTTAGCACTGGGTGTACATATTTATTAAAAATTTTTATTATAACAACTTTTATTAAAATGGCCTTTCTGAACACTTTATTTATTGATGTTGAAGTAAGGATTAGAAACATAGACTCCCAAGTTTTAAACACCTAAATGTGAATAACCCATATATACAACAAAGTTTCTGCCATCTAGCTTTTTGAAGTCTATGGGGGTCTTACTCAAGTACTAGTAATTTAACTTCATCATGAATGAACTATAATTTTTAAGTTATGCCCATTTATAACGTTGTTTATGACTACATTGTGAGTTAGAAACAAACTTAAAATTTGGGGTATAGAACCCCTCAACAGGTTAGTAATGCTGGAATTCTTGATGAGCAATAATGATAACCAGAGAGTGATTTCATTTACACTCATAGTAGTATAAAAAGAGATACATTTCCCTCTTAGGCCCCTGGGAGAAGAGCAGCTTAGATTTCCCTACTGGCAAGGTTTTTAAAAATGAGGTAAATGCCGTATATGATCAATTACCTTAATTGGCCAAGAAAATGCTTCAGGTGTCTAGGGGTATCCTCTGCAACACTTGCAGAACAAAGGTCAATAAGATCCTTGCCTATGAATACCCCTCCCTTTTGCGCTGTTAAATTTGCAATGAGAAGCAAATTTACAGTACCATAACTAATAAAGCAGGGTACAGATATAAACTACTGCATCTTTTCTATAAAACTGTGATTAAGAATTCTACCTCTCCTGTATGGCTGTTACTGTACTGTACTCTCTGACTCCTTACCTAACAATGAATTTGTTACATAATCTTCTACATGTATGATTTGTGCCACTGATCTTAAACCTATGATTCAGTAACTTCTTACCATATAAAAACGATAATTGCTTTATTTGGAAAAGAATTTAGGAATACTAAGGACAATTATTTTTATAGACAAAGTAAAAAGACAGATATTTAAGAGGCATAACCAAAAAAGCAAAACTTGTAAACAGAGTAAAAATCTTTAATATTTCTAAAGACATACTGTTTATCTGCTTCATATGCTTTTTTTAATTTCACTATTCCATTTCTAAATTAAAGTTATGCTAAATTGAGTAAGCTGTTTATCACTTAACAGCTCATTTTGTCTTTTTCAATATACAAATTTTAAAAATACTACAATATTTAACTAAGGCCCAACCGATTTCCATAATGTAGCAGTTACCGTGTTCACCTCACACTAAGGCCTAGAGTTTGCTCTGATATGCATTTGGATGATTAATGTTATGCTGTTCTTTCATGTGAATGTCAAGACATGGAGGGTGTTTGTAATTTTATGGTAAAATTAATCCTTCTTACACATAATGGTGTCTTAAAATTGACAAAAAATGAGCACTTACAATTGTATGTCTCCTCAAATGAAAATTCTTTATCTGAAATTTTAAAAGACATTGATTCCACATGTAAGGATTTTTCATCTGAAGTACAATAATGCACAATCAGTGTTGCTCAAACTGCTTTATACTTATAAACAGCCATCTTAAATAAGCAACGTATTGTGAGTACTGATATGTATATAATAAAAATTATCAAAGAAAATTAACTGCCAGTCATTTGTAAATGCTGTCTACTCCTGAAAGCCTTCCTTCATCTCTATTTAGTTAATAATGTGCTCTCTCCTCCTGTTTTGAAACCCCATAGCTCTCTACACCTCTTATTGTACATCACTCTACTTTGCATTGGAGTTCTGTTTCTATATGTACTTATTCACCTGTTGCCTAAACATGCACTGTTCCTAAAAGGTACAGTTTTTGCTCAAAATATATGAAAGGAAAGATAATCAGTTCTTAAAGTTTGGTATGCTAAATAAGCACCCAGGGAACTTACCTGCTCCACCTCACCCCAGAAATTGATTATTCAGGTCTGGAATATGGCTCAGGATTCTTAATTTTCAACCAACACAATATAGAATCCTGTCAGTTATCCTTGGATCATTTGCTAAGTGATCTTGCAAAATCAAAACTCCTTTGAGACTATTTCATTTTCAGAAATATTTTAAAACTTGTTCAGAAACATCTTAAAACTTGTTAGCATATAGGAAAAGTACAATGCTTGGTGTAGGTAGGTTATTATTTGGTCATTTCCCTCAAACCATCCAGACAAGCCACTCTTCTACCACAAGCTGGTAGAAATCCTTAGGCACCTTTCTGCTTCTGCACTGCTATCACTTTCAGGTGTCTAAGGCTTCTGGAAGGCTGTTGTCATAACCTGGAGCCATACACCTAATGTACGTCTGGGGAAAGGACACCAATTAAAGAATCTAGAGCTAGGATGATGTTACATAAGACAGGGCACAATGGAGATGGACTCTGGATCCCTGCATCTGAAAGAAAAAGGCAAGAAAATGCAGGGCAGGGAAAATCCTGAAGGTCTTCACTGACCATGAATTAAAATCCTAATTGACAGTTTTACAAACAAAAACCCTCGTTTTAGTACTTGTGTTGTTTTTGTTTCTGTTTTAACAAGCTTAGATTTATTATTGTGCCTTTTATGGAAGATGAGGAAGAAATAGGAAAGCAGTAAAATGAACAATGAGAATCTGTTACCCAAACTGATATAAACTCCCTCAGAAAGAAAGATACTACTCCCTAATCCTGGAAGTGTTAAGTGGCAATAATGATCAAATGTTGTAAAGGGGATTGTTACTACAGCTAATATGAAATGGGAGGCTGGACTAAATCTAACCTTTCTACCCTTGATTTCAATTCTAAAAGGACACGTAATACCATTGCAGAAAGAAAAGACAGTTCCAAATGATAAATTTTAGAGTTGTTTTGCTAGGATGCAAGAGAAATTGGATAAGTGGACCACTCATACGTTGCTGGTGAGATATGAAATAGTAGAGCCACTGTGGAAAATATTCTTGGCAGTTTCTTATAAAACTAAACATACATTTAACATATAACTGGCATTTGTACTACTTGACAGTTATCCCTGAGAAGTTAAAACTTAACATTCACAAATGTTACATAGCACCTTCATTTATAATAGCCAAAACCCGGAAACAACCTGGATGTCCTTCAAAAAGAGTGAATGGTTTAGTATGTCCACACCATGGAATACTAAATAGTAATATGAAGGAACAAACTACTGATACATGTAACAAATTGCATGGACCTCAAGGGAATTATGCTTGGGTGGTTTGGGGGGACAATCCTAAAGTTTTACACACTGTATGATTCTGTTTTTGTAACATTCTTAAATAATAAAGCTATAGAGATGGGAAACAAGATTCGTGGTTGCCAGGTCTTGGGACTGAAGGGAAGGAGAATGTGGCTATAAAGGGAGCCTTGTGGTGGAAAAGTTCTGTAGTTTGATTGTGGTGATTACATAAATATACATGTGAAATGTTAGAAGTATTTATAGCTGAAACATATTAGTATGTTGGTATATACATATTTCTGACTAATTAATTTCGCCATGTTGCCCAGGCTGGTCTCGAACTCCTAAGCTCAAGTGATGTGCCCGCCTCAACTTCCCAAGTGCTGAGATTACAGGCGTGAGCCACCATGTCCGGCCTGTTTTTTCCTATGCATGCATAATTACGATCAAGTTTAATTTGTAATTAGGCACATTAAGAGATTAACAATAGCTAACAAAATGGAACAATTACAACAATATATTGTAATAAAAGTTATGCAAATGTGGTTTCTCTCTCTCAAAATATCTTGTACTCACCCTTGTGAGGCTGTGAGATGTCATACAATGCCTACATGAAGAGATGAAATGAGGTGACTGATGTAGGTATAAGTGATGTAGTTAGGCTACATTATCATCAAAATAACTTCGGGTAATCCTGGATCACTGAGCCAAGGTAATGTTGATGGTTAAGGAGCAGACAATGTTGATGGTTGGGGATCCTCAATAGGTGAAGGATTTCTATTTTGGGGTCTTTTTGCTGAAAAATTTTGGAAGAACACTGTAACCAGAAGTTGTTGACTCTTCAGCTCATCGAAGTGTTGCTGCAGAGACTGTAATCCTTTGGTGATCATATTGGTAACTTTAATGCTGTGTCTCATCTGAGGATCGTATTCTATAATTCTGTTGTTTAATGTCTGTGCAATTCAAAACACTTCGGCAAGTTTAATTAATGTCTATGTTGGCTATTCTGCTTCAGTTTTTTTAATCTTCCTCTCCCTCTGCAGATGACTCAAAAATTTCTTCCAATTCCTCATTTGTTAACACTTCGTGATGGCCTTTGATATGCTCTTCATCAAGCACATCAGCAAATCCTTCACAAGTTCTGTGAAGGATTGTCTTGTCTTGCTACATGATTTAAACTTGCCATGGGTCCCTAGGAAGCCTTTAAATCATATATATAATTCCACATTCTTCCAGCAGGTATTTACCTGTTTCTGGTTTTAATTCATCCACTGCAGCTTTGATGAATGTTATCACATGAGCAATAGTGAATGATATCCAGCACTGCATTATATACGTATTAGGGTCTGCAGCAATTGCTGACCAAATGTGTTCAAATATCAGGCAGTTGTATGTGGCCCTGACAAACCGAATGATGCCCTGTTCAGGGACTGAAGCAGTGAGGTTTTATCTGGAGGTAAAAATACCACCTCAACATTTTCATTTTCATAGCAGACAGATTCATGTATTGTCCATTATTAATACTTTAAATTCTAACCCTTTCTCTTTCAAGTATTTTTGCACTTCTGGGATGAAGCACTGGTGGAACCATTCCATAAAAATGGCTGTCACCCACACTGATTATGTTGCCAAGACACATAATATTTTGTTTTGTTTTCGAGATCATGTAGGTTCTTCACTCTATACACTACACCTCGCTTTATCATATGCCCTGCAGCAATGCCATATAGTACCAGAGTTAATCTGTTCTTCCATGCTGTATGCCCTGATACCGCCGCATTTGCACTTTTATGAATCTAAGTTCTATTGGGCATCTTCTCCCAGAAGAGCCTGATGTCACTGCAATTGAAGACTTGCTTTGAATGGTATCCTTGCTCCTTAACTTCAACTCTGCCGGAAATGAGGCAGCAGCTTCTTCATCAACAGACACAGCCTCTTCAGTAATTCTTAAATACTTCAGTCCAAACCCATTCCTGAATCTGTGTAACCATCCCTTATTTGCAGCAAATGGCTTGGTATCACTCATTTCAGGAGATCCCTTGCTGAATGTTTGTATAGGCTCAGTGCTTTCGCGGCAACACCCTGACGTCAGCTGGAACACATTTCTTTCTGTTCGTGTCTTCCACCCACAAATTTAACCCATTTATACCGGAGGTTGCAAAATCTGTGAAAAATCAGACCTTGGCAATGACCTTGAGCAGCAGGATATAAATAACTCTCACAAGCTTAACGTTCCAATAATAAAACACTAGGCATAAATGGGCTAATGCCTTTTTCATCTTAAAACTAGCACGAATGTTTTTTCTTCACAATTTCATGAAGATCTGTTCTTACCTTAGATCTTACCAATCTCTGCATATAATTTTCTTCTCAAGTACTTTCACCTTTTCAGTTTATGACTTAATGACTTATCTTTGGCATATCCAATTGCCATCATCTCTACACTTATACCTTGGGGCCACAATAAAGTAAAATAAGGGTTACCTGAACACAAGCACTACAATACTGCAATAGTTGATAGGATAACCAAGATTATTAAGTGTCTAATGGTAGGTAGCATATACAGCATGGATAGGCTGGACAAGGGGATGACTCTTGTGTGAGATTTCATTACGCTACTCAGAATGGCATGCAACTTAACACTTGAATCCACAGACAAGAGGTGACTACTGTAATGTCTTTGAAAATGCTAGGCCCTCAAATATTGAGTGACACGCTCATTCTTGACTCCAGGCCTTATTCTGCTCCTTCATGTTGAAACTAGATTTTCTCTTATGTAGCCTCTATTCAAGCTAACCCATCCTTCAAGGTAAAACCTAACAAATATTGCAGTCCAGATCAATCTCATTTCTCCAGCAATACAGCACATATTTTGATACCTGTAGTCATCTACTGTTTTCAAATGTTACTTAACAATTACGCTTATGTCCTAACTCTCCAAGACTGTACTATTATACTATAAACAATACTTTCACCACCACCCCCCCAAATTCCACCTCCTTGATTTTATGCTATAAAATACACTATCCTATTTTTGCCAGTTAAGATCCTATCATCCTTCAAAGCCTAATTCAAATAGAATTAATTCCCTTTCAATAAGTCTTTCCCTTGGTATCTTTCTTAGGCTTACTCTAAATGTCAATGGAACTTTGTACCGATACTCCATAGTAATTATCAATTTCAACTCAAATTTAGTTTATTTATGTCTATCTTCCATAATTTAAGAACTCAGAGGCAGGCTCCTAATCTTTCCTCTATCTCTTCACAGCAACTCATAGGCATTCAAAACATGATTGCTGAATTTGAATAAACACTTAATACAACCACACAGAATTTTACATCTCAACCACTTTCAGAAAAACTAAAGCATAAAAGAAAAAATCCTGTAATACTATAGTGAGTTGACTTGTGTCCCCCCGAAAAAGATATATCCAAGTCCTAACTCCCAGTATCTGTCATCGTAACCTTATTTGGAAACAGGGTCTTTGCACATGTAATTAAATATCTCCAGATAAGATCACCCTGCATTTAGAATGGGCCCCAAATCCAATGACTGTTGCCCTATAAGAAAAGGAGAGGAAGATTGGAAATAGGGGAATGCCTCATAAAGATGGAGGCAGAAATTGGACTTATATGTCCAAGAATTACCAGCTGCAACCAGAAACAATAACAGGCATGGAAGGGATTCTCCCTCAGAGTATCCAGAAGGAACCAACCTTGACACAAACTCAGTTTTAGACTTCTAGCCTCTAGAACTCTGACGAACTGCTGCTATTTTATGCTGCCAAGTTTTTGGCAACTTGTAGCAGCTCTAGGAAATTAAAACAAAGGCCTCAATAGCAGAGCCCCAGAAAAAATTTTTTAGAAATAATAGCAATAATGAAGTTAAGAAATAAACATTTCTGAGTTTTATTTAATGAAAACCATACTTTGCCTGTACTTATGATGAACAGGATTTTGATTATAAAGCAGTGACTCATTTTATGTTGTTCAGCGCAACCTCTTAAAATGTCTTGTGTTAAAAGTATATTTTTAAAATGTTAAACCAAAGCTTTTACCACATTGACTATTCTCTCTCTCTTGCTGTGTGTACGTACACACACACACACACACACACAAACACTTTTTTTTTGAGACAGAGTCTCATTCTGTCATCCAGGCTGGAGTGCAGTGGCGTGGCCTCTGCACACTACAGCCTCCACCTCCCAGGCTCAAGTGATCCTCCCACTACATCCTCCCAAGTAGCTGGGACTACGTGTGCCACCATCCCCAGCTGATTTTTGCATTTTTTGTAGAGATGGGTTTTCCATGTTGCCCGAGGCCGGTCTCAAACTCCTGGGCTCAAGTGATCCACCCACCTTGGCCTCCCAAACTGCTGGGACTACAGGCATGAGCCACCGAGTCCGGCCTAGACAATAATTTTTAAAATTCATGCAATTTCTAAAGAGAATGATCCTAATTAAGTTCTATGTTATGATGGTTATTTTCAGTACAATCTACGTCTTTTTTAATTTTTTCTGAGACGGAGTCTTGCTCCGTCGCCCAGGCTGGAGTGCACTGGTGCGATCTCGGCTCACTGCAAACTCCGCCTCCCGGATTCATGCCATTCTCCTGCCTCAGCCTCCCGAGTAGCTGGGACTACAGGCACCTGCCACCACACCAGGCTACTTTTTTTGTCTTTTTAGTAGAGACGGGGTTTCACTGTGTTAGCCAGGATGGTCTTGATCTCCTAACCTCGTGATCCGCCTGCCTCGGCCTCCCAAAGTGCTGGGATTACAGGCGTGAGCCACAGCGCCCAGCCCAATCTATGTCTTAATGTTCTTAATGGTGAGGTTACACATTTTGGACATTAATACTAGATACGGCCTTATATTTTGCTTATTCTCTATAAAGAATTTTAGGCCAGGCACGGTGTCTGACGCCTGTAACCCCAGCACTTTGGGAGGCTGAGGCCGGCAGATCACGAGGTCAGGAGATTGAGACCATCCTAGCTAACACGGTGAAACCCCGTCACTGCTAAAACTACAAAAACAAATTACCAGGCGTGGTGGCATGCGCCTGTAGTCCCAGCTACTGGGGAGGCTGAGGCAGGAGAATCACTTGAACCAGGGAGGCTGGGGTTGCAGTGAGCCAAGATCACACCACTGCACTCCACTGGGAAACAAAGCAAGACTCCTTCTCAAAAAATTTAATCCAGTTCTTCCCTTTACCTTTATGCTTTATTTCTAAGTTATCCAGCTTGGGCTTTTTTAAGTCAGAGTATGCTAAAGGAATTACAAAAATAATTGCCATGAGCTTAAACCAAAAATGTAGACCTCAAATTCCAAATATAAATGATTGTTTTGTTAATTCTGCTTTTCTATGAAAACTAGCATCTTCAAGTAGCAGATAAAATTTGATTATAACAAACAACATATAGGTTCTTTAGAAAGTGTCCCAAAATAAATGTAAATTACATTTAAAACCACTTGAAGCTGGGCACAGTGGCTCAGGCCTGTAATCCCAGTGCTTTGGGAGGCCAAGGCGGGTGGATCACTTGAGGCCAGGAGTTCAAGATCAGCCTGGCCAACACAGCAAAACCCTGTCTCTACTAAAAACACACACAAAAAATGGCCAGGTGCGGTGGCTCACGCCTGTAATCCCAGCACTTTCAGAGGCCGAGGTGGGCGGATTACCTGAGGTCAGGAGTTCAAGACCAGCCTGGCCAACATGGTGAAATCCCATCTCTACTAAAAATATAAAAAATCATCCAGGTGTGGTGGCGGGTGCCTGTAATCCCAGCTACTCAGGGGGCTGAGGCCGGAGAAGCACTTGAACCCAGGAGGTGGAGGTTGCAGTGAGCCAAGGTTGTGCCACTGTACTCTACCCTGGGCAACAAAGCAAGACTCCATCTCAAAAAAAAAAATATATATATATATATTAGCTGGGCATGGCGGTGCACACCTGTAATCCCAGTTACTCAGGAGGCTGAGGCACAAGAATTGCTCAAACCCAGGAGACGAAGGTTGTAGTGAGCCAAGCTCGTGCCACTGCACTCCAGCCTGAGCAACAGAACAAGACTGTCTCGAAAAAAAAAAAAAAAGAAAAGAGAAAAAAGAAAATCCAATCCAAGCTACTTTTAACCATAGAGGGCTTGAATTAGAAAATTAAATATACATATAACTACCTTTAAAAACACTAAAGGCTGAGAACACTGCTTTCAAGAAACTGCTAAGTAGGTCCAAGGTTAATATTTAATATTATTCAAAGAGTTGCCACATGTAAAAACCGAAATCGCACCACTGCACTCCGGCCTGGGTGACAGAGCGAGACCATCTCTAAATAAATAAATAAATAAATAAATAAATAAATAAGTGCACTTAAGTCTCAAGTACTTTTTAAGTCCTTAGTTTTAAAATATTTTCAAATTTTTGAAAATTATTTCAAAAATATAGAGAGTGACCCTACTAAAACCAATTAAATTCTACCTTCCATATAAAAGCAAACCAGTACAGGTAACTTAATTTTACATATTTAGTTATTTACCCAAGATCATGAAACAAATCAAATTTAATAAATATTACTTGAATTTGGTAAAACAATTATCTTAGAAATTAATTATAATTCTTTGAAGCTTGACATTCTTAGTTGTAGATAAACAATTTCAGCACTTAAAGGACTAAAAAGTTAAGCAAATTACTAATATCAATTATTGTATCCATTTAACCTATAAAGTAGTAGGAATTAATATTGAATTGCTACTCTAATAACATCTCCATTCTATTCCTTTGGGCCTCTTTTATGCCTATTAAATATATACATGAAACAAAACCATGTCATGGCAATTTGCTGTTCTCTAAAATAGTACTATTCTTATCTGGCAAGTCCCTACTAGGCAAAACACTGTTTTTTCTTTCTCATAACAACACACAGCATACATGAGCCAACACTAGCAGTACTCTTACACTACCTCTCAGTTGACAGAAAACCACGGTGCTGTTTGGCCAGGCAGTTTGTGTCTGGACATGTGTTAAGGAAATGTGAAGACCAATTAGAGAGCTACAAAATAATCAACTTACTCTAGCCTACATTATAGTCACAGCTTAATTATCCAGCAGCCACATTTCTAAATATCTCAACCACTTATATTTCATAAAGTAGAAAGCAAGAATAACAAACTGAAAAAAATATCTTTCCAGTGGTGAACAATATTTTTAAGCCATTTACATTTTTTCAGAAGTAAATCACTCTCAAACCCTCATAGTCTAAAAAATCAGAACTGTGGTTTGTAAAAGGTTTGAACTTTATTCATGTGATTACTTGTCCCAGAAAGCCTTAATTCTTTCCAGCCTGTAACAAATTAATTAATAATGTTCAGAAGCTATGTGGGAGAGTAGAAAGCTGCTCAGTGCACTATGAATAAATAAACATGGATTATTAACATAGGGATTCCAACAGAAGATATGTGAAAAGCAGAAAAATATAAAAGCACCACCTAGCCTAAGTCATTAAGTGTTAAGGGTAAGATTCCCCCACCTACATCCAGATTCCCGTGAGTAGCACAACATGTTATAGCAATGAACAATAATGAATCTTCATAATCTCTCAGTAGAAAGGTAGGAAAGGTTAGTATGTTATAAAAATGGTGTTTTTAAAAGCATGAAATATTTAATACCTTCTAGGAAATGCTTCAACGAAAAGGTATTTTCAATGTTTCTGGTCTTCAGATGGTTTAAAAGTTGCTTACAGAACAAACTATAGTTTATAAAGAATGGGTCTCTAATGACACAATTCTTCATTGGAAAATTCATAGCAAGTTAAAATAACACAAAATATCCAAGATAGAAGGTTATGCAAAATTACAATAAACCTTTTAAAAATCAACAGACCTGTTACAGAATACGCTCTTGGATTCTGGCAGGAACTTGGTGACAAAGGGATACAGAAACCAAAACCATGCTTCCACAAGTCTTTGATGAACCCACAGGCTTTCCCTTCCAAAACTCTTTCCAACAAGCTTCATTTCCTTAAGCTTCCATGTCTCCTCAAGCAAAAAAGCTAATATTCAAGGATACCTCTCACAAAATCTCTTATCGGCTTATTGTCATCCCAAATTCTGTATACAAAAAAAAACCCTTACATTTTACAATATTAATGACAACATATTCAAGTGCCACTTATTGATTAAAACACTAATTATAATCTGTCACTAAGGATACATTACTAATCCAGGATGCTATTAACTTACTTGACTTAAATTTATAACATTTTATAATGTATCAAATTACACATGTAAATTAGCAACTCATATAAATTCAGAAAAGCAATGCAACCAATTTTAAAAAAATCATTCAAAAATCCTATTTTCTAGCAAAAGTAAAACATTTGAAAAAAATTAATTTCTTTTTTTTTTTTAATTTTTTTCAGAGACAGGGTCTCACTCTGTCACCCAGGCTGGAATGCAATAGCATGATCATAGCTTGCTGCAGCCTTGAACTCCTGGGCTCAAGCAATCCTCCCGCCTTAGCTTCCCAAGTAGCTAGGACTACAGGCATGCACCACCATGCCTGGCTAATTTGAAAACTGTTTTGTAGAAACAGAGTCTCACTATGTTGTCCAGGATAGTCTTGAACTCTTGGTTTCAAGTGATCCTCCCACTTTGGCCTCCCAAAGTGCTGGGATTACAAATATGAGCCACTGTGCCTGGCCAATTAATTTCTTAAACTATTATTGGTGAGCTTACTTTTAACTTCTGCTTGATATGAAAAAATTACTTTTAACTAGCTGCTAGAGATTCATTCAGATATTGTCAACATTTTTTCTTTTTAGCATTTGACATTTAATGATGGGGTAAATAACCTTGGTTAGAATTAAAATAATAAAATACAAACTAATTTTATTTAATTATTCAAGCCCAGGCCATACATAAAAGCACTGAGGATCAAACATAAATATCCACAAGGGTGCCAGTGACAGCCAACAGGCATGTGCAAACCACCTCTCACAATACGTTTTAAAGATCAAGCAGTCTTTCAAAGCACAGTCATCCATTTGCCGTGGTTTTGTAGCACTGATATTATACATATTTTATATATAGTTCCATTAACTGAATGTCAAAGCTGCCTGTGTGACACCTAAGAAAATTCAGTGAGAGCAATACTAAGACATAAAGATTTTTGTTGGATGGGTTGGACTTTGGAGGGCCACGGACCATTATCTAAGGTTTTTTGTCCCCTCCCCAAACAAATTTTTGCCCATTTATGGATGTGATCACCCACACTGGGAATACATGTCATAGGGTTAGGAGAAAAAATGGATTAGACGCCTTTTAGTAAATACAAAGAATAGAAAACAGACTGATTTCCGAGCAGGATATATTTTTATCCAAAAATATATTTTATCATCTGTGAAAGTTAAAATGGTTTGTTTGTTTCCTTGCCTAAATCCAGGGAAAGGTATCTTGAATGACACATCACATTTTCTGAAGATGCAGGACAAATAAAAAGTTACTAAGAATACAGTTTATACACTTATCATCTCCAACAAAGAGAAAACCGCCAGGGGAGCTAGCAAAGAGGGATTTTGTTGAGCAGAAATGAGAGGAGGGAAGAGGAAAAAAGCATAATATTTCAATGTAGCTATTACTCCAAGACATTTTTGTAAAAGTTACAAATATTGTACCTGGAGCCCATCTACTTGTTTTACAGAGAACCTATTAGTTTGCTTTCATAGCTTCTTCCATCTCCAAATGTGTATCAGACAGACGTCTGGTTTTCTAACTGCTGCCAATTAGAAAAGAATCCATAATCAGATAAAGTTCTTACCTTACATTTCACTGTCCAGTTTTTATTTTCCTGAACATGACTGATCAACTGCCACAGAAAAAAAACCAAAGGGGACTGTGATGTGTACATTCATTGAGGTACTCAAATATAACTAAGAAAAATCTCCCCACAAAAACAGGGCTTAAAAAAACAAAAAAACAAAACTGTTTCCCAACGCTGCATGAGCATCTTCTTTGTCATCACATCCTCATTCAAACAACTCTAGAACCACAATGTAAAACAGTCTGGTAGAACTGCCTAAGTCAGATCATATTCCAACCAAAATTTAATAGTACCTAGTAGAAACTCAATAAAGTGGCCCAAAACAGTTAGTTCTACCCCCAACACAGATAATAGAGATATACTCAACATACACATTATAGAAAACAACCATGCATACTTGGACATATCTTGCAAATAAAAAAAAAAAAAAGCCGGGGGCACCTTCAACTCTAACACATCAGTGAACATTCAATTCTGTTAAATATTTAGTAAAGAATATATGTAGCAAGAGCTGGCTTCATCACCCCTATATTAGAATTTATAGAGTAACTCTGATAGCTTATATTCTGGCTCTAGTTTGGTGGTCTAAGGGTCT
The DNA here is from genome assembly GCF_000001405.40 of Homo sapiens. NCBI lineage: Eukaryota > Metazoa > Chordata > Mammalia > Primates > Hominidae > Homo > Homo sapiens. Next base: position 93,139,885 of record NC_000001.11, on the reverse strand, counting down.
AGGAATACACATTTATCACTTAGTAGCAGAATATTTATAAAAATGTATTTGTTTTGAATAAAAATGGAATTACAATGAGTAAGGTATATTGTTTCCACATCTTTTATATGCCTAGGGGCAAAACTTATTTTAAAAGTACAGGAAATCCTTTTTTTTTTTTTTTTTTTGAGACGGAGTCTCACTCTGTTGCCCAGGCTGGAGTGCAGTGGTGCGATCTTGGCTCACTGCTTCACTGCAAGCTCCACCTCCAGGGTTCACGCCATTCTCCGGCCTCAGCCTCCCGAGTGGCTGGGACTACAAGCGCCTGCCACCACACCAGGCTAATTTTTTTGCATTTTTAGTAGAGACGGGGTTTCACTGTGTTAGCCAGGATGGTCTCAATCTCCTGATCTCATGTTCCACCCGCCTCGGCCTCCCTAAGTGCTGGGATTACAGGTGTGAGCCACCGCACCTGGCCCAGGAAATCCTTTTATATGAACCCTAACAATTCTATGTAAGAAGCAAACATAGTTGGAAAATTAAGTCTGAATTTTTTAAAGTTTGGGGACACAATAGAGATATATTGTCTTTCAAATATAAAGTGTACATGCTCACTAAACGTACTTTAAGACCACTTAAGATGAACATGTGATAGTTATTAATATTATAAGAGGGATGAAGAAAATGAAAGCAAAGTTTTATAAAGATTAATTCAAGTGAACATACTAGCAGTGGAATTAGAAAATCCTTACCACCCTAGCTAAATAAAAGCAGTCAACTACTGCACTAGTGTGTATTTTCAAGCAAATACAGAAGCAAAACTCATTAGCTCTTTAAAAAATACACACATTTAATGTTGGTCTGTTTTAATTTCTAAGTAAAGCAATTCCAAAAATACAAACTGAACATCAGAGCCATGTGAACCACCATGAGAAAATAAAACAGACATTCACAATAATTACGTCTAAAGACAGTTCAGCTGGATAAATCATCTTCCAAGTATGTTAAAGAAAAATTTCTAAAAATACTGCTGGTGTTCAGTTAGAATTAAAGGACTTTGGGGAAAATGAAATAATATGATACAGGTGGAGTGAATAAGGATACACGGGATTTACATTTTTCATTACCCCTAGATATAAACAAACATTCAAAAATCAACACAAACTCTGTGTGTTATTCAAAATATTGCAGCTGCAGGAAAGGCAACCTTAAATTAATAGCTAGGGGAAAATCAAGTTTTGGTGGAGGTAAACAGAAGTAACAGTTTTTAATTTGCACTTTTGTAAAGCTCATTTATACCTGGCCAACCAGGAACCAAATGCAGACAATGAAGTTCTCTGCTTCTTTTGGCTATAATGTGACAAGAAAGGATCATCTTTTGAAGATGTTTAAAGAAATAAAGCAACTTTCTTTATAAACAGTCAAATAATCAATTAATGGAATAAATAAGTACTAACCCACATTTTAACCACTCTGTAATCACTACACTTTACATATTTTTTATTTTGGTGGCAAATTCCCCCATAATTAGTCTAAAATCCACCAATCACTTTTAAAAGTAAAATGAATAGCCACCAAAATAAGAAAATCTTCTGTTCACTCTTTGGCTAAAAAGGAAAACAAATAAAACAAAACAAAAAGAAACAGAAGACAACTGTAACACTGGTGATAAAAGAAACTTTTTTTTTACAAGTAAAATAAAGTTATCAATTTAAATCTTGGTACACTTTATAAAAACAAGAGGTAATGTTGTAATAAAACAGCAGTAGCCTCAGCTGGCAACATACTGTTTGTTAACCCTGTGCAATAAAATACTTTGTTCATACTACACTTATTCAAACATGACTAACAGTTACTACAGACATTTCAGGAATCTTCACGGGACTCCTATAGACTTACTGTTAAAAATGAGAGACATTTACAATCATAATGTGCCATGAAAACTTGAAAACGTTACTTCTAGTAGGAGATAATGTTCATATTATTTGAATTTGTTTTAGGTACTGAACAGCTGAGTTACAAGGACTAAAAGTGAAAAGCATTCTAAAAGCCCATGAACACTGTTGTTCACACCCTTCTTCAGAACACACTAAACTTGTCTGACACATTTCTCTTCATACATAGCAAGCAACAGCACCCAATAAAAGCCTGAGAAGAAATGCTGCTGTGTAAATACTGCAACTATTCCTGAAAAAAGAATTATGGGATATATACTCCAAAGCTGCCCATTCCCATAATTTGTATTGCATAGGTCACATAATCACACACATATATATACACGTGTGTATATATATGCACATGCAAGAATATATTAAGACGACAATGAAGTCTAGTCACAGAGCAATTTACAGGCTCAATATATTTTTTTACACTTTGCTTGAAAGAAAATTTCAATATTTTACAGTCTTTCAGTAGGCATTATATACACTGCACTTTATGAAATCTAAAAGGTATTGAAATAAATTTTTCCAACATTTTGGTAACAAAACAAACAACGTTTCTCCAAATACTTGTGCTATCTACATGATGTTTGCTCTGATAATCACTAATCACAAAAAACTGACTCAATGGAATAATTAGAAAAATTGTCTAACACCATGCATGGGTTTCAATCATTTTTAATATCCTATCCTAGAAACATTCTACAAATCTTAAGATTTAAAAAATTAAGTCTCTGTTCTGATTTTTAAAAGATACCTTTTTATGACAATATCCATAACATTGACAGGTACATGTTAAGGCTAGTATCATCCCCTTTTTTGAATTTTTTTGACTTTTTTTTTTTTTTAAGAAAGATAGTAAAAGCCAGACTCCTTTAGGGCTTTGAACTGTACCTACAGAAAATCAGAGTGCAGTGAACATAATGTTCAGTCCTACAGTCAGGATGCAGTTGCTCCTTCCCATTCCACAAGATACTGCACCTTTCCATCAAGTGTCACCCGACGTGCCAAAACTCGGTATTTTTCGCCACATGCTATTCTACCTGCAGCACCAAAATAACTGGTAATGGAGTTCTTTAGATGATTGAGTTGTAACTCCTGATCTGCTAAGTTATTCAGAATCTCTGTGTTGAGTTCATCAAACTGATAATCTTCTTTGCCTTCATCATCTTTTACAATTTCTGAGTTCTGAGTCTGGAGTGCTCTTCTTGGAAGACGACCTCTTCTTCTCCGCAAATGTGGTATTGCAGCAGGCCAAGATCTTCCTGTACGCGTTCTTTTTCTGGAGTCAGATAATCTATGTAACAGAGAAGGCCAGAATTGTCTACTGAGCTTTTTTAGCATCCTATGCCCATACAATATGTTCTCTTTTCTGGATTACTCTACTATACCATATATCCTTGATGATATAAAAATGAGCCAAACCCAAACAATAAATGCTATATAAATGGACTATCACTTGGGCTCATTACTTTAGATTTTGTCACGTTCTTGGAGCTGAACTTTGTGGAGCTTTTCTTCCTTAACTACTAGTAAGTTTAGGGTAATTTTTTTACTTAGGAGGCCAACAAGGAAAATTCTTACGAAGAGGCCCTACTCATAAATCAGGTATTGCCAATAATCACATCATTTAAAAGAGCTCATTCATTTGTTCATTAGAACAAATAATTAATGAGCACAAACTACATCTATGACACTGCTCCATGTCCTTAAAGAGTGGAACTAGAATAGAGGTTCTCTTATTACCAGTTCTAGGCCTAGTGAAGTAATACACCAGAATCAGAATAAGCACAAACTAGCAGTCAGAGTATCCTGGGTCTATCCCTAACTCTATTACTTGGCCAAATTCAAATCTCAATCTCTATGTTCATGAACTTAATGAGTGAAGGGGTTAGACTGGATAATGTGTGAGGTCCTTTTCAGCACAGAAATTCAATTATTTTATGATTTTATAATAAAAGGAGAATATAGTACAACAACTAAATTGAAAGACCTACAGTCATACTGTATAAGTTAACAACCCAGCTCTGTTATACTTGCTAAACATGCAATGTTGGGCTTGTTACTTAAAATCCCCTAAGTCTCACTTTCCTCATCTGTAAAATGAGAACAACAGGACTTACACAACTCAAAAAATTGTTCTCTTTTGTTTGTTTGAGACAAGGTCTCACTCTGTTGCCCAGGCTGGAGTGCAGTGGCACAATCATGGCTCACAGGAGCCCTGACCTCCTGGGCTCAAGTAATCCTCCGCCTCAGCTTCCTGATTATCTAGGACTACAGACACCAATACCACGCCCAGATAATTTTTTTCTTTTGTAGGGATGGGGTCTCATCTCAAACTCTTGCCTCAAGCAATCTTCCCACCTTGGCCTCCCAAAGTGCTGGGATTATAGGCATAAGCCACCACACCCAGCCAAAAAATTGTTTTAAGAATTAAATAAGACAATATTTGTAAAAAGCTTAGCAGAGTATCTAGTAAGAGGCCCCAAAAAAGTCGATTATTCAGAATTCATTAATAAATGGGTTACACTTTAAGCATTTAATGTAGAATTTTGCATAATTTATAACAGCAGTTTTCGAATTATGAACAAAATTTAAACAGAATGAAGTATAAAACTTGAAAATAGTAGCTCTGACCCCAAATAGATTAACCTTTTCATACCTGACATGATGTGCTTTAGAGAAAAGTTGTCCTGGCCAGGCAAAGTGGCTCACGCCTGTAATCCCGGCACTTTGGGAGGCCGAGGCAGGTGGATCACTTGAGATTAGGAGTTCAAGACCTGCCTGGCCAACATGGTGAAACCCCATCTCTATTAAAAATACAAAAAGTTAGCTGGGCATGGTGGCGCACGCCTGTAAATCCCAGCTACATGAGAGGCTGAGGTGCCAGAATTGCTTGAATCCAGGAGGCGGAGGTTGCAGTGAGTCGATATCATGCCACTGTACTCCAGCCTGGGTGACAGAGCGAGACTCCATCTCAAAAAAAAATAAACAATAAACAAAAACGTTGTCCTTCTGAAGGGCTGGATTAAATAAGATATCAGAGGGGAGTCTGCTATTGATGAAAATCTTAAGTTTAAAATCATTTTATGGACAAAAGGATTTAGGTGTCTGATTTTTTTTTTTTTTTTTAATCAAATCTTGGCCAGCTGTAGTGGCTCAGGCGTGTAATCCCAGCACTTGAGAAGGCCAACACAGGAGGATCACTTGAGATCGGGAGTTCAAGACCAGCCTGGGCAAATTAGCAAAACCATCTCTACAAAAAATAAAAAAGCATTACTTAGGTGTGGTGGCACAATCTGTAGTCCCAGCCACTAGAGAGGCCGACATGGGAGGATTGTTTGAAGCCAGGAGTTTGAGGCTGCAATGAGCCATGATTGTGCCACCGCACTCTAGCCTGGGCAACAGAGTGAGAATCTGTCTCTTAAAAAGAAAAAAAAAAATCATATCTTCCTAAAGCAAAGAACACTTGTGTAGCAGAGGCATTAAAAAGCCTAACGAGCACAGCTTCTAAACAATGGTATACTTTTTCTCTGTGTACACAGCAAATTTCCACACAAACATGAAAAATACATTTGTACTCTAGAAAGCAAAAATATTTCAAATGAATATTAACAACTATTGGGATCTACATATGGATTACCTCTCAAAAAGCTGATAGACACAACTTACATCACTTTCAATTGCTAAAAAATTATTCAATCAACACTTTACAAAGAAAAGAAATCTAGAGTAAAAAAAGTAAAAAAAATAAGAATGTAAAATATCTACCCATAATGCCTGGAAATGCTAGACGAGGTAGTTTCTTTTGCACTGGAAGCACCCGTGAAATCCACATCTGAGGTATTGGATGAATGTGCAGTTCCCTCAGTTCTCCTGAGACAAAAGAATTTAAATTGTGTAACGACTATATTATATAACAAACAAATATTAATATCTACTCAAAAGACAAAACCTAGAAAGGGAGAAAATAACTTTCTATTTACCCTATAGAACAAGGTAAATCCAAAGTAGGATTCTCTGAAATTGATTCCTTATCCTGGAAAATAAAAATATATACTTAAAGCATGTCTCTAAAGTAAGCTGAAAAAAATACTAGCTTCTCAGTTATTTCATGCATCCTTCTTCTTGAGAACATATACCAACATATCCTCTTACCAAAAGTGGCTCAGCAGTTTTTTGAATCATTTTTCTTGTATATGGGCCAGGTGGACGACCTACAGATTTTTTCTTTCCTTTTTTTTCTATGCCATTGCTTACTTCCCTGAAATGGAAAACCATTATGCATTTAATCTCTGCATAAAGAAAACAAAGACATTGACTCTATGTATGTAACTAGACACATATACATATATTTTATTATTTTATATTAATGGTAATAAAAAGTAAATATTAGTTGAATCCACAAGTTTAGTCAAGTGCACAGATAATATATTCTAATCCAAATAAATATTTCTTGACTTTAAAGATATTTACATTATGAAAGGTTTAAAGAAAGTCCTCTTTAATATAATTCTGAACAATATATACCACTTAAAGATTTAAAAACAACAACAAAAACCAGACAATTATACTGGATGGAAGATTTCAAAACTCCTAAAAGCTCAATTATATAGTTTAATTTTAGGTGGTTACAACTTGGAGGATGTTTCAAGGATTTACTACTAAAAATGACTATGAATTTAGCAGTTAACTTCATGGAGTCAGGAAATATCTATGTTAACATTGTAGTAGTCATAAAGGCTGCCTTTAGATATATATGTAGATTCTTGAATGACACTATCAGAAAGAGAATGAAGCCCAGAGTGGCAGAATGTAAAGGAGAAAGGAGTAAGAAATCCTTCATATTCTCAGGGAGTCATTCAAAAGGAAAAATCAGAAAGACCTAGAAAACCATTTTTTAAACATAAAGCCAAATACCAAGCAATAGGAAGGAAAAAAGTGCAATAGGCAAAGACACTAATTATAGAAAAAAAGAAAATATATATATAGAAAGAATATCTATTTCATTTACTCAGCAATAGCTACCATATAAAGATGATATTAGATAATATGGATACAAAGGTGTTCCCTGTGCTAAAGAGTTCACAATATAGTTAGAAAGTGACAAATGTGTATACAAGCCAAGCTAATAAAATGGAGTGAGGGCTATGAGGAAATTGTCCAGGAGACTTCAATTAAGGAGAGAAAAAAGAACACTATACAATAGCCTAGAAAGAGATGAATGGAGAAAGTAGGAAAAAAACTTATCCCTCCAGATGCCAAAAAAGGTCAGGGAATAAAGGTGGAAGTATGAGGAAGGAGAAAGTAGGGGAACTAGAAGGACAAAGTAGAACCAGACGCTATAATCAAAAGTCTCAAGAATAAGATGGATGGGATATCCATTTCTTTTGTAAAATGATCAACATAATATTTATAAAGGACTCCTGGACTAAAGAAAGTAATCTCAAACTAAAAGGAACAACTTATACACAAGGTCCAGAAGGAACTGAGGATGCCTTTAAAGAAAGCAGCTGAATCCTTATCTGGTGGCATCAGATGACCTGATAGCTACCACAAAGGGAATATCCTATCACAATCATGATAGAAATGAAAAAGCTTGTGGAATTTTTTTTTCTGATTCATAATATGGGCAACTGCTAGCAAAGGATCTGAGTGACAAAATCTGAAAGTGATAGAATAAGCATTCTTTCCTTCATTCAAAGAAAACTTAATTAGTAGCTAATTTCTTACAAACTTCATATAACTGGACTCATTGTCAAGGCTTTGTAATGACATTTTCCTTATCTCCAAGATGACTATTCCATACCTTTAACTGACCCTTAAATTCCCCTCTCTGTACAAGCCTCTCAGCTATCTTTACCTTATATTTCATCGAGAAAATGGAGGCTACCAGGCAAGAACTTCAGTCAATTTCCTTATCTCCAAGATGACTATTCCATACCCTTAATTGACCCTTAAATTCCCCTCTCTGTACAAGTCTCTCAGCTATCTTTACCTTATATTTCATCGAGAAAATGGAGGCTACCAGGCAAGAACTTCGGTCAATTTCCAACTGCCCAATCTACAACAGAACTGGCATCTGTACCCATCTTCTCTTTCACCCCATTTCAACAGAAGGATGCTTCTCCTTCTAGAAAAGGCCAGTCCCACATTCAGGCTCTACATCCCTTCTCTTTTGGCTTCTACTCTCCTATACCAATTTCCTCTTCTCCACTGGATCATTCCTACTTACACACAAAAACAGGTTCCAACTATCTCCCATCTATTTTAAAAAACCATCATTTGACTAGTCCTATCCCCCTCTTCAGCTGCCATTCCATTTGTCGGCCTCCCTACATAGGAAAGCTTCTAGGTGTTGATGACATATACCCTTTCCATTTTCTCCCCTCTCATTCAGGATCCTTAAAGATAGTTTCCTATTTTCCTCCTTTCCTTTACTACTGTTATTATTTTGAATCTGCCTGTGTCCCTGATACGCAGGAGAAGCCCAGTTTGACACGTAAATTTGGCAATGCTGGGTTCAGTCATACTTTCACCCAGTCCTATCTGGTTTCTATCTGTACCACTTCAAAGAAATTCCTTTTATCAAGGTCACTAATAACAAAATGATACCTTATGCAATAAATATTTTTCTTTCATTTTAATCTACCTCTCACTAGCATTCAATACACTTTAATATACCTATCTCTCTTGAAACACTACCTTTCTTTTGGTTGTCATGACATCAAACTTCCTGGTTTCCTCCCATCTCACTGATCATTCTTTTTTAGTCTCCTTGCTTATTTCACCTCTTCCAAATTTATAAATGATATCAGGACATGATCCCAGACCACCCTCTCTTCTCTCTCTACTTGCTCCCTTGGTAATTTCACTCATTCTCATAGCTTTTATCAATCAGATTCCAAATTTGTATCACCTGCCCAGACCTCTCCTATGAGCTCCTGAATTACACATCCAATTGCCTGTATTTCACATCATCCTGTGTGTATGAGGGTGTGTGTGTGTGTGTGTGTGTGTTTGTCCCTCATAAGAATCTCAAATTCAATGAATATGAAACAGAAGAATGCTTCATTCACCATACCAAAATCTGTTCTTCCAGATCTTGATTAACCACCCACCAGTTGCTCAGGCCAGAAATCTGGGCATTATTTAATTGATTCCTTATTTTCAGAAATTTAATTCATTAGCAAATCCAATTAATTCTACCTCCAATAAAGACCTCATATCTGTTTTCTCTCCATTTGAGTGTTACCACCTACCTCTGCACAAGCCCTCATATCATCTATCTCTCACCTAGACAATTGAGTGTTAATTTTCTCCTGCTTTTATTCTTACCTCTATACTATCCATTCTCAAAACAGCATCCAAAACAATATTTTTTTTTTTTGAGACAGAGTCTCGCTCTGTTGCCCAGGCTGGAGTGCAGTGGCACGATCTCGGCTCACTGCAACCTCCGCCTCCTGGATTCAAGCGATTCTCCTGCCTCAGCCTCCCAAGTAGCTGGGACTACAGGCAAAAGCCACCATGCCCGGCTAATTTTTGTAATTTTAGTAGAGATGGGCTTCACCATATTGGTAAGGCTGGTCTCAAACTCCCGACCTCAGGTGATCCACCTGCCTCGGCCTCCCAAAGTGCTAGGATTACAGGTGTGAGCCAGTGCACCCGGCCAAGTATTTCTAAAAGATAATTAAATCCCTTACATGCCTCCCCATTATTCTTAGAAAACAACCCAAATTCCTTGTAAGACCTACAAGACCCTACACAGGATCAAGCCCCACCTAATCTTTCCAATACCTGATGCTACTCTCTCATCCTCATTTATACCACACCAGTCTTCTGTGAGTTCTTAGAATATGTTTCAAAGCCTTTGCACTTGCTGTTTCTGCTAGCTGGAGTAGTTTTTCCCTTTGTTTTTCACATTGTTATAACATTCTCATTCTTTAAGTCTTAATTTAAATATTATCTTAAATAGTCCTTCCTTAAGCCACATTGTTAAAGTACAAAGGCCCCATCTCTATCCACAGTAAAGTCTAAAACAGTATGCTATCCTACATGGCACTAGCATAATCTGTAACTATTTTACTTATCACCTTTGTAAACCCCATCAGGGCAGAAGAAAAATCTATCTGTCATTGTACTGCCTAGCACTTAGATAATAAGGCACTTGAAAACTTAGATAATAAGGCACTTGAAAACTGTGCTGAATGAATGAATCAATCAATCAATCAATCAATGAAAAGTGAACAAACAAACAGGCTAGTACTCTTAAGCTGTTTGCTAACAAAATCAATAGAGTCTATTTCTGGAAGGCCAAAGTCCTAAAATAAATAAACAAGCATCTGGCATCAACTCTTCATACCTTGTCTAAGCAAGATATGATAGACCAAAAAAAAAAAAAAAAAAAATCAGAGTAACTGCCACTTGTACTTTCAAATATACTAAGGAGACTAAATAACATACATTTTTAGTTACAAATAAGCTAAAGAGAAAAACTAAGCCACAGATCAACTTTTACCTTGAATCAGATATAGGTTTGGATGCCTTTCTGCCTTTAATTTTAAATTCATGAGATGTTCCTTCAGGTTCTTTCTCTGCTTTGAAAGCCACATTTGGTGGCACAGGAGGAACACGAATTCGCAACCCAAACAAATGCTTCTTCTTCTTTATTTCTTTCCCAGACATAAACCTAAATTTTTAAAAAAATTAACTAAAATTTTAAAAACTGAACACATATACATAGTAGACCCTAACTTAACTTTCATATATAAGGCCCTTATACTTGAAAGCCCACCCAATACTACAAAAATTCACTTCCCCTTGCTTTCCTTGATTTTTATCTGCCCCAGAGCCAGTCTACAGTAGGATATGATGGGGAGGAAGGGATAGGACCAGAAAGGAGAAGAGCACATGTCCACTTTTCTTTTTAAACATGGCAACTAACTTTTTAAAGGAAGAAAGAAGAACAAAGAATGGTATATTTTTGGTCCCAATATGCTTTCCCATATTTAGTGTCATCTGTTAGAAATATTTCAAAAGGGATTTAGGGAAAAAAGAATTCCATCTCAGAGTGGATTTATAAAGAGAAAAACCTTAGTCAGAAATAATAGGTGACAGCATTGAAAAAGAAAGCAGGAGATAAATCCTAGAGGCCCAGAAAATAAAAGGAGTATCTAGAGTGCCGGATCTGGAAATGGAAATAACCTGGGGCAAAGAAGGGTTATTCCAGTTTATTATGGACTTGGGCCTCTGCAAAATATGCTCCTTAGACCTTTCTTTTAGTCTCTATGGTCCTTATTCCCAAGCAACTCCATCTACCTCAGCTCTACTGAAACTTGCCTGGCCACAAGAACCTCCATCAGTTGTTTAGAATGTTCTCCCTCTCTTTTTAATTTTTTTTTTTTTTTTTTTGAGACAGAGTCTCGCTCTGTCACCCAGGCTAGAGTGCAGTGGCTCAATTCGGCTCACTGCAACTTCTACCTCCCGGGTTCAAGCGATTCTCCTGCTTCAGCCTCCTAAGTAGCTGGGAATACAGGTGTGCACCAACATGCCTGGCTATTTTTGTATTTTTAGTAGAGACAGGGTTTCACCATGTTGGCCAGGCTGGTCTCAAACTCCTGACCCCAGGTGATCTGCCTGCCTCGGCTTCCCAAAGTGCTGGGATTACAGGTGTGAGCCACCACGCCCAACCAAAATGTTCTACTTTTTTGCAGGTTTAAGAAAGGGGATCCCTCATTACTACCATAACAGGAACAGATATATTTCTGGTACCCTAAACTGAAATTCAGAATTCACTGTCCCATGAAACATTTTTACCAGCACAATAACTGCTCAGGTACCTTATGACTTTTTTACAGTCTTTTTTCCTTTTTATTATACTTCAAGGTCATATCAGGTACCTCATGGCTTTTTGAGCTGGTGTAAAGATCCAGCCACTGGTAATTACATTATTTAATGAAGAAATACTATCAATTTCAAAACACCAACTTATTGCCAACAAAAATTTTATAATATAAAATTTCACTGGAGTCAACACATACATTTATAAAATTTGTTGCATTTAAAAATGTTTCTAAGAAATGTAGATACATTGTTTTAAAAAGAAGGGAATCCTTGTTAGTATAGTGGTGAGTTAAAAAAAAAGTAAAAATAAGGTAGGGGGAAGACCTGTAGATCTGTATGAGAATATATCAAATAATATCACTTAATTATCTTAGACTACTCAGCTAGAAATATTATTTTCTGTAACTAATGGTGTTAACTATTATAACCACAGATCTCAATCTTTTTAAAAACCCGTATTCCCTACAATATTCTCTATCTTTTGAATATTCCCACCAGCTAACAAGATTTTATTTTACTTTCAGTACATTACATTATAGAAGGAAGTTATTACTGAATATGCTTTTTCAATGGAACAGGCTAAATTCTCCCAGAGATACCGATATGTCTCCCACCCACCATTCCCAGGAGAAGGATTACTCCTCCCTCCTCCAATCCTTGAGAATCACTGCTTTAATCTAACTAAAATAGAATAGGACATTATAAAGTTTAAAATGGTATAGACTTCTTCTGTACATCAATCCCACAATTCTTAAACAATGCCATTATTCCTTATACTTACTAAATGTCTCCCTCATAGGGATACATAAAATAAATCAACTTACATGGTCTTGTAATCATTTAATGCCTCCAGAACATGCTCATATCTTTCAGATTTTGGTGTGTCTGCCAGCTGTGAAGTATCAAGAAACAATTTAACGCACTACAATTTCATCAATTAGTAATATACAGGTGCTAGATAGAGGCAATGTGATGCAGAGGAAAAGTGTACTGATTGGTAGTCAGAAGATCTAAGTTCTAATTCCAAGTCCTCACTGACTATTATGTGACCTAGGGCCATTTAACCTCTCAAGGCTTATTTTCTCACTTATAAAAAATGAAGTATAAATCCTACACTAGTTACTTGTTCATTACATTAATCCAACGATATGTTTATGAAGGAACTACAAACTGTAAAACACCACAAAAATGGGACTGTATTATTAGTTATTAAATTTTTCAAAAATTCTTTAACCTAGGGAAATAATACATTAGAATTATTTTAATATTTACTATAAAAGTTCCTAACAGATATCAATAGGAAGTACAAAAAGTAGTAAGAAACATACCATTTTCCAGTACCTCTAACATTAAGCATAAACCGATAATCTCTATAATTTTTTAGAATACTGTAAAATTGAGAGATCTTTTCATAACAATTATAGACTTTAGCCAGCTCTAAATGGCTCAATAATTTTTCATCATAACAAACTGTTTTAAAATCTAAATATTTAATTCTAGAAAAAAACCCTATTTTGTTCCAATAGGGCTTTTTCTCAGAGACCTTTCTGCCTCTTCTTGACTAAGGCATATTAGCAAAGAAATCTTAAATTACAAAAGGACCATCCTGAATTAATGCTACAAACACCTTAAAAAAAAAAAAGCTGCTTCCAAAATATCACAGTTGACTTTCAAAATTACAGCCAGTATGTTCTTTACCAGTTGAAACTCCCAAGCCTCAGAACTGCTTTAAGTGAGAGAGAAAACAAATCTGCCAAATAGAATGCTGGAGCTAGAAAAAACTTGTAAGTCATCTACTCCAATTCTATTTTACACGAGTTAACAAATATAAAGGTTAAAACTGCTCAAATTCACCTGTCTAGTTGGTGAGAGAGCTAGAACCTGAACTCAAGTGATAAGCCCATTCATTCTACACTCACTGAGAGCCCACTCTGTGCCAATATGCTGAGTGCTAAAAAAAAAAAACATGTTAAATACGAGTTAGGTACTCATTCCCCTATATCAAACCACCAACTCCTACTGTAATTTCTGAAGGGTCTAATGATAGAGAATTTCAATTTTAAAGGAGGAATAATAGAATCAGACTTTAAAGCTTGAATGAGACCCTAGATCCAATTCAGCCTTCCACCAATATTGCAGTCTCTTTTACAGTACAGATATTTATTCGACCTTGGCTTAATTAGTGCCACTGATAAAAGCTGATAAGGCACCAACTAAAAAAGCCCATTCCATAAGTAGGCAAAATCTTCCTCCCCAGAGCTCTTTCATTCCTTCTTTTACAAGACAGCTCTTCAAATATCTGAATGCAATTATTATGTCTAATTATAAGATTAGGTTAAAATGTTTAATAGCTATATCACATGGTTACTTCATATTAAGCTTCTGACTAACTCTGTCTTCTTCCTGGTCCCCCCTCCCCACCCCAACTGTGAAATCTTATCAGATGAACTGCTATCAAATTGAGTATCCCCTATCATACCCATGTACTGTTTGTGTTTATGGCTAAAGCAGAATTTTATAACTGCTGTTAATTGATCTTGTTTTCATCTCAATGTTCCAGATCTTTTCTCTTGATTCTGTCATCCTTCTAGAATTGAAGGTAGAGACAAAGACAGAACCCCTATGGCCCTCCATAAGAGTCTCCCTCAAGAATGTTTCCAAAGCACCGACTTTGTTACTGTTTTTCCATTAGTTACAAATCCATTTAATTTTCATTTTAACCAGTTCACATTTTAATATCTCATCTGAAATCAAGTTATACTATGTCTATATCATGCCCAAACCAGTGTTTGCTAACCATAAAAAAAAAAAAAAAAAAAAACACTGACAAACCAGCGTTGCTAATCATATCAAAAAAGAAACCAAGGGTATACATGACTTATTCTAATAAGAGATTTTCCTTATTGCCTTTTAAATCTTCACAAACCATATATCTGAAAAATCTGAAAATTTGCTGAGTCAACAGCAAAACTAACTTCCTAATTTCTAAAACCCACTTTTTTACTTTCTGACGATCGCAATGAACTCTACTTTCTTTTGGTATTTACTCCCTACCGTTTCTCAGAAATTTTATCTACTAAGTTCCTTCAGCACTCCATGACTACTCTGCATAGAACTGCATATTTTAGCTACCATAAAAGTGCCAAAGACTTCCCTCTTTCAGTGTTTTGCAAACTAAAAGTACAACCATTATAGTGTAAATCAGATAATCTACATTAGAAGAGCATCATATTCTACACCTTCCATCTGACCATGAGGTTTATTATATAAATCTCCAAAAGAATATTTTTTTTTTGCTCCCCCCTCTCCAGATACTAATCTCACACTAATACTTACAGTATAACTCTTCCTTTCAACTACCAATATTAAGTTCCAAGCCACCTGGGCTTAAGTATCCCAACAACTTAGGTAATTTGTTGCTAACCACCATACTATATGCTAATTATAACACTCTAAGCCCCAAGGAATTTTTGTTCAGATTTCTTATAATTTCCACTTATAAATATTATTCCACCTCTATTGTATATTTTCCTCTAGTATCATTTCTACCACAGTATTTCTTGAGTTTCATCTTTGCTTTTCTCCCTACCTCCCTCAGAAGTGAAGTAGCACTCCATAAATTATTCTGGTATCAACCTCAGGGTTTCTAAAATTTAAGACCACAGAAGAGTGGTTATTACAGAACTAGGATTTCAAATAACTTTAAGAATCAAACACAAATGACAATAAGCGATTACAAAAAGTACTAATATCTCATTTTAAACTCCCCAAAACAATCTGATACAACAGATGAGACTTCATTTTACATAAAAACCTTAAGAAAGTTTATCATGGTTTCAAATGTTAAGTATTTTTACTATCTCAAAGAAAATAATCCAAAACATAGTAGTTCCTCAAACAGCTACACTCAATCTATATGATAATCATTAGGTACCAAGCCAAAAGAAGTACAAAAACTACATAAGGAAACAATGTAATACTACCATTATCTTCTAAAATGATTCAAAAGTTTTATCTTCTCTTCATAACAATCCTATACCGTATTCAACTAAGAAAAAAATATGATACATGAATGTTACATTTTGGCTTTTCAGTATGACAGGATATTATCTCCAAAAGTGTAATATTTTTGAAACTTCTTTTTATTACTAAAAGAAGTCACAGCTTTGGATGATAATGATGTATTGATGTAGCTTCATCAATTATAACTATCTACCATTATGGTGGAGGGATGTTGATAATGGAGGAGGCAATGCATGTGTGGCAGAAGGGGACAACCTAAATCTGCTCTTAAAAAAAAAAAAAAAGTCTTTAAAATAAAAACAGTCACAGTGCTTCCTTTATTAAAAAAAGGGGGGGGGGACACAATACACGAAACAGAATACAACTGATTCAATGTAAGATTACAGCAAGTAATTACAAATGTAAATATGTATTTACTAGGTTTCTAAAATAAAAAATACCATTAAAGTTTAGCCAGCCTCATCATATGTAAAATTATAATTCAAAGTTCAGGGATAATAAATGTGGATAACTGCCTAGTTGTGCAATATATATTCCTACGCAAAATGCCATAAAAAATCTCAATCAACTTATATCATTACAAAATTTTTTCTCTGATCTGGTGGCAAGAGGAAGGAAACTCCACATTTTAGATAAACTAAAATCACAACCTTTGTTCTATTTTGTTTCATTTTTGAAGATAAATTTCTAGAGCAGGCGCTTTAGTCTATATTACGTATAACAAGAATTGCTGAGGCAGGAAGATAACTTGACCTCAGGAGTTCAAGGCTTCAGTGAGCTATGTATGACTGTACCATTGCACTCCAGCCTGAGCAAGGGTCTCTTAAAAAAAAAAAAAGAGAGAGAGAGACTCTCCTGTCCTGTCTCTTAAAAAAAAAAAAAAAAAAAAAGAAAGAGCTGATGTTCAAAATGACTAAAGTACTCCAAGGTACTCAATTATAAAATATAAACATTATATTTAGCATACACTACTTCCCATGTTTTGAAAATAATTAATGGCATTTTATAAGATTTGGAACAAGAATATAAACAAAAGTAAATTTTTGTTAACCTAAATTTGGATTAGTGACAAAATTCAATTTGTAATTCATTTTTAGTTTATCAAAAATTTTCTATTCAAATAATTTGGAATGACCCATTATTTATGTTACCTTTTTATTGATCACTACAAACATTTGAAAGTAATCTAAATGAAAAACACTGAATAAACATGATAAACTAGCATAAATTTTATCATCTCTTTATTATTAAAAACTCACCCTAAAATCCAATTATAATTACAGTACAAAAATATAAAATACAGAAAATTAGAAACCTTAACTTCAATCTGTCAGTTACCAAAGTCTGTGAATGAGATGTCTCATCTAAGAAGTCTGAATATTTTCTTATTTTAATCCACAGAAAGAACAGTAAGAAATTATTAGTCTCTTGTTTTAGTAATAAATTTGATGGTCAAAAAGTGGAAATAATTTGCAAAACTTTTTCTTTTTTTCTAAGACATTACCTCATAGGCTACAGAAATAAAAACATGTATTATTACTGAAGCAAATTTTTTCTAGTATGTTTCAGAAGTTCAGTTGGAGCTGGGACACCCAAAATTCATAAACTGAACTCTTTTCTTGAAAAATATACTAAATGTGATTTTCATTTTCTTATATTTCCAGCCTCTCAAATAAAATCTAAACACTAAAATTTAAATTTTAATTAAAAAGGACAGCATTTGAAATAAACACAACTTGAGTTTTTATATTATATATACCCAATGTCTACATCAAGTTACTACTGCAGAATTTCATCATGTAATGCAGACAATGTACTAACAGGTATACATATGTATCTGCATATGAAGTGCTAAAAGAATAATGGCTAGAAAGAATTTTTAAACAAATGTATTATAGTATTAAATATTAAGATAATTATAAAAACCACTATAGCCACTTCTAATGCCTTACCCCTTACTTTCTGATTACTAATCAGTTTATTAAAATTTATCAAATGTGGCCATGCCCAGTGGCTCATGCCTGTAATCTCAGCACTTTGGGAGGCCAAGGTGGGCGGATCACTTAAGGTCAGGAGTTCAAGACCAGCCTGGCCAACATGGCAAAACTCCATCTCTACTAAAAATACAAAAATTAGCTGGGTATGGTGGCAGGTGCCTGTAATCCCAGCTACTTAGGAGGCTAAGGCAGGAGAATGGCTTGAGCCTGGGAGGCGGAGGTTGCGGTGAGCTGAGATCACGCCATTGCACTCCAGCCTGGGTGACAGAGCAAGACTCCGTCTCCAAAAAAAAAAAAAAAAAAAAAAAAAATCAAATGTACACATCACTCACTTTCTCTCAGACTTCATCTAAAAAAAAAGTATTTAACAGAAAACTTAACAAAAATTTGTATGATAATCCAATATCTAACATTCAAAACTCAAATGATGAATTCAAAAATTCATCAATTGAATTTCAATAATATCCTAGATTTTAAAACTACAAACTAAATCATGCATTATGTTCTCCCTGATATCCCATAAACCCCCAAAAAGCCCTTTGATATCCTATTTGATATGAAATAGGATGTCCTTCGTGTCTCAAAGCTACAAATCAAGAAATTCTTCCTAAACTTCAAATCAGTGTGCAAAATTTTTACCTAAAAAAAAGCATGACTAAGATATACATATCAAATTCCATATTATAAAACAAATTTTTTAGTTTTAACTAAAAGTAGTTAATATATGTACTTTAGTAATTCTAAATAAAAGCTAAAAATAAGGTCCCTAACTATTAAACTTATTCTAGTTACTTTTCTCTTTCTGCTATTCATTAGTTTCAAAATTTTCTTTAATGAACACACATTACTTTTAAATTCATTTAAAAAAAGACTGTAAACCAGCATAGGTAGTTACACTTCAAAAATGAGAAGCAAAATGAGATGTCAGAATGAGAGGGGATAATTTTCTATTCAGGCAGCTTCACTCTACAACTCATTTTTCTAACAATATTATTAGATCCCACCATTCCTACAAGTCAGAAATATATAAAGGAGTACCAACAAGAGAGGAAGGAAGAATGTTGGTTATATCTCTAAGTTTATAGAAAACTTAGAAGAAAAGGAGGTTGAACTACAAGTAAGATACCCAATACTAAAGATTTCTCCCTCCCTTCTATCTTTAACTACAATGACTTTCACTTCAGAAAATGAAAGAATCAAATAATATACCTCCTCCTTCTACAAATTTCCAGAGTCAACAGGCAACAAACACACAGGAGGATGAGAAGGCTGGTCCTGATATCCATACCAAACTTATTTGTCCCCAGAACTAAAAATAAAATTCTATTTTAGTTGTCTGACTTATACATGTGTCTCAGTTGTTTTTTGAAAAACAAAACAAAACAAAAAAGACATCAAGTAGCTACTGAAGTTAGTTCTCAGACCACCTACCTCTCCAGGGTGCAATCTATCCCAGTTTTCATTAATGTATGTCATAAGCTCAAGTTCAGAATCAAAGTATTTCTTCTTATGAATAACACTTAGGTTGTAAAGGCATAGGTGTGCTATATCTACCCTGGAATCCGAAAATAATCAAATACACAAAACAATGTTTTTGGTTACTGTTAAAAAATCACGGTTTCCTTATAAAACAGTAATTAAAATGCAAAGAGAAATATTTAGGTGGATAGTCATATTCACAATACAATAAATCACTACACATAAAAATAACTAGAAAATAGTGACTAAACATTCACTTATTCTGAATAGCAACTATAAACTAGAAGATATATGAATTACTTCTTTTTTTTTTTTTTTTTTTTCTTGGAGACAGAGTTTCGCTGATTGCCCAGGCTGGAGTAGTACAATGGCACAACGTCAGCTCACTGCAACTTCCGCCCCGTGGGTTCAAGCGATTCTCCTGCCTCAGCCTCCCTCAGCCTCCCGAGTAGCTGGGATTACAGGCGCCCACCACCACGCTAGGCTAAATTTTTTTGTATTTTTAGTAGAAACGTGGTTTCACCGTGTTGGCCAGGCTGGTCTTAAACTCCAGACCTCAGGAGATCCACCCACCTCGGCCTCCCAAAGTGCTGGGATTACAGGCGAAAGCCACCGCACCTGGCCACAAATTACTTCTTCAAGTGCATTCAAAGAGGGTCTGGCTTTAAAAAAATATAACTTAAAATCAAGATTTTTGTGTTTTCACTTCCGGATATAAGCTACAGAATATACCATACTTAACCAAACTATTTGATTCATGGGTTAAATCCTATCTGTTGATAAAATATGTAAAATACAACAAAGATTTGTAAGTACTTACTGTAAGCATTTTATTAGTAAACCTCTAAAATTCATCACACTTCCAACACACAAGAATTACTACATTGAAGCAGAAATTAGCATATTTGTTATACCTATCTCTCTTCTACTGTATGGTATTCTGAATGTTCAAAAGAACTAGAAATATGAGTAAGAATTTAGGTCTAAAGGATATCTGAAAGTTTCATTTATAACATTCAACACTGAACAGCCTTATTAATTTAGCAATACAAGTGGATGTTACTTAGTGAAGATGACATCAGGCATGAGGATAAATAAAAGAAATAAAGCCAAGCATAAATAACCTATTTTTACTTAAGCCAAGTAAATGTATATAGAAAGTTTCAACTTGTAGGTTTAAGAAAATGGCTTTTCTTTCTTTTAACAGAAAGGTCCACACTTACCACTGTAATGGTAGACGTTTGAGGTATTCTGGTCCAGAACTGCAGACAGAGCATATAAACGTATAAAATCTAAGAAAAAAAAAAAAAAGAAAAAGTTTTATACTGAGTCATCAGAGATAAACTAACAATTATAGCTAATATTCACCAAGTGAATAACCTACAGCTGATATAAAGACTGATACTCAAAACAAAATATAATTTAAATTATAATGCTTTCTGTGATTGAAGGAAGTTCTTTTCCAATAACAAATAATGAAACAGTTCATATGTGAAGAGAAAGGATCTTTGTTTTTAACCATTGGAGACCTTCAAAGTTCACACACAGACTCACACGTACTTATAGTTTACTAATCGCTTGTGTGTGCCAGGAATTGTGATGGCTGCCCCCACATACATAGTTTAATTCAACGCTCAAAATAACATAATAAGCCCGAAAGAGACAAGTGAACTTCCCTAAGGTCAGAAAGAAAATTAAGTGGCATAAGCCAAGATTTTTAAAACCAGGTTTTCAGATGTCAAACTTAGTGGTCTAGCTTTTTGTTCCTGGAGCTCACTGTGCTACCCTGCATTCTTCTAATATAGAAAGTACATTAAGTCTGCTTTTACAAATTTTTCATATCTAAAGTATAGTTGTGTCTTTAACAAGGCCCTGTGGTCTTTTCCAATTCTAATACTATCCCTTTGAGGTTCTTTAAAGGAAGGTACCAATGAGAATACTTTAGAGTACTATGGGTCAATAGGAGCAAATGTAATCACTGACAATACTTAAAAGCATTCTGGAATAAAATCCAAAAGCACAAAAATTACGTATATTTTAAGTATATTATTTAATATTTTCCCTCTGAGACAACCCCTTTCCAAATCACTGTTGAAACTATCTTTAGGAAATCTGAAATCACAAATATAACCACAATTAAAAAGTGACAAAAATCAGCCAGTAAAGTTCAAATGCCCTTCTCACCTGTCTCCAAATAGCATTGGCTTTTGAAGGCATTGCACACAAGCCTCATGAAACCACTGCTTACATTTGCAGCACTGTAGCATCTTCAAATACCAGCTATTAAAAAAAACAAAAAAGTTAACACTAAAATTCCTGTCTTAAGGGAAAGGTTCATTTCTTTAAAAAAAAAAAAAAAAAAAGTGGCCTAATCCACAATACTGTTCTAATTAAAGCATCACATTTCTACTATACTTACTGTAAATATTTCCTTTCCCAAAAAGGCTTATAGTATCAGCTATTTCATCCCTCTTCTCTCTTTTATTCATGAAATTTTATAAGCTCTTGAAAGATACACTACTACTTCTAGTCAAAAATGCCTGGCTCCTACACTAGTCAAATGAGCTCTGTTAAAACACAAGCCTAGGCTATTTTTTTTTAAAGAGGCAAGTATTGCTATGTTGTCCAGGCTGGAGTGCAGCAGCATGACCATGGCTCATGCAGCCTCAACCTCCCAGTTCAAGTGACCCTCCCACCTCAGCCTCCCAAGTAGCTAGGACCACAGGCATGCACCACCAAGCTAGGCAAATTTTTTTTTTAAGTAAAACTGAGGTCTCCCTGTGTTGCCAGAGCTGGTCTCCAATTCCTGGGCCCAGGTGATCCTCTGTCCTCGGCCTCCCAAAATGCTGGGATCACATGCGAGAGCCACCATGCCAGGCCTCTGGGCTTTTTTTCACATCAACTCTCTAAACCCCAGGAGAGGTCAGATTCAGAGGTACTGTTGTTTGCCCCAAATATCAAATGGCCTTAGGCAGCTTTCAGATTATAAACATTCCACTTCATATCTTTACTGTGTTTCTATTATTCTTGTCAGCTATAATAAAAAGAATATAACGATTTAATAAACCTGCTTAACATTATCATAAATCTAATCTAAGACTCTACCAGGTATAAAGGCTTTTTGACAGGTTTAGCTATATTTCAATGTATGGTCTATAGATCTGTTTGAGAAAGCTAAAGATGCTAAAATTGAATCTTCATCTAAGAAATATATCTTCTCTTTTCAGTTAGCACATGGATTTTGGGTTTGTTTTAAGAGACAGGGCTACATTGCTACATTGACCAAGCTGGACTTCAGGGTTCAAAGGATCCTCCCACCTCAGCCTCCCAAGTATCTGGCAGTACAGGTACACACCACCACACCCAGCTAGTATGTGGTTTTGATATGGTTATCTTTATTTGAAAATAATAAAAGGCACCATTTCCAAACTTTGATACGGTTATCTTTATCGGAAAATAATAAAAGGCACCATTTCCAAACAGAGCTATACCTTGATTCAGTCTATTAGCACTATTTTTCTAGGTTCATGTGCTCACCTTATGTCTCTGTGTCACATTTTGGAAATTCCCATAATATTTCAAACTTTTTCATTATTATTAATATTGTATCTTTCATGGTGATCAGTGATCTTTGATGTTACTACTATAACTATTTTGGGCCACCAAAAACCGTGCCCACCTAAGATGGCAAACTTAATCACTAAATGTTGCATGTGTTCTGACTACTATCAACCAGCCAGTCCCCATCCCTCTCCCTCTCCTCAAGCTTCCTATTCCCTGAGACACAATATTGAAATTAGGCTAATTAATAATCTTACAGTGGGGGCCAGGCGTGGTGATCATGCTTGTATTTCCAGCACTTTGGGAGGCCAAAGCAGGAGAATCACTTGAGGCCAAGAGTTGGAGACCAACGTGGACAAATAGCAAGACTCCATTTCCACAAAAAAACTTAAAAAACTAGCAGGGTGTGGTGGCGCATGCCTGTGGTCCTACCTACTCAGGAGGCTGAGATGGGAGGATTGCTTGAGCCCAGTTCAATGCTGGAGTGAGCTATAACCATGCCACTGCACTCCAGCCGAGGCAACAGAGCAAGAACCTGTCTCAAAAAAAAAAAAAAAAAAAATCTTACAATGGCCTCTAAGTGTTCAAATGAAAGGAAGAGTCACAAGTCTCTAAATTTAAATCAAACGTTAGGAAGGTATGTCAAAAGCCAAGATAGGCCAAAAGCTAGGCCTCTTGCACCAAACAGCTGGCCAAACTGTATATGCAAAGAAAAAGTTCTGGAAGAAAATAAAAATGCTACTCCAGGCCAGCATGGCTCAGGCCTGTAAACCCAGCCAGCTTTGGGAGGCCAAGGTAGCAAGAACCTGTCTTTACAAAAAAAAAAATACTTTTTAAAATTAGCCAGGTGTAGTGGCACGTGTCTGTGGTCCTAGCTACTTCGGAGGCTGAGACAGGAGGATAACTTGAGCCCAGAAGTTCAGTGCTGCAGTGAGCTATGATCATGTCACTGCACTACAATCTGTGCCCTATCACTTTAAGAAAGAAATGAAAATACGTAGAAGAAAGCAGTAATCTATCTGTGAAAAAGTTCCATGTTGATTTTATGTCTTAAAAAACTTGTCTTTTACTCTCCCATTTAAATTATAATATTAAATATACCAGTTTCTAAATGGTCAATCACATTAAATATGACATCCAATGAAACTACTGATACTGGGCCCCTGCAGTAAATGTTTTCCCTCAATAGTTAATTTTATGACAATATTTATAATTCACTTTAAATTTCCAGAATATAAGACTTATACAAATATTTTAATGTGTGGATATGATCAAAAACTAGATGAAAATTATTTTTTTATGAAAATAATAGATTTTCCCCCTGGTTTTCTTCACTGATGTGTTCATGCAGTTGCAATTCACCATCACTCACACACCATAATCAAGAAAAATAGATAAGTAAATAAAAATTACTTAAAGGGAATTACATAACTGTATTTACTTACTCTCCAGGGCCTCCACAATAGCAGTAACACTGCTGGACATTGGTTTTATGACCTGCATCCCATTCAAGGTCTGCCACACTATAGGGTAATGTCTGCTTCATGACTTGCAATGCTTTGGCATTTGGTCCTTTCTTAAGTGCACCACCCCTCTACATTAGAGGGAAAAAAATGTGAAAGAGTGAAGGCTAAAATTTTAAACACAATTCTATACTTTAAAAACGACTCTGACACTTCTGGAGAAATTTCCTTTCCAAACTTTTACCATATCACAAACTGTCTGATTAATAATAATCTCTATTTTTCTTTTCTTCTTTCAAATTACTGCACCAATTCCCGTATTACTATCATCAAATAAGTGAAAGCATCATTAAAAAGTCACTTAAGCATCATTAGTCAAATAAATAGCACCTCTTTCTACCCAGCATTCATTGCTCATTTCATTCCAACAAACTTTCAGTGTACACAATCATTATGTTGATAATGTCTTACAAATTCCATCAGAGCTTTAGCCCAAAACACTTAAAATATACCTTTGTTGTTGTTGCAAAAACACACTGCCGACAGAGCCATTTTTCATCTGAATCAATCACACTGGAATCAATATGAGGTGTGTGACACAACTGATGATATCCTTAATATCAAAAAAAGCATAAAGCAAATTCGGTTTCATTAATACTTTCAACACAATTTCAAGAATGCATTTTAGCATTATTTCCTACATTAATATAATTAATAAAAAGGATAATTTCAAATTATCAATGTAAAGTATTTTTAGTCATTAATCTTCAACATAGTCATTCAGTATGTAACAAGATTAAAAGAAATCAATGGTTACCTTGGCCACACTTGTCACATATAACCATTTCATTGGGAGCTTCTGAATACTCTTCTTGACATATTGTACAGACCATTTCCCCACTTCCAGTGGCTCCTAAAATATTTAAAACACATTAAAAAAGAGAGTCATAAAAAATTCCATAAAACAAAACCACTTTTATGACTCAGTGAGCAGCACATATGCGCAATGTTTGCTAAGTACATCATAATGCTTCACAAGACAAAGTACACGAATGGTATCTCTCTGCTCTCTGTGTTCTTTCTACCTTTAACTTAACATGCCTACTTTCATAATTTAATCTGCTTTTTGGCAGAAGGCATAATTTAAATTGCTCTTGAGCATCTTCCCTTATTACTCATTTCTCATATTCCCACTCTTAAAGGTGAAGGTGGAGATGAGGGATGGGCGACAGCAGATAGAGAAGGTTTGTGAACACTAGAGCTACTTTATAGAATACTTATCTATTCATGTACATACATTCACTTATCCTACACCACTAATACCATGAAATTAAAGAAAAAAAGTAAGGAAGATAAGTAAACTACCTCTTTCTCGCTCAATTCAGAGCATTTCCTTTTACTTACTAATTTATTAAACAGGTTGAACACCAATTATTTAATCTCTAGCTTCTGAAATCTGAAAATATGGTATCCAATAATGTACCCTAACAAAATATCATTTCAACAAAATTTGGGGGTCCCAAAATTATTAATTTTTTTTAGCAGAACAAGTGAAGCATTTCTTCCTGAGACATTTTTATTCTCAAAAAAAAAAAATCACACAAAATTTCTAATACAATTTACCACCCTAACACATTATCATTTCCAGTATTCTCATCTTGTCTGTTTCAGCAGAGTCAAATTCACAATACACAGCCTTTATATACATAACAACAATAAAAACTTATAATTTTGTGCTATGGGCCAAGCACTGTGTAGGATCTTGATATATTTTGTTTAATTCTACAACTAACTTATAAATATACTATTTATAGAGAAGAACTGAGGCTCAGACAAAGTAACTAACCCAAAGACCCTGAGAAAACATCAAGACTAGGATTCAAATCCAGATGTGCCAAAATCCATGTTCTCTCCACTACGAGATGCTTCATCAATACTATGTAATATTTCTTCTATCAAAAGCATTTTTCACTCAAAATTGAAAATGAAAATCATTTTTCATTTCAAAATTGTAACTTCTAATAGCTGCATAGTATTACATCTAGTGGAAATAACCCAATTTACTTCATTATTACTCTACTCTCGGACATACAGGTTACCAACTGTTTTTCTTTTTTTGGAGGGGGAGAAATCTGTCTTTTGTATTTCTGCTATTTATTTGTTTGTTCTGGTCTCTCATCCTCTCTCTTCTGCTTTGTTTGCTTCCTTTTATTTTTCCCCTCAGATAGGGTCTTGCTGTGTCATCCAGGCTGGAGTGCAGTGGCACAGCCACAGCTCACTGCAGCCTTGACTTCCCAAGCCCAAGCAATGCTCCCACCTCAGCCTCCCAAGTAACTGGAACCACAGGCGTGTGTGTCACCATGCCTATTTTTTTTTTTTTTTTTGTAGCGACAGGATCTCCCTGTGTTGCCCAAGCTGGTCTCAAATTCCTGGGCTCAAGCAATCCTCCTGCCTGGGCCTCCCAAAGCACTGGGATTGCAGACATAAGGCACTGCGCCCAGCTGTTTGCTTCTTGGTACACTTCGTTGAAGGTGGTCTCCCATAGCTTCTGGGTTTATGGTTCCGATCATGAGAGCAACCAGATTAAGCCTGGGAACTCTCTGTGAAAATTTACAATTCCCTGGAAATGGAACAACAGCCCCGCGAGGGGAGGTGCCTGACCTGACTCTCACTGTAACTACCTGGACTAATGATGGGGAAGGCAATTCCTCAGAAAAGGGGGTAGTGACCCAAGAAACAATCCTGAGAAAGCTGGGAATTAACTTTTACTTGTGAAATCAAACATATATGTATATATTTTTTACCATCAAGTTTACAAGAACCTTCCTATATAGCTTAGTAATCTTCTATAGTCTCCTTTACTCTAAATCCAATTGACTAGAAAGCCTTGGCCATTTCATCTTAGAAATACCAAATTTTTTGTTGTTGTTAAAATAAACTTCAGGAAACATTTTTCACCTAGTATTTTTTGAATTACTTCTTATGAATAAACTGCTAGAAAGGAGTCTATTAGATAATTATAAACTTCTGCATTTAATGCAAATGCTAAACCACCAAAATAGAAATTTACACTGCCACCAGCAATGCAAGAGTATATCATTTCACAGAAACCAAAACAGCATTAGATGCTAAGATTCAAAACCCTCTTACATTTATGTAATAGTTGTAACATGATATATTTCACCCTGTTGACTACTAATATTTTTCTTTATGTAAAATTTTTAAAAGAAACTCATTAGACAAATATAATTTATTAAGTTTTGATATACATTATTGGCAGATTTCTTACAGGGAAGAAAACTACTAAACCCACTCCTCACTGAAATATGCCATAACGCAGGTTTCAGATTCATTTATTCATTTTTATAGCAACTATAAGTTTCATATGTGCTAATATCAGGGTGCTAAGAAGAGTTAAATGACCAGGAGCAATCCTTTGTAATTCCAAGAACAGCAAAAGGAACCAGTGAAGAAAGAACAACCACAGAACATTAAACTGACATACTGAGTGCAGGACTTATAGAACCCCTCACACAACAACTTTCTATCTCTATGTAACATTGGTTTTCTTCTTTTCTACCACTTTTAAAAGCAGAGGAGAAGTAGAAAGGAGGAAGTAGACAAAAGGACAGACAGACCTATTACATTAAATCCACAGGAAACTCCAAAAGATCTTCAAAAGCTGAAAGAAACACATAGCTAATGGAAGGGGAGTAAAAAGCAGCATAACATGTTTCACTGCTATTACAGAGAGACCTATGTTTACAAAATAAGGAAAAAAGAATAATTTTGTGTGCAGGGTAGTAAGATCTGCTCAATATTAGTAGTGTTGGAGATCTCCTATCCCTTTAAATCTTATGAGTCACACTTTTCTCTGGCTCCTCAATTTCAGATTCAAAATGTAATTTTAGTCCTTTAAACTTATCAGTCCAGGAACCATAAAAAGTTTCTCCAGAAAAACATTTTACCAGAGTAAAAGCTACTTAGTTCCCCACCTAAGCCCTGAGTACCAACTATACAGATGGTAATTAGAACATTCCAATTCCTTTACCAAAACTTTTTTTATTCTTTAAGAAACATTAAGAGTAAAGTCAAGAACTAAAACATGGCAGAAACCTACCATAAAATTGAACTTGGTATTCAAATATAAAACCCAATTGTTAAATACTTTGGCAAGGTGTCTACCCTTTAGGGAGAAAATTTATCTCTTTTCTATGAGAATACACAAAACACGGGTCTTAGTGTAGGCCTATTAACCCAGCAAAAGGAAAACCAAAAGTAGGGCTTTAATGAACAGCTAAAATACTCAGGCTTTTAGTAGAGATTGTAATTTTTAAAAGTACTTTGCATGAAAGAGGTACCTGGTAAAACATCTATATTTAGCAGATGCTAAAAGCATGAAACAATCATGGTTTCTAATAATAGAAATCATCACAAGAAGCATACCTATAACCAAACCAAGGCATACTTTCATTCATTTTTATTGGCACACAAATATAGCCTCATTTTCCCATTTAAACATAAAAAACCCATAACTAAATGGTAATTTTAAACCATTCTTATTAACGAATATTTCTATTATTCTAAATCAGTTTTATATGTCCTAATTTCCCAAATCATCTGACAAACAGTATGCTCCCAATAAACACTTGCTTTCTACAAATATAAGCAAGCAACAGTTGAATTGAATCCCAAACCGTTACTGAGATTAGTTACTAAAGATTTTTCTTCAAAGTTCTTAGAAGGGTCTTAACATAGCTTACAGGTATAAATTAGTGATGCATCTGTCCTCTAGAGTATTCTTGTTCTTCTTATGGTCTATAATAACGACTATGCTGATTTTTTAACCTCTCCTAGGAAGTAATACTGAGTTATCTAAATACACTGTATTCAACAGACAACATCATAATATGACAAGTTGAAGAAAATCAAATTTTAATTTAAATCATGTTCAAGAGAAATAGTAGCACCTGCCTGTTTGAATGTCCTTCCAGAGAACCCAGGATTTAGAACTGTCTTCAAATATGATGAAGCAGCTCTGTTTCAATATGTTTATCTGCAATACAGAGAAATACTTAACGGTGATCTCTTAAAATTAAAAACATGAAGTTAAATTTAAGATTATTAAATGCTTACTGCAAAAACAGCAAAAGATACATTAAAGTAACTTGCCTTTTTGATAGTGCCAAGATAAAACAAGCCATCTGACCATCTAGCTAGGACATCCTGACCCTCTTCAAATTTACATGCTGGCTTTTTGGCTTTATGTCCATCCTGTAAAGACAGCTTGGTCAAGGATGTTGGGGTCTTTTGGTTTCGACGTAAAGGAGACCGCTTGTGGACCAGTGAATTACCTGCCCCTGTAGAGTCTCTGTTTAGAGAATAAAAGACCATACATAAGACTTACTTGTAGAGCTTATTTTATACCAGTGGGATATTTTATATGTTAATCAAAGTTTTAAATTTGTTAAAAACCTTAAGACAAAAATATAAAAAGTACCTCAAATCATAAATACTCTCCAAACAAAGCAGTTTAAAACAAAATGATAACAATTCTCAATATCCATTCATTGCCTACTCTAAGTGAGGCCAAGACTCAGCAAACACTCCAAGATAACACATTCAAGGCAGCTGCCATCAAAATAACAGCTTTATGTTGAGGTATGCAGGCCATGATCATGAGCAAATAATGTCTTGAATCTCATGACTGGGTTTAGGTAAAGAATAAAAGTGAATTACATTTTAATCTCTTGATTATGCCACATGCAGTTAAGACACATTAACCAGTGACTTCAAGGGACAGCTGGTGTTATTCACACTCTTCACACTCAAAGGAAGGGCAGTCATGACCTTCTCCTTACAGGGAATCACCACTGAATTGAGCAAATATGCAGACTGAGAGTTTAAAAAAAAAAACATTGAGAACCAGCAATTTCATTACATTATAGACAAATAGTACACTATAAGGCCAGGTGCGGTGGCTCATGCCTGTAATCCCAGCTCTTTGGGAGGCTGAGGCGGGTGGATCACCTGAGGCCAGGAGTTCAAGACCAGCCTGGCCAACATGGTGAAACCCTGTGTCTACTAAAAAATACAAAGATTAGCCGGGCGTGGTGGTACACACCTGTGATGCCAGCTACTGGGGAGGCTGAGGCAGGAGAATCATTTGAACCCAGGAGGCGGAGGTTGCAGTGAGCTGAGATCATGCCACTGCACTCCAGCCTGGGCAACAGAGCAAGACTCTGTCTCAAAAAACAAAAAAACAAAAAAAAAGGAAAGTACACTATAAGAGTACTTAAAGGAAAAAAATATATATTAAATACTGTGAAATTACATTATAACTTATGTATCAGACATTCCATAAACAGCAAAGCATACCACCATCAGCTTTCTTAAAGGTAACAAAGCAGTGTTTGGTTTCACTTTTCCAAATTAGATTTTTCACTAATTAAACATACAGTGACATGTAAAACTAGATAATAATTCTAAAAACAGCATAAAAGTTTAGTAAAAATAAAATGAGCAGGGAAATTAAAGAAAAAAGTTTCAAAAAGTTCCTAAGTATTAGGAATATCTAACTTCAATATCTAAAAATACAGAAATTCTGGGAAACCCTGTCACATGCTCAAACACGGATGAACCTTGAAGACATTATGCTAAGTGAAATAAGCCAGACAAAATGGACAACTATTCCACTTATATGAGGTGCCTAGACACTCAAAGTCATAGAGATGGAAAACAGAATGGCGGCCAACGGCTAGGAAGAATGGGGAATAGGGAGTTAGTGTTTAATGGGTACGGAGTGTTTCAGTTTGAAAGAAATACATTTTAGAGATATCCAAAGAAATAACTGGTACCTTCCCAAATTTGCTGAAAAACATTATCTACACATCCAAGCAGCTCAACAAATTCCAAGTAGGATAAATGCAAAGAGATCTACACCCAGCCACATCATAGTAAAAATGCTGAAAGGCAAAAAAAAAAAAAAAAAAAATCTTGAAAGCAACAAGAGAAACACAATATATCACGTACAGGGAAACCCCAATAAGATTAACAGTTGACTTCTCATCAGAAACAATAAAGGCCAGAAGGCAGTGAGATGACATATTCAAAGTAAGCAGGCTGCAGGGAGTGGGTGCTGTCACCAGAGAATCTTATATCCAGCAAAACTGTCTTTCAAAAATGAAGGTGAAATACAAACTCCCAGATAAACAAAAACTGAATTTGTTATTAGCAGAGACATCTTACAATGAATACTACTACGATTGAAAGTAAGTAAACCCAGAAGGAAATTCAAATACATGTACATACACATACACACACACACACACAAAGAATACCAACAAAAGTAATTATAAAAGACAGCATAAATGCATATTCCCTCCAAAGCAAGTATATAAAACAATATGTACATAATTGTATTGTTAGACCCATAATATATAGAAATGTAATATATTTGGCAATAATAGCATAAAGGAAGTATGTAGGAGCAAAACTGTTTCAACTGTTTCAAAGAAATGACACAGGCCAGGTGCAGCATGGCTGACGCCTGTAATCCCAGCACTTTGGGAGGCTGAGGCAGGAGGACCCCGAATTCAAGAGTAGCCTGGGCAACAAAGGGAGAATGTCTCTAAAAAAATTAAAAAATAAAAATTAGCCGGGCATTGTGGCACGTGCCTGTGGTCCCAGCTACTCAGGAGTCTGGGGTGGGAGGACTATATGAGGCCAGGAGGTCGAGACTGCAGTGAGCTGTGATTGTGCCACTGCACTCCAGCCTGAGCAACAGAGAGAGAACCTGTCAAAAGAAAAGAAGAAAAGAAAAGAGAAAAATGGAAGGAAGGACAGACACAAGATGCTAACTTGAATTCACAAGAACAAACGAAAAAAAAAATGGTAATTAAGGTCAATATAAAACGTAGATTGTCACTTCAAGAAAATACCTGCCTTATACAGAACTAAGTGGCTGTTTCAAGTAAAAATGGTGTTCCATGAAAAAGCTGCTAGTTCAGCTGGCAACTCAAACAATGGCACAAGTGCCTTATGCCATTTCTATTTTATCACACATATTAAAAACCTGGCCAGCACGGTGGCTCATGCCTGTAATTCCAGCATTTTGGAAGGCCGAGGCAGGTGGATCATTTGAGGCCAGGAGTTCAAGACAAGCCTGGCCAACATAGCAAAACCCCCCATCTCTACTAAAAATACAAAATTAGCCAGGCATGGTGGCGCGTGCCTGTAATCCCAGCTACTCGGGAGGCTGAGGCAGGAGAACCGCTTGAACCTGGGAGGCGGACGTTGCAATGAGCCAAGATTACACCACTGCACTCCAGCCTAGGCAACAGAGCAAAACTACATCTCAAAAACAAACAAACAAACAAAAAACATTCTTAAGTGAAATAAGGTTTGGGGGTACGTGTGTGTGTTTATATTTTTTACCGTTAGTACACAATGAAGAATACAAGTACAGTTTGATGCCGCTGCCTTGATTCATGCTAAGGCACAAAGCAATTTTATCTAACATTGTTTTTTCTGTGCCATAGTCAGCTGTGAGGAGAAGGCACTTTTGGTAGTATAATTAGAGGGGTTAAAAAGTTTAAATGTTTGACAAGATCAGTGCAAGAGAACAGAAGTAAAAATGCAGGAAGAATCACAATGAATTATCATCAGGGATGCTCAAGGAGAGGGTAAGAATCCTCTTTCTCCAGATTTTGAAACAATTTAACGGCTTCACAGTATGGGAATAACTCTATTAGCAATCAACTTTGAAAAAAGCTTTAAGGGGCAGGATGCGGTGGCTCACGCCTGTAATCCCAACACTTTGGGAGGCCGAGGTGGGCAGATCACCTGAGGCTGGGAGTTCAAGACCAGCCTGACCAACATGGAGAAAAAACCCGTCTCTACTAAAAATACAAAATTAGCCTGGTGTGGTGGCGTATGCCTGTCATCCCAGCTACCTGGCAGGCTGAGGCAGGAAAATGTCTTGAACCCAGGAGGTGGAGGTTGCAGTGAGCTAAGATCGCACCATTGCACTCCAGCCTGGGCAACAAAAGCAAAAGTCTGTCTCAAAAAAAAAAAAAAAAGGCTTTAAGTTCAGTGTTCACTTGAGGGATTTTGCATCCCTTCAGTTAAAAAAAAAAAATAGCCAAAGCCTGAACAATTAATCAATCATGGGTGAAAAATGACCTCAGTAGAATGCCATGGCAGGTCTGCGTTAAGACCTAGAATTCCAAAGTAGAAACTGTACAAAAATAAAAATTGCAAACATTCCCAGTTTCATATGCTTTGCTATTATTTCAATAAATTATCCCCTTCTTTCAGGATGGCAAGGTCTGTCTCTGTCTTACTCTCCACTGTACTACTCCTGCTGCATAGCACATCCTTAGGTCATAAGGTATCAAACATTTTTTTATTTTTCCATCTCCTAGTGTTTATGCCCTGCTTCTCCTAATATTTCTGGTGTGCTGTGTCTCAAATGAGACCTAACCTAATTATAGTTACCCTTGATTCCTTATGCCCCCTTCCCACCACCTCCTCATTTTTTCCCTTCCATTCACAGTCAAACCTCCAGGAAAAAATTACTGAGATTACCAAGTCCCTAACCCTACATTAAACATTCAACACATTCATGGCCGGGCATGGTGGCTCACGCCTGTAATTCCAGCACTTTGGGAGAACGGGTCGGGCAGATCACGAGGTCAGGAGTTTGAGACCAGCCTGGTCAACATGGCCAAACCACGTCTCTACTTAAAATACAAAAATTAGCCGGGCGTGATGGCTGGCACCTGTAATCCCAGCTACTCAGGAGGCTGAGGCAGGAGAACTGCTTGAACCCGGGAGGTGGAGGTTGCAGTGAGCCGAGACCGCAGCATTGCACTCCAGCCTGGGTGAAAAGAGCAAGACTCTGGTCTCAAAAAAAAAACACACACACACACAAACAACATTCAACATATTCATTCACAAATCATTTTTGGGTCCCTATTATGAGCCACATACTGTGCCAGGCAGTAGATATATAGAGGTAATTTAATACTCAGATCACTGCTTTAGAGATATTTTTGCAGATGAGATTTTACAGATCCCTTTTTACATGAGGAAACTACAACTGCAAAACAGATTATAACTTGATGAAGTTTATTATAGGATACAAACCAGAGCCAGCATTCAATAAATCTTCTCTCTGGGCACCCTCCCATTAGCATTCAACTATGCTTAAAAACTTGCAAGGATCTTGGGGATGGGGGGTAGAATAACTAAATTCTCTTGATTCTTTGTGCTCCGTTCCCACCACTTCCTACTCTTTCCTCCCATTTGCAAGCAAACCTCGGGGTAAAGTTATACACGCTTAATGTCTCCACTCCTATAGTCTCCTCCCCTTTTCAGTCTTCGGCCCACTTCAATATAACCCACTAACCTCCCCCCAAACAGGGAATGTCTGTCTCTTTTTTTTTTTTTTTTTTGAGACGGAGTCTCGCTCTGTCACCCAGGCTGGAGTGCAGTGGCGCTATCTCGGCTCACTGCAAGCTCCGCCTCCCAGGTTCACGCCATTCTCCTGCCTCAGCCTCCCGAGTAGCTGGGACTACAGGCGCCCGCCACTACACCCGGCTAACTTTTTGTATTTTTAGTAGAGACGGGGTTTCACCTTGGTCTCGATCTCCTGACCTCGTGATCTGCCTGCCTCGGCCTCCCAAAGTGCTGGGATTACAGGCGTGAGCCACCGCGCCCGGCCGAGAATGTCTGTCTCTTATTCACACTTGTATCCTCAATCTCTGCATAGGGCATGATACATAAACGGCAGAAAGATTATGCAGAATTTATATAGTTCAAGTCAAGAAACGCCTATATTTAAGGAGTTAATTTTTTTATCTAACCAATATTTAAAGAGTTTAACTTTTCATCTTTATCTACTTTTTTTTTTTTTTTTTTGAGATGGAGTCTTGCTCTGTCACCAGGCTGGAGTACAGTGGCACGATCCCAGCTCACTGCAACCTCCACCTCCTGGGTTCAAGCAATTCTTGTGCCTCAGCCTCCCGGATAGCTGGGATTACAGGTGCATGCCACCACGCCCAGCTAATTTTTGTATTTTTAGTAGAGACAAGGTTTCACCATGTTGGCCAGAATGGTCTTGATCTCCTGACCTTGTGATCCACCCGCCTCGGCCTCCCAAAGTGCTGGGATTACAGGCCTGAGCCACAGCGCCCGGGGTACATTTTTAATCTAATGTCTCTAAGCACAAATCATCTGTTTTGCTTTAAGTAAAAAATAGACTCTACTTTCATTCACATTTAAGACAAATACACATCAACCTTTTACCCACATAAACATAAATCCTATATAAAACTGCATTAATAGAGAGATCATTTGTACCAGGCATGGTGGCTCACACCTGTAATCCTAGCACTTTGGGAGGCTGAGGCAGGAGGATCACTTGAGCCTAGGAATTTGAGACCAGCCTGGGCAACACAGTGAGACCTTGTCTCTACAAAAAAAAAAAAAAAAAAGCTGGGTGTAGTGGCATACGCCTGTGGTCTCAGCTACTCAGGAGGCTGAGGTGGGAGGATCACTTGAGCCCAGGAGGTAGAGGCTTCAGTGAGCCATGACTTCACCACTGCACTCCAGCCTAGACAACCTGTAACAAAAACCAAAAAATACATACATAAATAACGTGTAAAAGCAGTATCTTCTTTTAAAATTTCTCTGCCCAAAAAAATCTTACAGAAAACAAAGCAAGAAAAGAGTAAATTACCCATAATGTCACAACTCAAACGTAAGTAGGATAAACATCGTTGCACATTTTCCTCCCCTAAGGGTTTTCCTCTATGCAGTTTCCCCCACCCCATTACTATCACTGATTACTTCCCTCTTTGCTAGAATGTGACCTTTATTAGAAGTCAAATTAATTTTTCTAATTTTAGAATTTATTACTTCCTTTCTGATTACAAAGGTAAACATGCTGATGTTAGAATAATATAGAAACATATAGTTAAAAATGAAAATGCTCCATGCAATCTCCTCCCATAAAAAAAGTTAATCTCCTGATTCTTATTTGTACTACATATTTATAATTCATATAAATGTTTTTAATAAAATATAGGACATTATATATATTATTCTATAAATTTTCTCACATAACAATGTATCTTGAACAATGTAATTTCCATCTGTTACGTAAATATAAAATAAAAGCACATAAAATAATCTTTTCATCAGCTGCTAAACTGCTTTCCAACCATTACCCAATGGAGGAACATTTAGGATGTTTCCAATGTTTTAACATAAGCAGTAATATAAACTTCATTCTTCTACATTCCCAACTACTATATAGGATAAATAATAAAGAGAATTAATATATATATAATAAAATACTACGTATATTTTTCCTTTTTATAATAGAAAATTACAAACGTAGACAAAACAAGTATAATGAACCATCAAGTGACACCCAGTTTCAATTATAATTTCCTTTTTTTTTTTGAGCTAGTCTCACTGTGTCACCCAGGCTGAAGTGCAGTGGTGCGATCTTGGCTCACTGCAACCTCTGCCTCCCGGGTTCAAGCAATTCTCCTGCCTCAGCCTCCCAAGTAGCTGAGACTACAGGCGCCCACCACCATGCCCGGCTAATTTTTTTCATATTTTTGCAAAGACAGGGTTTCACTATGTTGGCCAGGCTGGTCTTGAACTCCTGACCTCGTGATTTGCCCGCCTCGGCCTTCCAAAGTGCTGGGATTACAGGCGTGAGCCACCGTGCCTGGCCCATAAAATTTCATGGCTAAAATTATTTCATTTATATACCCATATCCCCCCATCCTCATATGTGTATTTTTAAATATCATAGGTATTATCAAATTATTCTCCCAAAAGGTACCAACTCACACTCTCACCACACCTTCACCAACGGGAAGAATTATCATTCTTTTGCTGTTTGACAACACACACTCTATTTCTATCTACAACTCTATTAGTAGTAGTAAAAAAGCATGTTTCTCATAGGTTTGTTAACAATTTTTTTTTTGAGACAGGGTCTCTCTCTGTCACCCAGGCTGAAGTGCAGTGGTGCAATCATGGGTCACTGCAGCCTCAATCTCCCGGGCTCAAGGGATCCTCCCACTTCAGCCTCCCAAGCAGCTGGGACTACAGGCACACACCATGCCACCACGCCCACCTGATTTTTTAAAAATAATTTTTAGTAGGAATGGGAGCAGGTCTCAAACTCCTGAGCTCAAGTAATCCCTCCGCTTTGGCCTCCCAAAGTGCTGGGATTATAAGCATGAGCCACCACGCCCAGCCTATTAACAATTTCTAAGTCTTCTGGAAACTGCAGTTGATGTTCTTTGCCCATT
Organism: Homo sapiens; assembly: GCF_000001405.40. Lineage (NCBI taxonomy): Eukaryota > Metazoa > Chordata > Mammalia > Primates > Hominidae > Homo > Homo sapiens. The sequence continues at coordinate 93,102,263 of NC_000001.11, read as the reverse complement.
TTTAAATGAAATGTTAATCACTGTCATGATAATTTTCAAGAGCATCTTATATGTTATAACCCTTTCTTATACATATTGCAAACATTCTTCTGAGTTCATATACTAAAGTGCCATGAGAAACAGACTTTTTGATTGGGGAATCAGTACTCCTTTTGGGTACTCAGTTGACTCTGGTCAGTAGCTACAAAGCTATATCCCTCATCTCACCTCATCTCAGATTCAAACTGCCTCTCCTGATTAAGCAGCCAGGGATTGAGGGGAGGGAGAAAGAGGTAGTTGTTATACAACGGGCATATAGTTTCAGTTTAACAAGGTAAAAAAGTGTTATGGAGACGGCTCAATGTATTTAATATCAGTGAACTGTACACTGAAAATTGGTTAAGACGGGCCAGGCATTGTGGCTCACACCTGTAACTTCAGCTCTTTGGGAGGCCAAGGCGGGAGGAGTGCTTGAGGCCAGGAGTTCAAGACCAGCCTAAGCAACACAAGATCCAGGCTCTACAAAATATTTCTTTGAAATCAGCCAGACATAGTGGGATGTGCCTATAGTCCCAGCTACTTAGGAAGCTGAGATGGGAGAATTGCGTGAGCCTGGGAGGTCGAGGCTGCAGTGAGCTGTGACTGCACCACTGCATTCCAGCCTGGGTAACAGGGAGACCCTGTCTCAAAAAAAAAAAAAAAAAAAAAAAAAAAAACCAGCCTGAGCAACATGGCAAGACCACATTCCTACAGAAAATTTTTAAAAAATTTGCCAAGTGTGATGGCACATAGCTGCAGGATCACTTGAGCTCAGGAGTTCGAGACTGCAGTGAGCTGGAATCACACCACTGCACTCCAGCCTGGGAAACAGAGTGAGACCTTATCTCCTTTTAAAAAAAAAAAAAAAAAAAAAAAAAAGGTTAAGATAGTAAATTTTGTTACATGTATTTTAACTCAATAAAAAGATTGGGAGAGAGGGCTCATAGTCACTACCACTGGATCACTGCTAGTCATATACATCTTGAAAGAGATTGCCTGGACAAATAAGTTTCTTCCCTTGAGACCAAGTGTTCAAGCCAGTAACTCTTTCTTGGTTTACTACCCCAGAATAAGTAAGACCCTGATTCAAGAAGTTGAAAACTGGATGTTTAATTCAGAAATAGTGTGGTTTAGGGAAAATGGATTAATTCTTCCCAATCCATTCCTCAATCTGTTCTCCTAGTGAACTAAATAAAGAACTATCTCAATTCTTAGTTGCCATCTTTCCCATGCCCACAATTTCTTCCCTTCCCTGGGAAAAGTAGTAAATATGTGGGTTAATAGCATGTGAAGGATATAATATAACCTAAGAAAAGTGCTATTTTTGGTGAAAACTTTCATACAGATATAGTCAAATTCATGAGGCCAAACAGGGCCAAAGTAAGGCCCAGGTATAAGGGAAGCAACAGGTAATCTGCTTAAGCTTGGCACTGCATTAAAGCTATGAAGAAGGAATTCTCTTTTATCTCTTGAGACAGGTATGTAAAATGAAGCCTGAGACTCGTTGCCTTCTTTCTGGTTAAGGTTTCCCTGAAAGTAGAATGTCAAAGAGAACCAGGGTTGAACCTAAAGGACAGAAAGCATAAAGCAAGCAGCTTAAAGGCCAGCTCTACTCCTTAGTTTTAGAAACAATACAAACAGCTGGGGGTGGTGGCTCACGGCTGTAATCCCAGCACTTTGGGAGGCCGAGGCGGGCAGATCATGAGGTCAGGAGAGCAAGACCATCTTGGCTAACACACAGTGAAACTCCGTCTCTACTAAAAATACTAAAAAATTAGCCAGGCATGGTGGCAGGTGCCTGTAGTCCCAGCTACTCAGGAGGCTGAGGCAGGAGAATGGCGTGAACCTGGGAGGCGGAGGTTGCAGTGAGCGGAGATCATGCCACTGCACTCCAGCCTGGGCGACAGAGTGAGACTCTGTCTCAAAAACAAACAAACAAACAAACAAACAAACATAATGCCACATATATGCTTTTTTATAAAAATAGCAAATAGTATAGAAAAAAATTAAGGTGAAAATCAATAGTTCCTCACTCCACCACTTCTAATATTCCAGTCTTACTCTCAGAGGCAAGTGGGTTTTTTTTAACTCTTTCAACTATGCCTTCTGAAGGTACCCTCGTATTTACAAATAATGTGTTTATACTTCTCTTTTTAAACTGATCAACTTCAAATCTGACTTCTTGCTATTGAAGTTGATAATTCACATCTTATGCCAACTCCTATTTCCTACCTCTCATCCTCTACAAATCTTATTGAACTATTTTCATTAAATCAGTAAGTTTTACTTATTGTACAATGTGTAAATATTGGTCATGCAAAGATAAGTGGTATGCCCTTATTAAATATCCTTTCTTATTCACTTTCAATTTTTCCCAAAATTGCTTAATATATCCCTTTGTTGCCTCCTGTTTCAAACTGTCAATGATAATTTCAAATCTTTTTTCCACATGTAACTCCTGCTTCTAAAGCTCTCCATGTTCCTGTGCCAATCTAGAATGACTATCCTCTAAGCCTTGCTCTTGTCATCTTGGAAGTTCCCCTTATCACTCTGCTTTCTAGATCCCATATTCTTTTGCTGGAGCAGTGGCTTACAACAGAAGGCTGTATAAACCTTGCATATCTATTTCAATCCCACCCTCACAATTGACCAATACTTTCCCAGATACAGAATTTAATGTTGAAAATATTGAATGTTGAAAACTTCCCTCGGAAGTTTGATACTATTCCTCTACCACACTCAGCATTCATAATGAAAAATCTGATGCCACTCTGACTTTTACTCCTTTATAGGTTACCATTTTTTCCTCAGAAAGTTTCTAGGATCTTCATTTATCCTTAATGTCTTAAAATTTCATAATGATGTGTCTAGGCATAAGGTCTTCTTTCAATCATACTGTCCAGCCCTTGGTAAATCCTTTCATTTGTTTTTCTGTTTATTTTAGACTCTCCTTTGATGCAGCAGGCTTTCCTCAGCTATTTAGTGGCCCTTAGTTGTCCAGTGACAGTTAAGATTGAGGTTATATAAATCCACATGGGATCTCTTCACACATGATGCAGGATTTGTAGAGAGTTCAGCTTTGCCTTAGTGTGATCAGGTAGGGAGGCAACGCTTAGACTGATAAACTCTGCCAAAATATGGAGGTCTTTTTCAGGACCTTATCAATGTAAAAACCCTCTCTACATTCTTTACCTGAGCGGCTGGACAACTGGGTATAGGTGGGTAGTGTCCATCTGTTTACAATATAGACAAACATCCCCCTCTCACCATCTGTAAATGTCATCCTCTCATCCCTCACCTTGCTGAAACCCATGGTCAGGGGTTGCTACTAGTGGCTCAGAATCAGCAGATACCCTAGTTTTACAACTGGGCAACACTGAGAAGAAACACATTCATTGGAGAACAAAGTCAAAATTCTGAAACCATTACAGTAGGTATTAAGTATCATAAATACTACAAATAAACTATATTACAAATTACAGACCAACTGACTTGGAATCCCAATTCCTATTTGTAATGGTTCATATGCAAAAATTCAGCCTTCTTATAAACAACCAACATATATACATTTGTCTCCTAACCTACTGACAACTTATATTTGAAAACTGGTATCTCAGAGTATACTTTAATTAAACAGAACATTTTAACCAACCAAAACATCCATACCCCAATCATTTTATAATAAAAGTCCAATGAGAGTTAAGGAAAACATGATTATTGTATTTAAACTCAATGGCTCTGGTCATTCAACAAATATACAATGCCTGCTATATGCCAGGTACCATGCCAGGTGTTAAGAGAGACAAATGTGGAAAGATACAGTACATACCACCAAGGAACATAGCCTTTGTAGAGAAACACGTGTGCACACCAAAAAAACTATATGCAGTGTAATTCCTATAATGAATAAACACAAGAAGAAAAATATCTAATCTGTCCAGAAGCAAAAGGCAGGGACAGACAAAACTTCATCAAGACTTAGCTTTTAACTACAGACTTAAAGGATGAGTAGTAGTTTCAGAGATGAACCTTAGAGAGGACTTCATAAGCCTAGGGAACATATGTAAAGGCACAAAGTCATGAGACAACACACACTTTTCTAGGAACAAAACTGCAGTATAACTGCAGCTCAAATTAGAGAGAAAGTGGCATAAATAACACTAAACAAACAAAAAAAGACCAAGCTATAAGAGTAGAGACATTGCCTCTTTGTCTTATTTACTCTTATATATCCCCTGTACCTGGCACACATCGATTCTCAATACTGGCTGAATAAACAAACACTATGCAAAAGAGAGAAAAAGATGGGAACCCAAATAAATCTGCAATAATCTATTAATAAAAAAAGGCCCAGGCATGGTGGCTCATGCCTGTAATCCCAGCACTGTGGGAGGCTGAGGCGGGCAGATCATTTAAGGTCAGGAGCTCGCGACCAGCCCGGCCAACAAGGTGAAACCCCGTCTCTACTAAAAATACAAAAAATAACTGAGCATGGTGGCATGCACCTGTAACCCCAGCTACTCAGGAGGCTGAGGCGCGAGAACTGCTCGAACCCGGGAGGTGGAGGTTGCAGTGAGCTGAGATCGCACCGCTACACTCCTGCCTGGGCGACAGAGTGAGACTCCATCTCAAAAAAAAAGAAAGGAAAAACCTGAAATCAGGCCACGAAGAAATTGGAATTTTAAAACATCCCTGGATACTAGGGTTTTAAGTAACCTAGTTTTCATACTTTATATTTTCCAAGTTTTTTAAAATAATCATGGCATCACTCTTATAACAATAAATAATTTAAAAGTAAAACAGACAGACATTAAGAATTAACTTTATGTGGTATTGAGAGCAAAGGAGAAATTCAGAACAACTCCCAAGTTTTTAACTTGGGAAACTGGGAAGATGGTATGGGGGAAATTAGAAGGAAAGTAGTAACAAGTTTAAATTATCTCTTTCATCCAAGAAAGGATGTCTGCTAGGCAAAATATTTACAAAAACTGACCATATACTGATCTATAAAGCAAGTCTCAACAAATTTTAAGCTATAAAATCATACAGCATATATTTCATGACTACAATGCCGTAAGACTCCAAAATCAATAAAAAGGTAACTTAAAAGTTTGGAAATCAAGACATATACTTTTAGGCCAGGCGCAGTGGCTCAGGCCTGTAATCCCAGCACCTTGGGAGGCCAAGGTGGGCAGATCATTTGAGCTCAGGAGTTTGAGACCAGCCTAGGCAACATGGTAAAACCGCATCTCTACAAAAAATTAAAAATTAGCCAGGCATGGTGGTGCATGTCTGCAGGCCCGACTACTCAGGAGGCTGAGGCAGGAGGATCAGTTGAGCCCAGGAGATTAAGGCTGCAGTGAGCCATGATCACACCACTGCACTCTAGCCTGGGAAGCTGAACTAGACCCTGTCTCCAAAAAAAAAAAAAAAAAAAGAAAAAGAAAAAAAGAAAATATACACTTTTAAATAATCCATGGGCCAAAGAAGAAATCATAACAGAAATAAGTATTTGAAGTTGAACAACAAAAAGCACATATTAAAAACTTGTGGGATGCAGCTAAAGCAGTAGTTGGAGAGATACGTCTCGAAATACATATAATAGAAAAGAAAAAAAAAGTTAATGAATTGAGTAGCTATCTCATGTTGAAGGAAGAAAAAAGAAAATAAGCCCCCAAAAAGTAGAAAAATAAAAGAACAGAAATTAACACAGAAAAAAAAAAGCATATGACAGAACAAATGGCACCAAAAGCTGGTCCTCTGAAAAAACTAATAAAATTGGAAAACATTTGGGAAATATTATTCATGACGTCTAGGAAGCAGCTGGCTATTAAGATCCACAGCTCAGAAAATCTGGTTTGGAAGTGAAGACTTGGAAGTTGTAACATATTAATAATACGTATTTGGGGCCCTGGATAGAAATGAGAAGTGAAAATGAGAAGAGTAGGACTTTGCTGTATTAAGATAGGAGAGTAAAGATTTATTTGTTCCTTTTCATGACAAAACAAAGAGAAAAGAAAAAATTAAAACACACTCCATCTTCAACAATACATGATGTTCCACGTTCATGTTACATGTGAAATTCTAAATCACAATATATGAAGATGGAAGGCAGATGGAAGAATGAACACTTGTAAAATAAGGAAGAAAATTAAACATAAGTGTCAGCTGAAAGAACAATGAGGAATGAGAAGCAAATCCTTTGCTCTACAGAACCTCAAAAGACTAAAGAACTGTTGACACAAGACTCAAAAGACAGAGGTCAAGTGGGAGCATTAAGAATGGAGAAATAGACCGGGTGCAGGGGCTCACGCCTGCAATCCCAGCACTTTGGGAGGTCAAGGTGGGCGGATCACAAGGTCAGGAGTTTGAGACCAGCCTGACCAATATGGTGAAACCCCATCTCTACTAAAAATACAAGAATTAGCTGGGTGTGGTGGCATGCACCTGTAGTCCCAGCTATTCAGGAGGCTGAGGCAGAAGAATCGTTTAAACTTGGGAGGTGGAGGTTGCACTGAGCTGAGATCACACCACTGCACTCCAGCCTGGGTGACAGAGCGAGACTCCATCTCAAAAAAAAAAAAAAAAAAGAACAGAGAAATAGCCAGGCAGGGTGGCTCACGCCTGCAATCCCAGTCAGTACTTTGGGAGGCCAATGTGGGCGGATCACTGAGGTCAGGAGTTCGAGACCATCCTGGCCAACATGGTGAAATCCCGTCTCTACTAAAAATACAAAAATCAGCTGGATGTAGTGGCGGACTCCTGTAATGCCAGCTACCTGGGAGGCTGAGGCAGGAGAATCGCTTGAACCCAGGAGGCGGAGGTTGCAGTGAGCCAAGATTGCACCATTGCACTCCAGCTTCGGCGACAAGAGCTAAACTCCATCTCAAAAATAAAATAAAATAAAAAGAATGAAGAAATATGTAGAAGTTGGTATAAAAGGACACTTGGAAGCCAGGTGAGGATCACTTGAGGCAAGAAGTTCGCAACCAGCCTGGTCAATATAAGGAGACCCCACCACTACAAAAAAAATTTTTTTAATTACTCAGGCATGGTGGCATGTGCCTGTAGTCCCAGCTTCCCAGCTACTCAGAACACATAAGTGGGAGGATCACTTGAGCCCAGGAGTTTGAGGCAGCAGTGAGCTATAATGGCAGTGAGCTATATAATCCAGCCACTGTATTCCAGCCTGGGTAACAGAGCAAGACCATGTCTGAAAAAAAAGACACTTGGAACCCCCGAGTCACATCTCCTATCCTGTACATCCCATCAGAATATGGAACGTTTATTCTTTCAAGGAATTGAATCAAGGGAAATACAAGGCACAGAGAGGGGAACAGGTAAGGTGCCAGCTGAAAATAGAGGTAAACTTTCTCTATAAATATATTCAAGCCAATAAATGAAAAAGAAAATGTTTTAAATCACCATTTTGCAACACCTAATGAATAAATAGATCTATGCACTGAGCATCAGTAGCTGCTAAGAGCACAGCAAGAGAAACATTACATGCTTCCTGATGGGAGAACCCACAGCACATGTGAAATAGTCTTGCCCACCCCACCCCCCAAAAAGGCAAACCTGAACCTGGTAAGCCTCTAGATCTAGTAAATGCAGAGAAATATGCTCAACTACACAGTGGGGATGCAACAGCAAAATACAGGTTAGGAAATGCACATGACAAATGACCTGGTTTCTCCCACAAATAAACTCCACAGAAAAAAAGAGGCAAGATCTAAGATAGAACCTGTAATTGAAAAAAAATCTTAAAACATATATTTTAAAACTAGTAAATTAAACTACAACCCTCAAAATGCACATCTGAATAATAAGACTACAAAGAAAAAATAATCACCACAGAAGTCAGGATGGAGATTATCTGGGGGATGAAAGGGTTGCAATGTGGGTTTCTGGGTTAGCTGGCAATGTTCTACTTTTGACCCTGGGGTGATTACAAAAGTTTTCACCTTATATAACCAAGATAGAAAATAAGAGAAAACAGATTAAGAAAATTAGAGGACCAATCAGAAATATCCAACATGTGAAAACAGAAAAAAAGTGGAGAAAAAATTATCAAAGTAAAAGAAAACATCCCAGTACTGAAAGAAGTAACCAGATTGAAAAGGCCACAAGTGTCCAGCAAACTGAACAAAAAAAACCTGTTCTAAGAAAATCAAGGACAAAGATACTACGTTTACAAAGAGATAAAAGGGCAACTAACAAGGGACTGAGAATAATAATCATTATAGCAATATTACAAGTCAGAAGACAGTGGAACTATTCACTTAAAAATCTGAGTGAAAAATAAATTCTGGGTGAAAATCAACCTTATAACCAGTCAAATTATCAATCAAGGGACTAAAAAGAGTAAGTAAAGCTGGGCTACAGTGGCACACTCCTGTAGTCCCAGCTACTCCAGAGGCTGAGGCAGGAGGATCGCTTGAGCCTAGTTCAGGGCTGTAGTGTACTATGATCATGCCTGTGAATAGCCACTACACTCCACCCTGGGCAACACAGAGAGACCCTATCTCTAAAATGTATTTTTTTAAAAAAAGAGTGTATGTGTATGAAAATTAGAACATTTTCAGCCATATAAAGTATTTAAAGATTTATCCCCCAAGCACACTTTATTTGAGCTTAATAAAACTAAACAGAGGGAGTAAACCAAATAAAAGGCAGGCACGGAATGCAAGGTATGTCACACAGAAGGGAAGAGAAAGGAATTCCCAGGATGGTGGTAAAGGAAAGCCCCAAGACAACTTCCATGCAGCAGGTCTAGAGAACCAGTCCAAATTAGAGCAGAACTCCAGAAGAACTCCAGGAGGATATCTCTAAGAAAAATAAATGGCACTGATAAATTAGATGACAGATTGACATTGTGGAAAAGTGCACTGTGAGACATTTTGTGGAACTGAAGATGTATGAAGATTTTAATGTTCAAAGAAAACTAGGCAAATTTTGTTTTTTAATGAGGCAATTTTTAAACATAGTTGTATAAGAAAAAAATGTAAATCTAGAAATAACAGCTAACAAGTATTTGACACTATTTTAAATTTTTTTTTTTTTTGAGACAGAGTCTCACTCTGTCGCCCACACTGGAGTGCAGTGGTGTGATCTCAGCTCACTGCAACCTCTGCCTCCCGGGTTCAAGCGATTCTCCTGCCTCAGCCTCCCAAGTAGCTGGGATTACAGGTATGTGCCACCACGCCTGGCTAATTTTTTGTATTTTTAGTAGAGACAGGATTTCACCGTGCAAACCAGGATGATCTCGATCTCCTAACCTCGTGATTTGCCCGCCTTGGCCTCCCAAAGTGCTGGGATTACAGGTGTGAGCCATCGCACCCGGCCTCTAAATTCTTTACAAGCATTAACTAACCCTCACCACTACTTTGTGGTACCATATTCTACGTGGTTCTTCATATGTAAACAATTTTTATATACTCACAAATGAAAACAGTTTAAAATGTTTTATATAACTATACTGAAAGAATGAGGAGAGAAGCAATGAATTTCTTTCTCATCTAACATGTTTATAGAGAAAGCTTTCTCTATAACATTATGTTTCATCTAACATTATGTTACAGAGAATATATTTATAGAGAAAGCTTACCCCCTTATTCCTCTCCTCATTCATTCTCATCTAACATTATAAAAAATATATAAAATTGATGAATCTAAATGCAGTGCTATTTTATTTAGAGATATAAAGAATTAGCTAAGGGTTAAAAGTTATTGCCTCTAAGGAGTGGGAAGGGGCGGAGGGAACAGAAAAGAAACTACATTGTTTTGGTAAAAAAGCCTTTTAATTTCAAAATTATCTGATTTTTAAACTTTTAGCAAGTAGCATGCCATTAAATATTCCAAATTTACTTTTTAAAAGATAGAAAATGATAAAAGCAGTGAAGACAAACCAAAAGCAGTGAAGACAAACCCTTGGTAACATCAACATCTATGGTAGTGTTTCAAAAGGATATTTTCTGAATACTAGTTCTAAAGAATGTTAATAGTTGGTATGTGAAAAAACTGTTTCAATAACCAATTAATATCCTCAGAGATATGAGAAAATATTACATCCATGAAATAATAAGGAGCTCTAAGAAATAAAATTATAGCCAAAATAAAAATTTCAAGAGAAGAAAAACCAAACATATATAATAAGAGAAAACAGATTAAGACAACCAAAGGCTCATCTAAGACATCCAGCACATGAAAACAGAAAAAAGGTGGGGAAAAAATTACCAAAGAAAAAGTAGAAGACGACATCCCAGTAACCAGGTAAACTGTGGGGCTTTTTCACAAAAGGACTTCTTGGAGATTTTAATATGTTAAGAAATACTTTATATATAGTTTTCTCTGACATGAGACAACAGAAACTCCACACTCCCTTTCCTTAAAACAGCTCAAGAAACAATTGTTTTAATAAGGCAGTGGTTCTCAACTCAAGTCCATAAACCAGTACTGATCTACAGCAAAGTAAGAAAAGCAAGAACAATGTATTCAGTATTTAATTAAGTTAGTTAACTTAAAAGACCACTCTGTATTTTGAGGGCATATCCTTCTTATATTCTTAAATGTAAGTATCTTTTATGCAATGATGGTGGTCACAGTTTAAAACATTCTTACTTTCTAAAATGAAACGTTGGCAATCTTGTCAGTACACTATCTCCACCCCACCAGTTAATGGTTCATGAAAGGTAAGTATAGGAATCTCTGGAAAACTCTTATTTGAATGATGGACAAACAACTCCAGAGGGGCTAAGCACAGTGGCTGTCACCTATAATCCCAGCACTTTGGGAGGCTGAAGTGGGAGGATTGCTTGAGGCCAGAAGTTAGAAAACTAGTCTGGGCAACATGGCAAGATCTTGTATTGCCATGTTTTAAAAATGTTTTAAATACAAAATTTAAAATGCTTTTTTATAAAAGTATCCTGAGGAAAAGAAGTCACCAGAGAAATACAAGGATAACCCAGAGAGTAAAATATTACCAAAAAAATGAGAAAATACAACTAAGTAGTAGTATACCAGATGTACCAGACGGGTTAAGTAAAATGAGTAATAAAAACTGTTTATTGAATATAACAATTCAAACGTCACATACGAGCACTGACTTCAAATGCCAGACTGCATGGGGTTTAGAAGTGAGGACTAACAGGCTGAGTTTAGCTTATTCTAAAAGTTTAGCTCCTCAAAAAGGTCAAAAAAGTTTTAGGGGCAAAAAAATGTTTGAACATTCATACAAGCTACAAGGTTACAAAAATGGAGAAGTTGTTAAAACTAGGAAAAATAGGCTGGGTGCGGTGGCTCACGCCTGTAATCCCAGCACTCTGGGAGGCCGAGGTGGGCGGATCATGAGGTCAGGAGATCGAGACCATCCTGGCAAACACGATGAAACCCCATCTCTACTAAAAATACAAAAAATTAGCCAGGCATGGTGGCGGGTGCCTATAGTCCCAGCTACTTGGGAGACTGTGGCAGGAGAACGGCATGAACCTGGGAGGCAGAGCTTGCAGTGAGCCGAGATCGTGCCACTGCATTCCAGCCTGGGTAACACAGTTAGACTCCGTCTCAAAAAAAAAAAAAAAAACTAGGAAAAATAACGTAACCAAGAATATTCATATTCCAACAATCCTACTCTCTTACTTTCATACACTGATGATTAAACCTGAATCTTCTGTGTAAAAGATATATTAAAAGTACAGTCAGTCAGGCACAGTGGCTCATGCCTGTAATCCCAGCACTTTGGGAGGCCAAGGCAGGCAGATCACCTGAGGTCAGGAATTCGAGACCCTCCTGGCCAGCATGGAGAAACCCCCATCTCTACTAAAAATACAAAAATTGGCCAGGCGCAGTGGCTCACGCCTGTAATCCCAACACTTTGGGAGGTCAAGGCAGGCAGATCACCTGAGGTCAGGAATTCAAGACCCGCCTGGCCAGCATGGAGAAATCCCCATCTCTACTAAAAATACAAAAATTGGCCAGGCATGGTGGCTCACACCTGTAATCCCAGCACTTTGGGAGGCTGAGGCGGGTGGATCACGAGGTCAGGAGATGGAGACCATCCTGTCTAACACGGTGAAACCCCGTCTCTACTAAAAATACAAAAAATTAGCCGGGCGTGATGGCGGGTGCCTGTAGTCCCAGCTACTCAGGAGGCTGAGGCAGGAGAATGACGTGAACTCGGGAGGCGGAGCTTGCAGTGAGCCGAGATCGTGCTACCGCGCTCCAGCCCGGGGGACAGAGCGAGACTCCATCTCAAAAAAGAAAAAAAATTAGCCAGGTGTGGTGGTGCACACCTGAGATCCCAGCTACTCTGGAAGCTGAGGTTGCAGTGAGCAAAGATTGCGCCACTGCACTCCAGCCTCGGTGACAGAGTGAGACTCTGTCTCAAAAAAAAAAAAAGGAAAATCAAGCTATTAATACTGGGGAGGCTGAGACAGGAACATCCCTTGAGGCTGGGAGTTCAAGACCAGCCTGGGCAACATAACGAGATCCCCATACACAGACACAATCTCTAAAACAATGAAAATATTAAGCCAGGCATAGCGGTGAGAGCATGTAGTCCCAACTACCTGGGAGGCTGAAGTGTGAAGATATCCTGGGCCCAGGAGTTCAAACGCTACCGTGATACAGTGAAGTACGAGAGCTGTGATTGTACCACTGCACTCTTGAGAGGCTCCATCTTTCTTTTTTTTTAAAGGCAGAATCAAACAATTTTCTAGAAATTTACAATCTAATAACTCCATGTAAACAAGTGGAATTTGCATTTTGAATTACAATTGAAAGTAAACATTTTGCTCATCACTGGAACTCTAAAACTTTTCAAGGTATGGCATAAAGTAGGGACTTAAAAATCTCTCTTGAATAAACTAATCAAAGTCTGTATTTATCAATACACACACTAGTAAGTAAATCCTCCATTTATCAAGCAAATATCACTATCCTATAAAAGCACATATTCTATTACAGAGACCCAAATTTATTTATGTATTTATCTAGAATTAAAAAGCCAAAAAAGCTCTTACAAATTTTACTTAATTTCACCTCACTTGAAAATTGCAACTAAAAGCAGAGGCAAATTCTCCTCCCCAACCTCAAGTTCAGCCTGAGCCCCCTAGAATTAAAAATAGCTTAACCACCTAACAGGTTAGAGAATGAACAGAGGTGTTTACAATGTCAGTGACTGTGGCTTTAGTACTCTTCATGAAATTACAGAAAATATTTTTAAATATCTTAAAATGTACGATAAAAAGTCAGTTTTATAGAACATCTTTGTATGTTTGTGTTTCTACCAAAAGCATGTATTTTTGTGATCACAAAAAAACTTTTATAAACTATAAAAAATACAGATCTTAAGATTTTTTTAAAAATTGTAAATGAGGTTGGGCATGGTGGTTCATGCCTGTAATCCCAGCACTCCACTCTGGTAGGCTGAGGCAGGCAGATCACTTGAGGTCAGGAGTTCCATACCAGCCTGGCCAACGTGGTGAAACACCATCTCTACCAAAAAACACAAAAATTAGCCAGGCACGTTGGCACACAGCTGTAATCCCAGCTACTTGGGTGGCTGAAGCATGAGAATTGCTTGAACCCAGGAGGCAGAGGTTGCAGTGAGCCGAGATCGCACCACTGCATTCCCGCCTGGGCAAGAAAGTGAGATTCTGTCTCAAAAAAAAATTGTAAATGACACTGTTAAATATAATATATCAAGTATTTTCAAAATGGTAAATACCAAACATTTAGAAACAGTAATAGATTTCAAAAATATATCTGATTTTTTTAAAAGCCAATATGACAACTGGTAAAATCTTTACATCACAATACCCATAGCCATCTAAATTATTTGTGCAAAAGGAATCCTTGATTATATTATCTCACATATACAATGAATAATAAAGAAAGGTTAACTACAGACTTAAAACACCAAAACCAACAAGGCCACTAATATACATTAAAACCACAGATAAATGTGAATTAAGTACAGGTACATACATTCATGTTCAAGTCCAGAATTTATAAAGTTGATTACACTACATAAAATGAGCCTCCACTAACAATTCAGGCAAGGATGAACTGGAAAGTTCAGCGTTGTCATTATAATCCTGCAGACTCTGGTCCTAAGACCAACGAGAAAAAAATAAGAGAACTGAGGGGCTCTTGCTGCAAGCCACTAACTATACCCTAGAGTTTTAAAAGTTCCAATTACTATAAACAAAAGTATGAACTGGATCTTTGGTAGGTAGTAGAGCATATGGATGATAAGGGCTTGAAAATATCTTCATCTTGCTATACTGCTTAACTTTCTCAAAAGCATTCATATCTCATTTTCTCCTCCTAATAATGCCATAGAATAGGAAGGGAAGACTACTGTTTAACAAGTGAAAAATCTGGAACTCAGAAGTAAAATTACTTCCTTAAAGTTGTAAAGAAAGATAGGTAATACCTGGCTCTACTATGGTAAACCCCAGTTAAGTGATACTATTTCTGAGACAAAGTTATTCTAGATATTTGTCACCTTTGGATCCCAATTATGAACCGAGGTCACATACAGTGGGGAAGGCCAAGAATATTTTCAGATTTAGCAACTGGTGAATGAAATCAGGCCATTCACTGCCAGTATCGACAGTATCCAGCCTCTTGTCCACAGTATATTTTGCCATTAAGGCTTTTTTTTTTTTTTGAGACAGAGTCTCACTCTGTTGCCCAGGCTGCCATGCAATGGTACCATCTCCGCTCACTGCAACCTCTGCCTCCTGGGTTCAAGCAATTCTCCTGCCTCAGCCTCCTGAGTAGCTGGGATTACAGGTGCGTGCCACCACGCCTGGCTAATTTTTGCATTTTTAGTAGAGATGGGGTTTTACCGTGTTGGTCACGCTGGTTTTGAACTCCCGACCTCAGGTGATCCACCCACCTCGGCCTCCCAAAGTGCTGGGATTACAGGCGTGAGCCACCACACCCAGCCTTAAGGCCTTTTTTATAAGTCTAACTGAAGTCATCTATCAGTGATGAAATGATGCATTCCTACAGATGGTTCAACTTGGTTGTTAAGTGTCCTCAGATACTAATACAAGTTGAGCATCCCTAACCTGAAAGTCCAAAATCTGAAATGCTTCAAAATCTGAAACTTTCTAAGCATCAACCACACATGAAAAATTCCACATCTGACCTCGTAACAGGTTGTAGTCAAAACGCAGGTGGCACAACACAGTTTATTCAGTGTCCCGAACGAAAAAATAAGCTTTAGACTAAGCATACAACGTGTGTATGAAACATAAATGAATTTTGTGTTTAAACTTGGGTCTCATCCCCAAGACATCTCATTTGTATATGCAAATAAGCCTAAAATCCTAAAACCCTTCTGGTCCCAAGCATTTCAAATAAGGGATATTCAACCTGTAGCTGTCTGCCCAATTTTGAAACAACAAGAAAAAGTTCAAAGACAGCTGCCTGTAGTATACATTTTCAAAGCTCTGTATTTATCACATAGATAAATACAAAAGGACTTTATAAATAGTTCTTCAAACACCAACAAAACTGGGAAACTAACATAATTACTAGGCTGAAAAAGCTACAAGTCAAATATGATATATTAGTTTTCTTCTCCCACAGGAATATGTCTTTGCATCTCAAGATTCACCCGGGGCTGCCTATCAATTATTCACAAACCAAGATCTTTTCCACCCAAGGCATTCATACATATTGTACCTACTACCAAAATTGCCCTTCTTCCTCATCTTTTTTTTTTTTTTTTTTTTGAGACAGTCTCGCTCTGTCACCCAGGATGGAGTGCAGTGGTGCAATCTCAGCTCACTGCAGCCCCCGCCTCCTGGGTTCAAGTGAACCTCAGCCTCCTGAGTAGCTGAGATTACAGACATGTGCCACCACACCTGGCTAAATTTTTTGTATTTTTAGTAGAGACAGGGTTTCACTATGTTGGCCCAGCTGGTCTCAAACTCCTGGCCTCAAGCGATCCGCCCGCCTCAGCCTCTCAAAGTGCTAGGATTACAGGCGTGAGCCAATGCACCCGGCCTCCTCCTTCATTATTTACATAGTTGATCCTTCCTTCTAAGCATAGTCATGTGCTACACAGTAAAACTTTGGTCAACGACAGATTACATATACAGCAGTGGTCCCATAAGATTATAATGGAGCTGAAAAATTCATATTACCCAGTGACTTTGTAACCACTGTAATGCAATGCTTTACAATGTGTTTGCAGTGATGTTGGTATAAAACAAACCTACTGCACTGCCAGTAGCATAAAGTCTTGCACATATACTCATTATGTACAATACATAATACTGATAACAAACGACTGTGTTACTGGTTTATGTATATGCTATTTAGTTGTCCCTTGGTATCCACAAGGCACTGGTCACAGAACCTCCTGAGGATACCAAAATCCACAGATACTCAAGTTCTGCAGTGTGACCCATAGAACCTATGGATGCTAAAAGTTGGCCCTGGCTGGGCCCAAGTGGCATGCCTGTAATCCCAGCACCTAAGGAGGCCAAGGCAGGAGGATTGTTTGAGGCCAGGAGTTCAAGAATAGCATGGGCAACATACCAAGACCCCGTTTCTACAGAATATTTTAAAAATTAGCCAGGTGTGGTGGCATGCACTTGTAGTCCTAGCTACTCAGGAGGCTGAGGTGGAAGGATCACTTGAGCCCGGGAGTTTGAGGGTACAGTGAGCTATGATCACGCCACTGCACTCCAGCCTGGGCAACAGAGAGACCCTGTCTCTTTTAATGAAGAAAAAAAAAAAAAAAAAAAGGCCGGGTGCAGTGGCTCACGCCTGTAATCCCAGCACTTTGGGAAGCCACGAAGGGCGCATCATGAGGTCAGGAGATCGAGACCATCCTGGCCAACATGGTGAAACCCCGTCTCTACTAAAAAATACAAAAAAATTAGCCGGGCATGGTGGTGGGCATCTGTAGTCCCAGCTATTCATGAGGCTGAGGCAGGAGAATGACATGAACCTGGGAGGCGGAGCTTGCACTGAGCCGAGATGGTGCCACTGCACTCCAGCCTGGACTCCGTTTCAAAAAAAAAAAAAGAAAGAAAGAAAAGAAAAAAGGTAATGTAATTAGGATCCATAACTATACTATAATGACAATGCTTTGAAATTTTAAAAGTATTTTTAGTACTAGATAAGCACTTCACAAACTACCCTTCTATCTCCCTGATTATGGGAGAATTCTTTAACTACTATCAAAAAATCCTCAGAACTGAGAATCAACAGAGGGGCTCAAGTACTGATAAGAACTTTAAATTAAATGAGGATAGGAGAAAGTGATGCTTTATCTTATCAAGGAAAATGGTTTACTTTGTTTCTATATGTTCAAAGTATTTCTTTTAATACTTACATTTTTAAAGACAGGGCCTTGCTCTGTCACCCAGGCTGGAGTGCAGTGGCACATCATAGCTCTCATAGTTCACTGAAGTCTCAAACTCCTAAGCTCAAGCAATCCTCCTACCCAATCCTCCTGCCTCAGCCTCCTGAGTAGCTGGGACCACCGTGCCTGGCTCAGGAATAAATTTAACAGAAGAAGTTCGAGAATTGTACAATGAAAACTACATAATATCAGAGAAAGAAATTAAATAAGATCTATATAACTGGAAAGGCATCCCATGTTCATAGATGTTAATAATATTAAAATGGCAAGTCTTCCCAAATCAATCTATAGATTCAATACAATACCTACCAAAATCCCAGCTGCGTTTTTTTGCACAGACTCACAGATTGATCCTAAAATTTACATGGAAAAGTGAAAGGAACCCAGAATAGCCAAATTGTTTTTTAAAAAGAAAAAAACTTGAGGACTCACAACGTCCCAATTTCAAAACTTACTATGAAGTAATGGTAATTAAAATATTATGGTACAGTCCTAAGTACAGACACATAAATCAATGGAATAAAACTGGGATCCAAGAACAAACTTTTACATGTATGGTTAATTTATTTTTGACAAGATTGTCAAACACAAGTCAATGAGGAAAGAATTAGTTTTTTTTAACAAATGGTACTAGAAAACTGGTATCCACATGCAAAACACTGAAGTTGGACCCCTACCTCACACCATATATAAAAAATTGACTCAAAATAGATGACGGACCTAAATGTAAAAGCTAAAACTATAAAGCTCTTTAGATACGGCATCAAAAGCATAAGCAAAAAAAAAAGGAATAAATTGAACTTTATCAAAATTAAGAATATTTGTGCTTAAAAGGACACCATCAGGAAAGTGAAAAGATAATGCACAGGATGGGGGAAGAAAAGTCTGCAAATCATATCTGATAACAGGCTTGTATCCAAGAATAAAAAGACAGTCCCATTTTTTAAATGAGCAAAAGACTTAAATAGACAGTTCTCCAAAGAAGGTATACAAATGGCCAACAAGTATGTGGAAAGATCCTCAATATAATTAGCCATAAGTGAAATGCAAATCAAAACCACAATGAAATACCAATTCAAACCCTAGGATGGTTATAATCAAAAGATAGACAATAATAAGTATCAGTGAGGATGTGGATAAACTGGTGAGATAATCACTCACCAGATAATCGCTAGTGAGCTTGTAGAATGGCACAGCCTCTTTGAAAAACAGTTTGGCAGTTCCTCAAAACACTAATCCGAGTTATCATCTGACCCAGTAATTTCACTCCTAGATATGTGTACCCAAGAGAAATGAAAACATGTTCACCCAAACCCTATACATGAATGATCACTGCAGCATTACTTACAATAGTCAAAATGTGGGAACAACCCAAATGTCCATCAACTGATGACTAGACAAACAAAAAAAGGTATATTCATATAATGAAATATTATTTGACCCTAAAAAGATATGAAGTGACTATAAATGCTACAACATGGCTGTTCCATGAAAACATTAACGATATAGTTTGGATTTTGTGTGCCCGCCCAAATATTCCGTCAAATTGTAACCCCCAACATTGGAGGAGGCCCCTGGTGGGAAATGACTAGATCATGCAGGCAGATTTTCCCCCCTGCTGTTCTCATGATACTGAGTTCTCTGGTTGTTTAAAAGCATGTGGAGCCGCCCCCATCTCTAATCCTCCTGCTGTGGCCACTTCAAGGGGGCCACTTCAACAGGAAGTTTCCTGAGGCCTCCCCAGCCATGCTTCCTGTATGGCCTGTGGAACCGTAAGCCGATCAAAATTATTTTCTTTATAAATTACCCAGTCTCAGTTATTTCTTCATAGCAGTACAAGAATGGACTAATATAGTCATGCTAAGTGAAGGAAGCCAGACATAAAAGGCCACATATTGTACTACTCCATTTACATGAAATGTCCAGAACAGGCAAATTTATAGACACAGAAGGTAGATTAGTGGTTGCCAGAGGATAGTGGATAGGTGAAGGGGACTGACTGTTAATGGATTAAGATTTTCTTTTCTTTTTGGGATGATGAAAATATTCTGAAATTAGGTATGGTGATGGCTGCACAACTTTGTGAGTATACTAAAAAAAATCACTGAACTGTACACCTTCAAAGAATGCATGTGAATTATGTACATATAACTATAGTATATAAATTATATCTCAATAAAACTTATTAACAACTGTACAGTTAAGATTTGTGCATTTCAATATATGTAAACTTCACCTAAAAATAAACCTTTAAAAAATAATAAAAACAATGGGCTGGGCACAGTGGCTCAATCCCAACACTTTAGGAGGCCACAGCAGGAGGACTGCTTGAGGCCAAAAGTTCATGACCAGCCTGGGCAACACAGTAAGATCCCGTCTCCACAAAAAAAATTAAAAATTTAAAAATTAGCCAGGTGTGGTGGTGTGCACCTGTAGTCCTAACTACTCGGCAGGCTAAGGCAGGAGGATCACTTCCGCCCAAGAGTCTGAGGCAGCAGCAAGTTATGATAGCACCACTTCACTCCAGCCTGGGTGACAGAGCAAGACCTTGTCTCTTTTTACAGAAAAAAAAAAAAAAAAGAATGGTTACATAAAAGCTCACTATTCTATTCTGCTCACTTTGTATTATGTTTGAAATATTCCTTAAGTTTTTTCTACCAAAGTGTAAAAACAAAGTAATTTTTTTAAACAACAAAACGTTCCTAATATCCATTTTTTGTTGTTTTTTGACACAGAAGCAGAATCTTATATTTTAAAAAGACTAGAGAGGTCACTATCTTTCATTATTCTATTGCAATGTTATATGAAAACAGAAATATGACAGAAGACATGGTATGTGGTAAAAATGAATACTTCATCTTAAATGTACAAAAAGAATCTGAACTTCCTCAGTTCTCAGGCATTTCCTCATCCTTGGATTCCTGTGGTTTCCATGGTTAATGAATGTAACAATTCCTCAATACATGGATGCAATAACCCCTACTACTGTGCTGTCCAATACAGTAGCACTGCTACATATGGCCATTTAAATTTTAGTTTTAATGAATTAAATTATAAATTCACTTCTTAGTCTCACTAGTTACATTTCTAGAGTTCAATACCCACATGCAGCTAGTGGCTACTGTACTGGATACAGCAGATATAGAACACTGCCATCACTGGAGAAATTTCTACTAGATAGCACTACTCTAACATATAAGAAATATCCACAGGGAAACTTTTACATTCCAATTTAGGATGGTTATACTGGATTTCACAGCAATAAACAAATTTTCCTGAAGAACAGGGAAAACAAAGTACAAAAATATTAACCATCAAAGATCGTTCATGGAAGTGTCGACTAACTAAAACAGCAGTTAAGTTTTACTTTCAGAACCATCAAGCTACAGATGTTGGTCATGGCAACTCCTCAGAGGCAAATTTCTCTGTTAAAATATAGATTAACAATATACTGTCAGTTTCCTCAAGTCAGATGTAAAGATTATGCTGAAAAATGATTAAAGCAAATTATCCTTCAAAGATCCCACAAAAAGGAATATTTATAATCCATGAAATCAAAGAGTTAATGACCCACAGTAAAATACACAGAATGTCTTTCCTAACAGAGCTTTGAGGCAACGGGGATGATTTAAAGAACTATTAAATATAATTGTGTCATCTAGAAAAAAGGCTTAACAAGATGATTTCTGTACAACTAGTTCTAAAACTGTGTATGCATTTCATCCTGATAGTTACACATTTCCGTTAATACCCACTAACATTATAAATGTAGTATCAGGAAGCAGGTGTGTTCTTAATTCAAATATTTAGAACATTTTTAGCACTTTAAAAAACTGCAGGTGAACTAATTTTAAAATGTGAATTCAAATACATTTTTATATTTAGGAATCTGAAAAAACAAGTCATTTTGTATTCCCTCTCAAGTTATAACTAAACTATAGGGCACTTAAAGCCATCAGTCAAAACAACTCCCTTTAAAGCATTTTCAAATCTTAAAAAGGTTATTGTGAATTTAATTACATTTTATCCACATTAACTACTTCTACATACAACTATCTTTGAAATTTACTGACAAAAAAAAAAAAAAAAGGAATTCCCAAGAGAGAATGAAACCATGGAAATTGAAACCAGCTTGTAGGCTAGGTATACAGGAGGGTCACATGGAATCCATCTGAAGGAGAAAGTAACTACTATTACTACCGGAGGTTCTGAAGTCAAATTAAATCAGGTACTATTTACATATTTCTAGCTCTGTACTGACCTCACATGGTGCCTTCCTATGTATTACACACAGGCCTAGCTAGGTTTTCACATTTAAGTTAGTGTTACATGGTTTCTATCTTTAACCAAAGTTAAATGTTTTAAAGAATAGAGTAACATTCCATAAGCCTTTTCCCATTGTTCACAAACCCTTGCTGTTAGTCAGATTACCCCGATAAATCCATCTGTTCCCTCTAATTGCTTCCAAAGAAAAATTCTAGCAACCAAGGACACCAGATTGTAAAACACAGAGTTAGAGTTCTGGCACTACCGAAATATGTTAAGAAATCTTGGCAAATTGGTTAAAATTCCTTGAGCCGTAATTACCTCAGTTGTAAAAATGAATACAATACAAATCTACATCCTAGACGTAGATTATATGAGTTAGGTTTAATTAAACACAAGAAAAGCCTCATATTTTTGGTGAGCTCCAAATATAAGCTACCTAGCTTTCCCCCATCTCACTTTCCCTCCCACCGCTTCCCTTTAAGCTTTCAGGTTGTGCTTCCAACCTCCACTTCAGTGTGTTCCCCTTATCCTTACCAGCACTTACACTCGACCCCCTTTACTCCAATTCCATACAATTCCACCCTCCGATTCCAAGCTGCTACTTCCCTTTGCGCACTGCTAAGGTCCCAGGCAGCCCTCCACTCTGCTCCCCACATTTCCCTCAGCCCCCATTTCCCAACGGCTCCTCCTCTCGGCTCCCCACCCCCTCGTCACCAGGTTCATCCTGCCCCTCCAACCGTCTCCCGCCCCCAGGTTCCTTCCTGCCCTCCAAACACAGCTTCCCCGTCTCAACGTTTCATCTTGTTCCTCCAACAGACTCCCCCAACGACCTCCTCGCTCCTTTAGTCCCTATTTTCTCCCAACACTCAACTGACTACTCCTCTTCATCCATTCTTTTCAATATACACATAAATGCAAAGGCACCCACATACAGGAGCCCCCACCCCCACCTTGGTCCTCCATCTTTCCCTTTTATACTTGCTTCCTTTCTTCCTCCTTCCCCCAACCCCCATCTCCTCCGGAAGAGTCGGTTCCCAGGCCAAGGTCTCTCACCTCATTCGGTCACTTCAGTGGTGCCAACCGCTTCATACAGGAAAAAACAACCAATCCGTCCCCGTGGGCGCTTCCCCTGCGAGTCCGAGCACTTACTGGGCACCCGCCCCACCGGGTACCCGGCACATATGCACGCACAAACCGAGGTCCTTGGAGACAAGGGTTGGGGGTAGAATGAGCGTTCTTACACCGGCCTCAAACACAGCCCACTTCAATACAGCCCCTCGCCATTTTGGTTTCCCGCGGACTGCCGGTGCATTCTGGGAGCGCGGAGCGACTCCGGTGCCGAATGGCAGCTCTCCAAAGCCGCGGGGGGGCAGGGACTGCGCGGCGAGCGCGGAGGAACACCGCGCCCTGCGTCCCCGACTGGGGCTGAACAAAGAAGGACTCTTTAACGTTGCAGTGAGGCTCAGTCCTTCCGCCGCCGGGGCTAACACAATAGTGAAAGCTGCGCTCCTGATCGTCGGCAGGCTGGCACTGTTATACAGGAAAAGGGTCGTGTGCGACCTTCGGTGTGCGTGGTCGTAACGGTGCTCTGTGCATCTTGCTGGGCCGATTTCTTTTCCCTGGAGAAAACCTTAACTGAAGCACGTTTCCTCTACTTTCATCCTAAGGCCTGCTGTTAGAATTTCCTTCAGAGGGGAGAAGACCCAGGATGTCGAGATTAAATTTTATTCAGCGATTCACTGTCCAGTCCCAAACTCCTTATCAGGAGCTGCTTTTATGAAAGACTTTCAGACGATTTTTTTCCTAACGATGAAAGGTTGTTTTCTGTTTACCCGCTTTGCAGTCCTTCCTAGTTGTAATGAAATCTGAGAATAGTCCCCTGCAAAATGGTTTAAGAAAACAGAATTGTTTATTAGTGCAGACCCTTAGCCTGCCCAGATTCTGCTGCCTACAGGGGTCCCAACTGACAAGCTGTGAGATTGTATGCTTGTCTCTTTAACTTACACCTAGATACAACCCAGCTCCTCTTAGTAGCCACGTGTGGAATCTTTATTTATAATTTCGTCAAAATATTTTTAAAGCCATTTTATATTTTTGTCCCATATTATGCCACAGGGATAGTGAACACCATATTTTTTCTGTCTCTGAAAAAGTACCTTTTGTGGTCTAAGCTCATTTGGCTCATACTTCAAAAGGGGTTCCCTCAGCCTGTGATCTCAGAATTTGGCAAATAAGCATATTCGTTTTATCCAATACCATTCAATACTTTAAATATTGTGGTCATACCCTTCCACTCCTCTGCTTCTCCTGAATAATAGTCCTAATCTTTTAAGTCTGTCTTCTTACTGTACCCTCACTGTATCTACTTACCTACTACCTTTCAGGTTTCACTTTATTTCAATTCTCATCATCGTCTCTCATAAATTCGTCTTAAGTGACCTTCATACGTTGGCTGAGGAAAATTTTGACTTAAAAAAAGCAGATGCAGCCGGGCGCGGTGGCTCACACCTGTAATTCCAGCACTTTGGGAGGCCGAGACAGGCAGATCACCTGAGGTCGGGAATTCGAGACCAACCTGATCAACTTGGAGAAACCCCGTCTCTACTAAAAATACAAAAATTAGCCAGGTGTGGTGGCACATGCCTGTAATCCCAGCTACTCGGGAGGCTGAGACAGGAGAATCGCTTGAACCCAGGAGGCAGAGGTTGTGGTGAGCCAAGATCGTGCCATTGCACTCCAGCCTAGGCAACAAGAGCAAAAACTCCATCTCAAAAAAAAAAAAAAAAAAGTAGATGCATTCCCATTCAGGAACGTGGCATTAAGGTAAATAAATAAATAAAATATTAAAAAGTAGATGCAGTACAAAAATTAATAAAGATATTGCACAAACAGATATATTTGCTGTGCAGCTAAGCCTAATCAGAGAACATCTGTTTTGGAGAACGTTTGGTCTAAGTTTTCCTCAACATTTCTGTAAAGTGGTCACCAAGCCTCAACTTCAAAATCTTCAGTGATTCAATACTTCAGACGCATTCATTTCCACCTCAGAAACTCTAATAATTTAGGCTCTTTGGCTACACAAAAGTATTCTAATCCCTTATACATTAGAGAAGTAAATTATGCCTCTATCAAAAAAAAGTGTTATTTTTCTGTGCAAACGTGTGAGTACAAAGGTGTAAGCAAACCAAGTGTTCAGAGATTTAAGGACACTCAGGGAGTCACAGTCAAGTATAAAGAATACCTGTCAGCCAGCCACCAGCAACTCACTCCTGTAATCCCAGTACTTTGAAAGGCCAAGGTAGAAGGATCACTTGAGCTGGGGAGTTCCAGACCAGTATGCAGTCTGAGCCACATAGTGAGACCCTGTCTCTACAAAAAATTTAAAAATTAGCTGGGCCCCTGCCTGTAGTCCCAGCTATTCAGGAGGCTGAGGTGGTAGGCTTACTTGAGCCACAGTGAGACTGCCTCAAAAAAAAAAAAAAAAAAAAAAAAAACCTGCTGTAGTTGTGGTTCCTCGGAAATATAGAGTGAACTCTGATCAGAGTAAACTGTACCCTTTATTGTTGTATGTATTTCTGTGATCATCCTTAGGGTGGTTCATAAGTATTCTGGTTCCCCTCTCTTCCAGACACATAGTAAAATTGCACTCTGGCCGGGCGCGGTGGCCACGCCTGTAATCCCAGCACTTTGGGAGGCTGAGGGGGGCAGATCACTTTAGGCCAGGAATTCCAGACTAGCGTGGCCAACATGGCAAAACTCTGTCTCTACTAAAAATACAAAAATTAGCCGGGCGTGGTGGTGCATGCCTGTAATCCCAGCTATTTGGGAGGCTGAGGCAGAGAATCACTTGAACCCAGGAGGCCGAGATTGCAGTGAGCCAAGATTGCACCGCTGCACTCCAGCCTAGGCGACAGAGGGAGACTCTGTCTCGAAGAAAAAAGAAAAAAAAATTTGCACTTTCTTGCACCCCTGAAGTTAATTGCTTTGACCAATAAAATGGGTGACATGTATCACTTCTCAGGAGAATCTTTAAGAAGCAGAGACACATCTCCCTCCCCCATGCTATGGTAATCATGGAAGCTTGGGTTGAGATAGAATGTCTGTCGCTTTCAGTTCCTAAATGTCTACAATAAGCAGTGACTAGAATTGTGCAATCATCACCACAATCCACGTTTAAAACATTTCCATCACCCCCAAAAAATTCATTATGCGCATTTGCAGTCAACCCTCCTTCCAAGCCCTAGGCAATCTGCTATCTGCTTTCTGACAATTTCATATAAATGGTTTCATACAATAAGTAGTCTTTTGCATCTGGGTTCTTTCACTCAGAATATTTTTTAGGTTCATCTACGTTGTACCAGTCAGTAGTTATTTCTTTTTATTGCCAAATAGACTCCATTTGAATGAATGTACTACATTTTGTTTATCCATTCGCCAGTTGAAGGACATTTATGTTGTTTTCAATCTGGGGCTATTATAAATAAGACTGCTATGAACATTTGTGTACAAATCTTTGTATGGACATTCGTTTTTTATTTTTCTTGAGTAGATCCCTAGAAGTGGAATTACAGAGTTGTATGATAAGTTTATGTTTAACATTTTAAGATACTGCCAAACTGTTTTCCAAAGTGTAAGCAATATGTAAGCCTTCCAGTTTCCCAATATCCTCACTGATACTTGTCTATCTTTCTGATTTCACTCATAACAGTAGGGATTGCTAGGCATGGTGGCTCACACCTGTAATCCTAGCACTTTGGGAGGCCAAGGCTGGAGGATTGCTTGAGCCCAGAAGTTTGAGACCAGCCAGGGCAATACAGTGAAACCTTGTCTCTAAAAAAATAATAATTTTTTTTTTTTTTAGATGGAGTCTCTCTCTGTCACCCAGGCTGGAGTGCAGTGGCACAATCTTGGCTTACTGCAACCTCTGCCTCCTGAGTTCAAGCGATTCTCCTGCCTCAGCCTCCTGAATAGCTGGGATTACAGGCACGTGCCACCACGCCCGGCTAATTTTTGTATTTTTAGTAGAGACTGGGTTTCACCATGTTGGTCAGGCTGGTCTCAAATTCCTGACCTTGTGATCTGCCTGCCTCGGCCTCCCAAAGTGCTGGGATTACAGGCATGAGCCACTGCACCTGGCCAAAAAAAAAAAAAAAATTATTATAATAATTTAAAACAGTGGGAGTGAAGTGGTTCATTGTGGTTTCCCTAATGGCTAGTGCTATTGAGCATCTTTGGTTTGTTAGCCATTCTTATATCTTCTTTAGTGAAGTGCCTACTCAAATATTTTATGTATTTTTTAACTGGACAATCTTCTTATATCAACTTGTAAGAGTTCTTTATATATTCTAGATTTAGGTTCTTTAACAGAAGCATGATTTGCAAATATTGTCTTCCTGTCTATGACTTTATGACTTGTCTTTTCATTTTTCATAATGATGTCTTTTCTTTTTCCCCCAGAAACAAGGTCTCACTCTGTTGCCCAGCCTGGAGTGTAGTGGCACTGATCATAGCCCACCATAACCTCAAACTCCTAGGCTCAAGCAATCCTCCCATATTAGCTTCTCAAGTAGCTGAGACTACAGGTGCACACCACCACTCCCAGCTAATTTTGTTTTAATTCTTTTAGAGATGGGATCTCTATATGTAGCCCAGGCTGGCCTGGAACTCTTGGCCTCAAGCCATCCTCCCACCTCAGCCTCTCAAGTAACTGGGATTACAGGTGCAAGCCACCCTTGCCAGGGCTTAATGTATTTTGAAGGGAAAAAAATTTATTTTAAGTTCAATGAAATCCTATTTATCTTTTTTTAAATACCATATGCTTTTGGTGTTATAACTAAGAATTATTTTACCAAAGTCTATTTTCTATTATGTTTTCTTCAGAAGTTTATAGGTTTAGCTCTTATATGTAAGTCTATGATCCATTTCGAGTTATTTTTTGTGCACAGTGTGAGAGGTATAGGTCTGTATTAATCTTCTTGTGGCTGGGTGTGGTGGCTTCTGCCTGTAATCCCAACACTTTGAGAGGCTGAGGTGGGAGGATTGCTTGAGCCCAGGAGTTTGAGACCACCCTGGGCAACATGGCAAAACCCTGTCGCTACAAAAAATACAAAAAAAAAAAATTAACTGGGCATGGTGGTGTGCACTTGTAGTCCCAGGTACTTTGGAGGCTGAGGTGGGAGGATCAATTAAGCCTGGGAGGTTGAGGCTGCAGTGAGCTGTGATCTTGCCACTGAGCAGTAGCCTGGGCAACAAAGCAAGACCCTGTCTCAAAAAAAATTTTTTTTTTGCATGTGAATGTTCAAATGGTGAAACAAACTTTTGTTGTATTAGCCACTGCAGTTTGGAGTTGTCTGCTACCCAGCATATTTTAGCCTACTCTGACTGATACAATCTAGATTTGTTAATACAGGCATACCTGTATTAATCTGCAGGATCGGTAGCAGACCACCACAAAAAGCAAATAGTCACATGAATTTTTTTGGTTTCTCAGTACATATAAAAGTCATGTTTACACTATACTGTAGTCTATTAAGTGTTCAATAGCATTATTTCTTTAAACAAATCTTAATTTAAAAATACTTTATTGCTAAAAAAAAATGTTAAAAATTATCTGAGCCTTCAGCAAGTCATAGTCTTTTTGCTGATGGAGGGTCTTGCTTCCATGTTGACGGCTGCTGACTGATCAGGGTGGTGATTGCTAAAGGTTTGTGGGGTGGCTGTGGCAATTTCTTAAAACAAGACAACAATGAAGTGTGCTACATCGATTGACTGTTCCTTTCACAAAAGATTACTTGGTAGCATATGATGCTGTTTGATAGCATTTTACTCACAGTAGAACTTTCAAAAATTGGCTGGGTCAGGTGGCTCACACCTGTAATCCCAGCACTTTGGAAGGTTGAGGCAAAAGGGTTACTTAAGTCCAGGAGTTCCAGACCAGCCTAGGTACCATGGCGAGACCCCTTCACTACAAAAAATAAAAATAATAAAAATAAATTAGCTAGGCATGGTGTTACATGTCAGTAGTCCCAGATACTTGGGAGACTGAGGAGGGAAGATGGCTTGAGCCTGGGAGGTCAAGGCTGCAGTGAGTTGTGTTCATGCCACTGCACTCCAGCCTGGAGTGAGACTTTTTTTTTTTTTTTTTTTGAGGCGGAGTTTCGCTCTTGTTTCCCAGGCTGGAGTGCAATGGTGTGATCTTGGCTCATTGCAACCCCCGCCTCCTGGGTTCAAGCAATTATACTGCTTCAGCCTCCCTAGTACCTGGGATTACAGGTGCCTACCACCACACCCAGCTAATTTTTTGTATTTTTAGTAGAGACAGCATTTCATTATGTTGGCCAGGCTGGTCTCGAACTCCTGACCTCAGGCGATCCACCCACCTCAGCCTCCCAGAGTGATGGGATTACAGGCATGAGCCACCATGCCCGGCTGACCCTGTCTCAAAAAAAAAAAAAAAAAAAAATTGGAGTCAATCCTCTCAAACCCTGCTGCTTTATCATCTAAGTTTATATAATATTCCAAATCCTTTCTCATAATTTATTTATTTATTTTTTTGAGATGGACTCTCACTCTGTCACCTAGACTGGAGTGCAATGGCCCAATCTCCACTCACTGCAACCTCTGCCTCCCAGGTTCAAGCGATTCTCCTGCCTCAGCCTCCTGAGTAGCTGGGATTACAGGCACGTGCCACCATGCCTGGCTAATTTTTGTATTTTTAGTAGAGACGGGGTTTCACCATGTTAGCCAGGCTGGTCTTCAACTCCTGACCTCAAGTGATCCACCCACCTCAGCCTCCCATAGTGCTGGGATTACAGGTGTGAGGCACCATGCCCAGCCTGTCATTTCAACAATGTTCACAGCATCTTCACTGGAGTAGGTTTCATCTCAAGAAACCACTTTCCTTAGAACAGTGATTGCCAAGGGCTGGGGGAGGGGATGTGTTAGCCCATTCTCACGTTGCCATAAAGATCTACCTGAGACTGTGTAATTTATAAAGAAAAGAGGTTTAATTGACTCACAGTTCCACAGGCTATATGTGAAGCATGGCTAGGGAGGCCTCAGGAATTATGGTGAAAGGTGAAAGGGAGGTAAGCACATCCTCACAAGGCCAGCAGGGGATAGAGAGAGAGAGCCAGAGGGAAGGTGCTACATACTTTTAAACAATCAGATCTTGTGAGAACTCACTATCATGAGAACAGCAAGGGGGAAATCTGCCCCCATGATCCAATCATCTCCCACCAGGCCCCTCCCCCAACACTGGGGATGACAATTCAACATGAAATTTGAGTGGGGACCCAGAGCCAAATCATATCGGGAAGGATAAGAAGTGAGTAACAGCTTAATGGGTATGGGGTTTCCCTTTGGTGTAATGAAAATGTTTTGGAACTAGATAGAGGAGATGATTGCACAAGTGTGAATGTACTAAATGCCATTGAACTATTCACCTTAAAATGGTTACTTTTATGTTACCTGGATTTTACTTCAATTTTTAAAATACTTGAAAAGAAAAAAGAAACCACTTTCTTTGCTCATTCATGAGAAGCAACTCCTCATCTGTTCAAGTTTGATCATAAGATTGTAGCAATTAAGGCATATCTTCAGCCTCCACTTCTAATTCTAGTTCTCTTGCTCTTTCTACCACATCTGCAGTGACTTCCTCCACTGAAGGACTCCCTCCAAGTCATCCATGAAATTTAGGATCAACTTCTTCCAAACTCCTGTTAATGTTGATATTTTGACCTCCTCCCATGAATCGTGAATATTCTTTTTTATTTGTTATTTTTTATTTATTTATTTTATTTTTTTGAGAAGAAGTCTTGCTCTGTCGCCCAGGCTGAAGTGCAGTGGCGCAATCTCGGCTCACTGCAAGCTCTGCCTCCCGGGTTCACGCCATTCTCCTGCCTCAGCCTCCCAAGTAGCTGGGACTACAGGCGCCCACTGCCACGCCTGGCTAATTTTTGTATTTTTAGTAGAGACGGGGTTTCACTGTGTTAGCCAGGATGGTCTCGATCTCTTGACCTCATGATCCGCCCACCTTGGCCTCCCAAAGTGCTGGAATTACAGGTGTGAACCACTGCGCCCAGCTGAATCGTGAATATTCTTAATGGCATCTAGAATGGTGAATCCTTTCCAGGTGGTTTTCAATTTACTTTGCCCAGATACATCAGAGGAAACACTATCTAAGGTAGCCATCACCTTACAAAATGTATTTCTTAAATAATAAGACTTGAAAGTCAAAATTAATCCTTGATTCACAGCTGCTGAATGGATGTTGTGTTAGCAGGCATGAAAACAACATTCATCTCCTTGTACAACATTCATCTTCATCAGAGCTCCTGGGCAACTAGGTGCATTGTCAATGAACAGTAATATTTTGAAAGAAATCTTTTTCTCTGAGCAGTAGGTCTCAACAGTGGGCTTAAAATATTCAGTAAACCATGCTATAATCAGATGCGCGGTTGTCTGCTTTGTTGTTCCATTGGTAGAGCACAGGTAGGGTAGATTTAATATAATTCTTAAGGACCCTTTGATGTTCAGATGGCAAATGAGCATTGGCTTCAACTTAAGGTCACCAGCTGCATTAGGCCCTAAGAAGAGAGTCATCCTGTCCTTTGAAGCCTAGAAGCCAGGCATTGACTTCTCTCTAGCTATGAAGGCCTAAGCTGGCATCTTCTTCCAACAAGACGCTGTTTCATCTCTATTGAAAATCTGTCATTTAGTCTAGCCACCTTCATCAGTTATCTTGGCTATATCTTCTGGATAACGTGATGCAGCTTCTACATCAACACATGCTACTTCATCTTGCACTTTTATGTGATACAGATTCTTTCCTTAAACTTCATGAACCAACTTCTGCTAGCTTCTAACTTTTCTTCTGCAGCTTTTTCACCATCTTAGCCTTCATAGAATGGAAGAGAGTTAGGGCCTTACTCCGGATTAGGCTTTGGTTTAAGCAAATGAATGTTGTAGCTGGTTCGATGTTCTATCCAGACCATGAAAAGTTTCTCTATATCAGCAATAAGGCTGTTTTACTTTCTTATTATTTGTGTGTTCACTGGAGTAGCACTTTTAATTTTCTTCCAGAACTTTTACTCTGCGTTCAGAACTTGGCTAAATGTTTGGCACAAGAGGCCTACCTTTTGGCCTATCTCAACTTTTAATATGCCTTGCTCACTAAGCCTAATCATTTCTAGCTTTTGATTTAAAGTGAGAGATGTGTGGCTCTTCCTTTCACTTGAACTCTTAGAGCTATTATAGGGTTATTAATTGGCCTAATTTCAATACTTTTGTGTCTCAGGAAATAGGGAGGCAAGAGGAGAGGGTAAGAGACAGGGGAACGGCTGGTTGGTGGAGTAGTCAGAATACACACAACATTCATCAATTAAGTTTGCCATCTTATATGGGCACAATCATGGCACCCCAAAATAATTACAATGGAAACATCAATGATCATTGATCACAGATCACCATAACAGATATAATAATAATGGAAAAGTTTGAAATATTGTCAGAATTACCAAAATGTGACACACAGACACGAAATGACCACATGCTGTCAGAAAAATGGTACCAATAGACTTGCTTGATGCCACATTGCCCCAAACTTTCAATTTGTAAAAAAATGCAGTATCTGTGAAGCACAATTAAAAAATGAAGTAAGCCTACATATGGGAATTCTACTATTTTGTCATGAACCTAAAACTGCTCTAAATTTTTTTTTTTTTTTTTGAGATGGAGTCTCACTTTGTTGCCCAGGCTGGAGTGCAGTGGCGTGATCTCGGCTCACTGCAACTGCAACCTCTGCCTCTCAGGTTCAAGAGATTCTCCTGTCTCAGCCTTCGAGTAGCTGGGACTACAGGCGCCCACCACCATGCCCGGCTAATTTTTTGTATTTTTAGTAGAGATGGGGTTTCACCGTGTTAGCCAGGATGGTCTCGATCTCCTGACCTCGTGATCCACCCACCTCGGCCTCCCAAAGTGCTGAGATTACAGGCATGAGCCACTGCACCCAGCCTAAAATGTCTATTTTTTAATAAAACCAAACAACCTTGTAACTGTGGCAGCTATTATTCATATGTGGAACTTTTTCATTTGTTTATTTAGGTATGTTGTACCGCAATTTTAAGAAATAAATAGAAGGTTTCCCTTTTCTAGCTTACCTCTGTCCACCTATTGTTCAAATTGGAACTCTCTCTCTTAGCTTCTCTGGTGAGTGAAGTAGTGCTCCCTAAAGAGATTTGAAAATACTAATGTAAGAAATATTTCCTTTATTCACTTTCAGAGGGAGTTCAAGTAGTTGTCAAATTGTCATAGTTGTCAAGTGAATGAATTAACTAGTTCAACAAATAATAATCAGTTTTCCTACCTTGAGTGAGCCTGGGATGTTCTTAGCCCTTGGTTCCCAAATTATGGTCTCCAGATCAGCTGCACTAGCATCACCTGGGAACTTACTATAAATATACATTCCTGGCCAGGCATGGTGGCTCACGCCTGTAATCCCAGCACTTTGGGAGCCCAAGGCGGGTGGATCACCTGAGGTCAGGAGTTCGAGACCAGCCTGGCCAAAACAGTGAAACCTCATCTCCACCAAAAATACAAAAATTAGCTGGGCATGATGGCACTTGCCTGTAATCCCAGCTTCTCGGGAGGCTGAGGCAGGAGAATTGCTTGGACTCAGGAGGTGGAGGTTGCAGTGAGCTGAAATCATGCCACTGCACTCCAGCCTGAGTGACAGAGCAAAACTCCCTCTCTGAAAAAAAAAAGAAAAAAGAAATATACATTCCTGGACCCCACTTCAGACATACTGAATCAGAAATTCTTGACCAGGTGCGTTGGCTCATACCTGTAATCTGAGCACTTTGGGAGGCCAAGACAGGCAGATAACTTGAGGTCAGGAGTTCAAGACCAGCCTGGCCAACATAGTGAGACCCCATCTCTACTAAAAGTACCAAAGTTATCCAGGTGTGGTGGCACTCACCTGTAGTCTTAGCTACTCGGGAAGCTGAGGCACGAGAATCACTTGAACCCAGGAGACAGAGGGTGCCATGAGCCAAGATCGCACCACTGCACTCCAGCCTGGGCGACAGAGTAAGACTCCATCTCAAAAAAAAAAAAAAGAAAAAGAAAAAGAAAAGAAAAAGAAAGAAACTCTGGGGGTGGGGCCCAGCAATCTATGTTTTTCCCAGCCTTTCAGATCATTCTGATGCATGTTCAAGTTTAAGAATAACAGTTCTAGATAGTGATGATACAGAGGCAAAGAAAACAAAGTGCTTATCCTCTTGGAGCAATAATAAACAAATAGTTATACATAAAATTTCAGGCAGAGGTGAGTGTTATCAGGGAAACCAGAACAGGAGAAGGAGGGAGAACACAGAGGATGCTCAGGCAGGGTCTCCCTGAGGGGTAGGAGCTCTGAAGTCACATAGGGCAGAGTCTGAAAATTGGCAATCCACCAGTTTCTAGCCTTTTAAATGTTTGGTTTCCTCATCTGCTAAAATAGAGATAATAATATTACTTACCTTACAAGCTCACTCTGAAGATTAAATAAGATAATGCTTATAAAATCCTTGCAACTGTTTCTGGCACAGAATAAGCCTTAAATAAATGTCAGCCCTCCAAATATGAGGGCAGGGGAGTGCTGTAGATGTATACTTGGGAATCATCAATGTAGAAATTAGTAGTAAAATAGATGAAAAGATAGATAAACCAACACACAAAAAGAGAAGAGGATGGATGGTGGGATCATGTCGGTAGAGACAGAAGTGGGTTGAGAGATGGTGAGAAAGTAAAGAAATGAAGATGAGGAGAGGGAGCTTTTATGTGTACCCAGCTAAAGCTGGAAACTTGGAAAAGAAGGCCAATAGATTAGGTGACCAACCAACCATCCTGGGTGTGGGACTTTCAGTGCTAAAATTAGGAAAGTCCTGGGCAAGCTGGGCCAACCTGGTCACTTTAGCAGTGGATATAACCATAGGGGATGAAGTAGACAATAAATACTCTGACCTTTCTTTCCTGGTGCCCTCTGATCTCCATACAGTAAGCTTATAAGGTGCCTTTATGGTGTCTTGACCCAACCAGAAGCCAGAGGGCAAGGGAGCTGGGGTAATATAGACCAGAGAAGTCGGTCTTGCCTGGTCACAGACCAGGGCAAAGAAAGGACAGAGAATCAACCTGGAAGGACAAAGACAATGACCAGCACAGTGGCAAAACTGGAATTAAAATTGTCTTGGATAAATCTGACTCCAGAGCTCTTCTTCTTCTTCGTCTTCATCTTCATCTTCTTCTTCTTTTTTTTTTTTTCAGACAGGGTCTCACTCTCGTTACCCAAGCTGGAGTGTAGTAGCTCAATCTCGGCTCACTGCAGCCTCAACTTCCCAAGCTTAGGTGATCCCCCCACCTCAGCCTCCCAAGTAGCTGGGACTACAGGCAGCCACCACCACACCTGACTAATTGTTTTTGTATTTTTAGTAGAGACAGGATTTTTCCACATTGCCCGGGCTGGTCTCTAACTCCTGGGCTCAAGCAATCTGCTCGCCTTGGCCTCCCAAAGTGCTGGGATTATAGGGGCCAGCCACTGTGCCTAGCCCAGAGCTTTTATTCTTTTTCCAGCCTTATCTAAAGGTAGAAAGCCCTCTAGGAGTGATGAGTGCTTTCTGCATCCTCAAATTAACCCTACATAAAATTTTAAAAATTACCCAAAGATATTCTTTGGTATCTGAACAGCCCACAAAGCTTTTCTTTTTTCTTTAAAGACAGGTTGTTGCTCTATTGGCCAGGCTGGAATGCTGTGGTGCAATCATAGCTCACTCTCACCTCAAACTCCTGGGGTCAAACCATCCTCCCATCTCAGCCTCCCAAAGCACTGAGATTGCAGATGTGAGCCACTGTGCCCAGCCATCTTTAAAAAACAAAAATTGTATACATTCAGTGGTGACTATAATGTACAAGAGGCAGACAGGATCTAGATGCTCCAGAAATAGAGTTAGTGGAGAAAATCCCTATGGGGACTCTGGACTCCCTCTGAAAAGATTTAGGTACAGGATGGTCCCAGGTGCTAGGAACTGTTTCCCAGCTCACTCCCTCCCTGGAAGGCTTAATCCTCAAATCACACTTGATGCGAGCTCTGGCAAGTGTCAGTGGTCAAAGACCACTATTCACATGGTACCTTTCTGAAGACCGGAAGGCCCAACTGCCCCATACCCCAGGCACCTCCAGCTCACCCAGGCTCCATTGCCACCAATGGCCAGAACTTTCAAAATTAGCAATATTAAAACTTTTGGAGCATTTATCACAGAAAATCTTCATAGCAAGGTAAAGCAAAATTCTTATCATTGATACTACCTCAGCCTATAAAAATATTTCATTGTACTTTTAGTCATGACAAATCTTTTTGCTTCATTGAAATAGGAGAATATCTTTTTGCTACTTTAAATAAGATTGCTCTTAAAACTAAGTGTGCCATGCAATTATCAAAAAGATTTGAGAGACTATAAGTGAAACATAGGAAGTTATGTAACTAGTTGCCAAGTGGTAGTGCATTATAAATATGACAGTGATTCCCAAAAGACTATAGATAACTTTCCAAAGTAATTAGGTGAATTTGTGACAGAGGATACTTATATACCACCATTCACTGGAGCAAAAGCCGACCAGCCTTCTCCTATTTTTCTTCTAACAACTCAGATCCTAGAAATACCAATGGGCAAGTCAGTAATGGAAAGGCAAGAGGTAAAGTGTTTCACTCATTCATTTAACAATAATTCATTAAGTGCCTACTGTATATTTTTCTGTAGTTTAACATGTATTTATTAGATTACTGTGTACCCTTAAAGAATATCTAATCTAATTGGGGAAATACAATGCATGAAGCAGTAAGAGGCATTAAATAATTAAATGCTAGGTTGTGAAGTGAATACTATAATTATTATATGCATTCAAAAGAGATAATATTAGGGTTAGAATAGCGAAAAAAGTCTTCATTCCCTTAGCACCCATTTATTGAGCATGTTAAATAAAATATAGCAGGTCCAAAATGGAATCACCCATGCTAAAGTTTCACATCACCAAACCAAAACCTAAGAGATGATAACCAAATCCCATTAGGCCAACAGGATTTCACTTATATCCCTGTAAGGAAATTAACCTTGAAATGGTCAATCTGCTATTTGTTTTTTGTTTCTGTCTGCTTCTGCTTTTTTCTGCCTATAAAACTCACCCACTCTGTTTAGCTCATTAGAGCTCCTTTTTATTTTGTAGATTACATATTGCCCAGTTCATGAGTTACTAATAACTCAATCAGAGCTTTGAAATTTAATTTGCTGAAACTTTTTTGTTTGTGTGTTTGTTTTGATACAGGGTCTTATTTTGTCACCCAGGCTGGAGTGCAGTGGCACAAACACAGCTCACTGCAGCCTTGACCTCCTGGGCTCAAGCGATCCTTCTGCATCAGCCCCCGCACATAGCTGGGACTGCAGGTGCAAGCCACCACATCCAGCTAATTTTTTCTTTTTTTTTTTGTAGAGATGGGATTTCACCAAGTTGCCCTGGCTGGTCTTGAACTCCTAAGCTTAAGCAATCTGCCCGCCTTGGCCTCCCGAAGTGTTAGGATTACAGGTGTGAGCTACCATGCCTGGCCAAAACTTCGTTCTTTGACAAATACATCTTCCACATGCCAGACACTGGGAATATTACTACGAATATATCCTGTTCTTACCTTCAAGGAGGTAGGAAGAAAACTACAAGATAGTGTGGCAAATATTGTAATAGTAAGCACAACATGCAACAAGAGCAATGAATGGTACAAAATTGAAAAATGGTTAGGTAGAGGGAAAAAAGAAGATTGAAGTAATAATAGTCAACATTATATTGCTTTGCATGTATTATCTCTTTTCATTTGCATAACAACCCTGTTATTATTCCTATTTTTCAAATAGGCAACTAAGGATCAGAAAGTATTTTGATTGGCTGGGCGTGGTGGCTCACATCTGCAATCCCAACACTTTGGGAGGCCGAGACAGTGGATCAGTGGAGCCCAGGAGTTCGAGAGCAGCCTGGGCAACATAGTGAGACCTCGTCTCTACAAAACACACAAAAATAAATTATCTAGGCATGGTGGCACGTGCCTATAGTCCCAGTTACTAGGGAGGCTGAGGTGGGAAGATCACCTGAGCCTGGGGAGGTCAAGGCTGCAGTGAGCCATGATCGCGCCACTGCCCTCCAGCCTGAGCAACAGACTGAAAACTTGTCTCAAAAAAAAAAAAAAAATTAATTAATTTGATCAAGGTCATTATGGTGGCAAGATAGGATTCAAACCCAAGTCTGTCTAA
Organism: Homo sapiens; assembly: GCF_000001405.40. NCBI lineage: Eukaryota > Metazoa > Chordata > Mammalia > Primates > Hominidae > Homo > Homo sapiens. The sequence goes on along the minus strand of NC_000001.11, from coordinate 93,064,259 downwards.
CTCCAGATCCAGAGCTATCAACCAGAAAGTTATATTGCCTGTTACTCTCACTGAAGGGAAAACAAGAGAAATAGAAAAAATAATGCTGTGGAGGTTTTCCTTGAATAACATGGGGAAATAAAGTTGTATAGGTAAAAAGGGCTAAATAGAGTAGGTATGGAGGGTGGGAACTGGAGACAGAGGACTTTAGGACCTCTGTCAGAGACATTTGTATTTGAACAGATAATAACAATAAACTTTATGGATTTCTTTTAGAAAAGAATTTACATAATGCAATCATTTGAAAATTAGCCTGACAGCAGTATACAAGACAGACTGAAGGGAGGAAAGGTGAGCCACAAAGGCAAATGAGAATGTTACCACAGTATAAGGTGGTGAGGTTTCAGACAATGCTAGTGGCAGTGTAATGAAGAAAAAGGTATGGATCTAACAGAGTTTTTATTTTTTATTTTTTATTTTTTTGAGACGGAGTCTCGCTCTGTCGCCCAGGCTGGAGTGCAGTGGCGCGATCTCGGCTCACTGCAAGCTCCGCCTCCCGGGTTCACGCCATTCTCCTGCCTCAGCCTCCCGAGTAGCTGGGACTACAGGCGCCCGCCACCACGCCCGGCTAATTTTTTGCATTTTTTAGTAGAGACGGAGTTTCACCAGTTAGCCAGGATGGTCTCGATCTCCTGACTTCATGATCCGCCCGCCTCGGCCTCCCAAAGTGCTGGGATTACAGGCGTGAGCCACCGCGCCCGGCCTGGATCTAATAGAAATTTTGAAAGAGAGAAACTATAACAGAAAGTGATCTATAAACATAGTTTATAGTAAAGAAGGGGGAAATTTAAGATGACACCAAAGTTCTAAGCCTGGAATAATAAGAATAATTATATAGAAAAAGAGGGAGCTTGGGAGAAGCTAGTTTTCAGAAGGAGATGATGACTTTGTTTTGGGGATACTACTCTTATTTTTGACGTTTTGAATTTGAGATAGAGTGAGATTAGAACCGTCCCAATTAGAACTATTTCAAATAGAATTGGGAGGAAAAGCTTGGAGTTTAAGTAAGTGTGAGAATAAAGAAGTTTATTTAGAAATAGTTAACATAAATGTTTTTAAATTGTGAGAATAGAAGAACTTTCCATGAAACAAAGTCCCTAGAGTACAGCAAGTGATGGACTGAAACTTGGGACAGCCCACAGGTAGGAAGCAAGAGAAAGAAAAATAGAAGCCAATAAATGTAACTGAGGAGCCAGGTGCAGTGGCGTGCACCTTAGTCCCAGCTACTTGGGAGACTGAGGCAGGAGGATCACTTGAGCCCAGGAGTTAAAGGCTGTAGTGTGCAATGATCATGCCTGTCAATAGTCACCACACTCCAGCCTGGGTGACATAGCGAGACCTGCCTGTCTCTAAAAAAATAAAAAAGTAACAGAGATGGACATGCAAATAACAATAATGATAGCATCCAGAATAATTTCTATTCCTTCTCCTTCAGGGCTTTGGTGTGATTCAGACACTGATTCCAATTAATGGAAAAGTCAGAGTTTCATGAAAATCAGTATTAAAAAACTCTCTTAGATTCAATTAAACATTTATTGAAGATTTTTCATTGTTCAGCTTTACTTCCACTCTCCCTGATTGATCTTATCTGGACCAAGAACTTAAGAAATTGGCAGCTTCTATTTTTAGTCTTTTGGAACACTCTCTCTGGGAGTCCTGAACTGTCAGGTACAAAGTTGAACTACCCTGAGACCATCATGAAACAGAAGTCACATGTAGGTGCTCTGATTGAGTCTCAGCTGAGCCCAGCCTTCCAGCCTATTCACCCTAAATGTGAGACGTGGCTGAACCAATCTTGAACCCTCCAGCCATCTGCCTGCTAAATACCACCAGGTGGCCTCAGTCAACCACATGAAAAAGAACCACCCAGCTGATCTCTGCCCTAATTACTAACCTACAAAATGTTTAGTTATATTAAAGTTGTTGTTTTAAGCTATTATGTTTGAAGGTAATTTGTTATGCAGTAGTAGATAACTGGAACAGCATGTAAACATGTGCATGTCATTTCTCTCTTGAAGCTCAATTTCTTCATCTATAAAGCAAGGGAGTTTGATAACTAGATAATCTCTTTCTTCTCACTCTAAATTACCATGACTGTATTCCTTTTTTAGTGACTCATCTGGGACTAAAGCACTTTTATATAGAGTCCTCTATGCTAAAAAGAAAACAAGGCCAGGTGTGATGGTTCACAGCTGTAATCCCAGAGCTTTGGGAGGTCAAGACAGAAAGATCTCTAGGCCAGAAGTTTCAGATCGGCCTGGCCAACATAGTAAGACCCTGTCTCTACAAAATAAAATTGAAAAAAAAATAGAAGAAGCTGGGTGCGGCAGCTTTCGCCTGCTATATCATCACTTTGCGAGGCCGAGGCAGGAGGATCATTTGAGCCAGGAGTTCAAGACCAGCCTGGGCAACATGGCAAAACCCTGTCTTTACACAAAACACAAAAATTAGCCAGGTGTGGTGGTGCACGCCTGTAGTCCAAGCTGCTGGGGGGCTAAGGCAGAAGGATCACTTGAACTGGGGAAGTTGAAGCTGCGGTGAGCCATGATCGCGCCATTGCACTCCAGCCTGGGCAACAGAATGAGACCTTGGTTCAAAAGAATAAAAAAATAAAAATTAGCAGGGCATGGTGGCACGCTCCTGTTGTCCCAACTCAGGAGGCTGAAGTAGGAAGATAACTTGAGCCCAGGAATTCAAGGCTGCAATGAGCCATGATAGTACCACTGGACTCTATTCTGGGCAACAGAGCAAGACCCTGTCTCCAAAAAAAAACATTTTAAAAATAAGAAAATATTTTTGTTATCATCTAAGTAGATCAGGGCTACTGAGCACAGTGATGGCTTTGAGATTGGGGTAAAAAGACAAAGTGATAGCTTTCTCAGTGCCAGAGTAGGGGGCAAGAGAAGGATGAGATGGAAGGCAGTGAATAAGGAGAAGGCAGGGGCAGCAGCAACAGAGAAAGGGATGAAAGCTGTGGCTTAAGAGATGATGGCAGAGGAATTTCTTTGCCAGCTGAAAAAGTGGTGAAGGTAGAGAATAAAGACATTGAAAGCAGAAACAAAGGCAGTTGCATGGAGATGAAGGTAGTTCTCAGTCCACTGCGGGAGGAAAGAAGAAGAATTTATCCACCAGCTCCCATCTCCCTTTAGTCAGTAGTTCTCTCCCCAGGGTATTAAGACTCCTGCCTAGCACCTCTGAGTTGCCTACAGGGCTACTGTGGATTTTTATTGTGTCTCATGCCTCAAGGTCAACAGTGAAATCCCTGGGTGGGAAACAAGTATGCACATCGTGGACATAAAGTCAGGGGCTGTCAAGTTGTACCCTCCTGAATTTAGCCAGAAAGGCATTAGTGTTCTTATTATTTTATAATAAATTGTCTGAATCTCCCTGCCTATATAGATATATAGTCTTATATCTATAAAGTATAAGTTCTAATTATGGAATATATTGAAACTATACAAATGAATCTAAAATTAAGCATCATATCATCTTTTCCAAATATAGTTGCATGACGTAAACTTTCAGGAGCATAAAAAATTTTAGTTTTGACTCTTACTGTTACCTAATAATTTTAGATTTATTAAATCATCTTCCCCCTACTCCAATCTCATAAGAATTTGCATGTGCTTCCATCAAGTGATATTAGTGCTGTCTTGGCAGTTGGAAACTTAAGGTGAGTGATTGAAAAGTGTGTTTGCAGTCAAAACAAATCACTCGATTAAGAGTCATAAGGGCTAGGTTCCAATTCCCATCTTCACATACCCTGCTCACGACACAAGGTTTTGAATATTAAATCATCAAAATTTGGGAGGAGGAATAAGAGAGAGAGAGAGAATGAATTATATAATGGCAAGAAAAATAAATCTTCTTCCTTTTTTTGCTTCACACTGCTAATTTGTCCACTGAGTAGCAGAGGCAGGAATCTTTAGAGGAAAGAGGACTTCAGTTGCCAGCCAGCCTCTGTCACTTTTATAGCTGAGTGATCTTAGGCAAGTTTCCTGAACTCCCACAGCCTGAGATTCTTTGGGGGCTCAATGGAGAAAATAAGAATATCAACATTAAAGCTTTATTATACAGACTAAATGAGATTATATACATATATATATACACACATATATATACATATATATATATATATATGCGCTTCATTTCTTTTTCTCTTGCAGCACTCACTACATGTCTGACTCTCCTAATTAAACTCTGAGCTACTTGAGGATAGGAGGGCATTACCCTTTTTTTACATCCTGTCATTGGAAATTCCTCTGGCACAGAGCATCAGTCGTAAAGCAGCCCTTACATAAATTTTAAAATGGATATTCATTGGCTTAACAATGTTAACTATGTTCTTCTACATGTGAAGGACTGTGCTATCCACTGTTAGGACAGGATACAAACATTAAAAATGTATATAACCAAACACCGCATGCTCTCACTCATAAGTGGGAGTTGAACAATGAGAACACATGGATGCAGGGAGGGGAACATCACACACAGGGGCCTGTCGAGGGGTGGGGGCAAGGGGAGGGAGAGCATTAGGACAAATACATAATGAATGTGGGGCATAAAACCTAGTCCCAAATGTCCATCAATGATAGACTGGATAAAGAAAATGTGGCACATATACACCATGGAATACTATGCAACCATAAAAAGGATGAGTCCATGTCCTTTGCAGGGACATGGATGAAGCTGGAAACCATCATTCTCAGCAAACTAACACAGGAACAGAAAACCAAACACTGCATGTTCTCACTCATAAGTGGGAGTTGAACAATGAGAACACATGGACACAGGGAGGGGGAACATCACACACTGGGCCCTGTCGGGGGTTGGGGGCTAGAGGAGGGACAGCATTAGGAGAAATACCTAATGTAGATGATGGGTTGATGGGTGTAGCAAACCACCATGGCACATGTATACCTATGTAACAAACCTGAACATTCTGCACATGTATCCCGGAACTTAAAGTAAAATAAAAAATTTAAATATATATTTATATGTCCACCAGCTGGACTGGAGAGCTCGGAGTCTGGAGACAATGGCATTAATAAGTAATTAAGATGTAGTACAAATGTATACAGGTGTGAAGGGTGTGATACATCCTAGGAATGAGGAAAAAATTCAATGGAACCTAGTGTGAAGGATAAAAACAAGGATGGAAAGGCAGTTGGGTCTCATTGTGAGAGACTTATATGAAAAGTGGTATGGAGCAAGACATTTTTTATTGCAAGGGTCATTATTGCAACCAACACAAGCCTCAGAAGGGTGGCACCCCATCCCTTGGTGTTGTCTGGAAACAGAGTAGAAAGATGTCAAGATTCCCCTGGCCGTCTCTCATTTATTTCTGCTCCTGTCTGAATGTTGCTTTCATTCTCTGCTGCAGATAGTTTCTTTATTTAGTGGGAAACAGCTTTCAGCAAGGTTACATTTGAGTATAGAAACCAGTTAAGAAAAGGATATTCACTCCCCCAGCCTCCTCCTTTACCTCCATAGCCCACTTTATAGTTCTAGCCAAAAAAATAAAAAATAAACCAGGGAAGTATTCTTTTTTAATTTTTAATTTTTGTGGGTACATAGTAGGTGCATATATTTATGGGTTACATGATATATTTTGATATAGGCATGCAATGTGTAATAATCATATCAGGTAAATGGGGTATCCATCACCTCAAGCATTTATTCTTTGTGTTACAATCCAATTATACTCTTAATTATTTTTAAATGTACAATTAAATTTTTTGACTATAGTTACCCTGTTGTACTAACCAATACTAGGTCTTATTCATTCTTTCTAATTATTTTTTGTACCCATTAACCATCCCCACTTCCTCCACACACACCCCCACTACCCTTCCCAGCCTCTGGTAACCATCATTCTACTGTCTATCTCCATAAGTTCAATTGTTTTAATTTTTAGCTCCCACAGATAAGTGAGAACATGCAAACATTGTTTTTCTGTGTCTGGCTTATTTCACTTAACATAATGGCCTCCAGTTCTATCCATGTTGTTGCAAATGACAGGATCTCATTCTTTTTATGGCTGAATAATACTCCACTGTGGCTGGGCATGATGGCTCACACCTGTAATCCCAGCATTTTGGGAGGCCAAGGCGGGTGGATCATGTGGTCAGGAGATCGAGACCATCCTGGCCAACATGGTGAAACCCCGTCTCTACTAAAAATACAAAAATTAGCCAGGTGTAGTGGCACATGCCTGTAGTCCCAGCTACCCAGGAGGCTGAGGCAGGAGAATCATCTGAACCCAGGAGGTGGAGGTTGCAGTGGATCTTGCCACTGCACTCCAGCCTGGGTGACAGAGTGAGACTCCGTCTCAGAAAGAAAAAAAAAAAACAAACCTCCACTGTGTATAGGTACCACATTTTCTTCATCCATTCATCTGTTGATGAACACTTAGGTTGCTTCCAAATCTTAGCCTTTGTGAACAGTGCTGCAACAAACATGGGAGCACAGATATCTCTGCAATATACTAATTTCCTTTCTTTGGGGTACATAATAATTAGTGGGATTGCTGGATTATATGGGAGCTCTGTTTTTAGCTTTTTGAGGAACCTCCAAACTGTTCTCCATACCATGGACGTACTCTAGCCAACCAGGTTTGGTTCACGTGCCCAACCTGGGCCAGGTGCTATAGCCAAGAGGATGAGATATTTTGATCAACAAAATTATATCGATACCCACCTTTGTGGGCAGAGAGATGGAGTCTTTTATAATATTAACTGCACCACAAGAAGCACTTATTTAGAGTTGGAGAGACCTATTTCCCAAAATAAAAAGGGTTGCTATTCTAAGCTGCCAAAATACTTTGAGTCTACTAACATGCTAACTAAATATGAACTTTCATATGATAATAACAATAGTAACAGAAAAAATAATAACATTTACTGAATGCTTACTTTGCACCAAGCTGCATGAAAAGTACTTTGCATATGTTCTTTATTTAATTTTTCAAACAACCTTATGAAGAAGATAGAATAAATTCCTATTTTACAGATAAAACAACTGAGGCAGAGAAGATAAGCAAATTGTGCAGAGTCATACAATATACATATTTGAATCCACTTTTGTTTGACTTTGGAAACTACTCTTTAACCACTATCTTATATAGAAATAAAAGAACCATAAGAAGCTTTAAAATAAGTCCATCCTTGAGAAATATCTCTCTGTCATTGTACAGAAATAGGATTCAACAAGGGAATTACACTGCAAATAAAGAGGTTGCTGTGACTGCAATGCATCTGGAGCTCAAGAAAGGAGACGGCTGGTATCAGATGGAAAACTACACACCTAATCAAGCTTTGGTACCCCAATCCAGTTTGACTGACTACTGCTCTTCACTGTCTCTCTCATGCCAGGGACAAGGGCTTGGCACAAATAATAATTATAACTGAAGCAGAGTATATTTAATTACGCAATCTTAGATAATAAAATTTAATTCCACATAATTTATACATTAAATTGGAGCATTTGAAGGATTTCTGGCAAAGGAAAATTGGAATGGATAAGTAGGATTCATTTATACATATCATTTTATCATCAATTAATAATGAATGTACTTAATGTGGTAGGATTTTATTTTATTCTTTGTGCTCCTATTTCTCAATTTTTTATAAGTTGTAATTTTATACTGTTTTAATATTTAAGAAGACTTAGTTGAAACTAATGCAGTGCAGTTACATAGGTTTCTGGTCTTGTGAGACTTTGAGACAACTTAAATGCTGTCAGCTAGGGGCATTTGAGAGCTCCCACGTTTCGAAAATGTAGATGCTCTAGGAGCTCTCCAGGGTACTGGATTGCCTCTCCTCAATCTCTGATCAATGAATCAGGTCCTTGTGTTCTCTTCTGACCTACTGGTTTGCCCTAAATCTTGCCCTTCCGGTCAGCTGCCTGTCTCAACTATGTCTGAAAGCAACTTAGTTTCCCAGATGAGTTCCCAGCAGGCTTTGACTATTATTTTTATGCTGATGCCTTCTAAATCTATCAAGCCGGTAATTTTCTTCTCACCCAAGCTCTTCTATTTCATTTCTATTGCCATTAGCCCTCATTAACTTATTTAACAAATACTACTGAGAGTGGCCAGAAATGTAAAATTCAAAACTATAAAACTTACAGAAGGAGATAACAAAGGAGAAAGTCTACGTAACTTAGGTTTAGCAATGAGTTTTTAGAGGAAACACCAAACCACAATCCGTGGACTCAAAAATTGATAAGTTTGAGTTAATTAAAAATTAAAACATCTACTCTTCTAAAGATACTGTTAAGATAATTAAAAGACAAAACTCAAACTAAGAGAAATTTTTTTCAAAATATATGTCTGGTAAAGAAGTTGTATCCAAAATATACAAAGAATACTTAGAGTTCAACAATAAGAAAACAAACAACACACTTTAAAAATGGGCAACAGCCCTAAACAGACACCTCATCAAAGAAGATACACATAAGGCAAATAGACATATTAAAAGATGCTTAACATCATATGTCATTAGGAAACTGCAAATTAAACAATGGGATACTACTACAACACCTATTAGAATGGCCAAAAACAAAACAAAACAAAACAAAAACTGACAAGACTAAATGCTGACAACAAGGTAAAGCAACAGGAGCTGTCATCATTGCTGAAGAATGGTATAGCCACTTTGGAAGACAGTTTGGCTTTCTTACAAAGTTAAACATAGTCTTATCACATGATCGCACATTTAGGTATTTATCCAAATGAGTATGTTCACACACAAACCTGCACACAAATATTTATAGCAGCTTTATTCATAATTGCCAATAACTGGAAACCAGATGTCCTTCCATAGATAAATAAAGAAACAGGTGTATCTATACAGTGGAATATCATTATTTGATCAAAAGAAATTAGCTATGAAGCCATGAAATAAGAGTTTCCATGAAGGAAACTTAAAATGCCTATTGCTAAGCTAATGGAGTCAATCTGAAAAGGTTACACACTGTATGGTTCCAACTAATATGGCATTCTAGAAAAGAAAAAACTACAGACAGGTAAAAGATTAGTAGTTTGCAGGAAGTGGTGGCAGAGGAGGAATGGATAGGTGAAGCACAGGGGATTTTGAGGAAGCTGAAACAATTCTGTATGCTATCATGGTGTGTATAGGACATTACGCATTTGTCAGAACCTGTAGAACTATACAACACAAAGAATAAACCTTAATGTAAATGATAGACTGTAGTTAATAATGACACATCAATATTGGTTCATTAATTGTAACAAATATACCACACTAATGCAACATGTTAATAATAGCGGAAACTGGGGGTGGGGGGGGAATTATATGGTAACTCTGCCACCTGCTCAATTTTTCTGTGAACCTGATACTGTTCTAAAAATTAAAGACTACTAATTTTTAAAATATTACTGAGTGTCTTCTGTATATCAGCCATTGCACTAGCAACTGGGATTACAACATGAACGCAATGGACATGACCTAGCCCTCCTGGTGTTTATATCTAGTGTGTAGGGAGGGACCAGACACTAATCAAATAGTGACACAAATAAGTGCATAAATATACACCGCTGTGAGGTTGGGTGCGGTGGCTCACACCTGTAATCCCAGCACTTTGGGAGGCCTGGGGGGCGGATCACAAGGTCAGGAGATCGAGACCAGCTTGGTCAATATGGTTAAACCCCATCTCTAATAAAAATATAAAAAATAAATTAGCCAGGTGTGGTGGCAGGCACCTGTAGTCCCAGCTACTTGGGAGTCTGAGGGAGGAGAATTGCTTGAACCCGGGAGGAGGAGGTTGCAGTGAGCTGAGATCGTGCCAATGCACTCCAGCCTAGGCAACAGAGGGAGACTCCATCTCAAAAAGAAAAAAATATATATATATACACACACACACACACACACACACACACACACTGCTGTGAATAAAAGTTTCATAGGGCTATGAGAACTTATACTTAGTCTGGAGGGTTAGGGAAATCTTCCTTAAGGAAGAGATACTTGAACTGTGATCAGAAAGATGAACAGGAGTTAACTAGGTGTGTGTATTTGGTGGCAGAGCAGAGGAGCATTACTGACAGAAGGTAAGTAAGGCCCTATGGTGAGACACAGTGTGTACATGATAATTGAAGGCAGACCTATGTGGCTGGAACACAAAAAGCAAGAGGCAGAGTGCATGAGCTGAGATGAAAGAGACTGGAAGGAGCTACACTGTAGAAGACCCTATGGACAAAAAAAGATTTATGGTCTTAACCTAAAATCAGTAGGAAGAGCTTGAAGAATTTTCAGCAGTGTGTTGTCATGATTGCCTTTGAAAAAGACTTTTCTGACTACTTGCTAAAAAAAAGATTGCCAGGTTTCTCAGCCTCAGCATTATCGACGTTTGGGGATGGATAACTCTTTGTTGTAGGGGCTGTCCTGCGCATTGCAGGATGTTTAGCAGCATCCCTGGCTTCTCTACATCAGACGCCAGGAGCACCCACCCCCTGAGATGAGATAACCAAAAACGTCTCTGGACATTGCCAAACGTTCCAAGGGGGAAAATCATACCTAATTGAGAACTGCCAAATTAGAGGAAGAGCAAGAGGGGGTGAGGGGGATTATTTGGAGGTTTTTTTTTTACAATAGTCCAGATAACAGATTATGATAGCTTAGAATTGAGAAGGTGAAAAAGGAAGGAAGTGAACTGATTAGGGAGATGTTTAGGAAGTAAAGTCAACAATATAGGATGCTAGATTGAAATGGTGGGGGAGGGGAGGAAATAAGGAGAATGAATAAGTTTCTGGTTTAAGCATCCGGGTAGATGGTGGTACTATAAAACAGGGATCCCAGGAAGATCTAGATTTGGAACCAACAGAAGAATGGAATGAGACTTTTGGAGGTGTTGGGAGATGTGAGTACACTTTGCATGTGGAGGAACATAAATCATTTGAAGCCAAAGGCAGGGAGACTCTCTCAACCTATTCTGGCTCAGGAGGCTCCCTGACCACAAAAAAAAAAAAAAAAAAAACCAAAAAAACAAGTAGAAGCCAAAGGTAAACTGTGGTGGTCAATTATATTCATGGTTCCCAATGAATCGTGTGTCCTAGCATTCATTATTCATGCCCCTGTGTAGTCCCTCTGACTGAATTGGGTCTGACTTCTTGACCTTCACCAGTGAGATGTGGCAGAAGTGACCTTATGAGACTTCTGGGTCCAGCTATTAAGAAGTTCTGGTCATATGGTTTGAATCTGTGTCCCCACCAAATCTCCTGTCAAACTGTAATCTCCAGTGTTGAAGGTGGGGCCTGGAGGAAGGTGATTGGATCATGGGGACAGAGTTCTCATGAATGGTTTAGCACTACCCCCCTTGGTACTGTTCATTGTGAGAGAGTTCTCATGAGATCTGGCCATTTAAGAGTGTGTAGCACCTCCCCACTCTCTCTGTCTTCCACCTGCCCCTGCCATATGAAGGCAGCTGCTCCTGCTTTACCTTCTGCCATGAGTAAAAACTCCCTGAGGCCTCCCCAGAAGCAGATCCTGCCATGCCTCCTGTTCAGCCTGCAGAATCATGAGCCAATTAAACCTCTTCTTCTTTTTGTTTTTATTATACTTCAAGTTTTAGGGTACATGTGCACAACGTGCAGGTTTGTTACATACGTATACCTGTGCCATGTTAGTGTGCTGCACCCATTAACTTGTCATTTAGCACTGGGTATATCTCCTAATGCTCTCTCTCCCCCCTCCCCCCACCCCACAACAGGCCCCGGTGTGTGATGTTCCCCTTCCTGTGTCCATGTGTTCTCATTGTTCAATTCCCTTATACCTCTTCTTTTTTTAAATTACCCAGTCTCAAGTATTTCTTTATAGCAGTGTGAGAAATGGACTAATAATACACCTGGCATCTTTTACTTTTGTGCTCTGGGAGAAGCCAGTAGCCATTTAAGACAACTAATCTCCCTGAGATAGCCATGCTGTGAGAAGCCTAATCTTGCTATTTGCAGAGGCCATGTGGAAGACTACTGAGGCTGTTTGCCAACAGCCCCAGTTGCGCTTCCAGTTGACAGCTAGTGCCAATTTGTCAGCTTTGTGTGTGAGACCATCTTGGGTGTGGATCCTCCAGCCCCATCAAGCCATTCCAGATGACACCATGTGGAGTCTACAAGCTGTTGGCTCATCTCCAAGTGTTTGGTCACCAAGCCCTGACCAAATTGCAGAATTATGAGCAAAGAAGTAATGGTTGTTATTTTAAGCCAGTAAGTTTTGAGAAGTTTTGTTACACAGCAATAGATAACTAGAACAGTCAGCCACTCTAAGGCTCAGTTTCATCTACTGTAAATTTGAAATAATAATACCTACCTCAGACTTGTTGTAAGAATAAGTTAAATAATGCTTGACACTAGAAGTACTCACATACTGCTATTATCATTCTGGTAGTCACTCAAGAAGGGCTTGATGACTGATAATTTTATTGAATAATATTGATTAATTGGACCAGAGCAAATTTCACCTTCTCTGACTGCCATATATCTAACAGAACCTTTCAGTCACTCTGTTCCTTTTTTTGCTTCACAACACTTATCGCCACTTGAAAAAAATATTTTTTATTATCTGGCTTTCTTAGTAGAATATATGCTCCATGAGAGGGAAGACTTTGTGTTTTTTTTTTCCCATGATATCCCTAGTGCCTAGAACAACATCCTGTCAATTAGATGATCAGTATGTATTTGTTGAATGAATAAATGAGTTTTGCACATAAATTTCCATTTTTCACAAAAGCAATAAAGGAAAATGTTTTGTATTTTATTCATTTTTTTTCTTAGAAACAGGGTCTCACTATTTTGCCCAAGCTGGACCTGAACTCCTGGGCTCAAGAGATCTTGCACTGCAGCCTCCCAAGTAGCTGAGAACATAGGTGTGTGCAAAGGTGCCCAGCTTGCCCTGCATTTTACTTAAGGCTTAAACCCTTTCAGTTCTCAGTTCTCAGCACAGCATATTTGGTTAGCTGATGAGACAGTAAAACTAGTTTGTTCTCCTGAAAGGAAATCTTAGGGTACAAACATTATAAAAGTAGGTGGAATATAGTTGCAGAACAACTTAACTTCAATTAGCTTAACCTAATTTAATTCATTAAGCTTTACAAACTAATTCTTTAGCTTTTATTTCCTCAGCTGATTAATGCCTGTGGTCCAGATCTTTAAGACATTTTGTTAGCTTTAAATTTCAGTCTTATTTCAGCCTAAAACTCTCTTATATACAACCACCCAACCAGAAATTGGTAGTTTCTTCTGCTGAGGTCTAGGTAGGATGCTTTATCAAGGATACTTCTTCTTGAGCACACATCAATTTAGCTCTTAAAATGCTTCTTTTCTTCTACTCTTCTACTTTGAAAATATTCTCTTTTTTTCCCCCAGAGACAAGGGCCTTGCTATATTGCCCAGGCTAGTCTCAAGGGATCCACCTGCCTCAGCCTTCCAAGTAGGTGGGACTACAAGCATTCACCACCATGCCCAGCTTGCTTTGAAAACTTTCTAAAGGTTACCTCTAATAGATTTGATCAGCTTAACCTAAAATCTGATTAATCTCTTTAAAATATTTCTTCATTTCTTCTATGTTACCTGCAGTGATTTACATATTCAGAACTTTGAGTACAGACTTGTCAGCCACATGCCTGTGCAAATACTGGGGAGTGGGCACTGTCACCCCGTGTGCCTGAAGGGCCTATCTTTGACCCAGGCAGGTGTTGTAGGCCCTCAGGTACAAGAAGGTGTTAGGATGCATGCAGGCCACATATGTCTGTGCAGACTATATTCAGGATATTGAATGTACGGTAGCAACCTGCCAAGAACTGCAGGCCTTTCATGGCAGTATACACACAACCAGGAGTTTTGACAGAAAACATTCTTCTTTACTTTAAGGCTTCAGAAGACCTCACTCGACTGCTTTGTAATTTAGCCAAGTGTTACAGTGTATAGGTTGTTGCCCATGTTGAATTTTTACTTGTATATGATATACAAAAGATAGCTCAGAATTAATCAGTCTTAAATGTAAGAGCTAAAACTATAAAACCCAGAATAAACTACAGCTGAGATCTTGGATTAGACCATGATTTCTTAGATACGACACCAAAAGCACAAGCAACCAAAGAAAATAAATTGGACTTCATCAAAAAGAAAAAATTGGTACTACAAAGGACACCATCAAGAAAGTAAAAAGATACCATAGAATATTTGCAAATCATATATAATGAAATAATTTTATCCAGAATATGTAAAGAACTCTTACAACTCAAAAAAAAGACAAATTGCCCAATTTAAAAATGGACAAAGGATCAGAATAGACATTTCTCTAAGGAAGAGATTCAAATGTACAAAAAGCACATCAAAAGATGCTCAGCATCATCAACTTTACTTCAACTGGAGGCAACTCTCCATCTTCACAGCTCCCCCGGGGGGTCCCTAAGGCCTTGTGTGACTACATTGTAGCCAAATTCTCCTTCTGCCCAGTCTTGCTTTCTTCCCTTCCCAAACAGGTTTTGATCCCAAGAGACTTTGTAATAAACTCCCTGCATGCTAATTTCCATCTCAGGGTGTTCTTCCCAGAGAACTCAACCTGTGACAAATCTTTAGCCTTCAGCAGAAGTACAGGCCCCTAGTAGGGGCAGTTGTACCCAGCTGCTCATATGAGAGGTACTCCAGGTCAGAAAATAGACGATAATAACTGTAGGGATAAAAAGATGGCCAAACCAAGGAGTCTGGCTCAGTGAGTTCATCCAAGCCAGCATCAGAAAAGGCATGGTGTTTGTGCTATCAATCTTCTGTGCCCAGTTCAGGGCCAGCCTTGGGAAAGAGGGGCCCAGTCCTCTGTGTTTTCTGAAACTACCAGGCTGGTTCTGACCTTTATTTCCATTGTAGTTACTAGATTAATGTTATTTCAACGATCCATATATTTCCCATTAGGAGCTTGTTAACATTAATTGAGTTAATATTCATTAACCCTTTTCCCATTTGCCCAGAGAATACTCACCAGCAGCGCTTGCTGCAGCAGCATTTACCTTGAGATAACTTTGCCATGAAATAGCTCACTTTCATTATTATTTTCTTTCTTTCTTTCTTTCTTTATTTTTTCTTTATTTTTATTTTTTAAGACAGAGTCTCGCTCTTGTCGCCCAGGCTGGAGTGCAGTGGCGTGATCTCGGCTCACTACAAGCTCCACCTCCCGGGTTCACGTCATTCTCCTGCCTCAGCCTCCCGAGTAGCTGGGACTACAGGCAACCGCCACCACTCCCGGCTAATTTTTTTTGTATTTTTAGTAGAGACGGGGTTTCACCGTGTTAGCCAGGATAGTCTCGATCTTCTGACCTCGTGATCTGCCCGCCTCGGCCTCCCAAAGTGCTGGGATTACAGGCGTGAGTCACCGTGCCCAGCCTCATTATTATTTTCACACTGCTCTAGTATATCAACTCTGTAAACAAAAGACATCTTTCAGGCTGACAGTGGTGACTCACGCCTGTAATCCCAGGACTTTGGGAGGCCAAGGTGGGCAGATCACTTGAGGCGAGGAGTTCAAGACTAGCCTGGCCAGTGTGGTGAAACCTCATCTCTTCTAAAAAATACAAAAACTAGCTGAGCGTGGTGGTGTATGCCTGTAATCCCAGCTACTTGGGAGGCTGAGGCATGAGAATCGCTTGAACCCAGGAGGCGAAGGTTGCAGTGAGCTGAGATGGCGCCCCTGCACTCCAGCCTGGGTGACGGAGGGAGACTCTGTCTTAAAAAATTAAAAGAAAAAAAGACATCATTCTATTTATAACATTCTGTTTTTAGTAATGGCATTTCCATTTACAAAATGTAGTAATTCTCTATGGCTAAAAAGGCTAAAAATGTCAAATCCTAGAATACATAGCATTCTTATGCACGATGTTAATTAACATTGTTATTGGACAATTGTTGGCTGAAGATTCATTTGATGAATCCGATTTTTCCAAAATAGATGATTCTGATAATTCAGATGATTCTGTTGTTACTTCTGTTTAGAAATAACTCCAAGAACAGTTTTTATATTTTGTTTTCGCATTGAAAATCATCAGATTTGCTTCAGCCTCAAAGAGGGTGTTTATGGAAAATTAAATGAGAGCACTGGCAGAGAGCTGCACTTTTTCTTTCTAAATGGTAAATTGACCATGTTTTATCAAATAAATATTTTAGAAAATGTACTGTAGATTTATTGTCTTCGTGTGCTATGATCTGCACTAAGGCCTGATGAAAATATTTTACTCTGTATAAAAATCGAGGTCTATGAACAGAGATGGGTTCTGCCCCTTTCTTTTCTGCAAGGATTTGAAGTTGACATAGGGACTTTGATCCCAGGGTCCAACATAGATCAAACATTTTGTCCATAAAACCAGGCTAGTTGGGGTGAGGAATAGTGGCAATAAAACTTTTGTAACCAGCTTGCCTCTGAGCGATGGGAGAATGATCTAGGCCAGGGTTTGTGTAGGATGGAGGCTGAAGAAAACCAGTGCAACAATAAGGAACCATTTCTCCAAGCCCAAGCGGGCAGGTAGAGCCTGGTGCAGGTTAGATTTATAGCCCAAATCAGAGTAAAATGGCAGGGATGTCTAGACAGGAAGTGTCTAAAAGTTACCTTTATCATCTTTGATTTCTAGTGTCTGTACAGTGTATAACATTTATTATATGAATTACTGAATAAGAGTCTGAGTGAGCATGTTCATCTTTCTTGCCACCATACTCCAGGGTTTAGACGAGCATATCATGAAAAGTGATCTGAGAATAAAAGACACTATTCTTAGCATAAAAAAACTTCAAGTGACACTTTTCGGTAAAAGCTCAATTTCATTTGGGCCTTCCTTGGTTCCATTATTATTATTATTATTATTATTTGAGATGGGGCCTTGCTCTGTCACCCAGGCTGAAAGTGCAGTGGCGTGATCATGGCTCACTGTGGCTTTCACCTTTAGCCTCCAGAGTAGCTGGAACCATAGGTGCGTGCCACCACATCCAGCTAATTTACTTATTTATTTATATATATTTTTTGGTACAGATGAGGTCTCACTATGTTGCCCAGGTTGGTCTCAAATTCCTGGGCTCAAGCCAACCTTTCACTTTTGCCTCCCAAAGTGCTGGGATTACGGGTGTGAGCCACCATGCCTGGCTGGTTCCATTATTCATTTCTAGAGATGAAACAAGCAGAATGGGGTAGAATATTTAGATGGGGATATATCATAGTTTGTTGAAAGGAAGGACAGTGTTTTCAATTTAATTTTCCTTTAATTTTTGGCAATGCCCAATCTTCTATTGGCATATTGGCTGTAACCATTGAGGATTATTATTTTAGAGGAGTAGTTAATAATGACTTATCATTATCCTCTAAATACATTTTAAATGAAAGTACCTTGCTTTTGTTCGTGCTGAAACTCATGTGACACATTTTTCTCAACCTCCCTGTCTTATAATAACTTCCTCTGATTTATCCTCATGCATTTGGGTTTTCATCTCAAAGAAGAGCTGAGTGTCATCTACATTCCACTTTCTGCCTTCAAGTCTCATTTTCTTCATCTGTAAAATAGGATAATAATACATTACTCATAATTACTCATAGGATCGTTGGGAAGATTAAGCAATAAATCCATGTAAAATGCCTAGCATAATGTCTGATGTATAGTGGCATTCAAGAAATGTAAATTACATTTCTCTCTGTTATTGGGTCCTTTGATGATTGAATATGCCCACTGTTTTCTATTTTCTTTTTCTTTTGTTTTGTTGTTAGAACAAGATAAAACTCCTTGATAAACTGCAGACATATTCAACGGTTATTAGCGCTAACCATATGGGCATCAACATTCAGAATTAGAACAATGTAATAATATTGACCTAGTATTCAGTTAGCAATATTGACATACAGAAGATTGAGACCACCCTGGCTAACACGGTGAAACCCTGTCTCTACTAAAAATACAAAAAATTAGCCGGGCATGGTGGCGGGCACCTGTAGTCCCAGCTACTTGGGAGGCTGAGGCAGGAGAATGGTGTGAACCCCAGAGGCGGAGCTTGCAGTGAGCCGAGATTGTGCCACTGCACTCCAGCCTGGGCCACAGAGTGAGACTCCTTCTCAAAACAAATTAAATAAATAAACAAATAATAATAATAATGTTGACCTAATATTAGGTTGACCTATTAGTTTCAGATAAAGTTAGAGTTAGGTCAATATACATTACAACTAAGTTTAGGAATTAATCAATACGTAACTTCTCAGGATCTTCTCTCTTCAACTTTAGACAGGTTTTGATTAAATTAGTCAACAGAAAACTTTAAATATATTGAAATTTAGAAGTACATAAAAACTTGTAAATAAGCAACATTAGTTATGTTTAAAATAATCCTTTTGTCCAGGCACTGTGGCTTAGACTTGTAATCCCAGTACTTTGGGAAGCTGAGGTCAGTGGATCACTTAAGGCCAGGAATTCAAGACCAGCCTGGCCAACATGGTGAAACCCCAACTCTACTAAAAATACAAAAATTAGCTGGTTGTGATGGCGCACACCTGTAATCCCAGCTACTTGGGAGGCTAGGGCATGAGAATCACTTGAACCCGGGAGGTGGAGGTTGCAGTGAGCCAAGGTCTCGACACTGCACTCTAGCCTGGGTGACAGAGCAAGACTCTGTCTCAAAAATAAATAAATAAATACATAATAATAATCCTTTTATCCTTTTGTATAATCCATGTGCTATCCCCTGCTTTTTTTTCTTTTTTTCAAGCTTGTGGGAAGTGGTATGATTATGGACAGGCTATCAAACTTCTAAAAATGAGTTTTCAAACAACCTTTGTAGCTGGAATTAGATAGTTTGGTACCGATCATGCCTTGGCTACTATTAAAATTTCTAAAAGGGGCCAGCCTCAGTGGTTCACACCTGTAAGCCCAGCACTTTGAGTGGCCAAAGCAGGCAGATCATTTGACGTCAGGCGTTCAAGAACAGCCTGGCCAACATGGTGAAACCTTGTCTTTACCAAAAATATTAAATAACTTTTAAAATTGCAAAAACCACAGTTACTTTTGCATCAACCTATACAAAAACTAGCCAGGCATGGTGACACGTGCCTGTAGTCCCAGCTACTTGGGAGGCTGAGGCAGGAGAATCTCTCGAACGCAGGAGGTGGAAGTTGCAGTGAGCCAAGATCACGCCACTGCACTCCATCCTGGGCAACAGAGTGAGACCCTGTCTCAAATAATAATAATAATTGTTATCATCATCATCATCTAAAATGTTATAATCCCTAAAGATCTCCACATCTGATTCTCATATTTTGTAAGTTGCATCTGCACTGCCAGTAAGGTTTTGCTTTCAAATTGTTTAGTTTTGTTTTTGAGTCTTCAGACTTTAAAAAAATTAAACAAGTTATACTACACTGTGTTTGAAAAGAAAAAGAATATAAATGAAAAGGGAAGCCATAAATATCAGTCAACAGACATAGTTGAGAAATTTGGGGAACTCTAGGTCTATACAACTTTCCTAGATTGAACCCTGTAGTCTCAATTGATTTCAATGAGAATTTTTTGTCAAGTGAGGGATGATAATTTTTATATAGATCTCATTCTTACTTTTCCAAGTTTTCACTTTAATTCTGTAGTGGACTCAGTGTGGGTAATAGGCATATTAGATTCCACAAAATTGTGAAAGTTATTGGTCTGGATTTTATTTTAGAGTGCCAACTGTTGTGGTATTCACTTCTGTTTGAATCAACTATAGCGTATAATGTCAAAACAATACATTGGAACCAATAGCTCCCAGGGTAAAAATTATCCGTGTACAGATGGTGGGCAAGAGTGATTACTTAAATTCTAGATATATAAATACCATAAGTACATATTCAGAGTTATGAATGGAGTAAGGATTCCCACAGTATTAATCTAACTTCAACAAGCCACGCAAATAGAGTGAAACACAATCTGTTCTATACATTTTGCACACTCTCAATTGCTGTAACATGAGAAATGGTATTTTAAGGGTAGAAACCCTCAACTGCTTTGAGACCACAAAAGTCCATCAGTTTACAGCTGGAGGCTTCTATCTATTCAGAATGTTTGGTACTCTTACAAACAGTAGCCCCACCGTTAAAATTAATAGATTTTGTATCCTAGGGGGCAAAGTTCTTTAAAGTCATGACATGACTTTTGCTTTGGCCTTGATTTTCCTTTTATTTCTAAGGAGTTTCTGTAAAAGGATTCCTTTGTTAACATATACCATTTTCGTTATAATATAACATTAGTTTTTCCTCTGTATTTTCACAAAAGCAAAAAAAAAATTGTACAAGCCAATACTTATCCCTAAAATATATTTTTCTGATTACAAAGTATTGATGTTATTTCTGAAAAAATATAAAAAGTATAAAACAAAAAATAAAAATTACTCATAATACACATAGAGAATAACATTTTGGTGTCCATATTCCCATATAAAACACAGTCATATGTTGCTTAACGACAGGGTACAGTCTGAAAAAAGCATTGTTTGGTGATTTTGTCCTTGTGTGAACATCATAGAGTGCACTTACACAAACCTACATGGTAGAGCCTACTACACACTTAGGCTATATGGTATAGCCTATTGCTATACCATAGCACCATATAGGACTATGAATTGTCCTATAACTAAATATGGTACTAAGAACATAGAAGACAATAAATGCTTCAATTTATGATAATTAGGCATTGAGCAAAACTCTGATTTTCTATACCAGTTCTTCACAAGATGCCTATTAAATTGAGTTGAAACATTGATGGGATTGGTGTCTGCAAGAAATATTCTGGAAATACTAAATTTTATAATTTAATGTTAATAGGCTTTTAGTGTTGAGAGTAATGTATTTCTTGCTAAGTCATCAATAAACATCTAATTTAAAATACAATAAAAATAATTTATAAAATAGGTCATTACACTTATACAAGCTTGTTGAACAAAGGCTAGTAATATAATTTTTTAAGTACCATGAAAAGAGATCATACTGGTTCTGTGTGGTGGCTCATACTTGTAATCCCAGCACTTCGGGAGGCCGAGATGGGAAGATTGCTTGAGCTCAGGAGTTCAAGATCGGCCTGGGCAACATAGCAAGACCCCATCTTTAAAAAAATACAAAAAAATAGCTAGGCATGCTGGCACGCACCTGTAGTCCCAGCTACCTGTGGGGCTGAGGTGAGAGGATCGCTTGAACCCTGGAGGCGGAGGCTGCAGTGAGCCATGTTTGAGCCACTGCACTCCAGCCTGGATGACAAAGCAAGAACCTGTCTCAGAAAAAAAAAAGAGAGAGAGACAGTTTGTATCAAGTAGTCCAGAAGAAATAAAGCTGGAGACTAAAGTTTCAGTAGTGCTTTCTAGAACTTTTCAAGACAAGGTTATCTGTATAACTGAATTTGAGTATTTCACCAGGCATGAGAGCCAATCTCATGTGAAACACCGAATAGTCCCAAAGAACGTGAAAGGAATATCGTAATGAGGCAGAATAGGGTCTGGAGGCAAGGAACCTAAGGCTGATTCACCCTGACTTCCTAGAACTAAATCGAAAGAAAAACCCCAACTTTCTGCACCTACGTAACAAAAGGACCAGAAGCTACTCCCTTTGCAAACCCCAACCTTTTCTACACAGCAGATGGGAAACTGAAACTACCTCTGAGTGGTTACTTTTTGCAACCAATCAGACCTTTCCATAGGAATATAACATTGTAACTTCACTTCAGTGATTATGATTATGAGCCAAGGCTACATTTGCATAGAAGTGCAACTTTATAACTTCACTTTAGCCTCTGATTGTTTGCTTTCCACAACCAACCATATGTTTGCATAGGAGTGTGACCTTTGTAACTTGACTTCAGCCTCTGATTGCTTGCTGTCTGCAAGCAATCAGACTAATTGTGGACCACCACTTCATTTACATGTGGTGAACACCAAGTGGCCAATGGGAAACCTCTAGCGGGTATTTGGACCCAAGAAGGTTCTGTATCCAGAGCCTTTGAGCCGCTGTTGGGAGGGCTTCCACACCGTGGAGTGTATTTTCACTTTCAATAAATCTCTGCTTTCATGGCTTCATTGTTTCCTTGCTTTGCTGTGCGTTTTGCCCAATTCTTCAAAATGCGAAGAACCTGGGCAGCTTGCAGTCAAGAGCCTCTACTGGTAACAGTAACATGGGTTGTTTTTGTTTTGTTTTGTTTTTACAAGAGTAGGACTTTCCTCATACCCTAAGTCTTTGGTCATTAAGACACACAAATAAAACTGCATATCCTGCACTGATCATCAGCCAAGTATATTTACTAATTTCAATTAGAAGAATATAAACACCTTAACTGTCACAGTTAATTAGTATATTTGGAGATGGTGATGGAGAATGTTACGTAGAGAAAAAAAAACCAATTACTTATAGTGCAAATAGAGATTCTTAGAGGAGGGCTAAGGCAGAACTTCAAGATTAGTGTCAGATAAGGGATAAGAAGATAAAGAATAAGGGCCGGGTGCGGGACCTCACGCCTGTAATCCCAGCACTTTGGGAGGCGGAGGCGGGCGGATCACGAGGTCAGGAGATCGAGACCATCCTGGTTAACATGGTGAAACCCTGTCTCTACTAAAAATAAAAAAATAAAAATAAAAAATTAGCCGGGTGTGGTGGCGGGCGCCTGTAGTCCCAGCTACTCCGGAGGCTGAGGCGGGAGAATGGCGTGAACCCGGGAGGCGGAACTTGCAGTGAGCTGAGATCACGCCACTGCACTCCAGCCTGGGCGAGAGAGAGGGACTCTGTCTCAAAAAAAAAAAAGGGTTAATTTCATGCCAGGCACTGTGCATGACAATTGCAATACAAGTTAAATACTATAATAGAAGAAATAACAAAATTCTGTGAGGAGAAAGGAAGCTGTTCAGCCAGTGTGTCTACCTAGCCATTATTCCTTCTAAGCCAGCTGCTGCTATGTTAGTCATTTCACACAATTAGCTTTTGCTCCAATATATTTTTATTCCAACCTGACTCCGCTGGCAGATTCTGGACTCTAGGCTCCTTTACTCTGGCTCCAACCCTCTTCTGGCCTTTTGAACCTGGAGCTTGTCCCGTCTCCCTGCCATTTGATTCTTCTCTTTCTAATACATTGGCTTGGACTAGATTTCTTGAGTTTTGTATCTTCAGGTGCCTTGATAAAAGCGCAGATTCCTTTACTCTGTTTAAACCCTGGCTATAGTCACAGACTCTCTGAAAACCCCACCCGGTGTTCAGACAACTGTCTTCGTCTCACCCTAAGGCAATAGAAAACGAAATTCACGCTGGGCGCAGTGGCTCACGACTGTAATCCCAGCACTTTGGGAGGCCGAGGCGGATGGATCACCTAAGGTCAGGAGTTTGAGACCAGCCTTGCCAACGTGGAGAAACCCCATCTCTTAAAATACAAAATTAGCCGGTGTGGTGGTGGGCACCTGTAATCCCAGTTACTTGGGAGGTTGAGGAATGAGAATCACTTGAACCCAGGAGGCGAGGTTGCGGTGAGCTGAGATCGTGCCATTGCACTCCAGCCTGGGCAACAAGAGTGAAACTCCATCTCAAAAAAAAGAAGAAAAGAAAGAAAGAAAGAAATTCAAATGGCCCTTCACCATATGAAAAGACATTATCATAAGGCAGTTGCAAATTAAGGGTAACTGAAATAACATCCTGCACTTCTCAGATTACGAAAAAACAAAAGCGTAGCAATACACTTTGTTCAAGAGATTGTAGAAATAAATAAACTACTGTTGGAAGTGCAGAATCCACATCCCTTTGGGGGTGATTTAGAAGGCATTTCAATTGCACGTATTCTTCAACCCAGCACTATCACTTCTGGCAATTCATTCTAAAAATATGTTTGCATTTATACAAAATGACAAATTTACAAGGTCATTTATTGAGGCATTGCTTGTATAGCCATGAAGATTGGAAATAGCCCAAATGTCCATCCATAGCAGAATTTTCCAATCTCAGCACTAATTGACATTTTAGACCAGATAATTCTTTGTTATGGGACTGTTCTGTGCATTGTAGCATATTTAGTAGCATCTCTGGCCTCTACCTACTAGATGTGAGCAGCACTTTACTCCCAGACCAAAATGATTGTAGACAATGCCAAATGACCCCAGTCAGGGACAAAACCTCCCAGACTCTCTAATTGAGAACCACTTATATACAGATAACTGGTTAAATAATAATGGTATATTCACAAGTGGAATACTATGCAACTGTAAAAACAATGTGGAGCTTTCAATGTGCTAATATGGAATACTGATTGGATAATAAAAAGAATGGAAACAAGAGAAGAAAGAAAGCTACATTTTCATGATTACAAGGATGTGAGGAGATGGAGAGAGAAGACTGTATCTCCATTATCCATACACTTTTTTTTGTTGTTGTTGTTGAGGGAGTCTCACTCTCTCTGTTGCCCAGGCTGGGGTGCAGTGGCGTGATCTCAGCTCACTGCAACCTCCGCCTCCTGGGTTCAAGTGATTCTCCTGCCTCAGTCTCCCAAGTAGCTGAGATTACAGGTGCCCACGACCATGCCTGGCTAATTTTTTTGTATTTTAGTAGAGACGGGGTTTCACCATGTTGGTCAGGCTGGTCTCTAACTCCTGACCTCAAATGATCCACCCTCCTTGGCCTCCCAAAGTGCTGGGATTACAGGCATGAGCCACAGTGCCCGGCATCCATAATGCTTTTTAAAGTATATTCTAGATAACTTAAATTTTTAGCTGTGTGAAAAGTAAGGCTACAATTTTCATCCAGAATGTTCAAGATAAATAGTGAAGCTATAGAGAGCAAAAAGTAATTTTAAAACAATAATTCTCATACAAACTAAAGTTATTTCCAGAAAGTGTTGGAGGGTTGATTGCATTTGCTTATAACAGGTTCTTGTGCTACTGTGAAGAATTGTTCAGAGATCTGTTCTGGAATCTATTAATAATGAGTTATAGAAGTTATAAAGTTATATCTTTCCAATGCATTTTAATTTCCTTTTGAAAATACTTTATTATTTAAGGTTCTAGGCCAGAAAGGAATCAAGCTGCTGCCCTATGTTGCCAAGGATCTAAAACCATCCTCCAGTTGTGACTCAAATAAGAACTACTTCATAGGAGAAAAAAAATACATCCTGCTGATAACATATATCAGTGACAATGTCACACTAAGTGTCCATCTCTGATTAATCCTGCAGCCGAACCTGAGCTCCATGGAGATCTGTTTATTCCTCTATTCATTCAGCATCATGTTTAAATGCATACTGTGTATGAGGGATAATGTCAGGTACTGAATACAGTCCCAGCCATGAATGACACATTTCTTGCTTTCAAGGAGGAGTGAAGGAATTAGACCTTAAAAACCCTATAAGTACAGAATGTTATGGAAGTACAGAAAAGAAGCACAGAGAAATCAGTTTATGAATCTGCCTTGTTTTACTTTCAATTTTGCTCATAACAATCCTCACGACTATAATGAATGTCTTGTGTTTTCATTGCCAACAAGAATAGTACCCTTCCTACAGAATCCTGTTTAGGTTCTATAAGATTCCACCTTCTTAGAGAAGTCTTCCTGGACCATCACCAAGCCATCATAAATGTAATACATATCATTTGTTGATCAATACGTGCTAGGCCCTATTCATAAAATACTTTTATTATTTTCACATCTTTTTAAATATTTTTTATTATATTTTATTTTATTTTATATAACATTATATTATTATACTTCACATCTACATTTTGAAGAGGTGATTATTATGCCCACTTTACAAATGAGGAAAATGAAGCTTAGTGAGGTTGAGTAACCTCAAGTTCCTCCTGCTGCTAAGTAGTTGTGCCGGATTTGAAAAAAGGCCTGATTCTAAAGCCTGTTCTCATACACACTGCACTTCATGGTGTACCATTGTGTTACTCTGGACTCTTATAGCATTTGTCAACTGTATTACCCATTTATTCATTCATCAAGCATTAAGTGTCTATCATGAGGCTGGGTGCAGTGGCTTACGACTGTAATCCCAGCACTTTGGGAGGCCAAGGTGGGCAGATCACCTGAGGTCAGGAATTCGATACCAGCCTGGCCAACATGGTGAAACCCCGTCTCTACTAAACATACAAAAATTAGTTAGGTATAGTGGCAGGCACCTGTAGTCTGAGGCACAAGAATCGCCTGAACCCCAGGCGGCTGAGGTTGCAGAGAGCCAAGATCACACCACTGCACTCCAGCATGGGTGACAGAGTGAGACTGTTAAAAAAAAAAAAAGTCTATCATGTACAAAATGACTTGTCATTTACTGCCTAGGCTATTGTTTGTTTGCTGGGCTCTGTGTGTGTGCGTGTGTGTGTGTGTGTGTGTGTGTGTGTGTGTGTGTGGTTGCCTTGCCTTCTCAACCTGTTGTAAACTTGTCTTACAGTTGAGGACTTTTAGGTAGGTCCAACCATATAGCTTTCAGTTTGCATTTGATTTACATTCAGCTGATCCCTAAATCTTTTTTATTATACCTTGAAATGTGTCTCAGAGCTTTCTTCTTTTCCCTTGCCATTGCCAGTGCCCTAACGCATCATTTCTTGCCTTTTCTCCTGTTGGTCTCTGAGCCTCAGTTCTGTTTTTTTCCCTTCAAAGATTCTTCCTTCCTGCAGCACTTAGTTACATAGTTAAATCTGATCATATTACTTCTCTCTCTCTCTTTTTTTTTTTTTTGATTTTTTTTTTTTGAGATGGAGTCTTGCTCTGTTGCCCAGGCTGGAGTGCAGTGGCACGATCTCAGCTCACTGCAAGCTCCGCCTCCCGGGTTCACGCCATTCTCCTGCCTCAGCCTCCCGAGTAGCTGGGACTACAGGCGCTCGCCACCACGCCCAGCTAATTTTTTGTATTTTCAGTAGAGACGGGGTTTCACCGTGTTAGCCAGGATGGTCTCGACCTCCTGACCTTGTGATCCGCCCACCTCGGCCTCCCAAAGTGCTGGGATTACAGGCATGAGCCACCGCGCCCGGCCTCTCTTTTTTTTTTTTCTTTGAGAAGCTGGAGTGCAGTGGCGCAATCTCAGCTCACTACGACTTCCGCCTCCCGGGTTCAAGAGATCCTCCCACTTCAGCCTCCCAAGTAGCTGGGATCACAGGCACCCATGACCACACCCAGCTAATTTTTTTTTTTTTTTTTTCATTTTTAGTAGAGACAGGGTTTCACCTTGTTGGCCAGGCTGGTCTCGAACTCGTGGACTCAAGTGATCCACCCACCCACCTCAGCCTCCTAAAATGCTGGGATTACAGGCAAGAGCCACCTCACTGGGCCATTTCTTAAACACCTCAAATTCCACAGGACAAAGACAACATTCCTGGGCGGTAGCTTGAGGTTGGAGCCCTCCTCTCCTGGGCTGCTGTCTCCTGCACTCCCCTGCTCTGCACTTCACTCTCCAGCCCACTAGTCCAGTCACATTCCCTAAACAAAACGTGCTCTTTCTTTTTGTTTGTTTGTTTCTTGTTTTTTTAATTTTTAGACAGAGTCCACTCTGTCACCCAGGCTGGAGTGCAGTGGAGTGATCTTGGCTCATTGCAGCCTTGACCTCCCCAGCTCAAGAATAGCTGGAACCACAAGCGCAAGGCACAGCACCCTGCTACTTTTATATTTTTTATAGAGACGGGGTTTTGCCATGTTGGCCATGCTGGTCCCAAACTCCTGGACTCAAGTGATCCACCTGCCTCAGCCTCCCTAAGTGCTGGATTACAGGCATGTGCTGCTGCACCTGACCCAAACTATGCTCTTTAATAGTCCTGGGTCTTCTGCTATGTTACTCCCTCTGCTAGAATAAACTTCCTTTCTTTGTTCACATGGTGACCTCATCCTAATCCATCAAAAATCAGTTCAAATATTCTAGACTTTAGTCCCATTAGTGCCCAAATTAGAAGTTCCTTCCTCTGGGATTCACTTTGTTCATATTTCCATGTTTCACTATTCACAGTGTGATTTATATATGTTGACTTGCCTGCTTTCTTTTAGTCTGAGCTCCTTGAAAACAAAGGACCATGTCTTCTTCCTATATGTGCTATCATAGAGCAGCTTCACGATAAAATTAGGTGATAAATCAGTAATTAGACGAACAACATTTCTTTTTATAGCATTTATTTTTGCCTATGCTTTTTCATTACAGTTAGTCTACATTACCCACAAAAGAGTTAAAAAAAAAAACTACATGGGTTGTTTGTTATATGTTTCTTTCTCATAACATCTTTTTTCTTTCCCACTTCTATAATGGCAGGGAACCAGGAATTATACTCATGGGTGTCCTGGGGACCATCCTTCCTCAGTTCCCACTCATTCTGTCCAATTCTGAAGTATTAAAGGATCCTCCAGGCTTGCCCTCACTCTTAAGTCGTAGAGGTACTTTTTCATTCAGACTGATATCCTAGTTTTCTTTTCATTTGGACCATTCACCAGCCAGCTGTGATTTATTTCAATGGCCACCACTAGTCACAATAGAGAGACAAAATCAAATAAAATCAATATAATGGCTCTCACCAAATATTAAATCCTTTCTCCTCTGTCTTCAATAGACAGAGGCACCTGGCAGCTTCAGAGGCTGGTTTTCCCTGGTCCTTACCAGGATGTCTATTGTTTTCTGCTTATTTCAGGGAAAAGGTACTCATGTTTATCAGACCTCAGGAGTCAGTATTTTGTTGTAATTGGCCTGTGCTGGTCCCAGATCCTGGAGGTTGGAGCATATTTTTCCATGGAGAACTCCCTCTCCAGGCGTATCTGTACTCTATGTATTGAAGTGTTTTCATGCTAAGTAGATTTTTTGTTTGTTTTCGGAGATAGTGTCTTACTCTGTCACCCAGGCTGGAGTACAGTGGCTCGAACACCAGGCTGGAGTGCAGCCTCGATTCCCCAGGCTCAAGCGATCCTCTTGTTTCAGCCTCCTGAGTAGCTGGGACCACAGGCAAGCACCACCATGCCCAGCTAATTTTTTGACTTTTTTTGTAGAGACAGTGTTTCACTATGTTGCCCAGGCTGGTATTGAACTCCTGGGCTCAAGCAATCCTCCCACCTCAGCCTCCTAAAATGTTGGGATTACAGGCATGAGCCACCATGCCTGGCCTAAGTAGATTTTTTAAATATTCTAATTTCTTCAAAATTAATCAGTGAAGAGTTGGGCATGGTAGCACACACTTATAGTCTCCGCTACCAGAGAGGCTGAGGAGGGAGGATTGCTTGAGGGCAGGAGTTCCAAGGCCTAGTTTGCTGTCATCATGCCTGTGAATAGTCACTGCCCTGCAGTCTGGGCAACATAGTGACACCTCATCTCTAGAAAAAAAAAAAAAAGTACTGTACTAAACAATAATCTTTTTTATCTTTTGTAAAAAAATTTTTTTAATCAAATATCTTGTCAATTTCCTCTGGCAAATTGCATTATTCATAATATACAAAAAGTAGAAACAACCCAAATGTACACCAACTGACAAATGGATGAATAACACATGGCATATCTGTAAAAGTGAATATTATTCGGCCATAAAAAATGAGTGAAACACTGCTACATGCTACAACAGGGGTGAACCTTGAAAACCTTATGCTTGGCCAGGCACAGTGATTCATATCTGTAATCCCAGCATTCTGGGAGTCAATGGTGAGAGGATCACTTCAGCCCAGGAGCTCAAGATCAGCTCAAGCAGTGCTCCCATCTCAGCCTCCCAAGTAGCTAGGACTACAGGCATGCACCACCATACCTGCCTAATTTATCAATCTTTCTTTCTGAGGTGATGAAAATATTCCCAAATTGACTGTGATGATGGCTGTACCTATATGTGAATATACTAAAAACCATTGAATTGTGCATTTTAAGTGAGTAAATTGTATGATATATGAATTATATCTCAGTAAAGCTGTTTTTAAAAAGTGCTAAAATATAAAGCTTTTCCCTTTCTTCTGAGCTCTTCCTGGATTTGCAGTGGTATTTTTTATTTGCTATTTAATGTTTTTCTGAATAAAGAAAAATTTAAATTTAAAACTATTACCATGAATTTTAATGTTCATCTTTCCGTTGTGCAATGCCGGTTTTAAATGAAAATATCAGAGTATTTAACTCATGCAGAATCAACAAAATTACACAATTTGTATATTGTAGCTTATACACACACATATGTTTTGTTCTTACTAGAACAGTAGAAACACTGCACAAAACTAACTCAACTGTTTTTATTTCACTTCTTGATTGCACGTGTTCCTCCTAGCACTATCTTCAGCTTACTGATGAGTAAGGAGGAACTGAAAGGGAAAGAAACTAAGAGCTGTTATCTTTCCCTTTCCTTATAGGGCATCATTTTCTGTGTAAGTGGTTGGCTAATACAGGGAAGCAACATAAGCAAGAATGAATATGACATGATTCCTTTGATAATTTTTTTTAGGATGCCTTTGCTTTCTCTCTGCAGTCAAAACAGGCTCCGGTTTGAATGGAAAACATGGCCTCTCAGGACTGTCAGTGCCTACTTATTTGTGGACATACATGCTAATCATGTACTTCCTTTGTGTCTGCTACATTTCTAGGCATTGTGGGTCTGTAGTGGAATTCTGTGTTCATGGAGCAAATCTGGAGAGCCATATGCAGACAGATTTAGTAACAAAGACTGGAAGGCACTCATGTATCTTCTCTGCTCATGCCATTGTCCCATTGAACATCACTTACAAAATATAAGTTCAAAAGTAAAATAACTAAGAATTTCAAAATGGAGACAGCAGAGCATTCAACCAAGTGCAAAGCTCTTCTGAGAGTGGACCCTGTGTGATTGCACAGGTTGCACACCTGTGAAGCCAACGCTGATTGAAATACGAGATTTCTAAATCATTTTAGATACATTTTTGGATAAGCAGTGCATCTGAGGGCATAACATTTCTTGAGTTCTAATCTTTCTTCCCAACTGAGTGACTTTGAGCAAATGACGTATTGTTTGGCAAGTTCTTGGAATTGAATTGGATGTTTTCATCTCTCCCTTATCCTGTCCTGACTTAAAAAACTAGAAGAGTGAATTGCTGAGTCATTTTGCTCAACTTGTCGAAGTGAAGAACAGATGGCCCTGTTCAAAAGGTTTTAACCCCCAAGAGGGCCTGTGGTTGACAGGGAACAGGGGAGGGGTTGAGCAGTTGGATGTTGCTGGGAGCATGGGGCATGCATGTAGCTCAACGGGGCATGCATCTGATCCAGATGTGCATCAGGTAAACCAAGAGAGGTCTGATACAAAGCTCTTCAACCTCCTAACCCTCTCTAAGAAGCACAGCAGAGCATCAGAATAAATGGATAGAAAGGTAGTTTGTAAATTAAAATTGCAAATGCTCAACGATAATAAATATTGCTTTTTATCTACATGTCATTTAATGGCCTTAATAAAGGTAATCTATACAGATTGCCTAAGAGAAATATTTAAATAACAAGTTATTTATAATACTTACTATTTAACCAGAAAAATACGTTAATCAGATTCATGAAGGTAAAGCACAGAACAACTCTAAGTTATTTTATAACTATGATAGTAATACAAGCTCAAAAATATTTACCGAATGTAGAATTAGAAAAAGGAATCTAATTTTGAAGAAAACACTTTAAGCTGTGGTGATGGGCTGCTAGACACTATCAAATGCAGTAAATTCTACCATCCATTGTTCTATTAGTAAGAAATGCCTGTTATCTGAACATTTCCCTTTTTAATCCGATACCATATAATTATCATAGGATTTCATATATTATTTCATTATTATAGGATTTCAATTCTGTGTTCATGGGGCAAATCTGGAGAGCCATATGAAGACCCTGGGACTCATGTAGTAATCCAAAATTTTTGAATGGTGACATTACATTCTATTTTATTTCAATGATATTATCACATTTCAGTGCTTTGAAGACTCAGTTTCTAGAATATCTTATTTATAATGTACACATGGTATTTGATTACCAACATATCCTATTCTCTGGCCAAACATAAAAACTCTAGTAAGTAAAGATTTTATTTACTTAATTTCTAGATTAAGATTTCTAAATTTCTCTATACATCAAAAACATTTCTGCTTTTCAAAAAACTTTTCATTATTGTCAAATAAATGCAATACTTTTATTTACTTTTCTAGACCTCTGTCCTTCTATAGTTATAAAATTCACTTTTGTTGTTTTCATGTGCCAAAGCCTTATATCAAAACAATGTACTCTTTTAAAACTGCAAGATGCAAGTGTAAATTTTATCCCTGTACAGATGGTTAATACACTACTGATTGGTAAAGCGAGGTGGAAGCATGAGAAATACAATCCCAGACCAATTTGCCTGGCATTGTTCAAGCACAGAAGAATCAGAAAGCCCACGTGGGACCTTCCTCTACATTAAGAATACTCAGTGCATGAACAGATGCACCAGCCTTTTAAAATGATGGTGCATCTAGCTTGGTTATTTTCTTAAGAAAACTATTTAACTATTAACCAATGCTAGAAAGATATTTTTAACTTCTCTCTCAGTTAAACTTCCTCGTCATAAAATTGTATAAATCAAAGCTTTTCCTACACCTACTCTCCTATTTGCTTTATTTGAATTGTATGAATTCCCGTGGTATTAGACTTTGTATTTAGGAAACAGCTTTATCACGAATGCCATTAATCCAATATTTATGTAAAAATTTCTTTTTCTATAAGAAATAAGTTGGCCGGGCATGATGGCTCACGCCTGTAATCCCAGCACTTTGGGAGGCCAAGGCAGGTGGATCACAAGGTCAGGAGATCGAAACCATCCTGGCCAACATGGTGAAACCCCATCTCTACTAAAAATACAAAAATTAGCTGGGCATGGTGGCACATGCATGTAATCCCAGCTACTCGAGAGGCTGAGGCAGGAGAATCGCTTGAACCTGGGAGGCAGAGGTTGCAGTGAGTCGAGATCGTGCCACTGCACTCCAGCCTGACGACAGAGGGAGACTCCGTCTAAAAAAAAAAAAAAGAAGTAAGTCTATGTTAGCAATCTAAGGACTCATAAATGATGGATGCTAGCACTGATCATCAGTGAACTGGGAAGCTGCATTGGAAACAATGACACCAAAGAAAAAACCATAGACTTTCTTTTTTATCAACCAGACTGATAGACTGAGGAAATGCTAAAGATCCAGTGTTTCCTAATTAGAGCAGAGAAGTTGGCAAAAATTTTCCATTGTCTCCTTGTGAATAAGATATTAAAGTGAAGTGGAATTATGGTATTACAAGTGGCTTCATAATCCATGGAACACTGTACCCAAAGGGTGTCTACTAGTCTGGAGGGAATTTTCTAGTAAAGGGTCCTGGGCGAATACTTGGAATTGCCTATTTTCAGACTTATATCGGTGATTTAGATCACGGTTTTGAAAGATATATATATATTTTTTCTTTTTTTATTTTTCTTAGAGACAGAATCCCACTCTTGCCAAGGCTGGAGTACAGTGGCGTGATCATGGCTCACTGCAACCTTGAACTCTTGGGCTCAAGCAATCCTTCTACCCCAGCCTTCCCAGTAGCTAAAATTATAGTTGCACACCACCATACCTGGCTAATCTTTTTTGTATTTTTGTAGAGTCAGGGTCTCATTGTGTTGCCCAGGTTGGTCTTCAACTCCTGGCCTCAAGCAATCCTCATGTCTCAGCCTCCCAAAGTGCTGGGATTATAGGCATGAGCCACAGCTCCCAGCCTTAAATATTAGTTTTGTAAAGTATAACTCTTTACTCAAGGAAAATCATCACAAAAGAAAAATATATAAGTGGATAAAAATGGAATGGCTCTGGTGAAGACAACGGGTAAGCAAAGGCATTTCCACACATCTCTAGGTCTTTCCAAAGTGCAGTTACAGAACTCATGACCCAAGTTAATCATATTGGCTAACTTTTTTTTTTTTTGAGACAGAGTTTCACTCTTGTTGCCCAGGCTGGAGTGCAATGGCGAAATCTCAGCTCACTGCAACCTCTGCCTCCCAGGTTCAAGCGATTCTCCTGTCTCAGACTCCTGAATAGCTGGGATTACAGGTGTCCACCACTATGCTCGGCTGATTTTTCATATTTTTAGCAGAGATGGGGTTTCACCATGTTGGCCAGGCTGGTCTTGAACTCCTGACCCCAGGTGATCCGCCCACCTTGGCCTCCCAAAATGCTGGGATTACAGGCGTGAGCCACCGCACACGGCCCATATTGACTAACTTTTACTGGGAGTCACTATGTGCCAAGCATTGTCCTAAGAACTTTACAATCTATTATCCCATAGAATCATCACCACCACCCCTTTCTATGAGAAACAATCTCTTATTAGCTCAATTTTACAGACAAAGAACCTAAAAGTCAAGAGATAAGGTAATTGTTCATGGTCACATGGTAGTAAATAATGGAGCTGGGCTTGGACCCGAGGTTTCCTGATTCCAAAGCTCAGTCTTTTTAACTGCTATGGCATTAGGCCTTCTGTGAAAGCCTTCATGTTACAGGTGTCAAATGTTGGGCAGTGCAGTAGGGTGGGAGGAATAATCGTAGCATTGCGTTCACTCAAAGCAGCCCAATCCCCAGAACACACCACCAAGCCAAGGCACACTGGCTTGCTCTCTATCTGCTCTCGAATCTCCTATCCCCATCTATTATCTCCTTCTGCCCTTCCCCTTTTCTCAGCTACTGATCTGTGCCTCTCTTAGTCTGTGGCATCCTTTGATCCAATTTGACACCTTGTGGTTAAACACAGGCTTCACTCTGTGATGTTCCCATTGCTTCTCTGATTGAATCTGACACTTGTTTCCGCTTCTCAAGCAGCCCATACATCTGTTTTCAGTGTTGTGATGCCCCAGGTGTGGCCACCAGAATGCCAGATGTGGGCAACAGTTGCTACCATGAAAATTCAGAGTGAACATCAAATGCATTTTGTTTTTTTTACTTAGAACAAAAGCACAAGACACTTACATATGAGGTGAAATTGAGTGTTCTAGTTTCCACACTTACATGTGAACTTCCTAATAATTTACTAGCTTGAGCAAAAGTATTTCAACATTGCTTTGAAAAGGAAATGTTAGTTATTCTATACTGGCATGTAGTCACGAAAAAAATACTTTTAAGAAATGTGAGAAACATAACTGCTTATTTCCTTCTGTCACACACTATATATATTACATATATGTTATATATACTGTTTGTATATATATGTGTGTATATGTATATGTACATATATAGTCTCTATAATACATAGTATATACTACATAGTCAACATCTCAAATACAATAGACATTTAATATTTGTGTAAAATTAAATGTACAGAAAGCATCTTGCTGTAACATTCAACGAAAATGCATACAAAGAAAAATATCTGGTCTTTCAAAAAGAGTTAGAAAAAGTATTTTCACACGGATCCTTCCAAAGTTCTCTCCATGACATGGTCCAAATGAACCATGAGTTCAAAGAATCTGGATTGCTGCAGGAGGCTGGTCTTGGCTCTCATCACATCAGCCTCCTAGAAAGGAGTCCTGCAGAGAGCCAGGGAGGTGAGGCAACAAGACTGCACCTACCTCCACATTGTTCAGACCCAATTGTCATTCATACTTTCTGTCGACGTTTTTTCAAGCCTCTTCAGGCTCCTGTGTCCACTATGGGATCAAATACTCCTATAATTCCCTAAGCCCAGGAAAATGCCTGTATTTCTGGAGAAATTTTAAGGTAGAGAGGTACTGCCTATTTGCTTGCCAAAATCCCAGCTTTGATAGTTTCTGTTGAGATTTCAGACTGCATAATCAATAACATTTCCAGAACTTGGAACTAATTAAGAGAAAGATGCAAGAGTCAATTCGAGATCAAAATACCACTTGAATTATGATAAAGGGTAGTTTGGAGGTTGTAGTCTAGCAGCAGAACTGTGCAGACTGGGCTACCCACTCGCAGGCAAACCTGGGTGACCCTGGAGCTCTTGCTGTACAATTCAGTGTAGAGGAGATGCACAGAATGCATGTACTCCCTGCAGGAGGGTAGACGCCAAAGAGAAACAGAGAAGGAACATGCTCATCTTCCTTAACATCAGGAGTGGAAGGTTAAATGGTCTGAGGCAAGAATATATACAGACTGTGGCAGTAGTCAATGGCCTGACCATCAGGGGCTGATCAGGGGCTTGAGGATTGGAGACAGAGGCATGTGTAAGGACACGAGAGAGTAGGCACCAAGCGTGAAGATTTTTGCGTCATGTGTTAATGCCCACCAGAAGCAGCCACCACAGAAGAATTCCTGCAGAAAGTAGACAAAATTTCTTGGCTAGTTGATGTATGGTCAGCCTTTGCCACTGTCAATCCCAGGACAGACACAATGGGCACATGAACAGACTGGCTATGGTGGCAGAAATGAAGGCTATGTATTGACCCAAAAGCATGGACTCCCACTTCCCAGGGCCAGTCTGGCTATTGCTGCCTCTCAGTGTTCAAATTTTCAGGATTATAGACCAACACTGGGGTCCCCGAGGAGGCAAGCCTGAGGGTTCCTTCCATCCTAGGAGGGCCAGCAGTTCATGCTCACAGGGTAGATACTTATTCCAGACATGGATTTGCCTTTCTTGTCCACAGAGCCTCAGCCAGCATGATTTTCTGGAGGGTTTTGGAAAGCCTGATCCACGGACATGGAATTCCATCCAACATAGCCTCTGACCAGGCAATCTATTTTATAAGGAAGAGATATGGGTCTGGGCCCATGACTCCATTTCCTGAGTGAATAGAGCGGTCATGGCTATAAACAGTGGTGTTTACAATGAATTGATCACAACCAGTTACAGATTTCTTTGTTCCTTCTCCACTACCACTGCTTTACTTGACTAGCCTTAAAAAAAGATGGAGAGAAAAAAGAAAATAATGTGAGCTTTCCATTTTTCACTTGGCATTGCCTGAGTAGACATTGTGGAATTGCTCCATTTTGATCTTCTTATGTGCTGTTATAGATGGAATTGTGAACCCCCAAAATACACATGTTGAATTCCTAACCCCCAGTAGGACAGCATGTGACTATATTTGCAGACAGGGCTTTTGAAGAGGTAATTAAGGTAAAATGAGGTCACTTGGGTCCCATAATCCCATATGATTGGTGCCCTTATAATAAGAGGAGATTGGAACATAGACGTACACAAAGGAAAGGCCATGTGAAGACAAGTGGAGAAGATGGCCATCTACAAGCCAATGAGCGAGGTCTCAGAATGAAGTCAACCTTGCTGACCCTCCCACTTTTTTTTTTTTTAAGGAAGGCAGACTGTCACATGTAGCACCTCGTTTGGATCTGCCTGGAGTTCTGCGAGATCCAACATGAGTTCCTACATTTTCTTGCAAAAAGACCTTGAAAGCTTATCTGGAGGCTCCAGCAAAACTCACAAAGAGCACAGCTATTCTTTTTTTTTTTTTTTTTTTTTTTTGAGACGGGGTCTCACTCTGTCGCCCAGGCTGGAGTGCAGTGGCACGATCTCGGCTCACTGCAACTTCAGCCTCCCAGGTTCACGCCATTCTCCTGCCTCAGCCTCCCGAGTAGCTGGGACTACAGGCGCCTGCCACCACGCCTGGCTAATTTTTTGTATTTTTAGTAGAGACGGGTTTTCACCATGTTAGCCAAGATGGTCTCGATCTCCTGACCTCGCTATCTGCCCGCCTCGGCCTCTCAAAGTGCTGGGATTACAGGCGTGAGCCACCGCACTTGGCTGAGCACAGATATTCTTATATCTTTGACCAAAGAATAGTTATGTCCCTTGCTAGAACCTGATGTACGTCCCTTGGTTTATCAGAAGTTACCAAATCTGCTTCCTTACAAAACTCAGAAAAAGCACAGCTACTCTTATATCCTTGACCAAGGAACAGTCTTCCTCTATCAGCATGCAGCTTCAGGAGGGACACATATGGAGAGGTGAGGAAGGGGACACTCACTGAGCCAGCCAGATGAGCTGAGTCAACCCTGGGGATCATTGGGGTGACAGATGTCACAGCCAGGTTGCCCTCACATCCCATGCCCACACCTTGATCTCAGACTTCCAGCCTCCAGAACTGTAAGAAAATAAATTTCTGTTGTTTAAGCTACCCAGTCTATGGTATTTGTTATGGCAGGCTTAGCAAACTAACACATATGTTAATTTAATAATAGCTAGCATTTGTAGTTGGATTTACAGCTTACAAAGTACTTTTTTGAATCTCATAACAATCCCAGTGGTTGATAGGATGCTACCATTTTCATTTAGGAAACTGAGGACATGGGAAACCCTCACTATGTGGGGATGACATAGTGAGAGGCAAAATTAGGTTATGAACCCAAATATTTTGACTCCAGCCCCTCTCTACCAAGTGAGTCCTCTGTTTAAAAACCCTCAGTGGCTTTCCATTGCCCAAACTGTTTCCTGAGAATGGCATGCAACGTCCCTTACATGCCGGTGCACCCTAGCCTTCCAGTTCCATCTACCATCATTCACTTCCTTTCAACTGGTGCTTTATCAGTATGGAATTAGTCAGCACTCTTCATAAATCACATGCATCTTGCTTTCTCATGCCACTGTGTGAGCTATTTCTCCAGCCGAGAGGTTTTCACTGCTTTCTCAACTTGACAAATTGCTGGGCATTCTTCAAATGCCCAACTCAAATATTACCTTCCCTGTGAACCACATCATGACTTTCTCTGTGCTCCCATATTTTGTATGTATTTTTACTATTGCACTTATGATATAGGAAGGCAAATTAACAGAGTGGAAAGGGCCAGGGCTTTGGATCCAGGCACACATAGGATCAAATCCTGACTCTGCCATATTTCATTCAATCCAATAGCTTTTATTGAGCATGAATTACATGAAAAGCACTGAACCATGTTCCAGGGATACAAAGATGACAAAGCTGTTCTCACCTGAAAGATTACAATCCTAATGCAATATACTTGAGGGTTCAGACAAACAGTATATTAAAATTTTGAGAGACAAGTGCACTGTACAAAGAAGAGCAAGAGAAAGTCAAGGTAACTTCCTAAGCCTCGGTCTCCTCATCTGCAAATGGGGAGATGTGCACCTGCCCCTTACAGTTGGTGGTAGGATTAAATGATATCATATGTAAATCATCTAGTAAAGTGCCTGACATTAAGTACTCTGATTATGTTGTGGTTATTTCTGTGTTTCTGTCTCTCCTACTTGACCATGGAAGCTCCTTGAGGTCCAGGAACAGTCTTATTCATCTTTGTTTCATTGTTGGTTGAATGAGATCATGAATGCATGGGAGCCTGAGAATGTGTTTTAGGATCTTGTCTATTCTAAGGTAAGAAGGTTAAGGAGCCAAAGAAACTATAGCAGCCCTAAAAAACTCTTCAAACTTGTAAAAACATTCCATTTTTAAATTAGTAGAACAAGGGCGAGCTCAGTGGCTCACTCCTGTAATTCCCAGCACTTTGGGAGGCCGAAGCAGGTGGATCATTTGAGGTCAGGAGTTTGAGACCAGCCTGGCCAATATGGTGAAACCCTGTCTCTACTAAAAATACAAAAATTAGCCGGGCATGGTGGTGGGCGCCTGTAGTCCCAGCTACTTGGGAGGCTGAGACAGAAGAATTGCTTGAACCCGGGAGGCGGAGGTTGCAGTGAGCCAAGATCGTGCCACTGCACTCTATCCTGGGCAACAGAGCGAGACTCTGTCTCAAAAAATAAATAAATAAAATTAGTAGAACAAATAAGGCTTCCTGAGGTGATGTATGCCCCTCGGTTTATCAGAAGTTACTTAATCTGCTACCTTAAAAAACTCAGAAAGCAGGCTAGGCACAGTGGCACACACTTGTAATCACCTGAGGCCAGGAGTTTGTGACCAGCCTGGCCAGCATGGCAAAACTTCGTCTCTACTAAAAACACAAAAATTAGCCAGGCATGGTGGTGACGCCTATAATCTCAGCTACTCGGGAGGCTGAGGCACGAGGATCACTTGAACCCAAGAGGCGGAGATTGCAGTGAGCCCAGATTGTGACACTGCACTCCAGCCTGGGTGACAGAGTGAGTGTCTCAAAAAAAAAAAAGTAAAACAAAAACACCCAACAACTCAAAAAGTGACAGATCTGGAAGGGTGGATTTTGATATGAAAAAGAGGAGTAGAAAGTATAGGTCAGACCAAGTTTAATCCAAATCCCCTGATCTTTTTCCTCTTCAACAATTATCGGTGCCTTATTACTGAGAATTTAAAACATCTACTTAACTAAGAAGTTGGTCAATGATGGGAAGCTGGAAGATCAGTATGTCAGAAACTCCCTGTTTTTTTCTCTTTTGCCCTTGTGGCAACCCTTAAGGAGGATCCTGGGAACATGGTAAAAGTCACTGCTTTAATAAATTCTATAAATACCATGCACATAAATAGAAGCTTCTAAGTCTTCAACAACCATTGTTTTTAGCACACACACACACACACACACACACACACACACAAAGATTATGAGATAAATACACATTGGCCTTCAAGGTCAGATTCTCTTGTAACAATCCCAAGCTATTAACTGGGAGAGTAATTAACTTGTAATTTAAGCACATTTTAAATAGCTTAACAAATCTTTGTCCAGTGAAGCATTCCTAGAGGAGATGCCATACCTCTAGATTAATCTTAAATGTTCTCAGCTGTATGTGCAATCTGAAGTTTGCTCCAAATTACCAAATCCAGGTTCTACTTTTCACCATTCCATCGATTTTCTTCAGTTTGTATGCAGATTTCTGCCAAGCCGGTGGTCTGTAGCTTGCAATTGACAACACCTACCAGCTGTTAAATTTACACATCGCTCCAATTTAAATGCTTAATTGCTCTCAGTGCACTCAATTTACAGCTCATAAACCCCTCTCAGATGGCCCCTAAACCTCTGCCAATAATAGATTCTAAAGTTAAATGAACCATAGTGTCCCTTGGTAGAAAATTAAATATCAGAATAATCTTATACTTTTGGAATGTTTATAATTATTTGTTGGAAAAAATTAACATCTGAGGGTTTTCTTTTTTATTTTATTTTTATTTTTTATTTTTTGAGACAGGGTCTTGCTCTCTCAGCCAGGCTAGAGTGCAGTGGCACAACCATTGCTCACTGCAGCCTCAACCTCCAGGGCTCAAGCAATCCTCCTGCCTCAGCCTCCCAAATAGCTGGGACTACAGATGTGTGCCACCACACCTGGCTAATTTTTTACTTTTTTGTAGAGACAGGGTCTCACTATGTTGCCCAGGCTGGCCTTGAACTCCTGGGCTCAAGTGATCCTCCCACCTCAGCTTCCCAAAGTACTGGAATTACAGGTGTGAGCCACCTTGCCCAGCCATAGGGTTTTCTTTAAGTTAGCCTTGGAGAGAAATAAAAGTTTCAACAACTGTCATATCTTCTACCAGTCTCTTAGCATACTTGTCTTTGAAACTGGAACAGAAGGTTGTTACCTGCCCTTATATTTGTATAGTGTCCTGGATGACAGGGAGGATAAAGGAAATATTAAATATTTTATGGACAATGACTATATCATTACACACTATCGCAATGTCAATGGCATCTAAGATAAAGAATACAAGTACTGTAAGTGTGGTATTCTGGTGGGAGAATCTGTGAAGGCTCTTCTACTGTCTGCCTGCCCCCTTACCTGGGAAAGTGAATGTTGAGTTTGAAAGAGCTCATCTCATTCAACTCCCTCTTTTTATACATGAGGACACTGAGTCCCAGAAAGCTCAAGTGGATTGCTCAGCCAGTGAGTGAGGCAGGGCAGGACCGGGATCTCAAGTCATGGCCTCTTCAGACAGCATCTTAACCACTTGATCTACCCCAGTTTGTTGCCATCAGCATCAGAAAGGAGAAAAGGCAGAATTCAAGTAAGTCTTTCTTAAACCTGTACAAGATACAGAAATAAATTTTTATTCAACCAATGATGCATACCCAGGTACTTCCTGCTTTAAGCCGAACCGTATATGAAAATAGAGATTTACACGAGGCTAAATTACAGAGTTCTTCTTGATCTAATTAAAAAGGATTCATTATTGGATTCCCTTAAATATCTAGCACCTCTAGTGAATTTTTAAGTTCACTTATGCCAGCCCCAAAACACGTTTATTATGTAAATTAAGGTATTTATGCATTTTAACTGATTAGCAAGTGTTTATAAAGTACCTAACACTATGCTAGGTGCTATACAATTTTTAAAAATAATAAGTTTAATATAAGCCATGTTCCCTGCTAACAAAAACTTTACATGTTAGTGTGGGCACAAGACAAATGAAACAACTTGAAAACAAAACAGTATATAATGAAGTGTTAAATTGTATAATATGGAAGGCCATGTATAATAAAGGTGAAAAAAAAGACAAGTGAAACACTTTACGAAATTCAAACACCTCTGAACTCATTTCATTTGTGTGTT
Source organism: Homo sapiens (assembly GCF_000001405.40). Classification (NCBI taxonomy): domain Eukaryota; kingdom Metazoa; phylum Chordata; class Mammalia; order Primates; family Hominidae; genus Homo; species Homo sapiens. The sequence continues at coordinate 93,021,875 of NC_000001.11, read as the reverse complement.
TTTCTTTTTATTCATGGGCTAGCAAACGGAAACAGGTTAATGGCAATGTAGATGAGAAACTGTCCTTTACTCCCTTTGAAATACGGTCATTAGACAGATTTGTAAGTTTTGACACCTCCTAGTGGCAAGTCATAGTAACTGTCTGTCTGCACTTAATGTTCTGTAACAATTTTTGATGCCAAAAAACGGTGAAGAAAACTTTAATTTAAATTGACTTTTCAAAGTTTTCTTTGAATAAGAGAGGCTGAGTAGTGTAGTGGTCAAGCACATAATCTCTGAGCTAGACTGCCTCAATCCAAACATCAGCTTTGCCACTTACTAGCTATTTGAGCTTGGGCAAATGTTCTCTGTCTGCAAAGTGGGAATAATAGTAGTACTTTCTTTATGACATTATAATGAGGATTAACTGAGAGAATACTTGAAAAGCAATTAGAATAGTGCATCTCACATAGTAAGCATAATATAAATGTTTGCTAAGTAAATTAGAACAAATCACAATAAAGATCATTCTTATATTTAGGTTATACTGATTATAATTTACACTTTTGCTAACTTGGGGAAATTATTTAACTTCTCTGGGCCTTGGGTCATTTACTGATGAGCAATTGGCCGGGTGCTGTGGCTCACGCCTGTAATCCTACCTAGCACCTTGGGAGGCCGAGGTGGGAGAATCTCTTGAGCCCAGGGGTTTGCCACCAGCCTGGGCAACATGGTGAAACTCTATCTCTACGAAAAAAAGTACTAAAATTAGCCAGGTTTGGTAGTGTGCACCTCTAGTCCCAGCTACCCTGGAGGCTGAGGTGGAAGGATGGCTTGAGCCCAGGAGGCAGAGGTAGAAATGAGCTGAGATTGCAACACTGCACTGCAGCCTGGGTGACAGAGCCAGACTCTGTTTCAAAGTAATAATAATAATAATAACAATAATAACAACTATGTGTCAGTAAATTTTTAAAAAATAGATTTTCTTTTCTTTTTATTAAAAAAAATTTTTTATAGAGATAGGGTCTCACCGTGTTGACCATGCTGGTCTCGACTCTTGGCCTCAAGCAGTCCTCCCACCTCAGCCTCCCAAAGTGCTGGGATTACAGGTGTGTGCCACCATGCCTGGTCAGATTTTATTTTCTAGAACGGTTTTAGATTTACAGAAAAATTGAGCTTTGAGGAGTACTGGTCAAGTGTCTTGGAGCATGTTCTCCAATTGGAATTTGATGTTTTTCTTGTCTTAGATTGGGGTTATGAGGCCACAGGAGGAAGATCATAGAGGCAAAGTGCCATTTTCATCACATCGTATCCCTGGATATACAGTCATCATGATTTATGACACTGGCTGAAGTGGTTTTTGCCAAGTTTCTCCACTGTAAAGTTACTCTTTTTCCTCTCTTTCCATAATCTTTGGAGGGAAGTCACCATGTGCTGCCCACACATAAGAAGTGGATGTATGCTCCCTTTTTGGAGGGTGGCAGAGTATCTACATAAATCACTTGCAATTCTTCTGTATGGACAATTTGTCTCTTCCTCCCACTTATTAATTTATTCAATTATGTATTTATAACATTGTTAACTCATGCATACTTGTTTTATACTTTAGGTTATAATTCAGTATTACTTTTATTTTATTTTTTTTTGCTCAAATTGTTTCCCCTTTGGTCACCGGGAACTCTTTCAGTTGGCTCTTATGCCCCTTTGACATAATCCAACAACATGATTTTTTTTTTCTAGCACTTCCTTACTTTTCGGCACTGCAACATGCTCCAGGTACATCTTGTGTCTTTCCTTCCCCAGTTCTAGAATCAGTCATGTCTCCAAAAAAACCCTTAGTTCCTTTTGTTAGATAATGGTATTAGGAACCGAGATCTGGATGGTAGGTGTCTGTGTACTAGAGAATATGCTAGGTCTTTTAGGACTTCTCTGCTAACAGATCAAATAAATAATTGTGTGGATACTAACCAGTGTATATACATCTATCTATAAATATTTTTATATAGGTCGGGTGCAGTGGCTCATGCCCAGAATTCCAGCTACTGAGAAGGTTGAGGCGGGAAGATCTCTTGAGGTCAGGAGTTTGAGACCAGCCTGGGCAACATAGAGAGACTCAACTCTAAAAAATTAAAAATAATTTACCTGGATGTAGTGGTGCATGCCTGTAGTCCCAGCTGTTCAACAGGCTAAGGTGAGAGCATTGCTTGAGCCCAAGAGTTCAAGGCTGCAGTGAGCTATGATCACACCATTGCGCTCCAGCCTGGGCAATAGAACAAGACCCTGTCTCTTAAAAAAACAATCTATATCCAAATTAAACTAAATATGAGTTCTTACTGATGTGTCTAACTTTAATCCATTAATATATGGATCATTCTAGCTTTTTCTCCTTGCTTATCTGTAAATTCCCACTCCAGCAGTGAGAAACCTGGTTCCTACAATCTGCCATCTATTTACTCAATCATTTAGTTCCAGTACACATGTGTAGCAGTATCAGAATTGTTAACCCATGCCCCCAAATGAAACAACTTTATCAACTAAAGCAGCATTATTTTTTTAATTTGTTTTTATTTCAGTAGCTTTAGAGGTAAAAGTGGTTTTTGGTTACATAGATACATTGTACAGTGGTGAAATCTGGGCTTTTAGTATATCTGTGTGTAGTGTACCCAACAGGTAATTTTTTCTCCCCACCCTCCTTCCACCATCCCTCGCTTCTGAGTCTCCAGTGTCCATTATACCAGTCTATATGCCTTTGCACATCCATAGCTTAGCTTCCACTTATAAGTGAGAACATATGGTATTTGGTTTTCTATTTTTTAGTCACTTCACTTAGAATAACGGCCTTCAGTTCCATCCAAGTTGCTGCAAAATACATTATCTTGTTCTTTTTATGGCTGAGTAGTATTTCATGGTATATGTATATCACATTTTCTTTATCCACTCATCTGTTGATGGGCACTTAGGTTGATTTCATATCTTTGTAATTGTGAATTGTTCTGCAATAAACATATGAGTGCGAGTGTCTTTTTTTGTTTGTTTGTTTGAAACAGAATCTTGCTCTGTCACCCGGGCTGGAGTAGAGTGGTGTGATCTCAGCTCACTGCAACCTCCACCTCCTGGGTTCAAGCGATTCTCCTGCCTCACTCAGACTCCCAAGTAGCTGGGATCACAGGCGTGTACCACCACACCCAGCTGAATTTTGTATTTTTGGTGGAGATGGGGTTTCACCATATTGGCCAGGCTAGTCTCAAACTCCTGACCTCAGGTGATCTGCCTGCCTCGGCCTCCCAAAGTGCTGGGATTACAGGTGTAAGCCACCGCACCTAGCCACATGTCTTTTTTTATATAATGACTTCTTTTCCTTTGGGTAGATACCTAGTAGTAGGATTACTGGATCGAATGGTAGATTTACTTTTAGTTCTTTGAGAAATCTCCACACTTTTTTCCATAGAAGTTGTACTAATTTATATTCCCGCCAACAGTGTACAAGCATTCCCTTTTCACCACTTCTGCACCAACCTCTATTGTTTTTTGACTTTTTCAAATGGCCATTCTGACTGGGGTAAGGTGGTATCTCATTGTGGTTTTAATTTGCATTTGCCTGATATTAGTGATGTTGAGTATTTTTCATGTTTTTTGGCCATTTGTATATCTTTTTTTGAGAAATGTCTATTCATATCATTTGCCCAGTTTTTAATGGGATTATTTGTTTTATTTTTGCTGATTAGTTTGGGTTCCTTATAGATTTTGGATATTAGTCCTTTGTCAGATGTATAGTTTGCAAACATTTTCTCTCATTCTAAAGGTTGTCTGTTTACTCTGTTGATTATTTATTTTGCTATACAGAAGCTTTGTAGTTTAAGTCCTGTTTATTTATTTTTGTTTTTATTGCATTTTTAAAGAAGTGTTCTTACGTGCTTTTAGTGTGCGATTTCTTTTGCCTTTAGTCTTACATATTCCACTCATTTCCAAAGTAACTTTAGGTCAGTATGTGTTCCCCCTACTTCCTTCAGTGAGGTTGTTTCATACATTTTTAATACAGTTAGATTTTACTGCCATTGTCTGCCTCCCTTCCTGGAACTCTCCTACCTCCTAAATGACTTTACTTAATCTGCATACATTATGGTTCACTCTTTGTGTTCTATCTGTGGGTTTTGATGAATGCATAATGTCATGTATCCACCATTACAGTATCATACCGAATAGTTTCACCTCCCTAAATATCTCCTGTGCTTCACCTTCATAATGAACCCCCATTTTCAACCCCTGGCAATTGCTGGAGATTTATTGTCTCTATAGTTTTGCCTTTTCCAGAATGTCATATAATTGGAATTGTGCAATGTATAGCCATTTCAGACTGGGTGCTTTCACTTAGAAATATGCATTTAAGTTTCCTCCATGCCATTTCATGGCTTGATAGCTTTTTTTTTTTTTTTTTGACAGAGTCTCACTCTGTCACCCAGGCTGGAGTGCAGTAGTGTGATCTTGGCTCACTGCAACCTCCACCTCCTGGGGTTCAAGTGATTCTCCTGCCTCAGCCTCCTGAGTAGCTGGGATTACAGGCGCCCACCACCATGCCTGGCTAATTTTTGTATTTTCTAATAGAGACGGGGTTTCACCATGTTGGCCAGGCTAGTCTCAAACTCCTGACATCAGGTGATCCGCCCTCCTTGGCCTCCCAAAGTGCTGGGATTACAGGTGTGAGCCACTGCGCCCAGCCTACAGCTCATTTCTTTTTATCTCTGCATAATATCCCATTGGATGAATGTACAATTTATCTAGTCAAGCAATATTTTAATAATTGAAAAGGTAAAGCTAAAGAAGAAAACATCCTCATCCTGGAGAAGCTCAGTCACTGGCATTGGTGGCACATAACTAAAGGATAGAATGATAAGAGGCATATTACATTACATTCAAAGTGCTGTGGGCACCCATAGAAGACAATGGGTATCTACATGAGAATGTGATGAGGTATAGGTATAGAGAAAAGCTGGGATTTGTCTTGGGCCTTGAAGAAAAAGTAGGTATTTGGGGATGAGGTGGGAAAGGAGGAAGAAGGTGAGTGGGGAAGAGGAACCTGCAGACAAATATGGCTAGAAGGTGAGAGAGACTGCGTCAGGTCCCAGATAACAGTGTATTTTCCCTCATCCACATATATGACCCCAGAGTTGGATTTGCAGGCCAGGAGGAAGGGGCTTTGTGGTGCCCTTTCACTCTGATGATAACAGTAACTCTCACACACAGAGCACCTACTACCATGTGTCAGACGCGGTGCTGGGCACTTCACACACATTTTCCTCACAATTCTTCATGTTACACATGTGCATTTGTAACACACATACATGCAAAGCTGCAGAAGCACTCTATAATACCTCCTGCTGGAAGCTGACACTCCGAATGGAGTTGCTGTTCACGTGTGTGAGGATGATGAAAGAGATGCTGTCTCACATGCCCTTTGACTCTGGCTGCAGCAGCCGCTTTCACCCGTTCCTCACTCCAGCTCCTCTTCTAGAGGTCCCAAAGCTTTAGAAAATCTGTGGCATTATCACTTGCTGCATTCCCCAGCAACCTCCTCTGTCTTAATCAGGGATCAGGTCTCCATCCAGCACACTGCATTTTTTCCCTGTACCTCTATGACTCTTTGTTTACCTAAACAATTCCAAGAATGAGTGATGATAGGAATTCAGAATAGAATGGGAGAGCACCAAGCTTTTCCTTTATGAAAGTAATAAAATGAGGTCAACTTTCTCTTCACTCTGCCCCATGTAAGTTTCCTAAAGAAAGTCAAAGCAATTCTGTTAATCTGCATTTAGACCGCCTACTTCCTACTCAAAGAGTTCAAAACTGAGCCTTGGGATTGGATCAGCACTTCATGGAGGTCATTAGAATAGCACTGTTAAGAAATAAAATTCTCCAGGAGGAAGATTTATAAGCATGGGGAAACTGGAAAAAAAGCTGCCTTAGTTCCACTCTGTTTGGTCGTCATGACTTTTGGCACTGTAAGATGACACGTCAATTTGTACCAAAACCAAAATACCAGTTTGGGATAATCTTTGATGAAGACTTGGCAACCCTATTGACTCTGCAGATCTTTCTCATATTTCAACTAATGCAAACCTCTAGAGAATGTATACTGAGTGACACATCACATAGCTAAAAATAAAGCAGCAGTTAATTTGACACCCACTGCTAGATAATAAAAAGTGACTCATAATTATTATTTCCAACATTTCAAAAACTTGTAATTGAGTTTCCTGTATGCATTTCCTGAGAGGCAAACTCTTCCAAAAATTAAACTCAAATTTGTTGTAGAATAAAATTTTAGGATCTGAAGAACTGTAGACAGTCACAACTGTGCAAATATAAACATGTATCCTCTTCCTAATGTGGTTAATATTTAGTTTACAGTCATTATCATTTTATCATTATTGTAATTACACCTTCCCCTTTAGAAAAAAAGTTATTTTAGTCAAGTTTAACTAGAGGTAGTTGTGTATACTGTGCAACTAATTCTGCTACTGTACCAAAGCATCATGAGGGTAGGTGTGTGTTCCAAGTGTCCTTGTATCCTCCGTGCAGCAGAGGCTTCCAATTGTCCTCTAATATTCATTGTACTAGATCCCTCAGTTTTTAAATGGGTCACATGGCCACTCAGAGTAAAAACCATGTTTCCGGCCGGGTGCAGTGGCTCACACTTGTAATCCCAGCACTTTCGGAGGCCGAGGCAGGCAAATCACTTGAGGTCAGGAGTTCAAGACCAGCCTGACCAACATGGTGAAACCCTGTCTATACTAAAAATACAAAAATTAGCTGGGTGTGATGACGCATGCCTGTAATCCCAGCTACTTGGGAGGCTGAGGCAGGAGAATCACTTGAACCCGGGAGGCAGAGGTTGCAGTGAGCCAAGGTTGTGCTGTTGCACTCCAGACTGGGCGACAAGAGTGAAACTCCGTTTCAGAACAAAAACAGAAACAAAACCACATTTTCTCAGCCTGCCTTACAGACAGGTGTGGCCTGGTAACTAAGTTCAGGCAAATAGATGCAAGCTTAAGTGTTATATAGCAGTCTTTAAGGACCTTTCTTAATTTCGCTTTTTTCACCATTCCTTCCTTCTTCCTTCTGGCTTGGTGGTGGAGCTGATGGCTGGGGGTGAACAGCTATCTTGGACCATGGAGTGATCTTAGAAGAGAATTCAAGCCCAGCAGATCAACTCCATGGAACAAGATCACCACACCAGTTCTGGCCTGTCTCCCTTTGGACTTCTACGCGCGATAAACTATCTTGTTCAAGCCACTGTCACTTGCATTGAAACATAATTCTAGCCAATAAACCCCACAGTCTCAAGCATATCCTAGCATGTCACTAGAGCAAAATATATAGTAATAAATGTTTATTGAATAAATGTTGCAAATTTGGGCTTTCAGGAAGTACATTATTTTTGTTAGTCCAGAAGTTTATGAGTTGAAACAGGACAGCAGTGAGGTCATCCAAGGCCAGAGGGAAATGAGACCAAGTGACTCAAGCAACCAGGAGACCACCGACTATCAGGCAAAAAAGGAAGAAACAGTCAAAGCTAAGGCTCAAAGAAAGAAGACACCACTCAGTCTGGGGAATCTGGAGGCAAGAGAAATTTGGAAACATCAGTCTCTAGTCTGGAGGATAGCAGGCAAGTAGCTCAAAGTCCACAGTCAGCAGCTCTCAGCTGGGGTCGATTTTACTCTTCAGGGGACACTGGCAATATCTGGAGACATTTTTGGTTGTCACAACTGGTTGGGGAGGAGTGGTGCTATGGGCCTCTAGTGTATAGAGGCCAGAGATGCTGCTAAAAATTTTACCATGCCCAGGACAGCCCCCAAAGCAAAGAATTATCTGGTCTAAAATGTCGATAGTGTTCAGGAAAAGAAACCCTGGTCTAGCTGATTATAGGTGTTCACTTCAGGCCCCAAACTCCAGCTACTCTTGGAGTTCAGGCCAGAGGGAAGATGGGTCATTTAGCCAGCCTGGATAACAGCTTGGAAATAGACAATCCAGACTTTCATGTTCAGCGTCATTAAGCAGACTTTGTGACTAAACTGAGTACCTGCAAATTGCTCTCTGAATATTAAGTAGCTTATAGCACAGTTCTTCCCACAATACAAAGATAATTATGCCCTATCCCAGACTAACAGAGACTGTGACATGCTCACAAACCATTAAGAAGAGTCTGAAATATAAAACAGGTATACATTGGGGTCCTAAGGTCTCAGAGAAGCTCCTTTGCATACCAAATGTGGGGAAGGGAGTAGAACTGACAAGCAGCTTCTCTTTTGATGTGAGTCCTAAATGTGGGAATCATCAGTCTCCACATTCCCAAAGCCAGGGTTTGTGTCAGAGAAGGTCCATGCCAGAGAGGCTGAGAGGGCAGATCTATTCTTGATTCTGCAGCTGACTTGCCGTTTGAACCCTCTGACTTTTCCAGGCACCAGTTTTCCTTACAGTGTGAAAGACAAAATTATCATTAGCTGGAGGGGAGGCCTGAGGGAAAGAGAGAAGAAGAGCAAGTTGATTGAGCTGCTGAGGCTGCTAGGCCCTATGTGCATAAATCAGTAAGCTTAAACCTCAGAATATCCCTGGTGGCTCGAGGATGACAGCATTATGGAAATAAAGTACTTTTTATATTCCTGCATCTGTATTAGCATACATACATTTACTTCTCATATTTATGAGATCCTTATAAATTTCTTTTCAAAAAAGTTTTTTTTGCCAAACTGAATTAAGTTAGTTAATTGCATACTTATTATACACAAAACACTATGCTTGGTTTTATGTGGTTTCTGCCCACAAAAGGCTTTCATTCCAGTAGAGAGGCAAAGATTTACACAAAGAAATCACAATACAAGGTAGAAAGTCATAATGCCAAAAGAGAGACATAAATAAAGTGCTGTGGGTTCACAGAGAATGAAATACTTAATATGGTTAGAAGAGGTAGGTTCAGTTGTTCATTATTTTGTTTAAAAAATATTTCTTGCACTTCTGCTATATGCCAGGAAGTCTGCTAAATGACAGAGATTCAAAAATGAATGACACCAAGCCCTTAGCTGAATGGGGAAGAGAAAAGTATATCAAGAGTGGCATTTGAGCAACATAAGGTTGAAAGTTGTGCTAATGTCAGATTTTGGAATGGGAGCAGGTAGAAGGGGAGCGTACTCCAGGCGAAGGAAAAAATAAGCAAAATATCAGAGTAGCAAACCAGCTTGTATTTCATCAGCCTCCATATGGGGTTCCCCACTACTACCAAATCCCAACCCCCACCCACACGCATCAGTTAATTTAGGAGGGGGCTTCTCTCTGAGCATGCTCTGTAATACAAATCCTCCATGAGAAGTTTGGTTTGTTGACCAGAAGAACAATATTTCTCCTATTAGCAATTATCTAGGTTGTTTCTGATTGGAAACTGTAATTAAAATGATACCATGAACATCCTTATACATGTGTCTTTGTGTACTCATGTGAATATTTTCTATAGACTAACGTTTTAAAATAGTTACAATAAACCAAGTTCAAGGATGAGTCACCAATGGACAGGATCTCAGATCCCCAGGATGATGATGAGTGTGTAAGAGAGCACTGAGCACCCCCTACAAGGGAAGATGGAAGTCTCTGAAGACAAATGTCACCTGCCTCCTAAATTTGTCTAATGGAAGCTCTGCCTGTAACCTTAAAACTGGGGTTTGCTTCCAGTCACAGTGGCTCTCGCCTATAATCCCAGCACTTTAGGAGGCTGAGGCAGGAGGATTGCTCGAGGTCAGGAGTTAGAGATGAGCCTGGGCAACATAGTGTGAACCTGTCTGTATATATATATTAGCCAGGTGTGGTGGTACGCACCTGTAGTCCCAACTACTTGGGAGGCTGAAGCAGAAGGATCACTTGAGCCCAAGAGTTTGAGGCTGCAGTGAGCTGTGATGGCGCCACTGCACTCCAGCCTGGGTGACAGAGCAGGGAGACCCTGTCTCTAAAAAACAAAAACAAAAACAAAATTGAGGTTTGCCAAACAGTTCTGCCTTCTAGTGCTCTCTCGAGACTCATTTCTCTCTGGGTGTGGTAAGCATTGCATTAATACTCCCCAACAGACAAGTAGAAGTAGCACCAACATTTTAAGATATACTATGGGTGAAAATCTTAACATTGAGAAAAACATACCCATTAACCTTTTACCTGTCATTGAAAAAGATGGGGCCTATTTCATTCTAGCTCTTGATAGTAAGTGCTTGGAAGCCTCTCGGTCTGATGCAAGTGTCAGGGCCCTTGTCCAAATCCTGCTTCTCTTGTTCTGCTTTGCTGAAGGGCATGAGCACTGAGCAGAGAAGGAGCAATGGGAGCTACTCCGCTCAAAAATATCTCCCCCTTTCATCCTACCAAGAGAGTCAACAAATCGTTCGATCTTTTTTGCTTTTTTAAAAAATTTACATACGGTTTACAAAATTCACCATTTAAAAATGTAAGGTTCAGTGGTTTTTAAATATATTCACAAGGTTGTTCAGCCATTACTATCTAATTCTAGAACACTATTACCCCCAAAAGAAATTCTGTACCCGGCCGGGCGCCATGGCTCATGCCTATAATCCCAGCAATTTGGGAGGCCGAGGCCGGCAGATCACTTAAGGTCGGGAGGTTGAGACCAGCCTGGCCAACATGGTGAAACCCCATCTCTACTAAAACTATAAAAATTAGCTGGGCGTGGTGACACATGCCTGTAGTCTCAGCTACTGGGGAGGCTGAGGAGGAGAATCGCTTGAGCCTGGGAGGTGGAGGTTGCAGTGAGCAGAGATTGTGCCACTGCACTCCAGCCTGGGCAACAGAGCAAGACTCTGTCTCAAAAAACAAACAAACAAAACACAGTCCCTCTCTATAACCCCTCCCTCATCCCCTAATCTACTTTAGGTCTTTATGGATTTGCCTATTCTGAACATTTCATCTAAGTGTAACCATACACAGCATGGTCTTCTGTGACTGGCTTCTTTCAGTAAGCATGATGTTTACAAGGTTCTTCTGTGCTGTAGCATGTATCAATACTTTACTCCTTTTTATGGCTGAATAAGATTATATTGTATAAGTAACCATATTTTTAAATGCATTCATCTGTTGACGGACATTTGGGTTGTTTCCACTTTTTGGCTATTATGAACAATGCTGCTATAATCATTTGTGTTTAGCTCTTTTTGAGGTGAAATAAGTTTTTGTTTTGTTTTGTTTTGTTTTGTTTTTTTGAGACGGAGTCTCACTCTGTCGCCCAGCCTGGAGTGCGGTGACGCGATCGCGGCTCACTGCAAGCTGCGCCTCCTGGTTTCACGCTATTCTCCTGCCTCAGCCTGTAGCTGGGACTACAGGCACCCGCCACCATGCCCCGCTAAGTTTTTTTTTGTATTTTTAGTAGAGACGGGGTTTCACCGTGTTAGCCAGGATGGTCTCGATCTCCTGACCTCGTGATCCGCCCGCCTCGGCCTCCCAAAGTGCTGAGATTACAGGCGTGAACCACCACGTCCAGCCGAGGTGAAAGAAGTTTCAATGGAAAAATATGAAATGCTTTCTGAATATGCATGTCATTCTTGTGCAGGGTCCATGCTAATCTTCTCTGTATTGTTCCAGTGTTATTAGGTTGGTGCAAATGTAATTGCGGTTTTTGCATTGTTGAAATTTGCTGTTTGATATTGGAATACTTTCTTAAATAAGTGTGGTTATGTTGTACATCATTTTAATGCACATTTCTCACTTTTATCTTTTGCTAATGACTTATTGCTGTTTATTTTATATTTATTTTAGACTATAGAAGTGACGTTAGACAAAAAGCAAATTCGCGCAATTTTCTTATTCGAGTTCAAAATGGGTCGTAAAGCAGGGGAGACAACTTGCAACATCAACAACGCGTTTGGCCCAGGAACTGCTAATGAACGAACGTACAGTGCAGTGGTGGCTCAAGAAGTTTTGCAAAGGAGACGAGAGCCTTGAAGATGAGAAGCGTAGTGGCCGGCCATCGGAAGTTGACGACGACCAATTGAGAGCAATCATCGAAGCTGATCCTACTACATGAGAAGTTGACAAAGAACCCAACGTCAACCATTCTATGGTCGTTCAGCATTTGAAGCAAATTGGAAAGCTGAAAAAGCTCCATAAGTGGGTGTCTCATGAGCTGAGCGAAAATCAAAAAAATCATTCTTTTAAAATGTCCTCTTCTCTTATTCTACGCAACAACAACGAATCATTTCTAGATCGGATTATGACGTGAAATGATTGTATACGACAAGCAGCAATGACCAGCTCATTGGCTGGACCAAGAAGAAGCTCCAAAGCACTTCCCAAAGCCAAACTTGCACCAGAAAAAGGTCATGGTCACTGTTTGCGGTCTGCGGCCGGTCTGATCCGCTACAGCTTTCTGAATCCAGAGGAAACTGTTACATCTGAGAAGTATGCTCAGCAAATCGATGAGATGCACCAAAAACTGCAACACCTGCAGCTGGCATTGGTCAACAGAAAGGGCCCAACTCTTCCATGACAACCTCACTTCGTGCGACTTCACGGCGTACAACCAATGCTTCAAAAGTTGAACAAATTGAGCTACGAAATTTTGCCTCACCTGTCATATTCACCTGATATCTTGCCAACTGACTGCCACTTCTTCAAGCATCTCAACAACTTTTTTCAGGGAAAATGCTTCCATAATCAGCAGGATGCAGAAAATGCTTTCCAAGAGTTCGTCGAATCCTGAAGCACGGATTTTTATGCTACAGGAATAAACAAACATATTTCTCGTTGACAAAAATATGTTGATTGTAATGGTTCTTATTTTGATGAATAAAGATGTGTTTGAGCTGAGTTATAATGATTTAACATGCATGGTCTGAAGCCGCAATTACTTTTGCACCAACCTCATAGTATATGTGCTGCTAAAGCGAGCACTTATGTACAAATTTTGGTGTGGATATACGCTTTTTCAATTCTCTTGGTTATATACCCAGAAGTAGAATTGCTTGGTCATAAAGTGGTTCAATCTTAAGGCCAAGGCTCCAGGGAAGATTTTAAGATTTTTTTAAGCAGCAGTTTTAAATTCACAGCAAAATTTAGACATTACAGAGGTTTCCCATATACCCCTGCCCCCACCGGTGTGTAGTCTACCCCATTAACAACACAAGGAAGCTTCTGAATTGTCCATACCTCAGGGTGAATTGTTTCAAGTAGCCAATCAGATTACTTTGGCCTATGAACTTGAGGAAGAATTTTATTTAGGAAGCAGGGGAGCGGGAGGGCAATTTTAGAATTTAGGGCAATGTGGAGAAAGACATTTATATTAGGATTCGTATTATCATGAAAGAAATTGAGCACAATTAGATTAGGCAAAGGGGGAAGTTTTTTGGCAGCCTTTCATAATTGCAGAGGGGATATAGTTGGAATTCCAGGATATCTGGAAGCAGGAGCTCCAATACCACTAACTCTCTTCCTTATCTCTCAGCTTCTCTCAGCATGAGGCTTCATTCTCTCCGCACAGCTTCCTTCATAGCAAGGAACAGGACTGTCAACAGTTCCCCTGCCTCGGTGCTCACAACGTTGTTCCTAGACAGAGACTGAATTTCTTTCCTTAAGCTCCAAGTGAAAAAATCCTGGGGATGGGTGCTGCTTAACTTGGCTTATGGTTTGACCTAGCTTTGACCAGGCTGTGGAAGGCTCTGTGGTCAGTGCACGAAGTATTCTGATTGGCCCAGTTTTAGTCATGTTCCCACCCAAAGACTCATGAATGTGACCAAAGGGCAGGATTTGTAATAACGTGGCAGCTCCTTTTGAACCACATGTTTGTAATGGGGAGAAGAACATGAGTCAGAAGAAAAGGGGTTCCATTACCCAAAGAAGGGAGGAGTTCTGGGCTGGCACACAACAGGTGTCCACCAGAAATGCCTGGGTGGGTTGGCATGACCTTGGGCAGTGTGAGTGCCCTGGGGGCCCAGAGGGGCAAATGGTTGAGAGACAGGTGTTTTTTCTTTTTTTTTAAATGGAGCCTTGCTCTGTCACTCAAGCTGGAGTGCAGTGGTGCAATCTCGGCTCACTGCAACCTCCATCTCCCGGGTTCAAGTGTCTCCTTCCTCAGACTCCTGAGTAGCTGTGACTGCAAGCATGTGCCACCACACCCAGCTAATTTTTGTATTTTTAGTAGAGATGGGGTTTCACCATGTTGGCCAGGCTGGTGTCGAACTCCTGACCTCAGGTGATCCGCCCATCTCGACCTCCCAAAGTGCTGGGATTACAGGCATGAGCCACCGTGCCTGGCCAAGAGAGGTTTAAGTGTAGCAAAAACAAACTCCTGGCAAATTTTTTAAGGGACCCAGAAGTCCTAACAGCCCTGCATAGTCCCCCAAGTAACCTCTGGTTATAGCTTCTGATAATCTAACAAACCACATACTGACTGAGGCCTCTTGCCTTCTGCTACTCAGGTAGCTGGTGAAGGAAATGTACCAATTCCTGACCATTAGCATTTCTTCCTCAAGAGATTAGGTTGTAATGTGAACCACAGGGCCCTAGTGCGGCATTTCATGTCAAAGATCACATTGCACCGATTTGCTCTGCTCTCCTGACATTTTCTGGCTTGCTTCCGCACTGTATTCACAGTGTTTATTGTATTCACATTGAAGGTCACCTCTTTGGAGACCTCCCTTACCCACTTAGGCACCCTCACCTCTATTCTCGTATTTGATTCCTTTTTTTTGTTTTTGTTTTTGTTTTTTTGTGACAGAGTCTCGCTCTGTCACCCCGACTGGAGTGCAATGGTACGATCTCTTCTCACTGCAACCTCTGCCTCCCGGGTCCAAGTGATTCTCCTGCCTCAGCCTCCTGAGTAGCTGGTATTACAGGCACGCGCCACCATGCCTGGCTAATTTTTGTATTTTTAGTAGAGACAGGGTTTCACCATGTTGGTCAGGCTGGTCTCGAACTCCTGACCTCGTGATCCACCCACCTCGGCCTCCCAAAGTGCTGGGATTACAGGTGTGAGCCACCGCACCCGGCCTGATTCCATTTTTAACACATTGATCATTACCTAATATCTATGGGTTTCTCACTTAATATTTTTCTCAACCCCTCTGGAAGAGCAGTGGTCTTCATACTTATTCAGGATAAAATACTGGGAAATCGTGATGCTCTTTGTGACATAATAATGCATTTAATTTTATCTTATGGGATAGGAACAATTTGCTTCCAGAAAAATGGTTGTATGCATGTACTTTTTGGTGAGGCTCTCAGCTTAGCCTAAACTATAATTCAGATGTCCATCTGGGCATGCAGATCCTACAACCACCCCACCGTGATCCCAGATTGGCATTAGGCAAGTAGCAAAAGATCCCTTTTATTTGCATATGTATATAAAAATATAGCAAAAGGAATAGAATGATACTTATCGAGTTTAAAATAATAAATTCACTGGGGGCTGGGTGTGGTGTCTCACGCCTATAATCCCAGCACTTTGGAAGTCAAGGTAGGTGGATCACTTGAGGTCAGGAGCCTGAGACCAGCTTGGCCGACATGGTAAAACCCTGTCTCTACTGAAAATACAAAAATTAGCCAGGCGTGGTGGCACACGCCTGTAGTCCCATCTACTTGGGAGGCTGAGGCAGAGAATCGCTTGAACCTGGGAGGTGGAGGTTGCAGTGAGCCGAGATTGTGCCACTGCACTCCAGCCTGAGCGCCAGAGTAAGACTCAGTCTCAATAAATAAATAAATAAATTCACTGGGCATGATGGTGCACATCTGTAGTCCCAGCTACTTGGGAGGCTGAGGCAGGAGGATCACTTGAGCTCAGGAGGTGGAGGCTGCAATGAGCCATGATTGTGCCTCTACACTCCAGCCTGGGTAAGAGAGTGAGACCCTGTATCAAAAAAAAAAAAAAAATTAAAATAATGATTACTTCTGGGAACCAAGAGGGATAACATTCAAAAGATACTTTAGCATTAACTTAATGTTCCAATATTTTTTAAAGAAGTATATGTGTGCACAAATATGTACATACATAGGCAGAGAGAGAGAGAGACAGAGACAGAGACAAAAAGATGGAGAGAGACAGTGAGACAGAATGTTTTTAAAAATAGTAGGAACATCAAATGTTTTTAAAAATAGCAATGTTTTTAAAAATAGTAGGAACATCAAAAAGGACTTGGAAGCAAATATGCCAAAATATTAACAGCAGTTAATTTTGAGTGGTAGGAATATAACAGATTTTTTTTCTTTATTCGCTTACTTATTTTCTTAATTATTCCTCACTAAATAAAATAATATAAAAATAAAATCAATCACAAAAATAGAAATAAATCACTGCTAAGAAGGCTTTTACTGTATTAAACTGATCGAAAAGCTTAACCTTTTTTTCTCTGCAATACCAAACTCATATTCTTGCACTTTCAGTTCCTAGTTCTAGAATTTCTCTCTATTTCTCTCTCCTTTTTTTTAAACCATTTTATTTTTAATACAGTGCTGATGTTCTGAAACTCTCTGGAGAGGAAAGATGTGAGCATGACCTTGTGGCTTCTCTTGACTTTCCAGAGTCATTTTAGATTCAGAACTGATTACATATTATCTCTAACCAGCAGAGTGATTGAGCTCTTTGAAAAAATAGAATTTTAATGTCTCTTTCTATTAATAGCTTGCATTTTTAATATGCTTTGTTGAGTAGATTAGTCTCAGAATCTGCAAAATCTGTGGTAAAACTTGTTTGATCACAAAGTCTTTGATGGATACAGTAAGTGCTCTGCACCCCCTTTCAGCACTCAGAATTTTAGTAATCACATGGCTGATATTGACAGCTGTAGAAGTGTTCAGGGTAGGGATTTTTGTCTGCTTTGTTCATTGCCATAAGCTTCCCCAGTTCTGAGAACAATAGGTAGGTAGCGTGAAAGTGCTCAATAAATGTTGAATAAATACATTAATTTGAAGCATTTAGGAACACCTTACTTATGTATTGCTTAATTTAAGGGTTTGTCTACTTTCTCTCAGGGTGACAGTCTCTAAGAATATGCATAATAAAGTACGAGGGTTTCAATGTCTTCTCTGATGGAAGAGAAGAAAAGCACCGGGGAATGGGAGCCTAGACTGATCAGGCTTGGGTCACATGCCCACTGGGGGAGTGGGAGGCAGTATGAAGATTGGAGTGAGACTCACTTACGTCAGGAATCCAAAACAGTCAAACTCACAGAAGCATAGAGCAGAATGGTGCTTCCCAGGAGCTGGGTAAAGGGGAAATATAAATGCGGAGGTGTCAGCCAAAGGGTGCAAAAAGAGAGAGTGAGGAGGAATCTTAGGGGTGATGGTGATGTTTATGGCATTGTCTATAGTGACTCTTAAACAGTTGTATACTTATCTTCAGACTCTTCAAGGTGTATATATTAACTATGTACAGCTTTTATGTGTAAATTATACCTCGATTTTAAAAAAATGAATTGGCATAGGAGAGGATCAGCTAAAGAAGGGGAGTGCAGTTAACAAGAGAATAGGACATAGGGCATTGGAAAAGTAAATGCACATGGTATCCATGAGCACATCATAAACTATTCACCACATTAGAAATTTCAGAGACAAAACTTTAAAAGAGAAATAGGAGGAAGATGGTAGGTATGACGGTGAGGGGCAGAAGTTGGAGGAACAGAAGAAGCCAGAATGTGTGAGGTCTAGCACTCTGGGATGAGGACTGAGAGGGAGTCAAGCAGCAGATCAGCAGGCGCAGCAGGTGCAGCAGGCCAGGGCGCAGGGCTGGGGTTTTACTCTGTGTATGGAAAGCTCTCAGAGGGTCTTGAGCCAGGAGGTGACATGATCCATTTCTGTTTTTATTTTTATTTTTTAAATTTAGGGCTGGGCATGGTGGCTCACGCCTGTAATCCCAGCACTTTAGGAGGCCAAGATGAGTGGATCACGAGGTCAAGAGATCAAGACCATCATGGCCAACGAGGTGAAACCCTGTCTCTACTCAAAATATAAAAATTAGCTGGGCATGGTAGCATGAACCTGTAGTCCCAGCTACTCAGGAGGCTCAGGCAGGAGAATCGCTTGAACCCGGGAGATGGAGGTTGCAGTGAGCTGAGATCACCCCACTGCACTCCAGGCTGGGTGACAGAGCGAGACTCCATCACAAAAAAAAAAAACTAAAATTGTACGTATTTATTTATTTATTTATTTATTTATTAGAGACAGGGTCTCACTCTGTGAGCCAGGCTGGAGTGCAGTGTCACAATCATAGCTCATTGCAATCTCAAACTCTTGGGCTCAAGCGATCCTCCTGCCTCAGCCTCCTGAGTAGCTGGGACTACAGGTGCCTGCCACCATGCCTGGCTAATTTTTTAGATATTTATTTTGTAGGGATGGGGTTTTGCTATGTTGCCCACGCTGGTGTCGAGCTCCCAGCCTCAAGCGATCCTCCTGCCTCAGCCTCCCAAAATGCTGGGATTACAGGCATGAGCCACCAGACCCGGCTTATTTATGTTTTTAAAAGCTCATTCTGGCAGCCATGTGGAAAACCGAACACGGGGAGGTAGCAAGAGTGGAAACCTGGAAACTGGTTAGGAAGGTATTTCAGCCATCCAGGCAAGCAGTAGAGAGACATATTAGACTTGTCAGACGTTAAGTGACAATTCACATAGTTAATCGTGATTGGGATATATGTTGCAAAAGGGATGAATAGGGCAACTTGGTCTTGTCTGGGGGATGGGAGGGGAGTTAGCTAAGGTTTCTCTGAGCAAATGACATTTAAGCTGGGACCTAAAGGATGAGTGAAAAGGAGATGAGTAGAAAATTTCTAGCACAAGGGATACTGGTGAGAAGCTTTGAGGCCAGAGAAAGCCCAGCTCACTCCAGGAACTAAAAGGAGGCCAGTGTGCGTGGAGCAGAGAGCAAGAGGGGAAGTTGTGTGAGATGAGGCAGCAGGAGGTGGATCTTCCAGGGTCTTGCAAGCCTTACAAGCCTGGTCACACTATTGGGCTTTAGCCTAAGTGCAGTAGGAAGCCATGGAGAGATTTTAAGCCTAAAAGGAACATCACTTGTTCCCTCACTTAACATTTATTTATTAAGCAATGTCTACATGACAAGACGAGATTCACAGTATAGAAAGAGCACTTTGTAATATGGGATGTTTTTAAGAGGGGGCACAGAGGGCGAGTGGGCAGGCTTCTGAAGTAGATATTGGGAGACCATGGTGCTTTGGGTCACAGAGGTGGGAATGGGAATAGAGGGAGGTGGGGGACATGGTGATTGGCAGGCTGGTGGAGCAGGGGTGAGGGCAAGGCTCTGAGATTGGGCACTGCACAATAAGCACTGGCAGATGGGGTTCAGCAACGGGCTGGGACATTGTATTAGATTCCATTGAGAGTGTGGTCAGTCCCTGGCTTCTTATCCCATGAGTATCTTAGAATATCCTTAGAGGACGGTGATAAGACTTGCAGAATTATAAGACTAGCAGGAATCAGATGACACACTTAACTTAGAATCATTCTAATTGGATTTATTTACAAAGGGTTGCTTATAGAGACGTGGGCAGGGTATAGGGGAACCACAAAGGATAACCCTCGGCCCCAGTGACGAGGGGAGGGAGCAGTCACCAGACGCCAGAAGGAGGTAGTCACATGGAGAAGGTCACCTGGATAGAAGCTGTAATCCTTGGTCAAGGGACTCACAGGGAAGAAGCCAAGGAGTAAAAATTCTTCCTGACTCATTTTCCTCCCTTTCATCAGTCCAGTGCCCCAAATCCCCACTGGTCAACCCCAACCAGAAGCCAGAGGACTTGGAAGCTACAGTGTGGTGTGTTCAGACCAACCTCCAGGTGGAAGTGTGGAACAAAGAATGGAAAATGGAGCTGAAGTGGCAAACAGAAGTCAACCAAACTCAGTCAAACTCAACCAAACATAGTCAACCAAATTTACAATTCAAAGTGTCACTTCTTGGCCTGCATTGGGTTACAATTTTATTTTATTTATTTATCTTTAATAATAGAGATGGGGGTCCCACTATGTTGCTGAGGCTGGTCTCGAACGCCTGGGCTCAAGAAATCCTCCCACCTTGGCCTCCCAAAATGCTGGGATTACAAGCATGAGCCACCACACCCAGCCAAGGGTAAGATTTTAAATATTCTAATTGGGAAACAAAAATGGAAGAAGGAAAATGTGTGAAGTTGTTCCCCAACTGTTGGAGGAAGCCCCTCCATACATCTCCCCTTTAAAAAAAAATTTAAGGAGTTGACAAATAAAAGTTATATATATATTTATGTTGTACCATGTAATGCTTCAATATATGTATACATTGTGAAATGGTTACATCAAGCTAATTAACATTCAACACCTCACCTATTTATGGTCTTAGTAAGACCTTCACCCATGCTTATCTGTTACTCAGGATATTTAGTTGTAAATTCCAATGAAAATAACTTTTTGGTATCTGTAGCTTTTGCCAATCGTTTAGCAAAATCTTCTAAAATACATTTTGAGAAATGTGGATTTTACAGTGAAGTTCAAAGGAATTCAGTTTGCATCCTGCACAAATGTGGATTGTTTTCTGCAAAGACAACATAGGCAACTCTCTGAAGCTTAAGCATATCAGGACTGGGCCATCCTGGCCAAATAACAAAATTATTTCTGCTGTATCATGAATTTGAGTTATCAAGCTTTCTGCCGGTTATTTTGCCCACTAGCCAAGTTACAGCAAATTTGTTTTTCTAAGCACATCGTCTTTTTAAAATCCATGACAAATCATATGGAAAAAATGTCATTCTTGCTTAAAACCCAGCTGGTCAGGACATTTTCCATTTACAACCCAATAAAACAGGTTAGTCAGGTATCTTATTTCTTTGCTCTCTAAAATGTTATAATCCTGGAACAGGCTTTTAATATTTTTCTTAATAGCTCTGGTTTCCACTGAAGTTAACAATGATTATTTGTGGTCTGATAGTTCTCTTGGCACTACACCAAAAACAGAAGCGAGAAAGCACATTCTCAGCCAGAGAGGCTTAACAGCTAAGCCAGACATTCAGCTGAGAATCCAAATTCTTCTCTTCTATACCTCCTCGCTTCCTTGAGCAAAAATGTCATCTGGCAGGTTTTTTGGTTTCCTAACTCCAGAAAGCTATTTGAGCCCAGCAATTCCCAAAAATGTCACAGCATTTTTAAGTGCATATAAATTCCATCTATTTTCTTAAATAGAATATTTGCCTCCAAGTTAAATCAAGTACTTTCTTCTCTACTTAGAAGGTTCTTTATCAAATATTGTCTTGGGCCAAACTGCAGCCTGAGACTAATCATGTAGGCAGGTCAACAGCAGGTTGTGAGGTGGATACAAACAAAGTGGAATGCTATCCCTTCTCCCCTTTCCTCTTCCTCCTGCAGTCTGTCTCTGCCCCGCAGCCCCTCCTAGGACAGTCTTCCCCTTGAGAAAGGGAAAACAACACTGAGAGGGTGGGGGCAGGGAGGCTGCATGAAGAGCTTGGGAAAGCTTGGTTTCTGGGAAAGCTTGGTTTCTGAACACTTTAACTATCGAAGTTCAAGAGCAACAAAGAAGTTACAGTAAAAAGCCTAAGAAGCAAAAGGCAACTTAATTTAGTCTTTAACTTTAAAAATTAAAAGTAGGGAACAGGAAATTCTACTTAACAGAAGCAAAATTAATTCAAAAAATCCAATTCTAAGTTATAATCATTTAAGGGCAAGAGAGGTGATGGAGAATGAAGGAAAATGAAGAGGGAGAAATAGAAAAGTGACCTTAATGATTGTGAAATTTCTGTGAAATTCCTAAGAAGCACAGGTCTAATGTATTCATATTAGTACTATATATGAACACCCTTAATATATTAATCCCATTTAAAAAAGTACAACCCTTTAAGAAACACAGGTAAATACCACTAGAACTTATTTTTCTAGAAGAGGAAATTGCTACCTAGAACTTAGAAACCTAACCATTCGTAAATCTCTCTATCTTTATTATTTTAAACTAGAAAAACTCTTACTTCTGGGTATGAAAGTGGAGAATGTCATATCATATGCATAGAGAATTGGGTCAAGTTGAAATGGATCAGCGCGATTTCAAGATTCTTTGGAATATTGCCACATGAGGTGGAAATAAGTGGGGTTTTCACTTTTTATAATTGTGACTAGTGGTATTACTCCGTAGGGCTGATGAAATTAACAAAGTTCCTCTGTCCCTCCTTTACATGAACTCAATTCGAAAAGTTGAGGAAGGGCCAGGCTTATGCCTGTAATCTCAGCACTTTGGGAGGCCCAGACAGGAGGATCACTTGAGGCCAGGAGTTCAAGACTAGGCTAGGCAACATAGCAAGACCTCATCTTTACCACACACACACAAAAAATCGCCGAGTGTGGTGGTTCACACTGTGGTCCTAGCTACTCAGGAGGCCAAGATGGGAGGATGACTTGAGCCCAGGAGTTCAAGGCTGCAGTGAGCTATGATGGCGCCACTGCACTCCAGCCTGGGTGACAGAGCAAAATTCTCTCTAAAAAGAAAAGTTGAGAAAAGCCCGCAAATATCTTCCATTTCTTTCATGAAATCTGAATATCCACAGGCCTCTAGCCTGTAAGTACAAATGAGCATTTTTATACACATTTTGTGAGGCGATGATCCCCACCTATTCATGACTACCCCACTACAGTGTTCTCCCTCCCAACTCCACAGCAGTGTTTCTAGAAGTCTCTGGGGAGTGTCTAGGGGTACTTAGGAATTCCACGAGTTCCCATCCCACTAGACTTGTTGGGCATCTCCATGTCATTTAGACATCTGTTTATGGGAGAAGCAAAGGGACTCACCCTCTGGCTCTCAGCTCCCTTTTGGGTAGCCTCACACTGCTCTCTCTTGACACCGTAGGCAGCTGTGTGGCGAGATGGCCTGCAGGTTGCCATGGCTCCTTTGCCCTTGGAAGGCCTGGGAGTCAGATGACGGTCAGGGAAGGGGCTGATGACAGGGGTGAGGTCCAGCAAAGGGGAGACCTAGAGGGAAAAGCTTGGGCCTGGCTCTCCTATTAGAGCAGAAAGATAAAGGAGACTTCTGTAGTTTCTATGATTTCCAGCACAGCTCAGCGGAGCAGGAGACCAAAAGAGAGTTGGGATCAAATTTTGGACCAAAGCTAGAGTCATTTTGCCTGGCTTCATCCCCTGGCTGTATGGCTCTCCAGGACTTATAGGTGCCATGTACGTAACTGGCCAGTTACATACAACACAGCTCACTCCATATGTCTTGTGTCAGAGATGCTCACACAGACAGGGTTTGGGTACATTTTCTTTTATTTGCTTTAAACTTCCACCAGCAACCTCAGAAAATCTCTCTATGGACAACTTAGTACACTGACATTAACTCCTCCCACCACAAAGCAAATCAGCCAAGATGTATGAAAATAAGTTTTATTAAAACCAATTTGTGAAAACTAATTCCTGTTCATCTTTAACAGTCAAGTTACAGGGTTCCAAAGTCCATATAATTCCTCAAAAACTTTTCCTTGGGTCACTCACAGTACTGGGGGTTCCATGGTCATTCCTGACTGTTCATTCGCTTAATTTCTTGCTTTGATAACATGGCTTTTCCAGCTCTCACTTATTTGCCTGACTTCTGACCTGACTCTCATATACCTGGTCAGACCTGGGTCAGACCCCTTTTCCATGCGGGGAGATTGGCCTGACTCCTTTAGGCAAATGGAAGGCAGACCCAGAAGCAGGGCTATCTCTTTGCAGGCCTGGAGGCTATAGAGTGGAAGGCAAATTCTACAACTGTGGCCAAAATCGAGAGCCAGTCTAAACCAGAGAAGTGTGTCCAAATGGGTCATCAGGACAAAGGGGCTCAGTACTGGTCAAGGTGGACAGAGTGAGAGGAGGGAGATCTGGGGTAGCAAGATTGAGTAGGGTAGCAGGATTAATCTCACAGAAACTGATACCTGGGAGATGTTCATACACTTCTTTGGAAGGTGTTGCACAGGCAGGCCACACCCATTTAAAGGCAGCAGGATGGGATGAACAGACAGTTCTCTGACTATGTCCTGACAGGACCTCATTCTCTGCCCACATGCTCCTCCCTAGCCTGTTACAAACGCCACCTCCCACCCCCAGAGCTCACCTAGTTTCTGCCATGACCTGTGAAATCTGTATCTCCCTAATTTCTATTGATCTTGTTTATAATTTGTAATTCCTTCCTTTGCATTGGCCTCTAATTTTTATGGGCACCTGGATAAAATATTTACTGATCACTTCTTGCCCAGCTGACATAAGGAACCCTTGTCTTTTTCTGAGTGCTGTATCTAGTAGAATAGCCCAGACCTTGAAGTTAGGCAGGTCTATGTTTGGATCTCACCCTGCCAACTTGCCAGTTGTGTGATTTTGGTTAAGTTACTAACTACTCCAAGCCTCAATTTTCTCATTTGTCAAATATGCACAATGAGATTATTGTGAGGATTATGTGAGACTTCATATATAAAATAAATGGCATAATGCCTGGCAGAATATATACTTTGCATTCGCCTTTCTTTTGAACTCATTTTGTAGGGGAAAAGTGAGTGAAGAAGCCATGGTTTTGTGGGCACCTAAAGTTCTGTTTTATATATCACCAAGAAGAGAAATAGGATTCTCTGGGTTTATGGGAACCTAATAACTAAAGTTCCTGGCAATAGATGAGTCGCATGATGTCTTAATCCTAAAATTAAGAATCATAAGAAAAGCAGTGGTATCTGCAGTGTCCATGGCACCATTTAACACTATTCAAACATTTCAGGCAAATCTCAGTAGTAATGTGTTTTGCAGTAGCCCTTTTGATTTTTTGCTTGGCAAACTGTCATGACCTAATGGTTAGAAAGGGACTTGGATAGAAAAAGGGAAACCCCGAATATTAATCAGTTCCCATGCTTATGAATAGTAAACAGAATTAAAACTGCCTGATGAAATTAATTTATTAAAAACCTCTTTAATAGAGCAAAAAGAATTCCAAAAAGGAAAATATGTTGGCATTATATGCCTCTAAAAAAGTATTTTTTTTTCAATAAGGCCGATGGCAGAAAAAATATAGATAATTAATCAGAATAAATGTAGTTAAGAAAAACTATTTTGGCCAGGAGCTGTGGCACACACCTGTAATCCCAGAACTTTGGGAGGCCGAGGCAGGCAGATCACTTGAGGTCAGGAGTTTGAGACCAGCCTGGCCAACGTGGTGAAACCCAGTCTCTACTAAAAGTACAAAAATTAGCTGGGCATGGTGGCGTGCGCCTGTAATCCCAGCTACTCGGTGGGCAAGGCAGGAGAATCGCTTGAACCCGGGAGGTGGATGTTGCAGTGAGCCAAGATCACGCCATTGCACTCCAGCCTGGGGGACAGAGCGAGACTCCGTCTCAAAAACAAACAAACAAAAACAAACCCAGGAAGTGAAGAAAAACTCAGGCAAAGGTTTAGTAATAAATAATAAAAATGATTAAGTGACTGACAGTAAAGAAATTAAGTGGCCCTCATAAATGCATCCTGACTCAGGAAAAACACTCAATGATTCAGAAGCAATGGAGATAATACCATGATCTATAGACAAATCTGCTGGATGATGGGCACCTGGGGAAAGCAGGGAAGTACGTGCTATAAAATAGGCACCTGTGGCTTGTGACTGGCCTTGACAGCCTAGAGTCCTCCAGTTCGCCTATGCAAAGATCTCATTCCAGGCAGAGGATCTAGAAGTCACCAGGCTAAACTTGCTAATATCCTTGTACTTACCCCGACCCTTCCAGAGTGTCTGAGACTTGCACCTTCTTCCTTCCACAGCAATCCCAAAGCTTCTCCCAACCCCCATCCCTGGGACAGAAGAAATGACTAAGTAAAAAACACAAGACTTTAGCAAGCTCCTGATACAGCAGAGCCAAGAAATTATGCAAAATCTGAGTTTATCTATAATTACCTCAGAGAAGGTCATGGCTTTTGTTTGTCACAGGCTTCCCTTCCACCTGGTCTGGTTTTAATCCACAACATAATTCTCTAAGCAGCGAGCCTAACCTCCCAGAATACCACAGGGCTAAGGAAGGAGTCAAAACGCTCCACATGGATGGCAGAAGACACATTTGCTCAATTTGAGCCTGTGCACTAGGACAGGCTTAAAACTAAATCCTGGGTTTGAGCACCACTCACCAAAGTATTTTGCTTTGGCATGGTACTGGAGATTAAAGGTAGGAAAGATTACATGGTCACATCAGAAACAAAGTTTACTTTCCTGCCTATGCAGCAGTGGCTTGTTTGCCCAGTAATCTTACTTCCTTATTAAGCAATATTATGGTGGGGCAGGGAGAGGGCCGGAGACATTCTAGGAGACGGGAGCACAGCAGTAGACTGTTGAGAAGGGAGAGGCTATACCCACTCCCTCGCCTCTTATGCCTTTCCTCTAAACACATCTTCTCCATTCCTCAAGCAAAAGTAAGGTCCTCTCTCCTTTATGTGACCTCCCAGTCATGTCAACCCATTCCTCAATTTGATCATTCACTTAGTCACTCAAATGATTATTGAGTGCCCGCTATGCACTGTCTTATGATAGTTCCCTCCATGAATGCCTATGGCACTTACTCCTCATTGTGCTTGGTTATATCAATCAATCAGTCAGTATGCATTTCTCCATAACTGTGATGGTTACTGTGCTCATACTATGAGGTCTACGAAATTGCTCCTGTGAATCTACTTGGGAAGACATGATATGTCCACTTATCATTGAAAAATAAATGATAAATGCCAAACAAATGATGCAGACAGAAAGTGATATGGTTCAGGAAGAGGTTACTGTGGGCTAATGTGGCCAGTAAAGGAAGACTTTCTGGAGATGCTGTGGCGTTAGTAGTGATCAGATAAATGGAGAAGGGCATATAAAAAACAGTGTAAGAAAAGGCACAAAGACCTGCATTAAAAAGGCATGTTAGGAAACTGAGATATGACAAAACTGGCTTAGCTGCTCACCAGCTGAGAGCAACCCTAAATGCTACAATGCCAGCCTGAACACAATGTCCTGGTGAAAAGAAGCCAGATCCCCTTTTGCATTCCTTCTTACTGGGTCTCATAGCTTTTCCATCCTTCTATTCTACAGAGGGCACCCTGAGTCCCGGTTAGAAGCCAAGGTCCTGCTTTCCCACCTCATTCATGCCATCCCATTTCCCAGGAGCTGGGCCCTGATTCTTTCTGGGGACCTAAATTTTGAGTAGATTACCTTGAATAGCATCTCTGCATAGAATTTGGGGGGATGAGATACATGTTAAGACCAGTGAATCCAATAGACATATGAATAGCTTTATTCTCAAACTTCCAACCTGAGGTGATCCATCCACCTCGGCCTCTCAAAGTGTTGGGATTACAGGTGTGAGCCACCGCGCCCAGCAGCTTCACACCTTTTACTATAAAATAAGCTCCTTAATCAGAAACGATGTTTTATGGTATACCATGATGGTGAATGAAGCAGTAAGTAAATCTATAGATCATATTTCTCTCAGATGTATGGCGGGTAAGAAAGGCAGATTACCCAGAATGAATTTCTATTCCAATAAGAATAAATGACCAAATTGCTCTTCCTTAGTCAAAGAAGAGGACAATGTAATCAATCTGCCACCAGGTGGCAGTCTTTTCTTGCTGAGTATAGCAGTGAATTGAGGGCTCAAGGTCAGGCTGGCATTCAAGCAATGGCAGTAGCTAGATTAGCTTTGCTGAGGTGAGGCCCATATTAAGTCCATAAATAATTGTGCAAGTACAGAAGTGTTTGGGGAAAAAATATGAGAGTCATAAAATGGGTAATCTTGTCCACTGGTTATTCAGAACGTCTCAACCGCAAAGGCTATTTGACTGTCATTCACATGAGACACAAATATTCTTACACTCTGGGATCATTCCGAGATATTCATTCACATACATTTCCCCTAAATCTCCAGCTACCAATCCCTTGGTGTTCTGTTCTTTCTTCCAAGTTTTTGAACATGTGACCTTACACTTAGCCCCTGCCCTTGAAAGTGCATAGATCTGCATCTCAGTCCACCTTTTTCAGCAAATGGACCATGACATGCAGTGATCAAAGTTATGCTCAGTGGGAGGATTTACATTCTTTATTGTCTTTCAGACATCTAAGTTGGACAGCTGTTGTGGTTCAATTTTGACTGGTAACACCACACCATGGAGAGTCATCTGTTATCCAGGCTTGAATCCCTTCTTCCTTTCTCAACTGATCACAGGGAACTTCCCGTTAGGATACAGTTGTGGGCTGAGTGTGAAAAGCATAGGCATACTGTGAGTGAGGGTCACCTGCTTAACTAATTAGAGTCTTCAGAAGCTGCTTAAACCTGAGCTTATGTATGCCAATTCTGCTTAATGATGAACTGCTCTGGGCTTTCCAAATTTATGGTTTGGTGTCTCAGACAAGTCCCAGTTAAAATGGGCAACTCACTTCATATGAGGTATCCCGTGGTCAGGTAGAGGTGGCTGGATGCCTTGGTAAGATATGTGGATTCCAGAATTGGTCAATACACTCCATGAAGTTTCAGGGCCCAGCTACTTCAGTGTGGTTTTTAGGAGTCCAGTGGTGAGAGACTTGCTGGAATAACCTCTCCAAAGTAAAAGACAAGTTGTGGCGTCTTCCACCTTAACCCAAAGAAGAAAGCACAGAGCCTGGAAGTCTCTTTAGATTCTGATGCAACATATCCCATACTTAGGAATATTGCACCTGCCCATATACTGGGTGACATGGAAGGCTGACAGCTTTGAGGGGGCTTGAAGAAACAAAGGGCACTCCATCAGGTCCAGACTGTGGTATAAGCAGACCCCTACTCAGGTCACATGATCCAGCAGGCCCTATGGTGTTGGAGGTATCAGTGGTGGCAAAAGATGCAGTGAGGGGCTTATGGAGAACTCCAGTGAGAGAATCACAAGGCTGACCCCTGGGATTCTGGAGAAAGGTCATGCCACCCACAGCAGAAAATTACATACCCTTTGAAAAACAGTTCTTGTCAAGTTGTTGTCTTGTCGAGTTGCAGAAGGCAAGTTACTCTGGTAGAGGCAGAATGTTTGACTATTGAACATCAAATGACCCATGCATTCAGAACTTATTCCCATTGTAATCAGGGTTCTGTCCATAACATCAAGTTAAAAAGTTAGATGGGCCCAGTAGCAATCCATCGGTTGATGAAAATGGTATATCCAGATATATCCAGAATCAAGTCCAAGTAGGACCGGAAGGTACAAGCCAGCTCTATGGGCAAATAGCTCAGGCCCTCGTGTCACCTATTACAGTTGCACTAGTTCCTCTCCCATGGCTTATACCAATGGCCTTGTGAAAGGTCTCTTATGATGAGTTAAAGTGGAAGGAAAAGCCCAAGATTCGTTTATAGATAGGTCGTCTCAAGTGCATACTAAAAATGAGTGGTGACTGCATTATCGCCACATTCAGAGGTGTTCCTTAATGACAGTGGAAAGGAAAAATCTTCCCCAAGGACAGAGCTGGGAATCTGCTTTGGTGGAAGGAAAAATGGCCTACATATAAATTCCTGGGTTGTGGCCAATGGCTTGGCTGTCTGGTTAAAGGCCTGGAATGCAGAGGACTGGAAGACCAGAGACAAAGGAAATCTGGGTAGAGGAAGTGGATGGACATGTGAGAGTAGGCACAAAGTATGAAGACTGTTGTATCACATGTCTACCAGAAAGTATCCACCAGACATTTAACAACCAAGCAGACACAATGGCTCTGCCAATTGATATTAGTCAGACTGCATCACTGGCAATCCCAGAGCTGAGATAATGGGCACATGAGTGGGGTGACCATATGGCAGAGGTGGAGACCACATATGAGCCCAACAGCATGGACTCAGAGCAAAGCCAATCTAGTTATCTCTGAATGTTCAACTTGTCGGCAACAGAGACCATCACTAAGTCTTCAACATATTATTTCTCAAGGAAAACATCCTGGATATTAGAACTCTCCTATTCTGAAAGGGTTAGTGGTTCACTTTCACAAGGATAATGCCTATTCCAGGTATGGGTTTGCCTTTCCTACCCACAGAGCCTCAGCCAGGACTGCTATCTAGGGGCTTATAGAATGCTTGATCCACAGGCATGGAATCCCACACAGCATAACATCTGGCCAAGTGACCTGCTTTGAAGCAGAGGTACAGGAATGGACCCATGACCATGGGTTCCATTGGTCATATTACATGCCACACCATCCAGATGCAGCCAGGCTCACAGAATGCCAAAATGGCCTTCTAAAGGGGCAACTGAAATACTGACTTTATGGGTGGGTCAGTCTGTCTATATTCATTTATTTATTTGTCAGAGTAACATGATAAAAATGCTAGCGTGATTATTTCTTTTTTAAAATTTATTTTTCTTTTTATAGAGATGAAGTCTCACTATGTTTCCCAGGCTGGTCTTGAACTCCTGGGCTCAAGTGATCTTCCACTTTGGCACCACACTCAGCCTCTTTTTATTTTTATTTATTTATTTGTAGAGATGGGATTTCACTATGTTGCCCAGGCTGGTTTTAAACTCCTGGACTCAATCTATCCTCTTGCCTTGGCCTCCCAAAGAAAAGTGCTGGGATTATAGGTGTGAGCCACTAAGCCTGGCAACAGCGATTATTTCCATACGGTGAATTTAATTTTCTTCTTTTTGCCTACCTATATTTTCTAAAGTTTCTGAATGCATTAGTGTTAAATTAACAGGGTAAAAATAAAGAAAACTCCTCTTTTCATTACTCTATAAAATAGCTCTCCAATTTCTGAGCCCTGGCATTCTTACCTTTCCTCTCTTGAACTCTCTAAACTCCTTCTGTCTCTCTTATCACCATAAAAAACATCCGGTACTTCTCAGGAAACACAGAACCACTTCCCTGAAACCATTTACCACATAAATCTGCATTGCTGGGGCATTGGTCCCAGATGGTCCCTGGACTCTCTCAACCTGTGAGTACTGTTTTGTCAACAGTGTTCTGAGTGCTTTGTACACAATATGGCAAAGAAATTTACCCTGGTGCCTTCTGAGTTCTAGAAACCTGCTACTATTTATCTCAAATCCTAGAAACTCCTATTTCATTGTGAATCTGTATTATTTATTGCTGCATTACAAATTATCCCAAAATTAGCAGCTTAAAGCAACATTTATTTCACACAGTTTCCAAAGGTCAGAATCCAGGAATACATTAGCAAGGTGCATCTGCTTCCAGGATGGCTCAGTCACATGGCAGCTGACATTACCTGTGATCCTCCTGAGCCATGAAGGCTATCACTTACTCCTTCTCTTAAGCACACGTGGATAAACCCTGGGGCATGATTAGATCAGTGAGGTTTTTTTCTTTTTTAATAGAGACAGAGTTTTGCTATGTTGCCCAGGCTGCTCTTAAACTCCTAGCCTGAGCTATCCTCCCACCTTTCCTTCCCAAAGTGTTGGGATTACAGGTGTGAGCCACCATGCCCAGTTATCCTTGAGTTTTGTTTTGCTTCTGAGATAGGGTCTCATTCTGTCACCCAGCCTGGAGTGAGTGCAGTGGCAAGAACACAGCTCACTATAACCTCAAAGGATCCTCGCACCTCAGACTTCTGAGTAGCTGGGACTACAGGTGCACACCACCTCACTCTGTTAATTTTTAAATTTTTTGTAGAGACGGGGTCTCACCATGTTACCCAGGCTGGTCTCCAGCTCCTGAACTCAAGTGATCCTGCTGCCTCACTCTCCCAAACTGTTGGGATTACAGGCGTGAGTCACCGCATCTTGTGAGCTTTTTTTTTTTTAATATTTTCTTCCCTTAGATTGCCAGTCATGCTTTTACTGCTAAAAATGCTAGCAGTGATTATTTCTTTTTAAAAAATGTGTTGAGCTCTAAGCTCACAAAGTACAAAATGCTATAATTCGAATGTTTTGTCCTCTCCAAAATTCATATTGAAACTTAATCCCCAATGCAACAATATTAGGAGGCGTGGCCTATAAAAGGTGATTGAGTCATGACAGCTTCACCCTCATGAATAAGATTGGGTGCCCTTATAAAGGGCTTGATGGAGAAAGTTTGCCTCTTTTTGCCCCTTCTATCCCTTCCTCTATGTGAGGACACAGTGTTTCTCCTCTCCAGAGGATGCCTCAACAAATCACTGTCTTGGGAGGGAAGACCGGGCCCTCATCAGACACCGAACCTGCTGGGATCTTGGACTTCCTAGTCTCCAGACTGTGAGAAATAAACTTCTGTTGTTTATAAGTTACCTAGTCTCAGGTGTTTTGTTTTAGCAACACTAATGGATTAAGACATAAAGTAAGGGCATAGAATATAAAAAGGATAGGTGTTTCACTCAGAAAGAACTATCCATTTTTTTCCAATTTTGCTCAAATGAACAAATGAAAACCAGGTCAGGTACAGTGGCTCATGCCAGAAATCCTAGCACTCTGAGGCCAAGACAGGAGGATCACTTGAGCCCAGGAGTTCAAAACCACAGTGAGCAATAATCGTGTCACTGCACTCCAGCCTAGGCAACATAGCAAGGCCCTGTCTCTAGCAGATTTGGAATCTGTAGGCCTAACAAATATGAAAAGAAAGATCTGGGCTCAGTGATCAAAAATAGTTTGATGAAGACATGATTATGAACTTAATCCTATTTCATTTCCAGGCACGATGGGATTTGGGAACTAGATTTACTCTTCTGCCAGCAACAACAAAAACAAGCAAAATTCTTTTGAAACTTAAGAAACTAATTTAAGAACAAGGCACAGTGGTGTGCTCCTATAGTCCTAGCTACTCAGGAGGCTGAGGCAGGAGGATTGCTTGAGCCCAGTTCGAGGCCAGCCTGGGCAACATAGTGAGTCTCTGTCTCTAAAAAAAAAAAAAAAAAAAAATTAAGAAACTGGAAGAAGAAGAGCAAATTCAACTAAGGGTGAGCAGAAGAAAAGAAATAATAAATATGAGATACAAATAAATAAAAAAGAAAAGGCAAAAACAGTAGGAAAAAATTAATGAAACCAAAAGCTGGTTCTTTGAGAAGATAATAAAAGTGATAAATCTCTAGCCAGACTTGTCAGGAAAAAAGAAAGAATATATGAATTATCAATATCAAGAATGTGAGTGGTAACATCACTAAAGTTTCTATAGTTATTAAAATAATAATATGGAAATATTATAAGAAACTTTTTACATATCAATTTAACAGCATAGATGAAATGGATAAATTTTTTGAGTGACAGAAACTATTAAAATTCACTCAAGAAGAAATAAGTAACCTGAATAGCCTTATATCTATTAAAGAATTGAATTTGTTTTAAAAAATCTTCCCACAAAGAAAAGTCCAAGTTGCTTAACTGGTAAATTCTAAATAATGTAGAAGGAAGAAACAATATCAATTCTATACAAATTTTACCAGAAAATTGAAAAGTAGAGAATTTTCCCCCAAATAATTCTATAAGGCCAGTATTATCCTGATACCAAAAACCAGACAAAGACATTATAAGAAAACTATAGACAAATATCCCTCATAAATATGGTTGCAAAAATTCTAAAAATATTTTTAGCAAATTAAATGCAATAATATATAAAAAGGACAGTACATCATAGCCAAATACAGTTTAACCCAGGAATGCAAAATTGGTTTAACATTTGAAAATCAATGTAATTTATCACATTAACAAGCTGAAAAAGAAAAAGCATATGATCATCTCAATAGATGCAGGAAAATCATTCAACAAAATCCAGCATCCATTGATGATAAATCTTCTCTACAGAGAAAGATTAGAAGGGAACTTCCTTAACTTGACAATGGCCTTTATGAAAAACCTACAGCTAACATCATACTTAATGGTAAAAGACTAAGTACTTTCTACCTACTATTGATAATCATTCTCATCATCTCTGCTTAACATCATACTAGAGGTTCTAGGCAATATAATTTAAAAAGAAGATACAAATTAGAAAAGAAGAAGTAAAAATGTCTTTATTTACAAATAAAATAATTATCTATGTAGAAAGTCGACAGGATCTCCCAAAATCTACTAGAACTAATAAACAAAAAATAGATATAGGCTGAGCATGGTGGCTCAACCCTATAATCCCAACACTATGGGAGGCTGAGGTGGGAGGATTGCTTGAGCCCAAGAGTTCTAGACCAGCTTGAGCAATTTAATGAGGCCCTGTCTCTACAAAAATAAAAAACAAACAAAAAAAATTAGCCAGGCACAGTGATTCATGCCTGTAGTTTCAGCTACTTGGGAAACTGAGGTGGGAGGATTGCTTGAGCCCAGGAGTTCAAGGTTACATTGAGCTATGATTGCATCACTGTACTCCAGCCTGCAGGACAGAGCAAGACCCTGTCTCCAAAACAAAAAAAAAAAAACAAAAAACTATTAGAACTAATAAATGACTTTAGCAAGGTCTCAAGATACAAGATTAACATTCAAAAATCTATTGTATTGTTATACATCTGTAACAAAGAATTATAAATTGAAATTTTGAAATATCATTTACAATAGTGTCACAAATATAATACTCCAGCTCTTTCTTGATTCATAAAAATTTTTTAATTAAAAAACATTAAATACATAGAGATAAATCTGACATAAGATGTGAAAAGCCTACACACTGAACACTATAAAACATTGTTGAAAGAAGTGAAAGAATAACTTAATAAATGGAGAGTCATACTTTGTTCTGATCCAGAAAACTAAATATTGTTATGATGTCAATTATTTCCAATTTGTTCTACATATTCAAAGCAATTCAAATCAAAATCCCAGCAGACTTTTTTTGGAATTTGCAAATTGATTATAAAATTTATGTGGAAATGTAAAGTACTGCAATAACCAAAACAATTTTGGAAAAAAAAAGAACAAATTTGGAAGGCAAATACTACCTGATTTAAAGACTTATAAAGACTTATACAGTATTCAAGACTGTGTATTATTGGTGTGAAGATAGAAAAATAGAACAAAACAATAGAATTGAGTGGTATGGACTGAATGTTTGTGTCCTATTCAAAATGTATATGTTGAAACCCTACTGCCCAATATGATGGTATCAGGAGGTGGGACCTTTGAGAGGTGATTAGGTTTAGATGAGGTCGTATGGATGGAGACCTCATTAATGGAATTAGTGTACTTATAAAGTCATGAGAGAGCTTGCTTTCCCTCTCTGTTCTCTGCTATGTGAAGATACAGCAAGAAGTAAGCCATCTACAACTTGGAGAGGGCCCTCAGGAGAACCCTACCATGCTGGCACCTTCTCTTGGACTTCCAGCTTCCAGAACTATGAGAAAAATATTTTTGTGGTTTATGAACCACCCAGTTTATGGTGCTCTGTCATAGCAGCCCAAACTGACTATGACAAGAGAGTCTGAGAAAAACACCCACATATTATGGACACTGATTTTTAACAAATGTATGAAGAAAATTCAGTGGGTCAAGGATAGTCTTTTCAATAAATGGTGCTGGAACAATTGCATATCCAGATGGAAAACAATGAACTCCCATCCATACCTCATATCATATGCAGAAATTAACTCAAAATGGATCATAGCCGAAACATAAAACCTAAAGCTATAACATTTCTTATAAATAGAATAAAGTCTGTGATACTAGGTCAGGTAAAGATTTCCTAGGTATAGCACCAAAATCCATAAAAGAAAATTAAAACTGGGCACAGTGACTCATGCCTCTAATCACAGCACTTTGGGAGGCTGAGGCGGGAAGATCACTTGAGCCCAGGAGTTCCAGACCAGCCCTGGCAACATAGAAAGACCCTGTCTATACAAAAAATTTAAAAACTGGCTGGACATGATGGCACATGCCTATAGTCTCAGCTACTCTGGAGACTGAGGTGGAAGGCTCGCTTGAGCCGGGGAGCTTGAGGCTGCAGTGATCTGTGATGGTCCCACTGCACTCCAGCCTGGATGACAGAGTGAGACTCAGTCTCAAACAAAAAGAAAAAGAGGCCGGGCACAGTGACTCACACCTGTAATCCCAGCACTTTGGGAGGCCGACGCGGGCGGATCACGAGGGCAGGTGTTTGAGACCAGCCTGGGCAACATAGTGAAACCCCGTCTCTACTAAAATACAAAAAATTAGCCGGGCATGGTGGCGGGCGCCTGTAATCCCAGCTGCTTGGGAGGCTGAGGCAGGAGAATCGCTTGATCCCGGGAGGTGGAGGTTGCAGTGAGACGAGATCACGCCATTGCACTCCGGCCTGGGTGACATTGCAAGACTCTGTCTCAAAAAAAAGAAAGAAAGAAAGAAAGAAATTCAACTTCAGAAAAATTAAAAACTTCTGCTCTTCAAAATATACTGTTAAGATAATGAAAAGACAAGTCATCAACCAGGAAAGAACATTTCAAAGGATACATCTCATAAAGAACTTGTACTCAGAATATATAAAGAACTCTTACAACTACATAAGAAAACAAACCTCCAATAAAAAATGGGCAAACTATTTGAGCTGTTGCTTCACCAAAGAAGCTATACAGATGACAAATAAGCATATGAAAAGATGCTCAACATCATTAGACATTAGGGAAATGCAAATTAAAACCACAATAAGTTACCACTGTCCAGCCATATAATAGGAAATTGTTGTCAAAGATGTGAAGAAACTGGAACTTCATACACTGCTGGTGGGAATACAAAATGATACCAATTAGTTTGGAAGATTTTCAAAAAGTAAAATATATATCTATCATATGATCCAGCCAACTCCTAGGCATTTACCCAAGAGGAAAGTAAGCATATATTTATATAAATACTTGTACATTAACATTCATAGCAGAGTTCTTTGTAATAGCAAAAAACTGGAGCAATCCAAATGTCTATTAATGTGTGAATAGACAAACTGTGATCTATCCAAACAAAGGCACACTACTTACAGTAAATAACAATGAACTACTTATATACACAACAGCATGGATGAATCTCAAAATAATTACACTGAGTGAAAGAATCTAGAAAAAAATAAGGCACACTGTAGTATTTCATTTATATAAAACTCTAGAAGATGGAAAGTCATCTATAGTGATGAAAATAGATAAATGATTACCTGGGGAGGGGTGGCTAGAGAGGGGCAGAAGGACAGGGATACAGGAAACTTGTGTGGGTGATGAATATATCCCCTATCTTGTGTGGTGATTGCTTGACAGTATATACATATGTCAAAACTTACCAAATTGTACACTTCAAATACATGCAGTTTATTGTATATCAATTATATCTCGATGAAAGTGTTTAAAGACAAAAGTGATAGTTTGGCAAGAACTTAAAGGAAGTGAGAAAATTCACCTTGTGGATAACTAATGGGAGATTTTTGAAAAGTTATTAACAAAATCTGTGCAGAGACATTTGGATTTTTTGTTTACCCGGAAATTTTCCCTTCTTCTGGTGTAATAGCACCTTCTGTATCAGTTAGGATTTGTATTGGCTGCAAGTGACAGCAAATTCAACACAGTAGGAGCTTAGACAAGTTAAAAGTTTAACTTTTCCCTTCCATAAATCTAGGCAGTTTAGGGTTGGTAAGATGATAGTCAGGCAGGCAGACTTAGGAAATGCTGTCTCTATTCTTTTTTTTTTCTTTTTTTGAGACAAAGTTTTGCTCTGTCACCCAGGCTGGAGTGCAGTGGTGCCATCTTGGTTCACTGCGACTTCTACCTCCTAGGTTCAAGCGATTCTCGTGCTTCAGTCTCACAAGTAGCTGGGATTACAGGCGCCTGCCACCATGCCCAGCTAATTTTTGTATTTTTAGTAGAGACAGGGTTTCGCCATGTTGTCCAGGCTGGTCTCGAACTCCTGGCCTCAAGCGATCCACCCGCCTCAGCCTCCCAAAGTGCTGGGATTACAGACGTGAGCCACCACACCCGGCCCCAATTTCTTAAAATAAGACAACAATGATGTTTGTCACCTGAATTGACTCTTTCTTTCATGAAAGATTTCTCTAGCATGCGATGTTGCTTGATAGCACTTTATCCATAGTAGAACTTCTTTCAAAATTGGAGCCAATCCTCCCAAACCCTGCTGCTGCTTTATCAATGATGTTTATGTAATACCTAAATCCTTTGTTGTCATTTCAACAATGTTCACAGCATCTTCACCAGGAGTAGATTCCATCTTGAGAAATTACTTTCTTTGCTCATCCACAAGAAGCAACTCCTCATTGGTTCAAGTTTGATCATGAGATTGCAGCAATTCAGTCCCATCTTCAGGCTCCACTTTTTTTTTTTTTTTTTGAGATAGAATTTCACTCTTGTTCCCTAGGCTGGAGTGCAATGGCACAAACTCGGCTCACCGCAACCTCCACCTCCCAGGTTCAAGCGATTCTCATGCCTCAGCCTCCCGAGTAGCTGGGATTACAGGCATGCACCACCATGCCTGGCTAATTTTGTGTTTTTAGTAGAGATGGGGTTTATCCATGTTGGTCAGGCTGGTCTTGAACTCCCGACCTCAAGTGATCTGCCCACCTCGGCCTCCCAAAGTGCTGGGATTACAGGCATGAGCCACCATGGCTGGCCTCCACTTCTAATTCTCGTTCTCTTGCTTTTTCCACATCTGCAGTCACTTCCTTCACTGAAGTCTTGAACCCCTCAAAGTCATTTGTGGGAGTTGGATCAACTTCTTCCAAACTCCTGTTAATGTTGATATTTTGACCTCCTCCCATGAATCACATATTTTTTTAGAGATAGGGTCTCACTAGGTTTCCCAGGCTGGAGTACGGCGGCTATTCACAGGCACAATCATGGCACACTGCAGCCTTGAACTCCTGGCTTAAACTAATCCTCCTGCTTTAGCCTCCTGAGTAGCTAGGTGCATGCCACCGGATCTGACTTATGAATGTTCCTAATGGCATCTAGAATGGTGAATCCCTTCCAGAAGGTTTTCTATTTACTTGTCCAAATCTGTCAGAGGAATCACCATCTACGGCAGCTATTGCCTTAAGAAATGTATTTCTTAAATAAGACTGAAAATTTTGAAGTAAATCAAAATTACTTTTTTTTTTTTTTTTGAGACGGTGTCTCACTCTGTCACTCAGGCTGGAGTGCAGTGGTATGATCTCAGCTCAGCCTTGACCTCCCAGGCTCAGGTGATCCTCAGCCTCCCTGGCAGCTGGGACTACAGGTGCACACCACCACTTCTGGCTAATTTTTGTATTTTTTGTAGAGATAGCTTTTTGCCATGTTGCCCAGGCTGGTCTTGAGCTCCCGGGCTCAAGTAATCTGCCTGCCTTGGCTTTCCAAAGTGCTGGGATTACAGGAGTGAGCCACTGCACCCGGCCCCAAGTTACTTCTTGATCCATGGGCTGCAGAATGAATGTTGTAAGCAGGCATGAAAACATTCATCTCCTTGTACATCTTCATCAGAAGTCTTGGGAGACCAGGTGCATTGTCAAGAGCAGTAATATTTTTAAAATAATATTTTTTTCTTAGCAGTAGGTCTCAACAGTGGGCTTAAAATATTTAGTAAACTAGGTTGTAATCGTATGTGCTGTCATCCAGGTTTTGTTGTTCCATTTACAGGGCACAGATAGAGTAGATTTGGCATAATTCTTAATTGCCCTAGAATTTTCAGGCTGGTAGATAAGCATTGGCTTCAACTTAAAGTCACCAGCTGCATTAGCCCCTAACAAGACAGTCAGCCTGTTTTTTGAAGATTTGAAGTCAGGCATTGACTTCTCTCTATCTATTAAAGTCCTAGGTGACATCTTTCCCAATGTAAGACTGTTCTGCCTACCCTGATAATCTGTTGTTGGCCAGCCGTGGTGGTTCACGCCTGTAATCTCAGAACTTTGGGAGGCCAAGGCCGACAGATTGCTCGAGTCCAGTTGTTTAAGACCAGCCTGGGCAACATGGCGAAACCCTGTCTCTACAAAAAAATGCAAAAATTAGCCAAGCATAATGGCACGGGCCTATAATCCCGGTTACTTATGAGGCTGAGATGGGAGGATCACCTGAGCCCAGGAAGTTGAGGCTGCCGTAAGCCATAATTGCACCACTGTACTCCAGCCTGGGCGAGAGAGGGAGACTCTGTCTCAAAAAAAAAAAAAAAAAAAGAAAGAAAGAAAAGAAAAGAAAAGAAAAAGAAAAAAGAAAGAAAGAAGAGAAAAGAAAATTTGGGCTGGGCACCGTGGGTCATGCCGCTAATCCCAGCACTTTGGGAGACTGAGGTGGGCGGATCACTTGAGGCCCGGAGTTCAAGACCTGCCTGGGCAACATGGCGAAACCCTGTCTCTATGAAAAATACAAAAATTAGCTGGGTGTGGTGGCTCAAGCCTGTAATTCCAGCTACTCAGGAGGCTAAGGTGAAAGGATCACTTGAACCTGGGAGGTGGAGGTTGGAGTGAACTGAGATTGCGCCACTGCACTCCAGCCTGGGCAACAAGAGTGAAACTCCGTCTCAAAAAAAAAGAAAAGAAAAGAAAATCTGTTGTTTAGTGTAGTCTTAGATCTTTGCTAGATCTTCTAGATAACTTGCTCAGCTTCTACGTCAGTGGTTACGGCTCCACCTTGTGCTTTTACATGATGGAGGTGGCATCTTTAAACCTCACAAACCTCATGAACTAACCTCTGTTAACTTTTCTTCTGGAGCTTTCTCATCTCTCTCACCCTTCATAGAATGGAAGAGAGTTAGAACCTTGCTCTGGATTAGGCTTTAGCTGATTTAATCTTCCATCCAGATCACTAGAGTTTTCTCCATATCAGCAATAAGACTGTTCTACTTTCTTACCATTCATGTGTTCACTGGAGTAGCACTTTTAACTTCCTTCAAGAACTTTTCCTTTGCGTTTACAACTTGGCTAACTGTTTGTGCAAGAGGCCGAGCTTACAGCCTATCTCAGCCTTTGACATTACTTCCTCACTAAGCTTAATCATTTCTAGCTTTTGATTTAAAGTGAAAGACCTGTGACTCTTCCTTTCACTTGAACACTTATAGGTCATTCTAGAGTTATTAATTCACCTAATTCCAATATTGTTGTGCCTCAGGGAATAGAGAGGCCCTAAGAGAGAGAGACAGACAGGGGAGTGGCCAGTCAGTGGAACAGTCAGACCACACATAACATTTTTGGATGAAGGTCTCTGTCTTATATGGGTACGGTTCATGGTGTCCCAAAACAATAACAATAGCACTGTAAAAGATCACTGGTCACCGTAACAGATATAATAATAATGAAAAAGCTTGAAATATTGCCTGAATTACCAAAATGTGACAGAGACACAAAGTGAGCACATGCTGTTAGAAGCATTGTGCTGGCAGACTTGCTCAACACAGAGTTGCCACAAACCTTCAACTTGTAAAAATCACAGTATCTGCAAAGTGCAATAAAACAAAGCATGCCTGTGCCTAATATGTCCCCAGTTGTCAATAAAAGAGAAAACTTAGGGGCTAGTTTTGGTCCTTGAGCAGCATCTTACAGGGCCAATTTAACTAAAGAATTAACACTACATTCACAGCAAATCACATGAGAAGAAATAATAAATAGTGCACATATAAAAAAGATTCACACTCTGAGTTCTAATTAGGAAAATAATTATTAAAACAAAAGGAGGCTGGCTGGGTGTGGTGGTTCACGCCTGTTATCCTGGCACTTAGCGAGGCCAAGGTGGGCAGATAGCTTGAGCCCGGGAGTTCGAGACTAGCCTGGGCAACATGGTGAAACCCCATCTCTACAAAAAAATATAAAACAGCCAGGAGTGGTGACACATGCCTGTAGTCCCAGTTGCCCGAAGGGCTAAGGCAGGAAGATCACTTGAGCCCAGTAGGTTGAGGCTGCAGTGAGTTGTGATAGGGCCACTGCATTCCAGCCTGGGTGATAGAGTAAGGCCTCGACTCAAAACAAAAACAAAAACAAAAAACAAAAGGAGGATACATATATTGTAATATACTATTGCGAGAATAAAAATTGGTACCATGTTTGTAGAGAAAAATTTTCTAATATAGGTTGAGCTTCCATAATCTAAAAATCTGAAATCTAAAATGCTCCAAAATCTGAAATGTTTTTGCGCATTGACATGAAGCTTACAGGTCATTCTCAAAGGAAATGTTGATTGGAGCACTTCAGATTTTGGATTTTCAGATTAGGGATGTTCAGTTGATAAATACATGCAAATACTAAACAATCCAAAATCTGAAACACTTCTATTACCAAGTATTTCACATAAGGGATAGTCTACCTATAACTACCACAATTTAAAATGCATGTATCTTTTGACCAACAATTTTATTTCTAAGAAACTGCACTCTAGAGTTTAAGGGGATACACAAAAGAATATTCACTAAAACATGATTTGAACAAGTGAAAATTGGAGTCAATGTAAAATATTTGTTAATAAAAAAGCTTCAGTAATTTGTGGTGCATTCATGTGATGGTACATTTTTATAATAATTTTATAACAAGATCCTTTATAACTATGGCCCTATATTTATTATAAAACTGTTATAAAAAATAGAATGACCAAGAGTGGCTGATCACCTGAGGTCAGGAGTTCAAGACCAACCTGGCCAACATAGTGAAACCCCATCTCTACTAAAAATACAAAAATGAGCTGGGTGTCTTGACGCATGCCTATAATCTGAGCTATTCAGGAGGCTGAGGCAAGAGGATTGCTTGAATCCAGGAGGGTTGGTTGCAGTGAGCCAAGATTGCACCACTGCACTGACAGAGCAAGACTCCATCTCAAAAAAAAAAAAAAAGAATGAATTTAGGTGGTAGCATATAGGTAATATAGCGTAAAATGGAAAGAACAAATTATAGAATGAAATATAGAATATAATTTCATTTATTTTCCTTTATTTAAACAATACATATATATAGAATCTGCCAAAATTGGGGATTCCTCATCTCTCAGAGTAGGACTCTATTTTCATTTTTTAAAGAAGTCAGAAGATGAAAATTGAAGGATACATAGAGAGTGTTATGAGGGTTTTGGGGGGTTTGTTTAATTTAAAATACACACATACACACCCACACACACACACGTCTATTTTTAGTGAGGGTGGGGGTTGCTTTGCAGTTAGACCTGGCAATGTCTTGATACCCACCACATTACCCCTGCCCTTCTGCCTGAAGGTGGGCTTGCTCAGTGATCTGAAGAGGACTGGGCCCCACAGTGGGTTCTGCTCACTAGGCAATGAGCATCAATCAACAGGAGGGACATCTCTACTTCTGCTCAACCTCCGCCAAACTGAGTGAACAAATGCTCCAAAATGAAATGTTCTGATGCCTTCCATTAATTCTTTCAGGGCATAAATTGTGACCCCCATGGTGATGGCCAACTTTGGCCTCTTACCTCATTTGGGACCCTGAAGGACAGGCAGGTTTCTGCCCAGTCTTTTGTAGAAACACAAAAAGCAGGGCTGCTTTCTATTTGAAGCAGCTTAAAGTAGAGAATTTACAGATGCTCCAGAAATTCTCCCTTATTGGCCGGGCACGGTGGCTCACGCCTGTAATCCCAGCACTTTGGGAGGCCAAGGCGGGCGGATCATGAGGTCAGGAGATCGAGACCATCCTAGGTAACATGGTGAAACCCCGTCTCTACTAAAAATACAAAAGAAATTAGCCGGGTTTGGTGGCGGACGCCTGTAGTCCCAGCTACTCAGGAGGCTGAGGCAGGAGAATGGCGTGAACCCGGGAGGCGGAGCTTGCAGTGAGCCGAGATCGCGCCACTGCACTCCAGCCTGGGCGACAGAGCGAGACTCCATCTCAAAAAAAAAAAAAAAAAAGAAAGAAAGAAAGAAAAAAAGAAATTCTCCTTTATTGCAGATTATGAGCCCCATCTTCTTGGCAGGACCACACGGATCTTGCTGTACCTTGCTGAAGAATAATAGACAATAGTTATGGCCTGCTCATCTCACCTGCTCTGTGGAAAA
Source organism: Homo sapiens (assembly GCF_000001405.40). NCBI lineage: Eukaryota > Metazoa > Chordata > Mammalia > Primates > Hominidae > Homo > Homo sapiens. Next base: position 92,978,073 of record NC_000001.11, on the reverse strand, counting down.
ACAGAATCATTAAGTAACAATATTAGGATATCATGGCCCCCCCAGGGGATTTCCTTAAAGATACACATAGACAAAGGTCTAGAAGGAGACACAAGAAACCATCCTTGTGGTTACCAAGAAGGAGCAAGAATAGGGAGGATGGGAGTAGGAGGGCTTTCTGTGTGTTTGAATAATTTACGAGTGATTATTACTTTCATAATTAAAACTCTTTTACTTCCAGCTGAGAATTCATGTTACATGCTCATTGTGTATATGTTAGAATGAACCCAAAAATATAATCTAAGGAAAATCTTTGCCCTGCATTTTCCAGTTCACCCCCATGGGGAAGTTGGGTGACTTTCTATTTAAGTATGCATACTGGTTAGGTGCTTTCCTTTCAGAAAGGGCATCAATTCTCAGTTAATTATGCTTTACTACACCTTGGAACTTCCACACTTCAAGTTCTCAGAAAATATAATCTTGAATTATCTGGTGTTGAATTCTTAGCAAACGTTTACTTGTAAGGATCATGTTGAGGAGAATTGCCTGATAGGATGGGCTCATTCCATAGTCATCCTAAATTTTGTCAGGTTTGGAGATAGATCCTTGGAGAGATTTCTTGGATTACATTGTCTCAATATCAATACCCACCTCCCCCATGACTTGGCCCTTTGCTGACCTACATTTAGCATTTGGCCTTGAATCTATACTGAGAGGTGTTTTAAGAAATACATGGCCAGGCACTGTGGCTCACACCCATAATTCCAACACTTTGGGAGGCTGAGGCAGGCAGATCACCTGAGGTCAGGAGTTTGAGACCAGCCTGGCCAACATGGCAAAACCCTGTCTCTACTAAAAATACAAAAATTAGTCAGGTGTGGTGGCACGTGGGAGCCTGGGAGTTCGAGACCAGCCTGGGCAACATGGTGAAACCCCATCTCTACCTGACTATAGTCCCAGCTACTGGGGAGGCCGAGGCAGGAGAATCACTTGAACCCGGGAGGCGGAGGTTGCAGTGAGCCGAGATCATGTCACTGCACTCCAGCCTGGGCAACAGAGTGAGACTCTGTCTCAAAATAAAAAAAGAAGAACAACAAAAAAAGAAATACATTACGTTCACCATTGTATAAACTGTAGGATAATTGTTGAGAATGATGGAACACACTACAGAGTTGGGCACAGTGGTATGCACCTGGAATCCCCGCTACTTGGGGAGGCTGAGGTGGGAGAATTGCTTGAACCCAGGAGTTGAAGTCCAGCCTGGGTAACATAGTGAGAATTTGTCTCTAAAAAAAAAAAAACCACCACACACTATTCCAAAATATGGCAACTTGGCATACTGAATATTTTAAGCTGAAGGAATTTGAGAAACAACATGTACAGGAAGGATATTCCGGCCTTCCCTTGAAGCAAGTCATAAGATCCTCATGTGAGAGATGCCCTCCCATACTTGGAGAAAAGGAGCATCCCTATCTCCATTGACACAGGAACACCAAAGGGAATCTGGGTGAACAGGCCATGCCATCTCCCAGTTTATTACATTTAGCTAGCTCATGCTTTTTCATTATCCTTTCACATTTCTCCATGACGCTTTACTCTTCATCAAACGTAGCATAAAAACTCTCAACCGCTTCTTCAGCTCTCATTTCCTTATGAAGTCACCTGTGTCATGTAAAACTTATATTAAATAAATTTGTGTGCTTTTTCTCTTGTTAATCTCTCTTGTTCCACTGGTCCCAGCCAATGAACCTAAGATGGGTAGAAGGAAAATATATTTTTTCTCCCCTACAAGAACATTGTCTACATATCACAATAACACAAGCAAAGCTGGTTTCTGTTTGAAAGTATCTGGTCCTCTTTTATCTTATAGACACTGTGAGTATTGTAATAGCTTTGTTTTTCCCTGGCCACTGGGAAATTCATTTATTTATTTAAATATCTGTAATAAGTTTCCTTTGTACCAGGCATCCAGCTGGGTTCTGCAGATAAAAATGATAAACAGAAATGAACATGGCCTGTGTCCTCATAGAGTTTATTATCTAGAAGTGAAGACAGACATCAATCAAATAATCACATAAATATAGTTACATCTAATTATCAATGATGATGAGTGGGTTGGACTGCAGAGGCATCAGAACTTTTCTTGGAAGTCAGGGAAGACTTCTCTGAATTGAGATCTGCAGGATAATTAGAAGTTTGGTAGAGGATGGGGAGAGGCAAGAAGCATTTTGGGAAGTGGGAACAGCATGTGCATGAGCCACGTGACAGGAGGGTTTATAGGCACTGGAGGAACTGAAAGAAGAGCCCTGTGGCTAAACGCAGAACATTTGAGGGACAGTGGCATTAGCTGAGGGTGGGGCAGAAGACAGGTGCCACTAAACCACTGAACTGTTTTAAATGACTAACCACATGAGCTATGATAAATAACTCAACCTTCCAAAGACTGTTTTCTAGGGTGAAAATCTCTGTTCCTTAAGCACACGGTGATGCTGAACGACCTACTGAGCTACCATTAAAGCTACAAACAAACGGCCAGGCGCGGTGGCTCATGCCTGTAATCCCAGCACTTTGGGAGGCCGAGATGGGCGGATCACGAGTTCAGGAGATCGAGATCATCCTGGCTAACACAGTGAAACCCTGTCTCTACTAAAAATACAAAAAAATTAGCTGGGCATGATGGCGGGCGCCTGTAGTCCCAGCTACTCGGGAGGCTGTGGCAGGAGAATGGCATGCACTCAGGGAGGCGGAGCTTGCAGTGAGCCCATCGCACCACTGCACTCCAGCCTAGCGGAGATCACGCCACTGCACTCCAGCCTGGGCGACAGAGCGAGACTCCCTCTAAAAAAAAAAAAAAAACCTACAAACAAATTTGAGCTAAACTTTCTCTAGGGAACAGCATATTGGAAATTTCCACTTAACTCAGGAGGAAGACTACAGAAAAAGGGCCTTTTGGGAGTTTTCTACATCAGTGGGGTGCAGTGTCAGGCCTGTAGTTCCAGCCACTTGGGAGGAGGGGACAGAGGACAGGAGGATAGCGTGCGTGTAGGGGTTCTGGGATGTAGTGCACTGTGGTCACTGGGTCTCAGCACTGAGTTCGGCATCAGTGTGGTGACCTCCCAGTAGTAGGGGACCACCAGGTTGCCTAAGGAGGAGTGAACTGGCCCAGGTCAGAAACAGAGCAGGTCGAAACTCCCATGCTGATCAGTAGTGGGATTGCACCTGTGAATAGCCACTGCACTCATAGTCAACATAGTCAGAACCTGTCTCCCAAAATAAAATTAAAAAATAAAATAAAAACCAAATTATGGGCTGGGCATGGTGGCTCACACCTGTAATCCTAGCACTTTGGAAGGCCCAGGCAGAAGGATCACTTGAGCCCAGTAGTTTGAGGTTGCACTAGCTATGATTACATCACTGCACTCCAGCCTGGGCAACAAAGCAAGACTTCCTCTCTAATTAAAAAAATAGGCCAGGCGCAGTGGCTCACACCTGTAATCCCAGCACTTTGGGAGGCCGAGGCAGGTGGATCACGAGGTCAGGAGTTCAAGACCAGCCTGGCCAACATGGTGAAACCCTGTCTCTATTCAAAATGCAAAAATTAGCCAGGTGTGGTGGCACGCACCTGTAATCCCAGCTACTTGGGAGGCTGAGAGGCAGGAGAATGGCTTGAACCCGGGAGGCAGAGGTTGTGGTGAGCCAAGACCCTGCCACTGCACTCCAGCCTGGGTGATAGAGCGAGACTCCATCTCAAAAATAAATAAATAAATAAATAAATAAATAAATAAATTAAATAAAAATAAATAAATAATGCACTGTGAAAGAACAGCCTCAGGTGTAAATAGTCCTATGATGGGTAACCTACAGGGAGCACTGTCCGCCCTACCTTCTTAAGGATTTTGTTAACATGCACAGAATACTTACAGAAAATACATAAGGCACTTTCAGATATATTATTTTGTTTAATCTGCACAACGAGGTTGGGATATATTATTTTTTTCTATTTTAGAAATGAGAAAACTAAAGCCAGAGAAATTAGGTATATGACTTATTCAAAGTCATATAGCCAGAAAATCATATAACTGGGATTCAAATTCAGGTAATCTGATCCAAATTCATACAAATCACACCAAAGAGGTCTCAACAAGACTGAATGTGGCCCAGAATTGCCTATGAGACCTTCAGCTCTTCATTTCAGCCCCATGGTGGGGAGGTGGGGACTAGACCCACCAATCCTCATTCATAAACCCAATGTAAAAGAAATCTTATCTTCTAAGAAAATGCCCTCACTTCTGCTATCAACACAGTCAGGTAAGACAGGGGAAGAAAGTAATTTACTTATTAAAGAAACTACCTCAGAAGGTCCTCAGCTTAAAAGAAGGAAGTAAAACAGATAAACCCTTTTGCCTAGAGAGATAAAAGATTCTACACTTCCCCAGATGGCCTTGACAGGGAGTGGGTTCTGTGAAATCCACACTTTATAAAGAGAAGGGAAATGTCACCAGACTTTCATATCTGTAGAACTTTGTTAGAGTCTGTAAAGCGGAAAAATATAACATGGGACCAACTGTCAATACTTCTGTTTTTAAAAAAGAAAACCACCTTTGGAACAAAATGAGACCACACTGGAATAGGACATCTTAGACATGACGAGTTCTAACTTGGTGTGCGATTATTAAGAGGCAACCCCCCAATCCTGCTGAGTCAATGGGCAGAATCTATTTTCAGTTTCCAACTTGTCCTGAGACGCTCTAAGTCTCTTGCCAAGTTGAATCAGTGCAGCATCTGTGGGTACCGATTAAGAACTCTACATTACCTAGGAAGAGAGCAGCAGAGAGTGTCAGGATAAAAGCATCCAAAAGTGAAGAAAATTCGCCAGCTATCTGGTCATGGAGCCAAATCATTTGTTAACCGTAGGAAAAGGAAAGACCTGCTCTGGTCGGTCCAAATTCATATTCCCTGGGCAACTAGGTGTCTTTTTCTACTTCTTCTGACAGTCCCAGGCAGGACACTGTTTAGCCTGAGAATCAAGGTCTCCTTGGAGGCTTCTTTGCACGGGTGCTTGACTTCTGCTGCCCCTACCTCTTGCTGAGACTGTGCTCTTACCTCCTGACCACCCCTTTTACTCACAGGGTCCCTAACCCTGCCTGGCTTGTGGCATGCCTAGTCTCCTAAAGCATTCTCCTTTGGGATTTCTGATCTCTTTTGTTGCTATCTGCATGCCTAGTTTCTGGCATACTCTAAATTCTGCCTGCCTTTGGCTTCTAGGTCACTAATTTGTCCTGCCCTTTGGTTCTTGGGTCTTACTCAACTCCTGTTTTTCCATCTTGCTGGCCCATTGCCTGGCCAAGACCCTACTTGCAGCTTCCTTCACCTATTTGATATTTTTTAACCTGTTTTTGCAAAGCACCATCATCATTCACAGTCCCAGAACTGACATATATTTAGAGCTTGAAGTGGAGTAATCAAGAGGAAATGCCTTTTTGGAAAGAGGAAATGCAGGATTAGAGTGGAGGCAAGTTTAGTCTTCTTTAGAACTGAATCTCAGGAAGGCAATAATGGAGAATATAAGGTGAAAAATACCTGAATTCAAATAGAAATCCTTTTATTGTTGGTAATTTAAGTAACAAAATAGTAATCATCTAAGAATAATTTAAAGTAAGAACCTGAGAGATCATTGCTTTTTTTTTTTTTTTTTGAGACAGTGTCTCACTCTGTCACCCAGGCTGGAATGCAGTGGTGTGATCTTGGCTCACTGCAACCTCTGCCATCTGGGGTTCGAGCGATTCTCCTGCCTTAGCCTCCCGAGTAGCTGGGATTACAGGCGGCTGCCACTGTGCCTGGCTAATTTTTTTTGTATTTTTAGTAGAGACGGGGTTTCACTATCTTGGCCAGACTGGTCTTGAACTCCTGACCTCACCATCCACCCACCTTGGCCTCCCAAAGTGCTGGGTTTACAGGCATGAGCCACCACGCCCAGCCTGATCATTGTTTCTTAATAATATTCTGTGTTTTTTTTTTGAGAGTCTGAGGATGAGGAAGAACAAAAGTTCTGTTTTTCATATCATGAAAATGTAGTTCCTTTGAACTAAATGTTTTTAGCTCATTATCAAATTTTAAATATATTAATTTAGGTTTTTTAATAGGTAGAATAATTTAGAATTCACAGTTATAATAATTTATTTTTAGTATCCCAAATTTGAAACCAGTGTTTAATTTAAATCTAATTGAACTGTGCTATTTTCATAGCGATTCACTGGCTCCTTTTGAAAGGTTTAATTTTAGGTTGTAGGAATTTAAGACAGATAATTCTTAAGGTACCCCTATAGTAATCAGTTCTATAACAACAACATATTTTTCTTATAGATAAATATGTAACTCACTCTTGTCCCTTCAAAAATGAATTATGTGACTCTAGAGTTGTATAGTTGGAATTTTCCTTAGAATCAGAAAAACAAATCCAGTCATTTCTACATTTGCCAAAATAGTAAAATGTTTGTTTTATTTTAAAATGAATAGAGCGAAGTAGCAGAGACAGATAGGGAGTTCGCCTGTGATAGAATTCTGGGCGTGCACCTTCACAGTATGACCTTAGGCAAGTTACCCAACCTTTCCCCGCCTAAGAAAGATTTTTAACCAACTCCAGCCACATACTCTGTGACTTTGAGCTCTTTCTGTGAGTCCTTATTCTTATAACTAGAGATAACTGTGCTGTGCAGGCAACTGGAAATTAAATTTTGCCTTCATACAGGTGGTGGCTATAGACCCTGACAGTCTTTGAACGGACTTCCCAGTTACCACCTCCAACCTGCTGGCCTGAATTTCAGAGTCTCTCCTTCTGAAGTACTTGATTCTGTGTCAGCTTGACTCTATCCAGCTGCTGCCTAATCCAACACTGACAACTGCTTTCACAAACTATAACCTGATAACTGGAACTATTTTGAACGCCTGTTGGCCCTATCAGCATCACCAAGTTCCAGTCCATCCCAGCGGATGTGTTCAATGCTGGTTCTCTTCTCCTCTCTGGTATTAGCAGGCCATACTTGGCCCACTCTGAGATGTCAGATATGTGATTCTGTATTGTATAATCCTACAGCATCAATAAATAGTTAGATTATATTCATTACAGAGTTTCATAAAACAGAGACATGGGTGTCATAGTTCAAAAAGATCTCTATTAATGTAACAACGGTCAACAGTTTTACAAGAGTTGGTGCCTTAAAGGGACTAGTTTTGTTTACTAAGAAAATTAATTTGTGTGGAAAAGCCCATTTCCCTATAACTCAAAAATTAATTTTTACCTAAAGCTTTTTGAGAAGGTTTGTTGAAGATGCTGGCTCTCCATTGATTTGTTCAATAACAAGAGTAATCAGGCTGGGCGCGGCAGCTCACACCTTTAATCCCAGCACTTTGGGAGGCAGAGAGAAGCGGATCACCTGAGGTCAGGAGTTTGAGACCAGCCTGGCCAGCATAGTGAAACCTTGTCTCTACTAAAAATACAAAACAATTAGCGGGGCATGGTGGTGGGCGCCTGTAATCCCAGCTACTCAAGAGGCTGAGACGCGAGAACTGCTTGAACCCAGGAGGCAGAGGTAGAAGTGAGCCGAGATAGAGCCCCTGCATCCCAGCCTGGGCAACAGAGCAAGACTCTGTCTCAAAAAAAACAAACAAAACAAAACAGTAATCATATATGGCCTTATAGCAGGACATTTTAGACATCTTTTTCAGACTTCTACTTGAGTCCAGTGCCTACTCTGTGCTAAGCATCATGCTGAGCACTTTATAACACATAACCCCATTTAATCTCTTGTTGCTGAAGATGAAACTGAGGCATAGAGATTTTAAATAGCTGGCCCAAGGTCATACAGCTAAAAAGTAGCAGAACTAAACAAAGAGAGCCTATCTGTTTTCAGTGGTTCTTGTAGAGCTCCTAACCACTATAATGCAACAAAGAAACATTGAAAAGCAGGAAAAAAACTCAGGAAAAGATGAAGAATATGCTCCACAAGAAGTTTGGAATCCTTATGACATTTTCTGAACTTGTTGGTTCTAACTGGATTTTACTGGGGGTGATCAGCAAGGAAACATCTGGGTTCTCTAAGAACCTTTACTGTCATCTGAGAGAATCAAATGTTTCCTGGACTTGGATGGTTATTCTTGTGCTCAAGAAAATTGGGGAGTGCTTAGGGTTAGTCATCAGAAGGAAGAAAGCACTAGAAATCACCCAGTAAACAGTGCTCTTGTAGTGCCACCCGGTCATCTCTTGCTGCGTTATGTTTCTACCTGATTTTCCTCTTCTGTGGAGAACATGGCATATTCTTATACACAAAATTAAGAGAGTAGGGAAACCCTATTGTGAAATACTATTTTAATATTATGACATTGTCATGCTTGCTTTGACAGCTCATATACTAAAAATGGAACCATATAGAGAAGAGTATCATGGCTTCTGCACAAGGATGACATGCCAATTCGTGAAGCATTCCATATTTTTAAAATCTGTATATTATGACATTGACAGTTTATACAAAATCCCAGAGACTATTGCCAGAGACTGAAAATGTCATCAAATGGTCTCAGGACAAGTTCATATCCTCCTGAAGTCTAACCCACCACAATAAGGTGACTCCTTCAGTAACTTCCATGTGATAGGTCTCATAAGATGTTCATTTCTGACATTATTGCTGCAGTCACTGTGAATTCTCAACATAAGTCTTTTAGTGCAACATTTTCATTAGGAGGAATTTCAAGATCCAGAATTAAAGTGTTATGCCTTAAATCAGACAAAATCTTAGCACCAAATTATTACAGGTGTTTCATTTTCTTGAAGAACTATTCCAAAAAAAACCCAGCACTTCTTCAGGGAATGTACTGATAAGAATAAAGAACAAAATAAAGATTGTCATTCATGACTGTTTCAGATTTTGAACGCTGCTTTCAAGGTAAAAGCTCTTTTTAAAACCTATTTTATTTTTATACTTCTTATCTTCTTGGAAGCCTCACTTATTCATTCATTCTTTTATTTTCTTAAGAAATGTTTATGGATTACCTTCTCTAGGCCAACTGTTAAGGAAATAACAATAAATTATAATTTCCCTTCAATCATTCTTATCATTTCCCTTCTTATCATTCTTCCTCTTTTTTTAAAGCACTGTATTCTATATTAAAAGCAGATACACAAAATACCTGCCCTACTTTATAAGTTTCTTTTGTTCCATACTCTGAACAGCATTTTATAAAATTTTGGACACAATAGATTCTTAATATTTGGTGGTAGTGTTAGTAGAAAATTAGGGAACCACTGTATTTTTAAATTCCAATGTCCAATGGGCCTTTTCATAGAAGATAAAAAAGAGCTCTGTCTCTCATTTCAGTCTATGTTCTCATGATTCAATCACAATAGATTTCATTTTTCCTGGGGTGCAAATTCAGTCACCACCTTGGCTTATCAATACCCTGCACCATCTAGTGGCCTGAGAAGGTGAATACAGACTACACAGTATATGGAAAGAATTCACTTGTCCTGTTATCTGAGGAATTTCAGGTAAAACATGGGTTCTTTTTAATGGAATCATTAATCCAGAGCCTAATCTTTCTCTATTCTCTTCACTTGCTCCTTTCTTGCTTCCCATTCTGAAGCTTCAAAGAAGCTCCTCTTTAAGTGTACTTTCCCAAGTCACTGCTATGATTTTAACTCAGAGGTCACTAAGTCAAATACCTACAGGGACCAGACAGGAAAGATAAATAAATGCTGAGGGCTGAAGCAAGAAAACTAGGAAGTGAGAGGGACTATAGCAGACCGCAGGACAAGTGCCACACAGAGGTCACACCAGCCCACCATTGGTGTGTGTGAGAGGCTTGGTTAGCTGATCTAATTTTCAAAAGCGCCAGAAATCTAGATGTTTATGTAAAATGTCCCAATTTGTAAATATTGGAAGAAACAAAACACAATCTGCCCAGGGCTGCCATTAGCAACCTGTGTTCTCATTGGTATTGAATTCAAAGCACTGAAAACACCACAGGTTTCCGAAATGTCCTTGAAGAATGTCAGTTGAGTTCTGTGATCTAACCTTACTGTCAAGGCAAAAGAGAAGGGAAAGATTCTTATCAGGAGTGTGATTTGATGTTGGTCTAATTAGTACATTTTCATTAGTCTAATTAATAGGTTTCCATTCTTCAGTTTTAAAAAAATGTAATAAAGTGACTTTTTTTAGGTAAGAAAGGGGGAATGAAACAAATATATATTAAATTTTAAAAATACATATTCAATTTTGCTTTTATTTATATAAAAAATTGGCACTGGAAGGATAAATTTAAAATTAGTAAAAGTGATTACCTATGAGGGGTAGGACAAGGTAGAATAATAAAATTTCTCAATGACTACTTTTAATTTAGTTTTTATTTTTGAACCAGATGAAAATATTACATATTCAAAAATTACAATAAATTTAAAAATAAAAATAAAAAACATTAAAATCACATTTTTAAAATTACCTATCATACAGAGAAGTACGATAGGTTGAAAAATAGAGACTGGGCACCGTGCCATGTATCTGTAGTCCTAATTACTAGGGAGGCTCATATGGGAGGGTTGCTTGAGCCCAGGAGTTCTAGATTATGATGAGCTATGATCATACCACAGCACTCCAGCCTAGGTGACAGAGCAAGATTAAATAAATAAATAAATTAGAAAGCATAAAAATAAAAAACTATAACGCTGTATGAGGGAAGCAGAATTATAAAAGTTCAAGAAGAAGAAAAGGGAACAATGTTATATTTCTGATAGCTAAATAAATAATCTTGTAACTTAAAGGATGATACTCTTTAAATGGTATCAAGGTGCATGGTATTTATATATATTCCACTGGATACACTTAAGAGTTGTGTGACAGTTTTTTGGGGTTTTTTTTTTTTTTTTTTTAGATGGAGTCTCGCTCTGTCGCCCAGGCTGGTGTGCAGTGGTGTGATCTCGGCTCACTGCAAACTCCGCCTCCCAATTTCAAGCAATTCTCTGCCTCAGCCTCCCGAGTAGCTGGGATTACAGGCACCCGCCACCACGCCTAGCTAATTTTTGTATTTTTTAGTAGAGATGGGGTTTCACCATCTTGGCCAGGCTGGTCTTGAACTCCTGACCTCGTGATCCACCTGCCTCGGCCTCCCAAAGTGCTGGGATTACAGGCATGAGCCACCGCGCCCAGCCACAGTTTTATTTTTAAATGCCAATATTTACAACACAAAACTGAAAATTACTTCCTTTACAATTGTTTAATTTTATGATAAAAATTTTGGATGTTGATATAAAACATCAGAGAATTCATATCTTTTTCAAAATTCTTTTGAGAATGTGCAAACAAGAAAGTTCAAAGACCACCGATCTTGATTTTCCTGTACTGGAACCCACTGGAGTAATTTCTTTGTCTCTGGAAGGCCAAAGTTACATTACATATGATGACTAAGAGGCCACAAATTAGCACCTCTGAACATAACCATATGAATTAGTTTTGGATTAGCTAGCTTTTACTTAGAAAAACTTAAATTTTTAAGTGCCATAAGAACAGGCACCAGCACAAGTACATTTGGATGTTTGTAAAGTAGGTCCAGTATATGACATAAAGGCTGGCCAGGCCTCTGCAGTGAGAGTTCAGGAGAACATCAGACCAGAGGCAGAAAGGATCTTGCCTAAATTTGCCAAGGCCAACGTGCTTGGATCCATCTTGGGACTCATCCAAGTGGATTTATAGCCAAACTGCAAGTTCAGTGGTACAAGGGCTCACCGTACCCACCTGTATGCAAGGTCCTCAGGATGGGCCCTGGAGGGCAAGGGTCCTGGGGCATGTGAAGACAAGGGAAGCAACTCAAGTTGGAAATGAAAATCTTCTAAACTACTTTTCTCCATTCAAATAAAACATTAATTTCATTTAGTCTTGGGTGACTCTAAAAGGAAACCCGAATAACCATTTCTTCTCATTTGGTTCAAATTTTGTCCTTGGTATCCTTGTTTATATCTTTTACCGTGAGAAACACCAGACCACCATGCCTCCCTCACTTCTCACCTGACCCTCTCAAGGCTCTTCACATCACCTATTCTGAACTCTTCTCAAGACTCCCCAGTTTTTGAGGCTTTTCCACTGTGCCCTCTGTCTATCATCAGCAAAATCCTCTATGTCCTCCAACGCTTCTCTAAATATCTCCTGCACCTTCTTGTCCTAACACCAACCTGGCTCATCCCTGTGGATGCTGTTGTCCCTGCAGCCTTCCCAGCGCCCTCATACCACTGAAGTGGGAGGTAGGAGAGGGCTCTTCCATGCTTCTTTTAAGATATTCTTCCTGCTTCCTCTCTAATTCCTGCCCCTGCCCATTATCTTAAAACTCATGTCCTCTGATGTTGTCACTCACCTTCCTCATTCCTCACCTACTCACTCACAGATCACTGTCTTATCAAGGACTTTAGCTTTTGCTACTGACATCTTCCCCAGCACCTCCTGTCCTAAGTCTTACTGTTTTTAATACGCATGCATATAATCTGTATGACAGTCTGTCCTTGACTCTCTTCCAATGATCCTGCCTCCACATCCCTTAGCCATTCACTGCCATGGTGGCATCCCACCCTAGGTTTAATCACTCCTCCATAGTCTCAATTTCATGGATCCCACTAAAATTACCACATTGTTGTGGTCACCCTGCAGAAGCCAGATGGGCTCCTCCACCTAAAATTTAATTTGGACGTTGAGACTGATGATGTTACACTTGCACCAAGAGGGTGTGAAAAGGTTTATTCACATACTGCAGCTTTCTGGGGAGAGCAGGGCAGGCTCCCAAACTGGTTCAAAAATGGCTTAAGGGAGCAAAGAAAGGAGACTATCTTAGGATGTCATGGTGGTTAAGGGGTAGGACCACGGTGAGGGCTCTCTCACATGGGCTGGGTCTTGCACGGTTTGAACTTCCTGCTGGCATCAAAGGCATCTAGGCTTTCTTATGTTTGCACAGAGGAAACAGGAGTGGCAGGGCTTCAAAGCTGTCAGCACATATAAAAAATGGAGTCAGACTTGCAATATAGATATATATTTAGAGACAGTGTCTCACTCTGTTGCCCAGGTTGGAATATATGGAACGATCATGGCTTGTTGCAACCTCCACCTCCTGGTCTCAAGGGATCCTCCTGCTTCAGCCTCCGGAGTAGCTGGGACTACAGGTGCACATCACACTAAAGAGTTTTGTGACAGTTTTTTGGGGTTTTTAGCCATGCTTGGCTAATTTTTAAATTTTCTATAGGAATGGGATCTCACTATGTTGCTCAGGCTGGTCTTGCGCTCCTAGCCTCAAATGATCCTCCCGTCCCAGCCTCCCAAAGTACTGGGTTTACAGACATGTGACACTATGCCCAGCCTCAGACTATTACATACCTCCTATCTTTCCAGATCATTCTCTCTTTTCCCTAGACTCCTACAACCCCTCAACCCCAGAAGGACTTGCAATTCATTGATCCTACCACCTTTTCACTGTCCTTAAACTCTCCATATCCACTCTTCCCTCCTTAATCATCTTAAGTTCCATGGTGAATCATAATCATGCCCTTGCTTATATCCTCAACTTCCTTGTTCTCCTCTCCTTGCTCTTGTTCCTTTAGTAAAATGTGATTAAACAGAATTTCAGCCTACTCTGGACCTGCTTCCTAGGAGCTAATTATTGCTGGAGAAAGAAGCACACTCATACTAACTTGTCTCACTTAAATTCATGACCATAAACTGAAGTGGGCCCTACATGACACTCAACAAGCACACAATTATTCTCTGGTCCATTGTCTTCTCATTCTCCTAGATGACATTTCACACCTTCTCTTCCCTTTTCACATAATCTTTCCCATCTCCTCCCAGCTGATAGCATTTCTTTCTACATCTCTAAGAAAATTGAAGCAATCAGAAGAGAACTTCCAAAGATTCCTATTTACCATGCCTACCCACCTGCCTGCCTGTTTCCATAGATCAACAGTCTGTACTCGTCTACAAATGATCCTTCCACTTGTGTGTTAGTTTTCAAACGCTTTTTCCCTCTCAAGGACACCACTCCAGCACTTCTCACTTCTTGTTTCTACATGAATTTTCCCTTTTCTTCCGGATCATTCCCATTAAAAACAAGTATTTCTCCCCCTACCACCTTCTTTCTCTCTTTTTTTTTTTTTTTAAAGAAACAGGGTCTCACTCTGTCACCCAGGATGGAGTGCACTGATGCGATCATAGCTCACTACAGCCTTGACCTCCTGTGCTTGGCCTCTCCCCATTTTTTTTCAATCTTCTTTTGACTCTGCTTCTACTGTCCCAGATTTGGGCTCCCCTTTGTAAGAGAACTTCTCAAAAGAATTGTTTGTATTAGCCACCTCCAGTTTCTCTCCTCTCATTTTTTTCTTAAAACCACTCCAATCAAGTTTTTCCTCTATTGCTCCACTGAAGGGTTATCAATGGCCTCCATGTCACTAAATCCAACAGTCAATTCTCAGTGCTCACTCGCAGAGGAGCACTCCCTCTTCCTAGATCCACAAGCTTCACTCGGCTTCAGGGCACCTCACTCGGGTCTCCCACTTCACTGGCTGCTCCCTTTCAGTCTCCTTGGCTGGCTCACCCACTACCCTGTCTTAAAGCTGCATTGGTCCCCAGAGCTCCATCCTCAGTCGTCTTTTATTTACACTCACTTCCTTGGTGATCTTAGGCAGTCTCATGGCTTTAAACGCCATCTAAATGCTGATATCTCTCATATACCTCTAGCTTGGACCACGCTCCTTAATCCTAGACTCATTCATACATACAACTGCCTAATCAAGATCTCCACTTCAATTTCTAATAGATACCTTAAAATGGAACTTCTCCAAAACTGAACTCCTCTTTTGCCTCAAACTTCCTCTATTTGTAGTCTTCCCCATCTCCCTTGGTGTTTTCCCCATAACCTTTATTAGCATTCTTATCCAATTTGATTTTATTGATTACATTTATTATTTATTGCCCCTCTCTCTCACATCCACAAGCGCAAGGATTTTTGTCTGTTTTGTTTATGTAACCGAAACAACTTGAATGGTGCCTGGGTACTCATAAATCTTTATTAAATGAATGAATGAAACCACTAGGATTCATCCTTATCTTACTCAGAAATTACTGTCTCTTGACCCAAACAAAATCAATGAAAAATTGGTTTATCTGCAAGCAATAAAATAAGACCAAGTAGCTGTAGTTCCAGCTACATGGGAGGATGGCTTCAGCCCAGGAGTTTGAGTCCAGCCTAGGCAACATGGTAAGACCCCTCTCAAAAACAGAAAGAACAACCACCACAACAAAAATCACCTAGGTTTAAAACCTGTGTCTGTGTGTGGGTTGAGGGAAGGGGCAGACATGAAGGTATCTCTTCAGAACAAGGCACCTGAACAAGGCTTATGCAAAAACCAAGTGAGAATGAGTAATGGTTTGCTTCTGGGGAAACCCCTTCTCAGAGCAACAGGCCGGAATGAGCTCTAACGGGCCACCTAAACTTTGTTAGCATCACGCTTAAACGTGGTAGGTGGGGTAAAAAGCAGCCAAAAAAAAAAAAAAAAAAAAAAAAGCTGCTTCTTCCATTACAAGTCACTTGGATCAACAGCTGTTCTCCCACTAGGGTGGCTCTTTTTTCCCTTATTTGGAACTCATTGTCAAAAGAAAGACACCACACCCTGTGTTATGTAGCCTTAACCAAGCAGCAGGCCACGTCCCAGGCTCCCTGCCTTCAGGACTGTATTTAATTCGGTGTTTTTGTTTTTGTTTTCTTTTGAAATCAGTGTTCCTGGACGGGGCCAGGAAAACTCTGAAGCTGTCTTAAAAACAATATAAACCAAAAAAGTCGGAATTTTTTAAAAGTACATTTTTAAAAAAAGTTGTAGGCCGTTAGAGGCGAACTGGAGCGTGGTAAGGGGGGCACCGAGTTCAGCAGTGGGGCGCCCTGTCCGCGTTCGAAGCTGAGCCCAGTCCTGGGGGGATGCCCCGGTCTGCGTCTCCAGCTGCGGCAGACACCCCCTTCCCCCGACCGCCACCAAGGGCGAGGGAGGACGAGCCAGTCCCCAGGGAAGGAGCCCCAAGCTTCCCTTGAATTTCCAAACAACCCGTCCAGACACGTCCTGACTCCAGGAGAAGAGTCCATGGGGAGCGTCGGTGCTGCCGGGGCGGGTGGCGGGACGCGCAGCTGGGCGCAGCGCGGGGAGCCGGAAGCCGGAGCAGACTGCGAGGCCAGCGCGGTCCGGGGGTCGCCGCATCAGCCAGCGAGAAGCACGCCCCAATCCGCGCCGAGCGTGCGACACCCCCGCTGCCGCGGCGCCCCCTCCCGCCTCCGCGCGCCTCCCCTTTAAGCTCCAGGCGCAGTCGATTTGTGTCGGCGGAGGCGAGGTGCGACTCCCCTTTATGGCGGAGTCGGCAGCAGCCTCTCTGACAGCCGCGGCGGCCGGCGGGCGAACAGGGCAGGAGGCTGGGCCTCTGGCCTCTCGCCGCCTTCACTGCAGCCGGGCCGAGGGGAGCGCGGCGCGCGCCGCGGCGGGGGCGGGGGAGTGGGCGGGCCCGGCCGGGCAGGGGGCGGGGAGGCGGGGGGAGGCGGGGAGCCCGGCCGCCAGCGCTCGGGTCCGCCTCTGACTGCAGCGCGGCGGGGCGATGTGTGATTACCATGGCGAGGAGTCTCTGTCCGGGGGCCTGGCTAAGGAAACCCTATTACCTCCAGGTAGGCCGGCGGCCGCCCAGCCACCAGCTGCGGGAGCACCCGGCCGTGTGCCCTGCCGCGCCGCGCAGGACTCGCCCGCTCCCCTCCTCCCTCCCTGGGTCTGTGCCCGCCCGAACCCCGCTGCCCCCTGCCGTCCGGCACCTGGCGGCGCGCCCTCCCCAGCCCCCTCAGCGGCTCTGCCGACGCCCCCCACCGCGGCCCTCGCGGCTCCCGCGCCGCGGCCAGCCGGGCTCCAGGGCCCGAGTCGTCCCGCCCGGGTACGCCCTCGCATCCTGAGAGCCCCGAGACGTGACCTGGGTACGACCCCGCGCTCCGGGCATTGCCCGCAGCCCTGCGCCGCTCCAGGCGGAGCTCGACGGGCCGCCTTCTCCCTGGTGTTTTCGGGGCTTTCCCCCCTCCCCCGTGGGCCCCCGCAGGTCGGTTGCCCTTGACTCAGTGTCTTGGGTCTTAAGTCGGTGGTAGGAAAGGTGGTGTAGCATTCCTCCGTGTCTTAGAAAATTATGACAATTTGTCACACCAGTGTTTCCCCAGGCTCCAAAAAGCAGCGTGTGCCTCGTGCCGAGCCCCTTGGTTGGGTCGTTCCATCACACCCAAGATTTAAATGGGAGGTGGAGACCGATAAGCCTGAACCAGGCGGATGGGTGTTTGCTTTTTAAAGGAAAGGGGCTAGTGGCTGGTCTGTGGATCCCAAATACCCTAGTAATGCAAACGTAATTCTCAGTCATGTCGTGTGTACGGTTCGCGTGTTAATTTTTCATGATTTCCCGTTCCACCCTCTGTTCCGCTGCCAGTCTGTGCCTTGGAACCCTACTACTGCCTAAGTGTACTGTTTGGTCACCAGGGGGACCTAGTAGACACCGCGAGTAGCTGAGCGCAAATCCATCACTCCGATGGAAAAACAACTACAAATCAATGCCTTGCGTGGGTCAGCAGTGTTAGCCAACGCTGCATTCAGAGGACAGTATTCCTTTACCGCTTACATTAAAAGGCCAAGAGGTAGATGATTTGGGGTCAGCTGGTGCTTTTATAAATTATGAAAAAAGTTGAGAAGGTAACCATCATGAGGCAAGTAAATCTTACATTTTTGTTTGAAAATTGTATGTGTAAGTCATTACCCTGAAATGAGTGACGTATTGCAAATTGGAAGCATGATTTGACAACCCATGATATTAAGCGTGTACGAATAAAACTGAGTCTTTGTAGCAAGCACCACCAATAGTAATTGTGCACTTGAGTAACACTGTCACAACCCCTTCTAGAATTCAACCCAGGCCAGGTACCTCTGTGTAATCTTTTATGTGAGTTTAAAAAAAAGCTTACCGGCCAGGCGCGATGGCTCACACGTGTAATCCCGGCACTTGGGAGGCCGAGGCGGGCTGATTCCTTGAGCTCTGGAGTTTGAGACCAGCCTGGGCAACATTGTGAAACCCCGCCTCTACTAAAAATACAAAAAAAAAAAAAAAAAAAAAAAAGTTGGTTGGGTGCCTGTGGTCCCAGCTACTCCGGGAGGCTGAAGTGGGAGTATGGCTTGAGCCCCGGAGCGGAGATTGCAGTGAGCTGAGATCACGCCACTGCACTCCAGCCTGGGCAACAGAGTGAGACCTTGCCTCTTAAAAACAAAAACAAAAACAAAAAAACGGCCAGGCGCAGTGGCTCATGCACTTTGGGAGGCCGAGGCGGGCGGATCACGAGGTCAGGAGATCGAGACCATCCTGGCTAACACGGTGAAACCCCGTCTCTACTAAAAATACAAAATATTAGCCGGGCGTGGTGGCGGGCGCCTGTAGTCCCAGCTACTCGGGAGGCTGAGGCAGGAGAATGGCGTGAACTTGGGAGGCAGAGCTTGTGGTGAGCCGTGATCGTGCCACTGCATTCCAGCCTGGGCGACAGAGTGCGACTCCGTCTCAAAAAAAAAAAAAAAAAAAAAGTGTTTTACTGTGGAAATTTGTATACCTTCAGAAAACAGAAAACAATAATGAACTGTCATATGCCCATCAGCCACCCTCATCAGTATTTTATTTCATTTCACCTCCCCCACTCCCTCTTCCAACCAAACTTATTTATTTATTTATTCATTTATTTATTTATTTAGAGACGGGTCTCCTTCTGTTGCCCAGGCTGGAGTGCAGTGGTGCCATCTGGGCTCACTGCAGCCTGGACTTTCCAGGCTCAGGTAATCCTTTCACCTCAGCCTCCTGAGAAGCTGGGACTACAGGCGCACACCACCATGCCCAGCTAATTTTTTTAATTTTTGTAGACACGGAGTTTCGCCGTGTTGCCCAGGCTAGTCTCAAACTCCTGGGCTCAAGCAGTCCTCCTGCCTTGACCTCCCAAAGTGATGGGATTACAGGCATGAGCCATCAAGCCTGGCTGAACCAAAGTATTTTAAAGTAAACCTCAGGCATCACATCATTTCATCTCAGTACCTCAATATACATTTCTAATAGATAAAGATATTTTCAGACATAATCATAATACCATTATCATGCCTAACAAAGTTAATAACAATTTATTTTTCCCACCCCTTTCTAGATATGCATCAACCTGAGATTACTAACTAAATTTGATTTGCCATGGAGTGAGTTTACTGTGATTTGGATGGGTCTCTCTGCAAAAAGCAAAACAAAAAACCCTCCTCTTATCAGCTCATTCATGCC
Organism: Homo sapiens; assembly: GCF_000001405.40. NCBI lineage: Eukaryota > Metazoa > Chordata > Mammalia > Primates > Hominidae > Homo > Homo sapiens. The sequence goes on along the minus strand of NC_000001.11, from coordinate 92,958,718 downwards.
ACAAATTCTTATGAGGGAAACTAGTTTGATTTCATGTTTTGAAAGAATGTCTTAGAATACAGATGTCTGGTTTAAGTAACTTTTCCTGTGAATGAATGTATTATTTTAATTTAGAGTGAGGGTATAACTATTCAGCAGGTATAAGAGATCTTGTTCTGTTTGGGGGGAGGGGAAGGGTAAGAGTACAGGAAGAAGTTGGATTTATTTCACAGATAGAGGGAAGAGATGGAGGGCCAGGAAGAGGAGAGAAAGGTTGCAGAGACCAGCTTTGTATACTTGCAGTTATGCTGTTTGTCTTTAACTGGATGGGGTCAAAGACCAGTTATGTCCTGAGGTGTTCAGGCCTTAGGAGCTGTGAGTTCCCTTTTTTCTGCAGTGTACAGGAGAAAACTTTTAAGCAGTCAGCTTACTTGTAAAGGAACTTCATTCTCAGTATTTTTATTAATCCAGATATCACTGTGGCATTTGGTAACGCTTTTGGAAAACTGTGGCATTACACAATTAATGATATATTTTCAGCCATAATAGACATTCATGAGCTAATGCAGGCACCTATTCACTGTTTATAGCTTTGCTTATATAGCAGAAGAGATTCTACTGCCTGTGAAGAAAAGAACTTGTGTGGTATATGCATACAACAGAATATTATTCAGCAATAAAGTGAAATGAAGTTCTGATACACACTGTAACATGGATGAACCTTAAAAACATTAAATATATGAAACTAGTCACAAAAGATCACGTATTATTTCATTCATATGAGATGTCCAGAATGGGCAAATCTATAAAGACAAAAAGATAGATTAGTGGTTGCCTGGGGGGAAATGGGGAGTAACTACTGATGGATATGAAGTGTTCTTGAGGGGGACAGAAATGTTCTAAAATTGATAGTGGTGATGGTTGCCCAAGTATGTGAATATACTAAAACCTACTGAACGTTATGCTTTAAATGAATAAATTGTAGGATATGTGAATTATTAGTATATCTCCATAAAACAGTTGAAAAATAAATGAACCGAGTTTATCTCATGAAAGTCGTCCTTCTTCTCTCTGCCTTTTGCTGCAGATTCCACCAAGGTCAGCTTTTTGGTGCAGGGAGCACTTCTTCCAGGGGAGCTGGGCAGGCACACTGTTAGTCTGTGCAGCCTCTCTGTGGGCTAGAAGGACTTGTGACCTGCCTGGAAGGGCCAACAGACGTTTACCTGAGCAACAAGCTTCTCATGGCAAGGCATCTTGCCCAGAGCAAGCAAGCTAATTTACAGTTCCATGTTTTCCAGATATTTTGTTGAAACATTACTTGGGAAATAACACTTCCTGGACTGGCTAAATGATGCAGCACATTGAACAGAGTAGAATCCTGCCTCTGAGATCAGAAACTGTGGATGTATTAACTGCTTAAACCATTTTTAGGCAGTATTTTCTTCCACGTGCCATTATGGTGCATACTACTTGTGGCCTGCTTGGGTGTGATAACCCAGAATGACACCTGCATTTGTCTTTTTTTAGCAGTGTGTTTTCTACAAACTAAGATCTACTTTGTTTAGGGTTTACTCATAGTCTGAGTGAAGCTGATAACACAGCAACCCTATAATTTGTTGGTTTTGGTTTAAAATACCTTCTTCCTTCTCACCATCGTTAAGTCCTGAAAGAATGAAAGTCAAGACAATTCAGCATAATTCTCTGTACTTAGATTATACACATTTTCCATTCCAATCATTCTGCCTATGTGTTCTGTTGCATATGAAAAGTTGGTGCAGTTCTAATGGAATTTGAAGTCCCATGTACTTGGGTCCTTTGAAGGTTTTCAAGCCGTTTTGCTTGTAAGGGGCTTAAAGTTTTAGAAGTATCCTCTTGAAAATGACTGCCCTAGCAATTTCAGTATGTGTTCAGTAGGGTTGTTATGAGTGAATGGGTAGATGGCATGTTCTAGCTAGGGTGTTTGCACTTGTTTAACATTTCTGATACCTGGCACTTTGGCTCGTATTAGTACAATTTTTCAAACATGACTGCTGTGGATGGTTTGGTTCCTTATGAGTTAATGTGGATATTTTGTGAGATTTAGTGCCAGACAGGGTTACTGATACAGATTAATTGGTAATAGTAGTAATGTTGCCAAATACTGTAGTAAAAATGGGCTTTTTGCCCATTTTCAGTCTCCAGGATTATTTTAAATCTAAGGATAATTAGAGCCTATGGTTGTTCTCTATCCTCCAAAGACAATAGAGGGAGAAGATCTGTAGTTTGTATAGTTCTCATTAACTTTATTAGACCTGCTGTTCAGAGATTAGCTTTTGCCTTTGCCTGAAATTTAATCTCCAGAACTATGATTAGCTTTCTGAGACTGGTATGTGTACAGAGAGCCACTTGATATTACCATTAGTTGCTTTTGAACCTTTGTTAGAAGCTCAAAGAAATGGTGAATTCTCAGGCAGATTGCATCCTTACCACATTTCTTTCAAACTGGACCATACAGTAAAAGTGTTTCTTCACTGTAGTCTTCTCAGTGCCTCAGATTTTTTTTTTAAGTTAAAGATTTAAAAGTTTTTAGAGCCATTTTAAGTTCACAGCAAAATTGAGAGGAATGCAGAGAGATTTCCCATATACCCCTTGTCCTGACACATGAATAGCCTCCCTCCTTTTCTTTTCTTTTTTTTCCCCTTTTCTTCTTTTCTTTTCTCTTCTTGATACAGGATCTCCCTCTGTCACCCAGGCTGGAGTTCAGTGACACAATCATGGCTCACTGCAGCCTCTACCTCCCATACTCAAGTGATCCTACTGCTTCAGCCTCCTGAGTAGCTACAGGCACATCCCACCAAGTCCAGCTAATTTAAATATTTTTTTAAGAGACAGTGGTCCCACTGCATTGCCCAGGCTGGTCTTGAATTCTTGGGCTCAAGTGATCCTCCTGCCTTGGCCTCCCAAAGTGCTGGAATTATAGGAATTAACCACTGTGCCTGGCCCCTCCCCTATTTTCATTTTTTTTTCTTTTTTCTTTCTTTTCTTTTCTTTTTTTTTTTTTTTGAGACAGAGTCTCACTCTGTCACCCAGGCTGTAGTGCAGTGGTGCGATCTCAGCTCACTGCAAGCTTTGCCTCCCAGGTTCATGCCATTCTCCTGCCTCAGCCTCCCAAGTAGCTGGGACTACAGGTGCCCGCCACCACTCCTGGCTAATTTTTTGTGTTTTTAGCAGAGACGGGGCTTCACTGTGTTAGCCAGGATGGTCTCGATCTCCTGACCTCGTGATCTGCCTGCCTTGGCCTCCCAAAGTGCTGGGATTACAGGCGTGAGCCACCGTGCCCAGCCCCCTCCCCTATATTTAACATCCCCCACATAATGGTACATGTTTTACAGTTAATGAACTTACACTGACGTATTATCACCCAAAGTCCATAGTTTTACATTAGAGTTCATTCTTTGTGTTGTACATTCAGTGTGTTTGGATAAATGCATAATGACATGTATCCATCATTATTGTATAGAGTGTAGTTTCACTGCCTTAAAAATCTGTGCTCTGCTTATTTATCCTTCTGTCCCCACTGAGCCCCCAAAAGCCACTGGTCTTTATTGTCTCCATAGTTTTGCCTTTTTCTAAAATGTCATCTAGTTGGAATCACGTAGTATTTTAGGTAGCCTTTTCAAATAGGCTTCTTTCACTTAGTAATATGCATTTACGTCTCCTCTATGGCTTTTCATGGCTTAATAGCTCATTTCTTTTTAACGCTGAATAATATTTCGTTGTCTGGGTGTACCACAGTTTATCCATTCACTTACTGAAGGGCATCTTAGTTGCTTCCAGTATTTGGCAATTATGAATAAGGCTGCTACATAAACATCTGTGTGCAGGTTTTTTTGTGGAGTGCCCCAGTTTTTCATCTTGATGGATTATAGTATTATTTTTTATTCTCCATGAAAGTTTTCTTTTTTTGTAGCAGTTAGGTACATTTTATTGTTTTTATTTTTAAAAGTTGTTTCTAAAAGCAACACTATATCATCCTGTTAAATACCATCATTTTACATTGTCTGATTGAAGAGGTAAGGTGTTGTCGGCTGGGCACGGAGGCTCACGTCTGTAATCCCAGCACTTTGAGAGGCTGAGGCAGGTGGATCACTTGAGGTCAGGAGTTTGAGACCAGTCTGGCCAATGTGGCGAAACCCTGTCTCTACTAAAAGTACAAAAAATAGCCGGGTATGGTGGCATGTGCCTGTAGTCCCAGCTACTTGGGAGGCTGAGGTGGGAGAGCTTGAACCCGGGAGTTGGAGGTTGCAGTGAGCCAAGATCACGCCACTGCACTCCAGTCTGGGTGACAGAGTGAGACTCTGTCTCAAAACAAAAAAAAAAAAAAAAAAAAGAAAGAAAAGATAAAGTGTTAATATTTTTAACATATCCATTTCTTTTATTTATTTATTTATTTTTTTTTTTGTGAGACAGGGTCTTGCTTTGTTGCCCAGGCTGGTCTCAAACTCCTGGGTTCAAGTGCACCTTCCCACCTTGGACTTCCAAAATGCTAGGATTATATGTATGAGCTACTATGTCTGGCCATATTCATTTCTAGATGTTCAAATCATTTGCAAATAATTTTCCTTTAAAACTTTTTAATCTACGAAGTATGCGAGTTTAGAAAACCAGGATATTGCAATGTGCATGTTTTAATAACCCAAAATATTAGTAAATGAATTTATCTTTGAAAATAAGCAATTCCTTTTTTGTTGTTGATTGGGTATTTAATGAAATTAAATAGTTATCTTTCTTAGGTGTGATCATGGAATGGTGGTTATTTTTTTCTGTTTCATTTTTTGTTTTTTTAAATTATGGTCAAAAGCACATAAAATTTGCTATCTTAACCATTTTTAAGCATATAGTATAGTAGTATTAACTATTTTATGCACTTTGTGCAGCAACAAAGATCTGTGCAGCAGATCTCTAGAACTTCTTCATCCTGCAAAGTCGAAACTCTACCCATTGAACGACTCCTCATTTCCTCCTGCCCCTGGCCCTTGGTGACCACATTCTGCTTTCTGTTTCCATTAGACTGCTTTATACTTCATATAAGTGGAATCACACAGCATTTGTCTTTTTGTGACTGCCTTATTTCACTTAACATAATGTCACCCATGTAGATTATGACAGGATTTCCTTCTTTTTTAAAGGTGAATAGTATTCCATTGTATGTATATTCCACATTTCCTTTATCCATTCATTAGTCGATGAACATTTAGGTTGCCTCTACCTCTTGGCTATTGTGAATTGTACTACAATGAACATGGGAGTGCAAATATCTCTTTGAGATCTTGCTTTCAATTTTTTTGTATATCCAGAAGTGGGATTGTTGGATCACATGGTAATTCTATTTTTAATTTTTTTAGCAACCTTCATACTGTTTTCCAAAGTGGCTTTACCCTTTTACATTCCCACCAACAATACACAAGGGTTTCAATTTTTCCACATCCCCGTCTGCACTTCTTTTCTTTTTTTTTTTTTAAGAGTGACCATTCTCACGGGCGTGAGCTGATACCTTGTTTTAGTTTTTATTCACTTTCCTGATGATTAGTGGTGTTGAACATCTTTTCATATGCTTTTTGGCCATTTGTATATCTTCTTTGGAGAAAGTTCCTTCTTGATTTGTTGTTTCAGATTGATATTTATTCAACAGGGTTATGTGTTATTGTGAGCAGAGTTCCCCTTTCTTAAGAACAGGGTAAACATGTTTGAAGATATTCTTCCAAGAGAGATTTTAATGTATTAACAAGCTTCTGAATTAGTACATCCATTTCAGATGTAGCATAGTATCAGAGTCATAGACTATTATTAGATCTTAGAGCTAGTGCCACAAGTTTTACTCCCTGTCCCCCACTGCTTGAAAATTGGGACTCCTTATTTATTTTAAATCTAGAATGTTGATCAGGCTGCCATCCTATGTACCTTTCATTGGATCCTGTATTTTTTTTTAAAAAAAAGCCATAAAGGATTTTTTTTAGATTACGGGGAAATTTGAAAATGGATTACATATTGGATAGTAGTATTGTATCAATGTTAAATTGTGCTGTATGGGATAGTGTTCTGGTTTTCAGAAAATATAAACTGTAGTGTTTTTTTCAGGCAAAGTCTTGCTTTGTTACCCAGGCTGGAGTGCAGTGGCGTCATCATGGCTCAATGGTTCACTGCAACCTAGCCTTCCTGGCTCAAGCGATCTCCCACCTCAGCCTCCCAAATAGCTGGGCCCACAGGCCTGTGCCACCACACCTGGCTAGTTTTTGTATTTTTTGTAGAGACCAGGTTTCACCATGTTGCCCAGGCTGGTCTCGAACTCCTGGGCTCAAGCAGTCGGCCCACCTTGGCCTCCCAAAGTCCTGGCATTACAGGCGTGAGCCACTATGCCCAGCCAAAACTAAAGCCTTTAGGGTAAAAAGTATCATAATGTCTGTAATTTACTTACAAATGGTTCAGGAAAAAAATGTTTGTATATACATATACAGAAAGCAGGGTTTCTTAATCTCAGCATTATTGATATTTTGGGCTGGATAATTGTGTGGGACTTGGTGTTGCAGGATGTTTAGCAGCATCCATGGGCTCTACCCGTTAGATATCAGTAGCATTCCCCCAGTAGTGACTATCAGATATGTCTCCAGACATTTGTGTGTGTTTTTTTTTTTTTTAAAGAGTGGCCATTCTCATGGGTGTGAGTTGGTATTTCATTGTAGTTTTAATTTCATTTTCCTGATGATAAGTTGTCCTCTGGGGGGCAAAATCATCTACAGTTTAGAATGCCTGATACAGAGAAGGAGAGGGTGGGGGGCGGGGGAGTATTTATGTATATTTAGGAAGAGTGAAAAGGCAAATAAATTAGAACAATGTTAGCAGTTGATAAATATAGGTAGGTATAGGGTATAAGAGTATTCATTGTATTAGTCTTTTAAATTTTCTGTAGGTTTAAACATTTTCAAAATTAGTTTGGGGAAAGTAAATTAGACTGGATTTTATAGTAATTGAGTATGACTGGAAATGTATGAACTCTGTTCAAAGTTACATCTCTTAATAGAAAAATGAGATTTGACAGAGCATATTTGAAGTCAGTGATTAAATAAAGAGTATTAGTTTTCCAGTGCTCCTGTAACGAATTACCACAAATTTAGTGGCTTAAAACAACGCCCATTTGTTTGTACCCTGATCTCAGAGTTTTGTTAACTTAGAAGTCAGGGCACAGTGTGACTCAGCTGTTTCTCTGCTCCAAGTTTCACAAGGTTGAAATCAGTGTCACCAGGGCTGAGTTTCTTTCTAGAGTTTTGGGAATGATTCGGCTTCCAGATTCTTTCCAGTTGTCAGAATTCAGTTACATGTGGTTGCAGGACTGAGTCTCCATTTCCTTGCTGGCTGCTGGCTGAGGATTGTTCTCAGCCTCTAGAGGCCACCTGCATTTCATGGTTCATGGTTCATGGTTCATGTTTCCCTTTCTCCAACTTCAAAGCCAGCAACTATGGGTGGAGTCCTTTGTTTCACATCTCTCTGCCTCCCTCTTCTGCCTCATCTTACTAACTCCTCTGCCTTCCTCTTCTGCTTTTAAGAGCTCGTATGATTGCGTTGGATCCACTCAGATAATCCAGGATAATCTCTATTTTAAAGTCATCTGAGTAGTAACCTTAGTTCCACTTGCAAAGTCCCTCCTTCACAGCAGTACTTGGATTAGTATTTGAAATAACCAGAGGGTGGAAATGTTGGTGGATATCTATAGAATTCTGCCTCCACAGGAAGATATAATTGAATTCTAATAGTAAAAAAAAGTAATTATTTCTTAAAATACTTTGTTTCTTTCCTATTAGTATTAGGTTTAACGGTGGTACCAAAGCAAGAGATTTTTATAAGAGAGCTATGATTATATTAATCCTTCTGGCAATAACTATGAAAGGAGTCTTGGATGTTTATTAAAGGAAGGAAAATGAAAATAGCTGCTAACAATTACATTTGGAAATACTTGTTTTTACCATAAACACTATTCTTTTTTGTTTGTTTGTTTGAGACAGGCTCTCCCTCTGTTTCCTAGACTGGAGTGCAGTGGCACAATCATAGCTCACTGCAGCGTCGTCCCAGGCTCAAGCAAGCTATCCTCCCGCCTCCCAAATAACTTTTGAATGCATCATCTCATCTTCATTCTTCTGCTGTTACTGTAATTCACATCTCCTTTTGTCTAATTAGGCCCATTGTAATAGCCCAGTCTAACCCTTTCAGATCTATCCTCCACATTGCTTCCAAAGTAATTTGTTCAGGTCTCCCTTCCTGCTGGTGAAATCCTTCAGTGGCTTCCCATTGCCTTTAGGAGTCTATGCAGAGTTCTGAGCACCGCTCTTCATTTCTTGCCCCTTCCTATATTGTCGTTCCATTCCTGCCACTACCACCTTGTGCACCATTTGCTCTATCAATCCTGAAAAACTTCCAGTTTCCAGACAACATGCTCTCTCTCATGTGTCAACGTGTCCACCCCACCTTTCCTCTTTGCCTTAGAATGTCCTTTCCCCATTTGCTCTCCATACCCATTCATCTGGTTTATTGTCTTTTTTTTACTTGTCCTTTAAGTCTCAACTCAAAGAGGAAGTGACCTTTCAGCAGTCCCTCCTTAATACTCCACAGTATTAGTGTACCTCTTCTGTGACCCAAACTGCGAGTGCATGATACCTGGCATGCTCTTCTCTTAAGCACTTAGAAGACTGAAATGTTGTCAGTGGTTTCCATATCCTTCTTCCATCCCAGACTGTGATCTCTTTGAGAGCTAAAATGTCAGTTTTCTCTGTCTTTTGTGGCTAGGGCAGAGCAGATGAGGAAAAAATATTTGTTGAATGAAATGAATCAGCATACATAATTGTAAAGATACAGAGTTTTATAGAACTGATTAGATAAACTAATTCCTTATCTGAAAGAATGTGTACACAGCAAGTCAAATAGTATAGATGAGCTTATGATACAAACTATGTTTCTCCTTCCACTTCATCCTGCCCCTAGCTTTATTCCCTAAAGGTAGCCTCTCTTTAACCATTTATATTTTTGGATTTCCTGGTTACTATGCCTCTTACTTCTATAGCTATATCTCTAAAGAAAACTGTACACATCCTGGGAGGTTCATAAGATTCTTAATTTGAGTACTGAAAGAAATTATTGCTGGGCACAGTGGCTCATGCTTGTAATCCTAGCACTTTGGGAGGCCGAGGTGGGTAGATCACCTGAGGTCAGAAGTTCGAGACCAACCTGGCCAACATGGTAAAACCCCGTCTCTACTAAAAATACAAAAAAATTAGCTAGGTGTGGTGGTGGGTGCCTGTAATCTCAGCTACTCAGAAGGCTGAGGCAGGAGAATTGCTTGAACCCGGGAGGTGGAGGTTGCAGTGAGCTGAGATTGCGCCATTGCACTCCAGCCTGGGCAACAAGAGCGAAACTCTGTCTCAAAAAAAAAGAATTATTTGAAATTTTATTTATTGTATACATTTTGGAAAGTATATTAACTTTATTAAGTTTTTTAAGTTCCCCAAATACTTCCTGAAGGAAGGTGAAGTTCTAATTTTGGGGGTGGGAGTGGGAGGGTAGAGAAGTGGGTAAGAAGAATGTCAAATCGTTGGTTCTTTATTTGTATGCTGCTTTAAAAAAATGAAGTTAACTAATCCCAGTACTTTGAGAGGCTGAAGTGGGTGGATCACCTGAGGTCAGGAGTTCGAGACCAGCCAGGCCAATATGGTGAAACCCCATCTCTACTAAAAATACAAAAAATTAGCCGGGTATGGTGGTGGTCATCTGTAATCCCAGCTACTTGTGAGGCTGAGGCAGGAGAATCGCTTGAACCCGGGAGGTGGAGGCTGCAGTGAGCCAAGATCGCACCATTGCACTCCAGCCTGGGCAACAAGAGTGAAACTCCACCTCAGGGGGGAAAAATATATATATATACACACACATATATATATATACACACACACACATATATATACATATATATGTATATATACATATATATTAAATATAAAAAATATATGTGTATATACATATGTGTATATATACATATACATGTATATATACACATATGTATATATACGTATATATATTAAATACAAAAAAATATAAAATAAATATATATATATGAATATGAAGTTAACTACCTTTTAGCTGGGTGTGGTGGCTCATGCCTGTAATCCCAGCACTTTGGGAGGCTGAGGCAAGAGGATCACTTGAGCTCAAGAGTTCGAGACCAGCCTGGGCAACATAATGAGAACCCGTCTCTATTTTTTAAAGAAAAAAGTTAATTACCTTTTTAAAAAAGTTTTTAAAAATTATTTTTAGTTGACACATAATTGTACATATTTATGGGGTACAATGTGATATTTCAATACATGTTCCATTCCTGCCACCACCACCTCATGTACCATTTGCTCTAGCAATCCTGAAAAACTTCCAGTTTTCCAGACAACATGCTGTCTCATGTGTCAACATGTCTACCCTACCTTTCCTCTTTGCCTTGGAATGTCCCTCCCACTTTCTGTCAGCTACACTTTTACTTTTATACTGCCAAAGTTGATAACATTTATATTTTTTCCTATTGTACAACCAAGTCTCCATGTAAGTATAATGATCAAATCAGGATAATTAGCACGTCTATCCCCTTAAACTTTTATCATTTCTTTAAACTGGGAACATACAAAATCCTCTCCTAGCTATTTGAAAATATGCAATAAATTATTGTTAACTAGAGTCACTCTACAGTGCTGTAGAATACTAGAACTTATTCCTCCTATCTAGCTGCACTTTTGTGTCGGTTAACCAATCTTTAGCTATTCCTCTGTCCCCCGTACCTTTTCCTACCTCTGGTAACCACCATTCTACTATCTATTTCTATGAGATCAACTGTTTTAGTTTCCACATATGAGTGAAAACATGTGGTATTTATCTTGCTGCGCCTGGCTTGTTTCACTTAACATACTGTCCTGCAGGCTCATCCATATTGCCGTGAAAGACAAGATTTCATTGTTTTCTGTGGCTGAATAGTATTCCATTACTTTGATTGATTCCCTATCTTGGCTATTGTGAATCATGCTGCAGTAAACATGGAAGTACAGCTGTCTCTCCATACTGATTTCCTTTCCTTTGGATAAATACCCAGTAGTGGGATTGCTGCATTATATGGTAATTCTGTTTGTAGTTTTTTTGAAGAACCTCCATAATCTTTCCCATAATGGCTGTACTAATTTATATTCCCACCAACTGTGTATAAGAGTTCCCTTTTCTCTGCATCTTTGCCAGTATTTGTTATTTTTTGTCTTTTTGGTAATAGCCATTCTAACTGGGGTGAGATGATAGCTCATTGTAGTTTTGATTTGCATTTCCCTGATGATTTTCTTATCCTTGTTTTGACCATTTGTATGTCTTCTTTTGAGAAATGTCTGTTCAGATCATTTGCCCAGCTTATATACTTTTAAAAAATATCTTAAAATGTTTATTTTTGTATAAGAATAACTGATGATTTTCTGTATTTTGATGTATTATTATAAGTATTTCCCCGCCTTGAAAAATGCATTCAAAATTATTCTTACATACTTAAAACTTTTATTTTTGTGTAAGTTACTATATACATATAATAGATGAGTATAGTCGTAGTTTTACATAGAATAGAAATAACTAAATATAATTATATCAGGGATTTGTGCTTATTACTATTTTCCTGAAAGGATTGCATTATCAAAAAAATTTGGAGATCACTGCTCTACATAATAGACTTTTATGTCTGTGTGGTTTTTTTTTTTTTTTTTTGAGACAGGGTCTCACTCTGTCACCCAGGCTGGAGTACAGTGGCACAGTCTCAGCTCACTGCCGCTTCAACATCGCAGGCTCGGGAGATCCTCCCACCTCAGCCTCCCAAGTAGTTGGGACCATAGACAAGTGCCACCAGGCTTGGCCAATTTTTGTATTTTTTTATAGAGGCAGGGTTTCACCATGTTGCCCAGGCTGATCTCAAACTCCTGGGCTCAAGCAATCTGCCTGCCTCAGCCCCCAAAGTACTGGGACTACAGGCATGAGCCATCGGGCCCAGCCTACCTCTGTTTCTTGATTTATCAAGTTTAGTTAATATTTGCTAACTTGGTGTTAAAAAATGAATATTTAGTTTTCTCACATCATTATCCCTCTCCATTGTTTGATAGTTGTAATTTTAATTTAACTTATTCTGTTGCTTAACTTGGTAACCTCAGAAATAACAACTGTTTCTTATTTTATCCGCTTTTGACAGTCTTTCTTGACTCTCCCCTTTTTTAGAAGGGACATGAGAACATGTGCTCCTTTTTCTACCTGTTTTTTCCTCTCTTCTACTTCCCACTTTCTGTCAGCTACTTTTAATTTTACACTGCCAAAGTTGATAACATTTATATTTTTTCCTTTTATACAACCAAGTCTCCATATAAGTTGAATTTTGAATATGAGAACTATAAATAATATTATATTATTATGACTTGTTAATTCTTCCATAAAGGAAAATCTCCCTTATAAACCTGAAACCCATTGTCTGCAGCTTATAGTTATTTTCCTTTTATTATAGGAAGCACGTAGAATTAACAGACCTCAACAATTGCCCCTTGTTATTTAGCACATTACTACAAGGATTTGTCCCTTCCCAGAAGCTAGACCATATTTCTGCCAATAGGGAAAAGAACATGTGATGTTTGTAAATTCCCTATTAAAAAGTCCCTTGTATTTAGAAATCATGCTTGTTTGCTTTTTGACGTTTCTATTAAAAAATAATAATTAAAACCTAGCCTTTGGGATCCCTAATGAAGTAACAGAATTATGATTTGAAATCACTGTCCATCGGCCACAGTTTCTCCCCTGAACAGTCAATATGCAGTATTTGTCTTTTGCAATAATTACCTGGTTACACTTAGCTGCAGAAAGTGGACATTTCTTCTGTCATCCGCTCCCCAAATCCAAGTGAACTGAGCTTCTTCTGGAGTTCTGGACCATTCAAATAATGAAAATGACTCTCACCTTCAGGGAGTTAATTGCAGGAAGGAACTAGGTATCATTTGATTCTGTGTTTATAGAAAATAGAAAAGGAGTGAGATACTTTTGGCCACTCTTTCTCTTAGGATCCTGAAGTTTATGTCTTGAGACCAAATACATCAAAGTTAGTTCTTGCCTAAGATGAAAGACATTTCTAATTTTAGTACCCCCTAAAATATGATTCTATAAATATTATTTAGTGCAGAGCCAACTCTATGTTAGGACTACTTTTTCTTCTTGCTGGGGCCAGGGTAATGACCCTGGGCTCTCAAAACTTCAACATTAATAGTAACTGGATCCTCTTTTCTCACACTCTATCAGTTCCTTGTAATCAGGGTACATACAAGCTTGTTTCCTGTTTGAAATGTAGCTTTTTAATGCTATTTGTCTTTTTTCCTTCCTTTTTAAAAATTTTTGCAGGGAGTTTCTAATTGCCTTCTTTTTCTGGCACCATCTTCCTTTATCATAGCCTTATTTTTTCTGTACTCTCACTTATATTTCATATTCTGTGGTGAAATCCTTCTTTTTTTTCTTCTTACCAGAAACCTCCCTCCTCCATGCTTGCGTTCCCATGGTGACCGGATGCTTTTCTAGGCCTACTACACAACTGGCTTCCTAGGATTTCCCTCTCTTCTTCTCATTGGTTGGTGTCACTGTTCTCAGGACCCTAAGTCTTTCCTTGTCCTAATCTGTGCCATCTTCTTCTTTGGCAAGGATGTGTGGGAAGTAAACTTTTCGAGTGCTTTCATGTCTAAAACTGTCTTTGGCCAGGCACAGTGGCTCACCCCTGTGATCCCAGCACTTTAGGAGCGCAAAGCAGGAGGATCACTTGAGCCCAGGAGTTTCAGCCAGCCTGTGGGGTTTTGCCATGTTGCCCAGGCTGGTCTCAAATTCCTGGGTTCAAGTGATCCTAATACAAAAATTAGCTGTGCTCCCAGCTACTTGGGAGGCTAAGGTGGAAGAATCCCGTGAACCCAGGAGGTGGAAGCTGCAGTGAGCCAAGATCGCACCACTGCACTCCAGCCTGGGTGACAGAGTGAGACCTTGTCTCAGAAAAACAAAACAAAACAAAAACTGCCTTTATTGTACCCTGGTACTTGTTCGTAGTTGGGCTCAGTGTAGAATTCTGGGCCAAAAATAATCTTCTCAGAAAATTTGCAGATGCAGCTGCTTTGACTTCTGATATCCCCTGTTGCTGACAAGAAGCTAGTTTGATTATCAATCCTTTGTGGGTGACCTGTTTTTCCTGTTCAGGATCTCTGTTTTATATTTTTATTTTGAAGTTTCCAGAGAAAATGTATAAATAGGGTTCTTTTATCAGTTGTATGGGTACTCACTGAGCCCTTTGAATCTTAAGACTTGGATCCTTTCTCAGCTCTGGGAAATTATATTATTTGTTGAATAGTTTCTCCCTTCTTTTTCCTCTGTTTCTTCCTTCTAGAGCTCTTCCTAGTCAAATGGTGGAGCTATTGGATTGGTTCTTTATGTCTTTTCTAGCTTCTCTATTATTTTTATCTTTTATTCATGTACTTTCATTGTTGAGTTTCTCAATTTTATTTTCCAGATCGTTTGTTGATTTTCTTTCCTTTTCTAACCACTTTTTAAACTCTAAGGATCTTATATTTAATTTAAAAGTTATTTGTTTCTTTTTATGGTTTCCTATTCATAGTTTATGTGGATGCACCATCCTCTTCAGTATTTTGATTATAACAATTTTATTTTTTAATGTTTTCTTATGCTCTGTAATTGTCTTCATTCCTTTCAGAGATTTTATTTTCTATATGTTTATCTTAGCTCTTCTTTTTCATGCTGCTGGACTTTCTCATGTGCTTGGTGATTGTTGGTTGTCTGTTCATATTTTAGAAAGAAGGACTAGGTAACTGGTGTGGCTTTCCTCTGCTGTTTTAAAAGTTAGTCTGTTTTCCCATTAGACCTATCACCGGAATGGATGCCTGACTGAGCCCTGTATGTAGGATGGGATGCCTTGGCTGGCCTGTTTGCTCTAGGTTGAGCCTATGCTGGGCTCTGGGGTCCCTCGTGCCAGCGGAGTACTTTACTCTTGTTGGACTATACATACCCACACTAGAAGCCTTGGCTTTCTGCAGTTTGTTCTTTCAGCTATCTGGTTTTTCGAGTAAGGGTTAATGCTAGGCTGCCTATGATCTCTGTGGGGTGGGGGAGGTGGTTGGGGGTGCCAACCAGTGCAGTTCCAGGTACAGATCTTCAATTATTCCCACCGTCTTCAACCTCACTTCTCACTCCTGCCCTCCCTTGTACCTGTTGGCTCGGAGCCCAGAGCCATCAGGTGTTCCAACTGACAGATTGGCTCTCTAGATTCCCTCTAGCATTCCAAGAAGCAGTTTGGCTTCCAGCTCCTTTTAGGTTGCCTGGTAGAGTATTCTGGGCTGTGGCTTTCTCTGCCTGCCTCATCCATCAACACAATTCCATTTGCTTTTTGAAACTAGAAATGTGTTGGATCTTTTATCCGCTGGTGAATTTCCTACTTTTCTTTCTTTCTTTGTTTCTTTCAGCTGTTAGAGATTTATTGCTTCTTTTGCCTTCCTTATTTGAGTGTGGTTTTGCAAGCTGTAAGTAGCAAACATGTATCTTTAGTCTACCATCTTAAACTGAAAGTCCTGATGTGAATTTTAAACTGCAGCATCTGTTTTCTAATATTTACCTACCCTATTTATCTTCATGACTGCAGTGTCTATTTAAGCATTACATAATTAACAAATTAGCTGGGCGCAGTGGCCCAGGCCTGTATTCCCAACACTTTGGGAGGCCGAGGCGGGCGAATCATGAGGTCAGGAGTTCGAGACCAGCCTGACCAACATGGTGAAACCCCGTCTCTACTAAAAATACAAAAAATTAGCTGGGCGTGGTGGCGGGCGCCTGTAATCCCAGCTACTCGGGAGTCTGAGGCAGGAGAATCACTTGAACTCAGGAAGGAGGCAGAGGTTGCAGTCAGCCAAGATCGCGCCACTGCACTCCAGCCTGGGTGACAGTGCTAGACTCTGTCTCAAAAATAAATAAAAATAAAAAACCTAATTAACAAAGTATTTCAATAAAATAAGGTGAGATAATTAGAGTAAATAACTTGAGAGGAATAAAAATAAGATGGAACTTTTTTCCCCAGAAAATCTTGTATACAGTTCATTTTGATAAAAAAGAAAAAGAAAAAAAAACTGCTAAAAGATTAGCGTCTTAAATTAGAATCAATTTTGTGGTTGAGTTCAATGGGTTTTAAGTAAACAATATCCTTTCCACTTTACTCATAATGCTGTTCATACTTGGTTTTGATAATGCTTTTGTCCTATAAAAGATCTTTATATTAATGTAATGAATTGCTTAAACATTTCACCAGCTTTTAAATAGCAATTTGGTAAAATAGAAAGACTCATGAGATAATTTATTCCCCCAGGACAGAGAAGGGATAAACAAGCCTTTTCAGTCTGTGATAGCAGAATGGTTTGGTGAATTTAAAAGCCTTAATTATTATGCTTTAAGCAACAACTTAATTTGCTTCTGTCTGATTCTTAGTTTTTGAGTTCTTCCTTTCATAAACTGTATCATGTTGCTATTTTGCTGCTCATCATTTTGCTGTTTCTCTTTTCCTCATCAAAAAGTATTTACTGCTCATGTCCATATATTCCCTGTGCTGGCGGTGTTGCTGTGGGCTGTAGATGCACACTGGCTTTTTTTTTTTTTTGAGACAGAGTCTCCCTCTGTCACCCAGGCTGGAGTGCAATGGTGTGATCTCAGCTCACTGCAACCTCCGCCTCCTGGGTTCAAGCAATTCTCTTGCCTCAGCCTCCTGAGTAGCTGGGATTACAAGCACGCGCCACCACTCTTGGCTTTTATCTGTACATTTGAGTGCACTTTTCGAGTATAGAGTGTGGATAGTTAAGGGAATCAATTTCTAGATTTTTGAATTCCCGATGTAGTTTTTCCTAACATTGCTCTGCCAGAGAATGTGTTTGGAATGGAGGTGTGTGCTCTGCTTTCCCACCTTCACTTGCGTCGTTATCCTTTCTCACTTTTAGAAAGGAAAGGCACACTGCTAATCCATTTTAGATATTACAAAGGTCCATTGCCCTGGATGTAAAAACTACCAGGACACCAAACAAAGGGCAATTGAAAATTTGGTGTCTGTGTTAAGATAGTGAATGTCGAGAAATACTGTCTCAGGGAATGACTAGATAACAGTTTTTTGCAATATTAGTTTCCAATATTTTGCTGTCAACAGAACTGAAAGAAGGCCTGATAGAGTTGTCTGCTAAGTAACTAATAGATCAGTAAGTATATTTTTGATGGTAGGTTACTGTTATTTTTGTCACATAACTCAAAAGATTTCCAAGAATTGAGAGATAATTGCTACAACAAGACTTCCATTTTTATCTTTTCATTTATGTGAAAAAAGTTTCTCACCACTTAAAGTTATAAAAACAAAAAATAGGGATAATTCTGTTTTTTAATAGCTGAGTCCTATTTCATTCTGGCAAGAAATAATAGTTACTGCACGTTCTTAGATGACACCAAAAGCATGGTTCATAAAGGAAAAATTGATAAATTTGATCTTATCAAAATTAAAATCTTTTTCTCTGCTAAAGACCCTGTTAAAAAGATGAAAAGACAAGCTACAGACTGGGAGAAAATATTTGCAAATCACATATCTCACAAAGGACTAGTATCTGGAATATACAAAGAACTCTCAAAACTCAGTTTTAAAAAATAGTCCAGTTAGAAAGTGGGAAAAAGACACGCATAGACATTTTACCAAAGCTATATAGATGGCAAGTAAACACAGATGAAGACATTCAAGCTTATTAACCATTAGGGAATTGCACATTAAAACCGTGATGAGATATCATCAGAATGACTAAAATTAAAAATAGTGAAAACACCAAATGCTGGCAAGGACGCAGAGCAACTGGATGATTCATACATTGATGTAAAATGATACAGCCATGGAAAGCAGTTTGCAACTATTTAAACTTATGGTGAAAAATTGTAGATGTCAACTTAAAAATATGCAAGGGGGTATATAGTTTTCAAATTATTTGTGGGATCCACAAACAAAAATGCTAGAGTTTAAAACCATAATACCTCCATTGCTGAAAGGGCTACATTCCAAAAGAATGCCTTTTAAGAAATCAGAATCTTAAATATCAGAGGTAGTTGAAATATTAAGGAACTTGGCATTTGTCTGTTAAGGGGTAGAATTGTAGTACCAAAAGTCCCTTAATTAAATGATAATCACATAAAATATGGCACTAGTAAGAGTAAGAAAAAGAAGTGTTGTACTATGTTAAGATGATGTTATTGGCTTTAAATGCCTATTTTTAAATCAAGGTCAAGGGATGTGCTCGGACAGATGTGTTCAATAGCCATGTTCTAAACAGGCAAGAGAGAAAAAGGAAAGGCAAGTCAGGGGAGAGTTGTGTTTTTAGCAGTCTGTGTTGGGTAGGGCAGAGTGATGTCGGACACTCATCTCTACTCCCAGAAATCACCCTGAAAGGACTACATCAGGTTTACCTTTAGGTAATGCATGATTTCAGATTTCCTATTTCTAGCTCCCCATGTATGGAAAATCTCTATATATGCTTGATGATGCTGTCCCAGTCTTCTTAAATGGGGGATTAAGCCTTCCATTTCACCATTAGCCAGCTTAATATACAGGTACTTAAAGGATTAGTTATAGTATAAATGAATTTCAGTCATTTGATAAATATAGTTGTTTTTTTTTTGAGACAGGGTCTCACTCTGTCGCCTAGGCTGGAGTGCAGTGGCGTGATCTCAACTCACGGCAACCTCTTCCTCCCGGGTTCAAGTGATTCTCCTGCCTCAGCCTCCTCAGTAGCTGGGATTACAGGCATGGGCCACCACTGGCTAATTTTTGTGTTTTTTGTTAGAAACAGGGTTTCACTATGTTGGCCAGGCTGGTCTTAAATTCCTGACCTCAAGTGATCTTCCTGCCTTGGCCTCCCAAAGTGCTGGGATTACAAGCATGAGCTACTGCTTCCAGCCCTGATAAATGTAAATTTTCTATGATCATTTTTTAGTTGACAGAGAAGAATGTGGGAGGAAAGGGGTATCATTGGGTGGAAGGGGGCATATGGGAAGGTGGGGAAGCAGAGGGTTAAGCTTTGAAGTCTACAAATAGAAGCAGAAGTGAGGTATTTTAGTCTTGCTAATGTATTACTTCACATGATTTAGGAATGTTTTGGTTAATTTTTAAAAATACTGCTGACTGCTCTATTAAGAAATTTGTATCCCTGAAGATTAATTAACCTAAAATATATCCTATTAAATTAGACTAATGCAAAAATGGCCTATAGCTAGATCTACCCAGTGAATGTAAAAGTCATTCGGTTATGTAGACTTCCCTCCCCAAAGGTGATAGAAATTCAGTGTACAAAATGATAGTATTTGGTTATAAATGTCTTATGTAGCAAGTATTTTTATTGAAGTAATTTTGAATTTAAAGAAAAATGGAAGGCCAGGCGTGGTGACTCACACCTGTAATCCCAGCACTTTGAGAGGCCGAGGTGGGCAGATCACCTGAGGTCAGGAGTTCGAGACCAGTCTGTCCAACATGGTGAAGCCCCGTCTCTGCTAAAAATACGAAAAATTAGCCAGGCGTGGTGGCGGGCGCCTGTAATCCCAGCTACTTGTGAGGCTGAGGCAGGAGAATCACTTAAATCCGAGATGCAGAGGTTGCAGTGAGCCGAGATCACACCACTGCCTCCAGCCTGGGTGACAGAGCAGGACTCCGTCTAAAAAATAAATGATAAAAGTAGAAAGAATTCTGACATTATCCAACTTTAAGGTGAATAATATGCTTTAGCATGAGATTTCAAGTATATGATTTGACTTGTGTCAAGCTCCTTTGTCCTTCTGACCCTTATTTTTTTCATTTACCAGTGAGGTGATGATTGATAGGACAGTTTTTTCTTACCTCCCTAATAACAATTCTGGGAGAATTAATTCATTATTGAAAGAGGAATTCTTTAGCCTGCTCATAAAATGATATATCCAAAAATTATACATTTTTGAATGACTTTCCAAAAATACATTATGGCTTTCTATGTTGGACTCTTGCTATTTTTAGAATTTTTTGAAGTCAAATTAGTGAAATGGCTAGTTTCTCCTTTCAGATTAATTGTCTGTCTTTGGTATATGTTTATGAGTTGCCTTAGAGGAATCAACTTTTTTTTTTTTTTTTTTTTTAGTAAAGGTCTCGCTCTGTTGCCCAGGCTGGAGTGCAGTGGTGTGATCACAGCTCATTGCAGCTTTGACCTCCCTGGGCTTAGGTGATCCTCCCACCTCAGCCTCACCTCAGCCTCCAGACTAGCTGGGACTACAAGTATGCACCACCATGGCTGGCTAATTCTCCTGGCTCAGCCTCCCAAGTAGCTGGGATTACAGGTGTGCACCACCATGCCTGGCTAATTCTTCTGGCTCAGCCTCCTGAGTAGCTGGGACTACAGGTGTGCACCACCATGCCTGGCTAATTCTTCTGGCTCAGCCTCCTGAGTAGCTGGGACTACAGGTGTGCACCACCATGCCTGGCTAATTTTTGTATGTATTGTAGAGACAAGGTTTCACCACGTTGCCCAGGCTGCAGTTACATTTTTACTTGAAAATCGTTCATTTCTAATGCCTTTTTAATTTTTTAAATCAGAAAAGAACAAATTTGTTCTGCCAGACTATTATTAGGTTCCTAATTCTGTGAAGCTGTGACCTGGGGTAAAGGTTAATCTGTAGTTAGCTTAAAACCAGTTTCATTACTAGCCTTTACAGTATACTTTGGTATTTATCCAAGATCGGGGTGCTGGCTTTTTATGTGAAAGGCCAGAACCTTAAGTAGCAAGAAAAAGTAGTCCTTAACTTTTCATTAAAGTATAACATGAATATTGAAATGTACATTTATGCTCAAGGAACACCATTTTACCAGCATGCTAGATCTGCAGTCAGTTAGGAATTGATTTTTGTATATGGTATAATTACAGTTAAAGATACATGTATTTTTTCCAATTAGATATTCAAATGACCTGGTACTGAGATTTTTTAAAAAGCAGCATTGTCCAAAAAAGCAACTTTGGCAATAGTTGGTTCATTCACCACTAGAATGAATTCCAATCCTAGCCCAAAAGGAGGCTGAAAGATGTGTCAGAGCCTCTTTTTCTTTCCGGATCACCATTTAGTCTGTAAAAAATAAAGCATGTGGGGATTTCTGTTGTGATCCCCACAAATTGAAAGTCACATCTGCAAAAGTTAGATAGAAGTATATCATGCAGTATCTGTGAAGTAATACTTGCAAGGTATTTATGATAGGTTAGTCACCAGTTAATGTGCTAGGAAGAAGTCACCATGCCCGGCTATTTTTTTTTAATATTTTTTAGTAGAGACAGGGCTTCATGTTGGCCAGGCTGGTCTCAAACTCCTGACCTCAGGTAATCTGCCCGCTTCAGCCTCCCAAAGTGCTGGGATTACAGATATGAGCCACCATGCCCAGCCTTGGATTAGCTCTTTATGATTCCTTAATCCTTTTTTCTAGTACCTTACAAATTAATTTTTCTGTTTTACATCTGTTAAGAGACAAAGGACTTAAGTGCAATTAAATTGGACATAAAACTGGTAAGAATTTATTACATAGTAAAACTCATGATCCTATTCAATTGTAAACTCTTGGTAGCTAGTGGGTACAGGGACTATGTTTATGCTTTTTGGATTTCCATAGAGTGAATGAACAGTGAATTGCATGTAAGGGTATCTATATCTTTGTGAATTCACAGTTGTCTCAAGTAGTAGAAAAGCAAAAGTAAAAGTTGTTTTTACAGTTGATTTACAGTTTTCACCAAAGATCTAAATGACCTGTGTATTAAACAGGATCAAACTTCATCATCCAGGACCATGTATAACAGCACTCAATAAAGCAATAGATAAAGGGTCTTGATGTCTGATAGTGCTGCGTGGTACTTGCTATGGAGGGTCTGGCAGAACTGGACTAAAACAGCTTCTCTGAGCTTCTTTCTTTCTTCTTTTTCTTTTCTTTTTTTTTTTTTTGAGACGGAGTTTCGCTCTTGTTGCCCAGGCTGGAGTGCAGTGGTGTGATCTCGGCCCATCGCAACCTCAGCGTCCCGGGTTCAAGCAATTCTTCTGCCTCAGCCTCCTGAGTACCTGGGATTATAGGCATGCACCACCATGCCTGGCTAATTTTTGTATTTTTAGTAGAGTTGGGGGTTTCTCCATGTTGGTCAGGCTGGTCTCAAACTCCCGACCTCGGGTGATCTGCCTGCCTCGGCCTCCCAAAGTGTTGGGATTACAGGCGTGAGCCACCATGCCCAGTTTCTCTGAGCTTCTTTTATGTTCTTCTGTTTTCCCTTCAGAAAAACTATACTTAGGTTTTCAAAGCTGCCTATTTAGTTAAATGAATGCAGAAAGATGTGATCCAGATTTCCATAACTTCAACTCTGTACTGCATTTTTCTGACATTGTTTTTCTTGCTGACTCTATGCAGAGCCAAATCTACAGCTTTTTTATAGTAGAGATGATGTTTCCTGTGAGGTTTTTTTGTTGTTCTTATTGTTGTTCTTTTGTTTTTCTTTTTGAGATGAAGTCTCTCTCTGTCGCCCAGGCTGGAATGCAGTGGCGTGATCATAGCTCATTGCAGCCTTGAACTCTTGGGCCCAGGTGATCGATCATCCCACCTCAGACACCTGAGTAGCTGTTCCAGCCACCAGAGTAGATGTTCCAGCCTGGCTAATTTTTATCTTCCTATTTTTTGTAGAGACAGGGTCTCGCTTTGTTACCCAGGCTGGTCGTGAACTCCTGATCCTCCCGCCTCAGCCTTCCAAAGTGCTGGGATTACAGACATGAGCCACCATGCCCAGCCATTTCCTGTGTTTTAATGTCTTTAGTTAGTTAGTTATAGAATAGTGAGGGATTTTTTTTTTTTGCTCAGTTACTTGAACACGTTATAATATAATAAGGATAACATAAAGATCTTATCCTTGAGTTGTCTGGAACTGTATTTTAAATGATAAAACTAATTTCAGTGACCCTGATTGACCCTGTTGATTTTATAGATAAGGACGAAACATGTTCAGGTCACGCAGCTAGTCAGTAGCAGGGATAGCACTTAAATCCTGGTCTTGTGACCTTGATTCCAGTACCCCTCTCTGCTTTTAAATATATTGAGCCGTAATTTTTAAAGAATCTCCCCAAGTTTAAAGATTCAGAATTTATTAATTGTGTTTTAATAGTTTTAAAACCATTTCTAATCTCATTTTATTTTGGTGACTCTGGGACTTAAAATACATAGTTCTTTAAAAAACTGTTATATTAATATATAGTATCTCACAAAATAAAAGTATATTGCAATTTCTAGCAAAACACTGAACGGGAATGTCAAGTTATGAAATGACTTAGATTAAAAGAGTTTAAGATGTGAGCAACACGTTCTTTTTAGTATTATTTAGACAGTAGTGTTGCTCAATAGAGAGGTGGAAATATTGAACTGGGAATCTCAAGACCTGTGTTTTGTCCTGTCACCAACTAGCTGTATGATTCTGAGCAAATGACCCACCTTCGCTGGGCTTCAGTTTGCTTGTCTGATACATAAAGGAATAGAGCTAGAATTAGAACTATCTCTTCAGTAAATAACTCTCACTGTTGCTGAATGTGAGAAGTCAGGCAGAGCACATTTGTTGTCAGAAGTCTTTGGACATGAAAATGATCTGTGCCTAATATTCTTCATCTTGACGCTAGTAAGTAACCACAGGCCCGCCAGCCAGCCAGCAATCAATCTCCATCTGTAGAACTTCCATTGTTGTCCATGTATAGCAGTCTGGAGAAGGGCCAGGTTTTATTTTTGCCAGGAACTCTCTTGGCAAATCTGTATCCCTAGGGATGTCTGTTTAATTTTGTGGTGCAGAGCACAGTTTAGTGAAAAAGAAGAGGAATGCTGAGCTATTTGATTCTGAATGCTTTCAGAGATAGATCATTTTCATTTGTTTCCATAGTATCTATGTTTCAAGATGTTTTGAGGGAGAAGGTGAGCCAAAATAAGATGAAAAGAGGAAGGTGAGAAACCTTCCAGTATATGCTGACTCAGGAAATACATTTGAACTATGCAAGTATGTGTGTTTCCACAAATAGAAAACTTCTGATATACATATCCAGATTTGTCATTTTAGCTTTTCTCATGCATAACTTTTTGATTTTAAACTAGTCTCCTAGATTTAAACTGTTAAGAAAAAAAAACTTTTATGGAAAATTGGCATATTCTACTAGATATTTCAAAACTGTCCCATTATCTTGCCTTCTGGAAATAAATATAAAAGTATTTGAATTTGAATAAATTCTCCACTTTTTAAATTCATTTATAAAGATCTCAGTTTACATCTAGATTTAACATTCATTTGTTCAAGAAAATTTATTTTGTGACCAAAAGTTGTATGCTGAAAATTAAATACCTGAATTTCTTAAACCATAGAAATAGATCAAGTTGAGGTTGCATTTAGTTAAAATGCCAGTGTGTGTTACCACTGACCTTCATTTTTTATTATCTAAAGTTTTTCAGTCTTTCATACCTTTAACATCTTTTTCTTCTAACTTTCATATCCATTTGTTGACAAATCCTAAGAAGTTTACTTTCATAATGTCTCTCAAATTTCACCCTTTATCTTCACTGCTGTTGGCCTATCCTAATCCAGAAGGGCCTAGATTGCTGCAACAACTTCCTAACTAGTCTCCCTTTCCTCAGTATTACCTTTAAAAGTCTTAAGCTAACATCCAGATTAATCTTCTTTAAACATCAGACTGTATATCTGTTTAGAAATCTTAAAACTTCTTCATTTAAGTCTCAATACTGTCAAGCATTTAAAGCCCTTTATGTGTGGTCCTTTCTTTTCCATCCAACTGAATTAATTCAGCAAATAGTGTTGCAAGCAGCGATATGTGAGGCACTGTGCAAAGATAAAGATAAATCAAATCTAGCTTCTTGCAGATATAGGTCAGCATTAATGTCAACACATCCGGGATTTTTTTTTCCTTTTAGAAACTTGTTCTACTTCATTCCATTCCACTTAAATTATTCTTGCCCAAGATATCAGTGATGTCCTCATTGTTAGATTGGGCAGTTTTCTTTTCCTTTTTTTAAGAAACAGGGTCTTGCTATATTGCCCAGGCTGGTCTCAAACTCCTGGCCTCAAGCAGTCTTCCTGCCTTGGCCTCCCAAAGTGTTGAGATTATAGATGGGAACCACCCCACTGGGCAGTTTTCAATATGAATTTTACTTTACTTTGTTATGGCATTATATACTATTGACCATGCCTGCCTCCCTGATACTTCTTCCTTCTGTAGTTTTTAGGTATAGAAACTATTCACCTTTTCAGTTTCTTCTTAGAACTTTTCAAAGGAACAAAGTTTTAGTTCTGTTGATTTTTATTTTAAGTTATGTTCTGTTTCATTAGTTTCTATCTTTATTATTTCTTTCCTTCTACTTCTTGGGTTTTGGGGGTTTTTGTTTGTTTTTCTGTTCCTTTTCTTCTTCTTGAGATGTATGTTTAGCTCTTTCATATTTTAAAAAATATACTTTAATTTTTAGAGCAATTTAAAATTTGCGGCAAAATTAAGCAGAGCATTGTCATATACCCCTCTGCCCCACACATGTACAGCCTCCTCCACTATCAACATCCCTCACCAGAGTGGTACATATGTTACAATTGACAAACCTACACTGACACATCATTATCTCCTGAAGCCCTTAGTTTACATTAGGGTTTACTCTTGATGTACATTCTTTGGGTTTTGACAAGTGTATAATGGCATGTGTTCACCATTATGTTATCAATCAGAGTAGTTTCACTGCCCTAAAAATCCTCGGTGCTCCACCTGTTCATCCCTCCAACCCTTAGCAACCACAGATGTTTTTACCATTGTCTTTTCTAGAATATTATGTAGTTGGAATTCCACAGTATGTATGTAGCCTTTTCAGATTGGCTTCTTTCACTTAGGAATACACATTTAATCAGGTAGGGTATGTCTGACAAATAATTTTCTAAAATCTTAAAATGACTACAAAAGGAATACACATTTAAGATTTCTCTACATCTTTTCATGGCTTGATGGTTCATTTCTTTCTCTTTTTTACATTTTATACTTTAATAAAATGATAAACACTGTTACAGGTAAAAGACAGTTCAGTACATTTAGTTGGATAAGATTTTTAAAATTTTTAATTTTTTTTTTTGAGACAGAGTCTCGCTGTGTTGCCCAGGCTGGAGTGCAGTGGCGTGATCTCAGCTCACTGCAACCTCTGCCTCGCAGGTTTAAGTGATTATCCTACCTCAGCCTCCCGAGTAGCTAGGACTACAGGCATGTGCCACCACACCTGGCTAATTTTTGTATGTTTGGTAGAGATGGGGTTTCACCACGTTGGTCAGACTGGTCTCGAACTCCTGACCTCAAGTTATCTGCCCGCCTCGGCCTCCCAAAGTGCTGGGATTACAGGCATGAGCCACTGTGCCCAGCCTAGTTGGATAATATTTAAAAATTTACATATTTGCGAGCTCGTAGATTCTTTACCACCCTGGTATATTTTAATCTATGTAGTCAGAGTCTTCTGGAATTCCGAAAGTTTTATCAATTTTATTTTCTTCAAACCCAAATTTTCTTTTGGCCCAAGATTTTATTGCAAATATGTTATCAGTCTATCTGTTAGCAAGTACTTTATTTGCCTGATGTATTTCTTCAACAACTTGCGGGTCACATTATTTGCATTTTTCAACTTCTGCCTTTGATCCAAGAGTGAAGAATGCTCTTTGGCTAACACGGTTCACTCCTTCATCTCATGTTGGCCAATTTTAGTTTTTCTGATGCTTTTCTGTAAGTTTGCATGCTTTTGGCTTCCCTGAAACAACTGAGATTTCAGAACCTCCAATTTATACGTTCTTGCATGAAGAATTTTACTTGGAAAAGACTGATAATAATTAGAAGTTCCAGTTCTCTCACAGTCAACCATATCATTATCAACTAAACTTTGAAGGACTTTTTTCTTTTACTAACACAGCAGTAATGCCTTTCTCTTTGGGAGCAGTCCTCTCCATGTCTTTTTTTTTTTTTTTTTCAAGAGATGGCATCTCGCTATGTTGGCCAGATTGATCTTGAACTCCTGGCCTCAAGCAGTCCTCCTGCATCAACCTCCCAAAGTGCTACTATTGCAAGCATGAGCCACCGCACCTGGCCTTCTCCATGTCTTTTAATTGAAATACATCTTTTGTTTTAAAAAATGTTTCCATCATGCAGGCTCTCTTTTCTTCTGCACTCAGTCCTTTTTTCTTTGATACGGTGTGGGCACCAGGCCTTCCAATGATGGGGTCTGCACATGGGGTGAGGGGCCAGCTCATTTCTTTTTATTGCTAAATAATTGTCCATTGTCTGATGTACCGCAGTTTATGTATCATCCACCTACTGAAGGACATCTTGGTTACTTCCAGGTTTTGCCAATTATATGAGAACTTTGTACTTTCTGTTCAGTTTTTCTGTAAACCAAAAAAAAATGCTCTAAATAATAAATCTATTAATTTAAAAAAATAAGAAAAAAGAATCTGTCTCTCCATTCATTCAACAAACATTTGTCAAATATCTAATATGTGCCAAGCAAAGAATGAAGTACTAGAAGTAATCAATTACATAAGACATATTTCTTTCAAGGAGTGTAGTCTAGTGGGAAAAGTAAGTCAACAATTGGAGTGATATTTGTATTTCAGAAGTGTGTATAGAGTGTTACAGGACCCCAGGAAGGGACCATCTTAGTCTTAGTTGGTATAGGGGAGGGAGAGACAGAAAAGGCTTTTAAGAAGCCATGTTTATTGGAGACTTTTAGAATGAGTATCAGTTGACTAGATCAAAATTTGTGTGTGAGGGCATGGGCACCTTGAGATAATATTCTGTATAGAGTAAACAGTATCAGAAAAGGCATAGAAAGAAGAAACAGCATGGCATGAACAGAGAACTACAAAAAGTTCTTTCCTTCGCAAAAGAAAAGATTGCGTTTGGGGGTATTCAGGTCATGAAACTAAGAGGGTAAATAATACCTTGAAGGGCCCTCTGTGTTAAATGAATTAGAATTGGTTCTATATCCTGAAGGCTAAGGAGAGTTACTGATGGTGGATTTAGTTAATATGAGAAGATTCCTCTTTTTGTCTTCTGCAAATACATAGAAATGCTGGATAAAATATAAGCTCCCTTTCTCAGTTTTTTTTTATTACTACCTAATTAAGTTTGAAAGCAAGCAAAGGAAATCTCCAGATACCAGAAATGACAAGAAAACTCAAACTCAGATATGAAAGAGAGCTAAAGCCAAAATGGCCAATGGGGAGTGGGAACCATAGTTTTAAGGGCTATATGAGGTGAGGAGAAAAGACTTTAGGCTTCTGAGAGTCAGAGAATTGCAATTGACCTGTGTGTTTAAAATTGGGAGCCACAAAAGGCCATGCTTTTGAGGAAGAGTATTCAACAGCATCACTCCCCTGGCTTACAAAAGCAACAAGGACCTGTAAGTGGGGTTGTAGGCCTTCAGGGAGTCAGAAACAAGGAATAAGGCTAGAGGGAGAAGATGACCAGTGACCCAAGCCTAAGCCAGTCAGCTCATAGCATTCTACTGGCCACAGTGCTTGGTTCAAGGGTGGTTATGTTTTCTAAAAATTTATTTAGTTGGAGTGAAGCCCAGGACCACGTTTGTTGGCTTAACTCTTTCTTCCTTCTCTGGTTTTGAAGATGGAAGCATGTAGCTCTGAAAGCTGCTGGTTCCATCTTGTGACAACTTGGAAAGTCAGCCAGGATGAAGATGAACCTCTGGAAGGTGGATGAAGAATCAAAAAAATTCACCCAGTGTGAGACACTGAATCAAAACAACATTGATTATTTCAGCTGCTGGTGATGACATAATAGATTACTCACACTAACCTCCCACAGACAAAGATTATTGAAATGTAGATTTAACAATTACATATATGTATTTATATATTGTAAACAGCTATTTAAAGGCACTGGAAAGGAAGTGAAAGAAAAGATTAAACTCAATCTGAAAGGAAGGAACTTGCCCCTGAAGGTACTCCCCAGTCTGTGCCTGGCTCCAGAGGCAGAAATCTTAGATAACAGGGCTCAGGACTAGTAGAACAGCCAGAAACTTTGGCAAAAAATCGTGGAAGGGGAGGAGATGCAGAAAGATTAGTGCCCAAACCTGCATTTAACATCCACCCAATTCCTTCATATGTGTGGGGAGGCCCAGGAAATGCAATGAAAAAGCAGCACGTGGAAGCTAAAAGAATGGAGAAGAGCTTTCAGCAGATGCTGATGGCAGGAGAGACAGAATTTGGAAATTGAGTCTCACCGAATTAACTGCCTGCTAGAACAAAGATCCATCTTCAGAGGAATGTTACAGAATCTAGAGTCATGACAACATATTATGCATAATGTGTAATAACCAATCCAAAAATCACTACACATGTGAAGAAACAGGAAAATGTTACCACGTTCAAGAGAAAGTAGTCAATAACAAAATATCTTCAAGATGACCAAGTGTTCATATTCGAAGTCAAAGATGTTAAAGCAGTCATTATAAATATGCTTGAGGACTATGAAAGAAAATATGTATAGTAATTGAACAAGTAGGAAACCTCAAACAGAGAAAGAGAAATTTTTTCTTTTTTTCTTTTTTTTTTCTTTGAGATGGAGTCTCACTCTGTTGCCCAGGCTGGAGTTCAGTGGTGCGGTTTTGGCTCACTGCAACCTCTGCCTCCCAGGTTCGAGCAATTCTCCTGCCTCAGCCTCCTGAGTAGCTGGGATTACAAGCATGCACCACCACGCCCAGCTGATTTTTGTATTTTTAGTAGAGTCGGGGTTTTGCCATGTTGGCCAGGCTGGTCTCAAACCCCTGAGCTCAAGCGATCTGCCCACCTTGGCCTTACAAAGTGCTGGGATTACAGGCATGTGCCACCATACCCAGCCTCTAGAATTTCATATCCAGAAAAACTAGTCTTCAGGAATGAAGATTAACTGAAGACATTTTTCAGATAAAAACAAGAATTCATCACCAGCAGACCTGTAATATAAGAAATGGTAAAATAAGTACTTCAGGCTAAAGAACTAATACTAGAAATAACACTGGAAATGACACTAACTGGTAACTCATATCTTCAGAAATGAATAAAGATCAATAGAAATGGCAAATCAGTGAATAAATTTGAAAGACTATAGATTATTTTCTTAATTTCTTCAAAAGACATATTAGTGGTTAAAGAAAAATTAAAGCACTGTATTGTAGGGTTTATAACAGTAGCACAAAGGATTGGGATAAATAGAATAATGCTGTTACAAGATATCTGTATTTAGTGTTTAGTAGTACAGCATTAACTCTAAGTAGATTGTATTAGTTATGGATGTATATTTTAATTTCTAAAGCAACCAGTAAAACAAAAATGCAAAGAGTTCAGCAAAGGACAATAGAGGCCCACAAAATACTAGTTCACATCCACTAGGATGGCTATAATAAAAAAGATAGAACAATAACAAGTGTTCACAAGGATGTGGAGAAATAGGAAATCATACACTGCTGGTGGAAGTGTACAGTATTGCAGCTGCTTTGTAAAATAGTTTGGTAGGTTTTTAAGAAGTTAAATGTAGAGTTACACAAGACCCAGCAGTTCCCCTCCTAGATATATACCCAGTGGAAATGAAAACCCACATCCACAGAAAAACATACACATGGATGTTCATAGCAGCCTTATTTAAAATAGTAAAAAAGTGGAAACAATCCAAATGTCCATCAGCTGACGAATGGAAAAATAAAATGTGGTATATCCATACAGTGGGATATTGTTCAGCAATAAAAAGAAACGAAGTACTGATTCATGTTGTAACATGGATGAATCTTGAAAAGTTAAGTGAAAAAAGCCAGTCACAGAAGACCACATATTGTATTATATCATTTACATAAAATGTCTAGAATAAGCAGATCTATAGAGAAAGAGAGTTGATTCGTGTTTGCTTTGGGCTGGGGAAATGAGGGGAAGGACAGCTAATGAGTACAGGGTTTCTTTGAAGGGGATGAAAATGATCTATAATTTGATTGTGGTGATGTTTTTCCAAACCTATGAGTATATTTTTTAAAACATTGAACTGGGCCAGGTGCAGAGGCTCATGCCTGTAATCCCAGCACTTGGGGAGGCTGAGGTGGGAGAATTGCTTGAGCCCAGGAGTTTGAGACCAGCCTGGGCAACACAGTAAGATCTCATCTCTGCAAAAAAAAAAAAAAAAAAAAAAACAACAAAATTGGCATGGTGGCATGCACCTGTAGTCCCAGCTATTTGGGAAGCTGAGATGGGAGGATCACTTGTGCACAGAAGGTCAAGGCTGTGACCTTGTGACCTTGTGGGACTGTGATCGCCACTGTACTCCATCATAGGTGACAAAGCAAGACCTTGTTTCAAAACAACAACAACAACAAAACATTGAATTCTATACTTTAAATGGGTGAATTGTATGGTATATGAGTTATATTTCAATAAAGCTGTTTTTAAAAGACAATAAGAATACTAAATTTTTTTTTTCAGTTCACCCCAAAAGAGGAACAGAGAAACAGCAAACAGATGAGACAAATGCAAAACACTAAAATGGCCAGTCCAGCCAAATCCAGCCAAATCAAATGTAAATCAACTTAACATTACAATTAAAAGATAGAGATTGTCAAGTTGGATAAAAGCATTGCCCAACTTTAAGCTGTCTGCAAGGCATGCACTTAACAAAAGATACAAAGCTTCAAAGTAAAAGGATGGGAGAGGATATACTGTGCAAACAAATAATTCGAGAGTTAGAATAGATAATTTAATAATGGAAAAGATGGACTTCAAGGAGTACTACCAGAGATAAACAGGGACATTTTATAATTTTAAAAACTCAATATATCAGAAAGACATAATCCCAAATGTATGTATGCCTAATTAGCTTCAAAATACATAAACCATAAAACTGACAGATGGAAGAAAGGATTCAAGTCCACAGTCATACTTGGAGATTTTCATATCCCTTTTAGAGCAATTAGTAGAACAACTAAGCCAAAAGTCTGTACAGATATAGAAGATCTTAATAGCCCTGTTAACCAGCTTGCCCCAGTTAATATTTATAGAACCCAATACCCAAAAAATACAGAATAAACAGTCTTTTTAGGTACCATGGAACTTTTACCAAGATAGACCATATCCAGGGCCATGAAACAAGTCTTAATAAGTTTTAGAAGATTGAGATCTAACAGAGTATGTTTTCTGATTACAGTTGAATTAAAATACAAGTCAGTAACAAAAAGATATTTGGAAAACCCCCAAAGATTTGGAAATTAGATAGTGTATTTCTGAAAATATTTTGAACTGAATGATAATAAAAAATGTGTTAGCATTTTTGGGATGCAGTTAAAGCACTGCTTACAGAGAAATTTATAGCTTTAATTGTTCATATTAGAAAGGAAGAAGTGTTAAAATGTAATATTTAAGTTACCAGAAGGTGGAAAAAAATAAGCAAATTAAACCCAAGAAAGAAGAAAGTAAAGACAATAGCAGATATCAATTAATTAGAAAATAGACAACAGAGACAATAAACAAAACCA
The DNA here is from genome assembly GCF_000001405.40 of Homo sapiens. NCBI lineage: Eukaryota > Metazoa > Chordata > Mammalia > Primates > Hominidae > Homo > Homo sapiens. The sequence continues at coordinate 92,926,029 of NC_000001.11, read as the reverse complement.
AAATGGATTTTTTCAAAAGATCAAAAAAATTGAAAATGCCTAGAAAAAGCTTATTATATACCAATACTGATAATGAAGGAGGAGCATGATTATGTATCTGTAAACTTCAAAAAGATAATCGAATTCTAAAAACAACTTTACACCAATAAATTTGATGCCTTCGATGAAACAAATTCCTGGAAAAATGCAGCTTTCCAAAACTGACACAAAATTAAATTTAAAAACTGAATAGTCTTGGCCTGGCACGGTGGCTCACACCTGTAATCCCAACACTTTGGGAGGCTGAGGAGGGTGGATCACAAGGTCCGAAGTTCAAGACCAGCCTGGCCAACATGGTGAAACCCCCCATCTCTACTAAAAATACAAAAATAAGCCAGGTATGGTGGTGCATGCCTGTAATCCCAGCTACTCGGGAGGCTGAGGCAGGAGAATTGCTTCAATCTGGGAGGTGGAGGTTGCAGTGAGCCGAGATCGTACCCCTGCACTCCATCCTGGGTTGCAGCGCGAGACTGTCTCAAAAACAAAAGCAAAAAAACAAAAAAACCCCAAAAAACTGAATAGTCTTTTATGTGTCAAGGAAATTCACTTTGTGATAGAAAACATTCCTACAAAGAAAACTTCAGGCCCAGAGAGTATCAAAAGTGAATTCTCAAACATTTGTGAAAGACACTGTAAAATCTAACAAACAGCTTCAGAAAATGAAGAAGAAATAACTTCTCAACTAATTTTGTGAGGCTAGTATAATTCAGATACTAAAATCTAGTAAAGACATTATGAAAAGTTAAAAATCTCTTATGAACATACATAAAGCTGTTTAACAAAATATTAACAAATTGAATCCAGCTATAAATAAAAGGATTAATACAACATGACCAAGTGGGTTTTATCCCAGGAATATAAAATTGGTTTTGTATTTGAAAATAAATAAATGTAATCCACCACATTAATGATAAGGAGAAGAAATGTGGCCATCTCAATAGACACAGAAAAAGCATTTGACCAAAATCAGCATGGGGCTTAAATAAAATCCAGCAAACTGGAATTAGAAGATAGTTTCATCAATCTGATAAAGGGCATCTACAACATGACTTCAGCTAACATCATTCTTAGTAATAAGCCCCTGAGGACTATGCCTTTAATATCTGGAACAAGGCAAGTGCAGGGAGCCGAAGGCCCATGGGACATGACCAACTCAGCATTCCACTGGAAGCTATATGATCAAACAGCAAACTGTTTATCATGAATGCAGGATATGAGCAAACTCACAAGTGCTCCTGCCGACAGAAGATTTGCTGGACTCAATCACTCCCTGACACCGACGTTATCTACTGCGACATCTAGAGCCTGTTGTTCGAAGAATGCAGTCTTGAAAGCCTACTCCGGACCGAGCAGCTGACCCCTTCTTCCACCCACCTTCTCACTATCTCTTTTGCCTAGAAATACGGAGGGCTGTGTAGAGCTCAGGGCCCTTGTCCACTAGAGGCAAGGTGCCCCCTGACTCCTTCTTCCAAATATACTGTTTTGTCTTTGTCTTCTATTCCCGCATTCACTCCCTCTTTTTTCAGTTCCCCTTGATCCGTGCGGGTTATATAGTGGCGCCCTGAACAGCGACAGAATTGGGTGCTACACAGGCAAGGATACCATTCTCAAAATTTCTACTCAACATTTTTCTGAATGTCCTTGCCAATGCAATAAGGCAAGGAGAAGTAAAAAAAAAAAAGATTAAAAAGGAAGAAGTAAAAGCTCCCTATTCTCAGATTATTTATATAGTAGAATATCCTGAGGAATCAATTTTAAAACTACTATAAACAATAAGTAAATTTAACAAAGTCTTGAGATACAAGGGCAATAAAAAATTAACTGTTTTTACTTAAATAAGATTTAAAAACCAATTATCTTTTAATAGCATCAAAAATACTTAAGAATAAATTTAACAAACATGCACACCTCTACACTGAAAAGTATAAAATACTGCTGAGAGAAATTTAAAAAGATTTAAATAAATGGAGAGGTATGTTATTTGAGTCCCTAAATTCTGTTTCAGTTGAAGCCAATTAGAGATAGACTTTCCATGGACTAATAACGAAAAGAGTCTCAAGTAATATGCTGGAGATTGTAGTTTCGTTTTTGTTTTGTTTTGTTTTGTTTCGAAATATTCCATCATTTCTGTGTAACACTAAGCCTGATGGTTGGATTTGAGTTTAGCAGACCTGCCCCAGATGGAAGCCTGTTAAGACACTGGGAATTAGATTAGAAGTTATGCTCATCAACTATGCAGCTGTAGATTAGAGCAGACGATTCCACTAGTACATATGTTGACAGAATGGGGCCAGTGGTGGTTCATATACCTGTTTGTTGTCAAATACCAGGTCTAGATGTTTTCCTCATCCTCAAATGAGAGATCACATAGCAATATGGGACTTATAAAACTTTCAGAACAAAGGGAACATCATTATGAAGATTTAGAGGAAGAGCAACTCTCTGAAAATTATTTATTATAGAAATGTAAGAAATTTTGAAACTTTTCTAGCATCCTTAGTTGATTCAGGAAGATATAGCCTCTGTGGAACTGAAGTATAAAAGTATAAGGAACAGGCTGAGTGAGGTGGCTCATGCCTGTAATCCTAGCACTTTGGGAGGCCAAGGCAGGCAGTAACAAGGTCAGGAGTTCGAGACCAGCCTGGCCAATATGGTGAAATCCCGTCTCTACTAAAAATACAAAAATTACCCAGGCGTGGTGGTGGGCGCCTATAGTCCCAGCTACTCGGAAGGCTGAGGCAGCAGAATCACTTGAACCCAGGAGGCAGAGGTTGCAGTGAGCCGAGATCGTGCCACTGCACCCCAGCCTGGGCAACAGAGTGAGACTCCATCTCAAAAAAACAAAAACAAACATACATACACAAAAAGTATAAGGAGCAAATAGGCTGAGATGAAAAGGGAACAATAAGCATGGAAAGCTACAGGTAAACTGGACATGAAATAGCAGTGAAGATATAAACTGAAGACAGTGTTAAAAGCAGGATTCACCCTGAGGTGTACTGAAGCAATGATGTGGAAAACAGATTTGAGAAATTTTCTCAGAATGCAGAGGAAAAAAAAAAAAGGAGATGAAAACTGTGAGGGAGATGGTAGCTATGGATGACAGACTTTTCTACAGCACCAGTGCCAGAACTTGTGAGCCAAAGTTTTCAGGGGAAAAGGTTGTGACTAGAGAGTGTTGTACTGGCTGCATTTTGTTTCATTCTCGAAGGTTACAGACATTCATGTATGCCAGGGTTCAAAATATGCTGTGCACATAGCCTTCTTGGAGAACTAAAACAAATGAACAAAGTTTTAATTGACTGAAAGACAAATCAAAATGAACTTAAGAATAGGATTTATGTTACTAAACACCTTCAGACTTCCAGAGGACTGCCAGCAAGTATAGGGCCCTCCCGAGTTCTTAGAATCCTCATCTTAGCAAACCGCATTGATTGAACCGTGTCCATGGATGAGTCTGCAGAAATGTGTGTCGTGTTGGCATCTGGATTACACTTAAAAGCAAACAGTTCCCTCATGAGTTATTCTCCCCGGACGAAATTGTGTAGTTGGGCGCAAATAATTCGTCTGGAAAACCCTCTCCCTGAGGCATTATTTACCACAAGATCCAGAAGTTCAATTAAATAAGATTACAGTACAATAATGCTAAAAAAAAAAGAAAAGAAAAATTTCTCCAAAAAAACTGAAAAGAAATATTTCAAATGTTAAAAAATTAAATGACTACTAAGTTGTGATTTTCAAATCTTCTACTTTTGAAATGAGCATGTATTTTTCAATAAAACTATAGATAAAGGAAAATTGATTAAAATGCTGTTAACTAAGCAAAAGGGCATACAAAATAGTGAAACGAAAGCCAAAAACAATTAAGATTTTAATTAAACAGTTAAACTAGAGAACATAAATATTATTTAAATAGTAGTATTAGCTTAAACAATGTAAAAAGGAACATTTAAAATACTAACCTTTTTAGATTTAAAATTCTTAAATTTTAAAAACAGACGTTAAGTTCTTTGTGACTGCTCTACCAGGAAAAAAAAATAAATAAATAAATGTGAGGTCTTAATTTCTTTGTGCAGTAACCTCCAATCTGAGGCAAACAATTAGAGCACATTCTGATGACCTTCAAGCTTGAGGGCTTTCCAGGTAATTGTTCTTTAGGTGGAGAGCCAAGGGCTGAGGATAGAACTCCTGGTCCCTTTCCTTGTACCTTTTATAGATGACTTGCTTTCACTATCTTACTGACTACCCTGGTTTGGTACTTGAAAATAGAGGCAGGATCAAACTTTTAGCCTTCACTTTGGATCCTGTTCTTACCTACTGCCCAACTCCGAGGAGCTGGTCTTTCTCCAGACAGTACTTCCACTCCAGAGATGTCCTGCCCAAGACTGACGCACAGTTGCTCTCCCACTGAGCCAGGTTCCTCAGGTCCCACCGTCCTCCTGTCCTCAAAAGCACTTAGGATGTAGCAAATTGTCTTATTGTTTTACTCCCGACTAGCAAATTCTCCTTTCTAATTAGTAAGCCTATATATGCTACCTTATACTTATGTCAATTTTTTTGCAACACATTGCATTTTCTACATACTTCCTCTGGATTTGGTCTGATATGGTCATCTTTGTGTTCTCTCCTTTGGGCTCTCCTTTTCTGGGACATCGTTCACAATTTGTCCATCCTGAGTGTGTTTCTATAGCAATTAAAAACCAAAACACAATTGCTTTCTCAATACAGTTATAAACTCCTGAAATAAACAGTGTCTGAGGGCTGAAATTGTGTCTCACGCTTTTCTTATGCAACCTAGAACAAAGCAACTTGGGATTAAAAAAAAATACTAAAGTGTCAGTAACAGCAGCAAGTAGCATTTCTTTGGCTCTGCATTACCCTCCTAACTGTGGAAACCGGCTTCCTCCAACCCCTTCCCCAACTAGTCCAGGGAGTCCCAGGGATAGCTCAAGTTTGCCTTTGACTACAATTCTCTAGACTACTCTGTGGGTGGCCATTTCCCCCAGCCTGTATTCCATGAATGTTTTTCTCTGAGATACCATGCCCCACACCTCTTTCCTTCCTCTTACTCTCTGGCTCCTATGCAAAATCTACTGCCACCCCCATGCTCTGATACCCAATGTTCTCTGAGACTCAGTTCTTTGGTTTGGTTCTTCAGCTGGTCTAGTTCAAGCGATGTATTGCCCTGCCTCTGCAGTACCAACCCATTGTCTTTACCCTAGCTTATGTGCTTAGATTCACTTTCCTTTAGAATGAGTTTTTTCCTAGGAGGATGCTGGAGCCACAGAACAAGTGTTCCCTGCTTCATGGACTAACTCACCAATCAACCATGTTAAAACATCTGTTAATCTTCTAAGGTAGAGTTAAGAAACTATCTTCTCCAAGAAGTCCTTTCAGAATTCCCTCTGCCTGTATCACCTCCAGCTAGATATGTATCTCTTCTTTGTACCATGGTTACTCTGAACATGTCCTGGTGTATTAGTCCCTTCTCACACTGCTAATAAAGACATACTCGATACTGGGTAATTTATAAGGAAAGAGATTTAATTGACTCACAGTTCCACGTGGCTGGAGAAGCCTCACAATCATGGTGGAAGGCAAAGGAGGAGCAAAGTCACATCTTACATGGTGGCAGGCAAGGAGAGCTTGTAGCAGGGGAACTCCCATTTATAAAACCATCAGATCTCATGAGACTTATTCACTACCATGAGAACAGTATAGGGGAAACTGCCCCCATTATTCATTTATCTCCACTGGCCACGCCCTTGACACATGGGGATTATTACAATTCAAGGTGAGATTTGGGTGATGACACAGACAAATCATATCACTTGGATATAATTTTTATCATATTAGATGGTAATTATCTTTTTACTTACCTGAGTCCCCATCTAAACTATGAGTTGATTGAGGGAAAGTATCATGTCTCATGCATCTTTGAATTCTGAATGTTTAGCTTAGTTCTTGTCAGTTAGTAGGTTCTATAGGGTCTCAAGTTGAGCCTGTGATATACTTGTGTACAACACAATAGATTTGGCTCAAATATTACATGATGTCGATTAATGGCAGTTTTCCATTTGATAAGAATTATCTGCCAAGGCATTCGTTTTCCTTTAAGATTGATGTCAAATCAATTTATCAAACATTTTGATGAGCACCCATGTATCCTAAGTACTGCCTTGTCCCTTAGATATATGGAAATGAGTAAGACATGGTTCCTGTGCAGAAGAAACTTCCCTGGGTCTCCCTCCCTCCATTTCTTTATTCTTCCTTCTCATTCATCCTTGTCTGGATAAATTTTTACTGAGCCTGGATTTGCATCTAATGGAGTAAATAAACGTAAGGAGGTTAATTATAGCATAGTATACTCAGAGTAATAATCAAAGTGTGTTCCAGATATAGAGATAGCACAGAGGAAAGCATGATAGAATTCTTAGGGTGTACGGGGTATCCTGGAGAAGGTGACTTCTGAGTGAGTTATCAAGGGTGAAAAGACACTCTCCATGCTCAGGTCAGTGAAAGGTACTTCGAAAGAAGAAAGAGAATATGCAAAGGCCTAGAGAAGTGAAAGGACCATGTCTTCCAGAAACAATAAGTACTTTGGTATTGTTGCAGCATTAAGTTCAGTAGAATGATGATACAAGCGGTGGTGAGAGATGAAGCTAGGATAGTAGGCAATATTTTAAGTGCCAAAATATTTCTTTTATGTTTGGGTGACTTTTTAGTTAAGAGAATGGTAAGGTCTCTAATATAGCTGATGATATTTATAATCCAAACATGAAGCCGTGTATTGCTTTATACAAAGTTCTGTGGTCATCTAGCTATATTTTAGTGTTTATTGTATAGGTAGATGAGAATGAAAAAGAAGATGCTCCCTGGAGTTTATAGTCTTGTTGAGGATACAGAATATATCCACACAGAGAGTTTAGAGCAGGGGTTCCCAACTCCCAGGCTGCAGACCAGTACCAGCCCATGGCTTGTTAGGAACCAGGCTGCACGGCAGGAAGAGAGTGGTGGGCCAGCAGCATTACTGTCTGAGCTCCGCCTCCTGCCGGATCAGCGGTGGCATTAGATTCTCACAGGAGCTGGAACCCTGTTGTGAACTGCACATGCGAGGGATCTAGGTTGCCCCCTTCTTATGAAAATCTAATGCCTGATGATCATAGGTGGAACAGTTTCATCCCGAAACATCTCCCCACCTCACCCGCACTCCCCACCCCATCTGTTGCAAAACCGTCTTCCACGAAACCCGTCCCTGATGTGAAAAAGTTTGGGGACTGCTCGTTTAGATACAGCACTTACCAAGCAATCTACAGACTGCTGCCAACCAAAATTGTAAAGGTGGGGTATAAGCACAATTTTGATGGAGTTATAGGAATGATTAGGAGAGTGCGTAATTAGAAAGAGACAACCTGATTTTTGGCTTAAGAAAAACAAGTTCCATAAGAGCTAACTGAGCATGGAAAATGCAAAATTGAGGAATGTATTTATAAATGAGAAATTTCTTGATGTTCTGTAGTTTACAGTAAAGAAATGGCTCCTGGCCAGGCACAGTGGCTCATGCCTGTAATCCCAGCATTTTGGGAGGCTGAGGCAGGCGCATCACCTGAGGTGAAGAGTTCAAGACCAGCCTGGCCAACGTAATGAAACTCTATCTCTACAGAAATACAAAACTTAGCCAGACATGATGGTGGGTGCCTGTAATCCCAGCTACTCTGGAGGCTCAGGTGGGAGAATTGCTTGAACCTGGAAGGTGGAGATTGGAGTGAGCTGAAATCACGCCATTGCACTCCAGCCTGGGCGACAGAGTGAGACTCTGTCTCAGAAAAAAAAAGAAATGACTCCTTACCTAGATCAACAAGTAATCATCTTTAAGCCTTGTAATATAAACAAAAAACAAATGTATTTTTCTTTATAATAAATACATTTATTTTCTTATTCTCTACTAAGGATGGGAGCCTATGTGTTATGTCTTTAGTTAACACTTATTTTCCACTATTTTTATTTGTATCTTTAGATATTCAGTTTGCCTTATTGTTTATATAAAACAGATTGTTTATTGTTTATATAAAATGGGTCTCTGGATTTCTGCCAAACTACTCTCAGTCCATACTACACAGGGACTATCTTAGCCTGTCCTTTCATCTCTTTATTCTCAAAAATCCACCACAGCCTCTGCCTTTTTCCTTATGGAATGTAGGAACCCAAACCTTCTCCTTGCTCCACTAGTTCCTCCCATTCCCACAGCTCTCTGGTTGGGTATTCTTCTATTGAGCTAGTGTGGACTTTTGGCAGACCATGGGAGTTTCTATGCATACCTTCCTAGAGCCTTTGATCAGTAAATACATTTTACACTTATGTAAATTCAAACTTAGGAGGAGGTGTGTTTTAATCCTCCAAAAGAAGAATGGGGGAACCTTTCACTTTCTATTTATATAGTTTATAAATTGTTTAAGTTTGACAACGAGCATTTGCTGTTTTCGTAACTGAAAAGTAAAGATGGTTCAATTTTGAAAAATGAAGTCAGGAATAGAGCCTTTTCTACCATTTCAGGTCTATTAAATGAACCTATCTATCTATATGTGTACATACTCGTACACACCCCACTACCGACATAGTGCAAAGTAGTGTTGAAAAACTCATAATGATTTGGAAAGCAAAAGCCATAAAAATGTTGATACTGTATGACCTGAGAACTCTATTTTTGAGAAACAACTTAAGGAAATAATTCAAAAGAATGAAAATCTAAAAAATCTATATATAGCCTTGTCTAGATGCTGAAAAGTTGGGGAAAGAAAACTTTAAAGTCAACATAGGGGGAAGAGTTAGGTAAATAATGATACATCAACTAGTTAGAATATTATTGCAACACTGAAAATGACTATTATAAAAACTATGTTAACAACATTGAATGTTTACAGTACAGAGAGAAAAGAATACACAATTATATGTACACTGATTACAGCTGTGTATAAAATGAATTGCATGTGGACAACTAGAAAGGAAAGTGGATAATGAAAACAGCTGTTCTAGTGTATTGGAATTATGGGGAAGTTTTGACATTTTATTGAATGCTTTTCCAGTACATAGGAAAAATTTGAGTTTCAGATTGTCAGTTAATTTAGATTATCGTTATTCTGAGAGTTTTGCAGCAAAAAGAAGGAAGAACTCTGGAATCTGAGCCCCTTTCTTCTCATGGACCAAAATAATTACATTGTAGGAAATAAGGAAACCTCTACTTTCTTAGAGACTTATAAAAATGAACATTATCAGGGTAAATGATACTGGAATGGCCTCCTGGGGGAGATTGTAGACTCCATTTTCAGAGATTGTTAAGAAAAATCAGAAAGTGGTATTGATTGATTTATTCATATTACAAAAGATGGATTGGCCGGGTGCAGTGGCTCATGCCTGTAATCCCAGCACTTTGTGAGGCCAAGGCAGGTGGATCACCTGAGGTCAGGAGTTCGAGACCAGCCTGGCCAACATGGTGAAACCACATCTCTACTAAACATCTGAAAATTAGCTGGGCATGGGGGCGGGCACCTGTAATCCCAGCTACTTGGAAGACTGAGGCAGGAGAACCACCTGAACCTGGGAGGTGGAAGTTGCAGTGAGCCTAGATTGAGCCATTGCACTCCAGCCTGGGTGACAACAGCGAAACTCCGTCTCAAAAAAAAAAAAAAAAGAAAAAAAGGATCAAATCTGATCATTTTTTTAAGAGCTTTATTGAAATAAAATTCATATACTATAAAACCCTTTTAAAGCACACAATTCAGTAATTTTTAATATATTCACAGTTCTACAACCATTGCCACTATCTAATTTTAGAACATTATTATTAAAATACCCATTAGCAATCATACCCCATTGCTCCCTCCCCCAGCCTCTGACAACCACTAATCTACTTGCTGTCTCTATGGATTTGCCTGTTCTAGACATTTCATATAAATGGAATCATACAGTATGTGGCTTTTTGTGCTTGTCTTCTTGTACTTAGCAAAATGTTTTCAAGGTTCATCCATGTTGTAGCATGTATCAATACTTCATTTCTTTTTATAGTTAAATAATATTCCATTGTATGGTATACCTTATTTTTTTTATCTACTTGATAGACATTTGGATTGTTTCCGTTTTGGGACTATTATGAGTAATGCTGCTGTGAATATTTGTGTACAGATTTTTGTGTGGACATATATTTTTAGTTCTTTTGAGTATATACTTAAGAATGAAATTGCTGGGTCATGTTGTAAGCCTATGTTTACCTTTTTGTGAAACTGCCAAACTGTTTTCCAAGGTAGCTGCACTATTTTACATCCCAACTAGCAATGAAGAAGAGTTCCCAGATGATCTTTTGACATCCCCTTCCAGTTCTTAACACAGTGCTTGTTAAATAGGAAACCCAAGAATAGATGCTAACTATTCTTACTGATACTGTCATCACTATCATTAGGGAAAGCTGATAATTACCCTGAGATACATTAACTGTATGTAAAATGAAGTTCCTGTATTATTTCCTTTACTACACTGCATCTTGCCTTTGTTATTCTCATTGATTGGTAATGGTATATATTTTAATTACATTTTATAGAGAGAGACTGTAACTGTATGTGTATAAATTTCCTCCATTTTCTTCAAGTAAACTACTCGCTCATGGATCTGAAGTCTGTAAATATTAAATACACGGACTCACATGTTTAGGGCATGCCATTTTGTCCTCCTTAGTCCTGAATTGTGTGGTAGTGGAGAGAGATCTACAGATATTGCTGTGTTGTAGCTGCAGGCTATGAGAGCAAGGGAAGATAAAGAAGGAAAATGGAAACCTGGACCTTAAACACCAGGATCACTGAGGTTAGAAGTACAGGAGGGTGTGTGTGTGTGTCCTTTTTTTTTTTTTTTTTTTTTTTGACAGTCTTGCTCTGTCACCCAGGCTGAAGTGCAGTGGTGCCATCTCGGCTTACTGCAACCTCCACCTCCCAGGCTCAAGAGACTCTGGTCCCTCAGCCTCCCGAGTAGCTGGGATTATAGGTGTGCACCACCACTCCTGGCTAATTTTTTTGTATTTTTAGTAGAGATGGGGTTTCACCAGGTTGGCCAGGCTGGTCTCAAACTCCTGGCCTTAAGCAATCCCCCCACCTCAGCCTCCCAAAGTGCTGGGATTACAGGTGTGAGCCACCGCGCCCAGCCCTAAGTGCCTACTTCCTTTTTTTTTTTTTCTTTTTGAGACGGAGTCTCACTCTGTTGCCCAGGCTGGAGTGCAATGGCACAATCTTGGCTCACTGCAACCTCCGCCTCCTAGGTTCAAGCACTTCTCCTGCCTCAGTCTCCCAAGTAGCTGGGACTACAGGTGCCCACCACTGTGCCCAGCTAATTTTTGTGTTTTTAGTAGAGACGGGGTTTCACCATGTTGGCCAGGCTGGTCTTGAACTCTTGACCTCAAGTGATCACCCACCTCGGCCTCCCAAAGTGCTGGGATTACACGCGAGAGCCACCGTGCCTGGCCGGTGCCCACTTCTTATGTGTGATCTCTCTTCCCTGTCCTCGCCTCCTGTGCTGTATTTCTTCTTCCCTACTCCCTTGTTGCCTCCCTGATGTCTTCCTATTTCCACTTTAAGGGGAAGCTCGTATAAAAGAACTTCACATGTGATTAATAATTAAAATGTTGATAATACAAAGACAACCTAGAACAAGCCATTGTTTTACACTGTGGGTTTTTTTCCCCACTGTTACATTTTTAAAATGTTTTCTTTCCTTTAATGCTCGTTAATCCAATTCATCTGACAGATGTCTACTGATAATCTAGTATGTGTCAGGCACTGTTTTAGGTACCTGTTTCTCTTCTCCATTGCCTTTTGCTCCTAACTTTTTCTATACCCTTAGTTCCTTTCCTGTCCCAAATTGGATGTCAGAGAGAGAGACAACTGAGAAAAAGAAATTGCAGTGATGGAGTGTCTATGTATATTATATTCTCTGCATATTCTAATAATCATTTCACTGATTTTCTTTGACTTCAAAATATTGTGTGCTTTGATTGAATGAATGCCTCAGAGTATGTATGGCAAGACATCCCATTTGTTTACACATTGGGTTTAAGGACTTCTTGCTGATTAGCTTACCTTTTTCCAGAATGGTAATATTGATCTATTCTTGATTTTCTAAGTCTGACAAAATGGGAAGAAAGCTCTGGCAGGAGGAGAAAGAAAGATACAGATCAGAGGAGACAGGCAGAGAGGGCCAAAATAAAAAGCTTTGCTAGAGGGAGAGCTATGCGGCAGAGAAGTTGGCTAAGGCCCCCAGGCACATAACGTATCATATACAGTATATTACTTACTGCTGCCCTCTGTGTGTCAGTTCAATAAAATAATTCAGTTACAGCTCATGGAGCAAGAAGGAACTTTAGAGATTATTTAATTTGCTTATAAAGAATGTGTCATGGAACATGCAAAGAACTCTACTTTCACCCTAATTAATACAAAAGGAGCCAATAATAGGAAAGACAAAATGGATATTTTTGCCATCTTTTATTTATTGACTGAGAATCTGTCTTCTCGAAGCAGAAATGTTCTCCAACTAGGTACACAAATGAATAGACCAGTATTTTCCCCTTTTTTTTTTCACATCATGGTATAAAAGAATGATAATTTGTAAAGTACTAGAGCAAACATACAGGGCTGCTGTCAACTTAGGTGACTGACCTGGGGTTGAAGCAATCAGTAGCTTGGGAATAAATTGTGTAAACTGCAGTATTGTAGTCATTAAATATTGAATTTTATCCTGCAATTAGAAAGCTAACACCTCATCTTGGTGACTTGATTTTAAAAAAGGAAGCTAACATGTTTTGGCATGAATAAGATAGCTGTAAATAATGGCCTGATTAACTCTGTTATCTTTTTTTTTCTCTCTTTTTCTTTTTCTTGGTCTTACTCTGTCACTCAGGCTGCTCACTGCAGCCCCGACCTCCTGGGTTTAAGCAATTCTCCTGCCTTAGCTTCCTGAGTACCTGGGTATACAGATGCATGCCACCATGCCTAGCTAATTTTTTTTTTTTATTTCATAGAGACAGGGTCTTGCTGTGTTGCACAGGCTGGTCTCAAACTCCTGGACTCAAGTGATCCTCCTTCCTCGCCCTCCCAAAGTGCTGGGATTGTAGGCGTGAGCCACTGTGCCTGGCCTCTATGGCTTATATATATAGATACATGATGTTGTGGCTGGTAGTCTAATGTATTAGGTATAGCTCCATCAGGGAAAAAGAAGTGCATATTTTAGATTATTAAATCTGGCCTCTGACTTTTAGTTTTTTATAACCACTTGGGTTTTGGAGAAAATTTGAGTGAGAATGTTGGACTCTAAGCTCTAGATCTTTGGACTCATCAAGCCTTGGATAAGAGGGTATGTGGGTCTTGAAAGTGATCTAATATGTTTTTTATAGGTATCTAACATTCTATAGTATTTTGAAAATTACACCTATATATTCATATAACACTTTAGTTCTCTGCATTTTCCCCTTTAGTTCTGAGGGAATTTTTTGGACCTATAATGAGAGATCTTCTTTTAAAATTACATTAATGTTTGGCATATATATTATATATATGTTATTTGTAAGTTATGAATATAATATTTGTAAGTTATGAATCATATAAAAAACTAACGCCCACAAACCTATCACAACTTTAGTGTTAAGTTAGTCTGTGTTAGTAAGTGCTGGGGATGGGGCAGCAACTTAAACATTCTCGTAACAAGTCCACTTCTCTTCCTAATAAGTATCCTTATATCGATACATTTCATTCCTTATTTTTAAAATGTGTAGTGTTGTGATTAAAACAAATTGAAACCAATGACAACAAATGTTGGTAAGGATGTGGAGAAACTGGATCACTCATACATTGCTGTTGAGAGTATAAAATGGTATAACTACTCTGCAAAATAGTTTGGCAGTTTCTTTAAAAACTAAACGTACCCTTTTTTTTTTTTTTTTTTTTTTTTTTTTGAGATGGAGTCCTGCTCTGTCACCCAGGCTGGAGTGCAGTGGCACAATCTCAGCTCACTGCAACCTCTGCCTCCTGGGTTCAAGTGATTCTTGTGCCTTAGCCTCCCAAGTAGCTGGGATTACAGGCACCTGCCACCACACCCAGCTAATTTTTTGTGTATTTTTAGTAGAGATGAGGTTTCACCATGTTGGCCAGGCTGGTCTCAAACTCCTGACCTCAAGTGATCTACCCGCCTAGGCCTCCCAAAGTGCTGGGATTACAGGCATGAGCCACTGCGCCTGGCCTAAACATGTAACTTTCATATGACCCAGCAATTATACTCCTGAGCATTTATTCCAGAGAAATGAAAATTTAACATAAAAACCTTCATATAAATATGCATAGTAGCTTAATTTGTAATACCCCAAAAGTGGAATCAGCTCAGATGTCCTTCAGTAGGTTAAACAAACTATGGTACGTATATAATATAGAATACTATTTAACAATACCATGCAAGGAACTGTTGATACATGTAATGTCTTAGTCTCTTCAGGCTGCTGTAACAAAGTACCATAAATTGGGCGGCTCATATAAACAACAGAAATTTATTTCTCAAAGTTTTAGAGGCTGGGAAGTTCAAGAACAAGGTACCTGCAGATTCAATGTCTGGTGAAAATCCATTTCCTGGCTCATAAAATGGTACCTTCTAGATGTGTTCCCACAGGGTGGAAGGAACAAGACAGCTTTCTGGGGCCTCTGTTATAAGAGCATTAATCCAATTAATGAGGGCTCTGCCCCCATGTTTTAGTCACCTCCCCAAAACTCACTTCCTCATACAATTACAATGGACATTAGGTTTTAACATTAATTTTGAGAGGGCCACAGACACTCAGACCATAGCATACAACAACTTGAATGAATCTCCAGGGAATTATGCTTGCCGAAAAAAAGCCAGTCTCAAAGTTTACATATTGTATGAATCCATTTATTTAACATTCTTGAAATCATAGAGATGGAGAACTGATTAACGGTTGCCAGGGAATGGGGGAGGTAATAGAGGTGGATGTGGCTATAAAAAGGCAACATGAGGGATACTAGTAGTGATGGAGTGGTTGTGTGCTTGACTGTAATAGTGGAGACATAGACCTACACATGATAAAATTGTATAAAAATAAATACATCCCCTACACCCCCCTGACAAGAGTACAAGTAAAACAGGAAGTCTGAATAAAATCAGTAGATTGTATCAATGTCAATATGGGGAAAACTGTGCAAAGGGATCTCTGTATTCTTTCTTACAGCTGCATATCATTGCACCATTATCTCAAAATAAAAAAATGCAATTTTAAGTAAAATTACTGGTTCAAATTTTTAAGAACTATAGCATATTTATTTTAATAATAATTATTTATTATTAAATTATTTATAAAGGAATGGAATCTTGGAATGGAAAGGACCTTTGAATGATGCACTCTAGTCACTGGCACTATTGTTGGTAGATGTTTGCTACAATCTCATTTTAGTAAACTAGACAGGTATTTCTGAGAGGTGCCTATTTAGCTTTTGTCTATACACTTTCCCCCTAAATTTAATGTGAATAACCTGAAGAGCTTGTAAGATGCATGTTCTCAGGCTTACTCCCTACGGATTCTGATTCAGTAGGTCTAGGGGTGGATCCTGGCAACGTACAATTAAAGAATGTTATCAGCTGACTGTGATTCAAGAGATCAGTCCATTGAATTCTGACTCAAGAGATCAACAATTATGAACAATAAATCATACTTGTTATGGTGAGTAAATAAGAACCCTTTAAATTTCTCTGTGGCATAGAGGATTTGTAGTTAGGTGAGAATTTTAATAGCAAAGTACTGATAAAATTTTCCAAACACCCACGTGTTGAAGAAAGAATGTTTGACCAAACTGAAGGTTTTACTTGCTCGGAATCAACAAGAACTTTGAACACAAAGAGCTTGCCCTAGGTTCTTAGATGGAAGGAGCCCTTCCCGTCTCTTAGCTGCCTGACCACTCGTGATTTATTTGGTACAAAGAAGGCAAAGACTCCTGCTTTAGACTGTACAAAGGGAAAGATACTAATGTGAAGAATGCCAAAGCACTTTATAAACTCTGAAAATAATCTATTCATTTAATTCCTTATGTTTTGTAAATGAGGTTCCAACTAAAGCACTTGGGCAGTCCTTTTATTCCCCCCTACACCCTGGTAGTCAAGTTACTTAAAATGATTGCTGTTATTGAAAAGCAGATACAGAGAAATTCTGTTCTACCTTTTGGGATGCCTAGGTTGCAGCTTGTTGAAATCTGAGTGACACTCTCTGCTCTACACCTAGGGCCAATAATCAGAACATCTTCGCTTGGGCTTATGTCAGAGTCCAGTCCTACTGTTTCCCCAATTCCTGGATATACATATTGAGTTGGTGAGTTGTCCTGTGAAAGCCACTCTTTCTGGGCTTGAGGCCAGGAAGCATCTCCCAACTCCTTCCTTTCCAGAGTGATCACAGGAGAACAAGTACATCTCTCCAAAGAAACCTCTGCAAATCCTCCCTCCTCTTGACCCCAGATATGACTCAGGGATGGTGAGGCATCGGAGAACCAGCCTGGACCCGTTTGGCTTTTATTGTGTGTATTTTCTGGGCACCTCATTTTGATGTACAGCTTTTATTTTATCTTTGTGCCTCATAGCACAAAGCACATAGCATTTTGTGTTTTATATAAGTTGGTATTTTGTGTAGTAAAGACACAAAAATATATATAGAATGAGACATACTGAATTTCAGGTATTCTCCTCTGCAGATGAAGGAAAAGATGGGGAATTTATGGAGAGAGGGTTTAGGTGTAGTCATAACATTTTATTTCCTCTTAGAAAAGAGTTTTAGTGTAGCAAACTGTTGACATCTGTTTACATTTAGTGGTGGGTACAGAGCTGCCTTTTATATTACTTTCCTAATTTTCTATATGGATATTTTTTCCTGAATTTGGAAATGTTTTGTAATTTAAAATTATTAATAGATGGAAAAATCGATCTAGGTTACAATACTTTTTCTGCTTTAAGTTTCTCTCTCTTAATTCTGAAAGACAGAGAAAACAGAAATCATCTGGTAGAAGCTGTCCCACCTCCCCACCCTCAGATGTGCATCCATCCTTACACTCTTCCTTCTGCTCTAGGGACAGCGGAGTTGGTGTCTCTCCTTGAGTCCAAGTCCAGCCCCTTTGTCCCCTCTTTGGATCTCTCCCTTCCAACCTCTCAGGAACCTTTGTGCTATTTAGCTGTCAACACCTCACTTTTCTGTCAACATTTAAACATGTGCTAGTTTCTCTTGGCTTTAAAAAACCTCTGCCTCAAGGCTCCTAATGCTCTATGTCTGTCCTCCCCTTCATAGTCTAACTTGTCTTAAGAGGTATCTACCTGGTTGTCTTTAATATCACACCTCCTACTCTTCAGCCTACTCCAGTCTGGCTTCTCTCCCATGAAGTTGCTCTTATCAAGGTCAACAGTGACTTCCATGTTACTAAATCCAATGGATATTTTCCAGTCTCCAACCTTTGACACCATTGACCACTCTCTTCTCAAAATCCTTTCCATGATTTCTGTGTTACAACATTCTCGTTTTCTTCTACCCTATCTGATCTTCCATGCTCTCTTTTATCAGCTTGTCTTTTTTTTACCCAACCATTAAATAGTGAAGATTCTCAGGGATCAGTCCTAAACCCTTTTCTCACTCTAATTTTTTTCCTCAGGTGATGACGACTACTCCCATGGCTTGTTACTTTCCCTGTGATTCCCAAACCTCTACCTCCAGTTCTGACCTCTGTTTTTCCTGCCATAGACCTGTACATACAGCTGCCTGCTAAATATCACTTGCATGACTCATAGACACTTCACTCTCAACATGTTCAAAACTGAACTCATCCTTCCCCAATGTTTTTGTCCTTCAGTGTTTTTGAAAATGGCACTAGAATCCATCTAGTTACTCAAGCCAGAAACTTGGGGCTCCTACTTGATTTCTTCCTCACTATCATCCACTGAGGTGGGAGGATCATTTGAACCTGGGAGGCAGAGTTTGCAGTGAACTGGGATCATGCCACTGAACTCCAGCCTGGGTGCTAGAGTAAGACCCTGTCTCAAAAAAATATATATTTTTAAAATTTTCTTATCAAGATCGAATTTACATAAAGTGAAATGCTGAGATTTTAAGTTGTACAGTTTGTTCAGCTTTGACAAATGCATTCATTAGTGTAAGCCTCATCCCTATTAAGATACAGAACAGGCTGCGCATGGTGGCTCATGCCTGTAATCCCACCACTTTGGGAGGCTGAGGCAGGAGAATCACTTGAGCCCAGGGGAGTTCAAGACAAGCCTGGGCAGCATAGCAAGACCCTGTCTCTACAAAAAAATAAAAAGTAAGCCAGGCATAGCGGGGTACACCTGTAGTCTTAGCTACTCAGGAGGATGAAGTGAGGGGATCCCTTGAGTCTAGGAGTTCAAGGTTGTAATAAGTTTTGATTGTGCCACTGTACTCCAGCCTGTGCCACAGAGCAAGACCCTGTCTCTAAAAAACTTTTTTTAATTAAAAAAAAATTAAAGCACAGAACATTTCCATCTTCCTAGAAATTTCTCTTGTGACCCTTCCCAGTCAGTCACTCTCCAAAGCAACCACTGATCTGATTCAATTTTTTAAATATTTTAATGTATTTTTAAGACAATACTGCAGAATAAAACACAAAAAGATGCTCTAAACCTTAAAAATAATTTATTGGTAGTATTCAAGTGGGGCTGTTCTAAAATATAGGACCTGTGGCATGTGATGATTAACTTTAGTTGCCCTGTTTTGTTCAACTTTAAAATTTTTACTTAGCATTATGGACTGTGCTATGGCAACATCTTCCCATCTCCTTATTATATTATTTCCCCAATTAACTTGTTTAAATCATACCTTAAGACTCCAGCAATTAAAAATATTGATTAGAAATTTTAGATTATTTTGTCATTCATTTGAATATTAAACATTTAAAGAGCCTAACTGAACCCAGACACTGACTTCTTTTGTTTATTTATAGGATAGGTGCAGTAGAGGCAGTTAAATGTGAGCTTGTTTATAATGGTCCACAATGGATTCAGTTCTAATTCAGAGGTACAATCTTTAAAGATAAGAGGTAATTTAGGCTCTCATACAAGTAGCTCAGCCCTTTCATTTACAGGTAGGCTGGTTTTAGGTCCATAGATTCTCTACGGAATTCCATGGCATCGTGAAAAGAGCAAGAGTACTAGGTATTACACTTACCTGGGAGAAACAAACACTACCAGGCCCCACATACTGTGCCTTTTTTTCACTCATCTGCATGCTTTTTTGACTGTGCATCTCTACTGGGAAATTTTTTGAGTATATCCCCCAATGTAGGTATCATTGTATTCATATTATATACATTATCATACTTATATAAATAGGAATTTTAAAATATATATTTTGTCCATGATTAAATTTTATATCTGCATTTTATTGATGAAGACACTAAAACTCAAAGAAGCTTAATAACTTACTCAAGTTCACGTAACTTACTAGTTGGATGATAAGTTGACAAATTCCAAACCATTTTGGGGCCTCATTTATAAAGTTATTCCAACTATGTTATCTTCAAGGCCTCTTCTAGCCCTTAACAACTTGTGCTTCTATGCTAGCTAACACTCATCTGTCTAAGACTTAGTCTCTGATTTAATATTTCTTTGCAGATATGGCCCTATTATCCATATATTAATGGCTAGTAATGTTAGGAAATAGTGGGTGGAAGAAGAGAAACTTACATTTAAAACAGTATCAAGCTAGCTTGTTCTTTGGTATAATTTTTTAAATCCTTCACAGAAATAGAAAAAAAATCCTAAAATTTATGTGGAACCACAGAAGACCCAGAATAGCCAAAGTCATCCTGAGCAAAAAGAACAAAACTAAAGGAATGACATTACTTGACTTAGAATTATACTACAGAGCTATTATAACCAAAACAGCATGGCACTGACATAAAAACAAGCACAGAGACCAAGGGAACAGGATAGAGAACCCAGAAATAAATATATACATCTACAGTGAACTCGTTTTTGACAAAGGTGCCAAGAATATACATTGGGGAAAGGACAGTGTCTTCAATAAATGGTCCTGAGAAAACTGGATATCCTTATGCAGAAGAATTAAACTAGACCCCTATCTCTCAACAAAAACAAAAATCAAATCAAAATGGATTAAAGACTTAAATCTAATACCTGAAATTATGAAACTACTACCAGAAAACACTGGGGAAATTCTCCAGGAAATTGGTCTGGGCAAAGATTTATTGATTAATACCCTAAAGTACAGGCAACCAAAGTGAAAATGGACAAATGGAATCACGTCAAGTTAAAAAGCTTCTGCACACCAATGGAAACAATCAACCAAGTGAAGAGACAACCCACAGAATGGGAGAAAATATTTGCAAACTACCCATCTGACAAAGGGATTAATAACCAGGATATATAAGGAACTTAATAGGGAAAAAATCTAATAATCTGATTTTAAAATGGGCAAAAGATCTGAATAATGTTTCTTAGAAGAAAACATACAAATGGCAATCAGGTATATGAAAAGGTACTTAACATTGCTGATCATCAGAGAAATGTATCTCACTCTAGTTAAAATGGCTTCTATCCAAAAGACAGGCAATAACAAATGCTGGCAAGGATGTAGATAAAAAGGAACCCTTGTATGTTTTTGATGGGAATGTAGGTTAGTACAGCCATTATAGAGAATGGCATGGTTGTTCCTCAGAAAACTAAAAATAGATCTACCATATGATCTGGCAATCCCACTGCTAGGTATACACCCAAAAGAAAGGAATTAAGTATATAAAATAGGTTTCTGCATTCCCATTAGATTGTAGCACTATTCACAATAGCTAAGATTTGGAAGCAACCTAAGTGTCCATCAGCAGATGAACAGATAAAGAAAATGTGGTACATATACACAATGGAGTACTATTCAGCCATAGGAAAAAAATGAGATCCTGTCATTTACAACAACATGGATGGAACTGGAGGTCATTATGTTAAGTGAAATAAACCAGGCATAGAAAGACAAACTTCACATGTTCTCACTTATTTGTGAGAGCTAAAAATTAAAACAATCGAACTTGTAAAGAGTAAAATGATGGCTATTAGAGACTGGGAAAGGTAGTGGGGTGGACGGGAAGTGGGGATAGTTAATGGGTATGAAAATATAGTTAGAATGAATAAGATCTAGTATTTGTTAGCACAACAGTAATTATAGTCAACAGTAATTTATTGTACATTTAAAAATAACTAAAAAGGTATAATTGGAATGTTCATAACATAAAGAAAAAATAAATGCTTGAGTTGATGGATACCCCATTTACCCTCAGTTGATTATTATTCATTGCATGCCTGTACAAAATCTCGTGTACCTCATAAATATATACACCTATAATGTACCGACAAAAATTAAAAAATTAAGAAAAATTCCATTGCCATCTTTTGCTTATAGGTATATGCTGTGTATTTAAGAGATTTATAGCAACATTCACTTAAAACATAATTTACCAGATACCTATTACCCTAAACACCATAGGTAATTCTATCAGTATATTTTCATGAGGATCTTTGGGTAATTATTTTTCAGCATTTTCCCATATGGCAAGGTGAAGCCTATTATTTTTCTAGGTACTTGTGTTGCTGTAAGTAACCACCAGTATGGAAGGTGCCTCAATTCCCTGCAATGCCACAGCAAAAACACTTTTATTTAGAAATAGTCTCAGTGCAATTTCTTTGTAAGTCAGCTGTTTCCTTCTAAGTAAAAATTGCTTTGATCAAAAGATCTGTCATTTGTCTCTGAAACATTTTCTATAAGTTTTGTTTTGGTTTCAGCCTTCTTTGGAATTTAAGAGAGAAATGAGAAGACAATTTTGGATTAACACCTGTCTGAGAAATTCCAAAATTAGAAATGGCCATCTGGTTTACATGTTTTGCAAAATAGGGTTTTACCATTCCAAAGAGATTTTTAGGCTCTTCTAAAAACTGCTGCAGCTATCAACATTTTACTATCAAACTGAAAACAGAATAGTTAAATAGGTGTTGGTGATGTTCATTCTAAGAAGGAAAGCTACAGTAACAACCTTTCTCTGTTCTCTGAGACACTTAGATGGGCAGTTTAAGGCCATATTTCTCATTGCCTGGGCCCACATAACCTGACGGCCTATCTTAGATTTCACTGTTATAATTATTTTAGGTCAAGCCCAAAGAATTCAAACTTGGTAGCTCTTACGATACCTGAATTTGACCTAGGTCATCCCTATGTTGAGGGTTCTTTAGATTTTGACTAGCTCTCCTGCCTCCTATAATCACTTTGACATACATTTCCTAGATAAATTCCTGAAATTCTGCATTTTAGAAGTTCTGAGTTGGTCATTCACCAGCTCTTATCAGTGCCTCACAGGTCTAAGTATAACTGGACTTTTACCAGAGTTAGTACTTAATATTAAGAGAGCATATTTTCAAAAGTGTCAAGGCCACTGTCAAGGAAATGAAACTAAAACTGTAATTGCCTATAGAATTGGATGCTGGAGAAGGTAAAATGCAGTGAATGCTAATTGTTACAAGCATTTTAGAAAGCAGTGTAACATTAGCCTGGGGATAGTGGTTCACCCCTGTAATCCCAGCACTTTGGGAGGCCAAGGTGGGAGGATTTCTTGAGCCCAGGAGTTCAAGACCCACCTGGTCAACATGGCAAAACCCTGTTTCTACAAAAAATACAAAAATTAGCCTGGAGTGGTGGTGTGTGCCTGTAGTCCCAGCTACTTGTGAGGCTGAGGTGGGAGGATCACCTGAGGTCCTGGGAGGTCAAGACTGCAGTAAGCCACTGCATTCCAGCCTGGGCAATAGAGTGAGATCCTGTTTCAAAAAATAAATAAAAAGAAAGCAGTGTAACATTATGTTTCAGAAATTTTTAAAACTGCAATGCATACCCTTTGACCTAAGAATTTTACTTACTGAATGTCTCTCCTGAGGAAATAATAAAACACTCAGGCACGCTCCAAGTGACATCAGCAAGATGGCCGACTAGAAGCCCCTCGTGGTCATCATCCTCACAAAGAACCAAAACAATAGCTAAACCACATTTTAATGAAAATAACTGAAGGAGGGTACTGGAGTACATTGGAGAAATCAAAGAAACAGGTGAGCACAGGAACTTGGTAGGGCCACATAGAGAACGGAAGGCAACATCATCCTCCACCACCCCACCCCCTAATCAGGATCAGCTGGAAACCAGGGGAAATTTCTCCCTGCAGTGAGGAGGTAAGCAAGAAGATCTTAGCAACCCCTATCAACACCTTGGCCAACTATAGTCCTCACCATTAGGGTCCCCTGCAGTTTTCACAGACACTAAGGCCAGCTGAGGGAGCCACCTAGAGTCCACATAGCTATGGTCTCCCTATAGATGAAGAAGTAGACACTGTGCTCCACTCCTTGTGGGCCTCATGGCTACTGCACTATGCCATCTTGGAGCCGGTACTGTGTCTGGAGTGTGTCTTCCTCCATGGGTGAGTAGCCACAGCTCCCCTTCATCCCTGAGGCTGAGCCACTGCTGAACTACCCCAGCCCAGTGGCCACACATCCCCAAGCCAAGCTGTGTTTAGCTTTTACACTCTTCCCTGTGGGGACAAGTGGAGGTGGAGCTACTCCACCTACCCCTTACCCTGCCCTTTGGGCCAGAGCTGAAGTAGTAACCTGTCTCTTGGGAAAACAGTACTTAGGCTGCTCAGGCCTCCCCAGTGCCTAAGTTGAAGCAGCACTCTGCATCCCAGAAAACAATGCCTTGGCTGCCCAGAGTGGTCACACACCTCGGTACCTAAGGTGAAGTGGCATCCTGCATCCCAGGGAAATGGTGCCTGGGCTTCCAAGAACATTCACACACTGCCCTCCCGCGTCCCCCACCAGCCAATCTGAGCTGAAGTGGCACTTCACCCCCTAGGTAATCAGTACACTGGCTAAGCTGAGCAGCTGTGCATCCCAGGGCTGAGCTGATGTAATATCCTGTGTCCTAGGGAAACAGAGCAGTGGCTGAGCTGAGACATCCCACCTTATAAGCCAGACAACTTTAGTACCCTGCTTCCCTGGAACTGGACTAGCTCCCTAGAGTCTGAGCTGCTGACACCCCTCTCCTTGGGGTATATAGTCATTGCTGTGCATTCCCTGCCTCCCAGGGCCCAAACAACAGCTGTGTTCCATTATTCTGGGATATTTGCTGCCACTGCACCTGGCATCACAGAATCTGAGTTACTTCCAAGTCCCACCATCTCAGGGTATACAGTCACTACTACACAGTGCCTCATCCACTGGGACCTGAGTTGTTACTGAGCCGTATTGGCTCAGGTTTCCAAGTTGCAGCCATACCCTGCTCCTGAACCCCAAATCTCCAAAGCACCCCTTCCTCCCCAGAGTGGTTCAGTGCTATACTGTGACCCCTAGGGGTACAATCACAGCTGCAGCCTAGCTCCGTGGGCCCAAGCTGCTAGGGAGTACTTCACAATCACAGATCCTAGCTCAGTAGGCAGCCTACATCCAACCTGCCACAGAAAATGAACCTGTGCCCCAAGACCCAGCTGCTACAATAGGTTGGCAAAACCCTGCACCTAGGACCCTGGCCTCACAGCTGCTCTGAACACCTGCTCCCAGAACCCAGCACTGCTACATCTGCTTGTAGGCCATGTCAGACCTGACACAAAAAAGGATCCCCTCAGCTAAGTCTCCCCATTCTGGGGAAAATAAGAATAGAAGGACCCCAAAGGCCCTTGATACTGAGGACATTAACAATGTATGCTGCCACCCTGCCACAACCACAGATTTCTATAGCCTATGCCATTGAGGTGTCTGCAGTTATTGCTAACATTGAACACAGCTGAAGAAGCTACACAGAGACTGTACCACTACACTTACCTGGACAGAGTCATTGTACTCTTCCTAATCAGCACACTAAGTTCCAACTATAGGTGAAAGTTTTTCTCTATGAAAACCACTTTAGAAAGTTTTCAAGAGGCAGTTGTTGCTCCAGCTGCACAAACATCAACACATGGACATAAAAAAAAAAACATGAAAAAGCAAGGAAAGCTGAAGAAAAGCAAGGAAAGCCAGTTTTACCAAGCCAGGATCTGTATGATATACCTTTTAGCAGCTTGGGTCCACAGGGCTAGGTTGTAGCTATAATTCTACCCTAGGGGGCAGGGCACAACACTGGCCACACTCTAGGGAGGAAGGGGTGCTCTGAAGATTTGGGCCTCAGGAGTAGGGTAGGGCTGCAATTTGGAAACCTGACACTGCCAAAGGAACATAACTCTCTAGTGACAGACCCCAATGAAAAGGAAATCAGTGAATTTCTAGAAAAGGAATTTCAAAATAATGATCTTAGGGAAACTCATTGAGATACAATACAAGAAAATACAGATAGACAATGAAATCAGGAAAACAATTCATGATATGACCAAGAAATTCAACAAAGAGATAGAATCATAAACAAGAACCAAACAGAAAATTTGCAGCTGAAGAAGTCAATGAATGAAATAAATATGTTAGAGAGTTTCAACACCAGTCTTGATCAAGCAGAAGAATCTCTGGATTTGAGGGCAGATCATTTGAAATTACCCAGTCAGGGGGAAAAAAAAGTAAGAATGAAAAACAGTGAAGAAAGCCTGCAAGACTTATGGGACACCATTAAGTGAACAAATATTTGTCTTATGGGAGTTCAGAAAGAGAAAAGAAGGGAAAAGGTGTAGAAAACCTACTTGATGAAATAATAGCTGAAAACTTCCCAAGACTGAGGAGAGGTATAGACATCCAGATCAAGGAAGCTCAAAGATTCAACCCAAAATGATCCTTCCTGAGGCACATTACAGTCAAATTGTCAAAAGTCAAAAACAAAGAATTCTAAAAACTCCAAGAGAAAAGTGTCAAGTCACATATAAGTGAACCCTCATTAGACTAACAGCAGATTTCTCTGCAGAAACCTTACAGGCCAGGAGAGAATGGGATGTGCTGAAAGAAAAAAAAAATAGCCAGCCAGGAATACCACACCCAGCAAAGCTATCCTTCAGAAATGAGGGAGAAATAAAGTGTTTCCCAGATAAGCAAAAATAAAGGGAATTCAACACCACTAGACCAGCCTTACAAGAAATACTTAAGGAAGTCTTATCTCTGGAAGTGAAAAGATAATCATCACTATGATGAACACTCAAAAGTAAAAAACTTGTAGAGCACGTTCATGAAGGAGAACAAGAAAAGAATCAAACCATAGCACTACAAAATACCACCAAATGACAATGATAAACATTAAGAGAGGAAAAAAGGAAAAGGAACAAAGGATATACAAAACAAGCAGAAAACAATTAATAAAATGAAGAAGCGAGTTTTCCCCTATCAATAATAAGCTTTAAGAGAAATAGATTAAATCCCCCACTTAAAAAGTATAGACTGGCTGAATGGATGAAAAAGTCATTACCAGCTATATGCTGCCTACAAGAAACTCACTTCAATTGTAAAGACACATATAGACTGAAAGTGAAGGGATGGAAAATGATATTTCACACAAATGGAACCTAAAAGTGAGCAGAAGTAGCTATGCTTATGTCAGATAAAACAGACTTTAAGTCAAAAACTATACAAAGAGGCAAAGAAGGTCATTACATAATGTTAAAGGGATCAATTCAGCCAGAGGATATAACAATTATAAATATATATGAACCCAACACTGTAGTACTCAGATATATATAAAGCATATCTTATTTGATCTAAATGGAGAGATAGAGTCTGATACAATAAAAGTTGGGGGTTTCAGCACTCCACACTCAGCATTTGGATAGATCATCTAGACAGAAAATCAACAACAGAAATGAATATAAAGTACATTTTAGGCCAAGTGCAATTGCTCATGCCTGTAATCCCAACACTTTGAGAGGCTGACATGGGAGGATATTTGAATCCAGGAGTTTGAGGTTAGCCTGGGCAACATAGGGTGACCCCCGTCTATACAAAAACATTAAAAAGCAAAATAGCCAGGCATGGTGGCACATGTCTGTGGTCGCAGCTACTCGGGAAGGTGAAGTGGGAGGGTTGCTTGAGCCCAGGAGGTCAAGGCTGCAGTGAGCCATGATTGTGCCAGTGCACTCCAGCCTGGGTGACAGAGTGAGACCCTATCTCTAAATAAGACAGACTCATACCTGTAATCCCAGCACTTTGGGAAGTCAAGGCAGAAGGATCACTTGAAGCCAAGAGTTTGAAACCAGCCTGGGCAACAAAACAAGACCTCATCTCTACAAAAACCGTAAACAAATAAAAATTAGCAAGGTATGGTGGTTCACACCTATAGTCCCAGCTACTCAGGAGGCTGAGATCAGAGAATCCCTTGAGCCCAGTAGTTCAAGGCTGCAGTGACTATGTTCATACCACCGCACTCTATCCTGGATGACAAGGTGATATGTTTTGTGATATGGTTTGAATGTTTGTCCCCTCCAAATCTCATGTTGAAATGTAATCCCCATTATTGGAGATGGGGTCTGGTGGGAGGTGTTTGGATCATGGGGGTGGATCTCTCATGAATGGCTTAGCACCATCCCCTTGGTGATGAGTGGGTTATTGCTCTGAGTTCATGTGAGATCTGGTTGTTTAAAAGTGTGTAGCACTTCCCCCTTCCCCCGTTGCTCTCTTCACCATGTGACAGGCTGGCTCCCTGTCACTTTCACCATGACTGTAAGTTGCTGAAGGCCCTCATCAGAAGCTGAGCAGATGTTGGCACCATGCTTCTTGTACCTTGTACAGCCTGCAGAACCATGAGCCAATTAAACCTCTTGTTTTTTTTGTTTGTTTGTTTTTTGTTTTTTTTGAGATGGAGTCTCGCTCTGTTGCCCAGGCTAGAGTGCAGTGACACAATCTTGACCCACTTCAACCTCCATCTCCCAGATTCAAGCAATTCTTCTGCCTCAGCCTCCCAAGTAGCTGAGACTATAGGTGCACGCCACCACGCATGGCTAATTTTTGTATTTTTAGTAGAGATAAGGTTTCACCACATTAGCCAGGCTGGTCTTGAACTCCTGACCTCAAGCGATCCACCTGCTTTGGCATCCCAAAGTGTAATCCTTTTTTTTGTTTTTATACATTATCTAGCCTCAGGTATTCCTTTATAGTGACACAAAACAAATTAATACACCTTGTCTCTTTAAAAAAAAAAAAAGGAACTTCTGATATGTTACAAACAGGAAATTAAACAGCATGCTCCTGAGTGACCAATGGGTCAATGAAGAAATGAAAAAGGAAATTTTTTTTTTATTATACTTTAAGTTTTAGGGTACATGTGCACAACGTGCAGGTTTGTTACATATGTATACATGTGCCACGTTGGTGTGCTGCACCCATTAACTCGTCATTTAACATTAGGTATATCTCCTAATGCTATCCCTCCCCCCTCCGCCCACCCCACAACAGGCCCCGGTGTGTGATGTTCCCCTTCCTGTGTCCATGTGTTCTCATTGTTCAATTCCCACCTATGAGTGTGAACATGCGGTGTTTGTTTTTTTTGTCCTTGCGATAGTTTGCTGAGAATGATGGTTTCCAGCTTCATCCATGTCCCTACAAAGGACATGAACTCATCCTTTTTTATGGCTGCATAGTATTCCATGGTGTATATGTGCCACATTTTCTTAATCCAGTCTATCACTGATGGACATTTGGGTTGGTTCCAAGTCTTTGCTATTGTGAATAGTGCCACAGTAAACATACATATGCATGTGTCTTTATAGCAGCATGATTTATAATCCTTTGGGTATATACCCAGTAATGGGATGGCTGGGTCAAATGTTATTTCTAGTTCTAGATCCCTGAGGAATCGCCACACTGACTTCCACAATGGTTGAACTAGTTTACAGTCCCACCAACAGTGTAAAAGTGTTCCTATTTCTCCACATCCTCTCCAGCACCTGTTGTTTCCTGACTTTTTAATGATCACCATTCTAACTGGTGTGAGATGGTATCTCACTGTGGTTTTGATTTGCATTTCTCTGATGGCCAGTGATGATGAGCATTTTTTCATGTGTCTTTTGGCTGCATAAATGTCTTCTTTTGAGAAGTGTCTGTTCATATCCTTCACCCACTTTTTGATGGGGTTGTTTGTTTTTTTCTTGTAAATTTGTTTGAGTTCATTGTAGATTCTGGATATTAGCCCTTGGTCAGATGAGTAGATTGCAAAAATTTTCTCCCATTCTGTAGGTTGCCTGTTCACTCTGATGGTAGTTTCTTTGCTGTGCAGAAGCTCTTTAGTTTAATTAGATCCCATTTGTCAATTTTGGCTTTTGTTGCCATTGCTTTTGGTGTTTTAGACACGAAGTCCTTGCCCATGCCTATGTCCTGAATGGTATTGCCTAGGTTTTCTTCTAGGGTTTTTATGGTTTTAGGTCTAACATTTAAGTCTTTAATCCATCTTGAATTAATTTTTGTATAAGGTGTAAGGAAGGGATCCAGTTTCAGCTTTCTATATATGGCTAGCCAGTTTTTCCAGCACCATTTATTAAATAGGGAATCCTTTCCCCATTTCTTGTTTTTGTCAGGTTTGTCAAAGATCAGATAGTTGTAGATATGTGGCATTATTTCTGAGGGCTCTGTTCTGTTCCATTGGTCTACATCTCTGTTTTGGTACCAGTACCATGCTATTTTGGTTACTGTAGCCTTGTAGTATAGTTTGAAGTCAGGTAGTGAGATGCCTCCAGCTTTGTTCTTTTGGCTTAGGATTGACTTGGCAATGCGGGCTCTTTTTTGGTTCCATATGAACTTTAAAGTAGTTTTTTCCAATTCTGTGAAGAAAGTCATTGGTAGCTTGATGGGGATGGCATTGAATCTATAAATTACTTTGGGCAGTATGGCCATTTTTACGATATTGATTCTTCCTACCCATGAGCATGGAATGTTCTTCCATTTGTTTGTATCCTCTTTTATTTCCTTGAGCAGTGGTTTGTAATTCTCCTTGAAGAGGTCCTTCACATCCCTTGTAAGCTGGATTCCTAGGTATTTTATTCTCTTTGAAGCAATTGTGAATGGGAATTCACTGATGATTTGGCTCTCTGTTTGTCTGTTATTGGTGTATAAGAATGCTTGTTATTTTTGCACATTGATTTTGTATCCTGAGACTTTGCTGAAGTTGCTTATCAGCTTAAGGAGATTTTGGGCTGAGACGATGGGGTTTTCTAGATATACAATCATGTCATCTGCAAACAGGGACAATTTGACTTCCTCATTTCCTAATCGAATACCCTTTATTTCCTTCTCCTGCCTGATTGCCCTGGCCAGAACTTCCAACACTGTGTTGAATAGGAGTGGTGAGAGAGGGCATCCCTGTCTTGTGCCAGTTTTCAAGGGAATGCTTCCAATTTTTGCCCATTGAGTATGATATTGGCTGTGGGTTTGTCATAGATAGCTCTAATTATTTTGAGATATGTCCCATCAATACCTAATTTATTGAGAGTTTTTAGCATGAAGGGTTGTTGAATTTTGTCAAAGGCCTTTTCTGCATCTATTGAGATAATCATGTGGTTTTTGTCATTGGTTCTGTTTATATGCTGGATTACGTTTGTTGATTTGTATATGTTGAACCAGCCTTGCATCCCAAGGATGAAGCCCACTTGATCATGGTGGATAAGCTTTTTGATGTGCTGCTGGATTCAGTTTGCCAGTATTTTATTGAGGATTTTTGCATCGATGTTCATCAGGGATATTGGTCTAAAATTCTCTTTTTTTGTTGTGTCTCTGCCAGGCTTTGGTATCAGGATGGTGCTGGCCTCATAAAATAAGTTAGGGAGGATTCCCTCTTTTTCTATTGATTGGAATAGTTTCAGAAGGAATGGTACCAGCTCCTCCTTGTACCTCTGGTAGAATTTGGCTGTGAGTCCATCTGGTCCTGGACTTTTTTTGGTTAGTAAGCTATTAATTATTGCCTCAATTTCAGAGCCTGTTATTGGTCTATTCAGGGATTCAACTTCTTTCTGGTTTAGTCTTGGGAGGGTGTATGTGTCGAGGAATTTATCCATTTCTTCCAGATTTTCTAGTTTATTTGCGTAGAGGTGTTTGTAGTATTCTCTGATGGTAGTTTGTATTTCTGTGGGATCAGTGGTGATATCCCCTTTATCATTTTTTATTGCCTCTATTTGATTCTTCTCTCTTTTCTTCTTTATTAGTCAAGCTAGCGGTCTATCTATTTTGTTGATCTTTTCAAAAAACCAGCTCCTGGATTCATTGAATTTTTGAAGGGTTTTTTGTGTCTCTATTTCCTTCAGCTCTGCTGTGATCTTAGTTATTTCTTGCCTTCTGCTAGCTTTTGAATGTGTTTGCTCTAGCTTCTCTAGTTCTTTTAATTGTGATGTTAGGGTGTCAATTTTAGATCTTTCCTGCTTTCTCTTGTGGGCATTTAGTGCTATAAATTTCCCTCTACACACTGCTTTGAATGTGTTCCAGAGATTCTGGTATGTTGTATCTTTGTTCTTGTTGGTTTCAAAGAACATCTTTATTTCTGCCTTCATTTCATTATGTACCCAGTAGTCATTCAGGAACAGATTGTTCAGTTTCCATGTAGTTGAGCGGTTTTGAGTGAGTTTCTTAATCCTGAGTTCTAGTTTGATTGCACTGTGGTCTGAGAGACAGTTTGTTATAATTTCTGTTGTTTTCCATTTGATGAGGAGTGCTTTACTTCCAACTACGTGGTCAGTTTTGGAATAGGTGTGGTGTGGTGCTGAAAAGAATGTATATTCTGTTGATTTGGGGTGGAGAGTTCTGTAGATGCCTATTAGGTCCGCTTGGTGCAGAGCTGAGTTCAATTCCTGGATATCCTTGTTGACTTTCTGTCTCATTGATCTGTCTAATGTTGACAGTGGGGTGTTAAAGTCTCCCATTATTATTGTGTGGGAGTCTAAGTCTCTTTGTAGGTCTCTGAGGACTGGCTTTATGAATCTGGGTGCTCCTGTATTGGGTGCATATATATTTAGGATAGTTAGCTCTTCTTGTTGAATTGATCCCTTTACCATTATGTAATGGCCTTCTTTGTCTCTTTTGATCTTTGTTGGTTTAAAGTCTGTTTTATCAGAGACTAGGATTGCAACCCCTGCCTTTTTTTATTTTCCATTTGCTTGGTAGATCTTCCTCCATCCCCTTATTTTGAGCCTATGTGTGTCTCTGCACGTGAGATGGGTTTCCTGAATACAGCACACTGATGGGTCTTGACTCTTTATCCAATTTGCCAGTCTGTGTCTTTTAATTGGAGCATTTAGCCCATTTACATTTAAGGTTAATATTGTTATGTGTGAATTTGATCCTGTCATTATGATGTTAGCTGGTTATTTTGCTCGTTAGTTGATGCAGTTTCTTCCTAGCCTCGATGGTCTTTACAGTTTGGCATGTTTTTGCAGTGGCTGGTACCGGTTGTTCCTTTCCATGTTTAGTGCTTCCTTCAGGAGCTCTTTTAGGGCAGGCCTGATGGTGACAAAATCTCTCAGCATTTGCTTGTCTGTAAAGGATTTTATTTCTCCTTCACTTATGAAGCTTAGTTTGGCTGGATATGAAATTCTGGGTTGAAAATTCTTTTCTTTAAGCATGTTGAATATTGGCCCCCACTCTCTTCTGGCTTGTAGAGTTTCTGCCGAGAGATCCGCTGTTAGTCTGATGGGCTTCCCTTTGTGGGTAACCTGACCTTTCTCTCTGGCTGCCCTTAACATTTTTTCCTTCATTTCAACTTTGGTCACTCTGACAATTATGTGTCTTGGAGTTGCTCTTCTCGAGGAGTATCTTTGTGGCGTTCTCTGTATTTCCTGAATCTGAATGTTGGCCTGCCTTGCTAGCTTGGGGAAGTTCTCCTCGATAATATCCTGCAGAGTGTTTTCCAACTTGGTTCCATTCTCCCCGTCACTTTCAGTTACACCAATCAGATGTAGATTTGGTCTTTTCACATAGTCACATATTTCTTGGAGGCTTTGTTCATTTCTTTCTATTCTTTTTTCTCTAAACGTCTCTCCTGGCTTCATTTCATTCATTTGATCTTCCATCACTGATACCCTTTCTTCCAGTTGATCGAATCGGCTACTGAGACTTGTGCATTCATCACATAGTTCTCGTGCTGTGGTTTTTTAGCTCCATCAGGTCCTTTAAGGACTTCTCTGCATTGGTTATTCTAGTTAGCCATTCATCTAATCTTTTTTTAAGGTTTTTAACTTCTTTGCCATGGGTTCGAACTTCCTCCTTTAGCTCGGAGTAGTTTGATCATCTGAAGCCTTCTTCTCTCAACTCGTCAAAGTCATTCTCCATCCAGCTTTGTTCCATTGCTGGTGAGGAGCTGCATTCCTTTGGAGAAGGAGAGGCACTCTGCTTTTTAGAATTTTCAGTTTTTCTGCTCTGTTTTTTCCCCATCTTTGTGGTTTTATCTGCCTTTGGTCTTTGATGATGGTGACGTACAGGTGGGTTTTTGGTGTGGATGTCCTTTCTGTTTGTTAGTTTTCCTTCTAACAGTTAGGACCCTCAGCTGCAGTTCTGTTGGAGTTTGCTGGAGGTCCACTCCAGACCCTGGGTATCAGCAGCAGAGGCTGCAGAACAGCGGATATTGATGAACAGCAAATGTTGCTGCCTGATCGTTCCTCTGGAAGTTTTGTCTCAGAGGAGTACCCAGCTGTGCGAGGTGTCAGTATCTGCCCCTACTGCGGGGTGCCTCCCAGTTAGGCTACTCGGGAGTCAGGGACCCAGTTGAGGAGGCAGTCTGTCCGTTCTCAGATCTCAAGCTGTGTGCTGGGAGAACCACTACTCTCTTCAAAGCTGTCAGACAGGGACATTTAAGTCTGCAGAGGTTTCTGCTGCCTTTTGTTTGGCTATGCCCTGCCCCCAGAAGTGGAGTCTACAGAGGCAGGCAGGCCTCCTTGAGCTGCGGTGGGCTCCACCCAGTTGGAGCTTCCTGGCCGCGTTGTTTACCTACTCAAGCCTCGGCAATGGCAGGCACCCCTCCCCCAGCCTCGCTGCCGCCTTGCAGTTTGATCTCAGACTGCTGTGCTAGCAATGAGCGAGGCTCCATGGGCGTAGGACCCTCCAAGCCATGCGTAGGATATAATCTCCTGGTGTGCTGTTTGCTAAGACCATTGGAAAAGCGCAGTATTAGGGTAAAGTGACCCGATTTTCCAGGTGCCATCTGTCACCCCTTTCCTTGGCTAGGAAAGGGAATTCCCTGACCCCTTCCTCTTCCCGGGTGAGGCAATGCCTCACCCTGCTTCAGCTCAGGCTCGGTGCACTGCACCCACTGTCCTGCACCCACTGTCTGACAATCCCCAGTGCGATGAACCCAGTACCTCAGTTGGAAATGCAGAAATCACCTGTGTTCTGCATCGCTCATGCTGGGAGCTGTAGACTGGAGCTGTTCCTATTCGGCCATCTTGGCTCCACCCCGAAATTTTTTATTTTATTGAAAGAAATGAAAATAGAAACACAATATAACAAAACCTGTGGGATACAGCAGATTAAGAGGGAAATTTATAGCAATAAACACCTACATCCAAAAAGTAGAAAGATTTTAAATAAATGAATTAACAATGTATCTCAAGGAGCTAGAAAAGCAAGAATAAACCAAACCCAAAATTAGAAATAAATAAATAATAAAGATCAACTAAAAAAAAACCACAAAAGATCAATGAAATGAAAAATTGGTTTTTCAAAAAGACAAACAAAATTGGTAAACCATTAGCTGGACTAACCAAGAAAAAAGAGAAAATACCTAAATAAATAAAATCAGAAATGAAAAAGGAGATATGACAGCTGATAACACAGAAATACAGAGTATCATTAGAGACTTTGTATCATGAAGAACTGCACACCAACAAATTAGAAAACTAGAGGAAATGGATAAATTTTTGGACATAAACATTCTACCAAGATTGAACCAAGAAGAAATAGAAAACCTGAACAGACCAATTACAAGTAATGAGATTGAATCTATGAATTTGTAATAAAATGTTTCCTATCATAAAAAGGCCCAGGACCCAATGGCTCCACTGCAGAATTCTACCAGATATTTAAAGAACTAATACCAATTCTCAAACTCTCCCAGAAAACTGAAAAGAAGGGCATTCTTCCAACTTATTCTATAATGCCAGTGTTACTTCAATACCAAAACCAGACAAGGACACCAGAAAAAAAGAAAACTATAGGCTAATATACCTGATGAACATAGATGTAAAAATCCTCAGTAAAATAGTAACAGACTGAATCCAGCCGCACACTGGAAAAATAATTTACCATGATCAAATGGGATTTATTCAAGAGATGCAAAGATAGGTCAACGTACACAAATCAGTAAATATGATACATCACATTAACAGAACCAAAGACAAAAACCTTATGGTCATTTTAATAAATACCAAAAACTATTCAATAAAATTAAACACCTTTTCATGATGAAAATTCTCAACAAATTGGATATAGAAGGAAAATACCTCACCATGATAAAGGCCATCTATGACAAACCCACAGCCAACATGATACTGAACAAGGAAAAGCTGAAAGCTATTTCTCTAAGATCTGGAACAAGACCAGGATGCCCACTTTCACCACTTTTATTCAACATAGTACTGGAAGTCCTAGCTAGAGCAATTAAGCAAGAGAAAGAAAGAAAGGGCATTCGAGTTAGAAAGGAGTCAGTTACATTGTCCCTGTTTGCAAAAGACATAATCTTATATATAGAAAACTCTAAAAGCTCTACCAAAAAACTCTTAGAACTAATCAATGAATTCAGTAAAGTTGCAGAATACAAAATCAATATACAAAAATCAGTAGTATTTCTATATATCAACAATGAACTAGCAGAAAAAGAAATTAAGAAAGAAATCCCATTTACAATAACTACAATAAATAAATAAATACATAAAACCTAGGAATAAATTTAAGGAGATGAAAGATCTCTACAAGGAAAACTATAAAACACTGATGAAAGAAATTGAAGAGGACACACAAAAAAATGGAAAGACAGCTGGGCATGGTGGCTCACGCCTGTAATCTCAGCACTTTGGGAGGCCAAGGCAGGCACATTGCTTGAGCTCAGTAGTTCAAGACCAGCCTGGGCAACATGGCAAAACCCTGTCTCCACCAAAAATACAAAATAATTAGCTGAGCATGGTGGAACATGTCTGTAGTCTCAGCTATTTGGGAGGCTGAGGTGGGAGGATTGCTTGAGCCCAGGAGACAGAGGCTGCAGTGGGTCGAGATTACATCACTGCACTCCAGCCTGTGTGACAGAGTGATACCCTGTCAATTGTTGATTTAAAAAAAAAAAGGAAAGATATCTCATGTTAATGGATTGGAAGAATGAATATTGTTAACTTGACCATACTACCAAAAGCAATCTACAGATTCTGTGCAATCCCTATCAAAATACCAATGACATTATTCACTGAAATATAAAAAAGCAATCCTAAAACTAATATAGAACTATAAGAGACCCTGAATAGCCAAAGTAATCCTGAGAAAAAAGAACAAAGCTTTAGGCATCACACTACCAGATTTCGAAATATACTACAAAGCTATAATAACAAAAACAGCATGGTACTAGCCATAAAAACAGACCAATAAACCAGTGGTACAGAACCCAGAACCCAGAAATAAACAGCTATCTGATATTTGATGAAGGTGCCAGGAACATTTATTGGGAAACGGACTATCTCTTCAGTAAGTAGTGTTGGAAAAACTGGATAGCCATATGGAGAAATGTGAAAACAGACCTCTATCTTTCACCATATTAAAAGTCAACTCAAAATGGATTAAAGACTTGAATAGAAGGCATGAAATTATGAAACTATTAGTAAAAAGCCTAGGGGAAACACTTTATGACAGTAGTTTGGGCAAAGATCTTATGGAGAAGACCTCAAAAGCACAGGCAAAATAGACAAATGGGATTATATCAAACAAAAAAGCTTCTGCACAGCAAAGGAAAAAAATCAACAGAGTGAAGAGACAACGTGCAGAATGAGAGAAAATATTTGCAAACTATTCATCTAACAAGGAATTAATATCCAGAATATACAAAGAGCTCAACAGCAAACCAACAACAATAACACATAATTCTATTTAAAACTGGGCAAATGAGCTGAATGGACACATCTTTCAAAAGAAGACAGGTACATGAAAAAATGCTTAACATCACTAATCATCAGGGAAATGCAAATAAAATCCACAATGAGATATCTAAACCCAGTTATAATGGCTATTTTCAAAAAGACAAAAAATAAATGATGGTGAGGATGTGGAGAAGTAGGAACTCTCTTACACTGTTTGTGGAAATGTAAATTAGTGTAGCCATTATGGAACTCAACATGGAGGTTCCTCAAAACACTGCAAATGAAACTGCCATATGATCCAGAAATTCCACTACTGGGCATATATTCCAAGGAAAGGTAATCAGTATGTTGAAGAAGTATCTGTACTCTTATATTTATTGTAGCACTATTCACAATAGCCAAGATATGGAATAAACCTAAGTGTTCATCAACAGATGAATAAAGAAAATGTGATATATATACATAATGGAATACTATCTAGCTATAAAAAGCAATGAAATTTTGCCATTCACAGCCACATGGATGAGCTTGGGGGACATTATATTAAGTGAAATAAGCCAGGTACAAAAAGGTAAATGCTGCATGATCTTACTCACATGTGAAAGTTTAAAAAGTTGAGCTTATAGAAGTAGAGAGTAGAAGAGCGGTTACTAGAGGTGGGGAAGGGTAAGGGGAGGAGGGCAATAACCAAGGATTGGTTAACAGATAACAAAAGCACAGCTAGATAGGAGAAGTAAGTTCAAGTGTTCTATAGTAATATAGGGTGACTATAATTAACAATTCATTGTATATTTTCCAATAGTAGAGGAGAGGATTTTGAATGTTCCAAATACAAAGAAATGATCAACGTTTGAGGTGATGGGTAAAAAAAGAATAGTGTTCCATACTAGATTATTATTTAATAAATTCTTACCTAATTTAAAAAAAAAC
This sequence comes from Homo sapiens, assembly GCF_000001405.40. NCBI lineage: Eukaryota > Metazoa > Chordata > Mammalia > Primates > Hominidae > Homo > Homo sapiens. The sequence continues at coordinate 92,887,933 of NC_000001.11, read as the reverse complement.
TCAGGTAACTATTTATGTATTTAATGCAATAGGCAGTAGAGTAGAGTGAGTGCAGGCTCTGAAGCCAGACTGCCTCCATTCAAAGCCTGCTTCTCCTAGTTATGACTAGTATGGCCTTGCTTATCCTCTGTATGTTCTCAGTTTTCCCATCTGTAAAATGACGAATAGTCCCCTACTTATAGAATTCTTGTAAAGGGATAATAGTAGTCCCCTCCAGTATCAGTTAGTTACCCCAGCAACGCTGCATAATAAATTTCCCCAAAACTTAGTGACATACCATAAGCATTTATTTCTCAATCACACATCTACAGGTCAGCTGGAGTTCCACTATTCTAGGCTTGGCTTGACTTCAGGACATCATTTTGGTTCAAGGGGCTACAGTATCATTTATTTTTGTGTGTATCAGTAGACTAGTAGGGATCTGTTTTACTGGCAGTATCTGACATGAAAGAGAGCAAGTCCAGTTGCATAGTTTTCTTTTTCTTTCCTTTTCTTTGCTTTTGTTTTTGAGACAGGGTCTCCCTCTGTCACCCAGGCTAGAGTACAGTGGTGTGATCATAGCTCACTGCTGCCATGACATCCCAGTCTCAATCAATACTCTCACCTCAGCCTCCCAGGTAGCTAGGATTACAGACACATGCCACTATGCCTAGCTAATTTTTTTTTTTTTTTTTTTTTTAGTAGAGATGGGGTCTTCCTATGTTTCTCTAGTTGGTCTCAAACTCCTGGGCTCAAGTGATCCTCCTGCTTGGCCTCCTAAAGTGCTGGAATTACAGGTGTGAGCCACTACACCTGGCCCAATTGCATACTTTTATTTGCATCTAATGTTTGCACTTAGCAAACATTGACTAAAGCAAGTCACATGGCTGAGCCCAACACCAATGAGGCAGGGAAGGTGAGGCGGTGGGAGAGAATGAGTATTTGCTGAACAGTCCAGAGGTCAGCAAACTATTTCGGTAAAGAGCCAGATAGTAAATATTTTTTGCTTTGTTGGCCATATTGTCTCTGTTACAACCACTGAACTCTGCCATTATAGCATGAAAGCAGCCTTAGATAATAATGTATCGACAACTAGAGTAACTGTGTTCCAATAAGCTATATTTATAAAACCAAGCAGCAGACTGGATTTGGCTCATGGGTCATAGTTTTCCAACTCCTGACTAATTTACCACATCAGCTCATAGAGTTTTTATGAGGATTAAGTATATTAATATATAGAAAGTGCTTTTAACATTCCTCTACAGAGTAGCACTAATAAATATTGGCTTTCATTAATATTGTTTGTTATCACTATCCAATATTATAGCACAATATTGGAAATAATAAAAATGTTCAACAATACAGATAGGGTTAGATAAGTTATGGCACACCTGTGCTGTAAAATGTTATACATCCATTTAAATACCAAAAAAAAAATTGATATTTAAGTGGATGTATAACATTTTACAGTATGGGTACAGTGGCTCACGCATATAATCCTGGCACTTTGGGAGGCTGAGGCAGGCCAATTGCTTGAGCCCAGGAATTGGAGACCACCCTGGGTAACATAGTGACACCCTGTCTTTATTTAAAAAGAAAATTTTTTTAATATCAATTTTTTTTTTAGACAGGGTCATGCTCTGTCGCCCAAGCTGGAGTACAGTAGCACATCATCACTTACTGCAGCCTCAATCTCCCCAGCTCAAGCAATCCTCCTGCCTCAGCCTTCCAAGTACCTGGGACTACAGGTGCAAGCCACCGTGCCTGGGTAATTTTTTATTTTTTGTAGAGACAGGGTCTCACTGTGTTATCCAGGCTGGTCTCGAACTCCTGGACTCAAGCAATCCACCCACCTTGGCCTCCCAAAGTGCTGGGATTACAGGCATGAGCCTCTGTGCCCAGTCTTAAATATCAATTTTTTGAAGATATATCAACACTATATAATGGCATAAGAACATGTTTATGTTAAATGAGAAAAAGAGATAAGTAATATGTATCATATGACCCCAACTTTATTTTTCTTAAAATATAATACATTTTAAACATGGAAAACAGCTAGGAAAGGAATATGTCAAACGGTATCATTTAGTTTTTTAATATAATTCTTTATTGTCCATTTTTTCTCCACTGGGCATAACAATCTGGCATTATTTCAATAAGAAGGATGGAATCTGACTGAGTTCACTGAAAACTCTTCTAGCTCTAATGTATTTATCATTTTATATTCCACTTATGTTTTAATTGCTTAACAAACTAAGTATTTACCTTCAGAGATGGCTGATTAGAATGGATTAGATGGGACTGGGCACGGTAGCTCATGCCTATAATCCCAGAACTTTGGGAGGCCGAGGTGGGCGGATCACCTGAGGTCAGCAGTTAGAGACCAACCTGGCCAACATGGCAAAACCCCATCTCTACTAAAAATACAAAAATTAGCTGGGTGTGGTGGTGCACACCTGTAATCCCAGCTACTTGGGAGACTGAGGTAGGAGAATCACTTGAACCTAGGAGGCGGAGGTTGCAGTGAACTGAGACTCCAGCCTGGGAGACAGAGTGAGACTCCTTCCAAAAAAAAAATGAATTAGATAGTCACTTTCCAATTTTTGTTGTTGTTGTTGTTAAAGAAATGTTGTTCTGTTCTGGGACTCCTGGAAATCTATGTCAGAGTACCAACCAATGGGAATAGCATCTCCTCACTGATTCTCAGGCTGTATCAACAGTAGCTCCTTTGGGACCACATTCCCTGAGCAACCACAGTCCTTTCAGTGATAACAAAGGCAGAATACTGACACTTGGAGGTGAACAACCTCTTCCACCCCTCCCTGGTCTCTTCAGTATTTGGACATATACCTCTGCTTTTTTTATGTATCAAGGGGAGATTATGTTTCAATATTTAATTACCATGTGTCTAGGAGTCACATGAATAAAGACTGGAAAGGAAGCTTCAGAAACCCGTAGCCTCTTTCACCAATCTCACAGAATATTAGCAATTAAAGTTAATTATTTTTTAAAACCCTTTACAGTAATAAAGTTTTATCTAAATTATAATCAGCCCCTGGATACTCCAAGAGTCTAAGCTGTGTTGAAAATTGTTATATTAATAAGCTTGTAAGTCCTTAGAAGTAACTACTCCAAGTAAATTTTGCCCTAAAATATGCTTTAGAATCTGAAGTATAAAAGGACCATGCATTCTCATCTCCAAGTTTAGGTAAAACAGAGTTAAACTTTATTTTTAGTAATTGAATCATTAGTGAGTTTAAGTGCCAATTAGGATTCCCATCAAAGATTTGTGTATGGCTATTGTATGTTTTAGTAAGCACTAGATCCAATGTGGCATGTTAGGCCTAATCAAAGGGAGAAATGGACACCTGATTTGCCCATTAATCTTAACTGAATCTTCAGTTAAGATTCTGATGCTGGAATCTTAACTGAAATAATAAGGTAATATGAATTCTATTATATCCATATCTCAAGGAGTTGTTTTTTTTTGTTTGTTTGTTTTAAGACAGGGTCTTGCTCTGTCACCTAGGTTAGAGTGCAGTGGTGTGAACATGGCTCACTGTAGCCTTGAACTCCTGGGCTTAAGCAATCCTCCTACCTCAGCCTCCTGTGTAGCTGGGATCACAGGCACGTGCCATCACACCCAGCTAATTTTTTATTTTTTATTTTTTGTAGAGATGGGGTCCCACTTTGTTGCCTGGGCTGGTCTCAAACTCCTGAGCTCAAGCAATCCTCAGCCTCCCAAAGTGCTGGGATTATAGGTGTGAGCCACCGCTCTTAATATCATGAACAATTTCTAATACTTTGGAGTTCTTTATCATGGAACTTTGTGTACACAGCAAAAGATTTGCTGATAGTTATTGAGCCCATCATATGGAATGAGAACTGTTTTCAGTCAACTTAGGCATAAATACATGTGACTACAAATACTATTAATGGATTCTAATAGCAACTTCCAGTTCTCCTCTAAGGCAGAAGGAAGAACCCTTAATTAGAATGGCTAAGAAAGCTGTCTATTCTGGTTGAGATGTCCCCAGTGCTTTTCTCCTTACCCCTAGACCCTGCTTTGCTGATCCTCTTCTGGGGTGGTAGCTAGTCTCCAAAGAAGACCCCTCAGTGAGCCATGCCTACTAGTAGTCATGCCCTTATGTGGTCCTCTCCTATATTAATTCTGAGCTGGCCATTTCTAACCAAAAGAATTCTACAGAAATGATGCAGCCTCCCCTTTGCTGTCTTGGAACACTCACTCTGAGCAAAGTCAGCCATCATGTAAGAAGTTCAATTACCTTGACACCACCAAACTTTGAAGAATCCCAGCTAGCCACATAAAGCTGTTCCAGCCACCTAAGTTGAGAGGTTGGACATGTGAATGAAGAAGCCATCTGTCTGCCCATCCAACCCACATAGTCCTTCAGATGGCTCCAGTCTTGATCACAAATGCATGAGAACCTTAAAGAGCTTAGCTTAGTCATCATCCCTCAGAACCATGAGAGACAAATAGATAGTTATTTTAAGCCTCCAAGTTTTTAGATGGTTTGTTATACAGCAATAGAAAATCAAAACACTTAGTTTTTTTACTTATCCTTGTCCTTCTGCACTGGGATGTTGAAGATCCCTATGATGAGTTCTTTTTACCTGCAATTGCAAATGCCAACATTCCTTTTATATATAGATTGCTAGTAGAGGTTGCATCTTCCTCCTATATGCTCTGTAAGATACTGGCTGTCTAATTGTTAATTAAAAGCCATCTGCATGCCTGCTTTTTTAACCCTAGAGATGCCTTTTATGTTTTCTTAGCCTTGAAGCTCTTTCAATATGTGCCTGGCCTGTGTTCTCTAAAGCAGCAGCAGCAAGGGAAAGGATTATAGTCTTCAGCTTTTGCCAGGAGAAGTCACTTCCTCAGTGGCTAAGACCTAGAATTGCACCCACCCCAGGGCATGTCTGTGACACTTCCTGTGTAAAATCTTTAGACTTCCTCCTGGCACAACCGAGTTAGAGCCAAAGCTGTTTAACATTCTAAGCCTAATATCACATCAGCATGTGGTTGAATTATATGTTTCCAAAGTCTCTTTCAAACATTCTAAGTCTGTGATTTTCAGGAACATTGTATATAATATGTGGGATACACAGAGTGTCTCCTGCGGTGACTGGCACAGAATGCAGCTCCATATTATGTGGATTTTTTTTCCTTACAGAAGTTGAAGAGAAAAGTATACATTTTTAAATCTTTATATTGTTTGTATATAAAAGTATAAAAATTGCTTACTGAAAAATCAGTGGAATACTCTACAGCAAAGAAAATGAACAAACTGGCTATATGTATCAGCATGGTTAAATCTCATAATGCTAAGAGAAGGATGCAAGTCGAAATAGAATATGCTTCTACTTGTGTAAAGTTCAAGCAATCAACATCAAACTCTGCATTATAGGGTTACATGATCAGTGGTTAAACTACTTAGAAAAGCACATAAACAAATGATTATCATGGTAGTCAAGAGCATGTTGGGAGGATAGGGGTCAGTGAGGGTGTTAGAAAATTCTGGGGGTTTTATTTATTTATTTTTTTGAGACGGAGTTTTGTTCTTGTCGCCCAGGCTGGAGTGCAATGGCACGATCTCAGCTCACTGCAACCTCTGCCTCCCTGGTTCAAGTGATTCTCCTGCCTCAGCCTCTCAAGTAGCTGGGATTACAGGCGCATGCCATCATGCCCAGCTAATTTTTGTATTTTTAATAGAGGTGGGGTTTCACCATGTTGGCCAGGCTGGCCTCGAACTCCTGACCTCAGGTGATCTGCCCACCTCGGCCTCCCAAAGTGCTGGGATTACAGGCATGAGCCACCACACCTGGCCAGAAAATTCTGTATTTTTACCCAAGTGGTAGTTATTTAGATATTTGCTTTATAATTATAATGTAAGCTATATTTATATATTTTAAGTAATTCTGTGTTAATATTTTACAGTTAAAAAGATTTTTAAAGCATCAAGAGACTTGTAGATCTTAGAGACATTTAAATATGTACATTAAACACATATATACAAATAGTTTTTTCTAACTAAAAAAGTAATACATATTTGTTATAGAAAATTAAGAGAAGAAAAATAAAAATTATCCATAATCCCACCACCTCTTGACATTTTGAGATAACAACCCTTAATGTTTTGTTTATTTCCTTGCAGTTTCTAAAGTTTTTTGGTGATTTCTCTTTCTAAAAGCCAAATTGGGAACATATCATACATGTGATTTTGAAAGCGAATTTTTTTTCACTTAATATATCACGAGCTATTGCTTTTACTTAGACACTTCTTTGAAATAGTGTTTTACCATTGAGCCTAGTCACAGGCTTGAGAGTCACCCCATGCAATGAATTCCCTAGTTGTTCTTGGCATTTTGTTTTGCGGTCAGCCTCTAAGCATGTGAAAATTATCTGCTTTTTATTGAAACTTTATTTCTAGAGTTTTCATAAAATCAAAACACAGAATATGCTCCTGCAAATAAAATCTTTAAACTTGAGATCAAAGAATAATTCAGATTCTTTCTATAAATCCTAAAATTCACCTCTTAAAAAGATTAAGAATGCTAAAACTCTGACCAGTAGACTCATAATGCCTTTTTTTTTTTTTTTTTTTTTGAGACAGAGTCCCCATTCTCAAAATTAAGAACATTTGTGTATGGAGTATTTAGGGGTAAAGTAAAAGGACTTTGTGCTTTACATGTTTATGAAAGATGCAGAGTATTAAAAATAGATAATAGAAGTAGCCTTTTTTTTTTTTTTTTTTTTTTTTGAGACCGAGTCTCGCTCTGTCACCCAGGCTGGAGTGCAGTGGCATGATCTCGGCTCACTACAACCTCCACCTCCCGGGTTCAAGCGATTCTCCTGCCTCAGCCTCCCGAGTAGCTGTGATTACAGGCTCCCGCCACCACACCCAGCTAATTTTATGGGTTTCAGTGTGTTGGCCAGGCTGGTCTCGAACTCCTGACCTCATGATCCGCCTGCCTCAGCCTCCCAAAGTGCTGAGATTACAAGCGTGAGCCACCGCGCCCCGCCAGAAGTAGTTTTTTTGTTTGTTTGTTTGTTTGTTTGTTTGGAGACGGAGTCTCGCTCTGTTGCCCAGGCTGGAGTGCAGTGATGCGATCTCAGCTCAAGGCAACCTCTGCCTCCCGAGTTCAAGCGATTCTCCTGTCCCAGCCTCCCAAGTGGCTGGGATTACAGGTGCACGCCACCACGCCCAGCCAATTTTTTTTGTATTTTTAGTAGAGACAGGGTTTCAGCATATTGGCCAGGATGGGCTCTATCCTTTGGCTCCATGATCCTCCCACCTCAGCCTCCCAAAGTGCTGGGATAACAGGCGTGAGCCACCGCGTGGCCAGAAGTAGTCTTAAATGGCTAAATTTTGGTTGTTGCCTCTTTCTGCCTATTTTTAAAACTTAATGTAAAGTTACAAACAAGATCAAAAATTTTCAGATTTGTTTTGAAATAAGTTATCACAATGAAATCAAACGATATTTTAAAAGAAGAAAAACTATTACTATTTTTTAGAGTAGAATTGGCATTTTGTGTCATCGTGGGCTTACAATAAAATATTGGCAATCATTTACTCTAGTGATAACTGCTTCTGTTATTTCCAGACAGATGTTATTATATTTTTAAAATTACTAATATTTTATGCATTAAAGGCTAATATAAGATAAAATGCTAATGTCATACAAATTTAGCTCTTTCAACCCCACAGTTTTTGTTTTCATTTTATTGTGTAACTGTAAGTTTCTCAAACACATTTTGGGCCTGATAATGCTTTGCTGTGGGGGGCTACATTGTACATTGCAGGATGTTTAGCAGCATCTCTGGCTGCTACCCCACAAGATTTCAGTAGCAGCCTCCAGTTGGGAAACCAAACATGTCTCCAGACATTGCCAAGTGTCCCCTGTGGGGCAAAACTAAGTCCATTTGAGAATCACTGCCATAGTGTATTTACAAAAATTCTTATCATGCTTTTCAGGAACAAAATTAGGAAAAAAGCAACATACCATTACTAGCTAGGCACACAATCTGCCGAACAAAAAACTGCTGGGCAGTCATTGTGAATAGTTCAGCATAAATAAAAAGGTCAGACTACATTTCTTAATCAAAGACTACATTATCTAGGTAATTGGTACAGAACAGACCACTAGAAACATTTTAGTGAGTGGCACACAGGGAAATTAAATTGGTTAATAGCTACAGATGTAATTTATGGCTCTTTCTTCAATCATTATTTTTAAATGTGAGGCTGCAGGATCTGCAGATATTAAAGGACGCATGAAGGTCCTTTTACTACTTTGTGTTACCCCCAAATCACAGCAATTCTCAATGGCATGCTGAAAGAAAAAGGTGTCTCACTCCTTTTATCATTTTGTCTACAACAGGTGATGCCCAGTGCCCTGCTGGGAACATCATCAATCTAACTTCCTCTCAAAAATGTTTGGCATTCTTTGTCATGACAAGTAGGCATCGGGCAGTCCAGTTCATAGGGTTTTTCTCCATTTAAACATATGCCAGAGGAAGTAGAAAAACGTAGCTATTTGATAGGTAGAGAAAAGAAAAATATTTAAATATTGTCACAGAACCATTATCACACCTTAAAAAACTAAAATAATCCTTTACTATCATCAAGTATACTGTCATTCTTAAAATTTTCAATTGTCTTATAAATGTCATTTTTTACAGGTTTTCATTTGAATCAGGACTCAAAAAAGATACATGTGTTGTAATTATTTGATATATTTCTCTCTTTTTTTGCAACAGGGTCTCTCTGTGTCACCCAGGCTGTAGTGCAGTGGTGCGATCTTGGCTCACTGCAACCTCTGCCTCCCAGGCTCAAGCAATCCTCTCACCCTAGCCTCCCAAATAGCTGGGACTACAGGCATGAGCCACTATGCTTGGCTAATTTTTATTTTTATTTTTATTTTTTGAGATGGAGTCTTGCTCTGTCACCCAGGTTGGAATGCAGTGGCACAATCTCGGCTCACTGCAACCTCCGCCCCCCAGGTTCAAGCAGTTTTCCTGCCTCAGCCTCCTGAGTAGCTGGGATTACAGGTGCATGCCACCACACTCGGCTAATTTTTGTTTGTTTGTTTGTTTGTTTGTTTGTTTGTTTTTGAGACAGAGTCTCGCTGTCGCCCAGGCTGGAGTGCAGTGGTGCGATCTCGGCTCACTGCAGGCTCCGCCCCCCGGGGTTCACGCTATTCTCCTGCCTCAGACTCCCGAGTAGCTGGGACTACAGGCCCCCGCCACCTCGCCCGGCTAATTTTTTGTATTTTTAGTAGAGATGGGGTTTCACCGTGTTAGCCAGGATGGTCTCGATCTCCTGACCTCGTGATCCGCCCACCTCGGCCTCCCAAAGTGCTGGGATTACAGGTGTGAGCCACTGCGCCTGGCCTAATTTTTGTATTTTTAGTATAGGCGGGGTTTTACCATGTTGGCCAGGCTGGTCTTGAACTCCTCACCTCAAGTTGTTCGCCTGTCTTGGCCTCCCGAAGTTCTGGGATTACAGGCGTGAGCTCCTGGCTGGCCTTGGCTAATTTTTAAATTTTTTCATAGAGACAATGTCTCACTATATTGTCCAGACTGATCTCAAATTCCTATACTTAAGTGATTCTCCTACCTCAGCCTCCGAAAGTGCTGGGATTACAGATCTAGCCTAATATATATCTTAAATGATTTTTAATCTTTAAGTTTCCCCTTGCCTTTTTTTCCCTTCTTGTAATTTATTTGTTGAAGAAACTGGATTGTTTGTATTGCAGTGTTTCCCACAGCCTGGAGTTTGCTGATTATATCCTTATAGTGTCACTTACTTAAGTGTCACTTGTGTTTCTCTGTCTCATGTATTTCCTGTAAACTGGTAGCTGGAGCTAAAAGGCTTGATCAGATTCAGATTCAGTTTTCTTTTTGGCAAGTCCGAAAAGAAGATGATAGCCACTGACAGTATTGTTGGCTTCTTGCCCAGTGACTTGCAAATTGATTTAGCTAACATTTGCTGAATACTTACTACGTGCCCAGCAATATGCTTATGTTTTATAGGCATTATGTCATTTAATCTTATTTAGGTTCACAATATTAGTACATGTCGATTTCTGTCTGATGACCAAACCTCTTATTAGAGACGAGTCATCTTAAATATCTTTCAAACAAACCCCATGGTATATACCCCATTGTCTTTTATGTGATTTAATTTGGAGTTTAATCTGAACTTTCTTTTTACTTAGAGCAATACAAAAGTATCTTGCATTAAGGCACTTTTTCATTTTAATAATAAAGCTCAGAGACCTACAATTTTACTGAGAACTCATTGTACTCAAGCCTTTTGGTACAGGGATTCACCATCTGTTAACCTCACAAAGATATCTAAACCACAAATAGGGCCAATAGAATTCAGTATTTCCTGAGTCTCTTTTTCCTTTGCACTCATTGTCTTCTGCAGGTGTGCTTATGTCTCTCTCATCTCTTTCTGCTTCTTTGCATGCTCACAATGCTCACAATATCCTACTGTTCCCAGTGTGAGAAACTGGCTCGTGATTGTAAAAGCAAAACTAGCTTTTCATTGTTTGTTTACATATCTTTAATTTATTCTGCCGAATTCTCTTCGTAGTCCTCAGTTCTGCTGTTTATAAAACCAGACCATGGGTGCTACAGACTCAAAAAATAAATGTCAAATAGTCTTGATCAAGTGTCACTTTTGAAGATGAAACTGTTTGATATGTAATTGATGGAAAAAAGGCATCAACCAGCCCGAGTTGCAATTAGATACAAGAGCACTGGAAACAAAACAATGCAAAGAGGATCCTATTGTGCAGCTTTACACTTTGCAAGTTGATATGCAAAGAGTAACTTATTTTTAATATATCTTAACCCTTCTCCAGTCATTTCTCCTTTAACAATTGTTAGCGTCTCCTCAGTTTCCAGAATATCTATTCGGTGAAACATTTGGTTCGCTGAACAAGAGGAACATAAAGCCCTGGTGAATACAATAGGGAAATAGAAATGACTGTAGAGCTTAATTTCTTGTTCTGGTTGTCAGTATGAGACATTAGACAAATAGCCAGATTTTCTGTTCTTATTTCTTTAAAACAAAATTATTTTTATCATGATTTTCCTAAAGACCTTTAAGATTCTTATGTGAAAGAGTCTTTTGTAAGCTTCTAGTAAATAGGAATTGTACCTCTCTTTACCTGATCTCACAAGGTGCCCAGGGTAGCATGGTACATGTGCTTGTGCCTAAAAAGTAGCTTTGGATGATGGTGGTATTTGAAAGGTTATACATCTTAAAGGATATTTTGTTCCCTTTTTCCTTGGCAGGACCAAGGAGCTTCCTTTTCTAAGACCAGTGCTGTTTGGACTCAGTGAAAGTGCACTTTGTTCTAGAATTGCCATATAAAAGCCTGGAATATATATTGAGTTGTTCCAAGAAGGGTGAGAAGTCGTGTTCTAGGACATTGAATGCTGATTTGGTGCTGAATGAATGATCGTTATGTTCTTTTTTACTCACAGGCTCGCTTCTCATATGTGCGGATGAAATATCTTTTCTTTTCCTGGTTAGTGGTTTTTGTTGGAAGCTGGATTATATATGTGCAGTATTCTACCTATACAGAATTATGCAGAGGAAAGGACTGTAAGAAAATAATAGTAAGTATTTTAAATTTCCTGTTTACTAAAAAGCCTCTTCATAACACTATATTTACTGCTTACATACTTACTAATGATGTTTTTAAAAATAAAAGTTAATTTGACATTAGAATTGTGCTAATCTTCTTAGCTTTTTGACATGACCCATTAGTAAAGTTTTCCCCACTTTGAAAATTCCAGTGTTCAGAAATTTAAATATATAACACATAAATAAGTTAGTGTGGGGGCATCCTCAATACAAAGAAGGATTTTTATTATATATATATATATTTTTAATATATTTAAGTTTTAGTTTATTTCAATCAGATGAGTTTTTTAATGTTTAGACTATAAAAGCGTATTTACAGGCAGACTTTCTAGAACACATCTTTTACTCTTGAATACCAAAATTTATCTAAAAGGATTATTATTCTGTTTCTATCCTAGTGATTGGATGTATCTCAGAAAAATGACTGTATCAGTCTAAGATTTCTAGTAGTGATCATTAATTCTATAGACTTATATTTTAAAAATTTGAGAATTTCAAGTAAATTTAACTCCTTTTTTTCCACCAGTACTTTCTCTCTTTTTTTTTTTTTTTTTGAGACGAAGTCTTGCTTTATTGCCCAGGCTGGAGTGCAGTGGTACAATCTCAGCCTACTGCAACTGCCTCCCAGGTTCAAGCAATTCTCCTGCCTCAACCTCCCAAGTAGCTGGAATCACAGGCTCGCACTACCACGCCTGGCTAATTTTTGTATTTTCAGTAAAGACGGGGTTTCACCATGTTGCCCAGGCTGGTCTTGAACTCCTAGCCTCAAGTGATCCGCCCTCCTTGACTTCCCAAAGAGCTGGGATTACAGGCATGAGCCACCGCACCTGGCCTCTACCAGTACTTTCTAATATAAAGAATATTAAAACACTCCATCTCAGAATTATATTTGAATAGTAATGATTTGGAGGGTTCCAATTATTATAACTTGTTAAAGATTCTATAGTTGTTGAGTAGCTACTCTTTACCCAGGCCAGTGGTGTATGCATATAACAGGGAGCAAAATATCTTTGACCTTATAAAACTTACAGTGGATCAGGAAAGAAAATGAGTAATTACAGTAAGGTAAGATAAATAAGATAGCAACTGTTATGGGAACATAAGACGGAAACCTGGAGCTTCCCCAAGTTCTAAGAAAATAAAAACCAGTTTAACACAAGGTGCTTCATCAGTTAGGATACAAAAACACGTTATTCCACAGGAGTGTTACAGTCTTTTAACTAGGCAAGAGAGGGGAATGAGTTAGTAAAGAAGAGTCCTAAGTCAAGGTTCAAAGATAGCAATCCTGTGTTCATTCCAACTGGCCATTCTAGATCCTTAAGGAATTTTAAGATAGGAGGTATCTCTGGGGCCAATGTACTGGGTACTTTACATGTTCATTAATCCTTAGCATAATAGTGTACAGATAAAGAACTATGACCCAGAGAGACAGGAGAATTTGCCCAAGATGATGGAACCAGAATTTGATCCTAATTCTGTCTCTCTATGAAGCTCATACTCCTTCTGCTACCCTACATCAGAAAAGACTGACAGAAGAAGTTACAGTCTAATAAAGCTAATAAAACCCCACAAAACTCAGTTTCTAACCTTCAGTGAAGAAGGAGGAAACAGGAGGTAGATAATCAAGTTCAAAAACATACAAATAACCGAAACTATTTGAAATGTTTATTTCTCTTTCTCTAGGCCACCTTTCTCAAACTAGGTACCTTGGAGCACATTAATAGATATTCCATGGATAAAATATGTCCCTGGTCAGATGTATTTGGAAACAGAGGGTTAAATAAAGATAACAACTGACTTTACTAAGGACTTCTTAGGTTCTTTTAGATACTAATATGTGTTATGCATCTCCAAGAGACAGCAAATATACTTGATCAGAAAAAACCATATCCCCACCACAGCCCTCCCAGGAAGACCTGTTAACATCATCTGGTAATGTTAGAAATCTAAGAGATTAAGACAAAATGAAGTGGATATGCTTTTAAATATCTTGTATCATTACAGTATCCTTCAAATGTAGGGCAAATATTGGTACATATTCTGTCATGAGTAAATTAGAGTTGAAGTGCTTCATTACTTTTCACTTTAATTTAATTTCCCTTTAATTTATAAGAAAGGAAACCAGAACATAATTCTAGCATAATTTAATGGTTATTTTATCAAACCCTGAAGATAATGAAAGAGCTTTCTGAGTCTAAAATACATCATTTTCCTAAGACTGGCTTTTAAAAAATTATAGTTATTCTGCATTTGGGATTATGTTCTTAAAACCTATCATAAGTAGTAGTACTAAAGTCAATAGTACTAAGCTAAGATAGTACTAATATTGTATCACAATTGTGGGATTAGAACTAAAAAGCAAGCAGAAAAAATATTGTTAAAGTATATTTTAGCCAGGCATGATGGCATGCACATGTTGTCCCACCTACTTGAGAGGCTGAGGTGGGAGGATCCCTTAAATCCAGGAATTTGAGATTGCAGTGAACTATGATCCTGCCACAACACTCCAGCCTGGGCAACAGAGCAAGACTTCATCTCAAAAATAAAATAACTTCTTTAAAAGTATATTTTAAAGCCTCAAAGTGCTAACAAGATAGGGAGGAATTACTTGATCAAGACCTGGGAGAGGATAAGATTTTTTTTTTTTTTTTTTGAGACAGAGTTTTGCTCTGTCACCCGGGCTGCAGTGCAGTGGTGCAATCTCGGCTCACTGCAACCTCTGCCTCCCGGGTTCAAATGATTCTCCTGCCTCAGCCTCCCAAGTAGCTGGGACTACAGGTACCCACCACCACACCTGGCTAATTTTTCTATTTTTAGTAGAGATGGGGTTTTGCCATGTTGGCCAGGCTGGTCTCAAACTCCTGACCTCAGGTGATCCACCTGCCTCGGCCTCCCAAAGTGCTGGGATTACAGGCGTAAGGCACCACACCCAGCCGAGAGGATAAGATTTGAAAGAGGTGGGCCTAGTTTTTGTGGCTGCTTTTCACTGGTGATGTATGATCTAAAATTGAAATATACAGTCTTAAGGGGCTAGGGTAATAAAAATCTACTACATCCAACCAAGGATGGGAACACTGGCACACCATGCTTTGTGCTGAGACCTTAAAGGAATGAACCCCAGGAGTAAAGGTAAACTAAAAGAATCTCAGAATGGTGAGCTGACTTTTATGGCCTCTTTTACCCTGGGGGGAATTTGCTGATTCTGGGCATGGGCAGGGATCTGAGAAGCAGAAACCTTATGTTGGCGGAAAGCCCCTACTGGGGACAAGAAATCAGCAGAGGCTTTGTGGAAAACCAGGGGAACCTCATGCATACAGCCAGTTATCCTGTTGGGATATTTGCCAATTCCCGGGGCTCTGCAGAATGAGAGGTTAAAAACCTCATTGGAAAGCCTTTGAAAAGCAGAACAGACTCTTTGGCAGTCTCACAAGATACAGATTAGAGTTATGAACTTGCCAGAAGGAGAAGCCCCAATGAATACCAAGCTCTCAGTTAAAAATCCTAGAGGGCTATATACCCTTGGACATAAGTAGCTAGAGCTTTACCCAGAGCTACAACCAAGTCTCAACTTCAAACAGCTCCTGATTTTGTTAAGGTGATCAGCTACCATTACCTTTGTCTGCTAGACAGAAGGAAACCCTCTCTGGAGACATTATGTAAAAAAGTACAAAGAATGCCAAAAGACAAAATAAAATGACCAAAAATCAAGAGATAAACACAGATACTAGAAGCAGATCTCCAGATGATCCAGATATTAAGAGTTATTCAAAAAGAATGTAAAAATAACTTTATATTCATGTTCAGTTAAATAGGAATAAAGGTAGAAGAAATAGGTAAAACAATGGAGAATTTCAACAGAGAATTGTAATATATAAAAAAGAATCAAGGCTGGGCATGGTGGCTCGTACCTGTAATCCCAGCACTTTGGGAGGCCAAGGTGGGCAGATCACTTGACTCCAGGAGTTTGAGACCAGCCTGGCCAACATAGCAAAAACCTGTCTCTACTAAAAATACAAAAAAATTAGCCGAGTGTAGTGGCACACATCTGTAATTCCAGCTACTCAGAAGGCTGAGGCACAAGAATCACATGAACCCAGGAGGCAGAGGTTGCAGTGAGCTGAGATCACATCACTGCACTCCAGCCTGGGTGACAGAGGGAGACTCTGTCTCAAAAAAAAAAAAAAAAAAAAAAAAAAAAGATTTAAAGAAAAAGAATCAGGAAAATAGTATGGAGGGTTCTCAAATTGTTAAACATGGAATTACCATATGATCCAGTAAATCCACTTCTGGGTATACATACCAAAAAAATTGAAATCAGGGTTTCAAATGGATTCTGGCACACCAATGTTCACAGTAGCATTATTCATAGTAGCCAAAAGGTGGAAACAAGCCAACTGTCCATCCACAGATGAATGGATAAACAAAATATTGTATATAGATACAATGGAATATTAGCCTTTAAAAAGAGTAAAATTCTGATACATGCTACAACATGGATGAATATTGGAAACATTATGCTAAGTGAAAGAAGCCAAACACAAAAAGACAAATATTGTATGATTCCATTTATATGCTGCAATACCTAGAATAACAATTACATATAAAATGGGAGAAGGATAAAGGAAGTTAAAGTGTTTAAGTCCTTACAATATTGCAGAGTAGGATAAAAGAATCAACCAGTTAACTTTAGACTTTGATAATTCAAGGATGCATATTATTATTTCTAGGATAACCTATACAATAGAAAGAGTGTACCATTTCCAAACTAACATAGAAAAAATGGAATAATAAAAGAATAAAAGAGGCCGGGTGCAGTGTCTCACACCTGTAATCCCAGCACTTTGGGAAGCTGAGGCAGGCAGATCACCTGAGGTCGGTAGTTCGAGACCAGTCCAACCAACATGGAGAAATCCTGTCTCTACTAAAAATACAAAATTAGCCGTGCGTGGTGGTGCATGCCTGTAATCCCAGCTACTCAGGAGGCTGAGGCAGGAGAATTGCTTGAACCCGGGAGGAGGAGGTTGCAGTGAGCCAAGATTGTGCCACTGTACTCCAGCCTGGTCAACAAGAGCGAAACTTAGTCTCAGAAAAAAATAAATAAATAAAAGAATAAAAGAATAGTCAGTCCAAAGGAAGGCAAGAAAGTAAAGAAAAAGAACAGGCAGGATAAGTAAAAATAAATACATAAGATGAAAGATGTCACAGATTGAATTCCCTGGAAAGCAGACTTAGAGACTAAGGTTTGCCTGCAGCAAGTTGATTAAATTCGGCTCTTGGGATTAACATCTGTAGAGAGTGAGGAAGCAGAGTTAAGTCAGAGGGAAAAGTTGAACTACACTGCAGTAGTAACAAAGGCCTTAAAGGTCAACGCTACAGGGAATTCTGGAGCTGGGATGACCTTGCAAAGGTCCAGACCTTTATCCCCCTCACTGACCAGTCAGTGGAAGCAGATTCCCACCTTTACCCCGATCCATGCCAAGGAGATATGACCTTGAGCAAGGCTGTACTCTAGCTGAGGGCAGTCCTAAAGGACTCAGCTGAGAGCTGTTTACTACCTGTACTCCCAGTGCTGAAGGAATAAGTGCTCCAGTCCTGGAGAAGGAGATTTGGGTGGCTTACCATGGCATCAGATGTAGTATATTTAAACCCACATATGATGGTAATTGCAGTATGTTATCAGTGGACCAAATGATTTAGTTGAAAGACAAAGATTGTGAGGCTGTATTTAAAAATCAAAATCCAGGCTGGGCGCAGTGGCTCACGCCTGTAATCCCAGCATTTTGGGAGGCTGAGGCGGGTGGATCACCTGAGGTCAGGAGTGTGAGACCAGCCTGGCCAACATGGTGAAACCCCGTCTCTGCTAAAACTGTAAAAATTAGCCGGGCATGGTGGTGGGTGCCTGTAATCCCAGCTACCCAGGAGGCTGAGGCAGGAGAATCGCTGGAACCTGGGAGGCAGAGGCTGCAGTGAGCTGAGATTGCACCACTGCACTCCAGCCTGGGCAACAAAGCAAGACTCTGTTTACAAAATAAAAATTAAAATCCAGCTATAAGAGAGACATCTGAAATATATGAAGATGTTGAAAGTAAAACAATATGAAGCCACTTATGCAAATATGCAAATTCTTGGATGTTTGGAGGAGAGCAACAGATATGTGTGTGTGTGTGTGTGTGTGTGTGTGTGTGTGTGTGTATATATAATTCATGTAAGTTTTTTATTGCAGATTATACCTTTTTTTAAAGTCTAATCAGCCCTTCCTAACTTGAAATGTAATATATTTTAAATTGGCTTCTCCCATGGTTCAGTTTTACAATAGCTGCCTAAGTAATTACCTGGCCATTTCATGAATTATGGCAATATCCACACATACTTCTGGTCCTGGTCATTACTGTTTTGAAATGTGGAGTCTAAACCGATTGCCTCTCTCCCTCTGTATTAGTGCATGGACTGTTCTTTTTTTAAGTGGATTGAAGAGAACCAAAGCGTATAATAAAATTGCTAATTTTGAATTTTAGGTATATATATATAAAACTGCATAATCTTAAAGTCATGCTTAGTAAACACATGCTCATCAAAGGATTACAATATCCTGTGTATAACCTTTGAACAGATTCCGTTCAAAATCTTCAGTCAATTTCATCTTTGTCAACTAAAGAAGATTATAAAGAGACACAGAAGATCCAAAAGAGGTTCCACAAATATTATTTGCTAAAGTTTTAAGTTTTAAAGTGTGGGTCCTTTTATTCTCTTCAAAAGTTGGCAAAATCTTTCCTTTAGCTTATTTTTCCTATTCTTAATAATTTAGTCAGCACCAGGCATGGTGGCTCACATCTGTAATCCTAGCACTTTAGGAGGCCAAGGTGGGAAGATTGCTTGAGCCCAGGAGTTTAAGACCAGCTAGGCAACATAGTGAGAATCCATCTCTACAAAAAATAAAAAGTTAGCTGGGCATGGTGGCATGCACCTGTAGTCCCAGCTACTTGGAGGCTGAGGTGAGAGGATCACTTGAGCAAAAGGGGTCGAGGCTGCAGTGAGCCATGATAGCACCACTACACTCCAGCCTGGGCAACAGAATGAGACCCTGTATCAAAATAATAATAATAATAATAATAATAGTGTAATATTTATTTTCAAGGTAACTACTGTCATATAGCAATCATATAAAAAGTATAATCCATTTTAGAAGAGGTATCTATCAGTCAGTTAAATATTTATTGAACATCTACATCTAAGTTATTTTTCTAGGTGCTAGGGATATTGTGGTAAGCAAGATAGAATGCCTTAGGAGCTTTTTTTTTTTTTAAGATTGAGTCTCACTCTGTCACACAGGCTGGAGTGCAGTGGCACGATCTCAGCTCACCACAACCTCCACCTCCCAGATTCAAGCAATTCTCCTGCCTCAGCCTCCCAAGCAGCTGGGATTACAGGCGCCTGCCACCATGCCCGGCTAATTTTTTTATTTTTAGTAGAGACAAGGTTTCACCACGTTGGCCAGGCTGGTCTCGAACTCCTGACCTCAGGTGATCCACCTGCCTCGGCCTTCAAAAGTGCTGGGATTACAGGTATGAGCCACCGCACCCAGCCAAGGAGCTTACGTTCTTATTGTGGAATGTGTATAATTAAAAACAAAAACAAGTAAATAAATAAGGTACTGACAAGTGCAATGAAAACATATGTAATAGCAATGTTTCGTAGAGAATGGCTAGGGCATGCTGTCTTAACTGGAGTGATTGGGAAAAACCTGCCTGAAAAGATGGCATTTTGAATTGGAAGGTGATGAGAGGAAGCAATTGTGTGAGAATCTAGGCAAAAAGCATTTAAAGAGAAAGGACAGTGAATGCAAATGCCCAAAGAAGGGAGCTTGAGGAACCTGATTGCTTTCATATATGGCTTATGAAAATCTGTCTTATTACTTTAGTAACACCATGTACGTTTTTAAATGTTAGATATTAGTGGTACAACCAACCCACTGTGAAGAACTTCTTGATTACTAGCAGCTAAACCATATCATGTTAGCCTGTTGGAAAAAATGCTAGGCTGAAGTGAAAGCCCCAGCCTCACTTTTTCTTGTGCTGTACTGTGTAGCTTTGAGTAAGTGATTTTATTTCATTGGCTTGCTTTAACTACACTATACAGGCTCGAGAAAAGTATCTCTGTCCTACCTGCATCACAGATTTTATGAAGATAAAGTAGAATTGAACCAATTAACCTGATAATCTAACACTGATTGATGCTCTGACATATCCGTTGAACATAGAGAAGGTTCTCAAGTCCTTGACTTTTTTCATTTGATCTGAGACAAGTACCCCATTACTTGTCATTGCTGTAACATAGCATTGTAATTCAAAAATTTCCTGGAAGATTGCTGTAGCTGTTCCATTGAGAGCATTGCCTCCAAGCTGAAATCATTGCTTAGGAGTTAGGGAGGACAGATTATCAACAAAGTGTAATAAGCAGTTTACGGCCGGGCACGGTGGCTCACACCTGTAATCCCAGTGCTTTGGGAGGCTGAGATGGGCAGATCACTTGAGGTCTGGAGTTTGAGATCAGCCCGGCCAACATGGTGAAACCCCATCTCTACTAAAAATACAAAAATTAGCCAGGTGTGCCAGTGCACGCCTATAATCCCAGCTAGTCAGAAAGCCAAGGCAGGAGAATCGCTTGAACCTGGGAGGCAGAGGTTGCAGTGAGCTGAGATTGTGCCACTGCACTCCAGCCTGGGTGACAGAGCAAGACCCTGTCTCAACAACAACAACAACAACAACAAAGTTTATATCTGTTTAACAGTTGTGGTCTATCTTGTGTTCCATAGCTTTCTTCTCTGCATGCCTCTGTCTTTTTCTCTCTCTCTCCATTTGTGTGTGAAGGGTCCCATCCATTGCAGTAGTTAAGAGCATAAGAATTGGAGTAAAAGGGCCAGGCGCAGTGGCCCATGCCTGTAATCCCAGCACTTTGGGAGGCCGAGGCGGGCGGATCACGAGGTCAAGAGATCAAGACCATCCTGGCCAACACAGTGAAACCCCAACTCTACTAAAAAAAAAAAAAAAAAAAAGAATTGGAGTAAAAGAACTTTAGGTTTCAGTTCCAGCTTTGCCATTTCTGAGCTGTATAAGTTGGGCAAATTATTTAGGCTTTGTAAATGGAGATTAATAATACTTTCATATCAGGTGGTCGTAAGGATAAAATGAGTTCATGTATTGAAAGACAACACTGTGTCTGACACATGGTAAATGTACAGTAAGTTATTATTGTTATATTCTCAAGTTCCGCCCTTCAGTCTGACTGGGAAGATAAGACACACACACACACATTATTTAATCAGGTGTATCAGTCAGGATTCAATCAGAGAAGCAAAAGTGATATAAAGAGATTTATTGTAAGGAGTTGGTTTATACAGTTGTGGGAGCTGGCTGGGCAAATCTAAAATCCATATGGAAGGCTATCAGGAAGGGCAGGCTGGAATTCTCAGGCATTGGCTGAAGCTGCTGTCTACAGGCAACATTTTTTCATCAAGGAATCCTCAGTGGCGCTCTTAAGGCCCTTCAACTGGTAGAATCAGGCTCACCCAGACTATCTAGGATACTCTCTCTTAAAGTCAACTGATTATGAATTTTAATTACATCTGCAAAATACCCTCACAGCAACACCTAGATTGTTTGTTTTGATAACTGGGGGCTATGGCCTAGCCAACCTAGTTGGCAGATCAAAAGACCATCACATCAGGTTAAAATGATTTAGTTTGTACGGTAAATAGTTGTACTACAAAAATGTAAAGAAAGAAAGGATCTATGAATAGGGAGATTATTTTAGATAGAATAGTGGGGAAAGGCTTCATAGAGGAGGCAGAACTTCTACAGGGCCTTCAAGGCCAGGTGCGGTGGCTCATGCCTGTAATCCCAGCACTTTGAGAGGCCGAGGCGGGTGGATCACCTGAGGTCAGGAGTTTGAGACCATCCTGGCCAACATGGTGAAAACCCATCTCTACTAAAAATACAAGAATTAGCCGGGCCTGGTGGCACATGCCTATAATCGCAGCTACTCAGGAGGCTGAGGCAGGAGAATCACTTGAACCCGGGAGACGGAGGCTGCAGTGAGCTGAGATCACGCCATTGCACTCCAGCATGGGTGACAGTGAGAGACTCTGTCTCAAAAAACAAACAAACAAGAAAACCCCAGACTTTTGGAGGTTTCTTTTTATATCTGATTAACACTAGACCAGAGAATTCCCAGAACTATGTATTAGTAGCCACTGAACCACAGCCTTGGTTGGGGCTTTTAATTGACTATAAATTAATATATTTTTCTCTTTTGTCTTTTTGTAGTAAATTCTAAAAACAAACAGAATGTTGAACAAATTATATATGCATTTCGTATAAATTATGTACAGTGCATATTAATCTATTAATCAAGTATATCGTTTCAACATTGGAAATCACTATAGAATATTAATATTATTTTCCTGAGATGTTTTCTCTAACCAATGGATAATGTTTGTTAAAAGATTTAGGGTAATGCTATAAGGTAGGAACCAGAACTGAGATTAATTTTGCACACTGTACATTAGTTTGCAATTTGAATTCAAGTTTACTGTTTTCAGTTTTAGTAAAAATATGAAACTTTCCACTGTCATCATCCATTATTTAGGGCTTGACTCTAGTGAGATGGATAATAGGCTTTTAAAACTCCAAGAAGGGAAATGGAGTGGGAATGGTACACCCAGAAAAGCCAATGTTAACTTATGAAAGTTGTAGGCAATGAGAACTGTCTAAAAATGAGAGCAACAACTAACCCTAATTAGATGTGCTTGGAAAAATCCATTTTTTTTTTCACTTGTGCTTTTTTCTTTTTCCATCAAGCTAATTATATAATATGGTGGAGGAGGGGTTGCTTTTTTTGTTTTGTTTGGAGACAGGATCCCTCTCTGCCACCCAGGCTGGAGTGTAGTGGCAGGATCATAGCTCACTGCAGCCTTGAATTCCTGGGATCCAGGGATCCTCCCACCTCAGCCTCTCAAGTAGCTGAGACTACAGGCATGAGCTACCATGCCCAGCTAATTTTTAAAATTTTTATTAGAGATGGGTTATCACTGTGTTGCCCAGGCTGATCTCCAACTCCTGCCCTTAAGCGATCCTCCCACCTAGATATCCTGAGTAGCTGGGATTACAGGTGTAAGTCAATGTTCTTGGCTATATAGTATGTTATATCTTTTTTTTTTTTTTTTTTTTTGAGACGGAGTCTCACTCTGTAGCCCAGGCTGGAGTGCAGTGGCGCAATCTCAGCTCATTGCAACCTCTGCCTCCTGGGTTCAAGCAATTCTCTTGCCTCAGCCTCCTGAGTAGCTGGGATTACAGACACACACCAGTATGCCCAGCTAATTTTTTTGTATTTTTAGTAGAGACAGGATTTTGCCATGTTGGCCAGGCTGGTCTCAATCCCCTGATCTCAGGTAATCTGCCCACCTTGGCCTTCCCGAGTGCTAGGATTATAGGTGTGTGCCACTGTACCCGGCCTTGTTATATCATTTTTTTTTTACATTTTCTCTGATTATAGAAATCACTAATTTATTCATTATTTCAGCAAATCCTATTTGGTGTCTACCCATAAAGAAATTTTACAGTTTGACTTTGTAAGTAAGATTTGTAGGTAAGATTCTCTTGACATAGCATATTTTGTTTGTTGGGTTCTTTCATAAAGGGAAAAAAAGAAGCAGAGAAGAATATTTCCCTTCTATACATTTCTCAGGACCATATTGTTTAATATTGATCTCTTCTGACATATTCCTCTATGCAAGCAAGTTCTAAGTTTCTACCTGGGTAATAATGAGGAATTACTCACTACATTACTCTAGCAAACCTTTGTGGCCATTATATGAGCACATCCTTTAAATGGAAGTATTACAAAATAAAAGGGCCTCTAAATGTTATTACAGTCTCTTATGAAATTTGATTTGTTGGGTAATGGTTTATTGCTTAAAGCAACTAACATAAGATATACTAAATTTAAGATATTTGGAACCATGTTTTCAATTAGATAGTGATATATAGCTAACTGTATTTCATTTAGCTTTGCCTTTGCTTAGGATCAATTATTATTTAACTTGAAAAGTTTCTTTTCTGCCATTATCCTGTGTTTTTTAAATATACTGAACCAGTCCTACTTGGAACATACTGGGTTTTTTTGTTGTTTTTTTGTTTTTGTTTTTTGGTTTTTTTGAGATGGAGTCTCGCTGTGTCACCCATGCTGGAGTGCAGTGGCGCATCTCAGCTCACTGCAACCTTCACCTCCCGGGTTCAAGAGATTCTCCTGCCTCAGCCTCCTGAGTAGCTGGGATTACAGGCATGGGCCACCACACCCGGCTAATTTTTTTGTATTTTTAGTAGAGACGGGGTTTCACCATGTTGACTAGGCTGATCTTGAACTCCTGACCGACCTTAAGTGAGCCTCTCCTCGGCCTCCCAAAGTGCTGAGATTATAGGTGTGAGCCACTGCACCTGGCCGGAACACACTGTTTTAAAGTACAAGCTTTTTTCCTTTTAAGAAAAGTATAGCCCTTTTCCCTTTATACCAACTTAAGTCTTTATGAACTTATAAAAAATCTATTAAACAGATTTATTTGAAATCTTAACACACATAAACCCTATTCTAAGGAAATCTCTATTTTATTTTAATTTTTGTGGGTTTTTTTTTTTTTTTTTTGGTAGAGACAGGGGTCTTTCTATGTTGCCCAGCCTAGTCTTGAACTCTTAGCTTCAATTGATTTCCCCCACCTCAGCCTCCCAAAGTGCTGGGATTGTAGGCATGAGCCACCACTGCCCGGCCAATCTTAAATCATAGTAGCACTTCTGGTGGCCTTCATGTCTTATGCTACACTCTCTTATATTTTGTGATATTTCTTGTAATCCTGGGACAGGCAGTATCACTGTTAGGATTAGCTCATTCCTGTGAAGCAAGAAAGAGACTAAGGGTTAAAGCCAACTTAGAAAAGACAAGCCAGCAATAAAACATTTGATTTCAGTTAAATATTTATTGTCTGCTTACTGCACTGTGCTTGAGCCTGGGGATACAGAGATGAGAGGTATCCCTGCCCTGAAGATGCTTACAGACTAGTAGGGGATATGGAAAAATAAAAAGGAGGAGCACATAAGTGAGACTGGGATTAGGGTTGCTAGATGTAGCAAATAAAAATAAGGATGCTCAGTTACATTTGAATTTAAAATAAACTAGGACTACCTTGAGTATAAGTATATCCCAAATATTGCCAATAAACAACAATAATTTTTCAGCATAAGTGTATCCTAAGCAGTATTTTGCTCGGCAACCCTAATGAAGAAGGTCCCAGAAGGCTTTCTGGAAAAGGTTACATCTGAGCTGAATTTTGATGAATGAGCATTGCAGACAGAAGGAGGCATGTGCAAAGCTACAAACATGAGAAATAATGCTACATTCCAGGCATAGCATAGCTAGAGCAGAGAAGATGAACGGCAGTTTGCAGAGGTGAAGGAAGCAGGGTCAAACTCATAACAGACCTTGTATCTCATGGTAAGGAGTTCGCCTTTTACCTTCAGAGCAGTAGAGAGTCAGTAGAAGTTTTTAAGCAGGGAAGTGACTGATCCGATTTATGTTTTAGAAAAATTTTGCTACTTGTAGTGGAGAGGGTGGATTAGACAGGAGACAGCACAAGCAGGGGGATCTGTTTTATGGCAGTTGTAATAATCCAGGCACAAGTGACGAGGGTTTAAACTATGGCATTGACAATGGGAATGGAAGGGATGAAACAGCCTCAAAGGATATGAAGGAAATAATTTGATTGCCAGCAATTGGTGACCAGTTGAGTTTGGGGAAATTGGGAAGAACAAGAAATTTAGGACAACTCACTGCTTCCTCCCTCGGTGCCTAGGTGGTTGATGGCACCTTCCACTGAGGCAGGCCATGAAGGAGGACAACCTTGGGACAGAGGAGGGAAGGGTGTGATGGGTTCAGTCTTTGATAGATTGAGTGTGAATTGCTTTTAGGTTATCCAAATCGAGGCAAGAGATGTTCAGGGAGCACTTGGATATTTAATTCACGAAAAAGGCCTAGGCTGGGATAGAGCCAGGATTCCTCAGAGCTGTGGGAATGTCACTGATGATGGTATACAGAGAACACAAGGAAAATGGAACAAAACCCTGGAAAACACTAATACTTAAGATGGTGAGAAAGGAAGAGAATTCCATAAAGAACACTCATAAAGAGTTGCCAGACAGGTGGTTCACTTGAGCTCAAGAGTGCAAGATCAGCCTGAGCAATATGGCGAAACCTCGTCTCTACAAAAAATACAAAACTTAGCCGGGTGTGGTAGTGCGTGCCTATAGTCCCAGCTACTTGGGAGGCCGAGGTGGGAGGATCACCCGAGCCCAGGGAGGTCGAGGCTACAGTGAGGCATAACGCCACTGCACTCCAGACTGGGCGGCAGAGTGAGACCCTGTCTCAAAAAAGATTGAAAAGAGTTGCTAGAGAAGGAGGAGGAAAATATGAAGAGAGAAGCCATAGGAAAGAGTTTTAAAACAGTGTGGTCAACCAGGACAAATGCTGAAGGAGGTTAAATAATATAAGGACTAAAATTTGCAAGTCAGAGATCATTGTTAAAACTGTTATGAGTATTGGCTGAGCGCAGCAGCTCACGCCTGTAATCCCAGCACATTGGGAGGCCAAGGTGGGTGGATCACTTGAGGCCAAGAGTTAGAGACCAGCCTGGGCAACATGACAAAAACCCGTCTCTACTAGAAATACAAAATTTGGCCATGCCTGGTTGTTCTTGCCTGCAATCCCAGCTACCCGGGAGGCTGAGGCACAAGAATTGCCGGAACCCAGGAGGCAGAGGTTGCAGTGAGCCGAGATCACGCCATTGCACTCCAGCCTGGGTGACAGAGTGAGACCCTGTCTCAAAAAAAAAAAAAAAAAAAAAAAGAGAGAGAGAGAATAGAAAAGCTATTAATATATGATTATCTGAATAGATGCATTTGGCAAAATTCAATCAATTCTTAGCAAACTAAGAATAGGAGGGAACTTTCTTAACCTGATAAAAGACATTTATGAAAAACCCACAGCCAACATCTTATGTAATGGTGAAAGTCTGAATATATAATCACTGATATTAGGATCAAAGCAAGGATATACGTTGTCATTTCTATTCCACATATTACTGAATATCCTAGTCACTGTAATAAGTCAAGAAAAAAAATAAAAGACATAGAGATTGGGAAGGAGGGAGAGAAGGAACTGAATCCACCGATGTTTGATGTAAGTGAGGATTAAGTACCCCCATGCAACCTTATTACTAGGTTGTAATGAAAGCAATTTCTGCTAGACATGTAGACATTTATTCAGTCATAAAACATTTTATTTGCAATAAATATATTTATTTTCAAGCAATCATGAAACATTTCATATAATCTGCCTGTAAACTTATTAAAGTTCTAACCCTGCCTTTTTTTTTCTTTTTTTTGAGATGCAGTCTTGCTCTGTCGCCCACGCTGGAGTGCAGTGGTACAATCTTGGCCCACTACAACCTCCTCCTCCTGGGTTCAAGCAATTCTCCTGTCTCAGCCACCCCAGTAGCTGGGACTAAGGTGCACACCACCATTTTTTTTTTTTTTTTTTTAGTAGAAATTGGGTTTCACCAAGTTGGCCAGGCTGGTCTCGAACTCCTGACCTCAGGTTATCCACCTGCCTTGGCCTCCCAAAGTACTGGGATTATAGGTGTGAGCCACTGTGTCCGGCCCCCAAGTCTGCCTTTTTAAGTGCTCTATCAACTTGCATGAAAGATTTAGTCAAGACAAAACCAATGATACTTCAAAGGCAGGCTTGTGTTTCCTTATAATTAGCATCAGGCCACTAGAAATTCTGAACCAATAATTCTCAGTACGTGGTCTCTTAGGCCAGCGTGGGCACTTAAAATTAATGCATATTTTCAGCCTAATCCAAGACCTACTGAGTCCAGAAACTCTGAGACAGGTCCAGCAAACTGTGTTTTCATCAGCCCTCCGTGCAATCTGAAGCTCTCTAAAGTTTGAGAACCTCTAACTGTAAAACTGTTAGCTCCAGGTACCTCCCTAAAGGTAAAGATTATAGCCTCAACTAGTTCTTAAAACCTCTTCATTAAAAGGTATGGAATATCTCATATTTCAGCCAATCCACAACACATATCTTAGATACCTTTAATTTTACCAGTTATCATTCATTTGTAATATTTATCCATCCATTTATCATGCTATTTAACAAACCACAGGCCGGGTGCAGTGGCTTATGCCTGTAATCTCAGCACTTTGGGAGACCAAGGCAGGCAGATTGCCTGAGGCCAGTAGCTTGAGACCAGCCTTGGCAACAAATTGACACACCATCTCTACTAAAAATAAAAAATTAGCCAGGGTGGTGGCATGCACCTATAATCCTAGCTACTTAGGAAGCTGAGGTGGGAGGATTGCTTGAGCCCAGGAGGTCAAGGCTGCAGTGAGCTGTGATCATGCCACTGCACTTCCAGCCTGGGCGACAGAGTGAGACCCTGTCTCGAGAAAATGACAAATTTCACCAATAAAAGCCAGATTTCCTAATTAACAAGTCTCAGAAATTGACCAATCTTGATCAAAGTAAGGAGATAAGGAATATAGAAGCGCTTGGAGTAGCTGCCTCGAGCATTGGCTTCCTGATTACAGCTCTAGCCAAGCACCTGTGCATTCCTGATTTGGATATGAGAGACATCTGGACTATAACTTACACACATATATTAAACTGTGTGTGCTGAGGAATTCTAAAATAAATTGCAGACTCTATTATAACCGAAGGAAGGAAAGAGTGGAGAGGATGTGTGTGTTGCGGGCAGGGGGGAGAGAGATTTGAGCACTTTTAATGGCTGAGAGAGAGAGAGGATGAGAACGCGAACATGAAGTGCAAGTCTAGAAAATGGTGAAGATTTAGTATCGTTGATACGGGGAACGGGAGAGGGTGTTGACGAGAGACGTGGAAGATTTTCAGGCATTGTTAACCCAACTCAGCTATTTTTTTTCCTTAGGAAAAATTGATGAGTTTGTCTGAAATACATTTTTAGAACACACATCTTAGAAAATTACTTAAAACCTGGTAGTATACATCTGTTCATTGTTATTGCCCCCTTGTGGTATAGTTTCCATAGTTGATGAAATTATTCATTCAACTCGGGTGGGTTTCGTCAAATAAGACTAAAGAGTGCCATCTCCTGGTTTGATGAGGTATGTGCAGGCAAGAGAGGCATTTAGGAGAATCACCGGAGTAAAGAACAATCTTAGGACAGGAAAAACCTTTGATGTTTTCGCTGATCATCCTATGGTAAAGTGAAACATTCTCTATAATTTCTGTGTCTTTTTATTTAGAATATCGTTTTACTGACAGTAATTACAGTTTGTGTCTGTGGCTGTGCCTGAAAAACAACAAAACAAAACAAAACAGTACGTGGCCAACCATCCTTTCTATACAAGCATGTGGGAAATTTGCTTTTGGTTTTTGATGTAAGCCACAAGTGGAAGAGCCTGCTCATTGTAACTGCCTCTTTGATGAAGGGTTGGCTTGAGATTTTTTCTTAGAACTAGAATTTGTCTTGTAGCTGAATGCCAGACTAGTCTTTACTGCTTCCCAATAAGTTTACTAATGAGCTACCTGGTTTGTGCTTTAAAAAAAAAAAGTATTAAATATTATAGAAAAGTATGCACTTTAATCCTCAATGAGATTTTAAAGCCAAAGCCACTATTTATGTTGGTTATTTAATAAACATTTACGGAACACTTAAATACCAAACTGTGCTGTGTGCTAGAGAGGAGGGGAGGTTTGAAGATGAATGTAACCAAGTATCTGCCTTCAAATCATCCAGCTTTCCACAAGGGAAGATAACTTGGACACAAATAATGTTAGATTTCAGAATATACAGAAAGAAGGGAGGAAGAAAATAGTGTCAGGAAAGAAATATAAACTCCCAAGATGATTATTGAAAGATGGTTGTGGAAAGAGTCATGTTTAAATCCTGACATTGAACAGAGTTAAGATGAAGTGTTTCTTAAGATTCAGGAGCCCAAGATCAGGACAGTGGAAGGATATCACTCTTTAAGTCCGATCCCATGAATTGTTCATGACAGAGGGCCCTACTTCCGGATAAAAACCCAGCATACACTTCATTCATCCATTTGGCAAGTGCTTTTTTATCTGTATTTGATTATGCGTCAGGCATTGTACAAAGTCCTCAGGAAATAAGGATGAAAGTCCTAGCCCTGTTGTGAGTTGCTTGTATGGAGGGAATGACCAGAGACACCTTTAGTGGGTGCACTCGGGAGGGGTATCTGACACAGTCGGTGCTAAACCTGCTCTGCATGCTCCTCTCCAACATAAATAATCCTGGTTCTGTTACTTTAGTGGTTAAAAGAACAGGCTCTGGAGGCAGACTATCTGGGCTCAGGTTCCAACTCTGCCATTAACCTGCTCTCTGTAAATTTCTTACCCTCTTCTTAACCTCTCTTGCCTCAGTTTCTTTATCAATAAAATGGAGATAATGGTAATACCTATTCCATAGGGAGATTTTGAGAATTTAAGATATATACATGCAAATCTCATAGAACAGTATTGGCATATAAAAAACAATATGACAGCCGGGCACGGTGGCTCACTCCTGTAATCCCAAGCACTTTGGGAGGCCAAGGCAGGCAGATCGCCTGAGGTCAGGAGTTCCAGACCAGCCTAGCTAACATGGTGAAACCCCATCTCTACTAAAAATACAAAAATTAGCTGGGCGTGATGGCAGGTTCCTATAATCCTAGCTATTCGGGAGACTGAGGCAGGAGAATCACTTGAACTGGGGAGGTGGAGTTTGCAGTAAGCCAAGACCACGCCACTGCACTCCAGCCTGGGTGACAAAAGCGAAACTCCATCTCAGAAAAAAAAAAAAAAAACAATATGACAAACGCTGTGTAGCTACCACCTTCTTAACAAATCTTAACCTTTTGCCATATTTGCTTCATTTTTAAAAAGAAGTAAAACATTACAGGTATAGTTGAAGCTCTCTTATCCTGCCTGATATTCTCCTTCCTCCCTCTTTAGAGGAATCACCATCTTGAATTTGGTATGAGTTTTTGCCATGATGTTTTTCTACTTTCACTGCATGTGGCAGGGGTACATAAATACTATGTTTATGTTTGCATATATCTAAACTTTAATAAATGGTACTAAACTGCTCACGTCATTCTGAAATTGTTTCTATTTCACATTATGTTGATATGTCTGGGCCTATTTATTTCATTTTAATGACTGCATAGTATTTCGTACTATGAATATACCACTTTATTCAACCATTCTCCTGTTGAGGGGCATTAACGTTCTTACCCATTTTCCACTCTCACAAACTGCATCTGGATGGCAAATCTCCCAGTACTGCACCTAGATGGCATGCTGCAGTCCTTCCAAGACTGTACCCTGGCCTGCATCACATCTTGTCTTATCTTGTCTTTTCTCTTCTTTTCCTTTTCTTTTTTTCCTTCCTTAAAACTAATCTCTCAAGACCTGGCGCAGTGGTTCACGCCTGTAATCCCAGCACTTTGGGAGGCCAAGGCGGGTGGATAACCTGAGGTCAAAAGTTCGAGCCCAGCCTGACCAACATGGAGAAACCCCATCTCTACTAAAAATACAAAATTACCTGGGCTTGGTGGTGGACACCTGTAATCCCAGCTACTTGGGAGGCCGAGGCAGGAGAATCGCTTGATCCCAGGAGGAGGAGGTTGCAGTGAGCCGAGATCGTGCCATTGCACTCCAGCCTGGGCAACAAGAGGAAACTCCGTCTCAAAAAATAATAATAATAATAAATAATAGTAAATAAACTAATCTTTTATAGAGTTATTGGCCTGCTTTCTTTGGAAGGAAACATTTTTGGTTATTGATTCAATTTTTATATGTATTAATCTAATTCAGCTTTTTTGTTTGTTCCTGTATGACTTTCTATTATGTATATTTTTCTAGAAAAATTGTTTATTTCAAATGTATTACCATAAATTGTTTCTATTTTTTTGCCACCACTACTCTTTTCTTTCCTAATAATGTTTGTTTCTCCTCTTTTTCTCATAATCAGTCTTGCTAAAAGTGTATCTTTTTTGGTAAAGTTTTCAAAGAGCTACCTTTTTATTTTTATTTATTTATTTATTTTGAGACAGGGTCTCACTCTGTCACTCAGGCTGGAGTGCAGTGGCACAATCACATTTCACTGCAGCCTTGACCTCCAGGGCTCAAGCCATCCTCCCACCTCAGCCTTCCGAGTAGCTAGGACACAGGTGTGCATCCACACCTGGCTAATTTTTGTATTTTTTGTAGATACAAAGTTTTGCCATGTTGTCCAGTCTGGTCTGGAACTCCTGGACTCAAGTGATTCACCCTCCTCAGCCTCCCAAAGTGCTGGGGATTATCGACGTGAGCCACCACACCTGGCCTGATTTTTTTTCCATTTATTTCTTCATTTATTATTTCTTTTCTCCTACTTATTTTGAGAGTTTATTTTCATTATTGTTGGGTTTTCTTTTTTTTTTCTTAGAGACAGAGTCTCACTTTGTTGCCCAGGCTGGAGTACAATGGCATGATCGTGGCAGCCTCAACCTCATGGGTTCAAGGGATCCTCCTTCCTCACCCTCCTGAGTAGCTGGGACTACAGGCACACACCACCATGCCTGGCTAATTTAAAAAAAAAAAAATTTTTAGATATGAGGTCTCACTATGTTGCCTAGGCTGGTCTTAAACTTCTGGCCTCAAGCAGTCCTCCTGCCCTGATCTCCCAAAGTGCTGGGATTACAGTTGTGAGCCACTGAGCCGGTCTGTTGGGTTTTTTTTGTTTGTTTGTTTGGTTGGTTGGTTGGTTTTTTTAAGTCTCTTTAGTTGAGCGATTATTTATATTCAGTATCTTGGTTTTTTCGTCATTGCGTTTAAATTTGGAAATTGCTATAATTTTCACTGTAAGAACTGCTTTGGCTGCCTCCCACAAGTTTTGATATATACACTTGCATTGTTGTTCACTTCTAAATATTTCTGCATTTCCATGGTAATTTCTACTTTAACCCACAAATTATTTAGGAATATGCTTTTTAGTTTCCAAACATATGTTTGTTTTTTTGTTTTACTTTTTACTTTTTAAAAAAATTGTACAGTTTTTTGGTCTTTTTTTTTCTCTTTTCTTTTGCAATGGGCCATGTTTGAGCTATGGGACTTCAACTTGACTTTTTTTCTTCCACTTATTTTTTATTTATATGTGGTCAGAGAATGTGGTCTATATGATATGACTTCCTTGGAAACCCTAAACCATACCTACAGGAGCTTTCACTCAAGCTCCTCCTAATGAGGCCTCAGACTTCCCATCACCTTTGCATCAAGGAAGAAACATGCCAATGAAATTGCGGGCCATCTGCTACCAAGCAGATATGCCTAACAGATGGTTCTGCATTTTCTAAAATATCCCCAGAGGTTGACCAGATGGAAGAAAGGCATTGGGCCTCTCCCAAGTGGCCTCCCAAACTTGAGTTTAAGAACTAGATTGCTTTGCTCCTCTCCTGAAGATGAAACTTAATATTCTTAGCTACAGACAGATCTGAAAGAGAAACCAGGTCATAGCCAAGGGCTTGTCCAGGAACTTCTCCACTACTACTAGCTGAAGGGCAACAGTGCCTTGGTGTTGACACTTAACTCTGCACATGGGCAGGGCTCTTGATCTCTATCAGGACTGCCCATATCCTCCAAGCAAACTGTAAGGAGTATTGGTAGGAGGGTACAGGAGGCAGGCCTGAGGAGCCTGTGCCATTCTGAGCAATATACAATAGTCATTAAGAGAGTGGGCTCTGGAGCCAAACTGACTGGGCTAGAATCCTGGCTTTATTATTTTGTAGTTGTGAACAAATTACATAACAGATATTTCTGTTTCTGTTTTCTTATCTTTTAATGGATATTAGGTTCCACCTCCCAGGGTTGTTGTCATGGTAATAAATGTATAGTGCTAGGAACAATGCCTGACACATAAGAAGCACCTACTATCAGGTATTATATTAACAGTTTTTATTGGCAGGCACAGTGGCTCATGCCTGTAGATCTAGCAGTTTGGGAGGCTGAGGTGGGAAGCTTACATGAGCCCAGGAATTTGAAACCAGCCTGGGCAACAAAGTGAAACCCCATCTCTACAAAAAATTAAAAAATTAACCAGGCATAGTGGCACATTCTTGTAGTCCCAGCTACTCGGGAGACTGAGGCAAGAGGATCACTTGAGCCTGGGAGATCGAGGCTGTGGTGAGCCATGATTGTGCCATTGCACTCCAGTCTGGGCAACAGAGTGAGACTCTGTCTCAAAAAAACAAAACAAAAAAAAATCAGTTTTTATTAATTCAGTTACCTGAGCTGTTTTTATTCCAGTCCATTTCAACTGGCTTTCATGTTCCATTTCTCCATTCATCTCTTTGTTGGCTGAAATTCCTTCTCTAATCATTTCTTCAAGAGATGCTCATGGAAATTATATTTTCTGAACCTTATGTGTTCAAAAACATTTGGTGCCTACTGAAAGAAAGTTCAGCTATGTAAAATAATAATAGCTATGACTGAGCACTTTTTAAAGTCACAGGTGGTCTATACTTACACTATTTAATCCTCATAAGGATGCTGTAAATTAAGACCTATTAACATCCCCTTCACAGATGAGACTATTAGGACACAGGCGAGTCTCACTTCCTTCCCCAAAGCCTCCGCTGGCATTGCACCACTGTTGTCTACTATTGAATGTGGCTATGGAGAAATCTGGGGCCAATCTGATTGGTTTCCCCTTAAAGGTGCCTTGATCTTTTTGCCTGGATGCTCAAAGGATAACTTATTTTTGAAGTCCAGTGAACCTCAGTGGGATATGTCACAGGGGTCATTCTTGTCAGTTTTTCTTGGGACATTCATTGTATGTCCTTTCAATCTATAGATTAAAGTGTTTTAATTTATGTGAAGTTTCCCTTGAATTCTACTTTGAATATTTTTTCTTTTCCACTTGTTCCCATTCTCCTTCAGTTCCCATTCTCCTTCATATGGACATGGTGGATATACTTTGTCTTTTTTATCTATACATTTATCTTAAATTCATTTTATTATTTTTAAATTTCCATTTCATTTTGCTTGCATTTCTCAACCTTGTCCTCCAAAGTTTTTTGTTGTTGTTATTGTTTTTGTTTGTTTAAGACAGGGTCTCACTCTGTCACCCAGGCTGGAGTACAGTCGTGTGATCTTGGCTCACTGCAACCTCTGCCTCCCAGGCTAAAGCGATCCTCCTACCTCAGCCTCCCAAGTAGCTAGTACTACATATATGTGCCCCCAAACCCAGCTAATTCTTTTGTATTATTTGTAGAGATGGGGTCTTGCTGTATTGCCCAGGCTGCTCTTGAACTCCTGAGCTCAAGCGATCTGCCTGCCCAGCCTCCCAAAGTGCTGTTATTACAGGGATGAGCCACCACGCCTGGCCTAGTCCTCCTAAATCTTACTGTGTTTTATCCCTGTCTGTCTTTCCCCTCATTTATAATGTGGCTTTTATTTCTAGATGTTTTATTTTCCTTCCTGTCTGAGTTCTGTTAGCTTATTTTAAACTTCCTTCTATTGCCTCATCATTTCTTCTGCTTTGAAGTCTTATTTTAAACTGGTTCAGTAAGTCCTTTAAATTCATAACAATATGTTTGGTCTGTTTCATAGCAACATTCTTCTAGAAATTTTTTTCTTTTTTTTTGAGACGGAGATTCGCTCTTCTTGCCCAGGCTGGAGTGCAATGGTGTGATCTCGGCTCACTGCAACCTCCGCCCCCGCAGGGTTCAAGCGACTCTTCCACCGCAGCCTCCTGAATACTTGAGATTACAGGCATGCGCCACCACGCCCAGCTAATTTTGTATTTTTAGTAGAGGCGGGGTTTCTC
This sequence comes from Homo sapiens, assembly GCF_000001405.40. NCBI lineage: Eukaryota > Metazoa > Chordata > Mammalia > Primates > Hominidae > Homo > Homo sapiens. The sequence goes on along the minus strand of NC_000001.11, from coordinate 92,852,317 downwards.
CATGTTTGTCAGGCTCGTCTCGAACTCCTGACCTCAGGTGATCCACCTGCCTCGGCCCCCCAAAGTGCTGGGATTATAGGCGTGAGCCACTGCACCCTGCCTAGAAAATTTTTTTTATCTGACATTTGCTTTTCCTATTCCATTCTTCCTAATTCTTGTAGATTTGCTGTATAGATCTTTTGCTTGTTTGGTTTTGATTATTACTCATTACTGAGTGAAATGAGGTCTCCTTCAGCCAGCCATGTGCGGGAAGCAACTGGGCAGTGAACTGAGCTGGTAGTGAAGCTGCTTCTGGCCCTCTCTCCCAACCGTAGTTCATCAACAGACTGCCTCCAGCAAAGAGAACATTTCTGAGCATTTTATCATTCAGGCCTGTCTTATCTTACTATTTCATGGTGCCAAATAGAGTTCTGGGAAGTTCCCACAGCTTGTGCCCCTTAAATCTTTGTTGCAACCAGGATAATGGTTGTGCTCTGCAGATGTACCACCTACTTGGTGCTCTGCCAACTTTGTCTGAGAGTGGGGACCACAGCAGGTGTTTAATCTCAGCATACTTGTAGGCTCTGGTGTAATCTTCACTGAATTTGGCAGGTCATCCTCATTTATTGTGCCTAGGGTTTCATTGGTACCATATTTTTTCAGAGAGTGGATGGGTTTTTTTCCCTTTCTTGTTTTTGGGTGATCTCAAGGATGACAATGTGACAGAGGTAACTTTATTTTGTTATTCTAAACTTTATTTATTTTAAAACCAGAAGTTTTTTTTTTTTTTTTTTTTGAGATAGGGTCTCACTCTCTCACCCAGGCTGGAGTGCAGTGGCATGATCTCGGCTCACCACAACCTCTGCCTCCCAGGCTCAAGTGATTCTTCTGCCTCAGCCTCCCGAGTAGCTGGCATTACAGGCGCCCGCCACCACGCCTGGCTCATTTTTTTATTTTAGTAGAGATGGGGTTTCACCATGTTAGCCAGGCTGGTCTCGAACTCCTGACCTCAAATGATCCACCAGCCTCGGCCTCCCAAAGTGCTGGGATTACAAGCGTGAGCCACGGTGCCTGGCCTAAAACCGGAACCATTTTTAAAGATAGAGTGCCTCTATTCTTGGAAGGAGTAGGTAACATACCACCTTAGACCATGTCATGTGGGAAAAATAGTTTCAAAATTCTACGCACACCCCAGCAGCAACAAGCTTTCTCATAATCATATAGGTATAAGTAACAGAGCTTAGATCAAATCCAGGTCTGTCTAAGTCCAAAGCCTCAGTTCTTTTTGTCATAGAACTTACTCATAAAGGATATAGATATCTCTTTATGCTTCTTCTTGTGAATATTTTTCTATTAACTACTTTTTTATTTCCTGGTTTTTAGTGTGACAAGTACAAGACTGGAGTTATTGATGGGCCTGCATGTAACAGCCTTTGTGTTACAGAAACTCTTTACTTTGGAAAATGTTTATCCACCAAGCCCAACAATCAGGTATGGCCATTATGAATAAACATTCCAGAATTATAGTGTACTCTAATTTTACCAGAAATTAAAGGCATTATTAAAAGAATTCTTGAACCAAAGCTTTGAGACATTATATGTATTTCAATTTTGTATGCTTTGATTCATTCATTAAACAGACATTTATTTTATTTTAATTTTTTGAGACAGGATCTGTTGTCCAGGCTGGAGTACAGTGGTGAGATCTCTGCTCACTGCAACCTCCACTTCCCAGGCTCAAGTGAGCCTCCCACCTCAGCCTCCCATGTAGCTGGGACTACAGGCTCACACAACCACACTTGGCTAATTTTTTGTATTTTTGTAGAAACAGAGTCCCGCCATGTTGCCCAGGCTGGTCTCGAACTCCTGAGCTCAAGCAATCCACCCGCCTTGGCCTTCCAAAGTGCTGGGATTATAGATGTCAGCCACCACACCTGGCCAGTCAAAAGATATTTATTAATCTATCCCCAGTATATTCCAGACACTGTTTTGTTTTGTTTTTTTTTTTCTGTCAGCACTTTGATGTTAGATGCTGTTTCAGTTACCAGGAATACAATGGTGATTAAGGCAACCTGGTGCGGTGGCTCACGCATGTAATCCCAACACTTTGGGAGGCTGAGATGGGAGGACCACTTGCGCCCAGGAGTCTGAGACCAGCCTGGGCAATGTAGTGAGACCCTGTCTCTCCAAAATTTAAAAAAAATGCCAGGTGTGGTGGCACACACCTGTGGTTCTAGCTACTCAGGAGGCTGAAGTGGGAAGATTGCTTGAGCCCAGGAGGTTGAGGCTGCAGTGAGCTATGGTCCCACCACTGCACTCCAGCCTGGGTGACAGAGTGAGTGAGTGTCTCAAAAAATAAAAAATAAAAATAAAAAAATACAAACAGCCGGGCCCGTGGCACGGGCCTGTAATCCCAGCACTTCAGGAGGCCAAGGTGGGTGGATTGCTTTAGTCCAGGAGTTTGAGGCCTACCTGAGCAACATAGCAAAACCCTGTCTCTACAAAAAATACAAAAATTAGCTGGGTGGCCAGGCACAGTGGCATACACCTGTAATCCCAGCACTTTGGGAGGCTGAGGCGGTAGGTCACTTGAGGCCAGGCATTCAAGACCAACCTGAGCAACATTGCGATACCCCCTCTCTACTAAAAACACAAAAAATTAGCCGGGTGTGGTGGCACATGCCTGTAATCCCAGCAACTCCAGAGGCTGAGGCACAAGAATCGCTTGAACCTGGGAGGCGGAGGTTCCAGTGAGCCAAGATCTCACATCACTGCACTCCAGCCTGGACAATAGAGCGAGACTGTCTCAAAAAATATATATGTATTAGCTGGGTGTGGTGGCACACACCTATGGTCCCAGCTACTCGGGAGGCTGAGGTGGGACAATCACTTGAGCCCAGGAGGTCAGGGCTGCAGTGAGCCGTGTTCATGTCACTGCACTCCAGCCTGGGTGACAGAGTGACACCCTGTCTCAAAAAAAAAAAAAAAAACAAAAAAAAACCAGACAAGATTGCTTCCCTTACAGACCTTACATGATTCCAGAGGGACAGGAGGTACAAACAGTTGATAAATAAATAAATAAACAAACAAAATAATTGTAGAATATGGTGTGTTCTGTAGGAGACACAGAGGGCAAATTGATAGAGAATGCAGTGTAAGGGATGGTGAGAAGTGCTTTAGAGGATGTGATCAGAGAAGACCTTTCTGAAATAATATTTGAACTTATACCTTAATAAAAAATTCATAGGCATGGGAAAAGGACAGGATGAACTAAATCACAAAAGAACTGCAAACAGCTGATGAACATAATGAAAAAAAATTCTACCTTACTTTTCATCAGAGAAATAAGAATAAAACAGTAGAATATCTAATTGGGGTAGAAGAAAATACAACGAAACATCTGGAGCAGTGGAAAATTGCATTTTAATGTTCATCTTATGGTTCCTAAATTTTCCTATATAAATATGCATTATTATTATAGAAATTTAAACTAATTTTTCAGTTGACAGTATTAATCATGTTAAAGACAATTTCTAAAACAAAGTCCAACATTTGAGTGTCTCCTGCATGCCAGGCACTGTTTGAGGCACTGAGGGAGACAGATAAAGCCTCTGGCCTCATGTTCTAATGTGAGATGAGACAGATAGTAATGAACTGATAAATAAATAAATATGATAATTTTAGACAGTGCAAAAGGCTATGAGGATAATGAAACAGGGTTAGAGGTGACCTGGGGGTGGAAGAGGATCTCTTCTAGACAGGGGGTCAGGGAAGGCTTTCTAAATGCAATGTCTAATCTGAGACTTGAATGATGTAAAGGAGCCAGCCATGTGAAGATCTGGGAGAGTACATTCCAGGCAGAGCCAGCAGCAAGTGAAGCAGGTCAGGAAGCAGAAACAAGCTTCAACCTGTCACAGAAAGACCAGTGTAGCTGGGACTTTGAGAAACGGAGTACGTGGTACAAGATCAGGTTGGAGACATAGGCGAGGCTAGCTCAAATGGAGCCCAACCGGTCATGGAAAGGACTTTGGACTTTAATTGAAAGGGGAATTTATTAGAGGGTTTGGAGCAAGGCAGTGAAATAATGTTTTCTTTGGATTAATATTAAGAATGAATATGATCTTATTTATTTTTTTATGTAGAAGAGGGGCAACCTATCCTAGTGGTAAAGACCTCAGCTCTTTTCAGCATGTTACTTCACCTGTATCTGCTTCAGTTTCCCCATCAGTGAAATAAGTATAATGATAGTACCTACCACCTAAGATTGGTACAAGGATTAAAATAATAACATAAATCAGTAAAAGCCAGGTGTGGTGCCTCATACCTACAATCCCAGCAACTTGAGAGGCTGAGGCAGGTGGGTCACTTAAGGCTAGCAGTTCAGGACCAGCCTGAGCAATACAGCAAGACCCCATCTCTACAAAAAATGTTTTTAATTAGCCAGGTTTAGTGGTACATGCCTATAGTCCTGGCTACTTGGGAGACTGAGGCAGGAAGATTCCTTGAGCTCAGGACTTTGAGGCTGCAATGAGCTATGATTATGCCACTGAACCCCAGCCTGGGTGACAAAGCAAGACCCTGTCTCTAAAATAAATTAGTAGACCATAGGACATAGTTAACACTATATAATATTAGTTTGATAAATAACTAGATACTTAAATAGTAGTTAATTCTGGGGAAGTGGGATTATGGAAGTAGAATGTCTGGGAACTTTGCTTTTGCCTTACATCCTTCTCATTGGACTTTTTGAAAAATATATTTAGGCATGCATTACTCTTATAATTTAAAAAATTAGTTTAAGGAAAAAATCTTGAGTGTGATTTCAAGTTTGCAGTTCAGAAATAAAGTCACACCTTAACCTCAATGTTTGATGCTTGTTTTGTTTTGTTCAGAGGAGGAGGACCCTAAAAATATAGTAGTATATTTTTTAGAGTTTTCTACTCAGTATAATACATAACTTGCCACTCTTTTTTACATAGATGTATTTAGGGATTTGGGATAATCTACCAGGTGTTGTGAAATGTCAAATGGAACAAGCGCTTCATCTTGATTTTGGAACTGAATTGGAACCAAGAAAAGAAATAGTGCTATTTGATAAGCCAACTAGAGGAACTACTGTACAAAAATTTAAAGAAATGGTCTATAGTCTCTTTAAGGTAAGCATACCCATTCATATGTTGCTAGTGTGAAGTGGGACTCTTTAGAGGAATTGGCAGGACCTCATCCTAAGCCATTAAAGTGTTGATATTCTTTGACCTCTATCAGATTCTCCATCCTGAGGAAATAATTATAAGAGGCCGGGCGTGGTGGCTCACGCCTGTTATCCCAGCACTTTGGGAGGCCAAGGCAGGAGGATCACTTGAGCCCAGGAGTTCAAGTCCAGCCTGGGCAACATAGTAAGACCTCAGCTATATATATATATATATACACGTATATATATATATACGTGTGTGTGTATATATATATATATATATACACACATATATATATACACACATATATATATATATATATATATATATATATATATATATATATATATATATGCCAGGAGTGGTGGCATGTGCCTGTAGTCCTAACTACTTGAGATGCTGAGGTGCGAGGATTGCTTGAGCCTGGGAGGTCGAGGTTGCAGTGAGCCAAGATCTCACCACTGCACTCCAGCCTGGACGACAAAGTGAGACCCTGTTTCAAAAAAAAAAAGAAAAAGAAAAGAAATCTGTGTTGGAGAATGTTTACTTTAACATTATTTATGATAGCTAAAAATGTCCAGATATGAGGAGGGAGTTCATTAATTAATTGGAGTGCTGTACAGTTTGACATGAAAATTAATTCAAAAAAGGTGAAATAAAATGAGTATACTCTTAGAATTGTGGCTATTAGAGGCTGGGAAGGGTACAGAGGAGAGGAGAATAAGGAGAGGTTGGTTAACAGATACAAAATTACCGCTAGATAGGCAGAATAAGTTCTAGTGTTCTATAGCACTATAGGGTAAAGGGATTAATAATTTTTGGTTATTTTCAAAAAACTAAAAGGATTGTGAATGTTCACAACACAATGATAACTGAGACATAAATATGCTAATTACCTTGATTTGATCATTACAAATTGTATGTGTGTATTGAAATATCACTATGTATCCCATGAATTTTTTTTCTGTGTGCTCCCGTTCACAATACAGACAAGGCGCAGGGCCTGGGCTGAGGTGTACATGGGAGTTCACCTCCTCATTCTATACAGTCAGTATAAGAACACAGCCTGGGGTAAGCACCAGGAGGCCTGGGGATTTTTTTTCTTTCTTTCTTTTTTTAAAAGATGGTTGGTTATTTGTTTTGTTTTGTTTTGGCAGGGTCTTGCCCTGGTGCCCAAGCTGGAGTGTGCAGTGGCATGATCTCGGCTCATTGCAGCCTCAGCCTCCTGGGTTTAAGCCATCCTCCTGCCTCAGCCCCCCAAGTAGCTGGGATCACAGGCGCACCACCGCACCTGGCTAATTTTTTTTTTTTTTAGACGGAGTCTCGCTCTGTTGCCCAGGCTGGAGTGCAGTGGCATGGTCTCAGCTCACTGCAACCTTGCCTCCCAGATTCAAGCAGTTCTCCTGCCTCAGCCTCCCGAGTAGCTGGGATTACAGGCACCCGCCACCACACCTAATTTTTGTATTTTTAGTAGAGATGGGATTTCACTATTTTGGCCAGGCTGGTCTCGAACTCCTGACCTCATGGTGATCCACCCGCCTCAGCCTCCCAAAGCGCTGGGATTACAGGCGTGAGCCACCGCATCCAGCATTTTTTTTTTTTTTTCAGCAGAGACGGTTTTTTTTTTTTTTTTTTTTTCTAGCATAGACACGGTTTCACCATGTTGCCCAGGCGGGTCTAGAACTCCTGAGCTCAAGCTATCTGCCCACCTTGGCTTCCCAAAGTGCTGGAATTACTGGCTTGAGCAATTGTGCCCATCAGTATCCCATAAATTTGTAGTTATTACATGTCACTAAAACTAACGGGAAAAAAAGCATAGCAGTTCTTCCTATGCAAAAAAAAAAAAAAAAAAAACGGTACTCTGCAAATTATTTTTTTAATTTAAAGGAATACCAATATAGGCCGGGCGCGGTGGCTCACGCCTGTAATCCCAGCACTTTGGGAAGCCGAGACGGATGGATCACAAGGTCAGGAGATCGAGACCATCCTGGCTAACATGGTGAAACCCCGTCTCTACTAAAAATACAAAAAAAAATTAGCTGGGCGTGGTGGCAGGCGCCTGTAGTCCCAGCTGCTCGGGAGGGTGAGGCAGGAGAATGGCGTGAACCTGGGAGGTGGAGCTTGCAGTGAGCTGAGATCGCGCCACTGCACTCCAGCCTGGGCGAAAGAGCGAGACTCCGTCTCAAAAAAAAAAAAAAAAAAAAAAGAAATACTAATATATAGATTAAATAGAAATAAAACAAAGTTTTAGAAAAAAGTTTTATTTTCATTGCTCTTTTATTTTCACTCAAATTTTTTATTTGGCCATTTTACATGTATTTCAGACTAACGGAAATACTTTTTAATCTTCATTATTGTAATACTACTATTTGAACAAAATAATTATTGTGATAAATACAAAATAGGATAAAATAATTAGGCCAGGCATGCTGGCTCATGCCTGTAATCCGAGCACTTTGGGAGGCTGAGGTAGGAGGATCACCTGAGCCCAGGAGTTTGAGACCAGCCTGGGCAACATAGTGAGATCCCCATCTCTAAAAAAAGGAAAATAATTTTTAGTTGACCCTTATTGTAACTTTGATGTAAGTACATTACAGTACAATTTTTCAAGTCCACATATGAGGCGGTGGTTTTTTAATGTATGAATGAGGAATAATTACATTGTTGGTTAACTATCTAAGGGGCCTGAAGGGGACAGGGGAGTTAGTGGCCATTTCCTAACAAACAGACAAGTATTTTAAAGTGGGTTTTACTGCAGTTACATAAAGCATGGTTCTAGTTCACTTAGGAAGTATCATAAATATTTGGAGATATAATACATTAAGTTCCTGTTTGGGGATTCAGTACCAAGATTATTTCTGGCATGGTTAATAATGCCCGTAAAGAAACTTAGTATGTTGCATGGGAGGTATTTTTCATTCCTTCTGTGTAACTAGCCAAATTCTTGACAGGCAAAATTGGGTGACCAAGGAAACCTCTCTGAACTGGTTAATCTCATCTTGACGGTGGCTGATGGAGACAAAGATGGCCAGGTTTCCTTGGGAGAAGCAAAGTCGGCATGGGCACTTCTTCAACTGAATGAATTTCTTCTCATGGTGATACTTCAAGATAAAGAACATACCCCCAAATTAATGGGATTCTGTGGTGACCTCTATGTGATGGAAAGTGTTGAATATACCTCTCTTTATGGAATAAGCCTTCCTTGGGTCATTGAACTTTTTATTCCATCTGGGTTCAGAAGAAGCATGGATCAGCTGTTCACACCATCATGGCCAAGAAAGGCCAAAATAGCCATAGGACTTCTAGAATTTGTGGAAGATGTTTTCCATGGCCCCTACGGAAATTTCCTCATGTGCGATACTAGTGCCAAAAACCTAGGATATAATGATAAGTATGATTTGAAAATGGTGGATATGAGAAAAATTGTGCCAGAGACAAACCTGAAAGAACTTATTAAGGATCGTCACTGTGAGTCTGATTTGGACTGTGTCTATGGCACAGATTGTAGAACTAGCTGTGATCAGAGTACAATGAAGTGTACTTCAGAAGTGATACAACCAAACTTGGCAAAAGCTTGTCAGTTACTCAAAGACTACCTACTGCGTGGTGCTCCAAGTGAAATTCGTGAAGAATTAGAAAAGCAGCTTTATTCTTGTATTGCTCTCAAAGTCACAGCAAATCAAATGGAAATGGAACATTCTTTGATACTAAATAACCTAAAAACATTATTGTGGAAGAAAATTTCCTACACTAATGACTCTTAGTTCATTTGGACATAATTACCATTTTAAGAAACCTGCCACTTTTAAAGAACAATTTTGAGCATTAAAAAAAAATGGCTTCAAATTCCGGCCAGTTACACAAAACTCCTTCCCCCCAGGCCTGAGAAGCCATCAGTATGTGATCACTGAAGTAATGGCAGGTGTAGGATCAACAGGTCCCCAAGATGTCATTCCTGCCCTTTTAGAAGCCCTGTTACATCTCCGAAGTACATTCATTGTGTAACTATTTTGACTGACTTTAAAAACCAATGCTGTGAAAAGCTTCATTCCATAAACATCAACAGTGAGTGATTTGTAGATTTACCTTAGCCAAAATACCAATGCTGGAAGCATTGTGTTTGCATTGAAGCTGCTGTTCAACAAGAAAATTTATAAATTTACTAATGTCTTAGCATGGTAAAGTTTGCACATTAACAGAAATTAAGACTGCAAAGCAGGTTAAACTTGCTTCTTTATAAAACAGATGTTGGGTTAATAGCATGGTTTACTGTATTAAAGACTTATACACCCATTTTTAACCTCATTCAGACATCAAGTTATGTGTAGCTTCACAATGGTTCAAGTGGCTTACTTCAAGAAATCTTATACTTGACAGTACACCAATTTTATTGACTAAAAATGGATGAACTTTCCTAAAGATTCAAAGGGCCCATCTTAGTATCACGCAGCTGACTGAGCCCTTCAAAACTGACATCTTAAGGCCCAATCAAGATCCACATATCCTGATTTTGAACTATGTGAAAGTGGGACTGTAAGTGCAAGACTAAAATAAATTATAGCAGACTTTTTAGTAATAACTTTCCATTTTCAAACAGTATATCCTGTGGGCCAAAGGGCTATTTCTTAAAGAGGCATGTAAATGTATTTATTTATCTAATGTTTTTTTCCCCATGTAAACTTGATATACAAGGTTTAGTATTTGCTCCTCTTTCATATTATTTTCACACGTATACTCAGATTTGGCATGTACCTTTCAACATCTCCATAAAATTAAACACCTTTTGGAGAAAAGAACCACTATTTTCTGCTCAAAGGTTTCGCCTACCTAAAGTGGAACATGTTAAAAATCTATGTGACCATCACTGGACAGCTTTCTCTCAAAACTTTCCTTCAACGCCATGGATTAGCACCAGTTTTGTTTACTTTAAGGTACTTTTCCCATTCATCATCTGGTTATAATAAATGGATGGAAGAAATATTTCCCACTGATGGTTGGTCTGTTGCTTGCCAAATTTTTAGGGAGAGCTGTTCATCATACAACATAAGGGATAATGACTCCTGTCAGGTAAAACAGAAGCCCAAGAAATAACAACTTTTTTTCTTAAAAAGTTAGTTACACTTGTTTTCTTGGAGAAAAAAACCTGTCAACTCCTTTGCTTTTCCAAAATATTTCAGGGTATTTCCTATAAGGTTCATAAGAATAAGAGCTTAACACAGAAATAGTTGCTGTTCATAAGTTTATTATCTATATCTGAAAAAATCATAGAAAATTGCTGGGTTTAGCTCTCAGCAGCCCGCTCCTGAGCTCTGAGGAAGCTTGCCTTCTTTTGAGCTACCCGATCCTTCTTCTGAGCAAGGGACATTTTGGGACGGTTCCACCTACAAAAGATAGGAATATATATTTTTTAAACTATAACTGAAGAGAATAGAATATTTAATTTAAAATTTTAATAAAATTTAATTTTGATAGAGAATATTTAAGACTTTGCAATCAGAAGGTTAAATAATCCAAGTTCAAATACATTTACTTATGTATGATCTTAAGCTAACTTTCCCAAACCCCAACTTCTGTGATGTCCTACTACCATAGGGCCAAAAGTCAAATAGAAGACATGTTAGATTCAGTAATACCACTTCTAGGTATTTGCCCAAATGTTTTGAAATCAGTTTGTCCAAGAGAGTGGCACTCCCATGTTCATTGCAGCACTATATATTAATAGCAACAGATAAATGGATAAAGGAAATGTGGTATACATATACATAATGGATTATTACCCAGTCTTTAAAAATGATGGAAATTCTGTCATTTGCAACATGAATGAAGTGGAGAATATTGTGCTCAGTGAAATAAGCCAGGCACAAAAAGACAAATACTTCATATTCATATAGAATCTAAAACAATGGAACTCACAGAAGCAGAGAGCAGAATGGTGGTTACAGAGGCTGGTGGGTGCAAAGAATGGGCAGATGATAGTCAAGTATAAAATCTCCAACAGGAGGAGTATGATTTTGTTTTTAGTTCTATTGCACAGCATGATGAATATAGAATATCGTACATTTCACAATTAAGAGAATAAATTTCAAATGTTGTTGCCACAAAGTGTTAAGTATTTGAGGTGAATATGTTAAATACATTGATTTAATTACTATACATTGTATTTGTGGGCCATCACATCACTTTATGCTTACATGTTCATTAAGTATTACTTTCTATTCCATTTAAAGATCAAAACATGAAAGATCAACAAAAAGCAACTTGTCAGCCAATAAAAAAATGCAGTAACCAGTACTTAGACTGTACTAGGATAGAAAGAACCACCTCAGTAGTGTCTGAGGCTAACACATTTCCATCACCACAGTTACTTTTGCAAACCTGGTTCCCTTCGCTTCTGCCACATCACGCAGAGCTAGTGATCGAGTTTGCACAATTACACCAACAGTCTGCCCCACGTGGGAACCATTCCCAACCTGTTTTCTTGAAAAGACAAAAAAAAAGACGACATACCTCTTCTTTTTAACTTCTTTCTTGGGCTTCTTTTCATAGACTGGATTCTCTCGTATAGCAGCATGAGCTTTCTTATACATCTCCTCCATCTGAAACAAAGGAAAGCAAACAGTACTTGGTTTCATTTCATGTGCCCTACTATATTAATGCAACCATAACTTATCTTGTCCTTCTAAGCCAGATTCTCAAAAGGAACTAAACTAAATCAATGTTGGTAAACACTTTAACTTCTAAATGTAACTCACCTTTTCCTAACAAATTCCCAATTTTCACCTTATGCAATGTGAATTATCACTACAGAACTCCATCTTACTCAAGAAAAAAATCAGGCCAGGTGTGGTGGTTCATGCCTGTAATCTCAAGCACTTTGGGAGTCTGAAGTGGGAGGATCACTTCAGCCCAGGAGTTTGAGACCAGCTAAGGCAACACAGTGAGACCTGTCTCCATAAAAAAACTAATTAGCCAGGTGGCAATTATTAATGGTGGCATGCACCTGTAGTCCCAGCTACAGGACTACACGTGAGTCCAGGAGGTCAAGGCTGCAGTGGCACAATCACAGCTCACTGGACCCCAGCCTAGATGACAGAATGAGACCTCATCTCTACCAAAAATTAAAAAAAAAAAAAAAAAATTAGCAGGGCATGGTGGTGCACACCTATAACCCCAGCTACCTCGAGAGGCTGAGGTGGGAGAATTGCTTGAGCCCAGAAGTCTGAAGTTGCAATGAGCTATAATTGTGCCATTGCACCCCAGCCCAGGAAACAGAACAAGATCCTGCCTCAAAAAAAAAAAGTAAGAAAACAAAAAGAAAAATCTGCATGTACTTCTGAGAAATTCAGCCACACTTCTTGAGTCACTCTAAATCAAATTTTTGTCTGCAGAAACAAATATTGCGCTTCTCATTTTAAATACTGTCTGACCTAGATTCTTTCATTCAAGAACAAGTGCCAAAAGTATTAAGATATTAAGATGATGAACGTATGGGACCAAGAGTCACAACACTGACATAGCTTAACTGAGACCAAGGACTGGACACAGGCCAACAAGCAAATTCATCTGTCATCCCACAATCCCTAGACTTTTGTTTTCCATCTTTATCTCACAGGCCTTTAAAAGTAATTCCCAGCATTATGTACCAAGGACCTCTCTTCTGTCTTTCACTACCACCAATCTATCCCTAGTATCTAGTGGTAATATAAGGCCTCTAGACCAGAAAGATGTCAGAAGTTTTCCTGAAAAGCCAACCGATCAGATATTTTATTGGGCAATTTTTTGTTTTTTGACATGAAGTCTCGCTCTGTTGCCCAGGCTGGAGTGCAGTAGCGCGATCCCAGCTCAGTGCAACCTCCACCTCCAGGGTTCAAGCAATTCTTCTGCCTCAGCCTCCCGAGTCGCTGGGATTACAGGAGTGAGCCACCATGCCCAGCTAATTTTTGTATTTTTAGCAGAGACAGGGTTTCACCATATTGGCCAGGCTGGTCTCGAACTCCTGACATCAGGTGATCTGCCCACCACGGCCTCCCAAGTCCGGGGATTACAGGCGTGAGCCACCATGCCCCGCCAGGGCAATTTTGTTCTAAAACTCACTGAAAAAAAAAAAAAAAAAAAGCTGCAACTCTCTGAATATCTAATAATTATAGCCCACTACAGACTATGTCACAGTAATCCAGGTCTCTAAAATTATTCAATCAATGTGGAGATGTGATTACTACATGCATTTGCATAAAGATTATTAAAGGAAAATAATGCAAAAATGCTCACTGCATTTGAAACCTCAACTACCTATACCCATTTTGAAAGTTAATTTCCCTACCTCTTTTAGCACTCTATTATAGCTAGCTGTTCACTAACAAATAACAAATCCATTTGATGACTTCATATATAGTCATTCAACAAATCTAAGCAACCCAGTTCCTTCCAAGACGTCAGACAAGCAGACATGTAGATAATGCCTGAATTGAGGTAAAGACCACCTCCTGTTGGAGACACATCAGATGTCTGCACAGGATTTCAGCAGGCACACAGGAGGATAGAGGCCACTGTAGATAAAATTAATGAGCCAGCTAGAAAAATACATTAGCCAAAAAGTAGTCTAGCTGAAGGAAGGCACATATACAGGAAAGCATTAGGAAGTAAACATCTGAAAGCACAAACTGGGAGTCTGAAAAGTTCTGAGCAAGTATGACATGACTACATAAAGATATAGGTTAGGAAGTAAATTTTGCAAGACTAGTAGAATCATAATCCAAAAGTAAATGACCTCTTTACCAGGATGAAGTCATAAGTAACAAAGAAATATAACGCAGTAAAAATTAACATGCACCTACATTATTGATAAAAAACTACTCCTTTTCCTAACTCAGAAACTCAAGCTATTTGTTTATTCAGCCTTTACACTGTGTCCAAAGCATAGAAATAACAGAAAGTGGTCATTTCCCAACTACTGTTTTTAAAAATTTTCCTAACCAATAGCTATGCCAAAATAGAAGCTACTACACACTAACGAAAAAGAACCTGGGTCAGGAATGGCTCTCATCTGTAAGCCCAGCACTTTGGGACTCATTCTTGCAAACATGGCTCCCCTCATTTCTACAACATCACGCAGACCCAGTGATCAAATCTCTTTTCCTGTGTACATGTCTGAGATAATGGGAAAGTCCAGAATATAGCACACATATGCTATGAAGAGCTTTCCTCCCAGATGGTATCAAAATAAGTGAAGTTTATTATCTAGCACCTCTTATCCAACAAAGCAGATTACAACTATGATTACAGAAATGACATCTACAAATACAGAACAGCCAAAGCATAAAAGGTAGCCAAATCTTCAGATGCTTGAAGTCTCCCACACTTGAGCATCTAAAAGATTACTAAAAGAATGTTGACAAGTCTAGCTCATGTTGTCAAGAAACACACCTATATAAGAATGTTACCTGCCCCCAAAACAAGTAATAAACCTATTTCCATAAATTAACCAATATAGGCATTTTTAGGTAAATGTTTTACCATGTCTGGAGTTACGCTGTTCTTTATGTATTGAGAGAACTGTTTCTTGTAAGCATCTTCATCTTCTTCCATTAAGTAGCGCATGTAATCTGCAACATTCTGGCCCATGATGTGCTTCCGATGTACTTCTGCATTAAATTCCTTGCTTTCAGAATCATAACCAGGGAATCGTTTGGTACTAAAATAAAGTTATTCATATTTTAGTATAGACTCACTTAACTTAGTTTACTAGTAAGAATTTACTTTAGTAGCTGCCATCAGTCCCGTCTTGAAACAATTATCGCATCATATGCAACCAAAGGACCAACTACTGACTGCTCAGTTAGTGGGATATCATCATTCAGCAGCTCATCTCTGAATTCCAGGACAGAAAAGAAATTCATGCTACAAAAACCTTTAAAAGCCATTACCAAGGCTTTCCACCACTACAAAATTAGTCATCCAGCACATCAGCACAGGAAGGAGTTTCAAAACTTATACTCTAAATCCTTTAATTTTCAGTGGGTACATGGGAATAAGTGATTTGTCCAAGATCACAGTTAATGAAATTGTCAAGTGAGAATGCTCTTGGTGTACTTGCAACTAACTCCCCCCACCCACCTCCACATCATAAAAGCAAAATTTCAGTTGGGTTGTATTTTAGGCTTACCAAAAATTACTATTTCTTGGTTAAATCACCAAATGCTAAAATATTCCTAAGAAGTTAATAAATCAAGATGCACAGACTCAACAACAAAAAATATCATTAAACCAATGGAACTACAAATTAACCTACTTAACTTCCCAAAATGGCCTACAATCTTATTCCTAGTTGCAGGTTTAGAAATCTTTCATAAGCCTTTTCCTCAAACTTCTTATAAAATTCTAGGATCCACCTTTTTGCATAATTCAGTAAATCATTTTTATTCTGATTGAAAAAAGAAAGTGCATGGGGAAAGAGGATGGAGTTGCTCATTTCTAATAAGAATTAAGTCATATGCAAAAGGTAGTGGTTTCAATCCCATCTCTTTCAATAACTGGCCCGAAAAACTTGGGACAAATAACTCTGGGCCTCAGACTCTTAATTTATAAAATGGGCTATAATTCCTTCCTGCCCTACTAGGTTCCTCCTGCATGGTACCTAGGCATACAGCAGGCATTCAATTGATAGCTACTTTAATTCGGTTATCTCCACAGTCCAACTAGTTAAAAACAGGGAAGTACCACGGTCCAGGCACCAAGGTCTTAAATAGTATTCTTACCTGTGAGGGATAGACAAGCCTCCATCCACAGCTCCCTTCAGGGCACCAAAAACTTTATTGCCAGTGGTAGTTCTGGCAAGGCCTGCATCCAAATAGCAGGTGAAGGCACCTGGCTGACCATCAATGCTTTCCACATTGTATTCATCACCAGTCACCTCCACTTGGCCTTCATAGATCTTGTCCATGCCAAACCTATTGAGAAGCTATTCAAGAAACCAATGTAAATGCTGGTTTCAATTATTCAAACTGCTCTAAAATTAAAATAGCTTATGTCATAACCGTAAGGACCACTGACATCTGGAAAAGAAAATTTCCTTCCACACCCACCCTTTCACCAGATCCACTTGCTCATGAATTTTTAAATGCTATTTAAAAAAAAAACTTAAAACATTCAATTTCACTTGAAACAATTTTGTTTTATGACTTTTGCATCTTTGCTACATGTCCACACTTGACTTATGCAGCAATCAATGAGAATGCATAAACTTGATTCTTATACTTACAATGTTCCCTCCATTAAAACATGTTTATAACCAATGAGTGGGTTGTCATCAACCTTGCTGCACATGCTTAACAATTCCATTGCAAAACAAGGTAAAAAACTCAGATAATAAAAACAAGGCAAAATCCCATCTTCATCTACCAGGAAAAATGTTTAAAACAAAAATGAATCTTCCCGTCAATGGCCACTCTCCAAAACACTAAGATTCTCATTTTTTTTTTTTTTTTTTTGAGACACAGTTTCGCTCTTGTTGCCCAGGCTGGAGTGCAATGGCGTGATCTCAGCTCACTGCAACCTCTGCCTTCTGGGTTCAAGTGATTCTCCTGCCTCAGCCTCCCAAGTAGTTGGGACTACAGACACACACCATCATGCCTGGCTTTTTTTTTTTTTCTACTTTTTTAGTAGAGACAGGGCTTCACCATGCTGGCCAGGCTAGTCTCAAACTCCTGACCTCAAGTGATCCACCCTCCTCGGCCTCCCAAAGTGCTGGGATTATAAGTGTGAGCCACCGCGCCTAGCCAAGATTCTCCAGTTTTAATGTGCATATAAATCACTTGGTACATACTATCAAAATACAGATTCCAGAAGGTCTAGAGTGGAGTTCCCACGAGTCTGCATTTTTAATGTTTGCCAACATTCAGAATGTATACCTAAGTAGCAAGGGTCTTCATTGTCCAATTAAGTAGACACTAGCTACAAGTGGATTTTCAAATTCAAGTTTACATACTGCTGGAACTCAACAGCTGCAGGTCGCTAGTGGCAAAACCACTGGACAGCAAATTACAGATTTGTGTCATTGCAGAAAATTTTATTGGAAAGAGCTGACCTAGATAGATCCATTAACAAAGCAGAAAACTGGAAGCAAGCACTCTCCTGAAGCACAACTTAAGCTATCTTATCCATGTACAAACATCTTGCAGAAAACTCTCCAAGCAATCAGCCACAAACTACATCAATTAAAATCATCTTGTACATACCCTGCGGGCCAGCAGCAGGCCAGTACAATATGCTGCAGCATAATTTGTCAGGCCAACCTTCACACCATATTTTGGCAGTTCGTGTGCATACGCTGCGCAGACTATCATATCCCCCTCTATACGGGCATAAGCAATCTATAGTAAGAGAGAAACTAGGTTAGTAATCTGTTGCTTTCACTGTCTTACTACATCTTAATTATTTTTCAAGGGAATAAAAAAACATTGATGGACACAGATGAACATCACTTAAAATGCTTAAGACTCTTAGCTGGGTTACCAGTAAATTAGAGGTGCTTAAAAAGTCAAAGAGGAATACCCAAATATTTCAATCATCTTTTGAACTAAACATAACTAAAGTCAGCAAAGTCTCAGGAACCTAACGTTTAGTTATCTGAACTTGGGTACGGAGGAAGACAATGCCTTCACAATCAACAAACTATTTGCCCAGGAAACAGGTGTGCCTACCTGCTGCAAAATATCAATAAATCTTAACTCTCAGAATTTCTCCTAGTTGTAAAAGCCCAGGATTCTAGCTTTCAGAGTCCAGTGAGAATGCTCTTAGTACAAGAGCAAAACTGACACTTCCTAAAGGTCTTTCATGCGGGAGCCACCTTTGTACATTTTATTAAAACCTATTTCAAAGAATAAGCAGAACAATCTTAAAGCCCTGTTTAATTCACAACTACCTTTTCAGTGGTTAAGTGGCATATAAGGCCATATAGGAAAAATCAGGACAAACCCTATTCTTCTACTGGAATTGGGATGGGCAAGAACTTCTTACTTACTTCTAATCTCCCCACCCCACACACATAAACTAGGTTTCAGTGTCTTGCTCTGTCACCTAGGTTGGAGGGCTGGGTGTGATCTCACTTCACTGCAGCCTCAACCTCGGGGCTCAAACAATCCTCCCACTGAGTAGCTGGGACTACAGGTGCGCCCCGCCATGCCCAGCTAATTTTCTTACATTTTTTGTGAAGACAAACTCTCACTATATTGCCCAGGCTGGTCTCAAACTCCTGGGCTCAAGCAATCTTCCCGAAGTGCTGGGATTACAGGCATGAGCGCAACCAAGAGCATTTTTTAAAGTACCAAGTTCCCAGGTTCCAATTCTAGACCTACTAAAAGGAAAAATTATTCACTGGATGCTTTTGGAGGTGCTAGACAGCCCTTCTAACACACACACCATGTGCTTTGCTTCCCAAGCACAATTTCTCTAGCAATAAAAAAAGGGGACTGTCTAGAATACAACTTACCTGACAAATGATATCTCTGTTTGTCACACGAACTATCATCCTGTATTTGGGTGTGTTGTATTTATTTTTATCTTGTATCACCAAGCGTTTCCGAGCATAATAATCAGTTTTACCCTCTGAAAGAAAAAAATAATTGTAGAAAGGATACTCCACTGCATCTGCAAAGCAGATTAATATTGTAAACACAAAAAGGTGACAGTACCTCGTCGTCTTCTAAATTTCACTTGGTATCTCTTAAAGTAGGCCTTATTCTTAACAACTTTAACAAACCCCTTAAAGAAAAAAGAATGTTATTAAAACTTTGATGTCTTAGCCTATGATACTTTTGACATAAATTAACCATGTAACAAAGTAACACTTGAACTTCAAGAGTAAACAGACAACTGTCACTTGTAGAATCCCAGGTTTCACAAGCAACTAGGGTCAAGAATCTTTTTCCTCTACCTTCCATGTCACAGACTAGTAGTTTCATAAAACAATAAAAATGAATCCTTAGAGAAATATGGAATAAAAGAAACATACAAAATGCAGGCCCCAATTTATTACATTTAACAGGTATAAAATTATTGTTATATTGCTTTCAAAAGGTTTTAAACGCTTTCAATTTCCATATTTGTTTCTTCAAGGACCAGCACCGGTAATTGTGCCAAACTTTTGCGAAGCACTGCTCCAGACAGCAATCAGTGATGCCAAACGTCGGTTTGTTCGGAACACGCTATGTCCCACTTCGAAAACCTAGCCTCAAATAACAACTACGTACCTCTCTCGCTTCCCATGTTATGTTTTTCAAAAGCCTAAATTACCTGCCACAAAGCTTAACTGGGCAAGAGCACATTCAGCAGTAATTCCCCCACTAAAACAGCACTGTTCCCCATCAGCTAAAGCAACATTTCATCCCACCCTTGGGGCCCTACCCCAATAATTAAAAACTCATCCGGCGACG
Source organism: Homo sapiens (assembly GCF_000001405.40). Lineage (NCBI taxonomy): Eukaryota > Metazoa > Chordata > Mammalia > Primates > Hominidae > Homo > Homo sapiens. The sequence goes on along the minus strand of NC_000001.11, from coordinate 92,832,717 downwards.
GACTCTAGAGGAAGAGGCAGGAGGCACGTATTCCATGTTAAAGGAGCTTCCGGGGCCCAGGGACCCCTCGGCCTCCAAGCTCCACTGACAATTTTGGCTTAAAAGCCACTTGCTCAGCCCACGGGCACAAGCTTCCTAAATCTAAGACTTGCCGGCTCCGACATTCTCCTGGAAAACCCACGAAGTACTCGGTACTCGGAGGTCGAGTGGGACCCGAGGACCTGCAGCCCCCCTCCATTCTGGCGTTCCCCAGCTAGGCTGAGGTCGACTGCTTGCGACCTCTCACGCCCGGCCGCTTGCCAGCGCCCCCTCACACTAGACGGCAGTATCCGCACTCAGGCTGTCTACTAAACTCACCCTTCTCCCCAATCCGCCGTCCAAGCTCACGCAACCCTTCTTCGCCAACCCCTCCCCCCAAGTTCGCGCACCGGGCGGCAGCCATTTAAGGCCACGCTGGGAACTGCACCTCGACCAAGTCAGAGCTAGCAATCTAACGCCATCCGGCCCCTGCGACGCGCGAGACGGGCCCTAGGCTGGCATACGGGCAAGAAAAGGGAACCTCCATGCATCTAAAGCCCCGAGACCGAGGCATCCACTCACCATCCTGCGGAACAGAGACCGGCGTCCGCTGCTCGACAGAGACCTGCAGGCCCAGCGGCGCTAGGGGGTGGGAAAAGGGCCACAGCCCTTGCGCAGGCGCAGTATGTAGCGCGGACGGTCACGCCAGTGACGTGTGAAAGAGAGAGGGCGTCGGCCACAAGGCGTTTTACGTTCCGCCCCCTGCTGGAAGGAGGGTGAATGCCTGCCCAAGCTCTCCAGGTTCCAATGCTCGGGGTATCTCACAGGATCCGTGCGGTGAGGAGGAGCAGGGAGGATTACTGGAGCCTTTCGCTTTCTTTGCTACAGCGTTTTGTTTTGTTTTGTTTTGTTTTGTTTTGTTTTGTTTTGTTTTGTTTTGTTCATAACGCATTTTGCTTTTCTAAGCAGGAAAAAAAAAAAAAATTAAATAGGACAAGTTTGCTTGGGAGCCCTCTTGCCTTCTCTGGGCTACTCATTCTGGTCCAAGAGCATATGGACCCACCCTCCCATCTCACCCCCAGGAAGCCTTCCCTGAGAGCCCCAAGCCTGGGATAGGGGCCACTCCTCTGCCTTCCTACAGCAGCTTTCTACTGGCTTCAGCCCACCACAGACTGTCAACTTTTCGAGGTGGGCCCTGATGTCCACCTCTGACTCTCCAGCACCTAGCAGGGTATCAGCTGCTCACCGTTAGAGCTGGGAGAAGGGACGGCCAACCAGGATGACAGGGTTAAGTGACTCCAAAACACTGCCACTAGAATAAATCAGGATTAGGATGCCAATTACTTCTGATTCCAACTTGTAATTCCTTATATAATAGGAAAAATAAACAGAGTTCGCTATGGCCGATGTCAACAGAGCTCTAGAGGAGAAAACTTAAAACACTTTTCACAGGAAGTGTGATTCTACTTTTGTGGAGCCACCTTTGAAAGGGTAAAGAAAGAGGTATTCAATTCGTATTTATAGAAAATATTTAAAAACCTTCATTTTGGTGGATTATCAAGTTATTAGCCTACCAAAGGTGCTCCATGTCTTGGTCAGGCCCTGCTTACACTGGAGGCAAAAGCATCAGGAAGGAAAGTCTGCCTGGAAACAGGCCGACTCCTAACTTCTGCATGTTTTAGGGCAAGGGTTCATAGGAAGACCCACATACTATTCATCTGAATATTTAGAAGTTGTGGGCCGGGCACGGTAGCTCAGGCCAGGTGCGGTGGGTCACGCCTGTAATCCCAGCGCTTTGGGAGGCCGAGGCAGGCGGATCGCGAGGTCAAGAGATCGAGACCATCCTGGACAACATGGTGAAACCCCATCTCTGCTAAAAATACAAAAACCAGCCGGGCATGGTGGCACGCACCTGTAGTCCCAGCTACTCGGGAGACTGAGACAGGAGAATCGCTTGAACCCAGGAGGCAGAGGTTGCAGTGAGCCGAGATCACACCACTGCACTCCAGCCTGGCGACAGTGAGACTCCGTCTCAAAAAAAAAAAAAAAGAAAGAAGTCATGAAGCAGGCTGGATGTGCTGGCTCAGGCCTGTAATCCCAGCATTTTGGGAGGCCAAGGCAGGAGGATCACTTAAACCCAGGAGTTCGGGACCAGCCTGGGAGACTTGGTGAGCCCCTGTCTCTATAAAAAATAAAATCCAAAAAAAGAAGTTATGAAACAAACAACATGTTAAATTAAATATACTTTATCATCCTTATCCCTCTCCTTCTTACCTTATAAATCCATAACAAGAAAATTAAAAATATGTATACCTATTCCCCTTGGTCACAGTCAGGGGTCTGTGGCTAGCATGGCTGGTTCAGCCAGTGCAGTTGGTGACACCAGGAGCTAGGGGGTAATTGTCCAGCATCCTCAGCCAACAGCATCTTATTCAAGTGGTAAAAGTTAAAAAACCACCAATAGTGGGATGAATTAACATTATAGGTTCACACCTGTAATCCCAACATTTTGGGAGGCTGAGCCAGGAGGATCACTTCAGCCCAGGAGTTCGAGACCAGCCTGGGCACATAAGAAGACCTCTATCTCTAGGGAAAAAGAAAAAGGAAAGCAAAGAAAAAATAAATTAACATTATATGCCTCCTGATGCACTGAGAAGAACACAAAACACTTCCTACCAAATTTACATAATCTAATCTAAAATAGTTATCTAATATGTACCAACCAAATCTAATCATGATGAAACTACACGTAAATCCAGATTTAGATAATTCTACAAAGTAACTGGCCTGTACTCTTCAAAAATGACAAGATCATGAAAGATAAGGAAAGCCTAAACAATATTCCAGACTGAAAGAGACCAAAGTGACATGACAACTGTATGCAATGTGTGATTCCATATTGCATCCTGGACAAGAAAGGAAAAAGGGAAATAAGAAGTCTTTGTATTTCTTTTGTTCAAAGGACATTGTCAGAACAATCGGTGAAACTTTACTGAAGTCTGGATTAGGTGATAGTAATGAATCAATGTTAAATTCTGATTTTTTTTTGAGATGGAGTTTCGCTCTTGTTGCTGAGGCTGGAGTGCAATGGCGCAATCTCGGCTCACCACAACCTCTGCCTCCTGGGTTCAAGCGATTCTCCTGCCTCAGCCTCCCGAGTAGCTAGGATTACAGGCATGTGCCACTATGCCCGGCTAATTTTGTATTTTTAGTAGAGACGGGGTTTCTCCATATTGATCAGGCTGGTCTCGAACTCCTGACCTCAGATGATCCACCCCCCACCTTGGCCTCCCAAAGTGCTGGGATTACAGGTGTGAGCCACCAAGCCTGGCTAAATTCTGATTTTCATAGGTAGACTGGTTATGAATGAGAGTTCTTTTTTTTTTTTAAGGTAATACACACTGAACTATTTTGGAGTAGTGGGCATTATTTCTGCAACTTGGTCCCAGTAAATGGCTTAGGAAGAAAATTACATGTGTGTATATACATACACATATATGTGCATGTAAAGAGAGAGATTAATAAGGCAAAAATGTGTTAAAATGGTGACAGTGGGGAACTTGGGAGAAGAGTATATGGAAATTCTTTGTACGGTTCTTAACCCAAGCAGTGGTTTTGAAATTATTTCAAAATAAAAAACAAAACATTGGCTGGGTGTCATGGCTCACCCCTGTAATCCCAGGACTTTGGGAAGCCTAAGCAGGTGGATCACTTGAAGTCAGGAGTTTGAGACCAGCCTGGGCAACATGACAACTCCTCATCTCTACAAAAAATAAAAATTGTAGCTGGGCGTGGTGGTACGTGCCTGTGGTCCCAGCTACTCGGGAGGCTGAAGCGGCAGGATCACATGAGCCCAGGAGGCAGAGATTACAGCGGGTCATGATCTTGCCACTGCACTCCAGCCTGGGTGATACAGTAAGACCCTGTCTTGTAAAACCAAAAAACAAAAAACCTGCGCTAGAATGGGAGCTATTTGTTATTTATTATTCCTTCTAGAATATAGCTTTTATTATTTGAAATGAAAGTGAACTCAGATTTGGCTGGGCACAGTGGCTCACGCCTGTAATCCCAGCACTTTGGGAGGCCCACGCGGGCAGATCACAAGGTCAGGAGTTCGAGACCAGCCTGGCCAATATGGTGAAACCCCATCTCAACTAAAAATACAAAAATTAGCTGAGCGTGGTCGTGGGCACCTGTAGTCCCAGCTACTCGGGAGGCTGAGGCAGGAGAATCTGTTGAATGTTGTGGGTGGAGGTTGCAATGAGCCGAGATCGCGCCACTGCACTCCAGCCTGGGTGACAGAGCGAGACTCCATCTCAAAAAAAAAAAAAAAAGAAAGTGAACTCAGTTTCATCAAATATGTCAACCATACATTACAAATAGAAAATAAATCAGCAGCTCTGTCTGCTCTCCACCATGTGAGGACACAAGGAGGAGTCAGCAGTCTGCAGCCCGGAAGAGGCCTTCACCAGAACTGAACCATGCAGGCACCTTGATCTCGGACTTCCAGCCTCCTGGAACTGTGAGAAATAAATTTCTGTTGTTTATAAGTTTAAAAAAAAATCAGCAATTTTTTGTTCTGTCACTGATGATTTATTTGATGATTTAACACAAATATGTGAAAAGATTTTAAGATATTAACTACATAGTATGATTTTGAGGTGCCTACTTACTGCCCTAATTAGCTGGTTATGTATTGAAACCAGCAACTTTCATGATTATGATCAAAGAACATCTTAATACAAAATTTCAGCTAGGGGGAATAAGTTCAAGAGATCCATTGTACAATATGATGGCCATAGTTAATAACAATGTAGAATATATTCTTGAAAATTGCTAAGAAAGATTTTAAGTGTTAAAATCTTAACACTTAATAGATTTTAAGTGTTCTCATCAGAAAAAAAAATAAGTATGTGAGGTAATGCATATATTAATTAGTTCTATTTAGCCATACCACAGTTTATATATTTCACAACATGTTGTACACAATAAATGTGTCTAATATTTGTCAATCATATTTTAAAAATATGTTATTTACAATTTTTTTGTAATTGATTTTTGCTTTACATGAGAGTGTATAGAGCCATCTACTTTACAGTTGAATCTTCTTTATAGATATTAATCCAGTGGAAAAATTTGAAACGTTTTCTGATACAGGGTCTTGCTCTGTTGCCAGGCTGGAGTGCAGTGGCACGATCCTGGCTCACTGCAATCTTGAACTCCTGGACTCAGGGAATCCTACCACCTCAGCCTTCTGAGTAGCTAGGACTACAGGCCCATGCCACCAAACCTCACCAATTTTTTGTTTTAAGAGACAGAGTCTTGGGCCAGGCACAGTGGCTCACGCCTGTAATCCCAGCACTTTGGGAGGCCGAGGTGGGCGGATCATGAGGTCAGGAGATTGAGATCATCCTGGCTAATACGGTGAAACCCCGTCTCTACTAAAAATACAAAAAATTAGCTGGGCGTGGTGGCGGGCACCTGTAGTCCCAGCTACTTGTGAGGCTGAGGCAGGAGAATGGTGTGAACCTGGGAGGCGGAGCTTGCAGTGAGCAGAGATGGTGCCACTGCACTCTAGCCTGGGTGACAGAGCGAGAATCCACCTCAAAAAAAAAAAAAAAAAAGAGACAGAGTCTCACTACATTGTCCTCGCTGGTCTGAAACTCCTGGCCTCAAACAATTCTCCGATCTCAGCCTCCCAAAGCACTGGGATTAAGGCATGAGTCACCATGCCCAGCTGAAACATTTTTGTTTGTTTGTTTTGAGACAAGGCCTCACTGTCTCCCACGTTGTAGCATAGTGGCTCAATGAAAGCTCACTGCAGCCTCGAACTCCTGGCTGGACTCAAATGATTCTCCAACTTCAGCCTCTGGAGTAGCTAGGACCACAGGCACACACCACCATGCCCCACTAATTTTTAAATTTTTTGTAGCAACAGAATGTTGCCATGTTGCCCAGGCTGGTCTCGAACTCTGGGCTCAAGTGATCCTCCAGCCTTGACCTCTCAAAGTGCTGGGATTACAGGTGTGAGCCCCCTGACCCCGCTGAAACATTTTTAAACCTGTACTTTTATCTAGGAAAAATTAATTAGCCAAAGAAAGAGTAAATTTTGTTTCTTTTTTAAAAAATGTGTAAATCAGGCCGGGTGCAGTGGGTCACGCCTATAATCCCAGCACTTTGGGAGGCCAAGGCGGGCGGATCATGAGGTCAGGAGATCGAGACCATCCTGGCTAATACAATGAAACCCCGTCTCTACTAAAAATACAAAAAATTAGCCGGGTGTTGTGGCGGGCGCCTGTAGTCACAGCTACTTGGGAGGCTGAGGCAGGAGAATGGCATGAACCCGGGAGGCGGAGCTTGCAGTGAGCAGAGATGGTGCCACTGCACTCCAGCCTGGGTGACAGTGACACTCCATCTCAAAAAAAAAAAAAGAAAAAGAAAAAGTGTAAATCTATGGTTTTTAATGGGACTGAAAGTCAGCAAAATATCAATGACAATTATGATTATGACTGGGTGTTCTGCTAATAGGCTATTGATGTTTGGATGACTAATAAAGACGTACACAATTCATAATTATAATATATGCATTTCATAAAAATTCCTTTTTGTGTCTTCATTTCAGCAAAGTTTCTTTGTTGTTATCATTAAGATATCACATAATTTATGTTCTACAGATAGTAATGCCAAATTAGATAATGTTTCTTGGGTCATTGTCATTCTTTTTGCCATGTTGCCCAGTCTGGTCTCAAACTCCTGGGCTCAAATGACCCACCCGCCTCAGCCTCCCAAAGGGCTGGGATTACAGGCGTGAGCCACCGAGTCCACCCTATTGTCATTCTTAAATAGTTTTATTATTTCCAATAAATTTTGTTCTGCTGAAGCAAGAGAAACTGGAATTTTAAATAAAATTCTTAAAGCAATACTTAGATTTGGAAACGAACCATGATTTTTATATATCACATTTAAACAATGTGATGGTATCACATACGATCATTCATTGTTTTCACAGAAACTATTACTTTATATTTTCATATTGCCATGTAAATCATTGTCACTTTGATTGCTATTTTCTTTCTTTTTTTTTTTTTTTTTTTGAGATGGAGTCTCACTCTGTCACCCAGCCTGGGAGTGCAGTGGCGTGATCTCGGCCCACCGCAACCTCGCCCTCCCGGGTTCAAGCGATTCTCCTGCCTCAGCCTTCTGAGTAGCTGGGACTATAGGCACGCAACATCACACCCAGCTAATTTTTGTATTTTTAGTAGAGATGGGGTTTCACCATGTTGGCCAGGATGATCTCGATCTCTTGACCTCGTAATCCGCCCGCCTCGGCCTCCCAAGGTGCTGAGATTACAGGCATGAGCCACCGCGCCTGGCCTGATTGCTATTTTCACTGTCTTGTAGTTGTATCTACATCCATTAAGGTTTTGGTAAATTCTTCTCCTTTCCAATATTTCAATGCTGGAGTATAATAAAGAAAAACAAAACTAGCAGTATGTTGCTTGATTTGTTCAAATATCTTTTCAATTAGACTATACACTAATTTATCAGGTTCAGAAAACAATATAAAAATTAGTTTTAGGTTTATTTTTACATACGTTTTCTTCCTTACAGTTATGTAAACTTTGTCTCCTCATTCTAATTCCCTTGTATTGAATTGGAATGTCACTTTTGTTGGTTTTCATTCAGTTTCATTCACTTCAGAAAAAAAAATTTCTCTAAAAAATGTTAATTCTTTTACAATTTAAATTTATTTGAGTTTTTGAACACTTATATTAACTTTTTTTTTTTTTTGAGATGGAGTCTGGCTCTGTCACTGGGCTGGAGTGCAGTGAGTGGCGTGATCTCGGCTCACTGCAACCTCCGCCTCCTGGGTTCAAGTGATTCTCGTGCCTCAGCCTCCCAAGTAGCTGCGATTACAGGCATGCACTACCACACCCAGCTAATTTTTGTATTTTTTGTAGAAACGCGGTTTCACCATGTTGGCCAGGATTGTCTCGATCTCTTGACCTCATGTTCTGCCCGCCTTGGCCTCCCAAAGTGCTGGGATTACAGGCGTGAGCCACCGTGCCTGTCTGTATCAACATTATTAAAAGCAAGCAAGGCTGGGTGTGGTGGCTCATGCCTGTAACCCCAGCACTTTGAGAGGCCAAGGCAGGAGGATCACTTGAGCCCAGGAGTTCAAGACCAGCCTAGGCAACATAGTGAGACCCCGTCTCTACACAAAATAGAAAAAATTAGCCAAGTGTGGTGGCGAGTGCCTGTAGCCCCAGCTACTCAGGAGGCTGAGGTGGGAGGATTGCTTGAGCCCAGGAGGCCAAGGCTGCAGAGAGCCATGATAGTGCCACTGCATTCCAGTCTGGGTGACAGAGTGAGACCCTGTCTTAAAAAATAAATTAATTAAAAAGAGCAAGCAATGCCACATATCAAAAAACTAGAGAGTACACACTCAAAAAAAATCATTTTCTGCCTAGGCTCCTGATTTGCTCTTTACTTGAGCACCTTCCGTTATTTCACTTTACTCTTCTAGATCATCTCATATCTTGTCTAAATCAAATCTGTTTCAACAAGATGAATGCCCTTGGAACCAGAAATTAGAACATAAAGACAAACAAGAAAATGAATATGCTTTCTTCATTACTCAAGGCATGCTACTTTGTTATTAAAGAATCCTTTGCATTCCCATTATCAGAAAGACAGGATTTGATAAGTTAATTTGTTTTTTCCCTACTAGGTAAACAACTTTCCATTACTCAAACCTCCCTGCTTTCCAAAGCAGCGTCCATTTCAAATGTCAACTGCAGCACAACTCCAAAATCTTCATGACATTCAGACACAGTCGCCTTTTGTTTTCAGGTCACAGCATGAGAAATGAGAAGGAGCATATCCCTAGAGCCTGGAAGGTGTTGATTTCTAGGGCAGATGCTTAGAGTTTCTGGTCAGAACTGAGTACCAAGTCCTAAGTGACAGAGGCAACCATAGCCATGCATTGTTTTTGTTTTTGTTTTGTAGCCATGCATTCTTCTTCTTCTTCTTTTTTTTTTTTTTTTTTTGAGATGGAGTCTCACTCGTCATCCTGGCTGGAGTGCAATGGTGCGATCTTGGCTCACTGGAAGCTCCACCTCCCGGGTTCAAGCTATTCTCCTGCCTCAGCCTCCCAAGTAGCTGGGATTACAGGGGCCTGCCACCAACCCCGGGTAATTTTTGTATTTTTAGAAGAGACGGGGTTTCGTCATGTTGGCCAAGCTGGTCTTGAACTCCTGACCTTGTGATCTGCCTTGCCTCAGCCTCCCAAAGTGCTGGGATTACAAGCATGAGCCACCGTACCTGGCCTGTAGCCATCATTCTTTAAACTTACTTTTCTGTATGTTTGTGACATGAAGAGTTTTATAAAGTGCAGGGTCAGAGGAAGTTTCCCTCTTGCCCGGGTCAAAGGGAAATACTTCATGGAAACTTCACACCCTACAAAGATCACAATGCCTGAGCCTCTCCCTGCTGGTCTGCTGTGCTGGACTTCTTTTGTCATTTTTTTTTAGACAGGGTTTTACTCTGTCACTCAGGCTGGAATGCAGTGGTGCAACCACAGGTCACTGCAGCCTGAACTCCTGGGCCCAAGCAATCTTCTGGCCTCAGCCTTTCCACCAGCTGGGACTATAGGTATGCACCACCATGCCTGGCCTGGCTTGTGCTAGACTTTCACTGGCTTCCACTGATCTGTTGTTGATGACTCAGACTTGATTGGGACAGTGCATGGGGAAAAGAAAGGGGGCTCCCAGATTTCTATATATTAAAAATAGTGGGCTGGACACAAATAGTGACTCGCGCCTGTAATCTCAGCACTTTAGGAGGCCAAGGCAAGAGGATTGCTTGAGTCCAGGAGTTTGAGACCATCCTGGGCAATATAGGGGGACCCCATCTCTGCAAAAAAAAAAAAAAGTTGTTTTTTTTTTGAGACAGGGTCTCACTTTGTCACCCAGGCTGGAGTGTGGTGGTGCAATCTTGGCTCACCACAATCTCCGCCTACTGGGTTCAAGCGATTCTCCTGCCTTAGCCTCCTGAGCAGCCTGGGTGACAGAATGAGACCCTGTCTCAAACAAACAAACAGACAAAATAAAGATGAAACTGTAGCTGGGAAGCTGATTGTTATCTCCCAGGTCATCAGGCTGAAACTGAAGCATTACAAATCTTCCAGAAAATGAAGACTTTCAAAACTCTGATCAGTATGAACTAAGGGACATAGTCCTGTTACCAGATGGAAGCCCCTATGAATAGAAAGAAATGTCAGGCCAGGCGGTGGCTCACGCCTGTAATCCCAGCACTTTGGGAGGCTGAGGCGGGTGGATCACCTGAGGTCAGGAGTTCAAGACCAGCCTGGCCAACATGGTGAAACTCTGTCTCTACTGAAAATACAAAAATTAGCCGGGCGTGGTGGCGCACTTCTGTAATCCCAACTACTCCAGAGGCTGAGGCAGCAGAATCGCTTGTACCCGCGAGGCGGGGGTTGCAGTGAGCAAAGATTGCACCACTGCACTCCAGCCTGGGCGACAGAGTGAGACTCCGTCTCAAAAAAAAAAAAAAAAAGAAAGAAATATGAGGGAAGCCCTGCAAACCTAAAGAAGGTGGTCTCAGGACAACTCTGGGAAGTTAAACATCAATTTTTCAGCTACCTAACATACAAAAGTCAAAATATTTAAGTAATTCTGTAATATTTAGATGGCTTCCTAGAGGTGAAGTTTACAACAAGTCATAAAAAAGAAAGTTGGAATGCCCAAGGATTGCTAAACTTTAGAGGTCAATGCCACTTTAAAAGCAGTTTTCAGCCAGGCACGGTGGCTCACACCTATAATCCCAGCACTCTGGGAGGCCGAGGCGGGTGGGTCACGAGGTCAGGAGTTCGAGACCATCCTGGCCAACATAGTGAAACCCCATCTCTACTAAAAATACAAAAAATTAGCCAGGCGTGGTGGCGGACGCCTGTAGTCCCAGCTACTCAGGAGGCTGAGGCAGGAGAATCGCTTAAACCCGGGAGGCGGAGGTTGCAGTGAGCTGAGATCACGCCATTGCACTCCAGCCTGGGCGACAGTGAGAGACTCTGTCTCAAAAATAAATAAATCAGTAAATAAAGTAGTTTTCTTTCACCCTGCCTGTCTAATATATATATATATATATATATATACACGTATATATACGAATATATATTCGTATATATATATATATATACACGTATATACGAATATATATGTATATATACACGTATATACGAATATATATGTATATATACACATATATATACACGTGTGTATATATACATGTATATATACGCGTGTATATATATGTGTATATATATACGCGTGTATATATATATGTATATATATACGCGTGTATATATATATAAGTGTGTATATATACGTGTATATATATGTGTGTGTGTGTATATATATATATACACCTATATATATATATATATATATATACACACGTATATATAGTGTGTGTGTGTGAGTTTGGGAGTGTGTTACAAGCTAAGAATCCTACCTGAGAACTAAAATTGTGAGTCTACATCTTTTCTGGAATTATTGAAAGTGACCATGGTCTTATTTTGCCAGTTCATCAAGGTTTAAAATATATGACTAATGACAAACTTTATAAATCCTTTTGAGAATCTACCTGTTAAATTACACCAATGTCTGTCTCCCTCTTCAATTATTTGGGCATATAAAGAGGACCTAAGATATATACATGAAAGCTCACCAAGTTTTTGGGAGAAACAACATAAATTATGGCTTTTTCCCTTAGCACATGACAATAAAGCCAACTTCTTCAAGGAAATATTGCAAACATAAAGGTGTAATTATATTTGTTATAGACAACCTCAAAGTGATGCTCATAATGCTCTTAGTCATTTTCATGTTTCTGCATGGGGTCAGCATCTTAGAGAGTCTGTGCTTAAAGGAGTCATCGGAATGGCACTTAGCACTGACAGCACAGCCATCAGATGAGTGTTTGAATACACCGAATGACTCCAGGAGCTCCGATGGAAGAGGCAGGACAAGTACATTAAGAATACTTGATAAAGAGCAAATAACACCAGAAACCCAAGTCACCCTTGATGATTCTCTTTTTCTCAAGTTCCACATCCATATCCTAGTGGCTGCACTTTAAAATATGTATATATAAAATAGCCAACCATTTCTCATGCCCTCCACTGCTACTGCCCTGGTCCAAGCTACCATCATCATTGCCCAGGTCATTGCATTAACTTCAACAGTTCACTCTGCTTCAAACTTTGCCCTTCTACAGGTTATTCTCCACACAGCCCGACTGATATTTTAAAAATACAAGTCAGAGTATGCTACTCCTCTGCTCAAAATTCTCCAGTGGCCAAATTCCTCATCACAGCCCACAAAATCCTACATGCTCTGGACTCCACATGTTTCTCTGACCTCACCTCTTCTCCTTTCAACCTTTCCTCATTCCATTCCAAATACTGGCCTCTAGGCGCACTCCTAGCTCAGAGTCGTTGTACTAGCTGCTCCCTCTGCTTTCACTAGTCAGCCACCAAATATTCATTTGGTGTGCTGCTTTACTTCTTTAGGTCTTCTTTTCAGGAAGGCCTTCCCTCATCATTACATCTAAAATAAAATACCCCATCACTCTCTCTTCCCTGTATCCTGCTTTTTCTCCACAGCATTTGTTACAACCTAGGAATTACACATTTGTTAATTTGTTTAGTGCATCTACCCTCCCTACCCCAAACAGTCTGTGAAGTCAGGAAAGGGACATTATCTGTTGCAATCACTGCTGTATTCCCAGCATGCATAGCAGAGTTTGGTATAAAATAAATTTAATGAGTAAATGAAATGGGTATACTATTATGGCAGGCACATTATAACCTCTCACCATTTATTTTAGTTGTTCCATTTATCAGTTAGTATATAACAATCTACTTGAAAATATAGAGGCTTAAAATAATAACACTTATTTATTTATTTTGAGATAGGGTCTCACTCTGTCACCCAGGCTGTAGTGTAATGGTGCTATCGGAGCTCACCGCAGCATTGATCTCCTGGGCTCAAGGGATCCTCCCACCTCAGCCTCCAGAGTAGTTGGGACTACAGATGCATGCCCCCATGCCCAGCTAATTTTTTATTTTTTGTAGAGATGGAATCTTGCTATGTCGCCCAGGCTGGTCTCAAACTCCTGGACTCAAGCAATCCTCCCACCTCCCAAAGTGTTGGGATTACAAAGTGTAAGCCATTGCATCTGGCCTTTTAAATTTTTTTGTAGAGACAGGATCTTGCTATGTTGCCCAGGCTGGTCCCGAACTCCTGGGCTCAAGTTCTCCTTCTGTCTTGGCCTCCCAAAGTGTTGGGATTACAGACGTGAGCCACTGAGCCTGGCCTTCTAGTTTTTTTTTTTTTTTTTTTTTTAGACAGGGTCTCACTCTGTTGCGCAGGCTGGAGAGCAGTGGTGCGATTTCAGCTCACTGCAATCTTTTCCTCCAGGATTCAAGCGATTCTCCTGCCTCTGCCTCCCAAGTAGCTGGGATTACAGGCACATGCCATCACGTGAACCCAGCTAATTTTTGTGGGTTTTTTCTTTCTTTTCTTTTTTTTTTTTCTGAGACAGAGTCTTGCTCTGTCACCCAGGCTGGAGTGCGATGGCACAATCTCAGCTTACTGCAACCTCTGCCTCCCAGGTTCAAGCGATTCTCCTGCCTCAGCCTCCCAAGTAGCTGGGACTACAGGCGCACACCAGAACGCCTAGCTACTTTTTGTATTTTTAGTAGAGACAGAGTTTCGCCATTTTGGCCAGGCTGGTCTCGAACTCCTGACCTCAAGTGTTCCCCCCACCTCGGCCTCCCAAAGTGCTGGGATTACAGGCATGAGCCACTGCTCCCAGCTTAGTTTTTGTGTATTTTTATTAGAGACGGGGTTTCGCCATGTTGGCCAGGGTGGTCTCGAACTCCTGACCTCAGGTAATATGATGTCCTTGGGCTCCTAAGGTGCTGGGATTACAGGCATGAGCCACCAGGCCTGGCCTCTAGTTTTATTTGAGGTGTTTTGTTGTTGTTTTGTTTTGTTTTGACAAATAGAGATTTGCAGTGGATTAGGGGTAATTTGGTCTTGCTTGCAGTGCTTCTACTCACCAGAAGGAGGAGTGTGGCCAGCAAGCTGCCAGAAGATGAAGCTGTATTTCTAGGGGCAGAAAGAAAATTGGGAAATGAACAAATGACCTACTTCTTTCCATCTAAGTATACCTGAAGAAGGGTGCAGCTACTGGCTACTGGCCTAAAATTTGGGAAGGGAAGGAGGATATTGGTGAAAGCCTGGGAGAAGCTTGCCAAGATTCATCTGTTTCCAGTAACAGAGGGGCAGGAGCAGGTGAGTTTGAGTTTGTGTGTTTGTGGGTGTTTGGGGCAATGCCTCAGAGAGAGAAGGCGGCTAATGACAGGGTCATTAGATGTCAGTAAGTGACTTTGCAATTCAAAGTGTTGCTATCCTAAAACCAGGAAGTAAGCACAGGACCTCATGGATTGTACACAGGTCATATTCATGTGCACTTCTGAGTTTGGTCCAAAAATATGGTATAACCTGTATGTGTTCCACAACTGTCTTTTGCATTTTGTCCTCTATAATACATAAATGGCCATTCTTCCTTCAGCTATGAAATTGATTTTACCTCCTAGACCCACTACCTCCTAATTCTTGCCCCTCTCTTTAACCCATGAATCCTTGCTGCCAGTCTTTGGTTGAGACAAAGACCAGCCTTGGGTGGGGACTCCTTTTTTCAAGAATGTCTGAGGCTATCAGTAGTAGTGAATTTATATATTCTCAATACCAAAAGGGGCTGAAACAATTCTTGGATGGCTTCAAGTTTGAAACCAACAAGTCAGAAAGACTCCAGACCATTTCAGCCCCCAGGGCCATGGGTAGCACCAAAGGAGAGAATGGGCTTTAGTATCCCTACAGTCTTCATTAGCACCCCCATCATTGATACAGACGATTAGTATTTTCTCAATTTTTATAAAGTGCTATGTACATGCACCTTCAAGACCTGTTCTCTCACCCTACCTCTCCACCTAGAAAGCTGCTGTATGCTCCTGCTGTGTAAAAATCCTAAAGCTGTCCCTGGTTGGTCATCTGCAACGACCCATAACACTTGGCTTCCTGGAGTAGGTGCAATTGAGATTCTTTGAACTTTGCCCAATTTTAAGTGTAACACAACCAGTGTAGTTGCAGTATTTACATTGGAAAAACAGGTTCTGATCAGCATTAGTATGGGCAAAGTGGATATAGTTTTAACTTACTTACTAAACTAGAATGTTTGCCTTTAGATCACCATGTGTACTTTCTTTGGTCATTTATTGCTGAAGTAATCATTAAACCTTGGTGTTGTCCCCATCATAGATTAAGTAAAGGCCCAGGCAAGAAAATCTCTAGATGATTTTTTCCTTTAAAACCCACCCAATTTAGAATAATTTTTCATTCACCAATAATTTTTCATTCACCAAAAGTAGAAACTTAACATGACTTCCTAGATGAGACTTTTTAAATTTTACTGTCACCATTATTTACACACTTGTTGAAGAATATAGAATAAGTCCTCTTTTCCAGAATAAAATAAGCTTTTTTTTTTCTATAATAGAATAGCTATATTTTTTCTTTTTTCTACTAGAATCCTCTGCTGGAGGAAATACTTGGATAAGGTGCTGCTGTGGAGGGTGAGGCCTCAAGGACTTGCTGAAGCATCAGGCTTGAAAAACTGCTATGCAGACAGCCAGGCGAAGAATTTGCTTTGCACACCTGTAATCCTAGCATTTTGGGAGCTGAAGTAGGAGGATTACACAGCTGCACTCCAGCCTAGGCGACAGAGTGAGATCTCATCTCTCTAAAAAACAAACAAACAAACCAGGTCAACATAGCAAGACCCTGTCTCCATCAGGGGCAGAGCCAGGGGAAGAATTTGCTTTGCTTCTGAAAGGAAGTCATATGAATGAGACGGGGGAAAGGAAAGAGAGGAGAGTGAAGCCACCGTGATGGCTTTCTATGAATTGACTCTTCTCCATGATCCCACTATCTTCAGTGAAGTCTACTAAAATCCGTAAAATGTTGGTGGAAATGAATTTCCTTTGAAAAGTCATGTGGGGCTAAATTCTGGGCTGGCATGAATGAAAGAGGAACAAAAACAGCACGCCCCAAAATATGAGCTGAAGGCAGAAATGATCATGAAATTATAAGTCACTGGGAATTAGCAGGAATCCTGGTTAGGACATTGGATTTTACAGACCTCAGAAACTGAAAGATTGAGTGGAATTTAACTGCTTTTCTGAGGGGAAAGAGCTTCCCTAGTTGACATCTGAAATAATTCTCAAAGGGAATTATTTTGGGAAGGTGAAGCACTGCCTAACACAAATCTTCAGGCCTGAAAATTCACGTCGCAAGGAAGGGTAACTAGTTTCTAACTTTATTATTTGGAAATTTAAAATCCATATAATAAGAATTGGTAGCCAGGCACAGTGACTCATGCCTGTGGTCCCAGCTCTTTGGGAGGCCAAGGCAGGCAGATCACTTGAGCCTAGGAGTTCGAGGCTAGCCTGGGCAACATGGTGAAACCTCATCTCTACATACACAAATACACACACACACACACACACACACACACTCTCAAACTGAGAGTGTGTGCCTCAGAGAGAGAAGGTGGTGCCTGCTCCTGCCCCTCCATTATTGGAAACAGAGGAATCTTGGCAAGCTTCTCCCAGGCTTTCTCTATATCCTCCTTCCCTTCCCAAATTTTAGGCCAGTAAAATCGCATATTTATATACAAAAAACAATTCGCTCTGTATGATGGCATGTGCCTGTAGTCCCAGCTACTTGAGAGGCTGAGGCAGTAGGATCAATGGATCCTGGGAGGTAGAGGCCGCAGTGAGCTGTGATCACACCACTGCACTTCAGCCTGGGTGACAGAGTGAGACCCGGTCTCAAAAACAAACAAACAAACAAAAAAACCCAAACAAACAAACAAAATCAGGATTGGCTTTTCCATATCACCTTTAAGAATCTACTGGTTGTGGCTGGGCATGGTGGCCCACACCTGTAATCCCAGAATTTTGGGAGGCCGAGATGGGCGGATCACCTGAGGTCAGGAGTTCGAGACCAGCCTGACCAATATGGTGAAACTCTGTCTCTACTAAAAATACAAAAATCAGCCGGGCATGGTGGTGAGCGCCTGTAGTCCCAGCTACTCGGGAGGCTGAGACAGAAGAATTGCTTGAACCTAGGAGGAAGAGGTTGCAGTGAGCCAAGATTATGCCACTGCACTCCAGCCTGGGCGACAGAGCGAGAGTACGTCTCAAAAAAAACCAAAAACCAAAAAACCAAAACACTCTCTCCCATCCCCAAAACTTTGCAGAAATATATCTCATTTTAAACTAATTAACTGTTAGAAAATGAGGCTTAAGACTGAAATTTCGATAAACTCGAGTCAACTTTAAGAAATCCCCCCAGAGGTAATTTATGTCATTTTCCTGCTCTATCCCTCTGCATCCTGTTCTTTGGGATGAATGTTAGCTGTACCTGTTAAGGCCTGAGCTTGAGAGTAAACAGGTTCTAGGTTTCTGCGTGGCTCCAACACTTACTACCTCCCTAAGCCCCCAATTTTTTACCCATAAAATGGCAATAGTAATAGTACTACCTCCAAGAATTATTGTGAGGATTAAATAAATGCTCAATATTCATTGTTAGAAGTAGTATTGATGGAAATAGATATGTCTTGATCTATTTTCTGCTGCTATGGCAGAATACCACAGATTGGATAACATAAAGAGTAGAAGTTTATGTGGCTCATGGTTTTGGAGCCTGAGAAGTCCAACAGCATAGTCTAGTGTTTGGTGAGGATAATTTATGGTGGAAAGTGGAAGACAAGTGAGCATGTGAGACAGAGAGAAAAGAAAGCCAAACTCTCACGATAACTAACCCACTCCCACAATAACAACGTTAATTTAGTCTGGGCATCATGGCTCACGCTTGTAATCCAAGCACTTTGGGAGGTTGAGGCAGGAGGAACACTTGAGCCCAGGAGTTTGAAACCAGCCTGGGCAACACAGGGAGATCCCATCTCTACAGAAAATAAAAAAATTAGGCCAGGCACGGTGACTCACACGTGTAATCCCAATACTTTGGGAAGCCAAGGTGGGCAGATCACTTGAGGCCAGGAGTTTAAGATCAGCCTGGCCAACAGGTGGTACCCCCGTCTGTACTAAAAAAAAAAAGAAAAAAGAAAGAATTAGCTGGGCACGGTGGTGGGCACCTGTCATCCCAACTGTGCAGCAGGCTGAGGCACAAGAATCCCTTGAACCCTGGAAGCAGAGGTTGCAGTGAGCCAAGATCATGCCACTGCACTCCATCCTAGGCAACAGAGTGAGACTCTGTCTCAAAAAAAAAAAAAAAAAATTAGCCAGGCACTGTGGTACATGCCTGTGGTCCCAGCTACATGAGAGGCTGAGGCAGGAGGATCACTTGAGCCCAGGAGGTCAAGGCTGCCGTGAGCTGTGTTCACACCACTGTACCCCAGCCTAGGTGACAGAATTAGACTGTGTCTCAAAAAAAACCAAAAACCCAAAACATTAATTTATTCAGGAGGGCAGAGCTCTCATGACCTAGTCACCTCTTTTAAAAGAAATACAATTGACACACAATAATTACACTTATTTATAGGATACAATGTAGTATTTAGATACATATATAAATTACTTAATGATCAAACCAAGGTAATTACCATATCCATCACCTCAAATATTTATCATTTTTTGTGATAAGAATATTTTTAAATGTTTTCTATTTTGAGATATATATTATTGTTAACTCTAGTCAACCTACTATACAATAGACCATCAGAACTTAATTCTTCTATCTAACTGTAGCTTTGTACCTATTGACCAATCTCTCATCACCCCCTCCTCCTTCTTACTCTCTCCATCCACTGGTAACCATTATTCTACTCTGTACTTGTATGATAAAAACTTTTTAGATTCTAAATATGAGTGAGATCATGTGGTATTTGTCTTTCTATATCTGCCTAATTTCACTTAATATAATGTCCTCCAGGTTCATCCATGTTGTCACAAATGCCAGGCTGTCCATCTTTTTTAAGGCTGACTGGTATTCCATTGGGTATTATTTACCACATTTCCTTTATCCATTCATCCATCAATGGACACTTATCAAAATCAACTTATGTTGATTTCACATCCTGACTATTATGAATACTGCTGCAGTAAACATAGAAGTAAAGATATCTCTCTGACATACTGATTTTCTTTCTTTTGGATATATATCCAGTAGTGGGATTGCTGGATCTTATGGTAGTTTTATCAGCAGTGTATAAGGGTAACCTTTTCACCATAACCTTTTCAATACTTGTTATCTTTTTATTTTTTGATAGTAGCCATTTTGACAGGACTGAGATGATATTTCATGGAGTTTTGATTTGCATTTTCCTGATGATTAGTGATGTTGAGCATTTTTCACATATATGCTGGCCATTTGTATATCTTCTTTTGAGAAATGTCTATTCAGGTTTTTTGCCCATTTTAAAATCAGATGATTTGTTTGTTGTTATGGTTGCTGAGTCGTTTGAGTTCCTTACATATTTGGGTTATTACACCTTATGAGATGTATAGTTTGCTAATGTAGTCTCCTGTTCAGTAGGTTATCTCTTTTCTCTGTTGATTTTTTTTTTTTAAGATGGAGTCTCACTCTATTTCCCAGGCTGGAGTGCAGTGGCACAATCTCAGCTCACTGCAACCTCTGCCTCTCTGGTTCAAGAGATTCTCCTGTCTCAGCCTCCCCAGTAGCTGGGATTACAGGTGCCCGCCACCACACCTGGCTAATTTTTGTATTTTTAGTAGAGATGGGGTTTCACCATATTGGTCAGGCTGGTCTGGAACTTCTGACCTCAGGTGATCCACCTGCCTTGGCCTCTCAAAGTGCTGGGATTATAGGCGTGAGCCACTGCTCCTGGCCTGTTGTTTCTTTTGCTGTGCAGAAGCTTCTGAGTTTGATGTAATCCTATTTGTCTACATTAGCTTTTGTTGTTTGTGTTTTTGAGTTTTACACACACACACACACAAAAATCCTTGCCTAGGCCACATATCACAGAGCTTCCCCTTCTGTGTTTTCTTCTAGTAGTTTTGTCATTTTGGGTCTTACATGTAAGTCTGTAATCCATTTTGAGTTAATTTTTGCATATGGTGAGAGATAAGGGTCTAGTTTCATTCTTCTGCATCTGGATAGCCAGGTTTCCCAGCATCTTTTATTGAAGAGGCTGCTCTTTCTCCAGTTTGGGTACTGGGCACCTTTGTTGAAAATCAGTTGACTGTAGATGCATGAGTTTATTTCTGGACTTTCTGTTTTGCTCCATTGGTCTATTTGTTTTTATGCCAGTACCATGTAGGTTGTTGGGGTTCAAGAGGTTCTTGAAAATGCCAAAGGAGTAGAAAGCTTCTTCAAAGAGATAACAGAAAGCTTCCCAAATTTAGAGAAAGATACAAATATCTTACAGGAAGGTAAAATATCACTAACCAGATCCAACCCAAATAAGTCTACCTCAAGACATGTGGTAATCAACCTCTTAAAAACCAAAGACAAGGAGAGGATTCTAATCACCTCTTAAAGGTCTGACCTCTTAATACTGTTATAATGCTAATTAAATTTCATTTTAAAAAATATTTATTTTAAATGGAAGCTTCCACCTTCCTTCCTTCCTTCCTTTTCCTTTTCTTTCCTTCCTTCCTTCCTTCTTTCTTTTTCTTTTTTTCTTTTTTTCTTTCCTTCTTTCTTTCATTTTTTGAGACAGGGTCTCATGTTGTCCAGGCTGGAGTGCAGTAGTGTGATCTCGGCTCACTGCAGCCTTGACCTCCCAGGCTCAAGTAATCCTCCTACCTCAGCTTTCCAAGTAGCTGGGACTACAGGTGTGTGCTACCACACCCTGCTAATTTTTGTCTTTTTTTTAGGGATGGGTTTTTGCCATGTTTCCCAGCTGGTCTCAAACTCCTGGGCTCAAGTCATCAGCCTGCCTTGACCTCCCAAAGTTCTGGGATTACAGATGTGACCCACCACGCCCAGCCGACAATTAATTTCACCATGAATTTTGAAAGTAACATAAACCACAGCAACATATAAGCCTAATTCCTACCCTATTATTTCACTATCATCTTAGTTTCAAGTTTATCTCTTGAAATGGATATGGGGAAAGTGTCAGTACTTGAACACAAAGAGAGTTTCTTCCGAATAGGGCTAGACATAAACAAGGCAGGCAGTGATAACAAAGAATTTCTCAGAATGACCTCAACTGGAAGCTTCCATAGCTACTAAATGCCTCCTTGGCTAATGCCTAACATCCCATAATTAGAAATCTAGTCATTTAAATGAAGGTTTTCCTTCAATGCAAATGCAAAGGCTGCTAGGAGAGATAACCTTGGGATGAACAATTATTCACACCGTGGAGTGAATAATTTTAAACATTCTTTTCCTAAGAGGAAAGGTTTTGAATGAAATTAGGAAGGAGAAAGTATGGGACAATGGGCTTTTGATAATGATAAAAAGAGAAAAAACAAATAGAAAAAAGAGGAGGGTCGGCCGGGCGCGGTCAGGAAGGCGCGGTCTCGGTCAGGAGATCGAGACCATCCTGGCTAACGCGGTGAAGCCCCGTCTCTACTAAAAATACAAAAAATTAGCCGGGCGTGGTGGGGGGCGCCTGTAGTCCCAGCTACTCTGGAGGCTGAGGCAGGAGAATGGCGTGAACCCGGGAGGCGGAGCTTGCAGTAAGCCGAGATCGCGCCACTGCACTCTAGCCTGGGCGACAGAGCAAGACTCCCTCTCAAAAAGAAAAAAAAAAAAAAAAGAGGAGGGTCCCAAAGGCAAACTTGAAGAACTTGAAGGATTTAGTGATTAAAATGTTAGGAATTAAGAGAGTCCATCTTCAAAATCTTAACAGTATAGTAGATGATGAATCTGGACAATGTTAGATAAGCCAAAATGGAGAGTGGAAACTTCCCTCTGTGGGTATTGCCTTCAAAACCAGAGTAAGTGGTTAGGCTTGCCTACCTGCTTTTCATTCTTATGTTGCTTAACCATACTGTTGGAATTCCTCTGGGCTAATATCTCTGGAAGCTCACGTGGTCTTGAAGGCTAAGAACTAGAACTAAGAATCACAGTGTGTTGGCCACTCTCAGGCTTGTGGCTCTCAGCTTTGAGGCAGTTTCAGTGATTTTACTGGAGATTTGGGAACTAAGCACAGGAGATCTATTAGTTATAAAGAACTTCCTAGAACGTGAACTCAGGAATTAGACAGACTTAAGTTTGAGTACTGACTCAATGCCTCACTCATTGTGTGACTTTAAGCAAATTGCTTAACTACTCTAACCCTCAGTTTCCCTATCTGTACAATGGGATTAATAATACTACTTACCGCCGGGCACGGTGGCTCATGCCTGTAATCCCAGCACTTTGGGAGGCCGAGGCGGGCGGATCATGAGGTCAGGAGATCAAGTCCATCCTGGCTAACACAGTGAAACCCCATCTCTACTAAAAATACAAAAAATTAGCTGGGCATGGTGGCAGACGCCTATAGTCCCAGCTACTCGGGAGGCTGAGGCAGGAGAATGGTGTGAACCCGGGAGGCAGAGCTTGCAGTGAGCCGAGATTGGGCCACTGTACTCCAGCCTGGGTGACAGAGCGAGATTCTGTCTCAAAATAATAATAATAATAATAATGGTAATAATACTTACCTCTTCGGTTTGTTGTATTATTAAAAAATAATGATAATGATAATAATACTTACCTCTTGGGTTTGTTGTGAGTATTTAAGTTCAACTGAACTTAAATAATATAGTTCATTTGAAGTGTTTAGCCTTACACTTGGCACATAGTTATTTTTGTAATTCTTTTTATGTTAGGTATGGTGGTTAGCCTTATGTGTATTAACTGGGCTAAGTTATAATACCCAGTTATTTAATCAAGTGCTAATGCAGAAGTTGTATGAAGATATTTTGTAGATGTGGTTAACATCTACGATCAGTTGACTGAGGGTGAAGGAGATTACTCTCTGTAATGTGGGTAGGCCTCATCTAATCAGTTGGAAACCTAAAGAGTAAAACAGATTTCCTAGAGAAAAAGAAATGCAGCATAAAATTCTGCCTGGGTTTCTACCCAACCAGTCTGCCCTACAAATTTCAGACTCAAGACTGACGCATCGATTCCTACCTGATTTTCTATCTTGCCAGCCTGTCCTACAGATTTCAGACTAACCAACCCCCACAATCGCATGAGCCAGTTTCCTAAAATAAAGGAATCGTGTGTAGGGTAGGCTGGATGTGTGTCTTATTGGTTCTGTTTCTCTGATACATGGGGTATACTTTGGGCATAGGTCAACACAATGTCAACAAAATCCAGTAGAGACACTAAAAGGAGGGAGATAATGCAAGAAAAGTTCTAATAAAAATAGGACCCAAATGAGAACTCCCACAGGAAATGGGAGACCCTCAACTAGTGCTCAACGCAAAGTGGCTACACAAAGCTGGGCCTGGTCCCTCCAGAGAACTTTCACTGCACTGTTACTGAGAACATTTGTCCACTATGAGTTGCTTGTTCTGCCACCTTCCTCTGTGGCCTCTGGGATCCCCAGGGAGGAGCTGTCAGAGATGCCTCTTTTCTCGTGGCTTAGGGACTTTACAGTTAGACTGCGGATCCCACTGTACCAGGATCACTGCAGGAAGACTGGCCCTCTTAGCATCCTATTCCTTAAGGACAAAAGGTAAAGACAAAAAAAAAAAAAGCATAGGGAACAGAAATAGCCTCCAACCTCTAAAGATTTCAAGTGATAGACCTTTCCTGGCTTATGTCATATATCAGCCATTATGCGTTTCCAAAACTACTATAGATATAACATATTGATTGGGATCCAAGTTAGAAATTGCAATTTTGGAGTCCCAAAGGGCACCCAGCTATTGATTAAAACTCAGATAAACTAATTGTTACACCTGGGAAAGGAGCAGTTATGTAACCAGGATTTGTTCAGACATTACTCATATTAATGATTCAGATTTTAAAAATTGAACTTGCCAAATGATTCAAAAACTACTCACTTCACATTCTTAAAAAACACTTACAAATCAAAGCATTACTATGCTTTGAGGACCATCTGAACAAAGGAAAACCTAATAGACATAGTAGTAGTGTGGATGGTCTCAGTGAGAAACATTTTTTTGGTATTATAAATATTAAATGGCTGTCTGATTAAACATGACCAATTAAACACACTTCTAGCCTGAGCAACATGGCAAAACTCTGTCTCTACAAAAATTAGCCAGGCGTAGTGGTGCGGGCCTGTAGTCCTAGCCACTTGGAGGGCTGAGGCAGGAGGATTGCTTGAACCCAGGATGTGGAGGCTGCAGTGAGCCATGATCACGCCACTGTACTCCAGCATGGGTGACAAAATGAGACCCTGTCTCAAGTAAATAAACAAACAAACACATCCTTTTATCTCACTTAAATTACTGCACCATGGATAATTTTCCAACTTATGACCAGCATTTTCTTCCTCCATCTGCTCTCCATGCTTCCATAAGTTTCACTTTTCTAAAACTCCACTTTTATCAGATCATGATTAATAATGAGCTTCCTCTAACTTCAAGTACATAAAACAGTAAGCAATATTTATTCATATTTTCTGATTAAAAATGAAATTTTCTTCCCATTTTAAAAGCATTTCCAAAGATGGTGCAAAATCATTGTAATGACAGTGGTATTTATTGGAAATTATGTTGGGAGTTGGAAAAATTACTTCCAAAAAAGTTTAGCCTAGCCGGGCACAGTGGCTCACGCCTGTAATCCCAGCGCTTTGGGAGGCCTAGGCAGGTGGATCACCTGAGGTCAGGAGATTGAGACCATCCTGGCTAACATGGTGAAACCCTGTCTCTACTAAAAATACAAAAAAATTAGCCGGGCATGGTGGCAGGCGCCTGTAATCCCAGCTACTCGGGAGGCTGAGGCAGGAGAATGGCGTGAACCCGGGAGGTGGAGCTTGCAGTGAGCCAAGATCGCGCCACTGCACTCCAGCCTGGGCGACAGACTCCGTCTCAAAAAAAAACAAAACAAAACGGGTGAGGTGGTGCAGCCTGTAGTCCCAGGTACTCGGAAGGCAGAGGCAGGAGGATTGCTTAAGCCCACGAGTTCAAGGCTTCAGTGAGCTGTGATCATGCCACCGCACTCCACCCTTGCTGACAGACTTTATCTAAAAATAAATAAATAAAATAAAATAAATTAGCTGGGCATAGTGGCATGTGCCTGTAGTCCCAGCTACTTGGGAGGCCAAGATAGGAGGATCCCTTGAGCATGGGAGGTCGAGGCTGCAGTGAGATGTCATCATGCCACTGCACTCCAGCCTGGGTGATAGAGCGAGACTCTTTGTATTAAAAAAAAAAGAAGAAAGAAAGAAAAATAATTTGGGGAAAAATGCAGTTTTAAAGCCACAGCAAAATATTGTTCATTTGACCAAAATCTGAGTTTTAATCTTATTTGTATCTTTGCCTACTATATTATATTTCTCTAGTGAATTTCCTTTTTTTTTTTTTTTTGAGACAGAGTTCTGCTGTGTCGCCCAGGCTGGAGTGCAGTGGTGTGATCTCCACTTACTGCAACCTCCACTTCCCAGGTTCAAGCGATTCTCCTGCTTCAGTCTCCCGGGTAGCTGGGATAACAGGTGTGTGCCACCATGCCTGGCTAATTTTTGTATTATTAGTAGAGACAGGGTCTCACCATATTGGCCAGGCTGGTCTCAATCTCCTGACCTCAAGTGATCCGCCTGCCTCGGCCTCCCAAAGTACTGGGATTACAGGCGTGAGTCACCAAGCCCAGCCTGCTTTTTCATTCTCCTAGTGTTGTAGTCCATTCTGACTGCTATATCAAAACACAATAAATTAGGTTGCTTATAAACAACAGAAATTTATTTCTAACAGTTCTAGAGTTTGGGAAGTCTAAGATCAAGGGGCCAGCGGATTTGGTGTCTGGTGTGGGCCCACTTTCTTGTTCATAGATGGTGTCTTCTAGTTGTGTCCTCACATGGTGGAACAGACAAAACCGGTCTCTGGGGGCCTCTTTGATAAGGGCATGAATCTCATTATGAGGGCTTTATCCTAATGATCTAATCACCGACCAAGGGCCTTACCTCCTAATACTATCCCATTGCCGATTAGGTTTTCATCATATGAACTTGGGTCAGGGGAGGACACAAACTTACTGAGACAACAATTTCATACCTTCTGTTTGCTCCTCAAACTGCCAATATTTCCTCTACCCTCAATCTCAGATGATGACCTTTCTTATTTCACTGAGAAATTATAAGAACAATCAGAAAAGAATGTCTACAAATTCTCAGCATATCCACACATCTACATGCTTTTGTGTACATATATCCTGCCTTCTTTCTTGTAATAACAGAGGAATTGTCCATGCTCTCACATGAGGCTGTGAGGCTAACCCTTCCACCAGTGCACTAGATCCCATCCCTTCTGACTTACTCTGTGATGTTGCTCCAGTAATTCTCCCCCTTTTCTACTGCACCCTCAATTCCCCCCTCTAATGGATTTTCCTATCAGCATGTGTATTAGTCTGTTTTTACGCTACTGATAAAGACATACCTGAGACTGGGAAGAAAAAGAGGTTTAATTGGACTTACAGTTCCACATGGCTAGGAAGGCCTCAGAGTCATGGCAGGAGATGAAAGGCACGTCTTACATGGTGGTGGCAAGAGAAAATGAGAAAAAAGCAAAAGTGGAAACCCCTGATAAGCCCATAAGATCTCATGAGACTTATTAACTGTCACAAGAATAGCATGGGAAAGACCAGAACTCATGATTCAATTACCCCCACCTGGGTCCCTCCCACAAGACATGGGAATTCTGGGAGATACAATTCAAGTTGAGATTTGGGTGGGGACACAGCCAAACCATATCAGCATGCAAACATGCTGTTATTTATCCCACTTTACAAACCAACAAAAAACACTCTTCCTTACAACTAACCTTCCATTTTTCTCTTTTCCTGTACAACAAAATCCTTTCAAAGATTTGTCTGTTCCTTGGACTCTACTCTCTCCTCCTGTTTTCTCCTGGATTCACTCCAGTCAGGCTTTTGCCTCTACCATTGCACGAAAATAGGTCCTATCATGGTCACCAATGACTACTGTGAAAGTTGCAGATAGCAGGATGAAATCACTTTTGTTATATCCAAACAAACTAGGGCTGGGAAGCCCCAAAGTAGAGGCAGTTCATGCCTACATGTCTGAGACAAAAACTGTTTCCAAGCCCCTTTTTTTTTTTTTGAGAGACAGGGTCTTGTTCTGTCACCAAACCTGGAGTGCTGTGGCAAAACAGGTCACTGCAGACTCAAAATTCTGAGCTCAAAGGATCCTCCTGCCTAAGCCTCCTAAAGTGCTGGGATTATAGGTATAAACCACCACACAGGCCTCTAGTACTTTCTAAAGACCCTTTCTGATCCTTTATGCATCTCCTACTTTTTTTGATTTTTAGTAGAGATGAGGTCTCACTATGTTTCCCAGGCTAGTCTTGAACTCCTGAGTTCAAGTGATCCTCCCATCTCAGCATTCCAAAGTGCTGAGGTTACAGGCGTGAGCCACTAGGCCAGCCAGCACATCCTGTTTCGATAAGGTTTATCACTAGACATTCTTTAGAACTGCAGTAACTCAGATAAGATGTTCTCGAAAGAACACTTGCCCGGCAACGGCATCTCCACCAAAGAACTGACAATAACTCTGGTTTGAACCTCTGGAACCAATGAACTCTGTTTCTAGGCAGTTTATGTAAATCTCTATTTTGCTAATAAAAGCTCCTTTCACTCGTCTCTCACGGAATGCACTGGTGGCTTGCCATTCTGTGCATTCCAGATTAGAATCCTTATTTATATTCCTGCGTAAACTCAACATATTTAGAGATCATTTTCTCTAGTGTTTTTTTCCTTTGGTTGACATTTCCATGTTGCTGAATCCAATGGTCATTTCTCTTGACCCATCAGTAGCAATGATTTTATTTTATTTTATTTTATTTTATTTTTATTTTATTTGTAGAGATAGAGTCTCACTATGTTGCCCAGGCTGCTCTTGAACTCCTAGCCTCAAGCAATCCATCTGCCTCGACCTCACAGTGTTGGGATTACAGACATGAGCCACTGGACCTGGCCAACTCAATATTCTTGTAGTACCTTTTTCTGTGTACCTTTTTCTGTGTGTCTTCCCAGATACTACACTCTCCTGATTTCCCTTCTACTTCACTGGCCATTCAGTCTGTTAGCTCCTCTTTCCTCCAACCTCTAATTGTGCTCTAGTTGAGACTCAGCCTTTGAACTTCTGTTTTCCATCTATACTCATACCCTTATGGATCTCAGATCTCATTCGATTTAATAGCTTTAAATATATCAGAAATGGCCGGGCACGGTGGCTCACGCCTGTAATCCCAGCACTTTAGGAAGCCAAGGTGGGCGGATCACCTGAGGTCAGGGGTTCAAGACCAGCCTGGCCAACATGGTGAAACCCCATCGCTACTAAAAATACAAAAATTAGCCAGGCATGGTGCCCCGGGCTTGTAATCCCAGCTACTTGGGAGGCTGAGGCAGGAGAATCACTTGAACCCAGGGGGCGGAGGGTACAGTGAGCTAAGATTGCACCACAGCACTCCAGCCTGGGGAACAGAGGGAGACTCTGTCTCTCTCTCTCTCTCTCTCAATCTCTCACTATATATATGAGGAAGTATTATGTATTATTCCATTTTTTCATTATCCCATTTTTTGTAAACAAATAAATTATACGTATGTATATACTCAGAAATGAAATAGAAAGGAAAAAGACCAAAACATCAATAGTGATTATCATTTGGTGATGAGATTAGAAGTGATTTTTTTTTTTGGAAATGGGGTCTTGCAATATTGCCCAGGCTGGAGTGCAATGGCTATTTACAGAAATGATCATAGCCACTGTGGTCAACTCCTGTGCTCAAGAGTTTCTCCTGTTTCAGCCTCCCTAGTTGCTGGAACTACGGGCACCCGCCATTGGCTCAGCTAGGTTACAAGTGATTTTAATCTTTGTGCTTTTCTGTAATCACATTTTACACAATTAATATGTAATATTTCTTTAATCAGACTAAAAAAACAAAACAAAAAGGATGTATGGCTGGAAGAGTGCAGAGAAACTTACTCAATGAACTTTGAAACATTTCCTTCCCACCCTAAGCATCAGAACACTTTGGAAATGAATGCGAAGCACGCAGAGTTGAAGCAATTCCTTAAAGTTGGGAGAGAAAAAGCTTTGGTCATCAAAAACTCTGCCAATCTGCGTGCATTTTCCTGGATGGGGCCTACTTATATTTCCCAGGCATTGAGTAACTGAGAGTTAGGGGCATTCCCTAAGGAAAGACAATGGGAGAACCTGAGATTCGAGAATCCCCAGTTTTGTTTTATTTTGTTTTGTTTTGTTTTGTTTGTGACAGGGTCTCACTGGAGTTCAGTAGTGCGATCTTGGCTCACTGCAGCCTTGACCTCCCAGGCTCAAGCAATCCTCCCACCTCAGCCTCCCGGGTAGCTGGGACTGCAGGCATGTACCATCACGCCTCGCTAATTTTTGTATTTTTTTGTAAAGACAGGGGTTTCACCATGTTGCCCAGGGTGGTCTTGAACTTCTGAGCTCAAGCCATCTGCCCCTCCCCAGCCTTCCAAAGTGCTGAGATTACAGGCATCAGCCACTACTCCCAGTCTCACATTAATTTTTATAAATGTTCTATGTGTGCTTTAGAAGAATGAATATTTTCAAAATGTTGGATATAGGATTCTATCTTCACATAATAAATTAAGGCTGTTAATTACTGTGTTTACAAAAATTTTTTAGTATTAACAGGTGAAATGATATGCTGTCAGAATTTGCTTTAAAATACTCCAGTTCCAGGCTGGGCGCGTTGGTTCATGCCTGTAATCCCAGCACTTTAGGAAGCTGAGGCAAGCAGATCACTTGAGGTCAGGAGTTCAAGATCAGCCTAGCCAATATGGCGAAACCCGGTCTCTACTAAAAATACAAAAATTAGCCAGCATGGTGGCGCACGCCTGTAATCCCAGCTACTCAGGAGGCTGAGGCTGGAGAATTGCTTGAACCCAGGAGGCAGAGGTTGCAGTGAGCCAAGATCACGCCACTGCACTCTAGCCTGGGCAACAGAGAAGAATCCGTCTCAAAAAAAAAAAAAAAAAATCCAGTTCCTTTCACTCACCACCTCCACCCTCTGAAAAAAATTGGGGAAATATCTGAAACAAGATTGTCAAAATGGATGGTAATACCTAGAGGTTCATCATCATATGAGGGTTTCTGAAAGTGTGGTCTCTCAACCATTAGCATCAACATTACTTGGGAACTTGCTAGAAGTGCAAATACTTGGATCCCACCTAACACCTACTAAATCAGAAACTCTGGGGACAGGACCCTGCAATCTGTGTTTTAACAAACTCTCCAGGTGATTCTGATGCATGCCAAAGTTTGAGAACCACTGTATTATACTACTCTGTCTATTTTTGTGTATGTTTGAATATTTCCATAACAATGTTTTAAAAATAGAGTTGCTATATTTGTTCTTGGTGAATTGGTAGATTTTCATTATGTAGTTACTCTCTGTTGATTTATTATTTCCAGTTTTTTAGTTTTTTCTTAAACCTCCAAATTAGAAATGTTTATTGTTATATAGATATTTGTTTAGGTTTAATACATGCTTATCTATACCTTTGCTCATTAGTTCATCTCCTACCTTCCAACTAAGTGTTTTCTTCTTACCTCTTTTGCTGCTCTGGCTCTAAGGCCAGCAGCGTTGGCATCAGCTGGTTAATTATGAGAAATGCAGAATTAGTATCTGATTTTAATAAAATCTCCAAGTGATTTGTATGTACATTAAAGTTTGAAAAGCACTGTCCCAAAGTATTCCTTTTAGAAATTCTCTTAGTGCAGATCTCTTGTGGTAAACAGTTGTTATTTATCCAAAAAGGTCCTTATTTCACCATTCTTGAATGGGCACACAATTCTACATTAACAATTATTTTTATTTATTTTCATTTCTTTCTTTCTTTCTTTTTTTTTTTTTTGAGACAGAGTCTCACTCTGTCGCCCAGGCTGGAGTGCAATGGTGCAATCTCAGCTCACTGCAACCTCCACCTTCCAGGTTCAAGTGATTCTTCTGCCTCAGCTTCCCAAGTAGCTGGGATTACAGGCGTGCGTGCCACCACACCAGGCTAAGTTTTGTATTTTTAGTAGAAACGGGGTTTCGCCATGTTGGTCAGGCTGGTCTTGAACTCCTGACCTCAGGTGATCCACCTGCCTTGACCTCCCAAACTGCAGGGACTACGGGAGTGAGCCACCATGCCCGGCCTAACAATTACTTTTTCTTTTTCTTTTTTTTTTTTTTTTGAGACGGAGTCTTGCTCTGTCGCCCAGGCTGGAGTGCAGTGGCGCGATCTCTGCTCACTGCAAACTCCGCCTCCCGGGTTCGCGGCCTTCTCCTGCCTCAGCCTCCCAAGTAGCTGGGACCACAGGCGCCCACCACCACGCCCTGCTAATTTTTTGTGTTTTAGTAGAGACGGGGTTTCACCGTGTTAGCCAGGATGGTCTCGATCTCCTGACCTCGTGATCTGCCCACCTCGGCCTCCCAAAGTGCTAGGATTACAGGTGTGAGCCACTGTGCCCGGCCAATAATTACTTTTTCTTAGCATTTTTAATGATCTTACTTTATCGTCTTCTAGCTTGCTTTATTTGCTCTTAAGTCTGCTATTCATTTATCTCAGGCTGCTGTTGAGATATTTTCTTTGATATTCTTCAGTTTTATTACAATGTTTCTAACTTTGGATAGATTCAGAATTTTTCTTGTGGTATAGGTGTGGGAAGATCTAAGATAAAAATGTAAAAGAAATAGTTATAATTTAAAAAAATAGGCTGGGTGCAGTGGCTCATGCGTGTAATCCCAGTGCTTTGGGAGGCTGAGGCAGAAGAATTTCTTGAGGCCAGGAGTTTCAGGCCAGCCTGGGCAACATAGTGAGATCCTGTCTCTACAAATAATAAATAATAAATAAATAAATTGGCCGTGTGCGGTGCTCACACCTGTAATTCTAGTACTTTGGGAGGCTGAGGTGGGCGGGTCACGAGGTCAGGAGATGGAGACCATCCTGGCCAACTTGGTGAAACCCTGTCACTACTAAAAATACAAAAATTAGCTGAGTGTGGTGGCTCGCACCTGTAATCCCAGCTACTCAGGAGGCTGAGGCATGACAATCGCTTGAACCCAAAAGGCGGAGGTTGCAGTGAGCTGAGATCCCGCCACTGCACCCCAGCCTGGCGACAGAGCAAGAGAGCAAGACTCCATCTCAAAAAAAAAAAAAAAAAAAAAAAAAAAAAGAATGCCGGGCGCGGTGGCTCACACCTGTAATCCCAGCACTTTGGGAGGCCGAGGTGGGTGGATCACCTGTGGTCTGGAGTTCGAGACCAGCCTGGCCAACATGGTGAAACCCTGTCTCTACTAAAAATACAAAATTAGCCGGGCGTGGTGGTGTGCGCTTGTAATCCCAGCTACTCTGGAGGCTGAGGCAGGAGAATCGCTTAGAAACTGGGAGGCAGAGGTTGCAGTGAGCTGAAATCGCACCACTGCACTCCAGCCTGGGCAACAGAGGGAGACTCTATCTCAAAATAAATATATAAAAATAAATAAATGAAAGTTTAAAAAAATAAGTGGGTAGAGTGGATGGAGTCATAAGTGATCATTTATAAATGATTGTCAATTTATTGGCTACATGCAGGTGTTGGTAACTCAGATCTGTTGGGCATTCAGGCAAAATGTATTAAGTGAATTACATGGTGTTCAGAATTATTTCTAGATGTTCAGTGTGATGTGAATTAGACAATGAGACTCACAAAGCTACAGTTTTTGCTCTTTATTTATTTATTTTTTATTTATCTTTTTAAAATTTTTACAATATTCTTGTCAAGGCATTAACTCTTTTATACTTAATTGTACTTAGGTATACTTAATTACCAGGAAAACTTTGTGGATCATACCTAAATAAGTGTTAAGTCATTTAAAGGGCTGATGTGATGTGATATAGACAATAGTATTCTACACAATAATTTCAGGTCTACATTGATTAGATTTTCTGTTTTTGAGACAGGCTCTGTCACCCAGGCTCAAGTGCTGTGGCGTGATCCTGGCTCACTGCAGCCTTGACATCCCAGGCTCAAGCAGTCCTCCCACCTCAGCCTCCTTAGTAGGTGGTACTACAAGCATGCACCACTATGCCCGGCTGATTTTTTATTTTTTGTAGAGACAGGGTCTTTCTATGGTGCCCAGGCTGGTTTCAAATTCCTGGGCTCAAGTGATCCTCCCACCTTGGCATCCCAAAGTGTTGGGATTACAGGTGTGAGCCATCACACCTGGTCATTTTAGGTTTCTTTTTTTTTTTTTTAATGAGACAGAATCTTGCTCGGTTGCCAGGCTGCAGTGCAGTGGCGCGATCTCGGCTGAGATCACAACTTCCGCATCCCAGGTTCAAGTGATTCTCCTGCCTCAGCCTCCTGAGTAGCTAGGATTACAGGTGCACACCACCACGCCCGGCTAATTTTGTATTTTTAGTAGAGACAGGGTTTCGCCATGTTGGCCAGGCTGGGGCTACAGGCGCATGCCACCACACCCAGCTAATTTTCGTATTTTTAGTAGAGACAGGGTTTCACCGTGTTGGCCAGGATGTCCTCGATCTCTTGACTTCGTGATCCGCCCGCCTCGGCCTCCCAAAGTGCTGGGATTACATGCGGGAGCCACCGTGCCCGGCTGGCCATTTTAGTTTTAATAATTTTTATATTTTTCTAACTTAAAAAAGGTACTAAAATCTCTTACAGCTATTATTTACGAATATAGCATTCATTATTGTTATTGTGATTATTTTGTATGTGTTTAATCTCATTTGCAATATAAGCTCCTGGAAATCAAAGATTTTGTCTATCTTATTCACTACTCTATTCTCAGTACTTGACCTTGTCTTGCATGAAACAGATATCGAATAAATATTTGTTAAATGAATGAATGAATGAATGAAAATACTGATACCACATTTAACAATTCTACAAGTATTATAGGTTTTACCATCTAACAAATAAAATAGATTGTGTAGGGCAGAGTCACAGCCAACCTGTCATAAAAGAAAATGCAAATGAAAAATAAACCTTTGTACGTATAGGTGCTAAGATTTTGGGGCTTTTGTTAATGTAACATAACCAGCAAAAGCTCAATGATACGGCATATATAATATACACATACAGATGGACCAGCAGATGAGATTCCAAAGATAGTTCAATAAGCATTAACTACACCCACACACTTCATTCCCTAACAGAAAGAATGGAATTCTTGTTCACTAAGATCTGCCTCAAACATTACTTACTTTGTTCCTCTGGCTACTCAAGTATTTAGTCAGAACTCTTTTCTTTCCTTTTTTTCCCAGGCTGGAGTGCAGTGATGCCATCATAGCTCACTGAAACCTCTAACTCAGGGCCCAGGGAATCCTCCTGCCTCAGCCTCCTGAGTAGCTGAGACTACAAGTGCCACCTTGGGTAACAGTCAGACTCTGTCTCAGTAAAATAAAATAAAATTAGCCACCATGCTCGGCTAAATTTTTATTTTTAGTTTTTTTAGAGACGGGGTCTTACGTTGTTGCCCAGGCTAGTCAGGACTCTTGATTGCATATGACAGAAACCCAACCCAACCTTTCAACCTGCTCCTCCCTCCCAGTCTCCGTAAATGGCAACTCCATCCTTAAAGTTGCCCAAGCCCCAAATCTCAAAGTTAACCTTGCGTTCTCTCTTTTATCTCATAGCCAGTCTGAAGGCAAATCATGTTGGCTGAAAATATATCCAAACTTAATCACTTCTCATCACTTGCACTTTCCACCATAGTTCAAGCAATCATCATCTCTCAATATCTTCCAACTGGTCTCCAGGTTTATACTGCTACCCCCTAGAGAATTTACTTCACAGCAGCCAATGCTTTTAAACATAAAACATGAGTCAGAAAGCTGGGCACAGCTGCATGCACCTGTAATCTCAGCTACTTGGGAGGTTGCAGTGTGCTTTGATTGCATCTGTAAAGAGCTGCTGCACTCCAGCCCAGGCAATATAGCAAGACTCTGCCTCTTAAAACACAAACACACACACACACACACACACACACACACACACCCCATAGAAGTCAGATGTCACTTTGCTTATCCATCCAATTTAGAATAAAAACCAAAGTCCTAAAAAGGCCTATAGGGCCTTCTATGTAATCTGATTCTGTTTTCTCTGATTTCATATCCTAGTATTTGTCTTGCTTACTCCATTCTAACCACACCACTGGTCTCCTTGTTCCTTGAATATGCCCAGTGCATTTCTGCCTCAAAGCCTTTGTACTTGCTGTTCTCTCTGTTTAGAATGCTCTTTCCTAGATATGGCTTGCTTGCCCACCGTCACCTTTTTTTTTTTTCTTTTTTGAGACCGAGTTTCACTCTTGTTGCCCAGCTGGAGTG
Source organism: Homo sapiens (assembly GCF_000001405.40). Lineage (NCBI taxonomy): Eukaryota > Metazoa > Chordata > Mammalia > Primates > Hominidae > Homo > Homo sapiens. Next base: position 92,797,060 of record NC_000001.11, on the reverse strand, counting down.
CATTGGCACGATCTCAGCTCACTGTAACCTCCGCCTCCCAAGCTCAAGCCATCCTCCCATCTCAGCCTCCCAAGTAGTTGGGATTACAGGCATGCACCACCACACCCAGCTAATTTTTGTATTTTTTGTAGAGACTAGGTTTTGCCAACTTGCCCAGGCTGGTCTTGAACATCATGAGCTCAAGCGATCCACCTGCCTTGGCCTCCCAAAGTGCTGGGATTGCAGGCGTGAGCCACTGTGCCCAGCCCCCACCACCTACTTTGTGAGGTCTTCCCTGACTGTCCTGTTTAAAATTATAATAACCACCAGGTACAGTGGCTCATGCTTGTAATCTCAGCACTTTGGGAGGCTGAGGCAGTTGGATCACTTGAGCTCAGGAGTTCTAGACCAGCCTGGGCAACATGGTGAAACCCTGTCTCTACCAAACAAACAAACAACAACAACAACAAAAACCCAAAAAATAAAAAAACCCAAACAAATGAAAAATAAAAGTTAGCTGGGCATGGTAGCATGTGCCTGTAGTCTCAGATACTTGGGGGCTGAGATGGGAGGATTGCTTGAATCCAGGAGGTTGAGGCTGCAGTGAGCTCTGATCTCATTCCACCTTGGGCAACACAGTCAGATCCTGTCTCAATAAAATAAAATAAATTTGTAATAACCTTTCTTCATACTCCCTTTCTCCTTCACTCATACCATCTCATATCATATATATTATATATGTATTTATTAATGTGTTCAACTTATTTTTTCGACTAAGTCAAATCAAGATTATTTTTCTATTTTATTTTTCTTTTCCAAGATGATCTAAATTCCCAGAAGGTATCATTTTCTTTTTTCATGTATATTTTGTTCATAGATATATTTTTAATGTATATTTTGTGGAAAAATATACATAACCTGAAGTTTGCTGATTTAACCATATTTAGGTGTATAATTCGGTGGCATTAAGTATATTTACAGTATTGATAACCACCATCACTACTTAGTTGCAAAACTCTTTTATTGCCCCACCAGAAACTGTCCATTAAGCACTAACTCCTCATTCCCTGTTCCCCCAGACCTTAGTAATCACCATTTTACTTTCTCTCTTTATGAATTTGACTACTCTAGATACCTCATATAAGTGGAAGAATATAATATTTGTCCTTTCACGATGGATTTATTTCACTTACCATAATGTTTTCAAGGCTCATTCATGTTATAGCATGTAGCAGAACTTCATTCCTCTGTATGCCTGAATAATATATTTAATTGTATCACATTTTCTTTTTTTTTTCTTTTGAGACTGAGTCTAGCTTTGTCACCCAGGCAGGAGTGCAGTGGTGCGATCTTGGCTTACTGCAATCTCCGCCTCCAGGGTTTAAGCGATTCTCCTGCCTCAGCCTCTTGAGTAGCTGGGATTACAGGTGCCTGCCACCACGCCTGGCTAATTTTTTTGTATTTTTAGTAGAGACAGGGTTTCACTGTGTTGGCCAGGCTGGTCTCGAACTCCTGACCTCAGTGTGTCACTTTTTCTTTATCCATTTATTTTTTGATAGACATTTGGATTGTTTCCCCCTTTTGGCTATTGTAAATAGTGCTGCTATGAATATTGGTGAAGAAGTATCTATTTGAGCTCCTGTTTTAAATTCTTTCAGCTTGGAGTGGAATTACTGAATCATATGGTAATTCTATTTTTAACTTGAGGAACTGCCAAACTGTTTTCCACAGTGGCTGTATCAGTTTACATTCCCACCAGCAATGCACAAGGGTTTACATTTCTCCACATCTCACCAACATTTGTAATTTTCTGCTTTTTTCATAACAGCGTTCTAGTAAGTGTGAAGTGGTGTATCATTTGGTTTTGATTTGCTTGTCCCTAATCACTAATAACGCGGTGCATCTTTTCACGTGCTCATTGCATATCTTCTTTGGAGAAATGTTCAAGTTCTTTGCTACCCCCTACCCTTTTTAAATTTGAGACAGGGTCTCACTCTGTTGCCTAGGCTAGAATGCAATGGTGCATTCACAGTTTCTATGTAATAGGAATTTAGCAGCAGCTTGCTGACTGGTTCTGACTTTTGGTTTTTCATGAGATTCAGTCTGATGTGAGCTGGTACTGAAGTAATCTGAAGGCTTGACTGGGGCTGAAAGATTTGCTTTTGAGGTGGCTCATTGGCATGGCTGTCAAGTTGGTCCTGAATGTTGATGGGAGGCCTTAGTTCTTTTCCTTCACAGAGCTGTTCACACATGGTGGCTGGCTTCCCCTAAAGCATGCAATTTAAGAAAACAAGGCAAAAAGTGCAATAACCTAGTCTCAAAGGTTATAATTGGTCACTTTTTTTTTTTTTTCTTGAGACAGAGTCTCGCTCTGTCGCCCAGGCTGGAGTTCAGTGGCGTGACCTCGGTTCACTGCAAGCTCCACCTCCCAGGTGCAAGCAATTATCCTGTCTCATCCTCCCTAGTAGCTGGAACTACAGGGGCACACCACTATGCCCGGCTGATTTTTGTGTTTTTAGTAGAGATGGGGTTTCACCATATTGGTCAGGCTGGTCTGGAACTCCTGACCTCAGGTGATCCACCTGCCTTGGCCTCCCAAAGTCCTGGGATTACAGGCATGAGCCACTACACCCAGCCATAATTGGTCACTTTTGCCATATTTTATTGGTCACACAGACAAGCCTTATTCGATGTAGGAGGGATTACACATGGATACATAAATGAATACCAGGCAAAGAGGATCACTGGGGGTCAAAAGCAAGGATCACTCAGGGTCAAATCAGAATGGCTACCACCTGTACATATTTCCAGTGCCTAGAACAATGCCTGGTACAATATGTTAAAAAAAAGTTTGATAAGTACATGAGTCCTTCCTTCTTTCCTTTTTCCCTTCCTCCTTCTCTCCTTCCTTTGAAGGTTATGGGGGTGGTCACAGCATTAAAGAAAGATTAGAACAGCAAAGGCTTAGGAAAGGCAGGATTACTGGAACCGGGGATTTTAATATCCTCAGGATATTCTCCATCTCATTTAGCTTCTCTGAGTATAGCCAGGATCTCCTTAGAGTTTCATCCTTAGAGCTTTATAATGAGAGGGCACAGGGCTTTTACTTTTCCAGCTCTGGTTTGAAAAACCCCAGGGCAGGATTCTCCCAGGCATAACCCCTTGAATCAATCAGTATGATCAGGGAGTTAAGGTAATGTGACTGGCTTTGTTTGAGTCAGGCATCTATACCTGTTAATGGAAAAAGATGGAAGGGGGTATTGACAATAAAAATAGTACAACTCAGCCATGCTAGGTACTCCCCTTTCTCTATGTTCCCACCATTATATCTTGGTACAACAGAACATATAATGTTATTGTTCATTTACTTGTTCATATGTTTGTCTTCTATACTAGACTACACATTCTTACACTAGAATGTGAACACAGGTACCACATTTTTGTAGCTCCAAATGATATAGGTTTTGTAGTCAAGAGAGACTCATGGTTGCATTTTTGCTTTTTCCTTCTACTAACAATGTGACTTTGGACCAGGCATAGCTTCCCTGTCTTTTAAATGGGCCAAATAATAGTTGTGTCATGTGGAAGCACATAACATTATTTCTGACATGCTGTAGGAGCTGAAAATGTTAGTTACTGTCCTTCCTCTTAGGAAAGTAGCTGACATAGTTGAATAATTTTAATATATTTGTGAATAAATGAAGGAGTAAATAAATTCAGCATTCTTGGCGACTGGCTTGGGGATTCACTTGTAAATGGGGATAACAATAGGATTATGATAAAGATTAAGTGAGATGATAGATGAAAAGCGCTTCCACAGTGCCCAGCTATGGTAAGTGCTTTAAAAGCATAAGCCATCAGCAACTTGGGGGTGTTCACCTACAGTCCCAGCCATTCAGGAGGCTGAGGCAGGAGGGTCACTGGAGCCTAGGAGTTCAAGGCCAGCCTGAGAAACATAGCGAGACCCTGTCTTTAAAAAATGAAACAAAATGGGAGCCATCATGAGAGAGGTAATCCTTTAAAACCAATATATCAGATCTCCTAGAAAAGAATTGGAGAAGTGGCTTTCTCTCTATTTAGGTACCTCTCACAAGCTATATCACTTGCTTCTGTACTGCATAGTAAACTCTCAATAGCCTCTGAGTAACAAACTGCAATATCCATTAATAGAACACAACATAGCCTGCAGAATTCCAAAACCTCAGGTAAAGAATGAGAAAAAAAAAAAAAAAGACAAAGAGGAAAGTTCTACCAAATTAATAATTTTGTCTAGTGTCAGAAAACACCTAATTATAGAAGTTTCTAGCCAATGCCTCAGCGTCGGCACTCAAACACAATAACAATTGTAACGTCATTCTGAGATAAGTCATAGAAGGAAGGAAGGAGGGACAGAAGAAGGAAGATGGAAGAGGGAAGGAAGGAAGGAAGGGAGGGAGGAAGGGGAGAAAAGAAGGAAAGAAGGAATGAAAAACCAAAATCAATTAGCATACCTAAGACAAAAAGGCTTTGGTTTCAGCATTCCTAATCCTCCACATTCCCAGCTCCCTACTACCTAACAAGTGTATAAGGTGGAACTGAAAGGGTGTTAAATGGGTGGATCCCAGTGGCAATGTCTTTGTTAACACTGCCTATGAGTCAGCTATAAATTCAATTCAAATCCCCAGTCTCTCTGTCTTCTCTGCTTATCATGGTTACCAACAAAATGACTGCTGCCTTTAGAAACCCTAGTGGGAAACAGGTAAATGTGTAAAACGATGTTTGATTTTATATTAAAACTTATAAAAATGTAATTGCTGTAACAGAAAGTAATTTGTTATTGAGTTAGGATTTGTATATTTCGCTTAATCTTCAAAACACAGGAACAGCTTGTTAACATTTCTTCAGTTTTATTTTAAGACTGTTATCTCATTGTACTGCAGCCATTCGAGTGATGAACAAAATTTATGAAGTGTTAGGTTTAATTCCATACCTGCAAGAAAGGTATTTTAGTAATTGGCTTTTTGTAATTCAACACTTGCCGCAATTCTCTCCTAGCTGTAATTGGCTGCTGTTTACGTTTCTTTGAATATACACATTCACAGAGGAGACCTAGCATGTCTGTATGGGCTTCACATTTCTCATATGGAGAAGAAGAAAATGACTGGTTACCATAGCATTTGTTCACAAACTCTATTTGGTGACAGTGTTGATGGTTGCATGGCCTCTCAATGATTTCAGAAGTGTTGCCTCCCGTCGTGTTTGGGAACACAGTTCATAATAAAAGCTACATAAATTTTTCTGTAAAGTATCATGTTCCTAAAATAGTTTCCTCACCTCATCCTTTTTTTTTTTTTGGTGGAGGTGGGAGAAACTGCTAATTAACATTAGCTAATGTTTGTACCTGGCTTTAATTAGACAATTTCACACGAAATCAAAACACATCTCACGTCGCATCTATGATTGGGACTCTTATTTTTATTTGCTTGATGAAGAGACTGAAGCTTACAGAGGTTAAAAGCCAGACTATTAGCAGGTGTCAAAATCAGGATTCTTCTAATTCAGTCTTTTTTATTTGTCTTTTTGTTTTTGCACATTGGTGTTTTGTGGCTTTGGAAAATAGCAATTACAATAGCTATTATTTTTGAATATTTGTTATACACATGGCATATATTATTCCACTTAACTGTCACTTCAGTGCTTAAGTAGATATTATTATCTCCAGTTTATGAATGAGAAGATTGGAGCTTGAAGAGCTCAAAGGGGTTGATCACGTTTTTGGCAAGAACACTTGAAATTTTAGGTCACAGTCTAGTCACTTGCATGAATGTAGAAGTTACTAGTTCCTAGATAATTGGATAGTTTAAGTGGAGTTACTACCTCTAGTTCCACCAAATTTTCTCTTGCTTTAAAACAAGTATTTTGCAAAGTCAAGAAATGAATGAATTTCTCCTTTTGGTGGGTAGGCTAGAAACTGGCACACTATTGATGTCCCATTCTGGTGACTCAATTTCGAAAGTTTTTTGGGCTGACAGTGTTAATGTGTAGTATCACATATAGAAATGATGTCTGAGCTGTAGATCCAGAGAGCTTGTTCTTTCCCATAGTCATGGCAGATCTAGTCTCCACCTGTGCACAAGTATCAAGAGATAAACAGAATTGTGTGTCTCTTAATAATGTTCTTTCCTAAGATGATGTCAGAGTCTTCTAAAGAATGCATACGGTGGAGGTAAAGTGGTAAAGTGGTGAGGTTAAAGCTATTCTTTCCTTTTTTTTTTTTTTGAGACAGGATCTTGCTCTGTTGCCCAGGGTGCAGTGCAGTGCATTGGCGTGATGTCAGCTCACTGCAACCTCCACCTCCTGGGCTCAAGTGATCTTCCCACCTTAGCCTCCCTAGTTGCTGGGACTACAGGTGCACGCCACCATGCCCTGCTAAGTTAAAGCTATTCTTATAACTCCAGTGCATGGAGGCCATAGCTTTTTATTTGAGTACCTTTCAGATTCATATTGTAGAAAGTAATGAGCCTAGTAATGAATAGCTGTCACTATTTCATTGTGAGCCTTCATTTAAAAAAAAAAACCAAAAAAAAAAACCAGTTTTGAACATTAGTAGGAGTTGAAATGGAGTGTTATGTCTCCTTTTTCTTTAATAGTGCTACCAATAGGACTTTCTGATGAGTGGAAATGTTCTATATTTGTGCTGTCAGACAGTAGCCACTAGCCACATGTGCTATTATTGAGCACTTGAACTATGTGAGTGTGACTATGAAACTGAACTTTTAAGTTTATTTATTTTTGAGACAGGGCCCCACTCTGGCACACAGGCTGGAGTGCAGGGGTGTGATCTTAACTCACTGCAACCTCCACCTCTTGGGCTCAAGTGACCCTCCCACTTCAGTCTCCAGAATAGCTACAGTTGTGCCAACATACCTAGCTAATTTTTTTATTTTTATTTTTGTACAGATAGGGTCTGACTATGTTGCTCAGGCTGGCCTCAAACTCTTGGCCTCAAGTGATCCTCCTGTCTTGGCCTCCCAAAGTGCTGGGATTACAGGCATGAGCCACCATGCCTGGCTTAATTTAAGTTTAAATGTAAATAGTCACATGTTGCTAGTATCTCTAGTGGTTGCTGTATTGGACAGTGCAAACCTAGAATGTAACTGAGATGGTCTAGTTCTCTAAAAAGCTCCCAGGGTGAGGGAGGAATATTGTTCACAGTGGGTTTGACTTCTCTGGTGAGTTCCTTCTTTGTACCTTGGGTTGTTTTTTGCCTTTCAGAGGACTGTCTCCCTTGCATTTCCTTTCTGTGAACAATGGAGCTAACATGACTGACTTAAACACCTTTGGCAGTTTAGAGCACGGTGTTCCAGGGTTTAACCCTTGCCAAGTTTAGAGGGGTTCCCCTCCCAGACAGTGACCCAAATCAATGCTAAGGCTGTACAGTATCAGAACATAGAAAACTTTGAATTGCTCACTGAATTTACCGCAAATAAAACTATCTGAAGGCCAGGCGCGGTGGTTCATGCCTGTAATCTCAGCACTTTGGGAGGCTGAGGTGGGCGGATCACAAGGTCAGGAGATTGAGACCGTCCTGGCTAACATGGTGAAACCCCGTTTCTACTAAAAATACAAAAAATTAGCCAGGTGTGGTGGCAGGCGCCTGTAGTCCCAGCTGCTCGGGAGGCTGAGGCAGGAGAATGGCGTGAACCCAGGAGGCAGAGCTTGCAGTGAGTCAAGATCTTGCCACTGCACTCCAGCCTGGGCGACGGAGCGAGAAAAAAAAAAGAAGAAGAAGCTGAGGCAGGAGGATGGCTTGAATTCAGGAGTCCAAGTCCAGCCTGAGCAACATAGTGAGACCCAGTCTTTTAAATTAATAAAATAAAATGAAACCACAAACCTCAAACAAACAAAAAGACAAAACAGGATTTCAATCATTGTGAAGCTCTCGATCTAGTAGATGAGTAATGTATATAAACCAAAATATTACAATTTCAGAGAAGTGCTACAGGGCCTAATGTTTAACCACTTCTGGCATTCAACTGACTGTGTTAAAAACTCTGCCACCACTTTCCAGGGGTATAAATTGAGGTAAGTTATTTGGTATTTATTAAATTTCAGCTTCTTCATATGCAAGGGGGTTATGATAATAATACCTACCCCATGAGGACAATATGAGGATTAAACGAAATAGTGTATGTATACAGCCTTAGCCAATACCCATACATGTTGAGTGCTCAACCAGGTGTTAGCTATTAGATTTTAAAATTTTATTTAATTTTTATGGGGTTTTTTTTGTTGTTGTTGTTGCTGTTGAGACAGAGTCTTGCTCTGTTGCCCAGGCTGGAGAGCAGTGGCGCGATCTCGGCTCACTGCAAGCTCCACCTCTTGGGTTCAAGCAGTTCTCCTGCCTCAGCCTCCCGAGCAGCTGGGACTACAGGCACACACCACCACGCCCAGCTAATTTCTGTATTTTTAGTAGAGATGGGGTTTCACCATGTTGGCCAGGTTGGTCTTGAACTCCCGACCTTGTGATCCACCACCTCGGCCTCCCAAAGTGCTGGGATTACAGGCATGAGCCATCATGTCCTGCCTAGTTTTTTTTTTGTTTTGTTTTGTTTTGTTTTGTTTTTGAGATGGAGTCTCTCACTCTGTCACCTAGGCTGGAGTGCAATGGTGCAATCTCGGCTCACTGCAACCTCCGCCCCCCGGGTTCAAGTGATTCTCCTGTCTCAGTCTCCCGAGTAGCTGAGATTACAGGCACACGCCACCATGCCCGGCTAATTTTTTTTTTGTATTTCAGTAGAGATGGGGTTTCACTGTGTTGTCCAGGCTGGTCTTGAACTCTTCCGCTCGGGCAATCCACCCACCTTGGCCTCCCAAAGTGCTAGGATTACAGGTGTGAGCCACTACGCCCGGCCACTATTTTTTATAGTTTTTAAGGTAAAATTTACATTCACTGAAATGTTACCTGCATATTTTTTGATAAGTGAATATACCTATGTAACTCACATCCCTATCAAGATAGAGACCATTTTTACCACCCAGAAATTTCACTCATGTACCATCCCAGTCAATCCCCTGCCACAGGGAACCACTGTTATGATTTTTTTTCACCACAGATTAATTTTCTTTTCTAGAATTTCAAATAAATGGAACAGTATGACACTCTTTTGTGTCATTTATTTATCTTCACATAGATAATTCACATACTTTGTGTCATTTATCTTCACATAGATAATTCACATACTTTAAGATAAAAAAGGTACAATTTTAAACCTTTTGGGCATGCAGTAAAAATCTCCTTCCCACTGGTACCCACCAGTCACCCAGTCTTCCTCTCTCTTTCTCTCTCTTTTTTTTTTTTTTGAGACAAGATCTTTCTCTGTCGCCCAGGCTGGAGTGCAGTGGCACGATCATGGCTCACTTCGGCCTCACCCTTCCAGGCTCAAGCAATCCTCCTGCCTCAGGCTCCCAAGTAGCAGGACTACAGGTGCCTACCACCACACCTGTCTAAATTTTTTTTTGTATTTTTTTTTTGTAAAGATAGGGTTTTGCCATATTGCTCAGGCTAGTCTTAAACTCCTGATCTTAAATGATCCGCCGGCCTCAGCCTTCCAAAGTGTTTAGATTATAGGCGTGAGCCACCGTGCTTGGCTCAGTCTTCCTCTCTTGAAGCAATCAATGTTATTAGTTTTATGTGGGCCATCCCATGTCTTATCATTATTAATTCAGGTGCTTACAAAAGGCTCTTTGAGAACTGTTTTAAAGGTTACCCAAAGAATCTTGTGACAACCCAGCTAAAATGATATAAAATCAGTTTTAACATAACTGAAGTTTTTAGATTCTGATTCCAAATGTCAGATGGTGACATTTTACCTTTCTCTGACTTTATGCCAAATTTAGTTTAAGTTTTAGCATCTATAATTTTCATTTACTGAACAAATATATATTTAACAAATATGAAAATACAACCATGAAACAAACAAAATCAAATCCTGGACTTAAGGAGCTAATAGTAAAAAATTCACCAATATAACTACCCAATTACAGTTTCATGCGATGTGAAAGGAGTAAGAGACCACCATAGGGAGGTCAGAAGATGCTTCTCAGAGGTGGATACTAGAGCCGTTGTCAAAGGATGAGGACTGGGAGAACTTTCTGGGCACAGAGCAAAGCATGAGTAAAAGCTCTGTTGAGGCCAGGAAGCCGGTAAATAGGGAATAAAAGAGGCTAGCGTGGCTGGAGCACAGACAGCAGGGTGGAATTGGTCTGAGCAGTGAGAAGAGGTGGAGAGGTGGGCAAGGCACCTGGCCATTCAGGGCTTGGTTAGTTAGGAGGGTTTTTTCTAAGAGAATGGGAAAGTGTTTAAGTGGTTTAGGCTGGGAAGTGACAGGGTCACACTGTTATTTTGAAAAAGTCACTCTGCCTGTTGTGTTGAGATTAGAGAGGGGATAAAGGGAATATGGGTAAACCACAAGAAGACTAGGTCAGTAATCCCTCCACCCCCACTCCCCAGGTGAAGGTAGCCTAGACTAGGGTGGTGATGGAGGAAATAGGAGAGGACAGATTCAAGGACCATTTGTAAGGGAAAAACCAATAGAATTTGCTGACGGATGGAATATAAGAGGGGAGAGGTACATTATCAAGGATGTAGCTTAGTTTTCTTATACAAGGATTGAGTTGCAATAAAATTGTTAATTGAAATTTCTTTAAATAATGGCACAACCTAAAGTTATGCAAACATATGCCTCAGATAAAAGTTCAAGTTTTCAAAGTTTTTAGCTGGGTGGAGGGCATGGCTTTACTTCCTATTTCTTGGTATTTCCTAATCTTGTTGAAAAAAAAGTAAGGTTTTTTTTTTTTTTTTTTTCTGAAATGCTTAGTTCAGTGGAAACCCATCTGCGAATTCTGTCTTATAAATTTAAATTTAAAAATAGGGATACTAATTTCTAGACAAATAATTCCGGAGTTTCTTGTGCTGCTAATTATTATAATTTTTGTCCCTTTTTTTTTTTGAGACAGAGTATCGTTCTGTCGCCCAGGCTGGAGTGCAGTGGCGCGATCTTGGCTCACTGCAACCTCCACCTCCGTGGTTCAAGCAATTCCCCTGCCTCAGCCTCCAGAGTAGCTTGGCTGGGAGTACAGGCGCACGCCACGACGCCGGGCTATTTTTTTTTTTTGTATTTTTAGTAGAGACGGGGTTTCACCATGTTGGCCAGATTGGTCTCCAACTCCTGACCTCAGGCAATCCGCCCGCCTCGGCCTCCCAAAGTGTTGGGATTACAGGTGTGAGCCACCGCGCCCGGCTGTCACTTCTAAACATATAATGAAAGTAATCTGTATTGCCTTTTTACTTTTTCTTGCCTGCTTTTCCTGGACCAGAAATTAATAGGCTGTTTCCGTCCCAAACAAAGTACTTTCCTTCTAAGAATGTCTTCGTTGACGCTGGAGGGCTGCCCGGCTGAATCTTACGTATTCGTGCCCATGTTCTGCCCCCTGCAGTAGTCTGCATAAACCCAATGCGAAGACACGTGTAAGAGTACATTACAATTACAAGTGTCATTTACGCGTTGATTATTGTTTTTGCGAGTGCCCTAAGGCCACCTCTGGGGGAGCTCGGGGCTGCCTTCCGAAGCATGCGCGTCAGCACCGCGTGCCAGGGCCCTGAAAGTCAGGCTCCGCGTCGGTGCGGCAGCGCGAGGCCTGCAGTCCTAAGCTCGGGGTCGCTTCGGGCCCCCGAGGGGGTGTGTCTTCTACCGTTTTAACATGGAAGGGGCGGTTCCAGTGGCCGGGGAAGTCGGCGACTTGCAGGACTGAAGGCTGGTGCTTTGAAAGAGAGGCGGAGGGCGAGAGCGATTTCCCCGCCTCCTCTGCACTCCGTCCAATCCCTTCGCCTTCTCCTTTTCTCGGCCGGCCCGCCCGGCCCCTAACCTGCTCCAACCCATTCTGCGGTAGAGGCTGCCGGGTCTCTTTAAGGCCCTCCCGCGCCTGCGCCTTGGGCTCTCCTGACGCGGCCGGGCCGGACCCCGGAGGAACCAGCTGGCCAGCTGGCAAGGGGCTGGCTGCAGTTCCGACAGCGGCGGTGCCGGGAGGGGTAGGTGAGGGTCGCGAGGCGGCCCTGAGCTTCTGAGTGAGCGTGGTGCTTTTGGGAACTCGGGACGGGCGACCCGTGGAGCCAGGAGCGGGGCCGAGGCGCTGAGACGCGGCGGCGCGGCTGCCGGCTGGATGGGAAGTTAATGTTTACGGCGAAGTCTACTCAACGTTTCCAAGGTGAGGGGCGCTGCGCCAGGCCGGGCGGGCCGGGAGGCCGGGCGGGCGGTGAGTCCGTGTTCCGCTGGCGCACAGCTGGGCCGAGGCGCGGCGGGCGGGGGCCGCCGCAAGTTTTGCTGTGGGAGCGGGGCGGGCGCGCCTGGCCCCGCCAGGGCCTAAGTTCCCTGCACTCGCTTCCTCGCCTGTCGCCGCCGCCGCCGCCCGCAGCCCTCCTTCTCGTGGGCGCTGGGGAAGAAACTCGTCGGCGGGTCTAACTGTGGCGTCCCAGGGCGGTGGAGGGACGGAGCAGCTTCGGGGGCACGTCCTCGTAAATCCCGTGGAGGACACTGACCCTGCACCCCACCCTCGAGGCCAGAAGTCGGTTCCCTTTGGGGACCTGAGGGGCGAGAGCACTCGCCCCCCTGACTTGCAAAGTTGGCGTCTTTACTTGGCCTCCGGGATTCTGCGCATGGCGTGTCTCCAGGCTGCTGATGGGCAAGACAGATGTGCCAGGTCCAGAATGAACTTGAGAAGAGTTTGTAGCCATTCCTGAATCACCTTATGACTAGTGGGGCAAGCCTCAAATTAACCTCAGGATTTCCGGTAGGTTGGATTGTGGTGTTGGTGTTTCCACTCAAAAGAGTTGCTGTGATTTCCCTGTGTCTGTCTGTCTGTCTGTCTTTGGGGCTTCTTAGATCATCTCATTTGGCATCCTTTCACCCAAGAGTTAAACCAAGCCTTTTGGAATGGTTTCCTCGCTTTCCTCCTATCTATTGCTGGTAGAGCTGCTTTCGAAAAGAAGTATTTTCTTGAAGTGGTATCTTTTCTTTGGGTTACAGTGTTGAATAATAAACTCCTTTCTTTGCCGAAAGAATGAATTCCAGTGCTTACTGAAGTTAAAGAAAAGTGATCTGCTGGTAGTTTTTAATCTTTGTTCTGAGCTGATGTAAGTAACTTTTTTTGTTTTAAAATTTTGTTAGTAGAATTTCACCAGTGTACCAGAAGCTCTTTTTCTTTTTCTTTTCTTTTCTTTTTTTTTTTTTTTTTTGACAGGGAGTCTCGCTCTGTCGCCAGACTGGAGTGCAGTGGCGACGTTGGTTCACTGCAACCTCCACCTCCTGCGTTTAAGCAATTCTCCTGCCTCAGCCCCGCGAGTAGCTGGGACTACAGGCGCGCGCCACCACTCCCAGCTAATTTTTGTATTTTTAGTAGAGATGAGGTTTCACCATGTTGGCCACGATGGTCTTGATCTCTTGACCTCGTGTTCCACCCGCCTCAGCCTCCCAAAGTGTTGGGGTTACAGGCGTGAGCCACCGTGCCCGGCCTTCTTTTTCTTTTCTTTTCTTTTCTTTTTTTTTTTTTTTTTTTTTTTTAAGGCTGAGTCTCACTCTGTTGCCTAGGCTGGATATATTCTCCTGCCTCAGCCTCCCGAGTAGCTGGGATTACAGGCGTACATCACCACGCCCGGCTAATTTTTTTTTTTTTGTATTTTTAGTAGAAACGGGGTTTCACCGTGTTGGTCAGGCTGGTCTCGAACTCCTGACCTCAAATGATCTGCCCGCCTCGGCCTTCGAAAGTGCTGGGATTACAGGCGTGAGCCAGCGCACCTGGCCCAGGTGGTCTTTTTTCTGTTCTAAAATGATAACTACGATTTCCGAGAACTTTGTGTCAAATAAATCTTAGAACTAAGTTATTGAAGTATAGAGAAAAAGTTCACAATTCTAAATGTGCAGGTGGTCTGGGTGCGGTGGCTCACGCATGTGATCCTAGCATTTTGGGAGGCAGAGGCAGGTGGATCACTTGAGCCCAGGAGTTTGAGACCAGCCAGGGCAACGTGGCAAAACCCCATTTTCTACTAAAAATACAAAAATTAGCTGGGTGTGGTTGTGTGCGCTGGTAGTCCGAGCTACCCAGGAGGCTGAGGTGGGAGGATCACCAAAGCCGGGGAGGTCGAAGTTGCAGTGAGCCTTGATCATGCCACTGCACTCCAGCCTGAGCGGCAGAGTGAGACCGTCTTTCAAAAAAAACAAAAACAAAAAACATCGCAGGTAATGAATTTTTACTAAGTGAACCACCAAAGATCAAGAAATAGGACATTACTAGATTGGAGTATGTACGTAGGAGTGGCATTGTTGGTTTTATAGGTACGTGGGTGATAAAACTCTAGTATTAGAAATTGTTGAACATTTTCCCAAAGTGGTTCTACCAATTAGCAGGGAATGTTCCGGTTACCCCACATCCTTGCTGGTGCTTGTCAGTTGAAATTTTTTTTGCTAGTCTAGTAGAGGTACAGTAATATATCAGTGTGGTTTCATTTTGCATTTTCCTGGTACTGAGGTTGAGTATCTTTTGTTGACCATTTATATTTCCTCTTGTGAAGTGCCTGTTAAGTCTTTTTGCCCAGTTTTCGTTGATATGCTTATTTTTCTCTCATTTATAATGCTTTATTCTGGATATGAGTCCTTTCTAGGATATATATGTATTGCATTTTTATTTTTTTCAGTCTGTATTTTGCCTTTTCAGTCTTTTAATGGTGTTTTTTTTCATGCCTGGAGATTCTTAATTTGTGTGTGTGTGTGTTTTTTGTTTGTTTGTTTTGTAAGATGGAGTCTCACTCTGTTGCCAGGCTAGAGTGCAGTGGCGCGATCTCGGCTCACTGCACCCTCGCCTCCCGGGTTCAAGCAATTCTCCTGCCTCAGCCTACTGAGTAGCTGGGACTATAGGTGTGTGCCACCATGCCCGGCTAATTTTTGTATTTTTAGTAGAGACAGGGCTTCACCATGTTGGCCAGGGTGGTCTTGATTTCTTGACCTCATGATCCATCCACCTCGGCCTCCTAAAGTGCTGGGATTACAGGTGTGAGCCACCGTGCCTGGCCTTTTTTTTTTTTTTTTTTTTTTTTGAGACAGAATCTCACTCTGTTGCCCAGGTTGGAGTGCAGTGGCACGATCACGGCTCACTGCAATCTTGATCTCCCAAGACTCAGGTATTCCTCCTGCCTTAACCCCCAAGTAGCTGGAACTACAGATGAGCACCACCATGCCCAGCTAATTTTTGTATCTTTAGTGGAAATGGGGTTTTGCCATGTTGCATAGGCTGGTCTCGAACTCCTGGGCTCAAGTCATACACCTACACCAGCCTCAGCCTCCCAAAGTGTTGTGATTACAGGCATGAACCACTGCACCCAGCCTGAGATTCTTAATTTTAATGAAGTATACTTTATCAATCTTGTCCTTTATGGTTACTGCTTTTTGTGTCCTATTTAAGAAATCAATGCCTAACCTGAGAATATGAACATATTTTTCTGTGTTGTCTTATAGCAATTTTATTTTACTTTTTGCAAAAAAAATTTTTTTTTTTTTCAGACAGGGTCTGAAGTGCAGTGGTGCAGTCTCAGAACACTGCAACCTCCGCCTCCTGTGCTCAAGCATTCCTCCCACCTCAGCCTCCTGAGTAGCTGTGACTACGACTACAGGCATATGCCACCATGCCTGGCTAATTTTTGTATGTTTTGTAGAGTCAGGGTTTCAACATATTACCCAGGCTGGTCTCAAACTCTTGGGCTCAAGCAATCTGCCCTCTTCGGCTTCCCAAAGTGCTGGGATTACAGGTGTGAGCCACTGTACCCATCCCCTACTTTTTGCATTTAAGGTATATAATTTAGAGTAAATTCTTGATGAATCGCAGGGGTCAAGATTCACTTTTTAGGCCGGGCGTGGTGGCTCATGCCTGAAATCCCAGCACTTTGGGAGGCCGAGGCGAGCGGATCATGAGGTCAGGAGTTTGAGACCAGCCTAGCCAACATGGCGAAACCCTGTCTCTACTAAAAATACAAAAATTAGCTGGGCGTGGTGGCGGGTGCCTGTAATCCCAGCTACTCAGGAGGCTGAGGCAGGAGAATCGCTTGAACCTAGGAGGCAGAGGTTGCAGTGAGCCGAGATTGTGCCATTGCACTCTAGCCTGGGCGACAGAGTGAGACTCGGTCTCAAAAAAAAAAAAAAAAATTTACTTTTTTTTTTCTTTGAGACAAGGTCTCACTGTATCACCCAGGCTGGAGTGCAGTAACATGATCTCCACCTGCTTTGACCTCCCAAAGTGCTGGGATTTAGGCATGACCCACTGCACCGGGCCAAGATTCACTTTTTTCTATATAGACGTCTGTTTGATCCAGCACCATTTATTGCAAATACCATCCTTGTCCATCTGCACTGTGTGGCACTTTTTTTCATAAATTAGATAACAGTATGGTCAGCTAATTTATGAAATTAGTGTGGGTCTGTTTCTGGATACTTTGTTCTATTTGTATATTTGTCATCCTTGCACTAATATCACTGTATTAATGTAACTTTATAATAAGCTTTGATATGTGGTAATATAAGCTCTCCAACTTTGAGAGGTGGGCAAAGAAAGTGGGCTGTGGGCAGGGGCTGCTTTTCATCAAACACACTTCTGTTTAACCCCTTGGCTTTCAGCCTTGAGCCTTACTTTACTTTTCTTGAGTCTGGAGTCTCACAGGTGTATTAGTCTGTTCTCATGCTGCTATGAAGAATACCCAAGACGGGGTAATTTATAAAGAAAAGAGGTGTAATTGACTTACAGTGCCATATGGCTGGGGAGGCATCAGGAAACTTACAACCATGGTGGAAAGCACCTCTTCACAGGGGAACAGGAGAGCGAATGAATGCCCAGCAAAGGGTGAAGCCCCCTGTAAAACCATCAGATCTCGTGAGAACTCACTCACTATCACAATAACAGGGTGGGGGAAATTGCCCCTTTGATTCATTTATCTCCACCTGGTCCTGCCCTTGACATGTGGGGATTATTAACAATTTAAGGTGAGATTTGGGTGGGGACACAGAGCCAAATCGTATCACCAGGTCAGAGTTTCTAGAAAATAAATTTATGAGATAGGAATGGTGGCAGAGGAGGGAACCTAGACTAGAGTCCAACTGTACCTTACATAAACTTTAAACCATTTACTTTCTCTTTAGCCCCATGCCTCTCCACTGACCCTATACCTGGGAACTCCTAGGCTCCTAGATTCTGAGCCTTTCTGTGATTCTGTGAGTTAGCCAAATCAGCTTGCTTCTTTTTATTTTTTAAATTAAAAAAATTTTTATATCACTTTATCTGGCAGCCTTCTTCTGAGCCAGAATAGGCTCAGAGAGACTCCTCAGCTTGTTTCTTGATTGTATTCCCTTTTGCAGGCCAGTAGGTTCAGCCTCCTCTACTCAGTCACTTATTTCTCCATCTCTTCTTGTTTCATGGGTGCCATATCTGTTCTTATCTCTCTGAGAATGTTAAAAATCGTTTTCTTAAGCCTTTCTTTTTTTTTTTTTGAGACGGAGTCTCAGCCACCCAGGCTAGAGTGCAGTGGCGTGATCTCGGCTCACTGCAGCCACCATCTTCCGGGTACAAGCGATTCCCCGTCTCGGCCCTCCAAGTAGCTGGTATTACAGGCATCTGCCATCATGCCCAGCTAATTTTTGTATTTTTAGTAGAGCCGGGTTTTCACCATGTTGGCCAGGCTGGTCTTGAACTCCTTACCTCAGGTGATCCGTCCACCTTGGCCTCCCAAAGTGCTAGGACTACAGCTGTGAGGCACTGCACCTGGCCTAGACCTTCTTTTCCTTGCATAGTTTCTTCCAAGTTACTTTTTTTCCTATTTGGTATAGTCTTATTAGTAGAGGCCCTCCTCGGAAGACTGGTAATCCTTGGTTGTCTGTTCATGATTAACAGTGGGCTACTGAAAGCTGATGGGAAGTCCTGAACTTGTAAGTAGGACTTAAGGACATGTTGTTTTACCCTATATTCTAGAGTCTAAAGCAGTGATTCTCAGCTTCGGCTGCACATTATAATCACATGGAGAATTAAAAAAAAAAATCCCTGCTGCTAATACGTCAGAATCTCTGAGACTAGGTCCCAGGTAGGGATAGTTAAAAAAATTAGGTGTGGCTACATACAGTAAAATGCACAGAATTTAAGTGTATAGTTTGATTTTTACCATGTAACCGATATAAGATGTAGAGCATGGCAAAAAATTCTAGAAAATTCCTTCATATCCCTTTCTTCTGTTGTCTCACTCCCAGCCTAGAGGTGACCACTATTCTGATTTCTATCTCCGAAGATTAGCACCAGTATTTTTTAAAGCTGCCAAGATAATTCCAGTGTGTAGCCAAGATTGAAATAATTGATCTGGGTGGATTGTTTGAGGCTGTCTCCACTGTATTTATCTTTCCTTTTGTCCCAGTCATATTTTCCAGAGAGTATCTTCCAGTTTTCTGCTTGGAGAGTTGAGGTCTGGTTGTCAGTATCTGGGAACTCAGGAAAAGAGGGTTGGGTAAGGAGCCAAAGAACATTTAGTATATTGGGCTCACACAATCTGTCTCTGTTAGGATGCCTATGTCTTCCACCTTGTATGGTTTACCCTCTTGAGAAGAGAAATCTGTCACCTGCCACATTGAGGGTGGGGCCACTCAGCAGCTTGGAAGAAATCTGGGATTCTAACTGTTCAGCATTCACTTGCTCCTTTCTTTTAGTCCCCCTTCCACTCTTTGTTCTGGCAGTTCCTGAGCCTTTTGAGGAATCTATGGCATAAACCGGTTTGTTCTTAGTTGTCAGCATTGCTGGCTTAGAATTTGGCCATCTTTGGCGGGGTGCAGTGGCTCACCCCTGTAATCCCAGCCCTTTGGGAGGCTGAGGCAGGCAGATCATGAGGTCAAGAGATCGAGACCATCCTGGCCAACATGGTGAAACCCCGTCTCTACTAAAAATACAAAAATTAGCTGTGCGTGGTGGCGTGCGCCTGTAGTCCCAGCTACTCAGGAGGCTGAGGCAGGAGGATTGCTTGAACCCAGGAGGTGGAGGTAGCAGTGAGCTGAGATTGCGCCACTGCACCTCCAGCCTGGCGACAGAGTGACACTCCGTCACAAAAAAAAAAAAAAAAAGATTTTGGCATCTTTGACTAGGTCAGTTATCCAGCTGCTTTCCAGCTTCCAAAATTTTGTTGCTATTGTCTCATTCTCCCTGTCATAATGGCTTGTGTCCTAAAAACAGAACAAACAACAATAACACAACTTTCTTTATCCTTGTTTTAGTAACGTTTTGGGAGGAAGCAAAATTAGATGTGTGTGTGTTCAATCTGCCATCTCACCTTGGAAGTCCACTGTCTGCTTTCCATTATACAGAAACTTGTTGCCACCTGTCCTCCATTGTTGTCTCCTCCTTATGGGGTTATACCTTTTAAATTTCTTCATAGTTGTCTGAAAAGAGTGTCAGGAGGTAGAGGACCTAAATATTGGTCAAGATATCATTTCTTTAGGAGTCTCAAAATTCTTTTTAGAAGTACTCGTTGTCCCAGGATCTTATAATCTCAAGATTGGAAGTGATTTTGAAGATAATCCGGTTTAACGAGCTATTTGATACCTTCTCTAAAGGAATTGTCCAGCCTAAAATGTGAGAAACTTGTGGTAGGAGGAGATGAGTGCCTGGAGAAATGGATTGGGCTGTAGATCTCTGCAAGGGGTCTGGAAATCCATGTGTACATTAAATGTTGCATGAATAATAGTTCTTGCATATTTGTAATATATAATAAAATTTATTAAAAAGTCATAATGGGCCGGGCGTGGTGGTGGCTCACGCCTGTAATCCCAGCACTTTGGGAGTCTGAGGCAGCTGGATCACCTGAGGTCAGGAGTTTAAGACCAGCCTGGCCAACATAGTGAAACCCCATCTCTACTAAAAATACAAAAAATTGGCTGGGTGCAGTGGTTCACACCTGTAATCCCAGCACTTTGGGAGGCCAAGGCGGGTGGATCACGAGGTCAGGAGATTGAGACCATCTTGGCTAACATGGTGAAACCCCGTCTCTACTAAAAATACAAAAAATTAGCCAGGCGTGGTGGCGGGCGTCTGTAGTCCCAGCTACTCGGGAGGCTGAGGCAGGAGAATGGCGTGAACCCGGGAGGCGGAGCTTGCAGTGAGCTGAGATCTTGCCACTGCACTCCAGCCTGGGCGACGAGCGAGACTCTGTCTCAAAAAAAAAAAAAAAAAAGTTAGCTGGCTATGGTGGTGTGCACCTGTAGTCCCAGCTACTTGGTAGGCTGAGGCAGGAGAATCACTTGAACATGAGAGGCAGAGGCTGCAGTGAGTCGAGATCATACCACTGCACTCCAGCTTGGGTGACAGTGAGTGAAACTCCATCTCAAAAAAAAAAAAAAAAGTCATGATGGTGTTATCATTTCATTTAGTAATGCTTAAATCCAATCATGGGGAGAGGTAGTACTCAGAATTTTTTATTTTGAAAAAAGCTTCTAGACTAGAAAAAGTTATGAGCTATTACTAAAGATTAATAAAGTTGTGGAGATTTTAGTGTATAGTTAACATAAAGTGAATGATAAAACCACCCATTAAAGTCTCTATTTTAAATATCTCTAATAGCTTTGTTATTCTTTGACATTCTATATTTTTATTTTCTTTAAAACACTAAGTCAGTAGCTTCCCAAATGTTGCTCTTTGAGTTAGAATTTTTACCATGAAGTTCATGATGAAATAGAAATGTTATCAATGTTTATACAATTTATTCACCTTTAAATTATATCCATCCTTTTTCTGTGTTAAAATGCCCTTTTTCTTATGAAGTTGTGATTCTAGATAGTAGATAGATTTTTTCCTTCTAATATTTGGCAAAAAATAAAAACCTGCGAGCTCTACATATTGCTCTTCAAATTAATTTTTTTTTTTTTTTTTTGAGATGGAGTCTTGCTCTGTCGCCCAGGCTGGAGTGCAGTGGCGCAATTTTGGCTCACTGCAACCTCCGCCTCCCGGGTTCACGCCATTCTCCTGCCTCAGCCTCCCAAGTAGCTGGGACTACAGGCGCCCACCACCACGCCTGGCTAATTTTTGATATTTTTAGTAGAATCAGGGTTTCACCGTGTTAGCCAGGATGGTCTTGATCTCCTGACCTCGTGATCCACCTGCCTCGGCCTCCCAAAGTGCTGGGATTACAGGCGTGAGCCACCGTGCCCGGCCTCAAATTAATTTTTAACAAGTTTTATAAAATACAGAAGCCTGCTTCTCAACTGCACAAAATCCCCATTGGCCTTTTCTTTCTACCACAAGTTAGTAACAGTCAGTCATGTGTTGCTTAACAATGGGGATATGTTCTGAGAAATGAGTTGTTAGACAATTTCACTGTTGCATGAACATCGTAGAATACACTTAGACAAAGCTAGATAATAGAGCCTACTATACACACCTAGGCTATATGGTATAGCCTTTTGCTCCTAGGCTACAAACCTGTACAGTATGTTATTGTATGGAATACTGTAGGCAGTTGTAACACAGTGGTACTTGTGTATCTAAACAGCAAAGATACACCAAAAGTACTATATTATAATCTCATGAGACCACCCTCTTTTTTTTTTTTTTTGAAATGCAGTCTCGCTGTGTCTCGCAGGCTGGAGTGCAGTGGCGCTATCTCAGCTCACTGCAACTTCTGCCTCCTGGGTTCAAACTATTCTCCTGCCTGAGCCTCCCAGTAGCTGGGATTATAGGCACACACCACTACACATGGCTAATTTCTACATTTTTATTAGAGATGGAGTTTCACCACGTTGGCCAGGTTGGTCTTGAACTCCTGACCTCAAATGATCCACCTGCCTCAGTCTCCCAAAGTGCTGGGATTACAGGCGTGAGCCACTATGCTCAGGCAGGGACTACCCTCTTATATGTGGTATCCATTGACTGAAATGTTCTTATGCGGTGCATGACTGTATTTTACTTTTGTGTTTGTATATAAAATTCAAGATATCAATCAGATGACATGGGGAATTTTTACTATCTCTCATGGTGTTACGATAGTCCTTCCTCATTGGAAGAATGTAGATTGATTAATTGTTGTTAGAACCTGTTGATTGTGACCCCCTAAGTTTGCTTGCAAAGTGTCATCTCATTTCTCACTAGGTATTGCTACTAGCCTGGTATGTTTATTTTGCATTTTTAGCTGTTTACTTCAAGAGAGCTTTCTCTGCTTGTACTGTTTGCAGTTTATCCTTTTAAGTGGCCAAAACCAATGTGGGTTTAGTGCCTTGTTCATTGTTCTTTGTGCTCATCCAACTCACACAGTTAAACTCTCTGAAAAGTGTTCCCTAAAGTTAGTTAAACTGGCTATTATCTGGGTTTTTGTTGTTGTTTTTGCTATTTAGTGTCTTGTAAGTTTGTTATCAGGACTCCTCTTAAGTAACTGCTAGCTCCTTTGTTCTTGAAAGGGACCTTGATGAGAGATAGGAACAAAACTTGCTTTATTATGGATAATGCTTTTTTTGTTTGTTCATAGGAAAGCGTAAGCACTGAGATAGAAGGAAGGATGGGGATTTTGTCTGAGTTGGTGCTCAAATGATTATTTGCTGTTGTCTTTGGCCTGAATCTTTTGTATGTCAGAAATGAATCCAGTATGCTCATAAATTATGCTAGTGACTTTATCAGAACAGCGTTAGCAGATACTGTATAAAAGTGTAGCTTTAATGATTAATTATATAATATATTTGAATGAAATACATGAGAAAGGTAGAAGAAAAATGTAATATCTTCAGGCATACCAGAAATCAGGATAGTTTGGAAAACTGAGCATAATTTGATGGTGAAAAGACCTTGAAGTAAATTGAAAATGAATTTTGGGGATAAGTCATGAATAATGTAATGTCTTTGAATACAGTAGTCCTCCCTTATCTGCAGTTTTACTTAACTGTGGTCAATTACAGTCTGAAAATATTAAATGGAAAATTCCAGAAATAATTTGTAAGTTTTTTTTTGTTTTTTTTTTTTTGGAGACAGGGTCTTGCTCTGTTGCCCAGACTGTAGTGCAGTGGGGTGATCATGGCTTACTGCAACCTTGACCTCCTGGGCTCAAGCAATCCTCCCACCTCAGCCTCCTGAGTAGCTGGGATTACAGGTATGTGCTGCCACACCTGGCTAATTAAAAAATTTTTTTTTCTCATAGAGATGGGGTCTTGTTATGTTGTCCAGGCTAGTCTCGAATTCCTGGGCTTCAGTGATCCTTCTGCCTCAGGCTCCCAAAGTGTTGGGATTACAGGCGTCAGCCACTGCACCTGACCAATTTAATGAGTTTTGATAAAGTTATACACCTATGTGAATCATTCCTATTGTGGTTGCTGTAGTTAATCCCCATTGTTGTGATTTTTTTGTTTTATTTTCAGAGATGAGGTCTTGCCCTGTTTCCCAGGCTGGAGTGCAGTAGTGTGATCATAGCTCAGTGCAGCCTTGAGCTCCTGGGCTCAAGCGATCTTCCTGCCTCAGCTTTCTAAGTAGTGGGGACAACAGGGTTTGTGCCACCGCACTTGGCTAATTTTTGGGGGTCTTGCTCTGTTGCCCAGTCTGGAATTGTGATATCTTTTACCATAGATTAGTTTTTCTTGTTCTTGAACTTCACATAAGTAGAATAACAGTGTGTTTTCTTTTGTGTCTGCTTCTTTTGGTCAAAATAATGTTTTTGAAATTCATCCGTGATCTTGTACATATCAGTAGTTCTTTTTAATCCATGCATATTAATACATTGTATGAATATAATACAGTTTATTTGTCCTATCTCCTATTTGGCTATTATGAATAAAGTAGCTATGAAGTTTTTTTTTTTTTTTTTGAGACAGCCTGTTGCTCAGGCTGGAGTGCAATGGCACGATCTCGGCTCACTGCAACCTCTGCCTCCTGGGTTCAAGAGATTCTCCTGGCTCAGCCTCCCGAGTGCTGGGATTACAGGCATGTGCCACCACATCCGGCTAATTTTGCATTTTTAGTAGAGATGGGGTTTCTCCATGTTGGTCAGGCTGGTCTTGAACTCCTGACCTCAGGTGATCTGCCCACCTCGGGCTCTGAAAGTGCTGGGATTACAAGTGTGAGCCACCATGCCTGGCCCTTTTTTTTTTTTTTTTTTAAGATGGGGTTTCTCTCTTGTCGCCCAGGCTGGAGTGCAATGGTGCAATCTCGGCTCAGTACAACCTCCACCTCCCAGGTTCAAGTGATTCTCCTGCCTCAGCCTCCCGAGTAGCTGGGATTACAGGTGCCTGACACCATGCCTAGCTAATGTTTGTATTTTTAGTAGAGACAGGGTTTCACCATCTTTGGCAGGCTGGTCTTGAACTCCTCCTGTCCTCAGGTGATCCACCTGCCTCGCCCTCCCAAAGTGCTGGGATTACAGGCATGAGCTACTGCACCCAGCCGCTATGAAGTTTTGGCTGTGAGTCTTTTTGTAGACATACACTTTCATTTATTTTGGATAAATGAATAGTGGTGGAATTACTGAGTTGTAGGGAAGATGTATGTTTAACTTTAGAAGACAATGCTAAACAATTTTCCCCAAGAAATTACAGGCACCCGCCACCAAGCCCGGCTAATTTTTGGTATTTTTAGTAGAATCAGGGTTTCACTGTGTTAGCCAGGATGGTCTTGATCTCCTGACCTCGTGATCAGCCCGCCTTGGCCTCCCAAAGTGCTGGGATTACAGGCGTGAGCCACCTCGCCTGGCCAGTTTCTTTTTATATCTGTTAAAACTTGTAGTATTATTTCTTGTATTTCTTGGGGAAATTTGTAAAATTACCATTTTACATTCCACTCTGCCATCTATAAAAGATCTAGTTGAGTGACAAATCAGAATTGAGTTTTAGAAAGATTATTCTGGTACAGTGGGCAGGCCGGGTGTGGTGGCTCACGCCTGTAATTCCAGCACTTTGGGAGGCCGAGGTGGGCAGATCACAAGGTCAGGAGTTTGAGACCAGCCTGATCAACATGGTGAAACCCCGTTTCTACTAAAAATAAAAAATTAGCTGGGCGTGGTGGTGTGTGCCTGTAATCCCAGTTACTCAGGAGGGTGAGGCAGGAGAATTGCTTGAACCCAGGAGGCGGAGGTTGCAGTGAGCTGAGATTGCACCATTGCACTCCAGCCTGGGCGACAGAGCGAGACTCCGTCTCAAAAAAAATAATAAAAAGAGTATTCTAGTACAGTGGGGTATAAGACTTGGAATAGGTAAAACACACAGTAAAGTAATACACTTGAAAATTGATGTATTCCGGGCAGGCGTGGTGGCACATGTCTGTAATCCCAGCTACTTGGGAGGCTGAGGCAGGAGAATTGCTTGAACCTTGGGAGGTGGAGATTGTGGTGAGCCGAGATCGTGCCACTGCACTCCAGCCTGGGTGACAGAGGGAGACTCCGTCTCAAAAAAAAAAAAAAAAGAAAAGAAAATTGATATATTCCTTATCCAAGGAATTGGTAGGGAGGTAGATAAGCTTATGGATTCTAGCGCTGTAAGGACATGGAATCCTTAGACTTGATATATGGGGTGAGGATAAGGTAGGGATCAGGTGACCCCTATGTATCTGTTATAGGCTGCTGGATGTTGGTATGACAATAGAGTGAACACTGTGGAGGAAAAGATTTAAAGGGAAGGAGTGATGAGTTCCATTTTGTTTGTAAGTAGTAACTGGGAGTAAAGGAAGTATGAGATATCTCTGGGAGTGTGTGTAGGAAGGATGGAGTAGAATTGGAATGTTGGGGACCAGTAACATTTAAGAAATGAGCTGATGAAGAGTCTGCATAAGAACAAAAGGAGTAGCCACTATAAAAGGAAACCAAGGAAAGTGATTTAACAGAAGTTAAAAGAATAGAACTTTGAAGAGGGAGGAAGCGGCTGGAATGTTGTTAGTGTGAGTAAAAATACAGACTTCTCGCCAGGCGCTGTGGCTCTCTCCTGTAATCCCAGTACTTTGGGAGGCCGAGGTGGGTGGATCACCTGAGGTCAGGAGTTCAAGACTAACCTGGGCAACATGGTGAAACCCTGTCACTACTAAAAATACAAAAATTAGCCGGGAGTGGTGTCAGGTGCCTGTAATCCCAGCTACTTGGGAGGCTGAGGCAGGAGAATCACTTGAACCCAGGAGGCGGAGGTTGCAGTGAACCGGGATCGGGCCATTACATTCCAGTTTGGGTGGCAGATCGAAAAAACAAACAAACAAAAAAACCCAGACTTTTGGAGGTTTCTTTTTCTTTTTTTTGAGATGGAGTCCCGCTCTGTCGCCCAGGCTGGAGTTCAGTGGCGCGATTTCGGCTCACTGCAACCTCCACCTCCCGGGTTCACACCATTCTCCTGCCTCAGCCTCCCAAGTAGCTGGGACTACAGGCACCTGCCACCACGCCCGGCTAATTTTTGGTATTTTTAGTAGAATCAGGGTTTCACTGTGTTAGCCAGGATGGTCTTGATCTCCTGACCTCGTGATCAGCCCGCCTTGGCCTCCCAAAGTGCTGGGATTACAGGCGTGAGCCACCTCGCCTGGCCAGTTTCTTTTTATATCTGTTAAAACTTGTAGTATTATGTTACTTGTCCCAGTAGTTATACTTTATGGAATAAATCCTAGAGAAACGTACACATGTGGAGAAATGTCTTTAACATATATTAATAATAGTAAAAAATCGGAAGCACTCCAAGTATCCATCAATAGAGGATTGGTTAAATCAAGTATAGTACATTTATATTTATATGATGGAATGCTATACAGCTGATGGAGTATGGTGTCTATACTGTGTTACTTTCCTGTGCGGCTGTAACAAATTAGTACAAACTTAGTGACTTAAAACAAATTTAATCTCTCACAGTTCTGAAGGTCAGAGTTCAAAATGTTTCACTGGGTTAAAGTCAAGATTGTAGCAGGGCTGGTTTCTTCTGGAGGCTCTGGGGGAGAATCTTCTCTAGCTTCTCGAGCTGCGTTCCTTGTATTCCTTACTTTGCATTCCTTGTCTCCATCCTCCATCTTCAAACCCAGCAGCATAGCATCTTCAAATTTTTTTCTGTTTGTGCCTTCACATTGTTTTCTCTCTCATAAAGACTTATGTGATTATATCAGTCACAACCCAGATAATTCAAGATAACCTCCCTTCTCATGATCTTTTTTTTGTTGTTGAGATGGGAGTCTCACTCTGTCACCCAGGCTGGAGTGCAGTGGTGCCATCTCGGCTCACTGCAGGCTCTGCCTCTCGGGTTCATGCCATTCTCCTGCCTCAGCCTCCTGAGTAGCTGGGAGTACAGATGCCCACCACCACACCCGGCTAATTTTTTATATATTTTTTTTAGTAGAGACGAGGTTTCACCATGTTACCCAGGATGGTCTTGATCTGACCTTGTGATCTGCCTGCCTCGGCCTCCCAAAGTGCTGGGATTACAGGCGTGAGCCACCGTGCCCAGCCTACCTCAAGATCTTTAACTTAATCATAGCTGCAAAGCACCCTCTGCCGTATAAGATAACATAGTCACAGGTTCCAGGTATTGGGATGTGGAGCTCTTTGCCTGGGGCAGGTAGGGTGGCAGGGGGCGTGAGAGGAGGGAGGGAATTAATCTTCGTACCACAAATACTGACAAGGACAGAAGATCAAAGTACTTTAAGTAAAATAAATTGTCAAGGAAATATGTAAAATTTTCTAATTTTGTAAAATTTAAAACATTACATATATACCTAAATGTCATATGTATTATTAGAAAAGAAATCTTGATGAATATATACCATATTGTTAACTGTGACTGTCTTTGAGAGTGAGATTACAGAGTACTTGGACTTCCATTTTCTTCTGGATATTTGGGTTCTTAACATGTATTTTCTAATCAGAAAAATCAGAATAAAAGGAGAGAATGGTACTGGGGCATATGTTGCAGAGAGATCAAGTTAAGATAAGGACTGTCAAGTGTTTACTTGATTTAGCAACAAAGAGGTTCTTGGTAAGTAACCTTGGTTAAGTGTGGTTTCAGAAAAATGGCAGAATAGAATTTGCAATGAAAAAGTGGGAGGTGAGAAAGGAAAGAGTGAAAAGCTAAACATTTTTTGTAGTTGCTTAGCTATGGGGAAGGGAGAATACAGTGAGACACAGGGTACTTAGGGGGATGTAAGATTCAGCGAGATTTTGTTTTTGTTTTGTTTTTTTGAGACAGGGTCTTGCCCGGTCGCCCAAGCTGGAGTGTGGTGGTGCGTTCATGGCTCACTGCAGTCTTGATCTACTGGGCTCAAGCAGTCCTCTCACCTCAGCCTCCTGAGTAGCTGGGACTACAGGCATGTGCTGCCACACCCGGCTACTTTTTGTATTTTTTGTAGAGATGGGGCTTCATCTTGTTGCCCAGACTGGTCTTAAACTCCTGGGATCAAGCAGTCCACCTGCCTTGGCCTCCCAAAGTCCTGGGATTACAGATGTCAGTCAGTCACCACACCCAGCCAAGATTTTTAAATATGGCAGAGGAGCAGGTTTAAAAATTGAGAGCAGAAACTGGGAAGAAGGGAGCAATCACCTGAGCTCTAGGAGAGTCCAAAGAGCATAAGCTCTGACGGAAGTCTTCTGACTTTAGACAGAATACCTACTTGCCTATGGCAGGTGAGAACTAGAAAGGTGTGGATGTGTTGGAGTTGAGTATGTAACACTTTAGATTCCTTTAATATTATCAGATTTAAAAAAACCTCTTGCAGTCCTAAATGCTTTTTTGGCGTCTTCTGAAAGTCTTTTATTGTGTAGCTGTGTATCTTTAGTCTTGCTTATGTACTCTCATTGTATTGACTTGTCCCAGAAATGTCTGATTTTTTCTGTAACCTAGTATATGGAGCTCAGGGAATTAAGACCTTAGTTTTCTATTATAGTGCAGCATTTTGAGGATTTTTTTTTTCCTGTTATATTTGAAACTAACCATTGCATAAAAAATTTGCTTATATGAGTTCTCTTTTTTTTTTTTTTGAGATAGGGTCTTGCTCTGTTGCCCAGGTTGGAGTGCAGTGGTGTGATCTTGGCTCACTGCAACCTCCGCCTCCGAGGTTCAAGTGATTCTCTTTCCTCAGCTTCCCAAGTAGCTGGGATTATAGGCGTTTGCCACCATGCCTAGCTAATTTTTGTATTTTTAGTAGAGACAGTGTTTCGCCACATTGGCCAGGCTGGTCTCGAACTCCTGGCCTCGAGTGATTCACCCGCCTTGGCCTCCCAAGGTGCTGGGATTACAGGCGTGAACCACTGTGCTCTGCCAAAAAATCTGCTTATTTGAGTCTGTATAAATTTCCTGGAATGTTACAACAGTAAAGCATTAGAATTATTGCTTAATTCAAGGAAACCAAGATTCAAAGAGCTTAAATAACTTGTCAGAGCCATACATCTTGTTAATAGAACATGGTGCTTTACCTGGTGAGATGCTGAAGACCTTTAAAAAATTATTTTATTGATATTTAGTATATTTGTGCCAGGATTCCCTGATTTTTCACATGTATCTTTTTCCAGTTTTGATTAAGAGAACATTTTTTCCACCTCATAATTTCATCACTCTTTTCTTTTACGTATATAGTAGTTCCCCCTTATCCTCGGGAGATACATTCCAAGACTACTAGTGATACCTGAAACTGTGGATGGGACCAAATCCTATGCGTAGCATGTATTTACCTGTTCATACCTACCTATGATAGAGTTTTATTTATAAATTAGGCACAGTAACAGAGTAAAGACAACAATTAATAATTATTACTAGTCAAATATTATTAAGTAAAATAAGGATTACTTGAGCACAAGCACTGTCATACAGCAACAATAGTGGATCTGATAAATGAGATGCATACTAAGTAACTAACAGGCGGATAGCATATACAGTATGGATACACTGGGCAAAGTGATGGTTCATGTCCCAGGTGGAACAGGGCAGATGGCATATAATTTAGAATTGATGAATTGGATTTTTTTTTTTTTTTTTTTTGAGAGGGAGTCTTGCTCTGTCTCCCAGGCTGGAGTGCAGTGGTGTGATATCAGCTCACTGCAACCTCTGCCTCCACAGGTTCCAGTGATTGTCCTGCCTCAGCCTCCCGAGTCGCTGGGATTACAGGTGTGTGCCACCACGCCCAGCTAATTTTTGTATTTTCAGTAGGGACAGAGTTTCACCATTTTGGCCAGGCTGTTCTCAAACTCCTGACCTCAAGTGATCCGCCTGCTTTGGCCTCCCAAAGTGCTGGGATTATAGGCTTGAATCACTGCGCCTGGCCGAGAATTAATGAATTGTTTATTTCTGGAATTTTCCATGTAATATTTTTGGACCAGCTTGATGGCAGGTAGCTGAAACCATGGAGAGTGAAACCTCAGATAAGGAGGAACTACTGTACCTGTGTAGTTAAAGTAACTAAAATGGCTAGCATTAAAATAGAGTTTTTAGGCCTTTGCTATGATCTAGACACTATTTACCCTTTTGGAGGATTATATTGAGATTTTTATTGACATTTTAGGATTTTTCAAAACAGTGGTAATTCTTATTTCACATTGGGCAGGGAATGATAGTGCTGTTGAGCATACTTAACATAGTGCTCGATATATTGTGTATACTGAAATTTAAAATTCATATAATATATGCTATATTTTAAGAGTTACTTGTTCTGAATTTGTATTTTTAAGGACTAGCATGAAACATAAGGAAACAGGTATTTTAATACCTTTGCTGCTGTCAAGAAAAAATTGTGTGTGGATATCCTTTTTTTAAAAAAACAAAATGAAACAAAACAATTTTGTGTTTGTGGCGTTGGAAGGTTGAGGTTAGGGAATAGGCTTAGCTCCTCACTTGCGAGCTTGAACAGCTTAGGTATAACAATTTTAGGTGCAGCTTAAATAATCAAATTTCAGTTTTCCAGTGTTCTTATTCAATATATTTTATTAATTATTATTATTATTATTATTATTATTATTATTATTATTATTTTGCAGGGTCTTGCTCTGTCACCCAGCCTGGAGTGGAGTGGCATGATCATAGCTCACTGTAAACTTGAACTCTTGGGCTCAAGTAATCCCAAGTGTCAGACATCTGACACTTGGACAGACTCCTGAGTAGCCAGGACTACAGGCACATGCCACCATGCCTGGCTAGTTTTTAAAAGATTTTTTTGTGGATATGAGATCTCAATATGTTACCCAGGCTGATCTCGAGCTTGCAGCCTGAAGCGACCCTCCCGCCTTGGCTTCCCAAAGTGTTAGGATTACAGGCATGAACCACCATGCCCCGCCCTTTCCCCCCAGTTTTAATACAAAAGAATTTGTGGGGAAGTCAGTAATTTGGTAATACAGCAAAGTGGTTCATGTAATAATAATTCCTTCTCTATGAAGGAAGACAACTTTAGGTTTGGTAGGGAATCCAGCAAAATTCTGTGTTGAAAAGAATTTGATTATAAAAAGAATTGATGCCTGGGAAATAAAGTGGCATGGTGTAGTAGAGCATGGGTTTTGTTTCGTGTCTTTGTTGTTTATAACTTTTCTGGGTCTTTTTTTTTTTTAATCAGAAAAATATGTGTCTTGATATTTACTGTGTAAAGTTGGTCATGAGGAGTGGAAATAATAGCATGTAGTGCCTATAACAGTACTTGCTATATGTTTTGGTGGTCAATATAAATAGCAGCTATATTAATTTTGTGATTATGATATTAAAGGAAGGCTAAATGCATAAAGCAGCCGGTCTTGGTGGCTCACGCCCATAATCCCAGCACTTTGAGAGGCTGAGGTGGGAGGATCACTTGAGCCTAGGAGTTCAAGACCAGCCTGGGCAACATGGTGAGACCCTGTCTCTATTAAAAAAAAAAAAAAAAAAAGGAAGGAAAAAAAATGCAGAAACCTCAGATGAAATTGAAGATATATATAAGGAATGTCTGGTAGCAGAATTGATTTCAATTTTGTTGAATTACCAAATGGTTAAGTATATTACCAAAATTACCTATATGACAGTTTTCTCATGTTAATATGGAGGATTATATTGTCCGCCTCATAAAACTGATGTATGTGCTTAAAAATATTAATTATTCTATTTGTTGGATGATTTAGGTTGGCCTAGTAGCAGAAAAGGTCCTGGGTTTGTATAATTCTTTTATAGATTGTGTTTACCGAAGCATATAACATTAAATAAGACATAATTTTTTGGCATGTAGGAAACTTATTTCGGATACACAGACCATGGTAATTTTCGTTATTTGTAACAAATAAATTGTAATTTGTTATTTATAGTTTTAAGGTCATTATTTCTTCATAAGAAATAAGTATAACCTAGCAATGACTATACTGGACATATTAACTTGAAAAATCTTTTAATACTAGGTAGTAGATTAAATGGCTGGTTAAAGTATTTCATTAATTATTTTTGAATGAAGTTGCACTTGTATAGTTCAAAAGGTTTCAAATGCCAAATAAATCCTAATTCTTCAAGGTAATTGCATGCTGTATCTTGTACAGTTTTGGATATCTTGAAATAAGTTTGGTAATCAGTATCACCAGCTGCTAACTCTGGTTTTATTGAGTCTAAGGATATGGCTGGTATTTTTCGTTACATTGGACCAGGGAGAGGAAGTTTAAGTGTTCTGTCTCAGAGTAGAAACGGAATTATGGAAAGAATTCTTGCCACACCTGTGGTCTACTATCATTTTAAATATTCCTAGATTAACAAACATTGAAAATGCTAAAACTGAGTAATACTTCATTTATTCACGTGAAATGTCTTGATCAGATAACACAAAAATATCAGCTGTACTCAGATGTTTTGAACTGTTGCAAAAATGAGTGTAGGTATGTGTGGTAACTTTGTATGTAGCTTAAGATATTTCTGAGCTGTTTAGCTGATTTAGGGGGTTTTATTTAGCTGGAGAGCAGTGCATGTGGTACTATTTAGTGAAGTTCTCTAGCAGTGAATATAAATATGTATTTGCAGCTAAAACACAAACTCATACTACTGGAGCATTAAATATAAAAAAATTAACCACAAACCTGACATTTTATATTTAGATTTTTTTTTAAACTTAAGCCCTGTAACCAACATAGATTAGTTTGGTGTTTCTCTTACCCTTCGTAAACTTCCATTTGCCTCTGATACAGGCATGTAATTATGATGTGGTAGCCATTGGATGCTTTTTCTCTATTAATTTTCTCTCATTTTCTCTTCTTTTCTTCCTTTCTTTAGAAACTGTTGCTTATAGTTTATGAAGTTGGAAGGTTTCCTTTCATGTAAATTTTATTATTTATTTTTTAAGAGACTCCCTCTGTCACCTAGGCTGGAGTGGAGTGTCACAATCATAGCTCACTACAGCCTCAAACTCTTGGCCTCAAGTGATTCTCACTCCTGGGCCTCCTAAAGTGCTGGGATTCCAGGTGTGAGCCACCATGTCCAGCCCCAAATGTTTAAATTAAATTAATTAATTTAGTTTTAAAGACAGAGTCTTGTTCTTTCACCCAGGCCAGAGTGTAGTGGCATGATCATAGCTCATTGCAGCGTCAAACTCCAGGGTGCCAGTGATTCTCCTGCGTCAGCCTCCCAAGTAGCTGGGACTACAGGCACACACCACCATGCCCAGCTAATTTGGCCTCCGAAAGCACTAGGATTACAGGTGTGAGCCACCGTGCCTGCCTCAAAATGTTAATTTTAAAATCAGGAAAATTTCCGATGTTTCTGTTAGGGTTTATAGGGTTTATATTTAATATAAAAATTATCAAAATTTTTATTGATATTCTTGAGACCTTTAAACATTTATATTTTATATATGTATTTATTTATTTGAGACAAAGTCTCACTCTGCTGCCCAGGCCAAGTGCAGTGGTGTGATCATGGCTCACTGCAGTCTTGACCTCCCAGGCTTAAGCAGTCCTCCCACCTCATCTTCTCAAGTAGCTGGGACCACAGGCATGTGCCACTACACTTGGCTACTTTTTAATTTATTTGTAGAGACAAGGGCTTCCTATTTTGCCCAGGCTGGTCTCGAACTCCTGGACTCAAGGGATTGATCCTCCTACCTTGGCCTTCAAGGTGCTGGGATTACAGGTGTGAGCCACCATGCACAGCCCCTTTTTTTTATTTTTACAGATTTAGGGGTACAAGTGCAGTTTTCACTACATGGTTATATTGTGTAGTGGTGAGGTCTGGACTTTTAGTGTAGCCATCACCTGGATAGTGTATATTGTACCCAGTAAATAACTTCTCCTTCCTTACCTGCCTCCCACCCTCCCACTCTGAGACCTTTTAAAAAATACTGGTTTTACTACATCGATGTAGCAGAAAAAGATTAAGTATAGTCTATAATAGGCTGTTTTCAGAGGAGTTGGGAATTTTCATGTGGTATGTTGATAATTTCATTTTTCAAATATAATTTCTGCCTTAATATTTTAGTTAATAGAATTTCTTAAATAGGTAATAAGATTAGTTTTAGGCAGGCAATAAAATCCTCAGGGTCATGACGTATTCTGATATGCTATGTTTTGACTTTTATGTTCTACAGTTAGTTTTAGCTTACCTTCTTAGCAGTGATTTATAGTTGTCATAACATTTAGGGCTGAATGTTTAGTATCTTGGCTCTATCATTTATTAATTAGCTAAGGGATCTTGGGTAAGTTGTTTAACCTCTATAAGCTTCAGTAAAATATATCTCAGGGTTATGGTGAAGATTAAATAAGATAATGAATCTAAAGTCTTGTCACAGTGCCTGGCTCATAATAAAGCATATAGTAAATGATGGTGGTAGCAGCAGCAGTAATGTGTCATTGTGTACATGTTTTGTTTCCTGAAATTTAGCTGTAAGGCAGGAAGGATCAGAGAGAGATAGAAATATGTTATATGCCTACAGATAATATTAACTTGGAGAAACATGCCATATAGACATCTAAGAAAAGATAATTGTCGTGTTACCATTATTTCCTCTTTTTTCCCTTTTTCTGTAATTCCTACTCTTGTGTTTTTTTATTTCTTCTGAAGCCAGTGCTCTGTGTATCTTTGCAACTTCCATCTCTCTCTGATAGTTGTTAGCTTAAATAAGTGAAAGACATAACTTGAAATTCTTCTTTTTGGATATGTTTTAAAACCTATATTCCATTTTAATATCAAGTATTTTGGTAATACTTATAATATGCAAGACATTGCATGGGCGTTTATTCCCATTTACAGAATTGGAACAACAATTCTTATAACCTGTTAAAAGATTGAAGATAGGTATTACATTTGTACTAGTCTTAAATCCTACTGTAATAAGATATTTGTACCAACCTTAAATCTTACTGGAACTAAGCCATTTGTGATAGCACACATCTGTAGTCCAAGCTACTTGGGAGACTGAGCCGGGAGCATTACTAGAGCCCAGGAGTTTGAGACCAACCTGGGCAATATAGCAAGACACCATTTCTTAAAAAAATCTTACTGGAACTGGTGTGAATATTATTTTTAACTCTCCACATATTAATTCAGTTGTATATCAGGTTTTTTATGGGCTCAGAGTTTTTAACTCCTTGAAAACTCCTTAAAGTGGGAGACATAACGATGTATGCAGATACAAATTAATGACCTTTTATATTTGCATTGATACAGCATTTTGAAATTTGAGCAAACATTTTAGGATGTACTTCTCAGTTTGATATATTGCTATTTATTTTGGAGGCAAATAAGAAAAGAACTGTGGATGCATTTGGCGTTACAAATACTTAGACAAATACCCACTAAAAAAAAATCGTGCTATAAGTCTGCACACTCTGGTTTGTAATTTTGTTTAAGCAAAGTTGCAGTTTAAATAATGATCCCTGAGATATAATTACCTGTCATTCACCTACCTGCCAATTTCCCCTAGTGTATGGTTTCTATAAAACTTACTATGAAACTTGAGGTACTTGTAATAGTCAATTTGAGACTAAAAATATAAATAATTAAAAAAATATGACATAGGTGGTAGAGCTTAGAGGTCTGTAGAAATTACCTATTCATTAATTCTTTTTTTTTTTTTTTTTTTGAGATGGAGCCTCGCTGTGTTGCCCGGGCTGGAGTGCAGTGGCGCTATCTCGGCTCACTGCAGGCTCCGCCTCCCGGGTTCATGCCATTCTCCTGCCTCAGCCTTCTGAGTAGCTGGGACTACAGGCGCCCACCACCACGCCCGTTTAATTTTTTGTATTTTTTTAGTAGAGATGGGGTTTCACCGTATTAGCCAGGATGGTCTCGATCTCCTGACTTCGTGATCTGCCCGCCTCGGCCTCCCAAAGTGCTGGGATTACAGGCGTGAGCCACTGCGCCCGGCCTATTCATTAATTCTTTATGCCACCTTTTTTTTTTTTTTTTTTGAGACAGAGTCTCAGTCTTCGCCCAGGCTGGAGTGCTGTGGCGCGATCTTGCGTCACTGCAACCTCCGCCTCCTGGGTTCAAGCAATTCTCCTGCCTTAGCGTCTCAAGAAGCTGGGATTACAGGTGTGTGCCACCACACCCAGCTAATTTTTTTGTATTTTTAGTAGAGACAGAGTTTTACCATGTTGGCCAGGCTGGTCTCGAACTCCTGACCTCAAGTGATCCTCCCGCCTCAGCCTCCCAGTGTGCTGGGATTACAAGCATGAGCCACTGTGCCCCGCTTCTTTTAGCCAACTTTTGTTGTTTAGTGTATACTAGCTGCTGTGCTCGTCATTAGGGAGGGAAGACTAGTACCCTCTCTTATTCAGAACAGGAAAAAAGAAAAAAAGATGCTTTTAGGCTCCAGGTCAGCTCCCTTCTCAGCTGTGCTGCTAACCTGCAATCCTGACCTCAGTAATGATCTCCTGATATCTTCAGCATTGTGTTGCTCTCTCCCTTTTATTTCCTTACTTTGTATCTTTTCAGATTAGAACATATTTTTCTTGTCATGACAAAGGACTCTCCAAAAATTAATTTCCCCTCATTTATGCAAAATAATACATATTTAACAAAATTTGGAAAAAGAAGTATAAATAATATTAAAAATCACAAAGTTAATGTCTTATATTGAATTTTATTGTGGTAATTGCTTTTGGCAGTTTCTGTTACTTCTGTTCTCTTTATAGTTTAGCCAGAGCAAACTATTAAAACTCACTTTGGTACTTGTATGCTCATGTTTATAGCAGCATGATTCCCAAGAGTCAAAAGGTGGAAATAACCCAAATGTTCCTCAGCATAGAGATGAATGCATAGACAAAATGTATGTGGGGGGGAGGGTATTTGTATATGTATGAATATGAATATTATTTAGCCACAAAAAGGAATGAGGTTCTGATACATGCTACAACATGGATGAACCTTGAAAACATTATGCTAAGTAAAATAAGCCAGACAGAAAAGGCTAGTTTTACATATAATGATATAAGTATGATCCCACCTATATGATATATATAGAATAGGCAAATTCATAGAGTCAGAAAGTAGATTAGAGTTTACCCAGGGATGCAAGAAAGGGAAATGGATATAGTATTTCTGTTGGGGATGATGAAAAAGTTTTGGAAAGAATGCTGATGGTTGCACAAGATTGTGAATGTATTAAATGCCATGAATCATACATTTAAAAATAATGAGAATGGCAAATTTTATATGTTTTACTATAAACATACTTTTAAAAAAAGTCTGTTTGAAACCGTTAAGGACTTGTAGCTAGTTCACAGTTTTACTTCTGAGTGAGGCTTAGGTGTCTCTCTATATATTGTTCATGCTCCATCATTTTTTCAAAAAAAGTACTGATTATGTGAGTGGTGAGTTTGTTGACAATTAAATTTTCTTCTTGGTTTTCTTTTTTTCCATAAATATGGATCACTTATAATGAAAACATTTACACATAAGAATTACTTTTTTTTCTTTTTGAGATGGGATCTCACTGTTGCTCAGGCTGGAGTACAGCGGCATGATCTCGGCTCACTGTAACCTCTGCCCCCTGAGCTCAAGCAGTTCTCCCTCCTCAGCCTCCTAAGTATCTGGAACGTGCGCCACCACACCCGGCTAAGTTTTTGTATTTTCGGTAGAGATGGGGTTTCACCATGTTGCCCAGGCTGGTCTGAGCTCAAGTGATCTGCCTGCTTGGGCCTCCCAAAGTGTTGGGATTGCAGGCATGAGCCACTGCGCCCAGCTAAGAATTACTTTAAAAACAAAATTACATTAGACAGTATTTGTCTTCTTTAGGCTGCTGTCTAGTGTCTTTTTTTTTCTATCTGCTCTTGATCATCTTTCACCTTTTTTTTTTGATGTGTAGGTCTCATTCCTTAATTATAAGTTTTATGTAACCATATTGGAGATAATTAGAAAAAAGAGAAAGAACTCTCTCTGACCCCAAATTTAGTATTCTGACATAACCTTTATTTTAATTTTGATGTATTTTCTTCATGTCTCTGCCTATATCTTTGATCTAATTTGAATATATGTGTAATTTGAGTTCTTTTTTCACTTTTTGTTGCATTAACATTTTGCATGTGGTCTGCCTGATTGTTGTCTTAACCAGATTTTTTTTTTTTTTTTGTGAGACAGGGTCTTGCCCTGTCACCCAGGCTGGAGTGCAGTGGCTGAATAATGGCTCACTGCAGCCTCTGACCTCGTAGACTCAATCAATAGTCCTGCCTCAGGCTCCTGAGTAGCTGGGACCACAGGTGTGCGCCACTATGCCCGGCTAATTTTTGTATTTTTTGTAGAGACGGGGTTTTGCCATGTTGCCCAAGCTGGTCTTGAACTCCTGGGCTCGAGCAATCCACCTGCTTTGGCCTTCCAGAGTGCTGGGATTACAGGTATGAGCCACCGCGCCCAGCCTTAACCAACTTTTTAAAACAAAATCACAAAAGGCTTACATGATACTAAAAAATTTTAAATACAGAAGTCGCTAAAGTAGCAAAGTTTTCTTTCTCTGTTTTTATTTCACTTGCTACATTCTCACTATCTTGAGGTAGCTGTTAATAGTTTCATAGCCTATCAAAATATGGTATTATATTGTATGTATATCCTATTCTTTACCTATATTTGATTGGCTCCATCAAATTGGGAACCATGTTATTTTTAATGGCTGCATCACATTCTGTTGTATGGTAGTGTCATAATTTATTTGCTTATTTTCTGATTGATGAACATTGTGGTTATTACCAGTTTTTTCTTATAAATAATTCTGTGATTTTTTTTTTTTTTTTTTTTTTTTGAGGCAGAGTCTCGCTCACTCTTTTGCCCAGGCTGGATTGTGCAGTGGCTCAGTCTCGGCTCACTGCAACCTCTGCCTCCCGGGTTCAAGTGATTCTTATGCCTCAGCCTGCTGAGTAGCTAGGATTACAGGCGTGCACCACCATGCCTGGCTAATTTTTGTATCTTTAATAGAGACGGGGTTTTGTCATGTTGGCCAGGCTGGTCTCAAACTCCTGGCCTCAAGTGATCCACCCACTTTGGCCTCCCAAAGTGCTGGGATTACAAGTGTGAGCTACCATACTTGGCCTGATTTTTTTTTTCTTTTTAAAAATAAGAGATCTACTCCAGCCTTAATTTTAGTGCATAAATCCATATACCTATACTATTTATAATAGGAAGTTATGTAGAATCATCTAAATTTTTTTTATTGTACAGATTGCCACAGCATAGGAATTCATGACTTTAAACTTACTCAAAATTTCTTCTAGAGAACAAAGATAAAACTCAAAACTGTAGAATAAAAAAAAACCTCTTCAAAAATTAGTACTTTACATCATAAAAGACTGTTTGGCAAGCCCAAGATAAACGTTTGTTTTTGACTTATAAGCCAATGTTAGGCCCATAATCTACCATAGGTCAAATCTCAAAACGGCAAATTGGAGTCTGTCCAAATTTTCTGTTGTATTGAATATTTTTGAAATATTTGAACTATTAGCCAGGACGTGAGCATTTTTGTCATACACGGATTTGTTGTAACTAAATTTGACACACGCACCGTCAAAGTGTTTGTTTAGTCCTTGCAGGTGTTCATGGCATATTGAAAGAGATATTCAGTCTTCCTGGTGCTGGTACCTGAAGAGTTCTGATGTCATTTGGATCTCTTTACTTTTGAATGGAAGTTTACAAAAAGCTTACCCAGAGCTTCAAGTCACAGAGCAGTCTGGGTCAGTTATTACCCTTACACATAATCACCTTTCAAAGCATGAAGTAATACAAGGGTAATGTTCATTTGTCTGAAAGCTCTGGTTATAAGAAACATTCAGACAGGGCTTAACTTCTGCTACTATTGCCAGTGAGGGACAGCCCAATACCAGTGCGCATGTGCCCAAGGCCCTGAACACTAGTTTGGAAGCCAGGAGGACACATCTGTAGCTTGTAAGATGAGGCGTGCATAGTAGATACCATCTGCTAACAACAGCTTGGTTGATGTAGGATGGCGATACAGCGGTGAGGTCTATGTGACTGTTTGACATGCTGAGGTTGCTGAAAGTGAACTGGCTGTGAGGGCTGGGAGACTGTCTAGAACACACTTAGTTGTGCCATTTGAGGTCCTGCTTGTCCTCTCTTTGCTTCTTTCACATCATTATCATGAGCAGTCAATAGCTGTTCAGTACACGGCACTAAGAAATACCAGGAGTAAGCAGTAAGATGATGTAATGATGTAGTCTTGTAGGCCATGTTGGAGAAAGACGAAGTATAATCCTCGAAGAAGCCATACATGTAGCAGCTACAGAAGAAAGTGCATAATTTAGAAAGGGGTAATTTTGCAACAGTACTTCCAGGAAATCTGCATATTTGGCTGTGTAGTGTTTAATCTTTTCCAGGCAAATCGTTGGCCAGCCATCGTGAAGATCTGTTTTGTGTACTACTTCAGAGAGAACAAATTCAATGAAATGGGCAGCTGTTGGAAGGCGGAGGTCCATTCCACTGATAGGTTTCTAATGATAAGAGTTACACATGTAGCAAATTTTGTTTTGTTAATACTACATTCATATTAGTCATAACACCTAGGCTGTTGAGCTGTTCCAGCTTAGGCACACTATCTTCTTTTTCTTCAGATTTACTTGCTAGAAGCAGATGGGAAACTGCAGCTAAATACAGCTGCTAGATAGAGATGTCATAGCAATCCATAAATAGTTCTAGTAAATAGCAAGATGCTGGTGTAGAAAGAGCGTGACGTGATCGCTCACAATGGCAGTCAAGTCAGCAAAATACTGGCTGAGACTCAGTTGAGGGGACTGGCCTTTGTATGAGGGCAACTTCAGCTCTTTGTACCAAGTGCTCGGTGAATATTGGCAGCCAGCTCTCCTCGCCATCACTGCTTCTCCAGCTCCCTGGGACCCTGAGGTGCATGCAGCCAGACACGACAACTACAGTCCCGCCCCGAGGCCCTCACAGCCTCAGTCCCCTTGGCGTCGGCCCCACTGGTGCTGCAGACAGTTGGCTGCGAAGCACCAGTCTCAGCTCTGGCCAAGCTCCCCCCATTGTTAAAGGACTGGCAGGCGGCTCCCAATTCTGTGATTAATTTCAGTACGTAGGTCCTTGCTTATTTGAGTATTGGGACAGATTTCTGAGTCAGCCCATCGACATGTATCATGGATACTTCCAAATAGTCGTTCTAAACAGCTGTATGAATGAATGTATTCAGCAATAATGTCTTTAAAAATACTAATTTCCTTTAGACAAATCATTAGTTTTTTTGTTTTTGGGTTTTTTGGTTTGTTCGTTTTGTTTTTAAGACGGAATCTTGCTGTGTCGCCCAGGCTGGAGTGCAGTGGTGTGATCTTGGCTCACTGCAATATCTGCCTCCTGGGTTCAAGTGATTCTCCTGCTTCAGCCTCCTGAATAGCTGGGACTACAGGTGTGTGCCACCCACGTCCGGCTAATTTTTATATTTTTTAGTGG
Organism: Homo sapiens; assembly: GCF_000001405.40. NCBI lineage: Eukaryota > Metazoa > Chordata > Mammalia > Primates > Hominidae > Homo > Homo sapiens. Next base: position 92,755,241 of record NC_000001.11, on the reverse strand, counting down.
AGACGGGGTTTCAACATGTTGGCCAGGCTGGTCTTGAACTCCTGACCTGTAGTGATCCACCCACCTCAGCCTCTCAAAGTGCTAGGATTTCAGGCGTGAGCCACTACAGCTGGCCCAAAGCATCAGTTTTTTATAATGAATATTTCAGATGCAAAAAAAAAAAAAAAAAAAAACCTATGTTCACATCACCCACCTTAAGAAATAAACATTATAAATGTACTTGTAAACATAATCCCCATCTTCTTTAAGATATAACATTATACTTACATGTATGTTTATAAACAGTATATCATATAAACATGCCCTTTTACATTTTCATTATTGCCCAACTTTGTGTGTTGAACATAATATGTCACATGAGGTCATTAGCCTCCAGGATGGCTGTCAGTGGTCTCCACTTCCTTATATTTATGCTGTTATGCGCTTTCTTCCCATGTTGAATAGGGCTGACTTGTGTAACCAATTGAATATTACAAAAATATCAGAGTGACTTATGAAGCTAAATCATGTAAGCATTTTCTGTCTTGCTTTCTTGTTCTGGGGGAAGCCAGTTGCCACAAGGTGAAGATACTCAGCAGTCTTATGGAAAGGTCCACATGGTGAGAAACTGAGGACTTTTGCCAATAACTATATGAGGGAGCCATCTTTGAAGCAGCTCTTCCAGCCCCAGTCAAGCCTTCAGATGACAGCAGCACTAGCCAAGATCTTGTCTGCAAGCTCATGAGAGGCCATGAGCCAGAATCGCCCAGCTAAACTGTACTGCAGTTTCTGACATACAGAAACTGGGAGATAATAAATATTTAATGTATTAAGCTACTAGGTTTGGTAGTAATGGATGAGAGAAAGAGACTTGTAATTGTTTCCATGTTTGCCTCCCCATACTTCATTACTGGTGAGCAATTTGAAGACAGGACAGGAACCATATGTCTTACTTATTTTCCCACTCAATGCCTAGCCTTATGCCTATGTTTAGTAAGTATTTGTTGAGTGAAATTGATAGTATTCTGGTGGAAGTAAAAAATTTAGAAGGGATATTAAATCCCTAAAGCTGAGATAGCCTGATGTTTGAATCATGAGTCATTGTTGGATAGCATGTAAAGACCACATTGTTTCTTCTGAATAGTAGTTAAAGTAAGCCTCTCAGCTACTAATGCTACCCTGGCTATGGGAGTATGGCATTGATTTTGAAGTTATGGCATGTGGCTTTTACTTTACTATTCTCTGGGGCTTGGGTTAGGATACAATCTTTCCTAGATGACTTTCATTTCAGACTTCCTTCTAGGCATATTAACTGAAGCTAAATTTTTTCCTTTTTCTTTTTCAAAATATGGAAGAATGTAAAAAACCTAAAGTCCTGTCAGTTTAGGATTTTGCTGGTATATGTAGCAAGAGACAGTACTTAACTATATCCTAGTGGATTGTTTTTATAGATTATGGAGAGACAGTATTACTACAGAGGATTATATCTAATTATATTCAGAAAATATATTCCAAAATTAGATTCCAAAATTAGGTGTAATTTTGAGTCACACATTTGGTACTTTTTAGTTCTTGTAACCTGTGTTGTTTAATATGGAGGCCCCTAGCTACATGTGATGAGTGAGCTCTTGAACTGTGACTAGTCTGAATTGAGATGTGGTGTACATGTAAAATTCATACTGAATTTCAGACTTAATATTAAAGAAAGAATGTAAAATATTACACTAATAATTTCTTCATATTCCTTATCTATTGAAATAATGTTTTGAGTATATTGGGTTAAAAAATATAATTTCATTTGTTTTACTTGTTTTTACTTTTTAGAATATAGCTACTAGAGAATCTTAACTGATATGGCTTGCATTTGTGGCTTGCCTTATATTTCTATTAGAGAGTGCTTTTCTATTGATTGATTGATTGGTTGATTGACTGTTTGATTGAGATGAAGTCTCACTGTGTAGCCTAGGCTAGTCTTGAACTCCTGGGCTCAAGTGATCCTCCTGCCTTGGCCTTCCAAGGTGCTGAGATCACAGGCCTGAGCCATGTCGACTGGATGAGAGTGGTTTTTAACCCATCAAAATATTCAGTTCTTCAGGGCCTTTGTACATTTTCCTTCTTTTTTTTTTTTTGCCTGACTCTTTGTTTATCTGGCTTCTTCCTGCTCATTTCATAGATCTTATCTTAAACGTTGCCTCCTCAGAAAGGCAGTCCTTATCCACCCTATCAAATTAAGTTCTTTAGTGTTTTGCCCTCATGTCATGTATCCTTCTCTGCATTTATTTATTCACTATTTGTCTGACTTCTTAACTAGCTCTGTGAGGGAAAGGACCATGTCTATTTTGTTTATGACGACACTTTTAGCACCCAATAAAGTGTTCTTTTAGAAAGTAGATTCTAAATAAATTCTTGTTCAGTGAGTGATACTGGTATTACTAAGCAGTGGGCTCACTGCTTGATGCTCATAGAACCCAATACTATGACACCGGCTTTTGAGAAAAGAAAAAGGGCTTTATTGTGAGCTGACTGGCAAGGAGACAGGAGTTTCAGAAAGAAAATATGGAGGAGGATGTCATAAAAGAAATTAGGAAAACAGGGCTGTGCTGCACCGCTGCCCCTCGTCATGCTCAGGTCGACTCCCCGCTCCCCACAAAGAAGGAAAAGTTCCCAGAACTGAACAACCTGCTGTGCTTAGCACTCCGATTGGTCCTTTTCTAAATTAAAAGGGCCCATTGGAGTGCTAAGCACAACAGGTGAAAAAAATATCTGTATTAAGACGTTTCATTAGGCTGGGTGCAGTGAGTGGCTCACGCCTGTAATCCCAGCACTTTGGGAGGTCGAGGCGGGCAAATCACTTGAGGCCAGGAGTTCGAGACCAGCCTGGCCAACATGGTGAAACCCTGTCTCTACTAAAAATACAAAAAGTAGCCAGGCGTGGTGGCACGTGCCTGTAATTCCAGGTACTCAGGAGGCTGAGGCAGGAGAATTGCTTGAACCCAAGAGGCGGAGGCTGTAGTGAGCTGAGATTGTGCCACTGTACTCTAGCCTGGGCAACAGAGCGAGATTCCGTCATTTTATTGAATTTTCACAACTAAGGGGCTAAGGAGAAGATAGAGAAGTTCCCAGAGGTAAAGGAAAAATGGGTTAGTTAATAAAATTAGAGTAGTTACAGGCTCTTCAACAAGAATACTGGAAGCAAAAGACAATAGAGGGCAATATCTTAAGTATAAGGGAAAATTATTATTTTTTTAAGACAGGGTGTCTCTCTGTCGCCCAGGCTTGAGTGCAGTGGCGTGATCTTGGCTCACTGCTACCTCCGCCCCCTGGGTTCAAGCAACTCTCCTGCCTCAGCCTCCCAAGTAGTTGTAATTATTATAGGCGTGCACCACCATGCCCGGCTAATTTTTTGTGTTTTTAGTAGAGATGGGGTTTCACCATGTTGCCTAGGCTGGTTTCGAACTCCTGAGCCAGATGATCCACCCACCTTGGCTTCCCAAAGTGCTGAGATTACAGACGGGAGCCACTGTGCCCGGTTGGGAAAATTATTTGTAATCTAAGAGTTTATAGTGCAGTCATTTTCAAGTGTAACAGTAGAAAAAGCATTTTCACATATGCAGTGTCTCAAACTCACCTCTCATGCAACCCCTTTCAGGAAGGTAGTAGAGGAGGTACTCCACCAAAATAAGAGTGTTTTGAGCAAAGGGAAGACATAGTGTTTAGGAAACAAATGATCCAACCCAAGTGAGGTGAAAGGAATACCTGGGATCACAGTTGTGTACCAGGTGTAGAGCAACTAGTCCAGAATGGAGCAAGTCAGAAGGTTGCAGAAAGGACTTGTACAAAAATATAAGATTGATAGCACATGTGATATGCTCGAATATGTTGAGGAGATTTATATAATTGGATGAATTGGGGGTGAATTTATAAGTACAAATAAAGCTAAACAATTAGACATTTATTAACTCCAGGGAAAGTAAAAAATTGGTCCAAGAAAGTAAAAGTAATCACAGTATACCTCATAGAACAACTGTGACTAAAGTTACATAGTCATGTTAATGCATACACTGAATATTGGTGTAACCAAAAATATGTTTTTTATTTATTTTTATTTTTTTTGAGAGGGAGTCTTGTTCTGTCGCTCAGGCTACAGTGCAGTGGTGCGATCTTGGCTCATTGCCAGCTCTGCCTCCCGGGTTCATGCCATTCTCCTGCCTCAGCCTCCTGAGTAGCTGGGACTACAGGTGCCCGCCACCATGCCTGGCTAATTTTTTGTATTTTTAGTAGAAACGGGGTTTTACCGTGTTAGCCAGGATGGTCTCGATCTCCTGACCTCATGATCCGCCCGCCTCGGCCTCCCAAAGTGCTGGGATTACAGGCGTGAGCCACCGCACCCGGCCCAAAAATATGTTTTAATTACATAGGGATAATGGAATGTATGAAGTGTTTGTATGTTATGGTGGGCAAGGTTGATGATATGGATGATGGGGAAAGAACTAATTGACCTTTTTCACAGGAAGAAGTCAACAGATAAAATATTACTTTTTTTTTTCTGGTCATAACCTCATGTAAGTGGTAAAAATTAAAAGTAAGGGGAAAAAGGCAACGGGGTAGACATTTATTATAGCCAAAGGAGGGTCAGGAATTCTACTTCTGGATCTGGGGATGATAGGAAAGTTCAAAAATTATTTGCAAAATTTTGTTCATATGTGCATGAATTTCTCAAAGGAGTTTGTGACCCCTAAAATGTCTAAAGAGTATAGTGTAGTGTGATGATTGTGGTGTTTTTCAGCGTGTTCGTGAAAGTGTTAGTTTTAGTTTTGATTCTTGATTTATTTTTATGTTTTCATGTATTCATTATCTTGTTATATGAAAGATGACTTAGTTTGGTAAAGCAAATACCATTTTTTATTTGGTTTTGTATTAAAATAAACCTCTTAAGTATTGATTTGTATCTGTGCTGCCTTCTGAGTTAATGTCTTCGGCTCTTCTAGTTCATTGATTTTCTGTTTATGTCTGTTTAATTCTCTATCCCTCTGTCTTCCCCACATCTCACCTCCCTTTTTTTCCTATTTCATTTATTAAATTTTTTATTTCTATAAGTTCCACTTGGATACTTCAAAAATTTGCATGATCTTTGTTTGTATCCTATTCCTTGCTCATTTAAAAAATTCTTTTATTGCTTTAAGCATTTTAAAAGTAGTTATATATTCTGTATTTGATAATTCCAATAGTTGAAGTGCTTGTGGGTCTAATTCTATGCTCAGCTGTCATTTATTGAGTTTTGTCTCTTGTGTGAGTTATATTTTTGAGTGGTGAGCTTATTTTCATCTGTGTCAACTTTGGTGGCTTGATTGAGCATTTTAAGAGACTTAGAGAGCAGTTATGTGAACATGAATTAGTATGGATATTTGGAAATCTGAGGCTGTGGGCCCCCTTTTAGCAGGATGTAGATTATGTGTGATAAGGTTGGATCTACATTTTAGTGACTCTTCGAATGCTTGGCAAAGTACATTATTTTATAACACTTTCTGTGCTCTAAATGGGGAGGGAGTTTTTCCTTGTCTGAAGTTAGCATGATTTGGCTAATTAAGTGAATACTCATATTCAGTAGTTAGTACTCTCCTGCTTAACTAGGTGTATATATTTATTTACATATATTTATAGATACTATATATATATGTAGAAATTACCCTTTATTCCACAGAGACATTTATTGAGCATCTGGTTTATGATAGACAAGGTCTTTGATACTGGGGATATAGAGGTATTCAAGGCAGTCTCTCCTGTTGGAAAATTAAATAGTAGATGAAACTGAACTTTGTATATATTATTAAAGATGTGCTAGAGTATCCATATTAAAAGCTTCTGAATGCCCAGGCTTATATGTTCATATTGTAGAATGGTTGCCTTTTAAGAAGTTAAAAATTAGGAGCTCCAGCTGAAGGAGGAGGTTAAGTAAGGAGAGCTCTATACCATGGCTGGTACAAAGCTAACTGCCAGCAGATGCACCAGTGGTAAAACACCCAGGAAGCAACTGGCTACAAAAGCTGCTTGCAAGAGTGTGCCCTCTACTGGAGGAGTGAAGAAGCCTTATCATCATGACTATAATACAATTTATTTGTCCTATCTCCTATCTATTTGGCTATTAAGAATAAAGTAGCTATGAAGGTTTTCTTTTTCTTTTTTTTTTTTTTTTTTTGAGACAGAGTTTCGCTCTTGTTGCCCAGGCTAGAGTGCAATGGCACGATCTCGGCTCACCGCAACCTCTGCCTCCCAGGTTCAAGTGATTCTCCTGCCTCAGCCTCCCAAGTAGCTGGGATTACACATATACGCCACCACGCCCAGCTAATTTTTGTATTTTTAGTAGAGATGGGGTTTCTTCTGTTGGTCAGGCTGGTGTCAAACTCCCGACCTCAGGTGATCTGCCCGCATCGGCCTCCCAGAGTGCTGGGATTACAACCATGAGCCACCGTGACTGGCCAATATGTATTTATATTTTCTTAGTGTACTTGTACCTACTCATAGCACACTATAGACAAGTGAAAAGATGTTTTTTTCTCAATTATTTGAAGCCTCTGTCTCCCCAAAATAAAAATAAGTCTGGTATGCTGTCTTTACTGATACTCTATACTTTTAGTTTCTTGGTTTTATTTCAAGCACTGTTAAATATTTTAATTTTGTTTTGTGGGATAATGTGATATTGTTCCAGTTACTGTAGCGGTGTAACAAACCACCATGAAACTTAATGGCTTCAAATAATCATTTTAGTATGTGCTTAGATTCTGTGGGTCAGGAATTTAGACAGAGGATTATGAAGAGGACTTGTCTCTGCTTCACGTCTTTGGTCTCAGCTGGGAAGACTTAGAGTCTGGGGCTGACTCTTCACTTAGGGCCTAGAATCAGTTGGGGGTATGTTCACATTTGTGCCTGGTGGTTGAGGCTGGAACCTCAGCTGGACTGTTAGTGAGAATGCCTGTACTCTCCATGTGGTCTCTGCGTGGGCTAGTTTGGGCTTCTTGAAAGCATGGTAGCCAGATTCCAAGAGTTAAGCTCAGTAATAACTTTTGGTACCCACTTTTGGTTGAAGCAGTCAGCGAGCTTTGCTTGGGCTCAAGGGGAGGGGATGTGGACTTCACCACTCTATGGGAAGATGTGAGATAGGAAATGTGGCCGTGTTACAGATTGGATTGTGTCCTTCAAAAAGATATGTTGAAGTCCAGCTATCACAGTACCCTTGTACCTCAGAATGTGACTTTATTTGGAAACAGGGTTGTTGTAAATGTAATTAGGGAAGATACAGTCACTGGAGGGGAGAATGTCATGTGATCATGGAGGCTGAGATCCAAGTGCTTGAAGTGCTGCAACTGCAAACCAAGAAATGCTGGTCATTACTGGCAAACCACCCAAAGCTAGGAAGAGGCAAGGGAAGATTCTCCCTACAAGTTTTAGAGGGAGAATGACCCTGCTGACAACTTGGTTTTGGACTTCTAGCCTCCAGAACTGTGAGACAATACATTTCTGGGTGGTTTTTTTTTTTGTTTTTTTTTTTGGTGAGATGGAGTCTGGCTCTGTCACCCAGGCTGGAGTGCAGTGGCGTGATCTCAGCTCACTGCAACCTCCGCCTTCCGGGTTCAAACAATTCTCCTGTCTCAGCCTCTCAAGTAGCTGGGACTACAGGCACCCAACATCACTCCCGGCTAATTTTTGTATTTTTGGTAGAGACGGAGTTTTGTCATATTGGCCAGGCTAGTCTCAAACTCCTGATCTCAAGTGATCCACCTACCTCGGCCTCCCACAGTGCTGGGATTACAGGCATGAGCCACCACACCCGGCTTATTTCTGTTGTTTTAAGCCACCCAGTTTGTGGTACTTTGTAACAGCAGTACTAGGAAACTAAGATAACAATTAGTTTTCTTGCTGCATCTGCAGGGGATTGGTTCCAAGATCACTGCCCTCATACTACCATGGATGCTTAAATCCCATATATAAAATAGTGCAGTATTTGTATATAATATACACACATCTTCCTGTATACTTTAAAATCATTTCTAGATTACTTATGATACCTAATACAATGTAAATGCTGTGTAAGTAGTTGTTATACAGTACTGTTTTAAAAAAAATCTGTATTATTTTTAATTGTATTATTATATTTTGAATATTTGTGATGCATGGTTGGTTCAGAACCTGCGGATGTGGAACCTGTGGACTATATAGGCCATCTTTGGGAAATACAGACTTTTACAAATGTGTCATAAAAATTATTCTATAGCTTTTCCCCCGTTACTTGTATTGGGTAACAATATATAATAATATATGGTTGTTTTGCTCACTTATACTTCTTTTTTAAAAAAACTTTTTTTTTTTTTTTGAACCAGAGTCTTGCTCTGTTGCCCAGGCTGGAGAGCAGTGGTATGATCACAGTTCACTGCAGCCTTGACCTCAGGCTCAAGTGATCCTCCCGCCTTAGCATCCCAAGTAGCTGGGATCACAGACACACGCCACCATGCCTGGCTAATTTTCTTTTTAATTTTTTGTAGAGACAGGGTCTCGCTCTATTGCCCAGGCTGATCTTGAACTGCTGGACACAAGCAGTCCTTCTGCCTTGGCCTCCTGGGCTCAAGTCATCCTCCCACCTCAGCCTCCCAAGTAGGTGAGACTACAGGCATGCACCACTACACCCGGCTAATTTTTGTATTTTTAGTGGAGACAGGGTTTCACCATGTTGGCCAGACTGATCTCGAGCTCCTGACCTCAAGTGATCCACCCACCTCGGCCTCCCAGAGTGCTGGGATTTCAGGCGTGAGCCACTGTGCCCAGCCAGTACAGTACTTTAAAAGTTATTTTTAGTGTGTATAGCTGCAAAGGGAATTTTGAATAGGAGATACCTTCATTGAAATGTGCTATTTAACAATCAAAATTAATCAAAAGTCATTGAGAAAGTATTGAGTACTCACTGGTAAAAAGGAAAGGCCTTAGACACATTAAATTTAACAGAGTTTAATTGAGCAAAGAACGATTCACAACTCGGACAGCCTTCAGAACCAGAATAAGTTCAGAGAACTCTGACCTGCAATGTGGTCAAGCAGCATTTTTGGACAGAAAACAGAAGCGAGGTAAAGAGACAGCTCTTTTGGTTACAGCTTGGCATTTGCTTTATTAGAACATGGGTTCAATGTTGGCTGCCTAAAGCTTGGTTGCTGTGATTGATTGAGACTCAGCTATTTATTACGTAAGTATACTGTACACCCAACTTAGGCTTTCAGTTAGTTTGCCAACTAAGTTAGGTTGCTCTTTGTTATGTAAGGACTCAAGGACATGGGCATCCTTAGGCCAAGTTTAGTTTAACACTATTCACCAATTTTGTTTTCAGGTCATCAAGAAGATTCATGAAGAGTAATGAATGGTCTGTCTTTGACCTACAGGAATATATATGAAATAATGTTTTTGTTTTATTTTTCAGACAAGCTCTCATTCTGTTGCCCAGGCTAGAGTGCAGTGGCATAATCATGGCTCACTGCAGCTTTATGCTCCTGGGCTCAAGTGATCCTCCACCTCGGCCTCACAAGTGCCTCTACTACAGGTCTGTGCCACCACACCCAGCTAATTTTTTTTGTAGAGATGAGGTCTCATTATGTTGCCCAGGCTGGTCTTGAATTCTTGATCTCAAGTGATCCTCCTGCCTCTGCCTCCCAAAGTGTTGGGATTATAGGCCTGAGCCACCATATGTGGCCTGTTTTTCTTTCTTAAGGTACTGAGAGGCAGTAGTACATCTAATGGTTTATAATATAACAGTGTAAGCATAATATGGCACATATAGCACTGTGGAGATGAGGTGATAATGTATGTGAAAGTACTCAGTGAATATTATCATTATTAATGAATGTCACAATATTTAATATAAACAAGAAGTACCATAGAAGTGAAGAGAAACATGACACAGAGCACACAAACACCTTAAAGAATGAGTACTGTTGGCAACTGAGCAGCATTTCTCAGAATTTGTTTTGCAGTAAAGAGTGAAAAAGGCTGGGTGGGTGGTCCACGCCTGTCATCTCAGCACTTTTGGAGCCTGAGGCAGGTGGATCGCTTGAGCCCCAGGAGTTTGAGACCAGCCTGGGCAACATGGTGAAACCCTGTCTCTACCAAAAAAAAAAAAAAAAAAAATTAGCCTGGCATGGTAGTTGTGTGCCTGTGGTCCCAGCTACTCAGGAGGCTGAGGTGGGAGGATTGCTTGAGCTTGGGAGGTTGAGACTGCAACAAGCCATGATTGCACCACTGCACTCCAGCCTGGGTGACAAGACTCTGTCTCAAAAAAGAGAAAAACGATTCCTGACTAGTCAAGTTTGGAAAGTAAATTCCTCTACCTTCTACTTTTGACAGTGTATAATAATGCCTGAGAATTGCTGTAATAAAAAAAATTTTACTTACGGACTTCAGCTTTTAATGATGTGATTCACTACATAGCTTGGAAAAACTCTTCCTCTATAAAGCACCTCAAAATGCAAACATCCTTTTAAATGCAAAGTTGTATTTTCAAGAATGTAAGAGAAATGCCCCTTCTCCAAAAACAGAGCCACTCTAGAAACCACCAGATTGTCTTCAAGTCTGCCGTCCTCTGTGTGTGTGTGTGTGTGTGTGTGTGTGTGTGTGTGTGTGTGTGTGAGAGAGAGAGAGAGATATTTGGCATAATTATATTAATTTCAAACAAAGCAAACTTAAGAAGGAGAATTATCAGGGATAAAGACAGGCATTACATAATGATAAATGGGTCCGTTCTCAAAGAAGACAAAATAGTCTGTGAGGCAAAAACCAATAGCAGTGTAAGGAGTAATAGACAAATTCACTATTATAGTTGGATGCCTCAACACCTCTCAGTAATTTATAGTGTAGCAGACAGAAAATCAGTTAGGCTATAGCTGAATAGCACCATTTATCAACTGGATTTAATTGATATATATAGACTGCTTCATCCAACAACAGCAAAAAACACATTTTTCTCAAACTCATATGGAACATTCGCCAAGATTAACCACATTCTGGGACATAAAACACATCTTAACTTGTATTCTCAGACCACGGTGGAATTAAGTTAGAGATCACTAACAATTATCTATACAACTTGTGTTGTATAGTTAGAAAGATATTTGGAAAATCTGAAAATACTTGGGAATTAAAAAACACACTTCTAAGTAACACATGAGTTGAAGTCTCAAACTAAAAATATTTTGAACTGAAGGAAAATGAAAAGCAGCAAAAGCAGTGCTTAGAGTTTGATTTATATTGAATCATATAGTAGAAAAAAAGATTCAAAAATCAGTGATTAAGCTTCTACTTTAGGGAACTAGATAGAAGAGCAATATAAACCTAAAGCAAGCAGAATAAAATAAATAATAAAAATTAGTAGAAATCAGTGAAATAGAAAACAGGAAAACAATTACAAAATTAATGAAAGAAAAACTGTTTCTTTTAAAAGGCATTGAAAGTGACGGACCTCTAGCCAGGGTAACAAGAACAAAAGAGAGAAGACACAAATTACTAATGTCAAGAATGAAAGGGGTAATTTTTTCCCCCAGATTTCATTGTGATAAAGTATTCATAACAAAATTTACAGTTTTAACCATTTTAAGTCTATAATTAAGTATATTCATATTGTTGTACAACCACCATCACCATCATCTCTATAATTTTTTCATCTTTCCAAAGAAACTCTGTGGCCACTAATCAATAACTCCCTATTTCCTCTTCCCATGGCAACCACCATTTTACTTTCTGTCTCTGTGGATTTGACTATCTCATAAAAGTGGAATCACACAATATTTGTCATTTTATGGCTGGCTTTTTTCACTTCGTATAATGTCCTCAGGGTGTGTTCATGTTGTGGTATGTCAGAATTTCCTTCCCTTTTTTTTTTGAGACGGAGTCTTGCTCTGTCGCCAGGCTGGAGTGCAGTGGCACGATCTTGATGCACTGCAACCTCCGCCTCCTGGGTTCAAGCGATTCTCTTGCCTCAACCTCCCAAGTAGCTGGGATTACAGGCGCTCGCCACCGTGCCCAGCTAATTTTTGTATTTTTAGTAGACACGGGGTTTTGCCATGTTGGCCAAACTGGTCTCGAACTCCTGACCTCAGGTGATCCGCCCACCTCAGCCTCCCAAAGTGCTGGGATTACAGGCGTGAGCCATCACGCTTGGCCCTCCTTCCTTTTTAAGGCTGAATAATAGTCCATTGTATAGAGATAGCACATTTTGTTTATCCATTAATCCATTGATGTACACTTGGTTGTTTATCCCTTTTGGCTATTGTGAATAATGCTGCTATGAATATGGGTATATAAATGTCTAAGTCCTTGTTTCAGTTCTTTGGATAAATACCCAGAAGTGGAATTGCTGGATCTTATAATTCTGTGTTAAATTTTTTGAGGAACTGCCATACTGTTTTCGACAGCAGCTGTGCCATTTATATTTCCATTAACAATGTCAACACTTGTTATTTTCCTTTTTGATAATAGCCATCAAAATGTGTGTGAAATGATATCTCATTGTGGTTTTGATTTGCATTTTATTTAATTTTAATTTAATTTTTTTTTTTGTGAGACAGAGTTTTGGTCTTGTCGCCCAGGCTGGAGTGCAATGGCACTGTCTCGGCTCACTGCAACCTCCACCTCCTGCGTTCAAGCGATTCTCCTGCCTCAGCCTCCTGAGTAGCTGAGATTACAGGGACCCGCCACCACACCCAGCTAATTTTTGTATTTTTAGTAGAGATGGGGTTTCTCCATGTTGGCCAGGCTGGTCTCGAACTCCTGACCTCAGGTGATCCACCTGCTTCAGCCTCCCGAAGTGCTGGGATTACAGGCATGAGCTACCATGCCTGGCTGATTTGCATTTTATTAATGATTGGTGATGTTAGCTGGGCACAGTGGCTCGTGCCTATAGTACCAGCTACTCAGGAGGCTGAAGCAGGAGGATTGCTTGAGGCCAGGAGTTCAAGACCAGCCTGGGCAATATAGCAAGACCTCATCTCTTAAAAAAATTAGTAATGTTGAACGTATTTTCAAAAGCCCCTGTGATTATTGGCCATTTATATATCTTCTTTGGGGAAATGTCTGTTCAAATCCTTTGCTCATCTTTTAATCAGATTATTTGTTTTTTTTTGTGTTATTAATTTGTAGGAGTTCTTTATATATTCTAGATATTAAACCCATACAGCTATATGATTTGCAAATATTTGCTTTCATTTTTCTGGGTTATTTTTACTCTGTTGATACACAAAAGTTTTTAATTTTGATGGAGTCCAATTTATCTTTTTTTTCCTTTTGTTGCCTGTGCTTTTTGTGTTAGTCTAAGGAATCATTGCCAAATCATTGTCATGAAGTTTTTCCCTTACGTTTTCTTCTAAGTTTTATAGTTTTAGTTCTATTATTTAGGTCTTCAATCCATTGTGATTTAAGAGGTCTTTTAAATGAGCTGAATCTTTGATTTCTTATCTCTAAAATGGAGACATTACCTACTTTATAGAATTATGAATGAGCACTAAAATGAGTTAATATGAAATAATGTGAAAAGTCCTAAAAAATAAAATACTGAGTTGTCAGATCAGCCTTTATATTATAAAACAAGCTAACTCCACAGTGACAAAGAATAACCCCATCAGCCCAGTTTTCTGAATTGTACCAGTTTTTTTTTCTTTTTAAAATAAAATCAAATGAAGTTACTGTCTGTTTGAAGGCCCTTTTCGAAAATAGAGTTTGTTATGTAATAATATCCTGACTATCCTTTTGGAATCTGCAGGCTTTAGGAATTAGTCTGATTCAAGAAATCTCAAAAATAAAGGTCATTGTGGTAGGAATGGGAATATTTTGCAGCTCTTATTTCTGTATCTCTCAGATACTCCTCAACTTACTATAATCTGGTTTCTGCCTTCTTTTGGTGAAATGGACTCACTGAAGTCATTAGTGACCACATCCATTGCCAACCTTTGGTCTTGCTCATTCTTGATAGTGGTTAAGAGCAAGGAATCTCCAACCAGATTGCCTGTGTTTGACTTTTATTAGCTTTGTGACCTTATGTAAGTTGTATAGCATTTTTGTGTCATCATTTCTTCACTTGTAAAATGTGGAAAATAGTAATACCTACTTTATAGCATTTCAATAATTAAATAGATTTAATACATATAAAGTGTTTACAACAGTACCTGGTGCGATTTAAATGCTGAAAAAGTGTTTGCGGATATATTCCCCTCCTTTTTGAAACTTTGTTTCCAAACCTCTGGCACCATACAGTGGGAGTTGCATGGAATCTACGTAGAGTTTAGGTAGCGCAGAAGGCTGGTCAAAATTTCATATCAGAGTCCCTAAAAACCATACCATGTGGAAACTGTTATACTGGCTTTCAGTACTAAGTCTAAGACTGCCATACAATTAACAAAGATACTGAAGGGAGTGATAGGGATACTATTTTAGATACTTTTCCATATGACTATAAGAAATACAGGAATAATGACAGGGTAAGGTACTATCTTTAATTATAGCAGTCTCCATGCTTTGCATAGTGACTTACACAGAATACTCAGTAAATATTAGTTGATTTTATACATACATGTATACAGACACACACATACACACATATGTATATCTGACATAGTAAAAGTGAGCCCAATAAAAAATAAAACCAAAATCTTGACCTGTGTGTCTTTGGTCCACTCATCTCGAGGAAGGAACATGAGATGTCTGGTTGGCAGTCCCTCATAATGGCCAGTTTTGTGAGAATCAAAGAGTGTAAGAAAATTGTCAAGAGACAAGAAACCAGAAAAGAAAAGAAAAAGCGGAGATAAAAATGAGTGTAACACAGATTAGAGGGGTGGGGATAAACAGCAGGTACTTTGGAGAAGCTAATAAGAGACGGAAAATAAAGCAGTTTTGCATTGTGGTGTGGTGGTGGAAAAGTCTCTTAGTCCTCAATAGCCCTTGAAAGTGTTTGAGCTTCTGTGTTAAAAGCTACTTGTCTCTGGTTCCTGTACTTTTTGAAGGAAGATTGTAAAATGATAATAGATAGTGAAATGTTTATATAAGCAAGCTGTATGTACACTAATGGTAACTATATTTTAAAATCATCTCATGTGTTCATTCAGTAAACAGATATGAAAAAGTATTAGGAAATATTCCCTGGCTCTAAGGAAGGGTAAAAAGATAGAACTGCAAAATGATTGGTGAATCTTTGTGACATCTGTATATAGCTGAAGTCCTGACATTATGAAATGTGTTCTGCCGCACTGCCCCTTTTTTTTTTTTTTAAAGGTAACTTGACTTTTGACATTTAAAGATCTGTTGGGTTTTTGACTCTCGGTGATGGCACAGGTACCCATACTCATAGTTCCTCTTTACCCACAATAGTACCCTTTACCCAGGGGGGAATATTATACTCTAGAAATGTGATTCAGTTTCACAGTATGATTCAGGAAGTAATTAACCATAGCCATGTCCTTTTCTCCCTCATGATTTTTTGATCTAAAATCAGAATCTTTAAAAATAGATCTATTTTAGGGAAGTTAAGAGCATCCTTTTAATAAAATATAAAGTGATATAATCATGTCTGTTTCTCATGGGAGATTGTATTCAACTATTGTAATAGTATGTAACGCTTTTACTACACTTAAAAAATTGAGATATAATTTATATACCATAAATTTGCTCCTTTTAAAGTGTATAATTCAGTGGCATTTATTATATTCACAAGGTTGTGCAACCTTCACCACTGACCAATCCCAGATTATTTTCATCACCCCATAAAGAAATCCTGTACCCATTAGTAGTCATTTTCCATCCCTTTTCCCAGGCCCTGGAAATTACTGATCTACTTCTGGATTTGCCTGTTTGGAACTTTTATGTAAATGGAATCATACAATATGTGGCCTTTTTTGTGTGTGATTACTAAGCCTTTTTAATGATGGTTTTAGCATTTTCAAAGTGTGTTCGCTTTTTTTTTTTTTTTTTTTGAGACGGAGTTTCGCTTTTGTTGCTCAGGCTGGAGAGCAGTGGCGTGATCTTGGTGCATTGCAACCTCTGCCTCTCGGGTTCAAGTGATTCTCCTGCCTCAGACTCCTGAGTAGCTGGGATTACAGGCGCCCGCCACCATGCCCAGCTAATTTTTGTATTTTTAGTAGACACGGGGTTTTGTCATGTTGGCCAAGCTGGTCTCGAACTCCTGACCTCAGGGTGATCTGCCTGCGTTGGCCTCCCAAAGTGTTGGGATTACAGGTGTGAGCCACCGTGCCCGGCCAGTATGTTCACTTTTTAAAATAAATGCATAACACCTCTATGAGATAGACAGGAACTTTGTGACATATTTACATTGTCAGATTTGTTTATATTTATTTATGTGACCTCAATTTACCCTAGGTTGAGGAAAAGAGATTCAGAGGTGGCAGGGTGGAAGTTTGGAAAAGTAAAATTAAAGGAAAAATAGTACCTGATGATATATGAAAAAATAATTTAGCCCTGTGGGATTTCTAGATTCTATGAATATTAAACTTTATTAAATTGCAGATGCAATTAAATACTCTAACTATATTTAAGAACTTAAAACTTGAAGTTCAGTCTTTAGTAGTTATAGGCTGAATTCCATTTCAGTGAGGTCTAAAGCATGTCAGAATTGTGCTTTTGATTATTTCAGACTCTTTAAATCGAAGCCTGTTGCTACAGTGTGCAGAAGGGGTATGATATAAATTTCTTTTAATAAAGCAATTAATAGGTGTCTTTTGCTTTTGCAGCAATTAACTTACTGAGTAGGGGAGTTTAATATAATGAAAATGTAAAGCATTAATTATTGAAAATTGTAAGTATATTTGAAATTATTGGTAAAGTGTACCATTTTTTTATAAATTTTATACATTAGGTTTTCTTCCGTTTTTCTGTAAATTTTATACATTAGGTTTTCTCTTTTTAAATATTAGAGTGTGCTTTGGGGATGCGAATTTGTGCCATTTTCACAATTGAGTTTATAGTTGTTATCCTAAGATCGATAGGATAACAAATCACACAGTAGGCTATCTTAGTGCCTACTATGGCTTCTGTCATTTCGTGGCACAAATAAAGTTTTGGCTAAATTATTATTTGGTTCCTATACGGCCTTTTGCCCTGATGAGCTGTTTTCATCTATGAGTTGACAGGAAGGACTTCTTTTGCCTGGAAGCAGGCATAAACGATCACCTCATGCTTCTCTTTCTTAGGTCTCTTATGCCATTCAACTTTTCTTTCTTGGGATTCGTCTCTCAACGGTAACAGCCCACTGATCCTTTCTATAATATCATTTCTAAAGGAAGTAAGTTCTAAAAGGGGAAAATTATTGGCAAATGGAAAGAAAATGAGAGGCATCTTGAGTTTAATAAAACTCTTGCCCCTATTCAGCACTTGTAATGGAATCTTTGTCCTTTTAGATGCTCCATCCTCAGGTTAAGTGGCTTAACTATGTCCTTAGAATTGCTTTTCCATTTTATCCTTTCCGTACATGGAATTTCCCTGCTAAATTGAAGTGGAGGAAGTGGAGACAGAGAAAAAGCCATGTATATATTGAGGGCAGGAGGAAATGCTTGGGTAACCAATGAGGAGAGTGGTACCTACTACCAGGACCTGGACAGGATTTTTTTTTGTGTGTGTACATATGTTCATATGGATTGCCATATATAAACCAGTGTTAGCTTTGAACAGTATGTACATTTTCTTTTTCAGCTGAATTTGTTGTATACATATCTGCTTAGGAGGTTGGCATGGTTTATGACAAATATGTGAGCATATGTATAATTCGTTGAATCTTAGAAAAGAGAGGAATCTTAAAGGCTTTTTTCTTCCTGGTTAGCCACCTAAAACAGAAACTTAACCCTTAACCAACGCTTGACATTTGGCTTTTACAATTGCCACATTAACGTAGCTATTGGTAGAGAATGTACTACTCTTTCCTAGGCATCCCATTCTATTTCTGAATAAGCCAACTATTAGAAATTCTACCTTGAACCCCTCTCATTCTATTAACCCAGCCATTTACCATAATTTTGTTCCTGGGGTGCTAGTCCCTCTTCTATAACAACACTCTTTAGTGGTTTGAAGAGAGATCAATCAAGGGCCTCACTACATTTTATTTATGCTAAATACACCCAGTTTTTGTTGAATTGTTAGTCATGTTACAGGATTTCCCTGATCATCTAATGGACATGTTTTAATTCCTTGACTTGCATATGTTTTTGACTAAAACCCCAAGAATACATTTTACATCCTCACTCAATACACCCATATACATACATACATGTAGGATGTATTTTTAAAATAACAAAAATTTCATTAGACAGCATATCTTTAATTTGATATTTTTGCTCTTTTTCATTTTTGAAACATGCTGGTTGATTTTTGTCACTCCTGATGGGTCTCAGTTTGGAACACTGTTCTGATTTGTTCATGCTGCAGAACTGAAATAAACAGTTTGCAAAAGCTGGATATTAGGGTATTGTTGCTAAAACAGGTTTTACCTTTACTTCCTCAAAGAGAATATTCTGATGATGGTTATTAAGTAAATCCTAACAGAATTATTAAGTTCTCGGTAATGAATACAGTGTAACTAAAGTATATGCAACTTTTATTTTTGTCCTTAGGTGGCGACAGACAAAGTTGCAGAAAAGCTGAGCTCTACTCTCTCATGGGTGAAGAACACAGTATCGCATACAGTCAGTCAGATGGCCAGTCAGGTGGCAAGTCCATCTACTTCATTACATACCACATCCTCATCTACCACACTATCAACACCAGCCCTTTCACCATCTTCCCCATCACAGTTGAGTCCAGACGACTTAGAACTCCTGGCTAAACTGGAAGAACAGAATAGGTGAGTGAGGTTGCTTAGCTTTTTTCTCTCCAATTATACAAATCCAGCCATTCATATTTACTTACACTAGAATTTTTTTTTCTATTTTTTGGTTTCTTATTTATCAAAGTTATTTACAGAAGTGTTCATCTTTTTTGGGGGGAGATTGGTCTTAAAAGAGACTAACATTTTCTTCTGGCTCAAATAGCTTTAGAGATTTGTTTTCTTAATATAGCAAATTCCCTAAATCCTTCTTGAATTTTATCAATTTTTTAAAAAGTAAATGAAACTATAACTTTATAATTTTAAACTCTCTGAACAGTCTCCTTTGGTAAAAGCATAAAATAATTTAATCCAGTATAGATATCTGATTTGTGGTTTAGAGTGCAAAATCTTTTCATAAATTATTCATAGAAAGCAAAATATCCTTTTCTCCTAATGGTATTAAATAGAATAGTTTTCTGCTCTGCTAGGAATGCATATTCCGGACTCCGTTTGTTTCCTTACCATGTTATTGTCAGAGGCTCTTTAGGGCATCATCTCTTTTATATATTTATTTATATATATATAATATATATTATAATAGATTATATTATAATAATATATAATATACAAAATATATAATATACTTTATAATATGTTATATATAACATATATCATATTATATTTTAATATGATTATATTATATTATATTATATATAATATAATATTGTATATTTCAATCATATATATGTTATATATAATATATTTTGTTGAATTATATAATTATATATATATATGACATATATCATATATCATATAATTATATATAATACATAATATAATATATACATTATATACATATGGAAGAGCACCCTTTTGTGCTCAGTCAAGCTATATAATGCTACTGGCTTAAAATCATAACAAAAATAACTTTTAACAGGTTTTTTGATGTATTGTTGTAATCAACTATGCGTAAACTGTACAATTTGATACATTCTGACATATGTATACACCTGTGAAATTGTCGCCAAAATCAAGAAAATGAACATCTCCATTATCCCCGTCGCTGTCCCCAGGCAGCCACTGTAGTTTGCATTTTCTAGAATTTTGTAGAAATGGAATCATACAGTATGTAGTTTTTTTGGTATGGATTATTTCACTCAGCATAATTTTGAAAGTCATGTTATAGCACATATTGATAGTTGATTCCTTTTTATAGTATTCCATCATGTGGAAATAGCACAGTTTATTCACTCACCTGTTGCTATTAAATGCCATAAACATTTGTGTTTAAGCCTTTGCATGGATATATGCTTTCATTTCTCTTGGAATGGAATGACTGGATCATATGGTAGGTATATGTTTAACTGCCAAACTGTTTTTCAAAGGGCCTGTATTTTTGATATCCCGCCAGCAGTGTATGAAATTACCAGTTCTTCTACATCCTTGTCAACACTTGGTATGATCAGTCTTTTTAGTTTAAGCCATTTTATTAGGTATTAGTATCTCTGGTTTTAATTTGCATTTCTCTGTTGGTTTTGAGCATCTTTTTATGTGTTTATTTGTCATCTGTATATATTCTTTGATTTTTAAAAAAAAATTTGATTATTTGCTTTCTTATTACTATGTTTGGAGAGTTCTTTATATGTTTGGGGTAAAAGTCTTGTATCAAGCACATGACTTTCAAATTCTTCCCCCAGCTGGCAGCTTACCATTCTCTTAAAAGTGTCTTTCAAAAAGCAGAAGTTTTATCTTATTTTATTTATCTTTGAGCATTCCAAGTTTACTCCTTTAAGTAAATCTAAAGCCACTATACATGTCCATGACAATTAGAATAGAAAAGAGACAAAGGATAAATAGAAATATTTTCTGTTGGAGGTGGAGCTTGCAGTGAGCGGAGATCATGCCACTGCACTGCAGCCTGGGCGACAGAGTGAGACTCCGTCTCAAAAAAAAAAGAAGAAAAAGAAATAGTTTCTGTTCTGCTTATAGTAGTATTTTCTGGGTGTCAATAGAAAACATCAGTCAAGAGCATTTATCTGAATTTGTTGGTAAAATGTAGTTACTTTCGGCAAGTGTTTTGCTTTGGTATTTATACACGGACCGTAATGAAGTTGAGCTATCCCATCTTTCTTCTCATTTGTAACACATTCATACAAACAAAAAAGATGAATCCTACTGGAAGTGGGTCTTTATCAGAAATATGCCCCAATGCAGTTAAGTGATACCAAGAAAATCATTCTCTCATCCTAGGCCTAACATTCTTCATGCAAAAATTAGGAGATTGAATGAATATGATCTGTAAGTTCCTACAATTAATGTATATACATCAATTTATACATCATGATGTAGGTAGACAGCGAGGCTATACTTTCCGGCCCCCATGATGCTAGGCGTGGCCATATAACTTGCTTAAAGCAAATATGGTACATGTGTCTTGTAAGAGAAAACTGAAGTTTCTTTCATCTCTTGCTTCCTCTGCCAAAAGAATGACAGTGTCCCAAAAGGGACTTTGCTTCACTTTTGATCCTGGAGTGAAGATGACTTGGAGCAGTGCTACAGCCAGTCAACAGCTGACAGTACTCAACAGGAAACGCACCTTTGTTGTTGTTAACTGCAGCATAACCTAATGAAAGCTAATTAATTATAATAATTTGCAAATAATTGAGGATCAGCACATAGTTAAAACACAAACACTCAAATTTAATAGAAAGCTGATAATGTAGACCGGGTGCTGTGTCTCACGCCTGTAATCCCAGTACTTTGGGAGGCTGAGGTGGGCGGATTGCCCAGTCTCAGGAGTTCGAGACCACCTTGGGCAACATGGTGAAACCTCATCTTTACTAAAATTAAAAAAAAAAAAATTAGCTGGGTGTGGTGGCGCGTGCCTGTAGTTCCAGCTACTCGGGAGGCTGAGGCAGGAAATTGCTTGAGCGTGGGAGGTGGAGGTTGCAGTTAGCTGAGATCATGCCACTGCATTCCAGCTTGGGCTATGGAGTAAGAGTCCGTCTCATTTAAAAAAAAAAAAAAGATGATAATGTAAAATACGACATCAGTGGAAATAAGTTAAAAAGCAACTTTTAAGAATTAAAAAAAGAAATTGTAGTAAAAGAAATTGACTTAACCATGTATGTAGAATTTTCCTTGTGATTTCTGGCCCGAATCCTTGAATGACTATTCCAAGTAAGATTCAACATTTTTACAAAATTATCATTCATCATTAAGATACTCCAAGATTTTATTTCCACCATTTTATAAAGGACAATCCAATTTAGCAATCCAGGTTTCCAAAGTAAGTTCTAAGGATAAGGCTTCTCCTGAAGTAATGTGACACAACCTTAATTTCTTAGCTGTTAATTTTTTTTTTCTTTTTTTTTTTTAAATAAAATGGAGACGAGGTCTCACTGTATTGCCCAGGCTGGTCTCAAACTCCTGGTCTCAAGTGATCCTCCTGCCTCGGCCTCCCAACATGTCAGGATTACAGGTGTGAGCCACTGTGCCTGGCCTGTTAGTGTAATTTTTTTTTTTTTTTTTTTTTGAGATGGAGTCTCACATGTCTCCCAGGCTGGAGTGCAGTGGTGCGATCTCTGCTCACTGCAATGTCTGCCTCCTGGGTTCAAGCAATTCTTCTCCCTCAGCCTCCCAAGTAGCTAGGATTACAGGTGCCCGCCACCACGCCCAGCTAATATTTTGTATTTTTAGTAGTGACGGTGTTTCTCTATGTTGGCCAGGCTGGTCTCAAACTCCTGACCTTGTGATCCGCCCTCCTCAGCCTCCCAAAGTGCCAGGATTACAGACGTGAGCCACCGTGCCCAGCCTATTGTCAAAGCTTTAAGACTGGCCAGAGAAGTGGCAAAGTTTGTGACCTTTCTGATGCTTCATCCATGGAAAAGAACATTGGTTTGCCCTTCTCTTTGCTCCCCTTAGGTAAGAAAACTTGAAAGCAAATAGTTTCTCCCTGTGGCAGTGATATATCTCCATCAGCATATATCCTCAATTTCAATGCAATTCCTTTGCAGCTGTTTCACTATTTTTTGTCACCTTTCCCTTCTTTGCTTGCTGTCTCTCCTGTTTTGGAATCAATGTCTTTAACAAGTTACTGAGTGGCAGTCATGTAAGGCTTTGGGATTTCCAGTTTTTCACACTTGTGATCTGACTGATGATGGTGTCTCAGGCAAAAATTATTCTCACAGTAAGGACGTATAACTGCCACAAGTTTTTCAACACGGTCCTTGAATGAGCATGGGTAAAATTTATGTTTATGTCTTCAGTCTCTCATTGATTACAGTCATCTCAGGACAACCATGAGACTGCCGCCAGCTTTTGTATTCAAGGCAAAATATTCCTGAGTATCACACACAAATGAAAGAAAATCTGGCAGTGCTGCCCAGTGTTCAACTGTGCCATCTCTCTCGTGCCACTAAAGAACAGAAATTTTAAATTTTGATTAAGTTACAATTTCAAATTGTTCTTTTATGGATTGTGCTTTCGGTGATCCAAGATTATACCGTTTCTCTCCTATTTTTTTCCTGAACGTTTTATAGTTTTAAGTTTGACATTTAGCTCTGTGATACATTTGGAGTTCATTTTTTGAATATGGACATCTAATTATTCCTGTACCATTTATTGAAATGGCTGTTCTTTCTTTACTTAATTACTTTTGCATTTTTGTCAGATATCAGTTGTCTGTATGTGTATGAGTCTATTTCTGGGCTCTATTCTGTTCTGTTGGTCTACATGTCTATCTTAATACTAGCACTATACTGCCTTGATTATTGTAGGCTTATACTGAGTCTTGAAATCAGATAGTGTTAGGCCTCCACTGTTGTTCTTTTTTTGGCCTATTTTTGGTCCTTGGCATCCCCAAATGAATTTTACAATCAAGTTGTTAATTTCTACAAAAACGCCTGCTGAAATTTTGGTTGGGATTGCATTAAATCTCTAACAATATTGCCTTCCTCCCCATGAACACAATGTATTTCTCAATTATTATTTGTCAATGGTATTGTTTTTGTAAACTTCATTTTTAATTTTTCATTGCTGGCATATAGAACTACAATTGTCAACACCTTCTGTGTTAAAAAGAAAATACAATTGTATTTCTTTTTTTGTTTTTTTGAAATGGGGCCTCACTCACTCAGGCTGGAGTGCAGTGGTGTGATCTCTGCTCACTGTGACCTCTGCCTCCTGAGTTGAAGCAATTCTTCTCCCTCAGCCTCCTGAGTAGCTAGGATTATAGGCATGTGCCACTATGACGGCTAATTTTTGTATTTTTAGTAGAGATGGGGTTTCACCATGTTGGCCAGACTGGTCTCGAGCTCCTGACCTCAAGTGATTTGCCTACCTCGGCCTCCCAAAGTGCTGGGATTACAGGCCTGAGCCACTGTGCCTGGCTCTACAATTGTTTTTCTTATATTGATTCATGTATCCTGCAGCTTTGCTAAACTCAGTTATTGTTTTGGTAGTTTTTTTTGGTTTTTGTCTAGATTCCATTAGATTTGCTATGTAGATGAGCCTATCATCTGTGAATAAGAGCACTTTTGCTTCTTTCCAATCTGGATGCCTTTTATTTATTTTCTTGACCATTGCTACTAACTGGGAACCTCCTGTATAAATTTGAATGGAAGTGGTGAACAGACATACCTGTTCTTTTTCTGATCTTAAGAAGAAAGCATTAAGCTTGATGTTAACTGTATTTTTTGGATATGGCCTTTGTCAGATTGAGGAAGTTCCTTTTTTTTTTTTTTTTTTTTGTGAGAGAAGGTCTTGCTTTGTCACCAAGGCTGGAATGCAGTGGCATAATCATGGCTTGCTGCTGCCTTGGTCTCCTGGGCTCAAGTGATCCTTCCACCTCAGCCTCCTGAGTAGCTAGAATTACATGCATGCACCACTACACTTGGTTAATTTTTTTTTTTAATATTTTTGTAGAGACGGGGTCTTGCTTCGTTGCCTGGATTAATCTCAAACTCCTGGCTTCAAGGACTTGGGTTCCCAAAGTGCTGGGATTACAGGCGTGAACCACTGTGACCAGCCGCTTTCCATTTCTTTCTTTCTCCATTTCCTTCTTTCTTTCTTTTAGAGATGGGGGTCTTGCTCTGTCACTTAGGCTGCTGTAGTGCAGTGGCACAATCAGGGCTTGCTGTAGCCTTCTCCTGGGCTCAAGTGATTCTCCAAGCCCTGCCTCCTGGGATTACAGGCACGTGCCATCATGCCTGGCTAACTTTTGTACTTTTTTGTAGAGATGGGGTTTTGCCATATTGCCCAGGCTGGTCTTAAACTCCTGGGCTCAAGTGATCCTCCTGCCTCTGCCTCCCAAAGGCTGGCATTACCGGCATTAGCTATTGCACTTGACACCTCTTTCTATTTCTTGTTTGCTGAGAATTTATGTAAAACAGATTTTGGATTTTGTCAAATGCTTTTTTTGCCTCTACTGAAATGATCATTAATGGTTTTCTTCTTTCAGTCTGATAATACGGCAAATTACATTGATTTTTCAATGTTAAACCGACTTTACATTCTTAGGATAAACCCCACTTCATCATTATATCTTTTCTTTGTAAAGTATTGGATTCAATTTGCTAAAATTTTGTTTGTGATACAGTCTGCGCTCCATATCCACAAGTTCTGCATTTGCAGAACCACAGATGGAAAATACATTTTAAAATAAGAAATAACATACAACAATAAAAATAATACAAATAAAAAATACATATAACTATTATATAATGTTTACATTGTATTAGGTACTAAAAGTCATCCAGAGCTGATTTAAAATATAAGGAGGATGTGCATAGGTCATATGCAAATACTATACCATTTGATCTAAGGACGTCACCACCCACACATTTTGGTATCTTTGGTATCTTTGGTATCAGGGAACCAATCCCTGAAGGATATGGAGAGTTGAATGTATTTGCATCTGTGTTCATGAGGGAAATGGATATGAAGTTGTCTTCAAAAGTCCTTGACCTTTATCGGTAATATGTTGTCACCTTGTAATGTCTGTGTGACCTTTCTTTTCTAATAAAGTCATTTAGTGCTATATAGTAGTCCCCCCTTATGTGTGCGGGATACTTTCCAAGACACCCAGGAGATACCTGAAACTGTGGATAGTTTCAGACCTCATTGTCATCAACTGAAACGTATTTCTGTTCATGACTTCTACTCACAAATTTAATGCTGTTTTCATCTTAATTAAGCATTTATCATACATTGTGACCATAACTTTTGTAGTTTGAAGTGCAAGAATAAAATCAGTATGAATTTATTTTTCCTTCACAGTTTCACAGATAGAAGATTTATTCTTACCATAAATCTTAGCAGCCTCAGCATTCAATTTTGTTTGTTTCCTTATTAAGTAGAGAACTTTCACCTTCTCACTTGAAGGAAGCACTTTAACAGCTTCCCTTTGACATATTCAAATTGCCAGCATCACTACTTTTGTGGTTTGGGGCCGTTATTAAGTAAAATAAGGGTGGGTTGAATGCAATCACTGTGATATCGCAATAGTATATCTGATAACTGACTCAGATGGTTACTAAATATTAGCCAGCTGGTAGCACATACAGCATGGGTACACTGGGCAAGGGGATGATTCACTTCCCAGGCAGGACGGAGTAGCATGGCATGAGATTTCATCGTGCTGCTCAGAATGGTACACAATTTAAAACTTTTGAATTATTTACTTCTGGAACTTTCTGTTTAATATTTTTGGACTACAGTTGATTGTGCATAATTGAAACCATGATTCGCTGGGCCCGGTGGCTCATGCCTGTAATCTTAGCACTTTGGGAGGCCAAGGTGGGCGGATCACCTGAGATCAGGAGTTCAAGACCAACCTGGCCAACATGGCGAAACCCTGTCTCTACTAAAAATACAACAATTAGCTGGGCATGGTGGCGGGTGCCTGTAATCCCAGCTACTCCAGAGGGTGAGGCAGGAGAACTGTTTGAACCCAGGAGACAGAGATTGCAGTGAGCAGAGATCGCGCCTCTGTACTCTGCACTCTAGCCTGGGCGACAGAGCGAGACTTTGTCTCCAAAAAAAAAAGAAAAAAAAGAAACCATGGCAAGTGAAACTGTGGATAAGGGGTGACTATTATTGGTACATCTTTGTTGGCTTTCTGTTTACATGTTATATCAGATATTGAGAGAAGAGCAGTAACTTCAAATTATAATTGTGGATTTATCTATTTCTTTTTAAATTCTGTCTTTCATGTAATTTGGAGTTCTATTTTAGGTATATAAACATTTAGGATTGTTATATCCTCTTGTAAAATGACCTTCTTTATCTTTGGTAATGTTGTTTCCTTGGAAATCTACTTTATCTTATATTAATATAGTCACTCTAGCTTCCTTTTGAATAGTGTTAACATCTTATATATTTTCCCAGCCTTTTGCTTGTATTCTATTTTTTTTTGTTTATCTTTAACTTTTTTTTTTTTGAGACAGGGTCGCACTCTGTCACCCAGGCTGGAGTGCAATGGTATGATCATGGCTCACTGCAGCCTTCATCTCCCAGACTCAAGCAGTTCTTCCATCTCAGCCTCCCAAGTAGCTGGGACTACAAAATTTTATTATTTTTTTAAGAGATGGGGTCCCACTATGTTGCCCAGGCTGTTCTTGAACTCCCGGATTCAAGCAATCCTCTCACCTCAGCCTCCTAAAATGTTTGGATTACATGTGTGAGCCATCATACCTAGAAAAAATCTTTGGAGTTTGTCTGTTAGTAGCATTTAGTTGGGTTTTGCTTTTAAAAATACAATCTGACAATCTTTGTCTTTTAATTGGGTTATTTAAGCCATTTTATTTTTTTAAAAAATTAAAGTTTTATTTTTTGCTCACATTTACATTCATCTCAATTAGTAGGTTGGATACATCTTTGCTTTACTGTGCTTTGTTCTGTGACCGCAGCCGGCATCTATCTGGGATAAATCAGACTCATGACAGACAGAAAAGAGATCTAGTTGAAATACCTTAAAGCATCCCCTAGGGAGTGGTATACATAATTTCTACTTAAATTTTATTGGCCAAAGTAAGTCAGATGGCCAAACCTTTTATGAGCAAATCTAGCAGGGATGGATCTAAAATTCACACTTTTAAAGGGTACAGTTTAGTGGTTTTTAATATGTTCACAAATTTGTGCCATTATTACTACTATCCAAACTCCCATTCAGAATATTTCCATCACCCCAAAAAGAAACTCTGTACCCATTAGTCTCCTCATTCACCTTCCTTCCAGCCCCTGGTAACCACTAATATATTTTCTGTCTCTATGGATTTGCCTATTCTGGACATTTCATTATGATGGATACAATAAGTGGCCTTTTGTAACCGACTTCTTTCATACAACATAATGTTTTTGAGATTTTTGAGGAAAATAGGTTATTTACATTTAAGGTGATTATTAATATTGTTATATTTAAACTTGTCTTATATTGTTTCCTTTAATTCTGCCATCTTTGACTTTATTGAATATTTTTATGATTTTGTTATAGTTCATTTATTGATTTATAAGCTATAACTGTTATTTTGGTGGTTGTGTTAAGATTTATAATATAAATCTTTAACTTATCAGTCTGACTTTGAGGGTTATACCACTTCACATGTACTGTAAGCACCTTATAATAGCACACTTGCATTTCTCCTGTCCAGTCCTTTGTACCAGTTTTGTCATGCATTTTACTTTTATATGTGTTATAAACTCTACACTACATTATTTTTTAACTCAACAGTCAATTATCTTTAAATGAGATTGAAATAATAAGAAAAAACTTTTATGTGTTTACCTATTTAGTTACCATTTCTAATGCTCTTCTGTCCTTTCTTTAGATCCAGATTTCCATCTGATATTTCCTTCTTGAAATACTTTTTCTTTAACATTTCATGTAGTTGGTGGTATTGGTGATGAATTATTTAGCGTTTGTATGTTTGAGAAGGTCATCATTTTGGCTTTGATTTTTACATATATTTCTTTGACTATAGAATTCTATTTAATAGGTTGACAGTTTTTATTTTCCAAATATTTTAATGTTGCGATTTCATTGATTTCTCTCTTGTGTTTTCAGTGAGAAATTCAGTGTGTTCCTTGTCTTTTTGTTTGTTTGTTACTCTCAAGCACATTTGTTTCTTTGTATATGTCTCTTTTCTCTGCTTTATCACTGGTTTTAAGCAATTTGATTCTGAGGTGTCATTGTTTTTTCCATGTTTCTTACATTTGTGATGTATTGAACTTCTTATGGATTTATAGTTTTCTTCAAATGTGGAAATTTTGGAGCCAATGTTTTCTTCAGATAATTTTTTGTCCCTTTCTTGCCTCTTCTTTAGAGACTCTAAGTACACACATATTAGGCCACTTGAAGTTGTTCCACAGCTCACTGATGCTTTGTTCATTTTTTGGAAAGTTGCTACGTATTCAAATTCACTAATACTGTCTTTTGCCATATCTAAGTTGCTATTAATCCCATCTAGTGTATTTTTTATCTCTCACATTGTGTTATAGTTTTATCTTTAGAAGCTAGAGCTGAGTGTTTTTTAATATGTCTCTATTAAACTTTTGAATATATAGGATACAGTTATAATAACTTTTAATGGGCTCTCTGGTCATTCTAACATTTGAGTTAATGCTGGTTTGCTTTTGATGGATTGATTTCCCCCCCACCTCATTATTGGTTATGCTTTTCTTCTGCTTTGCATGCCCGATTTTTTTTTTTTTTTAAACAAAATCTCACTCTGTCACCCAGGCTTGAGTACAGTGGCGTGACCACGGCTCACTGCAGCTTTGACCTCCTTGGCTCAGGTGATCCTTCGACCTCTGCCTCCCAAGTGGCTGGGACTACAGGTGTGTGCCATCATGCCCTGCTAATTTTTGTATTTTTTGTAGAGATGGGGTTTCACCGTGTTATTCAGGCTGGTCTCAAAGCCTGATAATTTTTTATTGAATACCTGAGATTGTGAATTTTATCTTGTCGTGTTTGACTATTTTCTATTTTCCTATAAATATTCTTGAATTTTGTTCTGGCATGCAGTTAAATTACTTCAAAAGAATTTGTTCTGGAGTAATACAGAACCTAGGACTATTATTCCCCCCTACTGAGGCGAGACCCTTTTGTGTACTCTTCCCAATGTGTCTTGAAACAGTAACTTTTCCAGTCTGGCTGGTGAGGATAGGTATAATTTTCTACCATGTGTGAATGTTAGCCATGGTTACATCTAATCTTTTCTGGTGGTTGATTCTCTGGCCATGGATAGTTTCCTTACATGAATGCATTGATCAGTTCCCAGCTGAATATTTGATGGAGATCTACCTATCTCTGAAGATCTCTGTATAGTTCTTTCATCTCTGGTCATGACCTGTGAACTCTAGACACCTTGGTCTCACTGCCATTGAGTACCTGAAATATGGTTTATCTGACTTGCAATGACTCTTCTCATCATCTCCTCAGTTCAGGGAGCACACAAGACTGTATCTCAATTTTCCCCACCTGTTATAGGGCCCTGAAACTGAATTTCAAGGTGGTTAAAATGGCAGTCACAGAGTTTACTTTACTTATGTCCCGAGTCTCAGGAATTCTTCTCCAATGCTGCCTGTTGTCTGAAGTCTTTATTTATATATATATTTATTTTTTTTAAAGACAGGGTCTTACTCTGTTGCTCAGGCTGGAGTGCAATGGTGCCATCACAGCTCACTGCATCCTTGACCTCCTGGGCTCGGGTGATCCTTCCACCTCTGCCTCCCGAGTAGCTGGGACTATAGGTGTGTGCCACTATGCCCAGCTAATTTTTGTACTTTTTATAGAGATGGGGTTTCGCCGTGTTGTCCAGGCTTGTCTCGAACGCCTGGGCTGAAGCAATCTGCCCACCTTGGCCTCCCAGGGTGTTGGAATTACAGGCATGAATGAGTGTGCCAAGCCTAAAGTCTTGAAAATCATTGTTCGATATAATTTAATGTATTTTGTTCAATATTTTTTGGTTTCAGGAAAGAGGGTAAAGCTAGTCTCTATTATTTAATCACGGCAAGAATGAAATAATTTTTCATATAAAGTTTTGTATTTTCCTTTGGCATGGTATCGGAGGAACCAGCCCCCAGTATTTCAACGTAGGTTCTTTTCTATTTTCCCTAAGTGTCGGCCGGTCTGAGAAATAAAGAGAAAGAGTACAAAGAGATAAATTTTACAGCTGGGCCTCAGGGGGTGTCATCACATATTGGTAGGACCTTGATGATGACCCCGAGCTGCAAAACCAGCAAGTTTTTATTAGGGATTTTAAAAGGGGAGGGGGTGGAACAGGGAGTAGGTCACAAGGATCACATGCTTTAAAGGGCAATAAAGATCACAAGGCAAGGCAAAATTAGAATTACTGATGAGGGTCTATGTCCCACTGTGCACGCATTGTCTTGATAAACATCTTAACAGGAAACAGGGTTCGAGAGCAGACAACCAGTCTGACTAGAATTTAACAGGCTGGAATTTCCCAATCCTAGTAAGTCTGAGGGTACTGCAGGAGACCAGGGCGTATTTCAGTCCTTATCTCAACCGCGTAAGACAGACATTCCCAGAGCAGCCGTTCATAGACCTACCCACAGGAATTGCATTCCTTCCCCAGGGTTATTCCTTGCTGGGAAAATAATTCAGCGATATTTCTGCTACTCACTTTCTGCAAGAAGAAAAATATGGCTCTGTTCTGCTCGACCCCGCAAGCAGTCAGACCTTATGGTTATCTTCCCTTGTTCCCTGAAAATCGCTGTTATTCTGTTCTTTTTCAGGGTGCACTGATTTTCTATTGTTCAAACACACATATTTTACAATCAATTTGTACAATAGTGATCCTGAGGTGACGTATATTCTCAGTTTACGAAGATAACAGGATTAAGAGATTAAAGTAAAGACATGCCTAAGAAATTATAAGAGTATTGATTGGAGAAGTGATAAATGTCCATGAAATCTTCATAATTTATGTTCAGAGATTGCAGTAAAGACAGGTGTAAGAAATTATCAAAGTATTAATTTTGGGAACTGATAAATGTCCATGAAATCTTCACAATTTATCTTCTTCTGCCTTGGCTCCAGCCGGTCCCTCCGTTCAGGGTCCCTGACTTCCCGCAACAGCATGGGAAGAAGTCTGAATAGAATTAGAAAAATTGATTTATATTATTTGACAATTAGATATTGGACTTAATATCATGTATAAATATATTGTGAATGTTACTTCTGCTTAGCTTTAAAAAAATGTACTGCTGAGGTAATTATTGAAGTAATTTTATAATTTTACTGCTGAGATTATTTTTACTTTAAATAGACCTGTCCTCAGACTTGGTCCCTTCCTATTGAGATGGAGACAGACAACAGTAGCTTGAAGGAAATTCACAGGGAACAGGATTAGGAACTATAGATTTTGAGTCTGGCTTAATTGAGCCCCAGGAATAGGACCTAATATCAACTCATGCAAACCTGGTGATAGAAAATACTGCTTTCTTATCATTTCTTAGGAAGCCCTTTTAAAGGTTTTCTTTGGCTCTCAGCACTCAGTGGGTAAGGTAGAAAGCTGGGTGTGCCACATAACTTTTTGTGGGTTTAGTGTGTGTATATGTGTTTTGGTTTTAACTTTTTACCCCTTTGTTTACTACATTTGAAAGATTTTGAGCAAATCCTCTGGTCAGAAGTTTTGGGAAGAGATAGTCTTTTAAAATAATATGTAGATTCTGAAAGTTTCTTGGATAAGATGAAATTAGAAGAGGATCTTGAAAGATCAAAGTGGAGTGTTAGGTTGTGTGAGGGCTGTTATGAGCAAATAGGTTCTCAGAAAAGGAAATGAAAGGGACTATTAAATAGAGCAAAAGGAGATATGTGATAGAAAAATAGTGGGAAAACCAAACACTGCATGTTCTCACTCATAGGTGAGAATTGAACAGTGAGAACACATGGACACAGGAAGGGGAACATCACACACTGGGGACGGTTGTGGGGTGGGGGGAGGGGGGAAGGATAGCATTAGGAGATATACCTAATGCTAAATGACGAGGTAATGGGTGCAGCACACCAACATGGCTCATGTATACATATATAACAAACCTGCACGTTGTGCACATGTACCCTAAAACTTAAAAGTCTAATAATAATAAAATTTAAAAAAAAGATATTGATCAAAGGATATGAAATATCAGTTAGATAAGAGGAATAAGTTCAAGAGATCTATAGTATAATACAGTTACTATTGTTAATAACAGTATATTATATTCCTGAAAATTGCTAAGAGAGTAGCTTTTGTGTTCTTACCACAAAAAAAAGTATGAGAGGTAATGAGTATGTGAATTAGCTTGATTTAGCCATGTGGTACATGATAAATATATACAATTTGTATTTGTCAGCATAAAATATAATTTTAAGTAATTAAAATAGTGGGACATGAAGTTGGGGCAGGACTGACAAAGTAAAGCACTTACAGACAGTGCTAAAGGGTATAAAGGATTTTTAAGTGTTCAGTTGGTTATTATATACAAGGATGAAGTAGTTTCCAGTAAAGATAACTTCTGGTATAGATTTTGTAAGTGACCAAAGTTGAATTTATTTTTACGGTTGTGATCAGTAATTACTGTGCAACTAAAATACACAAAGCGTTATATTAAAATTGTTGTAGGTAAGGTGTGGTTGTAGATGAATTGCTTATTCCCATACAATTCACAATTTACCCCAGAATACCAGATGTGTTTAATATATATGTTGACAACTAAGGAATAATTACTGGAGTTTTAAAAAAAATTATTGTTATACTTTAAGTTCTAGGGTACATGTGCACAACGTACAGGTTTGTTATATAGGTATACATGTGCCATGTTGGTTTGCTGCACCCATTAACTCATCGTTTACATTAGGTATTTCTCCTAATGCTATCCCTCCCCCAGCCCTCCACCCCTTGACAGGCACCAGGGTGTGATGTTTCCCTCCCTGTGTCCAAGTGTTTTCATTGTTCAATTCCCACCTATGAGTGAGAACATACAGTGTTTGGTTTTCAGTCCTTATGATAGTTTGCTCAGAATGATGGTTTCCAGCTTTATCCATGTCCCTACAAAGTACATGAACTCATCCTTTTTTATGGCTGCATAGTATTCCATGGTATATATGTGCCACATTTTCTTAATCCAGTCTATCATTGATGGACATTTGGGTTGGTTCCAAGTTTTTGCTATTGTGAATAGTGCCGCAATAAACATACGTGTGCATGTATCTTTATAGTAGCATGATTTATAATCCTTTGGGTATATACCCAGTAATGGGATCACTGAGTCAAGTGGTATTTCTAGTTCTAGATGCTTGAGGAATTGCCACACTGTCTTCCACAATGGTTGAACTAATTTACACTCCCACCAACAGTGTAAAAGCATTCCTATTTCTCCACATCCTCTCCAGCATCTGTTGTTTCCTGACTTTTTAATGATTGCCATTCTAACTGGCTTGAGATGGTATGGTATCTCATTGTGGTTTTGATTTGCATTTCTCTGATGACCAGTGATGATGAGCATTTTTTCATTTGTATGCTGCATAAATGTCTTCTTTTGAGAAGTGTCTGTTTATAACCTTTGCCCATTTTTTGATGGGGTTGTTTGTTTTTTTCTTGTAAATTTGTTTAAGTTCTTTGTAGATTTTAGATATTAGCCCTTTGTCAGTTGGGTAGATTGCAAAGATTTTTTCCCATTCTGTAGGTTGCCTGTTCACTCTGATGGTAGTTTCTTTTGCTGTGCAGAAGCTCTTTAGTTTAATTAGATCCCATTTGTTAATTTTGGCTTTTGTTGCCATTGCTTTTGGTGTTTTAGTCATGAAGTCCTTGCCCATGCCTGTGTCCTGAATGGTATTGCTTAGGTTTTCTTCTAGGGTTTTTATGGTTCAGGTCTAACATTTAAGTCTTTAATCCATCTTGAATTACTTTTTGTATAAGGTGTAAGGAAGGGATCCAGTTTCAGCTTTCTACATATGGCTAGCCAGTTTTCCCAGCATCATTTATTAAATAGGGAATCCTTTCCCCATTTTTTGTTTTTGTCAGGTTTGTCAAAGAGCAGATGGTTGTAGATGTGCGGTGTTATTTCTGAGGCCTCTGTTCTGTTCTATTGGTCTATATCTCTGTTTTGATACCAGTACCATGCTGTTTTGGTTACTGTAGCCTTGTAGTGTAGTTTGAAGTCAGGTGGCATGATGCTTCCAGCTTTGTTCTTTTTGCTTAGGATTGTTTCGGCAATGTGGGCTCTTTTTTGGTTCCATATGAACTTTAAAGTAGTTTTTTCCAATTCTGTGAAGAAAGTCAATTGTAGCTTCATGGGGATAGCATTGAATCTATAAATTACTTTGGGCAGTATGGCCATTTTCACAGTATTGATTCTTCCTATTCATGAGCATGGAATGTTCTTCCATTTGTTTGTGTCCTCTTTTATTTTGTTGAGCAGTGGTTTGTAGTTCTCCTTGAAGAGGTCCTTCACATCCCTTGTAAATTGGATTCCTAGGTGTTTTATTCTATTTGTAGCAATTGTGAATGGGAGTTTGCTCATAATTTGGCTGTCTGTTATTGGTTTATAAGAATGCTTGTGATTTTTGCACATTGATTTTGTATGAAGTTGCTTATCAGCTTAAGGAGATTTTGGGCTGAGACAATGGGGTTTTACAAATATACAATCACGTCATCTGCAAACAGGAGCAATTTGACTTCCTCTTTTCCTAATTGAATATCCTTTATTTCTTTCTCTTGCCTGATTACCCTGGCGAGAACTTCCAACAGTATGTTGAATAGGAGTGGAGAGAGAGGGCATCCCTGTCTTGTGCCGGTTTTCAAAGGGAATGCTTCCAGTTTTTGCCCATTCAGTATGATATTGGCTGTGGGTTTGTCATAAATAGCTCTTATTATTTTGAGATATGTTCCATCAATACCTAGTTTATTGAGAGCTTTTAGCATGAAGGACTGTTGAATTTTGTCGAAGACCTTTTCTGCATCTATTGAGATAATCATGTGGTTTTTGTCGTTGGTTCTGTTTATGTGATGGATTACGTTTATTGATTTGTGTATGTTGAACCAGCCTTGCATCCCAGGGATGAAGGCCACTTTGTCATAGTGGATAAGCTTTTTGATGTGCTGCTGGATTCGGTTTGCCAGTATTTTATTGAGGATTTTCACATTGATGTTCATGAGGGATGTTGGTCTAAAATTCTCTTTTTTTCATCGTGTCTCTGCCAACCTTTGGTATCAGGATGATGCTGGCCTCAGAAAATGAGTTAGGGAGGATTCCCTCTTTTTCTATTGATTGGAATATTTTCAGAAGAAATGGTACCATCTCCTCTTTGTACCTCTGGTAGAATTCGGCTGTGAATCCATCTGGTCCTGAACTTTTTTTCGTTGGTAGGGTATTAATTATTGCCTCAATTTCAGAGCCTGTTATTGGTATATTCAGAGATTCGGCTTCTTCCTGGTTTAGCTTGGGAAGGTGTATGTGTCCAGGATTCATCCATTTCTTCTAGATTTTTCTTGTTTATTTGCACAGAGGTGTTTATTATATTCTCTGACGGTAGTTTGTATTTCTGTGGGATCGGTGGTGATATCCCTCTTATAATTTTTTTATTATGTCTATTTGATTCTTCTCTCTTTTCTTCTTTATTAATCTTGCTTGAGGTCTATCAATTTTGTTGATCTTTTCAAAAAACCAGCTCCTGGATTCACCGATTTTTTTTGAAGGGTTTTTTGTGTCTCTATCTCCTTCAGTTCTGCTCTGTTCTTAGTTATTTCTTGCCTTCTGCTAACTTTTGAATTTGTTTGCTCTTGCTTCTCTAGTTCTTTTAATTGTGATGTTATGGTGTCAATTTTAGATCTTTCCTGCTTTGTCTTGTGGGCATTTAGTGCTATAAATTTCCCTCTACACACTGCTTTAAATGTGTCCCAGAAATTCTGGTACATTGTGTCTTTGTTCTCATTGGTTTCAAAGAACATCTTTATTTCTGCCTTCATTTTGTTATTTACCCAGTCGTCATTCAGGAGCAGGTTGTTCAGTTTCCATATAATTGTGCGTTTTGAGTGAGTTTCTGAATCCTGAGTTCTAATTTGATTGCACTGTTGTCTGAGAGACCGTTTGTTGTGATTTCTGTTCTTTTATATTTGCTGAGGAGTGCTTTACTTCCAACTATGTGGTCAATTTTGGAATAAGTGCCATGTGGTGCTGAGAAGAATGTATATTCTGTTGATTTGCAGTGGAGAGTTCTGTAGATGTCTATTAGGTCTGCTTGCTCGAGAGCTGAGTTCAAGTCGTGGATATCCTTGTTAATGTTCTGTCTTGTTGATCTGTCTAATATTGACAGTGGGGTGTTAAAGTCTCCTGTTATTATTGTGTGGGAGTCTAAGTCTCTGTAGGTCTCTCAGGACTTGCTTTTTGAATCTGGGTGCTCCTGTATTGGGTGCATATATATTTAGGATAGTTAGCTCTTGTTGAATTGATCCCTTTACCATTATGTAGTGGCCTTCTTTGTCTCTTTTGATCTTTGTTGGTTTAAAATTTGTTTTATCAGAGACTAGGATTGCAACCCCTGGTTTTTTTTTTTGCTTTCCAATTGCTTGGTAGATCTTCCTCCATCCCTTTATTTTGAGCCTATGTGCGTCTTTGCACGTGAGATGGATCTTCTGAATACAGCACACTGATGGGTCTTGACTCTTTATCTAATTTGCCAGTCTGTGTCTTTTAATTGGAGCATTTAGCCCATTTACATTTAAGGTTAATATTGTTATGTGTGAATTTGATCCTGTCATTATG
Source organism: Homo sapiens (assembly GCF_000001405.40). Lineage (NCBI taxonomy): Eukaryota > Metazoa > Chordata > Mammalia > Primates > Hominidae > Homo > Homo sapiens. The sequence goes on along the minus strand of NC_000001.11, from coordinate 92,717,662 downwards.
ATGCTAGCTGGTTATTTTGCCCGTTAATTGATACAGTTTCTTCATAGTGTCGATGGTCTTTACAGTTTGTCATGTTTTTGCAGAGGCTGGTAACGGTTGTTCCTTTCCATGTTTAGTGCTTCCTTCAGGAGCTCTTGTAAGGCAGGCCTGGTGGTGACAAAATCTCTCAGCATTTGCTTGTCTGTAAAGGATTTTATTTCTCCTTCACTTCTGAAGCTTAGTTTGGCTGGATATGAAATTCTGTGTTGAAAATTCTTTTCTTTAAGAATGTTGAAGATTGGCCCCTACTCTCTTCTGGCTTGTAGAGTTTCTGCTGAGAGATCAGCTGTTAGTTTGATGGGCTTCCGTTTGTGGGTAACCCGACCTTTCTGTCTGCCCTTAACATTTTTTCCTTTATTTCAACCTTGGTGAATCTGACAATTATGTGTCTTGGGGTTGCTCTTCTTGAGGAGTATTTCATTAATTTGAACTTCAGTCACTGATATCCTTTCTTCCCCTTGATCAAATCAGCTATTGAAACTTGTGTATGCATCACGTAGTTCTCATGCCATGGTTTTCGGCTCCATCAAGTCATTTAAGGTCTTCTCTACACTGTTTATTCTAGTTAGCCATTCGTCTAATCTTTTTTCAAGGTTTTTAGCTGCCTTGTGATGGGTTCGAACATCCTCCTTTAGCTCGGAGAAGTTTGTTATTACTGACCTTCTGAAGCCTATTTCTGTCATCTCCTCAAAGTCATTCTCCATCCAGCTTTGTTCCGTTGCTGGCGAGGAGCTGCGATCCTTTGGAGGGGAAGAGGCGCTCTGGTTTTTAGAATCGAATTGGCTATTGAAGCTTGTGCATGCGTCATGTAGTTCTCATGCCATGGTTTTCAGCTCCATCAAGTCATTTAAGGTCTTCTCTACACTGTTTATTCTAGTTAGCCATTCGTCTAATCTTTTTTCAGGGTTTTTAGCTTCCTTGTGATGGGTTTGAACATCCTCCTTTAGCTTGGAGAAGTTTGTTATTACCGACCTTCTGAAGCCTATTTCTGTCAGCTCCTCAAAGTCATTCTCCATCCAGCTTTGTTCCGTTGCTGGCGAGGAGCTGCGATCCTTTGGAGGGAAAGAGGCGCTCTGGTTTTTAGAATTTTTAGCTTTTCTGCTCTGGTTTCTCCTCATCTTTGTGGTTTTATCTACCTTTGGTCTTTGATGTTGGTGACCTACACATGGGATTTTGGTGTGGATGTCCTTTTTGTTGATGTTGATGCTATTCCTTTCTGTTTGTTAGTTTTCCTTCTAACAGTCAGAACCCTCAGTTTCAGGTCTGTTGGAATTTGCCAGAGGTCCACTCCAGACCCTGTTTGCCTGGGTATCACCAGCAGAGGCTGCAGAACAGCAAATATTGCTGCCTGATCTTTCCTCTGGAAGCTCTGTCCCAGAGGGGCACCTGCCTGTATGAGGTGTCAGTCGGCCCCTACTGGGAGGTGTCTCCCAGTTAGGCTACATGGGGGTCAGGAACCCACTTGAGGAGGCAGTCTGTCTGTTCTTAGAGCTCAAACACCATGATGGGAGAACTACTGCTCTCTTCAGAGCTGTCAGACAGGAATATTTAAGTCTGTGGAAGTTTCTGCTGCCTTTTGTTCAGCTACACCTTGCCCCCCAGAGGTGGAGTTTATAGAGATAGCAAGCCTTGCAGCACTTTGGTGGGCTCCGACAAGTTTGAGCTTCCCGGCCGCTTTGTTTACCTACTCAAGCCTCAGCAATGGTGGATGTCCCTCCACCTGCCAGGCTGCTGCCTCGCAGGTCGATATCAGACTGCTGAGCTAGCAGTGAGCAAAGCTCTGTGGGTGTGGGACCCACCGAGCCAGGCGCGAGATATAATCTCCTGGTGTACCATTTGCTAAGACTGTTGGAAAAGCACAATATTTGAGCAGGAGTGTCCCGTTTTTCCAGGTACAGTCTGTCACTGCTTCCCTTGGTTAGGAAAGGGAAATCCCCCGAAGCCTTGTGCTTACTGGGTGAGGTGACGCCCCGCCCTGCTTTGGCTCGCCCTCTGTGGGCTGCACCCACTGTCCAACCAGTCTCAGTGAGATGAACCAGGTACCTCAGTTGGAAATGCAGAAATCACCCGTCTTCTGCGTCGATCACGCTGGGAGCTGCAGACCAGAGCTGTTCCTATTCAGCCATCTTGGAACACGCCTCCTTACTAGAGTTGTTGAAAGATGTTCAGAAAAGAGATTTTGACAAGAACTTGAAGAAATAAAAGGAGCAGAAGTTTAAGTCACTCTTTATTCTTGTGTGGAAGTACTAAAAAATTTGAACTTTTGGGTTCAAATTTTGAGTCGCGTGTGTGTATTTTTAAAAATCATTGAAACTGTCAGGGCACGGTGGCTTATGCCTGTAATCCCAGCACTTTGGGAGGCCGAGGCGGGTGGATCACCTGAGGTCAGGAGTTCGATACCAGCCCTGACCAATATGGTGAAACCCTGTCTCTACTAAAAATACAAAAAAATTAGCTGGACATGGTGGCAGGCACCTGTAGTCCCAGCTACTTGGAAGGCTGAGACAGGAGAATTGTTTGAACCTGGGAGGCGGAGGTTGCAGTGAGCCGAGATCGTGCCACTGCACTCCATCGTGGGTGACAGAGTGAGACTCCATCTCAAAAAAAAAGAAAAAAAAATCATTAAAACTCAGAATCCATGGGAAGGATTTATATGTAGAGAATGAGTCTTGTTTTGCCTTGGGAGAACAATCCTGGTGGAAAAACATCTCTCTGACTTTAGTTAAAAGTAAAGGTTAGGTGCAGTGGTTCATGCCTGTAATCCCAGGATTTTGGGAGTCCGAGGTGGGAGAATTGCATGAGGCCAAGAGTTCAAGACCAGCCTGGGCAACATTTGCAAGACCCCATCAGTACAGAAAATAAAAGAATTAGCTGGGTGTGATGGCATGTTCCTGTAGTCCTAGCTACCTAGGAGGCTGAGGCAGAAGTATTGCTGTAGCCCAGAAATTTAAGGTTGCAGTGAGCTCTGATCACATTACTATACTCCAGCCTGAGAGACAGAGCAAGACCCTCTCTTTGAAAAATAAGATTAAGTAAAGTAAAATGACAAACACTAAGCTTTAGTGCTCTTCTTCCTGTTCTGTCCTATCGCCCCACCAACTAGTAAGTCTGGGGAAAAATTGCAAGGATAATAATTTGAATTCTCTCTACTTCTGTGGTTTGTAATATAGATATGTAAGTTATATATCTAAAGTAAAAATTATGAGATACAACTTACACTTTGTAGCATAACAAAGTAGATGCTTTTATTTAGGATTTATTCTTCCCTTCCCCAAATGTAGATGATTCTCTGGTTGTGTTCACTCTCTTTGATTCAGAAAGTATAAAAATAACATTTTAGAAAATTAAAATTTAAGAAACATGAAAATATCAAATTCTATGAAGAAACTTTTTTCTTTTCATAGTTTTACTGCGGCTATTACTTTTTAAAAATAAGTGCATGTAGCAACCCCAGAAAGATGTGAAGAAATGGTTTAATGTAATGTCAAAGATCTATTTGATGAAAGTTAATAATTGATAGCTTTAAAGTTGAAATCGGATAGTTTTTTTTCCCCCTTGTGTGTTAAATGTGCTTTTCTTTTTTCATTTTAAAATCACAAAGGCTTTGGCAGAGATGAATTTATGGAGGTAAGTCTCAAGTATAATAGGATTGCATTTTAATTAAGGAGGGGAATGTTGCTAATTTAAATTTTGAGTGAGCCATTATTTGCGTGGTTTAAAACTTTGGCATTGCAGCCATATTTGTTCCGTTTTTATATTCTGTTATTTGGAATCATATTTTGCTTTTTAGCATATTTTGGGGGCTGAGATATGAGAATGAAGAAAAAGAAGTGGTTTATTGATTTATGAGACAGGGTCTTACTCTGTCGGCCAGGCTGGAGTGCAGTGGTGCAATCTCGGCTCACTGCAACCTCTGCCTCCTGGGTTCAAGTGATTCTCTGACCCCAGCCTCCCAAGTAGCTGGGATCACAGGCATGCACCACTGTGCCTGGCTAATTTTTGTAGTTTTTGGTAGAGATGGGGTTTCACCATGTTAGCCAGGCTGGTCTCAAACTCCTGACCTCAAGCGATTGGCCCGTTTCAGCCTCCCAAAGTGCTGGGATTATAGGTGTGAGCCACTGCGCCTGGCCAGAAAGGGTTCTTTTTAAACTAGCAAATGTATTTTATGATTTTTAAAAATATAGTCAACAGGAATCTTTGAAAACTTAATTTATGTATCTTTATATCCTACCAAAATCTAGATCTAGTATGGTCTAGTATGGTCGACCATATTGTCTACCATAAAATGAAAAAAGAAAAGGCAATACTAGACAATACTAGTATTGTGTAGTATGGTAGCCAGTAACCATATGTAGCAATTGAGTACCCAAAATCTGGCTGGTTTGACTTGTGATATGCTGTAAGAGTAAAATATGTACTAGATTTTAAAACTTGATTTGAAAAAGAGACTATCTTGGTAATTGAAAAAATTTTGTTTACCTGTTGAAGTGACATTTCAACTGTATTTGATAAAATAAATTATTAAAATTAATTTCAGGCTGGGCCTGGTGGCTCACTCCTCTAATGGTAGCACTTTGGGAGGCCTAGGTGGGAGGATTGCTTAAGCCCAGGAGTTTGAGACCAGCCTCTCAAGACCCCATCTCTATTTAAGATATATCTTAATATATATATCTTATATATATATTTTTCATCTTTTTTAAAAAGCTTTTAATTGTAGTGATTAGAACATTTAGCTTTGCATAAGTGGACTGCATTATATCTCTTTTGGACAGGCTGATCTAGATGACCTAATGTCCATCTTATATTTATAATTTTACCACCATAGCATTACCTCAGTTTTCCTGAGGATACTCTCCATAAAACATCCAGCAACACCAAGGAAGTGAAGAGCTTGCAAGCAAAATAGATATTTTCAAGTCTCTATTTAAAAATTCTTGTATTTTTAATCATAGGAAAGGTCTGTAGATCTTCATTTGAAGTCTTTGTTCTTATTATTTTCATTGAGGATTGTTTTAAATTTTTTTATCAGTTCTCTGATTTCCTAAAGAATTTGATGGTATAATTAATTAAACAATTTATTATATTACCTTTTCTGTGGCAACTAGCTTAGCCTAAGATAGTCTCTTGAAATTAAGAAATCTTAAGACTGAAGTCGGCTAGGCTTGTTTTTCTGGAATGTCTGTATAAAATAATCTCCATACTATTAGTTTCTGATCATAATATTTGGGAGGAGCCTATAAACCTTCTCCAAGCCCTGATCTTAAACACAGAAAAAAAAAAATTCTATTTTTCAGAACTAGAGAAATCCCTGTCATTTAGGTATCTTTCTTCTGTGTTGTCTCTGAGTTGTTTCCTGTCCTAATTCCTTGTGTCTTCTCTGAATTCTCTCATTGTTACAGTATTTCTATTGCTCTGAGACATGAATTTGTGCTTGGTGTTGTTGATGTGAAAGGATGTGATTCCTCTCTGGGTTAGGCATGTAGTTTTGCTATGGTCTTTTTGTTACCCTCTAAAATTCATGCGTTGAAAGCTAATCCCAAAGGTGATGGTATTAATATATTGGGCCTTTGGGAGTCTGTAATCCTCATAAATGGGATTAGTGTGGTTATAAGAGGCTTGAGGGAGTCCTTTGCCCCTTCCACCATGTGAGGGCCCGTAAAGGCCTCCATCTGTGAGGAATGGGTCCTTATCTTATGCCAAACTTGCTGGTGCCTTGATCTTGGGCTTCCCACCCTCCAAACTGTGAGCAATAAATTTCTGTTGTTTAAAAATTACCCAGTCCAAGATATTTTGTTATAGAAGCTCAAATGGACTAAAATAAGTTTTTTGTTAATCATTTTCCATTCTTTTACCTGGCAAGTTGCTGCACATTCATATCTTGTTTCTTTGGTGTTACATTACAAAGAGATGTTTGAACCTTGTGTTTGAAAAGTTGCCTCCTCCGTAATAAATCTCTCTGCCTTTTTTTTGAAACAGGGTCTTGCTCTGTCACGTAGGCTAGAGTGCAGTCGTGTGATCATGGCTCACTGAAGCCTTGACCTCCTGGGCTCAAGCAGTCCTTCTACTTCAGCCTTCCAAGTAGCTGGGACTACTGCACTTGTAAGTGCCAGTGTATTTAGCTTCCCAGGTGTTTGTATCATACAGCGTTTTTCTTCCTTAGATCCTTTCTTAGCTCCTTATAAATTATCTTAGCAGTTTATAAATTACCAACTGGCATGTTGACCAGTTGCTGTTGTATCCTGCTTTCTGAGTTCTGGTATCCATAGGAAAACATTATGCTGAGTACAATAGGATACTCAAGAAGTTTAATATCAACTGTTTTCAGATAATTACCAGATTTTTGTTTGTGGCGTTCACCTTGCTTATGAACTTCAGATTTGTCTTTTCAACTGCTGTGCTTATTGTCTACATGGATTTTCCCCCAAGTACTTCAAACTCCAAATACTCAAAAGAGAACTCATTCTTTTCCCTTTCCTCCCTTGTATTTTCAAATCATAGTATTATAGATAAGCCTTTTTGGGGGGCTGTTTATCATCTGCATGCTGCCATACACAAGCTATTCTTTTTTCTTATATGGCCATCGTGAAGTCTGTACTCTGTCATTTTCCTTACATAGGTGGCATCTCGATAAGAAGTTTTGATTCTCAGAAGCAAAGATACGGTGAAGGTCATCTGTCTAAGATAAGACCGAGGCTGTTCTCCATGCTGGAATATTTTCTTGTTCTCAACTTATTCCCCAGTCCCACCCATTAGGGAACTGGAAATGCTTTCTCCCTACAAAGTCTACCAAACTTCCAGAAGCAACCACTCCTAGACTCTCGATCTTTAATACTGTTTGGAGTCCAGTTGGTATATTGGCACCCCCCCCCCAACCCCAATCTCACTATTGTGTGGCTGTAGCCAGTTTCAGTGGCTGCCCTTGGATCAGGAGCTACTCTAAGAGAAACCTGTAGTGACCCAGTTAGGAGACAGGATTGTGTGTTCCCTTGTTGATAGAAAAACAATGTCTTATGTCCTAGTCTGTCATTCTGGGAGAATGAATGAATTTAGGCCTGTGAATTATTTACTGTATAAAAGTGGAATATTAGAAATGGCCAGGAGGCTACACAAACCTATAGGGACACCTTAGATTACAATGTACAATATTCCTGCTTGGACAGTATTCTTTTTCTTTAATCTGTGATAGTCAGAATTCTTGTGTTAGAAGGAGATTATGATGGGATGGGATGGGAAGTGAGGTGAATTATTCCCCCACCATCCCCCCTGCTTTTTTTTCGAGACAGGATCTCACTCTGTCACCCTGGCTAGAGTGCAGTGGTGCAGTGCAATCATGGCACACTGCAGTCTCAACTTCCGGGGCTCAGGCGATTCTTCCACCAAAGCCCCCCAGTAGCTGAGACTATAGGTGTGCACTACCACACCTGGCTAATTTTTTGTATTTTTAGTAGAGATGGGGTTTCTCCATGTTGCCCAGTTTGGTCTCAAATTCCTGGGCTCAAGCAATCCACCTGCCTCGGCCTCCCTTTTTTTTTTTTTTGCTTTGCAATAAATCCATGTAAGGCAGTGCACCCATGTGATCTGGGAGGAGGAAAATATGTGAAAAAGTTTTAGATATACTTCTCACTAGCCCACAGACCTATGAGTAATGCTGTATTACCATTTTCCCAGCTGCCAAGCTCAAGGCTTTGTAAATTGTTGACTTTCAGGCAGTGCGCCCCTCCCCCACCATGCCAGACTACCTTAATTATACTGAAACTAGGTGGAAACCTGTTTAAAAGCCTTCTTGAGTTGTTCCTCATCACGTTTAGCAATAAGGAATAAAAATGCTTGATTCTAACTACATAGTCTATAAAGTTTACATATTCTTGAACACGTAAATTATTTTTCTACATGCTATAGGAAAATACATGCTATAGTTCACTGGGGAGAGACTTCATGGTATCAATTCAAGTGTTACTACTTCTGCAAAATGTTCCGACTCTCTCACAGAGAAAGACTTCTTCATTATAAAAATTCTAAAGTTTTTCTTTAGAGAATTTTAAAATTTGCTGGAATGACCAGGAAATTTGAAAAGGCAAATATGAAGTCATGTTTATATCTTCCTTTATTTATAAAATATGCCCAAAATAATCTTTTACAAAAAGTAATAGTTACGGTTTTAAAAAGTTCAGAAGGGCTTACAATAATAAAATGCAGTCATTTCTCACCGAATTTTTACTATCCCTAGTGCCATTAAGTAGATAATATTTTTTACAAATATTGATGAAGTGATAAAAATTGATGAATAATATGCAGAGAAATGTGTAGTTCTTAAGTGTAAAGTTTGAATTTCAAAGAATGTATATACCTATGTATAACCCACATACCTATTAAGACTTAGAAAGTTTCTATCATATTAGAAAATGTCCATCATCTCAGAAAATTCCTTTGTGTCCTTTCTAGCAACCCCACCCTCTGTCAAAACTTCTCTTCTACCTGTTCTTTTTTGTATAATGGCTTTATTCAGATATTCATATACCATATATTTAATTCCCCCACTTAAAGTTTACAGTTCAGTTGTGTTTTGTCTACTCACAGAATTGTGCAATTGTCAACACAATCAATTTTAGAATTTTTTTCATCACTCCAAAAAGAAACTGCACACACATTAGCAGTCTATGTTTTCCTGACTACCTTCACTCCTACTACAACCCTCAGCAGCTGCTGATCTATTTTCTTTCTTCTAGATATTTCATATAAATGTATTCATGGAATATGTGCCCTTTTGTGACTGGCTTCATTAACTTAACATCATGTTTTCAAGGTTCATGGATGTCATAGTGTGTATCAGAATATAATTCCTTCTCGTGGCTGGTATTCCATTGTTTGGGTATACCATGTTTTTTTAATCCATTCATCAGTTGATGGACACTTGGATTTTTCTTTTTTTTGATATCATGAATAATGTTTCTGTGAATGCTTGTATATAAGTTTTTGATGGATATAAATTTTCATTTCTTTTGGATATATACCTAAGAGTGGAATTGCTGAGTCATGGTAATTTTGTGCTTATCATTTGAGGAACTGCCAGGCTGAAGTGCTTGTACCATTTTACATTCCCACAAGTAGTGTATGAGAGTTCCATTGTCTCCATATTCTCACAAACACTTAACTGTTTGTTATTTGTCATCTCGATTGTAACTATCTTAATGGTTGTAAAATATCTCATTGTGTTTTCAATTTGCTTTTTCCCTATGACTAGTGATGTTGAACATCTTCTTATGTATTTATTGGCCGTTTTCTTTGGAAAAATGTTTATTCAGATCTTTTGTCCATTTTTAAATCACGTTATTGTTGATTTGTAAGGGTTCTTTCTATATTCTAGATACAAGTCCCTTATGATTCGCAAGTATTTTCTCCCATTCTGTAGATTGTCTTTCCACTTTCTTGGTGGTAGCCAATAAAGTACAAAATGTTTTTAATTTTGATGAATTCCAGTGTATCTGTTTTTTCTTTTGTCACTTGTAGTTTTGGTCATAATTAAGGCTTTACCTAACTCAAAGTCATGAAGATTTATTCCTGTATTTTCTTCTATATTATGCTTGTTCTTGAACTTTATATAGATGGAATCATATCGTATGTACTCTTTTGCACCTGGCTTCTTTCGTTCTAACATCTATCAGATTCATCCATGTTGATGCACATGTCAGCAGTTTATTTCTTTTTATTGCTGAGTAGTATCACACTGAATGAATGTACCACAATTTGATCACTTATTTTTCTGAACATTTGGATTGTTTCTGGTTTGGGGCTATTGTGAATAAAGCTGCTATGAACTTTCAACTATGTCTTCTTTGTACATATGTTTTCATTTTACTGCTGGACCATATGGATATGTATTTCAACTGTATGAGGAATTATCAAACAGTTCTCAAATGTGTTATACTATTTTGTACTTTTAATATTGATAGAATTGCTTCCATCCTGGCCAACATTTGGTATGGTCAGTCTTTAGAATTGTAGCCATTCTAATATGTATATAGTTTGGTTTTAACTTGCATTTCCATTGATGACTAAAGATGCTAACATTTTTCAAGTACTTATTGACCATTTGATTATCTTGTTTAGAAAGTATCAGTTTACGTCTCTTACTCATTTTTTAAAGTGTGGTGTTTGGTTTCTTAGTTATTGACTTTAAGAGTGGTTCATATATTCTGTATACTATCTTTTGTCAGATACCTGTGTTTAGACTTTTTTTTTTCTTCTTACTCTCTGGTCTGGCTTGCCTTTTCATTTTTAAAATAGTATCTTTTGAGGAGCACAGCTCTTTAATTTCGGTGAAGTCCAGTTTTTAAATCAATTTTTTCTTTTGTAGTTACTGTTTCCTTATGTCCTGCAAACAAATTTTTGCCTACCCCAAAGGCTGTGAAGAGGTTTTCTTGTGTTTTTTTTTTTTTTTTTTTTTGAGACAGAGTTTCGCTCTTGTTGCCCAGGCTGGAGTGCAATGGCACGATCTCGGCTCACCGCAACCTCCGCCTCCCAGGTTCAAGCAATTCTCCTGCCTCAGCCTCCCTAGTAGCTGAGATTACAGGCATGTGCCACCATGCCCGGCTAATTTTATATTTTTAGTAGACAGGGTTTCTCCATGTTGGTCAGGCTGGTCTCGAACTCCCAACCTCAGGTCATCCGCCCGCCTCGGCCTCCCAAAGTGCTGGGATTACAGGCATGAGCCACCACGCCCGGCCATGGTTTTCCTGTATTTTGTTTTTAGGAGTTTTATAGTTTTGTTATATTTAGGCTTATCTATTTTAAACCATTTTATAAGATAAAGCAGGGACAGTATCTTTAAATAGTGTAATGTCTTGAGATATTTTATTTGTAAACGTTCCTCACAGCTTTGTATAATTGGATGTGCTATTTCAATGTTCTCGGAAGGTTAACTGCTTAATCTTCTCTAACCCACGAATGCCACGAATTCACTTGATATTTGTGCCTATCCTAGAAGTTGTATTAATAACTCAGCAATCCAAGACTTTTTGACTCTCTAAAAGCCTTCTGTTTAGGTGCTTCTTCATCTATACTTGGATTACACCTCGAACTTAGGTTTAACTTAGGAAAACCATTATTTTCTTTGAACTGCATATCTCTGTTGATAGTGATGCAATTTAATTGAGATGTAGCAAGCAGTCAGTAAATAAGTATGGCAAATAACTAGGATTCAGGTTATTTCAGTAAAATTTGTTTCTTTATTGCATTTACAATTCTTAGGGTTTAGAATCATGTGGAAAATTACCTATGTAAACTAATTTTTCCATAAGATATATTACGGACTTACTGAAATAATATGTATTTTAAAACAGTATTTAAAGTAAAACATCATCATTAATTCTTTTTTTATCTTTTTATTTTCCTCAGAGACCTTGTTCTGAAATAATTTTTTTCAAGTAAAATTATTTATAATAATTAGTTGATGCTCACTTTGGCTGTTTGGTATGTTTTTATGTTTTTAGCAATATTTGGGAAATTTTATTTTAATTATTGTTGCCATGAAAATATATTAAATTTTCCTTCAGTAAGGATAGAATTTGTTTGTTCAGTTTATACTGTTGTATTATTGAAAATGACATACCTGGAATTTGGAATTTTAAAATTTGGACTTATGATTTTATTTCATTTTGATAATATACTTTGCATTGAGCTAAATGTTCTAAGGGATATAAAGATGAGTAGCATATAAATCTGGCTCTCAAAGGGTGGTTGTATAATCTGTTAAATAGGATTTGACCTCTATATGTTTATTTTCTTTCTCAGCTTTTGTATTTTATGAATTAGTATTGTGAGCTTTTGTTGTAGCCTAAGCAGATGACTTTTCCTGAAGAATTACTGGAAGTGAGTAGTAGCTATATAAAATAGTGATAGAGCTACGTTTTCCACCTTCCTTTTATAAATAAAAGACTTAATGTAGTGATTAGTCATGGATTGGATCTTGGAAATTATCTTAACCCTTCTTTCAACAGATAAGGAGGAGGCCTAACACAGGGTTGCAAGCTCAAAATTCAACAGGGACCTTATGAGTGAGGAGGTCCCAGTTTAACAGTGTAAACCTAGTAATAAATAGCAGCTGTTAGCTGGCCTGAGTTTTAGGGGAGACTGTAGGGATTATGGAAAGTGAGCAGATTAAAGTCCTTCTGCATTTGAAGGAAGAAGCTCCCACGCAGCTATATCCTGTTCTTACTGTGCAGGAATATGGACCGGTTTTGCCTTATCTTTTTATTTTTCAAGAGAATCTAGAATTATAAATAAAGTATAAATGCATATAAGCAAATATGTGAAATCCTCCAATTTTAGTATATTAGTAATAGCTCAGTTTTTACACAAACACTGCATAGGCCAAATAAATACTTTTTGTTTGGGCAGATTGGTTATGCATGTGTGAAGCAAAATGAAAAAAGAGAAGTGATTTGGTTAATTTTGGGGGCTCTGCCTTACTTTTAAGCCTTAGACACATTGTAAACGTTTTAGGATTGGTTATTTCATAGATTTGTTGTACCTCTTCCAAGTATAAGTTCTTTTTTCCTGAAGCCTACCCAAATACTTTTCTCATCAGATTTCCCCTAATTTGAATTTTTAATGGAGACGAAGGGAAATTATAATGGGGCTAGTAGCTCAAAAATTTTTAACGTAATTTGCTTTTTCAAATTTTCAAACTGCTATAATAGGTGAAAAAAATATAGCAGTAATTTTATTGATGTGACCAAAATTTATTTAAATTATGTATATTATTAAAACTATATTTTAAAACAATGGTTAAATTGCAGTAATAAAGCTCTAAGTATCATCAATGCCTCTTCTAATATCACTGTCCGATTAGATCTTGAACAGTTTTTAATTATATTTTAGATTGTTAGAAACGGATAGTAAGTCTTTAAGATCTGTAAATGGGTCAAGAAGAAACAGTGGCTCTTCTCTTGTGTCGAGTTCATCAGCCTCTAGCAACCTCAGTCACCTTGAAGAAGATTCTTGGATTCTTTGGGGAAGAATTGTTAATGAATGGGAAGATGTACGCAAAAAGAAGGAAAAGCAAGTTAAGGTATTCATGTTCTTTGTTGAAGTTCTTATTCTTATTCCATAGTGCGTCAGACATAACTTAATAGAGGATTGGGAAAAAAACCCCAAATACAACTTCCAAGCTATATATTAAAGAGGTCTGCTTTATTTGTTTTCACTTACTTGTACCCCTAAAAGTTTTAATTTGTAGACATCAGTTGTTACAGAGGTCCTGATCATATAGAAATATATAACTGAAAATTATTTTATTTACTTATTATTATTTTATAAAGACTCACTTTGTTGCTCAGGCTGGAGTGCAGTGATGCAGTCATAGCTCACTATAACCTCGAATTTCTGGGCTTAAGCTGTTCTCCTGCCTCAGGCTCCTGAGTAGCTATGATTACAGGTGTGTGTCACCACACCTCGCTAATTTTTTATTTTCCTTTTTGTAGAGATAGGGTCTTGCTTTGTTGCCCAGGCTGGTCTCAAACTCCTGGCCTCAAGCAGTCTTCCTACCTCCGCCTCTCCAAGTGTTGTGAGCTACTACACCCGGCCCGAAAATTGTTTTAGAAATTAAATTCTCTCATTTTATTGATTCAGAAATGAAGTTGTGATATCCTGCATTCTTGAATAACAGTATTTTCCTTTTTTTTTTTTTTTTTGCCTTCAACAGCCCTTTGAATGTTGGGTACTGTACCATCATTCACAGCTCTGCAGGTTTCAAGTCCATTACCTTAAGAGGTCACACACTGAGGTGAAATGATCATTATTAATCCCCTGACCAGAAGAGGATACACCCAGGGCCCAATCTTACCCTTGACTTACAGGGTTCCCTAGTCTTATTATAAAGCTAGCTTTGTGAGTTACAAATTTAATGATGTCTTCTACTTCATTCCAACCCCCTAATAAGTCTTCCTTGGCTTGCAAGATAGGACACTTAAATAATTCATTTTTGTAATTTTATTTTATTTTTAGGAACTTGTTCATAAAGGGATACCCCATCACTTTAGAGCAATAGTTTGGCAACTTTTATGCAGTGCACAAAGTATGCCAATTAAGGATCAGTATTCAGAACTCCTGAAAATGACCTCGCCTTGTGAAAAATTGATCCGAAGGGACATTGCTAGAACTTACCCTGAACACAACTTTTTTAAGGAAAAAGATAGCCTTGGACAGGAGGTTTTATTTAATGTAATGAAGGTAAGTTTTATTTATTCATTTTTTGAAATGAAATGAATTCCTGGAAGGTTGAAATTATACATTTTTCATGATGAAGCATGACCTCCCACCACAATAATCAGTTGCTTTGGCAGTGAAATTGGTTTTAGCATCATTTTTGCCTTAATTCTTATGCTACATTACTATCTAGTATAGAGAACTTGTTAGAACATTTACTACGTTATTTAGCATTAGTTGATGGAAATGGAATAGCTTAAAAGTCACATATCATAGAGGGATCCTCATGAAAAGGAATAATTCACCATCTGTGAAGTTCAAAACCTGGGATGTGGGTTTCTCCTATCATATCTGTGTTCCTACAGTGAGCAAATTTTTCTGCTTTCTATGGCCAGCACTGTTAAGAGCACTTAGCCCTTGAAAGGTGTACCATTGTCATTTTTTCTTCAATATTGCCATTTCCCTTCCCACAGTTACTTTTTCTTTTAGCTACTTCTTTGAAATACTGACTTCTTGTTAAATCATTTCAATTTCGCCAATCCTTTGCCTTAAACCTAGTCTAGTTTTATATACATCAATATAAATTTTACTTGAATTTTTTTTTTTTTTTTTGAGATGGAGTTGCACTCTTTTTGCCCAGGCTGGAGTGCAGCGGTGTGATCTCAGCTCACTGCAACCTCCACCTCCCAGGTTCAAGCAATTCTCCTGCCTCAGCCTCCCTAGTAGCTGGGATTACATGCGCCCGCCACTACGCCCAGCTAATTTTTGTATTTTTAGTAGAGACAGGGTTTCACTATGTTGGCCAGGCTGATCTCGAACTCCTGGCCTCAGGTGATCCGCCTGCCTCTGCCTCCCAAAGTGCTGGGATTATAGGCATGAGCCACTGTGCCCAGCTCAATTTTACTTGATTTTTAAGCCCTGTTACAAATTCCTTTATTTTATTTTATTTTATTTTATTTTATTTTATTTTATTTTATGTCTTTAGAGCTAGCAAGTTTGGATTGGGAAATTGTCAAAATAAAATTTCATGTAATAAAACATTTGCTTTTTAAATATGTATAGGATAACATCTATAACAAGCAAGCAAGAGCTTTTCTCAAAAATAAATGTTTTTTAATCTGTCTGTCTTGCCAATTTTAGGTTTTTTGGAGAAGGAAGGTATAACTTACCATGTATTTTGAACAACTTTTTTTTACTTTTTAGGCTTACTCTTTAGTAGATCGTGAGGTTGGTTACTGTCAAGGAAGTGCTTTTATAGTTGGATTGTTGCTTATGCAGGTAAGTTAATATAAGTATTAAATGTCCAATGAAATTTTTTATTAAGTTGGATTGGAGAGTTTAAAAAGCATCTTTGTTTTATTAAATGTAAGTGGATATGGGTATTTTTTCCTAGGCATAATTTGAATACAAATATTTAGTTTGCATTTTAAAAGATTAAACATGTTAAAATAACATAGTAATATCTTACCACCAAATGAAATTTCAACTTCATGATAGATACATTTTTACTGTAATATTCTACTAAAGCTTGAATCTACAGTAGTTTAAAATCTTATTTGTTAACATTTAATGAAGAGTAATCTTTTTCTAACCAAGGAGGAAATAATTAAAGTGTTGGTAAGAAAATCTTATTTATATTGTACAACATCTTTAGAGATTTATAGAGAATTTAATTTATCATGGAGCTAAAAGCTTGTTATGCATACCTCACTGCATGCCCTAAAATAGTGGTACTCAGCCACTTTTACCCCCTAGGGATATAACTTTGTTATTGAGTGTGCAGTGGGTTTGGGTGGAATGTTTTCAGAATTCGGGGGTAGGATAATCATAGCTTTGAAGGGAAATGGCATATAGTATTATCTCTTCAGCTTTGTTGAAATGTTAAGTCCATCTTACTCTTTATTTAGTCTCAGATTTTAGTCCTGAAAAGGAATCATGGAGATACTTGGTTTGAGTCATATAGGGTGGTTTTGCAACTCAGTTCTGCACATGCTGTATGAATTTAGGCTAGATTATTTAACCTCTCTCTGAGCCTTAGTAAGATAATACTATCTACTTTCAGATTAGTTGTGAGGGTTATTTGAGGTAATGTATGTAGAAGCCTAGCATGGTGTTTGGCTCATAGGAGATAGGCAGTGAAAGTTCAGTGGCTTACCCAAGATCACACATCCTGGTAGATAAAAGCAAAGTAGGAATCAGAAACCGTTTCCTGATGCTTTGCTTCAGCTTCCCAACTGCTTTGAGTTTTAAAGCTCTTGTTGCTGTCAGGAGTATACACTTTTCTAAGTAGAAGAGACCTGATGTCAGAGACACTGATTTATAATAAAAATAATTTTTACTTTGTGTTACAGCATATATAAGAACACATAAGAAGTGCTCCCAGTGGTTATTGATTTCTAAGTGGAATTAGGTTATAAATAATACAATGCAAAACTAGATTTGTTAATGTTAAGGTATAGTTGTTTAACAAAATTATGATTTTCCAGCTTTGCGCAGTGGCAGTATCGTAGCCAGTGAGGTTTATCCGAGGCGCAATTATTGCTAATTGAAATTATGATTTTCCTACTTTATTTAGTATTGGTAGATCCTTCATTATTGAACTCAGACATCCTTATTATCAGTCTAGTGATTTTTGCTGCTGTTCTATTCCTTTTATTTTCCTGTTAGCTCCACAATAACCTTTTAGTAGTCATTTCTCTTGGGCATCTAAAGAGCAGTTTTTCTCTGCTTGAGGTCTGAATCTCTCAACAGCTGACCTAGCTCTCTAGGAATCCTGTGGATCCTGTGAATCCTCTAGGAATCACAGTTTCCTTCAAGACAGGGCAAGCAGTGGTGGTAGAGATATTAACTTCAATAAGTATTATTACCACCATTGGAGTAATAAATAATATTTTGGTGATTGATCTACTTAGCTGTTGTCAGTGGCAGCAGTATATTAACACAAGAACAGTAGTCACTTATGGCCCAGGGCCATAAGGTAGAAAAGCTCCTCTTTTTGTTTCTAAAGTTTATGCCGACACCTTATGCTATATTCTCCCATAACTTCAGTTTAGAAATGTAACTCAGAGAGTCTGATAAAATTTGCAAAATTAGTACATACTTTATCAAAATGGTTAGAAGTATGTATGTTTTGTATATATCTCACTCCTATAATATTAGGTATATTGTCTGCATTAGACCTTTGCAAAAGACATGGATTCTTATCAGCTCAGAGTCACAGAGAAAGTTATGTAGCAGCACATTGCTCTAGGACTCAAGTGTCTTGATTTCTTTCTAATGGAAAGGAATGACTATAAAACAACTTGGTGTATGCCACTCCGTGTCACATTTTTTCATTTTGTCACCATGGTTTCAATTTTTTTGAGAAGGACCTAGTGATACTTTTTCTGTCTCCTTTTCCTCTTTTGTCAAATTACCTCAACTTATTTTTTAAAATGTTGCCATTAAAAAAAATTCTCCTCTAGTTCCCATATCAATGCTATTGCAAAGAGGAGAGGGAATGAAACTTGTTTTGATATGTTCAGAAGAGAAGAAATTGTTGTAAGACAAAAAGGGAAATTATAATTACATACTGCATAATGACATTTTGGTCAACGGTGGACTGCATGTGTGATGGTGCGCCCATAAGATTATAATACCCTATTTTTACTTTGCTTTTTCTATGTTTAGATACACAAACATGTGCCATCATGTTACAGTTGGCCTACAGTATTCAGTACAGTAACATACTATACAGGTTTGTAGCCTAGGAGCAATAGGCTATATAGCATATAGCCTAGGTGTATAGTAAGCTATATGGTATAGGTTTGTGTAGGTGCACTCTATGATGTTCGCACAATGATTAAATCGCCTGAGGACATATACCTCAGTAATCTCTGTCCCCTTCCAGTGCTGTGGGAGAGAAAAGAGAAAACAACTACCTTAGGAGAGAGCCAGGTTTCAGTGTTGAAATATTCTTAGGGGAGATACAGATTTCAGCTAAAGAAAGAGAGGAACATTTGGAAAAGAGATTGAGGATATAGGTAGACTATTCTGTTGATGGTAGGATATGGGTTCCAGAAAATGCTGTGGAAAAGATTTAGGAAAGATTGGAAATGGGGTCAGATTAGGAGAACAGTAAAATCATTTAGGATGAGAGTCCTGGGATTTGGGGCTTCTCGTAGTGACTGACATAATTCAGTGGGGCTGTGGGGCTTGATAGAATTAATAGAGATAGTCTCCTAAGTAGAATTGTGGCCATCTGTGTTGAGAGGAAGGAAGAAGTGCAGGTTTTGCCAAGAGTGACTCTTGGCCCCCTGTCCGTGGCTGTGTCAAGGCCAGGAAAAATGTCTTGTTATTAGCAGCAGTCTTCAGTAAGAAGAAGGCCTGGAGATCCTTTGGGATGTTCTCTTTTGAAACACACTGGTATAACGGGAATGAATGAGAATTAGCAAATTTTATTATTTTGAGAAAGATGGTTTAACAATTTGGATAGTTATTTGCCTAAGTATTCTGAATATCTTTGTAGCTCTTTACAGAGCTTTCACATTCATTATCTTATTTGATATGATTTCCTAGTGATTTACACATAAAATGTGAAATTGGTACCTTTAAACCCCAATTTCAGATAATGTGAAAACTTAATTTATATGTCCTTTTAATACTTGTACCATGTCATATGATTTTTTGCTCAGAATCCTCAAAAATCCCTCTCTCTCACTTAAGGTAAAAGTCGAAATCCTTACAGTGGCCTCTACAGTCCTCTGCATTTTGGTTCCCTGTTATTTCTCCTCCATGATGTAACCTTCACTCATAGTATTCTAATTTAGTAGTTCTCTATTTGCTGTTTCTTGAGCATGCCAAGTGTGATTCCATTTTAGGACCTTTGTACTCTTTGGTCTTCTGGAACTGTTCTTTCCTCAAATGCTCCCTTGCTTTCTTCAGGATTCTGCTTAACTGTTACCGTATCAGGGGACCTTTCCTGATCTATATCAATAGCCGTGTGTCTCCCCAGCATTCCCTACTTTATTTTATTTCTGTAGCATCCATCACCATCTGACATATATATTAGTTGATTTATTCCATGTCTTGTCTGTCTCCCTCCATTAGAAATTCAGGTTCCTTGAGAATAGAGATTGTGTTTATTTTGTTCACTGGTGTATACCCAGAGAGAGAAAAGTATCTGGCTGTAAATCAGTATTTTGGGTTGAATTAATGAATGAGGCAAGTTGAGGCAGTTGGTTTCAGAGGTTGTAAGATTTGTTTAACTTCTCATTCTTGGTGATAGAATGGGAGA
The DNA here is from genome assembly GCF_000001405.40 of Homo sapiens. Lineage (NCBI taxonomy): Eukaryota > Metazoa > Chordata > Mammalia > Primates > Hominidae > Homo > Homo sapiens. The sequence continues at coordinate 92,698,143 of NC_000001.11, read as the reverse complement.
CTAGAACTTTCTGATTCTTACCTCATTGCTCTTAACATTGCAGCACACAGCCACTCAAACAATGTTTGTGGTTGGCTGTGTACTTAGTTTAAATATCATTGGTTTATTTGTGTATCAGAGAACATTAACCTATGTTGTTTTTTTTTCTTCCAATGTAGATGCCAGAAGAAGAAGCTTTCTGTGTATTTGTTAAATTAATGCAAGATTATAGACTTCGTGAACTTTTTAAACCAAGTATGGCAGAATTGGGCCTTTGTATGTACCAGTTTGAATGTATGATACAGGTAAAAGTGCAGTGTTGATAAAAAGGCATATTGCCTTTATATTTTTTATATCTTGTTCTGAGTGCCAACTAAGCAAATTTAATGTTAAAAGCATTAAAGCACTTGAAGAAGTAAGTGTTTTAATTACATGATTGTTTTTTGGTTGGTTAATGTACAATTTGACCCTTCAAATTAGGTAGATCACAGTCTAGGACTTGACTCCAGTTTTCATATTCAATCCTTAAGCATTTCTGCCAAATGTACTATACACCCCTTACCTAAGCACATGAATTTCCTTATTATATCCTATTATTGTTACGTAGTCTAAGCTCTCTTACAGGAGCTTTATGATATTACACTGACATCAGTCCATTTACTTGGAGACTGTCTCTTTGAGTCCTCTCCTCTGCCTTTTTACTTTTATTTTATTTTTATTTTTTGCTAGCCCGTAATTTTTTTTCCTGTAATGTTTTCTTATGTTGCTAGTTTAAGACTCAAGTTATCTAGTGACTGTATGAAGGTGGAGAGAATAGGAGCAGAATCAAAATCAAGGGAAAAATACCTTTGAAGTATTTTACCTTTCTGGATTTAATTTTTATATTTTATATATTTAAGTTTGCTATAATGTAAATATTTTCATTTATTTCAATTTCAATTTCAATTAAATGAGCAGAATTTAAGAAAATAGGTGAATGAATCAGCTGGCATGAGAGCCATTTTTATTAGTTTCCTCTCTCCTGGCAGCCTTATAAACTCCAGTTTTTCCCATCTGTGGTGGGAGCAAGGGGATATGTAAAATGTTCTTATATTTTATTTTTTATTTATTCATTTATTTATTTTTGAGATGGAGTCTCGCTCTGTGGCCCAGGCTGGAGTGCAGTGGCGTGGTGTCGGCTCACTGCAAGCTCCGCCTCCTGGGTTCATGCCATTCTCCTGCCTCAGTCTCCCAAGTAGCTGGGACTACAGGTGCCTGCCACCACGCCCAGCTAATTTTTTGTATTTTTTTAGTAGAGATGGGGTTTCACCATGTTAGCCAGGATGGTCTCGATCTCCTGACCTCATGAACCGCCCGCCTTGGCCTTCCAAAGTGCTGGGATCACAGGCGTGAGCCACCGCTGTGCCTGGCTAATTTTTTAATTGACATACAATAGTTGTACATTATGGGGTACATATTTTTTGTTTTTATATATTTTAAAGAAAAAGCCAGAATAGGTTTTGAGATGATTTTTTTTTTTTTCCTGAGACAGAGTCTATCTAGCTCTGTTGTCCAGGCTGAAGTACAATGACACAATCACAGTTCACTGCCGCCTTGACCTCCTGGGTTCAAGCCATCCTCCTCCCTCAGCCTCCTGGATAGCTGAAACTACAGGTGTATACCACTGCACCTGAATAGTTTTTTATCTATTTTGATTTTTTATTTTTTAATTTTTGTAGAGACAGGGTTTCACTCTGTTGTCCAGGTTGGTGTTGAACTCCTGAGCTCAAGTGATCTTCCTATCTCAGCCTCCCAAAGTGCTGGGATTACAGGCATGAGCCACTGTGCCTGGACTTGAGATGATTCTTAATTAATTCTTTTCTGAAATAGTAAGCTTGTTTTTAGCAGCCTTAAACTCTCTTAATGTTATATTTTCAATTAATGTGTCATTTATGGCTGGACGCAGTGGCCCATGTTTGTAATCCCAGCACTTTAGGAGGCTGAGGTGGACAGGTCACTTGAGCCCAGGAGTTTGAGACCAGCCTGGGCAACATGGCAAAACCTTGCCTCTACTAAAAATAAAAAAAATTGGCTGGGCATGGTGGTGTGCACCTGTAGTACCAGCTGCCTGGGAGGCTGAGATGGGAGGATTGCTTGAGCTTGGGAGGCAGAGGTTGCAGTGAGCCAAGATCACACCACTGTACCCTAGCCTGGGTGACAGAGTGAGACCCCATCTCAAAAAAAAAAAAAAGTCTCATTTATGTTTTGAATTACTAGAGTTGCTGAAACATCTGTATTTTGAATATTTTTCCTATTCTTTAGGAAGGTAAGAATGGGTGATCAGTGGTAGATAGTGCCTGAAAGTATTTTAACATACCATTTATTTTCTTTTTAAACGTCTTTTTAAAATATTATAGTTGATAGAAGAGTATAGAAAATGTCAGTCACTCTTGTATCCACCAACAGGATTAAACAAATATAAAACTTTTATTCAGTTTCTTTTTATTAATAAATTAAATGTTATACTCAAAATTCCAACTTCACATTCTTTCCCCCTTCTTTCTTTCCTAGATACTAGCCACTGTCCCAGATGTTTCAATGTCTATGTCTTACCTTTTCCATATGATGCTTGATCTAATCTGTGTTTGGTATAGGCTAATCTAGTATAAATATAATCTAATTTAAAATACTCAGTTTTACTGTGTTATAACTAATTATTTTCTTCTCTTTAGGAGCATCTTCCAGAGCTCTTTGTACATTTTCAATCTCAGAGTTTTCATACCTCAATGTATGCATCATCCTGGTTTCTGACTATCTTTCTTACAACTTTTCCACTACCAATTGCAACAAGGATATTTGATATCTTTATGTCTGAGGTAAGCTAATGGGCAGACAAAGAGCAGGAGCTGAGCAAAGGGGTCACTGAGTTAGTGAGAGCAGGGCAATGAGGAGAGCAATGAAGGAAAGCCATGTGTCCCATGCAAAACTGCTTACATGGATAATCTCATTTAAACCTTATAATAACCCTATCAGGTAGATACTGTTTTTATTGCATTTGTTAGATGATAGATGAGGAAGTTGAGACTTAGAGAAAGGTTAAGTAGCTTGTCTATGGACACACAATACATAAGTGGTGTTGTAACCAGGATTCAAACATAGGCAGTTTGGAGCCTACACTGTTAATCATACCTCTTTATCACCTCCTAACTCATACAGTGAAAGTTAGTGAGAGGTAAAATTTGTCTTACAGTTAATATTGTTGAAATGCATCTGTCATCCAAAGAGTAAGAAGTAATAAGCATGTTTCTTCTATGAACACATTGCAGGTTGTTGTCCTTTTGTCAGTAGCACATAGAGGTAATCCTTTGTTTTCTAGTCTGTGAACTCAATGTTGTTATTAATTACATCTTGGGAAAATCAATTTGTATTACCTATCTAAATTAGTTCAGATCACAGTTGGTCAGCTGTGATTCATGTACCAATCAGATGGACAGATTTTTGTGCGAAATCCATTCTTCCACACCTGTTTTTTATAAAGTTTTCCTAGAACACAACCCTGCCCATTTATTTATATGTCGTGTATGTCTGCTTTAGGGTTGTAGTGGCAGAACTGAGTAATTTTGACAGACAATATAGCCCACCAAACCTAAAATACTTGCTTTCTGACTCTTGACAGAAAATGTTTGCCAGCCCCTAGTTTAGATCCCTAAATGTTTACCTTAGTATTATTTCAAATGACTCGTTTTTGTTGATGGAAGAGTAACATAAATTTGGATTTATTTAATTTGTTTCCTCAGGGTTTAGAAATAGTGTTTCGTGTAGGATTAGCACTTCTTCAGATGAATCAGGCAGAACTGATGCAACTTGACATGGAAGGGATGTTACAGGTAAGTTCATAATTTATTTTCTTTTTTTTTTTTTGAGACAGAGTTTAGTTCTGTTGCCCAGGCTGGAGTGCAGTGGCGTGATCTTGGCTCACTGCAACCTCTGCCTCCCAGGTTCAAGTGATCCTCCTACCGCTTCAGCCTTCTGTGTAGCTGGAATTACAAGCATGCACCACTACACCTGGCTAAGTTTTGTATTTTTAGTAGAAACAGGGTTTCATCATGTTGGCCAGGCTGGTCTTGAACTCCTGACCTGAAGTGATCCGCCTGCCTTGGCCTCCCAAAATGCTGAGATTACAAGCATGAGCCACCACGCCCAGCCCATAATTTCTTGAATGTCTTTGGATTTCACTATTAACAGCACTAAGTCATTCTTATGTTTTTTTTTTAATTGTATCTTAGCACTTTCAAAAGGTCATTCCACATCAGTTTGATGGTGTCCCAGACAAGCTAATCCAAGCAGCTTACCAAGTCAAATACAATTCAAAAAAAATGAAAAAGTAAGTATTTTATATTTTTGTTGGAAATTCAGTGGAAGTTGCAAAACATTCTAGTGATACAGTTTTCCTCCTTAGGTTATAGAACTATATTATTTTCTTCGGTGGTATTGGTTTCAATATAGCATAAAGCTAATGTTGGAATATACTGCTTTTAACAGTGGTGCATGGGACTAGCATGTACTACCTTTAAAACTTTCCTCCTTTTCCACGTTGACTAGAATTAGGAGCCTGGAATGGATATACATATATGAGGATGCTGTTATTTTTAAAACCACTTTTCTGGTGTGGTCCCATTCATTGACATTCTTTTCCTCTTAGTTTGACCCCACAGTGTCACTTAAGTTCAAAATTAGCATAACCAGCAAGATAGACATGAGGTATGGATTGAGAACTTAAAATTTTATTTATTTATTTTAGAGACAGGCTTTTGCTCTGTCACCCAGGCTGGAGTACAGTGGTGTGATTATGGCTGCTCACTGTAGCCTTGAAATCCTAGGCTCAAGTGATCCTCCCACATCAGCTTCCTGAGTACAGGAAGTACCCTGTCTCTACTAAAGCACAGGTGTACTACAGGCGCACACCACCATGCCTGGCTAATTTTAAAATTTGTTTTGTAGAGACAGAGTGTCACTATGTTGCCCAGGCTGGTCTCGAACCCCTGGGCTCAAGTGATCCTCCCACCTCAGCCTCCTAAAATGTTGGGATTACAGGTGTGAGCCGCTGCACCTGGTCAAATCTTATTTTTTGTACTACTTTCTAATGAAGCTTTTTTTGGCATTCATGTCCTAAAAGTTCAAAATAAAGTCTCTGCTCATTAGTTTTATTTTTGAAACAGATTAAGTGTATTAATTAAAATAATAGCTGTGATTTCTCTAGCTTCCAGTACTTAATTCTTAGCCTGCGGTCATAGTTAGCATTTCTGATACTGTACTTTCTATGGTATAAAATGCTTTAAAATGATAACAGTACTGTATGCTAGCAGTTAGCAGTTTTTCTGCTGCAATATGAAATTACATTAACATGTACAACATACTACTCCCATGGATATTCCTACTCCACAAAGTATATTTAAATATGAGTGAGAATTAATGTTATTAAAATTAGTTAGCTTTTCCATGCACAATGATGTGTACCTGTAGTCCCAGCTACTCCGGAGGCTGAGGCAGGAGGATTGCTTGAGCTCAGGAGTTCACAATCAGCCTAGGTAACATAGTGATACCTTATCTCTTTTAAAAAAATTAAAAAGTTAGCTCTAATTGACAAAAGCAAGCCAAGCCGATTTTTGAGCTTCAGCTTTTATTAAGTTACTTGTGATGTTTTAAATAACCACCATCATGTTGATACGTTTTAAATAACTACCATGTGTGGAGACATCATATAGACAAAAAGCCGCTGTGCCTTGTAACTGATAAAAACAAATTATCTCAATTTTTGTCACTTGGTAAAACCACATTGAACTCACACTAGCCAGGCAGAGAATTTATTTGACTTTAAAAGTCTGATAGAGAATGAGGTTCCTTAACCTTCTTGGTAACTAATTCTCCTTGCATAGATCTTGTCATATGTACAATCCATTTCTGAAATTTCAATTAATCCTGTTTACTTATCAGATTTCTGGCCCTCTATTTCTTTCACTTCCTTATTCGTGCTCTCCCCATTCTGCTTTATCAAGATCTCTAGATTGAGGTTTAAAAGCCTTCTTCTGATATGAACAACTGTGCTTCCTCTGCCCTTTTGTTTCCTGTATTCATGTATCCAATTGTTATTGCATAGTTACTGAGATTGCTGACAGTAAATTATGTTTCCAGTGGCCTTCCATGTATATTTATATTGACTTTGATTAATTATCTCATTCCTCACAGTGGTTACTTCAAACCTTACCATTCTTCCCAAACTCCCATCCCCTTTTTGCTATATGTAACTCTCACCAGATTACCTTATTCCTAATTCAGCAGTCATTTCCAAACTTCCTAAACTTGCTGTCTTCCAGCTTGTAGACTTAGCTATGTTCTTTTTCTTCTCTTTTTAGAATACAGTATTTTTTTTTCCTTTATAATGCTAATTCAGAATACGTGATGTTACTCATTTCCATCTCTTCCAGGTCTTTGCTCCATTAATTATTCCTTCTCTATCTTCAACCTCTCTCTCTGTTGTTTCATTTTCTTCAATCTAAGAAGATAATTTTGAGTTCTGACTTAGAAGCAACAAAACAAAACCTTCCTCAACATAGCATTTCATTTTCCTTTTATGAAGCTTAGCTGTGAAGGAAAGAATAGATTTTACTCATTAGCTACAGATCACATTCTATTTGCTTTTTTTCACTTGGGAAAATTTTCAGACATAACAAAAATAGAATAATAAATATCCATTGCTTATTGTCTGTATTTAACAACTGTTAATATTTTGTCATATTTATTTTTTTCAAAGTATTTCAAAGTAAATATTGTTAATATTTTGTCATATTTATTTTTTTCAAAGTAAAGCTCAGAAATTGTGACACTTCACTCTTTAATACATCAGTATTCATGTCCATAAAGTAATTTGCCTCATTTACCACATTGCTTCCACCACTTAACAGTAGTTCCATAATACTGCCTAATACTCAGTCTATGTTCACATTTCCTCAGTTGTGCCAAAAATGTCTTTGCCATTGATTTCATTGTATTCAGTTGTTCACTTACATTTTTAAAAATTTAGATCAGCACCACCTATTCCAATCTTCTTTTTTAATATATTGGCTTGTTGAAGAGACCAAGTCAGTTATACCGAGAATATCCAACCTGAAGGATTCATCTGATTATTTCCTTGTTATCTCATTTAACTTCTGTATCTCTTGTGTTTTCTATAAACTGGGAGCTAATGTGAAGACTTAATCTAATTAAGTGCAAACATTTCTGACAAGAATACTTAATAGGTGATACCATGTACTTTATTCATCTTAAAAGATGCATAATGTCTGTCTCACTGTTATTAGAGATGCCATGATTGGTGACTAGGTTAAGGTAATGACAGATTTCTTTATTATGAGGTTATGTTTTCCCTCTTGGCACCCAGTAAGTACTTTGTAAGTTGATACTTTGGCATTGTAAGAATATCCAGTTCATTATGACCTTCCACCTCTTGGCTCAGTCTGCTCAAAAGTTATTATTGAGGGCCAGGCACAGTGGCTCACACCTATAATCCCAGTACTTTGGGAGGCCGAGGTAGGCAGATCACTTGAGGCCAGGAATTCAAGACCAGCCTGGGCAACGTGGTGAAATCCTGACTGTATAGAAAAAAAAAAGACCAAAAATTAGCCAGGTATGGTGGTGTACACCTTTAGTTCCAGCTACTCAAGATACTAAGTTGGGAGAATCACTTGAGAAGTCTAGGATGCAGTGAACTGTGATTGCGTCACTGTACTTCAGCCTTGGCAATAGAGTGAGACCCTGTCTCCAAAAAAAAAAAAAAAGTATCATTGGGGATACTTTTCATGTTAAATTATTTCATTTAGGATAACAAAAGCATGATTTTAAAAATGTTATTCTTCTTACATTTATCAGTCAGCTTTCTTCATAACCTTTTCTTCTTTAACTGCAGCTAACTTCATTCTACTGGAAACACATATAAACACTTCATTATTTCAGCCAGGCGTGGTGGCTCACACCCACAATACCAGCACTTTGGGAGGCCCAGGCAAGAGGATTGCTTGAGCCTGGGAGTTTGAGACCAGCCTGGGCAACATAGCGAGACCCCATCTCTGCAATAAATAAAATAAGCTAACCAGGTGCCTGTAGTCCTGGCTTTTCCATAGGCTGAGGTGGGAAGATTGCTTGAGTCTGGAGTTGGAGGCTGCAGTGAGCTGTGATCACAGCACTGCACTCCAGCCTGGGTGACAGAGTGAGACCCTCTCTCTTAAACAAAACAAAACAACTTTATTATTCCCTTTAATTACCAATTTCCAGAGAAAAGAGTTAGTGGGAATGGTGTTCTTTTAAATTAGTCTATTCTTTTGCAGGTGGCATTATTAACGAATTACAGCCTATATTCAGAATGTTTTAAGGTTGCAAAGTAAGCTGTGTTCAACATCACAAAATTTTGCCAAAGTGACACTAATCTATAGTCTAACCCGGCAGTGTAAGAGTTCTTATTGTGGCCACGTGCAGTGGTTTAACATCTGTAGTCCTTTCACTTCAGGAGGCTGAGGCAGGCAGATTGTTTGAGCCTAGGAGTTTGAGACCAGCCCAGGCAACATGGTGAAACTTTGTCTCTACAAAAAAATAGAAAAATTAGCTGGATGTGGTGGCGCCAGCACACCTGTGGTCCCAGCTACTCAAGAAGCCAAGGTGGGAGGATCACTTGAGCCTGGGCGGTCCTGGCTGCAGTGATCCATGATTGTGCCACTACACTCCAGCCTGAGTGACAGAGTGAGACCCTGTCTAAAAAAAAAGTCTCATTGTTCTACTTTGTCATCAGTGCTTGGTTATTCTTAATTTTTGCCAATCTACTTAATTTTTACCAGTAGCAGGGGGCATTATTAAGGACTTACAGGTTTATATTCAGAATGTTTTAAGGTTGCAAAGTAAGCTGTGTTCAGCATCACAGAATTTTGCCAAAGTGACACTAATTTGTAGTCTAACCCAGCAGTGTATGTGTTCTCATTGTGGCCAGTATAAAATGTCTCATTTTCCACTTAATTTACATTTCCTTGATTGTTAATAAGACTAAGCATCTTTTCATATGTTTATTGGCCTCATGTTTTTCTTCTATTTTTTTCCTCCCTTTTTTACTGCAGTGTCTACTTCATACTGCTTTGACTTGTTAGTGGTTACTAGTTGTTTATGATCTGGGTTGTAATCTTTTGTCAGCATTAAAAGATAAGTCTTGTCCATTTCTACTAAGTATCAGTTTTGGAATATATAATAAACTCAACAATTGGACCTACCTCTCAAAAATGCTCAAGCTTCCTGTTGGTTGGAGGGTAGCAGCACAGAAAAGTAAATGGCTTGTTAGATGCAAATATGTAACAGATTATTAAAATTATATGTTAGAGATACCTAACCCGTATGTCTTCAGACTGGCATACACAGACTGCTGGGTGTCAGGAAAATGTTCAGAGCTTGGTTAAGTAGACTTTCAATTTCTATCTATAGTCTTTCCTACAATTTATCTTTCTGATAACATTTCTGTAGTAGAGGTGCCTCGGTTCTTCTTCGCACCTTCCTTTTTACAGCATGCCTTCTCCCACTTTATTAAAGGAAGGAAGGAAAACCTGTCACCCAACCTAGATCTTACTATGGTACCTTACTTTAGTTTATAAAAAATCTCTGTGGCTCCAAACAAAATGAACAATTTCAGAATGACTTGCTCCTGAGGGAGTATCCCCTGAGAGAGCATCCCCTGAGAGAGCAAAGCAAGAAAAATGGAAGTTTTCTTTATTATTATTATTATACTTTAAGTTCTAGGGTACATGTGCACAACGTACAGGTTTTGTTCAGCTCCCACCTATGAGTGAGAGCATGCGGTGTTTGGTTTTCTGTCCTTGTGATAGTTTGTGTAGAATCATGGTTTCCAGCTTCATCCATGTCCCTGCAAAGGACATGAACCCATCCTTTTTTATGGATGCATAGTATTCCATGGTGTATATGCGCCACATTTTCTTAATCCAGTCTATCATTGATGGACATTTGGGTTGGTTCCAAGTCTTTGCTATTGTAAATAGTGCCGCAATAAATATACATGTGCATGTGTCTTTATAATAGCATAATTTATAATCCTTTGGGTATATACCCAGTAATGGGATTGCTGGATCAAATGGTATTTCTAGTTCTAGATCCTTGAGGAATTGCCACACTGCCTTCCACAATGGTTGAACTAATTTACACTCCCACCAACAGTGTAAGCGTTCCTATTTCTTCACATCCTCTCCAGCATCTGTTGTTTCCTGACTTTTTAATGATCACCATCTAACTGGCATGAGATGGTATCTCATTGTGGTTTTGATTTGCATTCTGTGATGACCAGTGGTGATGAGCATTTTATCACATGTCTGTTGGCTGCATAAATGTCTTCTTTTGAGAAGTATTTGTTCATATCCTTGGCCCACTTTTTGATGGAGTTGTCTTTTTCTTGTAAATTTGTTTAAGTTCTTTGTAGATGCTGGATATTAGCCCTTTGTCAGATGGGTAGATTGCAAAGATTTTCTCCCATTCTTTAGGTTGCCTGTTCACTCTGGTGATAGTTTCTTCTGCTGTGCAGAAGCTCTTTAGTTTAATTAGATCCCATTTGTCAATTTTGGCTTTTGTTGCCATTGCTTTTGGTGTTTTAGTCATGAAGTCTTTGCCCATGCCTATGTCCTGAATGGTACTGCCTAGGTTTTCTTCTAGGGTTTTTATGGTTTTAGGTCTAACATTTAAGTCTTTAATCCATCTTGAATTAATTTTTGTATAAGGTGTGAGGAAGGGATCCAGTTTCAGCTTTCTACATATAGCTAGCCAGTTTTCCCAGCATCATTTATTAAATAGGGAATCTTTTTCCCATTTTTTGTTTTTGTCAGGTTTGTCAAAGAGCAGATGGTTGTAGATGTGTGGTGTTATTTCTGAGGCCTCTGTTCTGTTCCATTGGTCTATATATCTGTTTTGGTACCAGTACCATGCTGTTTTGGTTACTGTAGCCTTGTAGTATAGTTTGAAGTCAGGTAGCGTGATGCCTCCAGCTTTGTTCTTTTTGCTTAGGATTGTTTCGGCAATGTGGGCTCTTTTTTGGTTCCATATGAACTTTAAAGTAGTTTTTTCTAATTCTGTGAAGAAAACCAGTGGTAGCTTGATGGGGATGGCATTTAATCTATAAATTACCTTGGGCAGTATGGCCATTTTCATGATATTGATTCTTCCAATCCATGAGCATGGAATGTTCTTCCGTTTGTTTGTGTCCTCTTATTTCATTGAGCAGTGATTTGTAGTTCTCCTTGAAGAGGTCCTTCACATCCCTTGTAAGTTGTATTCCCAGGTATTTTATTCTCTTTGTAGTAATTGTGAATGGGAGTTCACTCATGATTTGGCTGTTTGTCTATTATTGGTGTATAGAAATACTTGTGATTTTTGCACATTGATTTTGTATCCTGAGACTTTGCTGAAGTTGTTTATCAGCTTAAGGAGATTTTGCACTGAGATGATGGGGTTTTCTAAATATCCAACCATGTCATCTGCAAACAGGGACAATTTGACTTCCTCTTTTCCTAACTGAATACCCTGTATTTCTTTCTCTTGCCTGATTGCCCTGGCCAGAACTTCCAACACTATGTTGAATAGGAGTGGTGAGAGAGGGCATCCTTGCCTTGTGCAGGTTTTCAAAGGGAATGCTTCCAGCTTTTGCCCATTCAGTATGATATTGGCTATGGGTTTGTCATAAATAGCTCATTATTTTGAGATACGTTCCATCAATACCTAGTTTATTGAGAGTTTTTAGCATGAAGGCTGTTGACTTTTGTCAAAGGCCTTTTCTGCATCTATTGAGATAATCATGTGGTTTTTGTCGTTGGTTCTGTTTACGTGGTGGATTATGTTTATTGATTTTCGTATGTTGAAGCAGCCTTGCATCCCAGGGATGAAGCCAACTTGATCATGGTGGATAAGCTTTTTGATGTGCTGCTGTATTCGGTTTGCCAATATTTTATTGAGGATTTTCACATCAGTGTTCATCGGGGTATTGGCCTAAAATTCTCTTTTTTTGTTGTGTCTCTACCAGGCTTTGGTATCAGGATGATGCTAGCCTCATAAAATGAGCTAAGGTGGATTCCCTCTTTTTCTGTTGATTGAAATGGTTTCGGAAGGAATGGTGCAAGCTCCTTTTTGTACCTCTGGAAGAATTTGACTGTGAATCCATCAGGTCCTGGACTTTTTTTGGTTGGTAGGCTGTTGATTATTGCCTCAATTTCAGAACCTGTTAATTGGTCTATTCAGGGATTCTACTTCTTCCTGGTTTAGTCTTGGGAGGGTGTATGTTTCCAGGATTTTATCCATTTCTTCTAGATTTTCTAGTTTATTTGCACAGAGGTATTTATAGTATTCTCTGATGGTTGTTTATTTCTGTGGGATCGGTGGTGATATCCCCTTTATCATTTTTTATTGCATCTATTTGATTCTTCCCTCTTTCCTTCTTTATTAGTGTTGCTAGTGGTCTATTTTGTTAATCTCTTCAAAACACCAGCTCCTGAATTCATTGATTTTTTGAAGGGATTTTTGTGTCTCTATTTCCTTCAGTTCTGCTCTGATCTTAGTTATTTCTTGCCTTCTGCTAGCTTTTGAATGTGTTTGCTCTTGCTTCTCTAGTTCTTTTAATTGTGATGTTAGTGTGTCAATTTTAGATCTTTTCTGCTTTCTCTTGTGGGCATTTAGTGCTATAAATTTCCCTCTACACACTGCTTTAAATGTGTCCCAGAGATTCTGGTACATTGTGTTTGTTCTCACTGGTTTCAAAGAACATCTTTATTTCTGCCTTCATTTTGTTATGTACCCAGTAGTCACTCAGGAGCAGGTTGTTCAGTTTCCATATAGTTGTGCGTTTTGAGTGAGTTTCTGAATCCTGAGTTCTAATTTAATTGCACTGTTGTCTGAGAGACCGTTTGTTGTGATTTCTGTTCTTTTACATTTGCTGAGGAGTGCTTTACTTCCAACTATGTGGTCAATTTTGGAATAAGTGCCATGTGGTGCTGAGAAGAATGTATATTCTGTTGATTTGGGGTGGATAGTTCTGTAGATATCTAGTAGGTCTGCTTGGTCCAGAGCTGAGTTCAAGTCCTGGATATCCTTGTTAACCTTCTGTCTTGTTGATCTGTCTAGTATTGACAGTGGGGTGTTAAAGTCTCCCATTATTATTGTGTAGGAGTCTAAGTCTCTTTGTAGGTCTCTCAGGACTTGCTTTATGAATCTGGGTGCTCTTGTATTGGGTGCATGTATATTTAGGATAGTTAGCTCTTCTTGTTGAATTGATCCCTTTACCATTATGTAGTGACCTTCTTTGTCTGTTTTTATCTTTGTTGGTTTAAAGTTTGTTTTATCAGAGACTAGGATTGCAACCCATGCTTTTTTTTTTGCTTTCCAATTGCTTGGTAGATCTTCCTCCATCCCTTTACTTTGAGCCTATGTGTGTCTTTGCACGTGAGGTGGGTCTCCTGAATACAGCACACTGATGGGTCTTGACTCTTTATCTAATTTGCCAGTCTGTGTCTTTTAATTGGAGCATTTAGCCCATTTACATTTAAGGTTAATATTGTTATGTTTGAATTTGACCCCGTCATTGTGATGTTAGCTGGTTATTTTGCCCATTAATTGATTCAGTTTCTTCACAGTGTCACTGGTCTTTACAATTTGTCATGTTTTTGCAGTGGCTGGCACCAGTTGTTCTTTTCCATGTTTAGTGCTTCCTTCAGGAGCTCTTGTAAGGCAGGCCTGGTGGTGACAAAATCTCTCAGCATTTCTGTGTCTGTAAAGAATTTTATTTCTCCTTCACTTCTGAAGCTTAGTTTGGCTGGATATGAGATTCTGGGTTGAAAATTCTTTTCTTTAAGAATGTTGAATATTGGCCCCCAATCTCTTCTGGCTTGTAGGGTTTCTGCCTAGAGATCCGCTGTTAGTCTGATGGGCTTCCCTTTGTGGGTAACCCGACCTTTCTCTGTGGCTGCCCTTAACATTTTTTCCTTCATTTCAACCTTGGTGAATCTGACATTTATGTGTCTTGGGATTGCTCTTCTCGAGGAGTATCTTTGTGGTGTTCTCTGTTTTTCCTCAATTTGAATGTTGTCCTGCCTTGCTAGGTTAGGGAAGTTCTTTTGGATAATATCGTGAAGAGTGTTTTCTAACTTGGTTCCATTGTCCCCATCACTTTCTGGTACAACAATCAAATGTATATTTGGTCTTTTCACATACTCCCATATTTCTTGGAGTCTTTGTTCATTTCTTTTCACTCTTTTTTTCTCTCATCTTGTCTTTTCGTTTTATTTCATTAATTTCATCTTCAGTCACTTTCTTCCACTTGATCGAATCAACTATTGAAGCTTGTGCATGTGTCACGAAGTTCTTGTGCCATGGTTTTCAGCTCCATCAGGTCATTTAAGGTCTTCTCTATAGTGTTTATTCTAGTTAGCCAATCATCTAACCTTTTTTCAAGGTTTTTAGCTTCCTTGTGATGGGTTAGAGCATGCTCCTTTAGCTCAGAGAAGTTTGTTATTACCTACCTTCTGAAGCCTACTTCTGTCAACTCGTCAAACTCATTCTCCATCCAGTTTTGTTCCCTTGCTGGCGAGGAGCTGTGATCCTTTGGAGGCGAAGAGGTGCTCTGTGTTTTGGAATTTTTAGCTTCTCTGGTTTCTCCTCATCTTTGTGGTTTTATCTACCTTTGGTCTTTGATGTTGGTGACCTATGGATGGGGTTTTGGTATGGAAGTCCTTTTTGTTGATGATGCGATTTCTTTCTGTTTGTTAGTTTTTCTTCTAACAGTCAGAACCCTCAGCTGCAGATCTTTTGGAGTTTGCTGGAGGTCCACTCCAGACCCTGTTTGCATGGGTATCATCAGCGGAGACTGCAGAACAGCAAATATTGGTGTTCTGAATTAGAATTCAGAAAAAATTTCTGAATTAGAATTCAGAAGTAGAATTGTGATCATGGGGCAGATTATTAACTCATGTTTATTTGAATTGAAAAGTGAAGGCAACACTTTAATGACAGGAAGTAAATGTAATTTGGCTCATTGGTTTAATAATAATGACTGCCTTTGCCAGTTAGGTCCTAGATTAGACGTCCATAAATAAGATAAATGTCACTTAAGTTTCAGTGGAAAAATTTTAAAGTACATATAAATTACAACTGTATGTCCTTTTTAACTATATTTACACTTGAGATAAAACAAAATTTAGAAGTCTTTAAAATGTATATGAGGAAACATTCTTTTAGCAGATACATGAGCAGAAAAATAAGACCACAGGATGGCATAGGATGATGGCAGAGGAGGAAATTTCAGGTAGTTCTCTGAAGGAGATGATACCTGAGTACAATTTTGAAGACCTTTGTTTCTTTCTTTTTTTTTGAGACGAAGTCTTGCAGGCTGGAGTACAATGGTGCGATCTTGGCTCATTGCAACCTCCTCCAAGGTTCAAGCCTCAGCCTCCTGAGTAGCTGGGACTAGAGGCGCATGCCACCATGTCCAGCTAATTTTTTAAAAATTTTTAGTAGAGACTGGGTTTCGCTATGTTGGCCAGGCTGGTCTCGAACTCCTGACCTCAGGTGATCCACCCACCTCGGCCTCCCAAAGTGCTGGGATTACAGGCATGAGCCACCATGCCTGGCCGAAGACTGTTGTTTCTAATTGCTAGGGTTAAATTATGCCTGCAACAGAAAATCCCTGCTGATATGGAACTTACTGAAATACAGAAGACTGACAGAATGATATACAGTGTAACATCCATCAGTGAACGTGCCATGAAGAAAACAAAGCCAGATAAAGGACATGGAGAGATGAGCACTCTTTTAGACAGGGCACGCAGAGATAGGGCTCACAGGCCGGTAAGATACTATTTGAGCCGACACCAGAGGGAAGTAAGAGTGCGAGTCATGGGATTATCTGGGGGAAGTGTGTCCTACAGTACAATAACAGTAAATGTAAAGACTGAGGCAAGAATGTGATTGATACATTCAAGGAATAGAAAACCAGTGAGAGGCCGGGCACAGTGGCTCACACCTATAATCCCAGCACTTGGAGAGGCTGAGGTGGGAGGATCCATTGAGCCTAGGAGTTTGAGACCAGCCTGGGCAACATAGTAAAACCCCATCTCTGCAAAAATGAAAAGGAGGAAAACCAATGGGACTGTAGTAGCATAGGCAAATAGGAGTGTGGTGAGCAGTGAAGTCAGAAACATGGTAGGGTGCTAGGGGTATTTAGAGCAATGCCATCTACTGTGGTAGCCATTACCCATATGTGACTATCTAGTCTAAATATGATTAAAATTTATTTCATCAGTTATATTTCAAGTGCTAATTAGTCACTCACATGTGGCTAATGGCTACTCTATTGGACAATACAGATCTAGCACGTTTTCGTCATTGTCAAACGTTTTGTTGGTTATTGTCCTCCTCATGGGCCAGACTTTTTCCACATCTGAGGGGAAACCAGTAGAGGATTTTGCGAAAAGTGACATGATCTGGTTTTAAAAGTTTTACTCTTTGCTGTAATGAAGGTTGGCCAGGTGAAGAGAAGGAGGGCATTTTAAGAAGAACGGTAATAGGTACAAAGGCTCATAGGTTCCCTTACTACATGACAGTTGTAAGAGTTGAATCTTAGCCTTTGACTTTTTTTTGATGAATTTTTACGTTGGTATACTTTTAAACTTAAGGGGGTACGATATACTCTTTACCAAGATTCACCAATTGTTTACATTTCATCCCATTTGCTTTATTATCCTCTCTCCTCTGTATGCGTATATAAATATAGTGTGTGTGTGTAAAATCCATTCCCATTTTGGGGGAGGTCCATTTGAGAGTAAATTGAGATATTGTGCCCTTTATCTGTAAATACTTGAATGTGTACTTCCTATGAACAACAACTTTTCTCTCCTTTAACATAAACCCAGTAGTTAATCAAAACAAGGAAATTATATTAGGTTGGTGCAAAAGTAATTGCAGTTTTTGCATTACTTTCAACGGCAAAAACCAGTTACTTTTGGACCAACCTAATAGATACAATACTATTATCTAATCCACAGTGTATGTTCAGATTTTATCACCAATATATGCTGTATATATGCTGTCCCAATAATATGCTGTATAACTATCTCCCCCACCCTCCGTCCAGGGTCCGCTCTAGGATCATGTGTAGGATTTAGGTGTTAATACCTATTTGGTTTTCTTTAATCTGACATATTTCCTCAGTCTTTGTGTTTCTGATATATTTAAAGAGTGTACAGGCCAATTATTTTGTAGAAAATCTCAAAGTCTGAGTTTTTCTGGGATTTCCCCAGGATTAGATTCAGGTTGTGCATTTTTGGCAGGTATACCCCTGATATTATATCTTCTCATTTCACCATACGATATATATGATATTACTTTCTCTCAGAACTGGTAATGTTAGCTTTGGTCACTTGATTAAGGTGATGTTTGCTGGGTTTTACTACTGTAAAGTTATTATTTCCCCTTTTGTAATAAGTAATTTGTGGCAGGCTACTTTGAGATTATGTAGTAACCTCTTTCTTTACCAAACTTAACCATACCAGTTTTATATCCATTTATGATTTTCCCACTCCCTCATTCTTTATTTATTAATCAGCATTCTACTGTAAGGAAGAGCTTTCCCTTCACCCTCATTTATTTATTCATTTATTTACATCAGTGTGAATTCATGGATTATTTTATTCAGTGAGCTATAATCCATTACTATTAAATTATCCCTGATTTGTCCAGTGGGAACCCTTGCAACCTGGGTGCTTTGTTCTTTTGATATTTTCCCCATTATTCTTTGGGAATTTCCTTTCTTTGGGGCAACAAAATATTCCAGGTTCAACTTATACCTTCTTGGCTCCTGCGCAGTAATGAGCTATTTCTCCAGAGAGCTTTGATTACTTTTTTGTAAGCCTTTGAAATTTAGTCTGAAGGTGATGAGTAACCACTGACACGCTGGGTGTGGCGTGATCCAAATCAACATTTTAAAAAAAGATCACTCTGTTAATAGTGTATAGAAAATATTGAGTTATGAAACTGGCCATAGAAAGAACAATTATGAGTATTTTCCAGTAATTTAGACAAATCATAATGCGGGTCTAAAAACACTATCAGTGAAGGGGGAACAAATAACTTTACACTGGAAAAACCTGGTGTGTACTCCTTCAGCCAGATGATCAAGGTCAACATCAATAGTGATGTTCTGTTGATAGTTTGTACCCTTAGTATGAGGCAATGAAAACGGCATTTATGTCTGTGGTCTTCCTCCTGAAAACCCAATAACCCCAGTATAATCATGAGAAAAACATGAGACAAATCCCATTTGAAGGACGGAATGGTCCCTTTTGAAGATCACATAATGATAACTACAAAATACCTGACCAGTACTCCTCAAAACTGTCAAGGTTCTCATCAAAACTGTCATGGGCTTTAGGTAACAGCAATGTGTTAATATTGGTTCATTAATTATAACAATGTACCATACTACTGTAACATGTTAATAATAGGGTAAACTGGGATGGGATACATGGAATCTCTGTACTATCTTCACAATCTTTTTGTAAACCAAATATTTTTTTTTAAATTAAGTTTATTGAAAAACACTATCAGTGGAGTTAAATAAGTAGGGTTTATTTTTAGGTGTATAAATGAGTGATATTTTTACATAATGCATAATGATAACTACTTCAGAGTAGTCATTTGTGAAGGCTATAAACTTATTTCAGTAGTGCAGCTGTTGAAAATGTTTTGCAGCTCTTTGGAGTCTTTAATAAATTCTGTCGGCTATCTTATAGTCTTTTAAGACAGTGGTCCCCAGCCTTTTTGACACTAGGGACCGCTTTCGTGGAAGACCATTTCTCCACTTATGGGGGCTGGGGGTATGGCTTCAGGTTGAAACTGTTCCACCTCATGTCAGATCATCAGTCATGAGATTCTCATAAGGAGCCCGCAGCCTAGATCCCCAGCATGCACAATTCACAATAGGGTTTGCACTCCTTTGAGAATCTAATGCTGCCACTGATCTGACAGGAGGTGGAGCTCAGGCAGTGATGTTCACTTGCCTGCCGTTCACCTCCTGCTGTATGACCCAGTTCCTAACAGGCCACAGACTGGTATTGGTCCACTGCCCAGGGGTTGGGGACTGCTGTTTTAAGATACACTTTAGTGAGAGACAGAGTAATGTAGCAGTCAAATCTGTGACTATACAGAAGTTTCTCAAGCTTTCTAAACCCCAGAGTGGGTATAACAACTTATATTAAAAAGTTGTTGTGAGCTAAATGAGATAAGTAATAGATTTCTGTCCTTTGAGGGAGAATTTTATTTTTGAAAGCAGCTGTAAGTTATTTGGAGCCTGGTCTGGTTTATATTTGGAGTAACCTTGGTATTGATATTTTTTGTCAAGAGCAAGATAAAAAAAATTTGGTGGTACTAATTTTTGTGTGGCCTATACATTTTTATAAAGGTAAATTTAGACTTACCATAGAGTTGCATATCGTGCTTACTCTCCTCCAATCAGTGACAGACCACAGAGATGATATGCCCTTTTCAGGACATCTTTTTTCTTTTAAAAAAATGGTTTATCACTTTCTGGGCGTTGCAGGGAAGGGTCCCAGGCTGGAGTGCAGTGGCTAGATCATGGCTCACTGCAACCTTGACTTTCCTGGCTCAAGCAATCCTCCCACCTCAGCCTCTGAGTACCTGCAACTACAGGCATGCACCCACCGCACCTGGCTAATTTTTGTATTTTTTGTAGAGACTGGGTTTCACCATGTTGCCCAGGCTGGTCTTGAACCCCTGGCCTCAAGCACTTGGCCCCCCTTGGCCCCCCAAAGTGCTGGGATTAGAGGCATGATCCACCGTGGTCAGTGTCATGTTTTAAATTATTTTTACTTTTTAATAATTTTGACCTTTATTTTAAATTCAGGGGGTACATGCACATATGTATTTCATGGGCATATTGCATGATGCTGAGGTTTGAGATATGAATGATCCCATCACCCAGATAGCAAGCATAGTACCCAACGGTTAGTTTTTCAGCCCTTGTCCCCCTCCCTGCCTTCGCCTTCTATTAGTCCTCAGTATCTGTTGTTCCCATCTTTATGTCCATGAGTACCCAGTGTTTAGCTCCTAGTTGTAAGGGAGAACATGGGTTTTTGGTTTTCTGTTCCTGTGTTAATTCACTTAACTCAGTACATCTTAACAGGGGTGCATGATGTCAGTATGTATTACTGGTGATGTTAACCTTAATCAGTTAGTTCAGGTGCAGTCTACTAGGATTCTGTACTGTAAATTTAGTATTTTCCTTTAACACTTACTAAATATTTTAGGAGAGATAATTTGAGACTATGCTTAAACTTTCACCCACTAATTTTAGCATCCATTAGTGGTTCCTCCCGCAGTAGTTATTACTGAGGAATTCTAATGGTGATTTTTATATTAACCTTATTCCTCCTATGTCTATTAATTGGAATTCTATAAGGAAGAGTTGTCCCCTTTCCCTCATTAAAATTTTCAAAGTCAATGTTGGTACCAGGATTTTTAAGTTAAGAGCCAGTTGAACCTACAGGTGTGTTTTAATTTGAGAAATAAGAATAATGGTTCATTTGTAAGTTTAGGGCTGAAAAGAATCTGTAAACTAAGTTGCATTTTGTGCTTTATACATTTCAGTTTGTAAATTTTCTTTTTGTGTGGTTTTTATTTTTGTCATTTGTAAAGTGAGTTTTTAATAAGAACTCATGAAGCCACATGATTTTTCTCACATCAAATATCTCCAAGTTATAAGCTAGAAGAAACTAAAGAAATTGTATTTTATGTTCATATGTATTTTTAAATTTTGTAATTTAATAACTACTTTTGAATGAAAACATTACCTTTAACTCTTTTTTTTTCCTTTCTTAGGCTTGAAAAGGAATACACTACAATAAAAACGAAAGAAATGGAAGAGCAAGTTGAAATTAAAGTAAGCAGTTGGGGGCTTTTTAAAGTACTGATTGATTGAAATCAATTATTGGACAGTAGATGTTTAAAGTTTGTACTTCTTATATTCATAAATGTATTTACCATCCTACTAGATTATAGTTAAAAATAGACATTTCAAAAAAGCAGAATAATGCGACTGAAGTGGCTTTCATTCCAGTATGAAGGAGAGCAAGCTCTTCCCTTTTTCTAGATTTGTTGGTGGCTCATCAGGAGAAAACACTTCCATGGAGAAGAAAATTATCATTCCATTTAAGCATGTTTTTTAAAGTTGCAGAGAAGACAATCTATAATAACACTTTCTATGCTGAGACCAACAAGAGTGTAATCTCAGGCAAACATTAAATAGAGCATATATTACACTAGAACTAATTATGGTTGCTCTAGAGCTGCAGAAAGCTTTGACTGATACGACTTTTTCTTCTCTAAGCAAGGGTTATACTTTTGAACTACTCCTCTCCAGAAAATCAAGCAGATTTTCAATTCGAAGGGCATATAAATACCCTATATGTACCCTAAAAATATAAAATTTGTACCCCCCTCCATAAAACACGGAATTCTTGAGGTGAGGGTCTGTGGCACTGTTGGAGCTGGGACTTGAGAAAAATTGTGTTGCCTTTTATGCTGATATTGTAGGATGGCGTTGATAAGTGGAAGCATGAGTCAAAGAACTTAGTGATTGGCCAATTCACTTTCTAATCTCTTTATTCCCCTCCACCCCCTACCCCCAACCCCTGGAGAAAGGGTTAAAAGTAAAATAATTTTAGTGGAGTGACTCCCTCCTCCCTTTTTAAACTTTGTGTTTGAATGTGTCTGATTTTTGACTTGGATCTGGCGAGACATTATATGACCACCTTATTTTTCTCCTTTTACAAGGAAATGGGTTCTGTTAAACTAATACTCTTTCCTGCCTTGGTCCTCCTCAAAAGCCTCTAGGGAGACAGTCTCTCCAGTTTTCTTATGTTAACTCTCTCTTATCAACTCTCCTCCCTTTTCTAGAGGTTCTATTCCCATTTCTGTCACCTTTTCCTTATCAAATGGAAGTAGATACTTCCACATTTTTTATATATATAGAAAAGACCCCTGTGGATGTTTTTTCCTTCCTTTTTTTTTTTTTAATTCTGTCACCCAACTGCTGCTCTGCTATTTGCTTTGCTTTTTTTCTTTTTCTTTTTTTTTTTTTTTGAGACGAAGTCTCGCTGTATCGCCCAGGCTGGAGTGCAGTGGTGCGATCTTGGCTCACTGCAAGCTCCGCCTCCCAGGTGCACGCCATTCTCCTGCCTCAGCTTCCCAAGTAGCTGGGACTACAGGCGCCCGCCACCAAGCCCGCCTAATTTTTTGTATTTTTAGTAAAGATGGGGTTTCACCGTGTTAGCCAGGATGGTCTCGATCTCCTGACCTCGTGATCCACCTGCCTTAGCCTCCCAAAGTGCTAGGATTACAGGCGTGAGCCACCGCGTCCAGCCCTATTTGCTTTTCTTTTAGGTACTATGAGTAAGGGTACTTTTACTGCAAGTAAAAAGTACGTCATCCTGATGAGTGGGGAGAGAGTATGAGTTTTCACATACTACGAATATTCGGAACTGCAAATCAAGAATCTGAGGATGGGGAAGCCATCCTGTTCATTTCACCACACTATATTATTGAAAAAAAAATCACAGTTCTATGAACAATCCTTACTCTTGAAGAAATTTCTTATAAAATTAAGTACATGAATATAGGAATACCAAAAGGCATTTTCAGAAAACAGATTTTTAGCAGACTTTCACCTATACCTGCAGTATTTTCTTTTCTTTTAGACAGGGTCTCCCTCTGTCACTCAAGCTGGAGTTCAGTGGCATGATCTTGGCTCATTTGCAGCCTTGACCTCCCGCGCTCAAGCGATCCTCTCACCTCAGCCTCCTAAGTAGCTGGGACTACAGGTGCACACCACCATGCCTGGCTAATTTTTTGTATTTTCGGTAGAGACAGGGTTTCACCATGTTGCCCAGGCTGGTCTCGAACTCCTGAGTGCAGGCGATCCACCTGCATTGGCCTTCCAAAGCGCTGGGATTACAGGCATGAGCCACCACGCCCAGCCATTTGCAGTATTTTCTATACTTTGTTTTTTGAGGAAATATATAGTTCATATGCCTGAAGAAATGTTTTTGAATCTAGCTCCATGTGTCTCAGGCAGTTGGCATAAAATTGTCTATAGAGAAGAATCGGAAAAAAGAGTTTAGAAAGTTAGTGGAACATATCAGGTAAATAAAGTGCTGATCTCAAAGGTAGTCTGTTCTCTTTTTATAATATTGTTTCCATGTAGTTCTTTCTTATACCATTTTCATCTCTTTCTTCACTCCCCAGTTCCACCAGATAGAAAAACCAAAACAACTTTTGAATGACTATACTTTTTTTAAACTTCATATTTAGGGGTGTCTGATTTTTTTTTCAACTGAATACTTTTTTTTTTTTAATTATACTTTAAGTTCTGGGATACATGTGCAGAACATGCAGGTTTGTTACATAGGTATACACGTGCCATGGTGGTTTGCTGCACCCATTAACCCGTCATCTACATTAGGTATTTCTCCTAATGCTATTCCTTCCCTAGCCCTCCACCCCCTGACAGGCCCCAGTGTGTGATGTTCCCCTCCCCTGTGTCCATGTGTTCTCATTGTTCAACTCCTGCTTATGAGCAAGAACATGTGGTGTTTGGTATTCTGTTCCTGTGTTAGTTTGCTGAGAATGATGGTTTTCAGCTTCATCCATGTACCTGCACAGGACATGAACTCATCCTTTTTTATGGCTGCTTAGTATTCCATGGTGTATATGTGCTACATTTTCTTTATCCAGTCTATCATTGATGGGCATTTGGGTTGGTTCCAGGGTGTCTGATTTTTTTACTTAGACCCTGACAACTCATTCTAATCATGATCAGATGACCACCTTATTTACAATTCATTAGCCAGGTATAATATTAATTGAGCCTTGCTGTAAAATGGGAAATGCTACTTCTTACACACACTCCCTCCCTCCCGCAAAAGTCTCTTTTACAAGAGAATGGGTTCTGGTTGTAAACTAGTACTTTCTTGCCTTGGTTCTTTTTAAAAGTCCATGGGAAGATAGTTTTGTGCCATTATTTTTACAGCCCATTGGTATGATCATCAAATTGTTTGATGTTTTGATATGGAAGTATAAAATTAGCCTTTGATGTTGTGAAATGTGTTTATAAGGTCTCTGTTGTTTTTACTTTAATTAAATTATAAGACCTTTGGGGTGATGACCTTCTATTCTAAGAACTATATCTGTCAGTGAGCCCCCGGTTAAGATGCGACTTTTAAATATTTTTTCACCTCTTCCCTAAAAGTGTTATAGGAAGATTTTGATAATAATGTCTTCATATGGAAAATCTTAAATTTTGCGTGTGAAATTTTTTGTTAATAGAAACATCTTTATCAGTATCTTCTTCCAGTCTATTGATGTTCTACCTGATTGGGAGGAGGTGAAAAATATTAAAATTCTAGTTTGGCCGGGCGCGGTGGCTCACGCCTATAATCCCAGCACTTTGGGAGGCCGAGGCAGGCAGATCACTTGAGCCCAGGAGTTTGAGACCAGCCTGGACAACATAGCAAGACCCCATCTCAATTTTAAAAAAGAAAAAAATTATAAAACTAAAATTCTAGCTTATATTAGGGTAACCCACAAATCTTTAAAAAGGAAAAAAACTTTGATTCTGATAGACATACGAACAGTTAATCTAATTTTTATATTTAAATTTGTGCTTCGGGACGCAGAGATCTAAAGCCCTAAAATGAGAAGTATGAGAAATTCTGGCCAGTTTTTAGTCAAAAGTAAAGTATTTTTTCCTGTTTAAAAACTATGGTACATTTCAGATATGCTGAAAGCCAGAAAATAATATAAAAGTGCTCACATATTCACTGCCTGGCATAAAAATGAAAAAAAAAAAAAAAAAGAGAAGTGTTATCTAAGTTGCCCAGGAATTACATTTTAACAATCAATGTGAAGTATTAGAATTGAAGCTCACATTTATTTAGCCCTTAATATATGATGGGTCACTTACATGCATTATTTCCCCTTATTCTTAAAACAGCATTATTAAAGGGTTCTTATCCTTACCTGTGAAGAAATTAGGCTTCAGAAAGCTCAAATATTATGCCAGTGGTCACATTGCGAGGAAACAGAGTCAAGGATTTGAAGTCTGATTTGTGTTATTCTAAGGCCCATGTGTATTCTTCAGTATATACACTGTGCTGCTGCTGCTTTCCAAGAGAGACTTTGATATATTTGTGATGTAAGATTTGGATGCCCATTTTTCTCTGGCATATCAAACTTTTCATTAAAAAAACTAATGGCTACATAATATCCAAGGGAGGTATGCTAGCCTGATTTATTCAATAACACTTCATTTAACAGATAATTCATAGTGCCTCCTAGATGCCCAAGCACTGTTCTAGGCACTTGAAATGTGGTTATGAAGTAGACCATGATCTGTCCTCATGGAGATTATATTTTAATATGGAAATAACAATAAACAGAAAAGTCAAATGTACGGTATTTTGGATGGTGGTAAAGTCTTAAGGAGAAAAAATAACCTCAGGGAAAGAGAATGTAAAATGGTAGTGTTTGGGTAGAAAATTTAGAGAAGTTAACCAGGTGATTTTTGAAAAAAGACCTGAAGGAAGTGATGGGACTAGATATGTGACTATCTGGAAGAATGGCAGAACCTATTCGGGGTGTGCCTGGTGAGGAGCAGTAAGGTGGCATTGTGGATGGGACAGCATGAATGATGAGAAAAGTGGTAGGAAGTAAGATGGAGCAGGTTGCAGATAATGTAGGATGTTGTCGACAGTGGTAAGGACTTTGGCTTTTACTCTGGTTAGATGGCAGTTTTCAGCAGAGAAGGACAAAATGTGATTTAAGTTCAGTAGATCATTCTGGTTGCTGTGTTAAGAGTAAATTGCAGGGATTGAGAGCATTTCTGATGAACGCTGATGTGGTAATGCAGACAAAAGATGATGGTGGGCCAGGCATGCCTACCATCAGGGTGGCTTATGCCTGTAATCCCAGCACTTAGGGAGGCCAAGGTGGGCGGATTCCTTGAGCCCAGGAGTTCAAGACCAGCCTGGGCAACATAGTGGGCCCCTGTCTCCACAAATTTTTTTTTTCAAATTGCCAGGCATGGTGGTGCATGCCTGTAGTCCTAGCTACTCAGGAGGCGGAGGAAGGAGGATCACTAGAACCAGGGAATTTGAGGCTGCAGTGAGCTGTGATCATGCCACTGCATTCCTTCCTGGGTGACAGAGTGAAATCCTGTCTTAAAAAAAAAAAAAAAAGATGATGGTGGCTTGGACTGAGGTAAGAAGTAATTGGATTCTGAATAGATTTCAAATATAAAGTGGACAGCTAGAATGTAGAGATGTGTGAGGAGGAGGAACCAAGCCTTGTGGTCTGAGCAGGTAGATAAATGGTGTTCCCATTACCTGAGATGGGAAAGACTCCAGAAGGATTTGGTTTAGTGGGGATACCAGGAGCCCAATTTTGGGTATCTTGGGAATGAGATGCCTAGGAGATGTCCAGTTAGCTTCTTAAATATTCAGATCTGAAATTAAAAGAAGCCAAGCTCAAAATATAAATTTGGTAGTTATTGGCGGGGTCATAGTATTGAAAGCCATGAGAATGGGTGAGATTACTTGGGAAAGGATTGTAGATAAAATAGAGAAGAATTCAAGAATTGAGCCTGAGAATAAACCAACATTTAAAGATGAGGAAGACAAGTAGAAAGTAGCAAACTAGGAGAAAACCAGGTAGGTGTAGTTCCCAGAAGCCAAGAGACAGTGAGAAAGAGAGAAGGATTTACCATGTCAAATACTGAAGAGTTTTTGTGAAATGAGGATGGAGAAATGACCATTGCATTTTCCAGCATGATTATAATTTATCCTAGAAACGAGTGGAGCAGAATGGTAGGTACTAAAACCTAACTGGAATAGAAGAAGAAAAATTAGAGATATTTTTCAAGGAATTTACTATAAGGATAAAAGAAATGGGACAGTAGCTAGAGAGGGTAATTATGTTGAATTTTTTGTTTCTGTTTTCTGTTTTTTTTTTAAGATAGGAGAAATAACTGCATGCTTTTATGGTGATAATCAAGTAGGAAAAATTTATCATTAAGAATGGGGGATAATCACTGGAGTCAGGAAGATACGGAATTTAGTGCGAAGTTAGGAGATGTAACTTAGTATGCTAGCATGAGTAGTTAATACACAATAACAAGAAATCAAAATATATGGGCAAAAATGCAGGTAGGATGTAGGATGTGGTTTTGGGAGCTTGTGAAATTCTCTTCTAATTGCCTCAGTTTTTTTCAGTGAAATCATATGCCAGATTATCAACTGAGAGACAATGGATTGGAGGGTTGCTGGTTTGAAGAAAGAGGAATAGGTATGAAATAGTGACCTAGGGGGATAGAAGAAGGACATTATTATTGCTAAGAACCATATTGAATTTAGTGATCAGTAATTTAAATAAACGTCATGGTTTTGTTTTTGTTCAGTCATATTTACTGGCATAGGTACAGACTCAAAATTGTCAGATAGTTGATCCAGAGTAGTGTTTTTTCCAGGCAGTTATACTACGAAGGGAGAGAAGGGCAAGGGGGCTTAAAAGCAAGGGAGCCGTATAATGATTGCAAATTAAACTTTGTCAAGAAGGAATAGAGAACATCAAGGATTGAGGGACAGTGAAAAGTTGTTGGGATCACTAGACTGTCTCAGTGAAAACAATTGTTGGGGTTGGGTTACTTTGTAAACTGAGTAAGCTGGAAAGAATAGGAAATAGTGATTGAAGAGTGGGTTATTTGAAATGAGATTATCCTATTTCAGGATATAAGGTTGTTTTCAGTTTTTCTTATTAAAAATAATGCTAATGGTTAACATCTTTGTATATAACAAGTTTTTTGTCTCCTATTATTATTTCCATAGCCAGTTATAAAAAGTAGAATTAATAAGTTACAAGATATTAGCATTTTAAAGACTTTTGATGTATAATACGTAAATTTCCTAAAGAATGTGTCCAGGGTATGTTTGTCTTAGCAACAAGTTTCCATTTAATGACTACTTTGCCAACACTAAGTATTTCATTCTTGCTCTCACTTTTAGTCTCTTTTTTTTCTAATTTGGTAGGTCAAAAAATTGTCTCTATTTTCTTTTTCAATGTACAAGATAAACATTTGTATGTAGCTATATCTAGGTATCTTCCTCTCTGTGGTTTTCACTTTAAAGTTTAGGAAGCACTCTATTCTAGAAAATGTGAGGAAGATATTGAAGAATTATTGAGAATCAATCAGGTGGTAGATTTTAGTTATTAACCTTTCTATGTATCGTCAATAAACAGTTCAAAAATATACTGGAAGAAGTTCCATTTGAAATAAAAATAAAAGTATATCTAGGAGTAACCTAAATGAAAAATAGAATAGGACCTAACAAACACTGGAAAACTTTACACACAGACATTTTAAAAAGATAACTAAAGATAGACAAAAATAGCTCCATGTTATATAAAGATATGAATTTCCCAGTGATTTTTTTTTTTTTTGAGACAGAGCCTTGCTCCGTTGCCCAGGCCGGAGTGCAGTGGCATGGTCTTGGCTCACTGCAACCTTCACCTCCTGGATTCAAGTGATTCTCCTGCCTCAGCCTCCTAAGTAGCTGGGATTACAGGCATGCGCCACCATGCCAGGCTGATTTTTGTATTTTTAGTAGAGATGGGGTTTTGCCATGTTGGCCTGGCTGGTCTCGAACTTCTGGCCTCAAGTGATCCACCTGCCTTGGCCTCCCAAAGTTCTGGGATTACAGCTGTAAACCATTGTACCTGGCCCTCAAATTCAGTGAAATTTAATTCCTTGTAAAATTCCAGGGCAATAAAAAAATCTTAAGAATAATTCTAAAAATAGACAAAAGTAGTAAAATAATATTCATGCCTAACTTCAAAACTATTGTGGGCAGTGCTTATCATTAACTGAGTATTTGGCATATATTAGGTGCTATGCTATCTCATTTAATTTTTCAGTTCCCTGTAGGTTTGATTACTCTTAATTTCTGGATGAGGAAATGGAGATTCTAAAACATTGAATGTCATGTGCAAGTGTTAATTGTAGAATGAGAATTTGAACTTAAATCTGCCTAACTTCAAAACCTAGTCTCTTAGCTACTTTAGTATACTAGTATTTGGGGTTTGGGAACAATAAACAAATGTAAGAACAGGGGATATTAGCTCTACTAGGTATTAAAACAGATAGCAAAGCTATAATTACCAAAATACTGTGATATTAGTTTTAAAAAAAGAAGACAGTAACACTTGAAACGTAAAAGTAACCCTGAAATGGTCTGTATTAACTGAAAAAGTCTATTGATCAATTCCTGATGTAAATATTATACAAATGAGGAAGTGGTGATTTATTTTTTAAATGGTGTTAAGCATTTGGTTAGTTGTTTGTGGGAGAAAATCAATTTAGATTTTTATTTATAATGAAATAGATTTCAGAAGCCGTAAAAGGGGTTGGGGAAGGAAATCCAGATGAGTGTTTTCAGTTCTAAATTTTATTTTAGCATGATTTCTGTCATAACTTTATTCACTCAGTTGTCTGGTGGGAACTTAGTTTTCTAAATCTTTTAAGATAAAACATTACCTTTTGTTGATGAAATATGATTGAGAACATTTTGAGAATCCCATTTATTTCTTTGGCTCTCTAGACTTTAGCAGCATTTAATAATTGCTTATTTGTGTAGACTACTATGCTGCACACAGTAGGAGGAGCCAAGACATAAGAACATTTTCTACTTCTC
This sequence comes from Homo sapiens, assembly GCF_000001405.40. Classification (NCBI taxonomy): domain Eukaryota; kingdom Metazoa; phylum Chordata; class Mammalia; order Primates; family Hominidae; genus Homo; species Homo sapiens. The sequence goes on along the minus strand of NC_000001.11, from coordinate 92,668,297 downwards.
AAGCTGTTATTTTGTCTGAGATTAGTTATTAACTTTCCTGTATATCATAATGTCTATTTCAGATCATCTGAATTTTAGTGAATAGAACAAGAAATCTAATTTGCCAAGTATCTTTGTAATAACTCTAAGATTTGTTTCAATTTGTGATCCACTTTAATAAGATGCAGTAATTCATAGAGTCTCTCATTTCCCTGAACTAATACTTTATATGTTATATAAAGCCATATTTAAGTCTTTACTGGCAAAATAATAGGTTGAATTGATGGAAGAATTTTCTGAGACAGACATTTTTTAGCAGAAATTTATAGGAAGGTGGGGCTGGAAGAAGGCCCTTGATTGAGTTCTGGAACAAATTGGTACAAAAAAGTAAGTTATCACCTTGAGGCCGGGCACAGAGGCTTATGCCTGTAATCCCAGCATTTTGGGAGGCTGAGGCGGGCGGATCATGAGGTCAGGAGATCAAGACCATCCTGGCTAACACGGTGAAACCCCCTCTCTACTAAAAATACAAAAAATTAGCTGAGCGTGGTGGCATGTGCCTGTAGGTCCAGCTACTCAGGAGGCTGAGTCAGGAGAATCGCTTGAACCTGGGAGGCAGAGGTTGCAATGAGCTGAGATCGCACCACTGCATTCCAGCCTGGGCGACAGAGTGGGACAACATCTGAGGAATTTGAAAATGAAAAGATAACTTATAAAGGGGATTAATAAGCAATTATACTGGTGGATATGCAAAAATAACTTTTTAAAAATGTAGAGTGACTTGGATTTAATACTTAATGACAGTAATTAGACAAGTTTTTTGGGAACCAGGCATTGAATAATTAGGTAAAGTGCTTTTCAAAAAAATCTGGTTTTACTTTTTGAACTATGAGGAGATACTAGTAATTGGAGTTGTTTTCTCAGAAAAAATTAATAAATTCTTTGTATTTTCAGAATTTTGCAACTTGTCATCTATACTGTATAATAAATGGAGACTATTGAAGTCTAAATGGGCAATTTTTTTTTTTTAAATTTGAGACAAGGTCTTGCTCTGTTGCCCAGGATGGAATGCTGTGATGTGATACTGGCTCACTGCAACCTCCACTTCCAGGGCTGAGGCCGTCTTCCCCCTGAGCCTCCTGAATAGCTGGGACTACAGGCACATGCCACTACGCCCAGCTAATTTTTATATTTTTTGTAGAGACAGGGTTTTGCCATGTTGTCCAGGCTGGTCTTGAACTCAAGCTCAAGTGATCCACCTGCCTGGTCTCCCAAAGTGGATTGCAGGTGTGAGCCACTGAGCCAGGCCCTAAATGGAAAATTTGATGTTTAGCCTATGAACGTGCATTTTTTAGATCTCCTGTTTCTTCATTCAACTGACATTTGAATATTAATTATATAGGTAGGCTCTGTTGGAGGTAGGCAAGTTAGAATCTTTTTTGTCTAATGAGGATGTTAAAACACATAAGAAAATATTTGATTATGAGTCATTATGGTAAGTATGTATAGAAATGGAAGGGCTTATTTCTATATGTACTGTAGAGTGTATTTAAATTTAATCACAGCTGGAATGATGAATGTGAGTATTTCCTTTGCTGTGGTGTATTTATTTCTCTTTCTTTATCCCTTTCCTTTCCCTTCTTTTTCCTTTTCTTTTTCCTCTTTCCTTTCCTTTCTTCTCCCCTTCCCTCCCCTCCCAACCCCTCCCTTCCCCTCCCCTCCCCTCCCTTTTTTGGACACAGGGTTTCACTCTGTCTCCCAGGCCGGAGTACAGTGGTCCAATCTCGGCTCACTACAACTTCCACCACCCCCACCTCAGCCCCCACCTCCCAGCCCCCCACCTCAGCCCCCACCTCCCAGCCTCCCACCTCAGCCTCCCAGGTAGCTGGGACGACAGATTCGCACCACCATTCTGTGTGTGTATGTGTGTGCATGCATGCATGTGTGTGTGTGTGTTTTTCATAGAGACAAGGTTTCACCCTGTTGCCCAGGCTCATCACCACCATTCCTGGCTAAATTGTGTGTGTGTGTAGTTTTCATAGAGACGAGGTTTCGCCATGTTGCCCAGACTCAGGCTCATCTGGAACTTCTGAGCTCAAGCCATCTGCCGGCCTTGGCCTCCCAAAGAGCTGGGATTACAGGCGTGAACCATGGTGCCCTGCCTTCTGTGTATTTCTTACTCTGAGTCTTTGACATTTGATAATGTAATCATTCCTTAGACTCCTTTCTTATTTATAAAAGGTGATACATTTTCAGGACTGTGATTTAGAAATCTTTTTTTTCCTCTCAAAAATGCTTGCAAATAAAACTTTTTTTTTCTTGGCAGAGGTTACGCACAGAAAATAGACTTTTAAAACAGCGCATCGAGACATTAGAAAAAGTAAGTAAGTGACTACTTATGCAAGCTTCTGTTGAATGCCTGGTGTTTTTTCTGTATATTTATTAAAAATCCTCAAAAATTCTGGCACATGTCTCCTATGTTGTAGTATTGACTGCTTAGCTTGCTTACCTTACTATTTATTTAGCCAGATAACTTGTTACTAATAAAAATTGATCAGTTGTACTGGTTCTTAAACTTTAGTATTCAGGTTTTAACTGAGATTAACAGTAACATATTGATACTATTTGTTTTCTTTACACATAATTTCTAAAAAGTATGTTCTTTTATAATTTAGTTGGGAGTCCATTCTGATATAGCATTTTAAAGATGAGTTTCAAATGTTGCCCTGGACTTTCTAGCATATTGGAAGTGTGGCAGTGATTCCTTTAAGGCCTAGGATTGCTTTTAGTCGAAGTGACTGATTCCTTATATAAAAATTCACTCATGTTGATTTTCAGCACAAAGGAATTGTGCATAAACTTTTAGTTCTTATAATTATTTTAGTATCTACTTGTTACATTTTCTCTGTTTTATATAGAGTGGGCAAATATGGAAATTTTGCATTATTTTTCATAGTGTGCTTTTGATGAAAAATCTTTTGTAGTCATTTACAGATGCTATAAGAATGAATTGAGTAGTAAAAGTATGGTTTAAGAATTTTGCTTTATTAAAAGAAAGACATCTGAATTCACAAACTCTTTTGGTGCTTTTTTCTTTTTCTTTTTTATTTTTTTGAGAGAGAGTCTCGCTCTGTTGCCCAGGCTGGAGTGCAGTGGCTCAATCTTGGCTCACTGCAGCCTCCTCCTCCCAGGTTCGAGGGATTCTCCTGCCTCAGCCTCCTGAGTAGCTGGGATTATAGGCGTGCGCCACCACGCCTAGCTAATTTTTGTATTTTTGGTAGAGACAGGGTTTCACCATGTTGGCCAAGATGATCTTGATCTCTTGACCTCGTGATCCGCCTGCCTCGGCCTCCGAAAGTGCTGGGATTACAAGCATGAGCCACCGTGCCCAGCCACTTTTTTCTTTCTTTAACTAGAGATAAGAGTAAGTAGATTTAAACATACCCCTCATCATATTGCCAAGGATCTTAAAATCTTCCCTGAAAATCTACAATCAAGAAATAAATAAATGGAAATATGGATATTTTGCAGTATTTGTCGTTTGTTTGAAAAGTATTGATGATTTCATATTAAATAGAAGTGCGTAAGGACAGGATATTTATTACATGTCTGCCTTTGTTGTATAATAATTGCAGATACATCATATTAAGTCAAAAATAGTTTCCCTGTTTTTCTCTCATCATGTTAGGGTTGCTATGAGAGTAATTCTACTTTTGGTGACTCCACAGGAAGATTGAGCTTGCTTTTAAGTTGTTTTAATTATATACTCTTTTTTCCCACTAAATATCTAGCTTACAGTCAAATATGCATCTTCTTAGTTTTTTTTTTTTTTTAAATCTTTGGAGTAAGACATTTAAACTGGGAAAGGATTATAATATTTCATTGAACCTTCGGAATGAGAATGATGCTGTAAGAAAGTGTTAAGTTTGGATTTTGCTTCTAGAAAATTAAGTTCCTTTTTTTATTGGCTTAGATGGCCCAGATGTGTCACTTAGCACTTAGAATTCTATAAATACTATGTATCAATTGAATTCTGTAATAAAAAAGTATACTTTCTCAGTTATTGCTAAAGTTTAAGTTTAGCTCATTAATTTTATTTGTCATATTTTCCTTGCTTTGTTTCTTTGAAAGTTGTGGTTGCACAAATTGCTGTCACACTTTATAATTGGAATTGCTTACTCAAATTCCTTCTCCCTTTCATGTAAGTGGGTTGACAATATGGATTAAGTCTAAAAGATGTAAATATACCAAAAGAGGAAGAGGAAATATTTGACTGAGTGCAGTGGCTCACGCCTATGATCCCCGCACTTCGGGAGGCTGAGACAAGAGGATTGCGTAAGGCCAGGAGTTCAAGATTGGCCTGGGTAACATAGCAAGACTGTATCTCTACAAAAAATTTTAAAACTAGCTACATGTGGTGGCACACACCTGTAGTCCTAGCTGCTCAGGAGGCTGAAGCAGAAGGACCAACTCCTTGAGCCGAGGAGTTGGCAGTTACAATGAGCTACATGATGATGCCATTGCATTCTAGCCTGGGTGACAGAGTGAGACCCTGTCTCTATTTTAAAAAAACAAAACAAACAAACAAAAAAATTTGCTTGTTCCAGGTAATGAAAACCCACTTGGAATTTGTGTTTGGTATCTTCTGGAAACACATGATTTTCAACCACCTATCCTTGTTTTTATATATTTTTCTTAAGGTTTAAAAATAAAAACATTCAGTAAAAAATGGTTTTAAACTTTAAATGTCCATTTTAATTAGCAATGAAAAGTAGATGGAATTTGGGTATATTTGTTTCTTTTTTCCTAATTTTATCACTTTTATTTCTTTCTCTTATATTTCTATCTGAATTTTTCCTTTTGTAGGAAAGTGCTTCCTTGGCAGATAGATTGATACAGGTATAGTTTTTGTTTTGTTTTAGTTTTTTAAAACATCTTCTCTAACTTCTAAGGAAAGTCCTAAACCTCGAAATTCATATTTTAATGCATGCAATTTTACATGCGTTTTTCTAGAAATAATTTTTTGGGTGGTATATGTGGGTATAAATTTAATTTTTTGTAACAAGGTGTTATCTTGGTTTATTTTTGCACGTTTTAAAGCTAACCTTATTTTTTAAAGTATTTATTTCAAAATGGCAATAAGTGGATTCTGTGAAATTAACTACTATTCATTGAAAATTTTAGTCCTGCATGTACAACTCAGTAATATTGCATGAATTAAATTTTTATTGACTGAAAGAATTGTTCTTGTCAGGTGAATTTTTCGTTTAGTTTCCGAAAATTTGCTGGAGCAATAACAAGCTGCTAGCTAATGATTACGTAGGCTGTTCTATTCGCTGAGGTGACTTTTTTTTTTTTTTTAACATGTCAAAGTAAATAACTAAACCTCACAAAGGCAGTCTTTCTTGAATCTATCCTAAATTGCTTTACACACACAAAAATTATGTCCTAAGGGACAAGTGACAAGAGCCCAGGAGGCTGAGGAAAACTACCTCATAAAACGGGAGTTGGCCACCATCAAACAGCAGAGTGATGAGGCCAGTGCTAAGCTGGAGCAAGCTGAAAATACCATCAGGAAGCTCCAGCACCAACAACAATGGGTAAGGAGTCTGGTAGTGCTTTTCTCATCTTTCTCATCCCCCTTCCTTTCAATCATTTTTTTTTTCATAGCACAGATTTTGTGCTGTTGTTTTAAATAATTTTGTTTTAGACTTTGAACTTTTAAATTATACAATTTTATGTTCTGTGATATTTAGGGGTCTTATTGTGGCCTAAGGACTCCTGTTCTAATTTTTTTTCTGTCTACATAGTTTTGTTAGAAATAGGTAATATTTTCTTTCCTTACACTGTGTTTTAAGTAATGGGAAATAAGCAGTGTATGTCAGAATTGCTTTTAAGTTTTTAGAAATCTGTTTTCATAATAGGTATCATTTTGCTAACAGTAATTTTTAAATCCCAACTTCAGCTAGTTTTTGTTCATTGTACAGATGAAACATTATCCAGCATGCAGAATATATGCAGTTATCTCATTTAAAGCTTCGACAGTGTGGCAATTTGTGTCTTACGAAATACTATTGCTTAGACTTCCTACATCAAGACATTGAATTATGGGTTAAGGTGTATGCCTATATTTCAAAGGGAGAGAAGTTGCAAAGATGAAAAAGATTAACCCTTTAAAAATTATCTTAATTAACCTAGGGTGTATTTCTAATTATCTTAATCAACCTAGGGTGCGTACTAAACAGCTACTAATTGTACATCTAGCCTCAGGTATCTTTTGCAGCTTAGACATTTTCCATTGGCAAATTCAGACAAGGGCGATCTTAATCAGGAATATGAGGGTAAAAGAAAAGCCAACTGTTTATCTTTGAAAACATATTATTTCTTGTTTCAGTTTTCCATCCTCAAGTAGGCGCTAGATTGTAATAAGTAAGCAGAAGAAGTTGTGTTAATCCTGGAACTCTATGCAGATCTGGAAGGCAAATAGAGTGACTGCAAAGTAGGACGTTCTTTTTATTCAATAAAATTAAGAAACAGCATCGTCATCTCGGTACAAAAAAATCAGAAAACCAGAAGCAAAAAGAAAAATTGGCAGTTGAAAGGGTCATAAACATCTTTTTTTTTCTGTTATTGAAGATTGCTAAGAAAAATGAATAGGAGAGTGACAAAATAATACTAAAAAGAAGGGAACTCATATTTTGCTCCACTTTTGTATGTAATGTCAATAATATCAAAGCATTAAAAAGAAAAAAACAATTGTGGATTTATATTAGGAATTTACCTGAAATAAGTTACTTCAATGTGATTTTCTAAAGAAAACACAATAAGTATTGTTTGCATTTAGCATAAGCTACAGTCATAATACATTAGAATCATGAATTAAATTTTTTACATTGTTTTTCAAATATTGAGACTTATTGATAGATGTATATCAAAGGGATAGAATGCTGGTTTATAGTGAAAAATTTAACTTGGTGAGCAAAAATGGCCATAATAAAGTGAATGAGCATATTACGGCTAGAAAGTGAACATCTGTTGCTCATTGTTTTAATTATAGCCTTCCAATATAACTTTATGAATTCTTCAAAGTTTCAGAATAAGGGTTTTAAATTTGTATTCCAGCAGGAGGTATTGAATTACCAATATAAGCATCCACCGCCACCACTCCCTACTGCCAAATAGTGGCAATTTATATGATATAAAGAGCTTTGGATTTTATTTATGGAACTAGATTCTAGTCCTGTTTTGCCAACTATGTGATCTTGTATACTCAAAGACAGTTTTGTGTGTGTGTGTGTGTTTTTTCCCAAATGATTAAATAGGGCTAGACCTTCTCAGGTCTCTCTCTTTCACTTTTAAAATTAACTTTATTAAAGTATAATTTATATGTAATAAAATTCATCAAATGTAGGTATGTAGCTTGATGTGTTGGAAATGTATGTAGTTATGAAACACTACCACAATCAAAACAAATAATATTTCTATCATTCCCTTTATGGTTCACCACCCCCCAACCCCAGCAACCTGTGTGCTTTCTTTCACTATAGTTTTACCTCTTCTAGAATTTCAAATAAATAGAATTGTAAGGTATGTGACTTTTATGTCTGGCTTCTTTCACTTAGCATATCTATTCACTTTTTTGATGATTTTTGAAAGTTTTATTTTTAATTGACACATCAAATCAGAGTAATTAGCTAACACATTGATTGCCTCGAACATTCCTTTGTGGTGAGAACATTCAAAATCCCCTCTTCTAGCTATTTTCAAATATACAATACGTTATTGTTAACTATAGTCACTCTACTGTGCAATGTAACACCAGAATTTATTCTTCCTATCTAACTGTAACTCATACCTGTTGACCATTCTCTTCCCATCACCATGTTCCCAATTCCCTCCCTAGTCTCTAGTAACCACTATTGTATTCTCAGTTTCTATGAGATCAACTTTTTTAGATTCCACATATGAGTGAGATCATGTGGTATTTGTCTTTCTGTGTCTGGCTTATTTCACTTAACATAATGTCCTCCAGGTTCATCCATGTTGTCACAAATGACAATTTCATTTTTTAAAATGGCTCAATAGTGTTATTTTTATACATTTAGGGGATCCAAGTGCATTTTGTTACATGGATATATTTCATAGTAGTGGAGTCTGGGCTTTTAGTGTAACCATCAGCTGAATAGTATATATTGTATCCATGAGTTAATTTCTCATTCCTCACCGCCTCTCACCATGTTACCTTTCTGAGTCTCCAGTGTCTATTATTCTATGCTCTATGTCCATGTGTATACATTATTTCTCATTTATAAGTGACGGTATGCAATATTTGACTTTCTGAGTTATTTTACTTAAGATAATATCCTCTAGTTTTATCCATGTTGCTCCAAAACACATAATTTCATTCTTTTTAATGGCTGAGTAATATTTCATGGTGTATATACACACCATTTTTTTGTATTCAGTCATCCATCAATGGATACTTAGGTTGATTCCATATCTTTGCTGTTGTGAATAAATCTACAAGAAATATATGAGTACAGGTATCTTTGATATAATGATTTTTCCTTTGGGTAGATACCCAGTAGTAGGATTGCTGGACTGAATGGCAGTTCTGTTTTTAGTTCTTTGAGAAATCTCCATACCATTTGTCATACAGGTTGTACTAATTTCCATTCCCACCAGTAGTGTATATGTGTCCTCCTTTTTCCACATCCTCACCAATATCTGTTATTTTCTGACTTTTTAATAGCCATTCTGACTGGTGTAAGATGGTATCTCATTGTGGTTTTAATTTCTCTGATGATAGTGATGTTGAGCATTTTTTTCATATGTTTGTTAGCCATTTGTATGTCTTCTTTTGAAAAAGTCTGTTCATGTCCTTTGCTCACTTTTTAATGGAGTTTTATTTTTCTTGTTGAGTTGTTTGCGTTCCTTGTAGATTCTGGATATTTGTCTTTTGTCTTATGTGTAGTTTGCAAATATTTTCTCCCATTCTGTAGGTTGTCTATTCACTCTGTTGATTATTCCTTTTGCTGTGCAGAAGCTTTATAGTTTAATTAAGTCCTATTTGTCTATTTTTGTTTTTGTTGCATTTGCTTTTGAGGTCTTAGTCATGAATTCTTTGCCTAGGCCAATGAGCAGATAGGTTCTTCCCAGGTTTTCTTCTAGGCTTTTTAAATTTTCAGGTCTTAAGTTTAAGTCTTTAATCCATATTTTTTTCCTTCTCTTTAATCCATCTTGAGTTAATTTTGTAAATGATGAGAGATATGAATCCAATTTCATTCTTCTTCATATGGCTAATTTTCCCAGCACCATTTATTGAATAGGGTGTCCTTTTCTCAGTGTATGTTTCTATCAACTTTGTTGAAGATCAGGAAACTGTAGGTATGTGACTTTATTTCTGGTTTTCTGTTCTGTTTCTTTGATCTGTGTGTCTGTTTTTAATACCAGTACCATGCTGTCTTGGTTACTATAGCCTTGTAGTATAATTTGAAGTTAAGTAATGCAATATCTCCAGTATTGTTCTTTCTACCTAGGATTGCTTTGGCTGTTCTGGGTCTTTCTTGGTTTCATATGAATTTTAGGATTTTTTTTTCCTAACTGTGAAAAAAGACATTGGTATTTTTATAGGAAATACATTGACTCTGTAGACTGCTTTGGGCAGTATGGTCATTTTAATGATACTGATTCTTCCAATCCATGAGCATGGAATGTTTTTTCCATTTGTTGGTGTCATCCGCAATTTATTTCATCAGTATTTTGAAGTTTTCCTTGTAAAGATCTTCCACCTCCTTGGTTAACAGTATTCCCAGGTATTTAAATTTTTTTGTAGCTGTTGTCAATGGAATTTACTTCTAGATTTGGATCTCAGCTTGATTGTTATTGGTGTACAGAAATGTTACTGATTCTGTACATTGGTTTTATGAAACTTTAATGAATTCTTTTATCAAATCTAAGAGCCTTTTGGAGGAATCTCTAGGGTTTTCTAGGTATAAGATCATAACATCAGCAAACAGATAATTTGACTTCCTCTTTTCCAATTTGAATATCTTTTATTTCTTTCTCTTTCCTGGTTGCTCTGGCTAAGACTGTTAGTACTATGTTGAATAAGAGTGGTGAAAGTAAGCATCCTTGTCTTGTTCCAGATCTTAGAGGAGTGCTTTCAACTTTTCCCCATTCATTATGATGTTGGCTGTGGGTTTGTTGTATATGGTTTTTATTATTTTCAGGTATATTCCTTCAATGCCTATGATATGGCTTGGATCTCCCTTCCAGATTTCATGTTGAGATGTAATCCTCATTGTTGGAGGTGGTACCTGGTGGGATGTGTTTGGATCATGGGGCAAAGACCTCATGACTTGGTGCTGTCCTCATGTGAGTGAGTCCTTGTGAAATCAGATTGTTTAAGACTGTGTGGCAACCCCCTCCCCTACTCTCTTGCTCCCACTCTCACTGTGTGACATACCTGCTCCTGCTTCGCCTTCCTCAATGAGTAAAAGCCTTCCCAGAAGTAAATGCCAGTGCTTCCTGTACAGCTTGCAGAACCATAAGCCTATTAAACCTCTTTTCTTTATAAATTACCCAGCCTCAGGTATTTCTTCATAACAATGCAAGGAGAACCTAGGTTTTTTAGTTTTTTTTTGTTTGTTTGTTTTAACAGGATCTTGCTCTGTCACCTAGGCTGGAGTACAGTGGCACAGTCATGGCTCACTGCAGCCTCAACCTCCCAGGTTCAAGTGATCCTCCTGCTTTAGCCTCCTGAGTAGCTGGGACTACAAGCACACACCACCATACCTCATTAATTTTTGAATTTTTTGTAGAGATGGGTTTTCGCCATGTTACCCAGGCTGGCCTTGAACTCCAGGGCTCAAGCGATCCACCTGCCTTGGCCTCTCAAAGTGCTGGGATTACAGGCATGAGCCGACGTACCTGGCGTATGTTTGGTTTTTGTTTCGTTGGGTTTTTTCTGTTTTTAATCATGAAGGGATGCCGAATTTTATCAAGTGCTTTTTTTTGCATCTGTTGAGATGATCATACAGTTTTTGTTTTTAGTTCTGTTTATGTGGTGAATCACAGTTATTGATTTATTTATGTTGAACCATCCTTGCATCCCTGCAGTATGACCCACTTGATTGTGATATATTATCTTTATGATGTGCTGCTGGATTTGGTTTGCTAGGATCTTGTTGAGGATTTTTGCATCTGTGTTCATCAGAGATATTGGTCTGTAGTTTTGTTATTTTTGTGGGTCCTTCCCTGGTATCACGGTGATGCCGGCTTCATAGAATGAGTTAAGGAGGAGTCCCTCCTTGATGTTTTTTGGAAGAGTTTCAGGAGAATTGGTACTAGTTCTTCATTGTATGTATGGTAGAATTTGGCTGTGAATTCATCTGATCCTGGGCTTCTTGTTCTTGTTGGGAGATTTGTTATTACTGATTTAATTGCACTACTCATTATTAGTCTTTTTAGGATTTCTGTCTCTTCCTAGTTCAGCCTTAGAAAGCTTTATTCTTCCAGGGATTTATCCCTTTCTTCTAGGTTTTCTAGTGTGAGTGTAGAGATGTTCATAGTAGTCTCTGTTCATTTGTATTTCTGTGGTATCAGTTGTAATGTCTCCTTTTTCATTTCTGATCACTTGTTAATTTGGGTCTTCTCTCTTTTCTTGGTTAATTGAGCAGTATATTGGTTTTGTTTATTTTTTTCAAAGAACCCACTTTTCATTTCTTTGATCCTTAGTATATTTTGTTGTTGTTGTTCTCAGTTTCATTTAGTTCTGCTATGGTCTTTGTTATTTCTGTTCTTCTGCTTGCTTTAGGTTCTTGTTTTTCTAGTTCTTGAGGTACGATGCCAGGTTGTTAATTTGTGATCCTTCTGGTTTTTTTATTTAGGCATATAATGCTGCAGACTTCCCACTTGGTGCTGCTTTTGCTATATCCCAGAGGTTTTTGTATGTTGTGTCTCCATGTTCATTTGTTTCAAAAAAGTTTTAGATTTCTATTTTAATTTTGTTGCTGACCCAAAGATGATTTGGGAGCAGGTGAATTTTTATGTATTTGTATAGTTTTGAGAGTTCTTCTTGGAATCAGTTTCTAGTTACATTCCACTGTGGTCCAAGAAGAGACTTGATATGATTTTGATTTTTGAAAATTTATTGAGACTTGTTTCATGGGCTAAAATATGGTCTGCCTTAGAGAACATTTCATGTGCTGATGAGAAGAATGTATATTCTGTGGTTGTTGAATAGAATGTCCTATAAATGTCTATTAGAGTCCAATTTATGTCCAGTATTTCTTTGTTGATTTCCTGTCTCAGTGATCTTTAATGCTGTCATTGGGGTGTTGAAGTCCTTCTCTATTATTGTTTTGCTGTCTCTTTTCTTAGATAGAGTAGTTTTTCTTTGGTTTTCTTTTCTTTTTCTTTTTATTTATTTTTGTTTCCAAGGCACTGTCTCAGGATGTCCTGAGAACATGTGCCCCAGTAGTAGTTGTCTTATGAATCTGGGTACCTCCTATATCGGGTACATATATATTTAGGATTGTTACATCTTCCCGTTGACTTTATCCCGTTATCATTTTAAAATGACCTTCCTTGTCTTTTTTCACTGTTGTTGATTTAAAGTCTGTTTTATCTGATACAAAGATAGCTACTCCTGCCTGCTTTTGGTTTCTGTTGGTGTGGGATATCATTTTCTACCCTTTTTCCTTCAGTCTGTATTAGGTGGGTTTCTTGTAAGCAGCATATTACTGGATCATCCTTTTTGTAAGACCTGTAAGTTTTATACTTTTGTCTGTTTTTATGATGTTGAGTATTGACCTTTTGTTTACATGTTTAGAACTCACTTGAACATTTCTTGTAAGGCTGGTCTAATGGTGATGAATTCTGTTAGCATTTGCTTGTCTGGGAAAGACTTTTTCTCCATTTATGAAGCTTGTTCTAGCAGGATAAAAAATTCATGGTTGACAGGTTTTTTTTTTTCTTTAATAAGTCTTAAAATGGGATTGTGATTTTTTTTCTGGCTTGTAAAGTTTCTGCCAGTATGTCCACTGTTAGTCTGAGGGGATTTCCTTTACTGATGATTAGACACCTTTCTCTTGCTGATTTTAGGATTTTTTTTTTTCCTTCATGTTGTCATTAGTCTGATGAGTATATGTGTTGGTGAAGTCCTTCTTGCACTGTATTTTCCTAGAGTTCTCTGAGCATCTTCTATTTGGATGTCTAAATCTCTAGCAAGAGTAGGGAGTTTTCCTCAATTACTTCCTCAGATAGGTTTTCCAAACTTTTTGCTTTTTCATCTCCCTCAGGAATACCTATGACTTGTAGGTTTAGACATTTTATATAACCCCTATACTTCTCAAAGGCTTTGTTCATTTTTGAAAATTATTTTTTCTTTATTTTCGTCTGACTGGACTAATTCAATAGACCTGTCTTTAAGCTCTGAGATTGTTTTTTCTGCTGGGTTTAGTCTACTGTTAAAGCTTTTACCTGTATTTTATAATTTCTTCAATGAATTTTTCATTTCCAGACTTGATTTTCAGATTTCTTGGTGTTGATTTTCATTCAGCTTTCTCTTAGATCTCATTGAGCTTCTTGGAAATCAGTATTTTTAATTCTTTATATGGTATTTCAGAGATTTCATTTTAGTTAGGATCTATTGCTAGAGATTTAGTGTGATCTTTTGAGAATGTCATAACACTGTCTTTATACTTCCAGAATTGTTTGGCTGTTTCCTTCTCATATGGAGAAACTTATCTTTTCTTCTTATTTTTGAATTTACTTTCATTTGGACAGGAATTTTTTTCCTCTGAAGGATATAACTACAATGTATGTTCTGGGTGCTTCCTTGGCAGAATGTATGAGTTCTTTGAATATAGATAGCCTTTGTGTGGTGGTTTTCTCAAATGCTAGTTGTAGTAGTAGTGTACTGGCTGTGTGAGTAGTATCACAGCTTCCTGCAGGGCTGGGATGGCGGAAGTCTCAAGAATCTTATCTCATTTCCCAGCACTGTGCACTTGTGTCAGCAGATTTTCTGTTGGGTTGTGCATTTCAGCCTCCAGGACAGTAGGTGGTGGTTGTGGGTAAGAGCCTGCTGCAACAGAAGCAGATGGACAGGTGCTTGATCTTTGTTTAATGGGGGAAGTTCTTTGTTGCTTCAGGCAATGGGCTGGGCTGTGGAATGTACAGTGGCTTGAGCTCTCTGCTCACCCCCTAGCAGGGGACAAGTCAGGGCAGAGATGGACAGCCAAGCCGGCCCTTGGATTCCCCAATGATGAGCACAAGCAGAAGACCTGAGTGGGGGTGGCAGGGAAGCTCCTGGTAAGTACACTGAGGTCTCTGCAGAGAGGCAGGGAGCCACCCCAGTTCCATAGCCCGGGCAGGCAGGAATGTAATCTCTCTCCCTGTCATGCCCCTGTCCCCAAACTCAGAACACTCAAATTGGTCAGACACCACTGTCTATCTCCAGGCTGCAATGTACCTGAGAGCCATAAAAGATGACTGCCCCTTGGCTTGCTGCCAGAATGTCTTTGTTTTGGAGTCTTCTTCCTCAGTCCAAAACACACAGCTTTTTGGCTCTCCTCTCCCTTGCAGGAACGCTGCTGCTCTGCATGGAGAGGGGGAGGGGGTCCCACCTTTTGCACAAGCTTAGATATGGTGGACTGATTGCCAGTAAGACCACAGTCACCCCTGTCTGCCCCAGAAAGTCTGTGTGCTCTGATGCACCCATGCCAGTTTCCTGTGGTATCAGCCATGGCTATGCCTACAGCAGTGGGGTTGAGGAGGAGTCCCCATCTCCATGCCTGGGTCTGAGCACTCATACTAGGTTGGCCCCTGGGATGAAATCACACTTGCAAAGCCTTGTAGAGCCAAGCACAGTGCCCACATCTTTGCTGGAGGCAGTGCAGTCACTCAGAGTCCACAGGTGGTGAGCTCTTGGGCACAGGAAAGTATGTGTTCTGGTTTCCTTTGTCCCAGTGGGTGCTCCCTTGGCGTGCAATACTTGTTCTTCTCTTCGGGGCAGCAGTTGCCGAGGAACCCTGCAGCTCCCTGGGTCCAGCCATCCCTTTGCTGCTGCCACAATCTGAGCAGATGCCAGGGAATGTCTATGGGGCTCTGGTGATGTGGAGACACAAAGGCTGAGGTTCCCTGGGCAGGGTACAGACCCCTGATGGCTGTGCTCCCAGTATAGCACCCTATCGCTGCTGCTCAAGTCCGGGGGCAGAGTGAGCAACCCAGTGCAAGTTGGTAATCTGGTGCAGTGCCCTCAAGAAGTCCCCAAATCACTGCCCACACCAGTGTTTGGGTTTGCAGGGTAGAGGAGATCTCCGACAGTTCAGTTACCAGTGGTTTGTCACAGGTTAAAGAGGAGCCCAAACACTCCCAACTACCCTTTTGACTAGATACCAAATCCCTCGGGGTTCCTAGCCGATCTCTGCCAGCTTCTTGCTTCCTTCTTTTTCTGTGCCCCAGCTTCTTCACATGAGTTCTCTACTAGCCTCCAGCATTCTCTGGATAGTCTATTCACATTATGGTTATTCACTTGTAACCTTGGTTCTTCTTTCTGAAGAGAACTGGCATTGGACACCTCTAGTCATTCATCTCGAACCCTCTCCCCAAGAATAGTATTTGATTGTGCATACACACCACATTTCCCTTATCCGTTTGTCTGTTGATGGATATTTAGGTTGATTCCATATCTTAGCTTTTGTGAGTAGTGTTGCAATAAATGTGGGAGTACAGATACCTCTTCAACATACTGATTTTATTTCTTTTGGAGCCAGCAGTGGGATTGTTGGATCTGATTTTTTTCATTGTGATAAAATATATACAACCTAAAATTTACCATTTAAGTGTACAGTTCAGTGTCATTAAGTACATTTATAATATTGTGCAGCCATCTCCACTGTTCATTTATAGAACCTTTTCATTGTCTGAAACAGAAGCTCTGTATCTAGTAACAATAATCTTTTCCCATCTTCCCAGCCTCCGGTAACCTCTGTTCTACTTTCTGTCTCTATGAATTTGCTTATTCTGGGTAGCTTATTTAAGTGGAAGCACATAATATTTGTCCTTTTGTGTGTGGCTTATTGCACTAAGCATGATGTTTTCAAAGTCCATCATTGTTATAACAGGTATCAGAATCTCATTCATTTTTATGGCTGATAAAATTCCATAGTATGTATATACTACGTTTTGTTCATCCGTTTGTTTGTTGATGGACATTTGGGTTATTTCTGCCTTTTAGCTATTGTGGATAATGTTGCTATGAACATTGCCCTATAAGTATCTGTTTAAGTTCCTGCTCTTAATTCTTTTAAGCATATACCTAGAAGTAGAGTTGCTGGATCATATGTAATTTTATGTTTAATTTTTTGAGGTTGTGTCAGACTTATCTATAGCAACTGTACCACTTTCCATTCCCACAAGCAGTGTACAAGGGTTCCAATTTCTTTCTTTTTTTTTTTTTTTTGAGACGGAGTCTCGCTCTGTCGCCCAGGCTGGAGTGCAGTGGCGGGATCTCGGCTCACTGCAAGCTCCGCCTCCCGGGTTCACGCCATTCTCCTGCCTCAGCCTCCCAAGTAGCTGGGACTACAGGCGCCCGCCACTACGCCTGGCTAATTTTTTGTATTTTTAATAGAGACGGGGTTTCACCGTTTTAGCCGGGATGGTCTCGATCTCCTGACCTCGTGATCCGCCCGCCTCGGCCTCCCAAAGTGCTGGGATTACAGGCGTGAGCCACTGCGCCCGGCCCCCAATTTCTTAATATCCTTGCCAACTGTTGTTATTTTCTGATTTTTGTTTGTTAAGTAATAGCTATCCTAGTAGGTGTGGGGTAGTATCTCATTGTGGTTCAAATCTTTTTTTAACTTTAAAATTCTTTCAATGCAAAGACTATATCAAATAGACATTTAAATAATTTTTTGACCGAGATTTTGTTTATGGTTCCTCTCTTTCTCCTTTTCTCCAAATATAAGTAGCGGCCAATTTAGTCATGGGAAAGATAACAACTAATTTCTTTATTCTGTAATTTATTGTAAATATATCAGGTTCAATTTGTGTAAATACTTTGTATTTTCCTTAGTCCTATATGTGTTAATCTTATAATGGAATGAACTTATTCATATATTTATTTGAAAACTAATGTGCAAAGTATTGTCTTAAGTGCAGAGGGTACGATAATAGTAAACAAGAAAAACGAAGACTGCTGTTACGTGAAGTGTTCTAGTTGGGGAGACACATTAAACAGATACAATTTCAGGTGGTAATAAGGTGATGAAGAAAAATAAAAATAAAGCAGAGGAGAGGTGGTTTGTGCAGGTGCTACTGTAGGTAAGCTAGTTTTGGAGAGCTTCCCTGAGGAGCTAAGATTTGACCAGAGACTCAATGATATGAAGATGGAAACTATTTGAAGATCTGGGAAGAAACATTCCAGATAGAGCATACACTTAGTAGAAAGGCCTTTATCAAGGAATAAATTTGTGGTTTTCAAGGAACAGTAAAATGTATATTTATAAACCATAGGGAAACCACCTAAAATTTTTTTAGAGAAAAATATATAATTAGGTAGCAAATAACAGAGATAAAATTGAGTAATTTAAGAAATTATTTAATCAGGAAAAAGAAAAAAGGAACAGCAAGTAAGTGGATCAGATAGAAAATTTGGAAGATTATAGATTTTATTCCAACCATATCAATAATTATATTAAATGTATTTTAAATATACCAATTATAAGATTGGATAAAAAGTTAAAACATATCTGTAAGAAATTTGCTTTAAATACAAAGATCTTGTTAGGTTAAAAGTAAAAGAATGCGCCAGCAATGAATAACTAGAGAAGGAAATTAAGAAAAAAAGTCCATTCACAGTAGCTTCCAAAAGAATAAAATGCATAAGAATAAATTTAACCAAGAAGGTAAAGACTTGTACTCTGAAAACTTGTACTCTGAAAAAAAGGATGTTTACTCATTTGTCAAAATAAAGAAGATATAAATAAGTGAAAATCTATCTCGTATTTGTATATTGGAAGTCTTAATGTTAAGATGTCAGTACTACCCAAAATCACCTACAGATTCAATCCTATCAAACCTATCAAAATTCCCATGGACTTTTGCAGAAATGCAAAAGCTGATCTTAAAATTCACATGGAATTGCAAGTGGCCTTGAATAGCCAAACAATCTTGAAAAAAAAGAACAAAGTTGGAGGACTCACACTTTCTGATTTGTAAACTTAATACAAAGCTAGAGTAGTCAAAGTAGTACTGGCATAAGGATAGACACATAGATTAATGGAATAGAAATGAGAGTCCAGAAATAAACCCATACATCTATGGCCAGTTGGTTTTCCACAAGGATGCTAAGAACATTCAATGAGGAACGAATAGTCTCTTCAACAAATGATGCTGGGAAAACTGGATATTCTCCTGCTAAAGAATGAAATTAGATGCCTAACATACTGTATACAAAAATTAACTAAAAATATTCCATAGATTTTACAGTTTTGTTTTGTTTTAGGCAGGGTCTTTCTCTGTCGCCAGGCTCGAGTGTAAGGGCACAATCAGCTCACTGCAGCCTTAACCTCCAGGGCTCAAATGATCCTCTCACCTCAGCCTCCCGAGTAGCTGAGACTACAGGCACATGCCACCATGCCCAGCTAATTTCCATATTTTTTAATAGAGATGAGGTTTTGCCATGTTGCCCAGGCTGGCCTCAAGCTGAACTCAAGCGATCTGCCTGCCTCAGCCTCCCAAAGTGCTGAGATTACAAGCATAAGCCACTGTGCTCAGCCAACTTTATGATTTAAAAATAACATGTTTATGTTTTTAAAGCCATAAAACCCTGAGAAGAATACATAGAGATAAATCTTCATGACCTTGGATTTGTCAGTGGTTTTAGATATTGGTTCTTAGGCACCAAAGGCATGAGCAACAAAAGATAAACTGGACTTCATCTAAATGAAAACTTTTTGTGCATCAAAGGAGATTAAGAAAGTGAAAAGGCAACCTGTAGAATGGTAGAAAATAGTTGCAAGTTTTGTAGCTGATCAGGATCTACCATCCAGAATATATCATGAACTCTTACAACTCAACAACAAAAAGACAACCCAGTTATAAAGTGGGCAAAAGACTTGAGTGGACTTTTCTCCAAAGAAGATATGCAGATGGCCAAAAAGCAAATGAAAAGATGCTCAACATCATTTTTCATGAGGGAAATGCAGAGCAAAACCATGATGAGGTGCCTCTTCACATCCATTATAATGGATGGCTATAATTTTTTAAGAGACATGTTGGCAATGAGGTGGAAAAGTTGAAACCCTCATACATTTCTTTTTGGTAGGAATATAAAATAAAATATAAAGCTGCTGTGGAAAACAGTTTGGCAGTTCCTCAAAAAGTTAAGCATAGAATTATCATGGTACCCTGCTATTCAACTCAGAGGTATGTACCGCAAATAAGAGAATGCTTGTACTCAAACAAGTATGTGTATACACGTTTGTAGCAGCAGCATTCACAGAAAAGTGGACACAACCCAAAAATCCTTCAGTGGGTGAATGGATTAACAAATTGTCGTATACACACAATGGAATATTATTCAGCCATAAAAAGGAATGAAGTACTAATATATGGTATAAAGTAGATAAACTTCCAAAACCTTAAGCTAAGTGAAAAAAGCCAGACCCAAAAGATCACATATTGTATGACTCCATTTATAGGAAATATCTAGAATAGATAAATCTAAAGAGAACAGAACACAGATTAGTGGTTTCCAGAAGGTGGTGATGGGGGAAAGATAAGAAACTGCTTAATAGGTAAGGGGTTTTACTTTAGAATGATGGAAATGATATGGAACTAGATGTGGATGGTCATACAACATTCTTAATATACTATAAGACACTGAATTGTTCACTTTATTTTTTTTATTTTTTTATTTTTATTATTATTATTTTTTTGAGACTGAGTCTCGCTCTGTTGCCCAGGATGGAGTGCGGTGGTGTGATCTCTGCTCATTGCAAGCTCCGCCTCCCGGGTTCACGCCATTCTCCTCCCTCAGCCTCCCGAGTATCTGGGACTAAGGCACCTGCCACCATGCCCGGCTGGTTTTTGTTTTTTTTTTTTTTTTTTTTTTTTTTTTGTATTTTTAGTAGAGTCGGGGTTTCACCGTGTTAGCCAGGATGGTCTCGATCTCCTGACCTTGTAATCTACCCACCTCAGCCTCCCAAAGTGCTGGGATTACAGGCGTGAGCCACCGTGCCTGGCCACTTTAAAATGGTTATTTGAGGCCAGGCATGGTGGCTCATGCCTGTAATCCCAGCACTTTGAGAGGCTGAGATGGGCGGATCACTTGAGGCCAGGAGTTTGAGACCAGCTTGGCCAACATGGTGAAACCCCATCTCTACTAAAGATACAAAATTTAGCTGGGCATGGTGGTGCATGGTGGTCTAGTAATCCCAGCTATTTAGGAGGCTGAGGCATGAGAATCACTTGAACCCAGGAGGTGGAGTTTACAGTGAGCTAAGATTGCGCCACTGCACTCCAGCCTGGGCGACAGGGAGAAATTCTATACCCCCCACCCCCTCAAAAAATGTTATTGACCTCCTACCTCTCCTCCAAGCACCCTTCCTGCCCCCTTCACCTTCCCTCTTGCTAGGTGACCAGGAAGGAAGAAGCAATTTAGTCAGGATGGCTAAAGGTGATCCCAAGAAACCAGAGGGAAAGGTGTCTGCTTATTCCTTCTTTGTGCAGACATGCAGAGAAGAACATAAGAGAAACCCAGAGGTCTCTGTCAATTTTGCAGAATTTTCCAAGAAGTGCTCTGAGAGGTGGAAGACAGTGTCTGGCAAAGAGAATCCTAAATGTGGTGAAATGACAAAGGCAGATAAAGTATGCTATGCTTGGAAGGTGCAGGATTGTGAACCAGTTAAGTGAGGCAAGAAGAAGGACCTTCATGTCTCCAAAAGAGACATGTCTGTATTCTTCCTGCACCGTTCAGAATTTCACCCCAAGATCAAATCCACAAACCCTGGCATCTTTATTAGAGATGTAGCAAAAAAGCTGTGTGAGGTGTGGGATAACTTAAATGTCAGTGAAAAGCAGCCTTGCATCACTAAGGCAGTGAAGCTGAGGGAGAAATACGAGAAGGATGTTGCTGACTTTAAGTCTAACGGCAAGTCTGGTGCAAAGGGTCCTGCTTAAAGTTCCTTGGAAAAAGGTGGAAGAAGTAGTCAAAGAAGATGTGAGGAAGAGGAGGAGGAGGAGGAAGAGGAAGAAGAAGGTGATGATGAATAAAAAACTGTTCATCTGTCTCCTTGTGAATACCTTAGAGTAGGGGAGGGCCATGATTGACACATCTGTTGTTTGAGAAATGTCTGTTGCCCTCATTAGGTTTAATTACAGAATTTGATCACAATCATATTGCAGTCTCTCAGAGTGCTCTAAAAATTGTCAGTGGTTTACCTGAAGTGGTCATGTGTGTCTGGAACACTCTGAAATTGTATCAAAGTTGTACATATTTCCAAACATCCCCAAAACGAAAAGATAATCTCATGTTTTCCTCACTCTATGCACTTTGCTGTTGGTGTGACAAAGCATTTAAAGATATTTCTGACATTTTAAAAAACATTTGTAAGGTGGTATTAACTATACGGTTATTGGCTAGAAATCCTGTTATCA
This sequence comes from Homo sapiens, assembly GCF_000001405.40. Taxonomy (NCBI): domain Eukaryota; kingdom Metazoa; phylum Chordata; class Mammalia; order Primates; family Hominidae; genus Homo; species Homo sapiens. Next base: position 92,646,652 of record NC_000001.11, on the reverse strand, counting down.
ACTGTACATATATATAGTTTATAAAAAGAACAAAACAACCAAGACAAACTCTTGGTGCTCGTTTCTTGGCGCTGAGCCTGTGGGGGACAATGCCTTTTGGAGGGGTCGTAGCTTAGAGCGTGCACTGTGAGGCTAGTCCTGTTTCCCCTGTAATGTTCAGCCATTTAGCTTCAGCTTGTCTTGTTTCTACAAACGGTAATATAACAGTCTGCTACCATTCTTAGCTGTGGACAAAGAGGGGTCAGCTGGCCTGAGAAGTGTTGGGATTTTTTTAATTAAGTGCATTGTCTATAAACTTTTTGAACAAGCTGTAGAACTGTTGTCAGCAAAGTAAAGAGCCACTGCATCAATGAAAGTTCAAGAAAGAACCTTCTGTACTTAAATGTGATTTTCAGTGTTCTGGGGTTTTTTTTGTATGTTTAGAATGCTGAAATGTTTTTGAAGTTAAATAGTGTTAAAAATGATTTTAGAATTTTGCTTCAATAAATTGTTTTTAAAAAGACTAAATAAATGATAATATAAAGCTCAAAGAAACTCGACACATTTAAGTGATTGCAGTAGAAGACGAGTTTATGGGAGAACGTGTAAAGTCCCTGTGCTAGAACCCATTGGTGAGGGTCAGGTTAGAACCAACAACAAGTGATCTGGTTTGCAGGGGGAGCCTGGGAGGATTAGGAGATTCACTCAGGGCTGGGGTTGGGCATGTCTTGATCAGAGTTGTGGTTGCCTTGAGACTTATAAAGGAGAATGCAACGTGAAGTGAAGCAGAGCAGGTTGGTGGCAGCAAGAGAAGTGAGTTGCAACAGATTATCAGACCAATGACCTGTAGCCCAAAGGCAAGGGGATTTAGATATAAGAGACATTAATTTGGAGTATCAGCATTTACTAGATTAATGGGAGAGCAGCTTGGACAAGGATGAATATGGGGGCTATTACCCACAGCTAAGATTTGATATGATTTGGGGATGTGATATTTGGATAGGATAGCTCAATTTAATGTGCCAGAGTAGAGCAGACATAAGGTTCTTTATGTTCCTCTAGTTAGAAATAAGGTTGGTCCCAAAATATCAGTGAATCTGAGCCTGTAGGTAGGGGTGAAATAGTCTCAGTTGCAAAGATTAGAAATTACAGAGGCCAAAGTAGGTTGCTGTGTAGCTATGGAAATGTGTAGAGCTTGATAGCTAATGACAGTGACTTTCCCCCACAGTGGACTTCTAGGAGTGAAGGATCAAGATGGTCTGCCTATAATTATTGGACATAATATTTTAATTACAACTGGAAAAAAATTAAAAGGATGAAAAAGATATAATATGGAAATCTAATCAAAACAAAGCCTGGAGTGTCTGCATTAGTATCATAGACAAGGTGGACTTTAGAACAAGGAATAGCACCAAGAGTAAAGAGAACTATCTATAATGATAGTTCACCAAGAAGACATAACAATCTTATTTAAGATTGTATGTGTTTAGGAATGTATGTCACCTAATATATGTATGCTAACAGGAACAGTAACTTGAACTGATAGAACTGAAAGGTAGAGTGAACAAGTTCAGGTCTTCGACATCCCTGTCTCAGTAATTGATGAAGCAAGTAGGTAGCAGAAGACCTGAACAGTACTATCATCCAACCTGCCCTGATAGATATTTATGGAACACTGTACCTAATAACAGCAGAATACATATCCTTTCAAACATACATGGAAGATTTATGAAGATAGAACATATTCTGGGCCTTAAAAGGAACTTTATCAAATTTGAAGTAATTGAAATCATACAAAGGATCTTCTCTGACTCTAATATCATTCAATTAGAAATTAATAATAGGTATCTGGAAAATCCCCTAATATTTGGAAATTAATACGTTTTTACCCATGGGTCAAAGAGGAAGTCTAAAAGGAAATTAGAACATATTTTAATTAAATGAAAATGAAGACACAATATCTAAAAATTTGTGGGACACATCTAATGCAGTGCTTAGTGGAAAATGTATTAAGTGCTTATAATATTAAGTGGAAAATGTATTAAGTGCTTATTAGGCAAGTCAGTAAGTCTCAAACCAATAATCTAAGCTCCCACCTTAATAAACTAGACATATAAAGAAATTCAAGCTAACCAAGCAGAATGGACAAATAATAAAAAGTGTAGAAATCAGTTAAATTGAAAACAAAAGTAGAGAAACTTTGTCAAACCAAAAGCTGGCTTCTTGAAATGATCAGTAAAGTTGACAGATCTGTGTCCAGACTGATGGAAGAAACAACCAATGTCAGGAATGACATTAACTTTTTACAGGTGTGGCCCAGTTGTCTTATTTCATATTCTAGATTTGTCTAATTCCTTCCTCGTGGTGTCATTGTATTTCTTGTCAACTGGACTCAGACATCTAGATTATAGATGATGTTGTAAACTTCTTTTTGCTTTAAATCAGGAAGGCACATGATATAAATTGTGCCCATTATTAGTGATGCTGAGTTTGATTTCCATGCTAGGTTTGGTTATCCCAGACTCTCTCCCTTGTAAAAGCTATGATTTCATGTTTGCCACTATTAAGTGATCTGTTGGAAATATTTTTGTACCAAATAACTATCTTGTTCTCCATCCACCTTTTACCTAATGGTTTTACCCTCCACAAATGATCCTTATGGAATCAGTTATTACATTAGGTTTCCAGAATGGTGACTTTCATATTCTCTCATTTTTCTACATTTATTAGTTATAAACAAGAATCTTTCTCTTTTTTTCTTTTAATATCTCTAGCTCCCTCTGACTCACTATGAACTCTTTCATGTTACTCCAGATTTATTGACTTTTGTTCAATATGTCATATAATTCTTAATAGTTTCAATGCTATTGGTACAGTGATATGCTATATAGTTATGTTACAATAGAATATTAAACTTCAGAACAGCAGTTTTTTAAAAGGTAAAGTTTATTTTTAACTAATTTTGAGTATTGGCATTATTTAACAAGTGTTTCTGCAGTTCCAGTTATAGAATGATTGTCTTTAGTAGATCACTGCTTCCATTTTACGCTGGCACTTGGTAGTTTGAACCTAATATTGTTAGTTTTCAAAAATGATTGAAGGCCAGGCACAGTGACTCATGCCTGTAACCATAGCTCTTTGGGAGACAAGACAAGAGGATTGCTTGAGGCCGGGAGTTCAAGACCAGCGACACAGCAGGACCCTGTCTCTACAAGAAATAAAAAAAATTAGCCAAGCATGGTGGCACATGCCTAAAAGTCCTAGCTACTGGGGAGGCTGAGGTGGGAGGATCACTTGAGTGATCATTGATGATGCCACTGCACTCCAGATTGGGTGACAGAGCAAGACCCTATCTCTTTAAAAAAAAAAAAAAAAAAAAAAAGATTTGAGTTAATTTATTATTGAATTTGTATTTAGTGCACTAAATAAATTAAGTAAATAAGTATAAGATCAAACTGAGATATAGATTAAACTTTCCATTTAAGTATTTTACATGCTCCATATGAGTTTTTCCAAGAAGCCCCTAGATGTAGAAATCCTCCAGTGATATTTCACACAGTTGCACATCTGACTCCTGCTAATGTGGGGTATAACAAATGTGTTTATGTTGGACAACTTTTCCTGATGAGACCAACTGTCTAAGTCTAGCTTGATCCATTTAAAAGCTTTGTGACCTACCTATGACTACTTATCATTCAGGTGTTTTTATTATGCAGTTTTATCCAGCTGTTCTTGGTCTTACCATTCAGGTATTTTTATTATGCAGTTTAGTTCATCATAAATAAGGAGGAATTTGAGTTAAAAGCTGCTGAATGCTGAAATGACTGCCGTTTGAAGTTATTGGGACCTTCATACTAGGAAGTACTTAATGGGAGGCTAGACAGGATTTCTTCTGACCTTCCCTCCCTTTTCTATAATTCTAGAGAGAACATCAAAGAATTATGTAGGACTTTTAAGAACCAAGGATTTGATATGAAGAATATAAACCCATCTTACCTGGATTAAACACATGAATAAATGTTAATAAAATTAAAACTACCTGTTTATCAGTGAAGTTGTGAATTCTTCTAGATAATGTATTTTAGAAAATGTTTGTTCAGCAGCATTTAGGAATTATTCACACCTGATATACCTGGTGGGTTTGTTTTTCTTTAGGAAAATGGAAGTTAGTTGATATAGGTCTCTCTAAAAATCCAAGATAGATAGATGACTTTACACTTATAATTTGGTAAATTCTTTAACTTTTGGTCACTATACCTATAAATCTGGACGGAGATTTTTTCCAGAACTAATTTTGACCTTAGTCTAAAGATAAAATGTTTTACATTCGTATGTGATTATATTTTCCTTTTAAATAATAAATGAGGCGTTACTTTAATGGAAATTGTTTTCTTAACATTTTCTTAGCATTAACAACAATAACAACAAAATCTTACAGTTACACAAATAACCAGAGGTAAATGTCTTCTTAAAGGATGTAATTTTTGGATGTTGAGCGCAAATCATATAAAAATTATAGATTTTTCAACAATTTTTTTTTTTTGGGATGGAGTATCGCTCTGTTGCCCAGGCTGGAGTGCAGTGGCACAGTCTTGGCTCACGGCAACCTCCACCTCTTGGGTTCAAGTGACTCTCCTGCCTCAGCCTCCTGAGTAGCTGGGACTACAGGTACATGCCTGGCTAATTTTTTGTATTTTTAGTAGAGACGGGGTTTCACTGTGTTAGCCAGGATGGTCTTGATCTCCTGACGTCGTGATCCACCCGCCTCAGCCTCCTAAAGTGCTGGGATTACAGGCGTGAGCCACCGTGCACCACCGCTCCCGGCCTATTTTTCAACAATTTTAGTGTAGCAAATACTTAAATAGTACAACAGTATTGCTTGGGTTTTTTTAAATCCTGTTTACAGCATGTGGTAGGGAGGATTACAAACATCCTTTTGGGGTCATATGCTGAGGGAGAGGAAGATACAACTTTTTATCTTTTTCTGCTGTGATTTTGTGGTGTAGAAACCTATTCCAGAGTACTTGCCTTGTATAACTTTTTTCAGATGCTTTTGGATATGGCGGTCCAAATGTGCCATCTTCCCACATTATTACAAATTTTGTTTCTGGAACAAATGGAAACATTGTATCATTATTTTGTTTTGGGAAAGTGGTTCAAGATTGCTACATAGGCATTTCAATTAAAAATAGATTAACCATCAGTTTTATAGATTTTTTTTTGCAGCATTCAACTTCCACTTCCTATGTTTAATGTAAATTATATAATACAGGGATTTTGTTGTTAAACCAGGAGTTAACTGATTGATTCAGCAGTTAATATTTTGCTAACCTACCTATGAAAAGCACTGTTTGGTTCTGTTAACCAGGCAGTTATTGATTTATAATGGTAAGTCAGTCAAACTGTCTCCAGCATTTGCTTGTATAGTATATATAGAGATAAACATTTTAAAAATTAATCACACAATTTTTTTTTTCAATTTTACTTTTAAGTTCTGGGATACATGTGCAGAATGTGCAGGTTTGTTACATAGGTATATGTGTGCCATGGTGGCTTGCTGCACATATTGACTCATCCTCTAAGTTCCCTCTTCTCCCTCAACCCCCAACAGGCCCTGGTGTGTGTTGTTCTCTCCCCTGTGTCCATGTGTTCTCATTGCTCAGCTCCCACTTAAGAGTGAGAACATACGGTGTTTGGTATTCTGTTCCTGTGTCAGTTTGCTGAGGATGATGGCTTCTATGTCCCTGCAAAAGACATGATCTCATTCCTTTTTATGGCTGCATAGTATTCCATGGTGTTTATGTACCACATTTTCTTAATCTAGTCTATCATTGATGGGCATTTGGGTTGGTTCCAACTCTTCGCTATTGTAAACAGTGCTGCGGTAAACATATGTATGTATGTGTCTTTATAGTAGAATGATTTGTATTCTTTTGGGTATATGCCTGGTAATGGTATTGCTGGGTCAAATGGTATTTCTGGTTCTAGAACCGTGTTGGTTGAACTAATTTACATTACCATGAACACTATAAAAGCATTCCTATCTGTCCGCAGCCTCACCAGCATCTGTTGTTTCTTGGCTTTTTAATAATTGCCATTCTGATTGGCATGAGATGGTATCTCATTGTGGGTTTGATTTGCATTTCTCTAATGATCAGTGATGTTGAGCTTTTTTTTGATGTTTTTTGGCCGTGTAAATGTCATCTTTTGAGAAGTGTCTATTCATATCCTTTGCCCACTTTTTGATGGGGTTGTTTTTCTCTTGTAAATTTGTTTAGGTTCCCCATAGATTCTGAATTTTAGACCTTTGTCAGATGGGTAGATTGCAAAAATTTTCTCCTGTTCTGTAGGTTGACTGTTCACTCTGATGATAGTTTCTTTTGCTGTGCAGAAGCTCTTTAATTAGATCCCATTTGTCAGTTTTGGCTTTTGTTACAATTGCTTTTGGTGTTTTAGACATGAAGTCTTTGCCCATGCCTATGTCCTGAATGGTATTGCCTAGGTTTTCTTCTAGGGTTTTTATGGTTTGGGGTTTTACATTTAAGTCTTCAATCCATCTTGAGTAAATTTTTGTATAACATGTGAGGAAGGGATCCGGTTTCAGTTTGCTGCATATGGCTAGCCAGTTTTCCAAGCACCATTTATTGAATAGGAGATCCTTTCCCCATTGCTTTTGTCGGGTTTGTTGAAGATCAGATGGTTGTAGAAGTACGGTGTTATTTCTCAGGTCTCTGTTTTGTTCCATTGGTTTATATGTCTTTTTGGTACCAGTACCATGCTGTTGGGTTACTGTAGCCTTGTAGTATAGTTTGAAGTCAGGTAGCGTGATGCCTCCAGCTTTGTTCTTTTTGCTTAGGATTGTCTTGGCTATACAGGCTCTTCTTTGGTTCCATATGAAATTTAAAGTAGTTTTTTTCTAATTCTGTGAAGAATGTCAATGGTAGTTTGATGGGAATAGCATTGAATCTATAATTACTTTGGGCAGCATGCACAATTTTTTATTTAGAGTTGTGATAAGTGTTACAAAAGAGATGAGAACAGGGTTCCATGAAATGTTTGGGTTCCTGAAAAGAGCATATAAATGTCATATCTTGAACTTAGTTAAAAGCTTAATGTATACTTAAATTCAAGCAATATTGGATACATTTGCATGGACAACCCTTTTTCTAATTTCAATTTTTTTTCACTTAATAATATGAGAAACTTCCCCCAATACAAATATTTACTTTTTACTGTATTACTCCTATTTCCTTCAAATATTGAAATTTTTTTTAATAATATGAGAAACTTCCCCCAATACAAATATTTACTTTTTACTGTATTACTCCTATTTCCTTCAAATATTGAAGATTTTTTTTTAAGCTCAAGACACAAGCAAAAAGGATTACTGAGGACTTTCTAACTTACCTTTACCTTTGTAATTTTTGCAACACCAGAAAAGCACATAGGATTGAAAAGCAGACTCTGCTTACTAAAAAGAATTTCTGTCAGTTTCATTGGAATGGGATTGCTGGTATCACAGAAACATTATGAGATTCATTTACATAAATTAACTTGATGTAAGTATAGAGAAGTCATCTGTCATTTCTATGCTTTTAAATAAACGGCTCCCCTTGCTGAGACTGCCAGCCATCATAATTGTGGCAGTTGTCATTTGGTAAAACAAATTGTGTGTCTGTCCAAGTTACTCACTTGAATATGAAATGCACTCTTCTAGGAATTTCTTAATACAAGAACATTATGTGAGATCTATATGCTTAGATTTTTTTTAGAGGTTTGGATTTTTTTAATATTATATAATTAATTTTTAGAACAGTATATATTAAAACAATATATTAAACTCTTCAACACCTATATGGCTTAAAGGTGAGGAACATGGGCTCTGTAATACAAACTGTCAATTAATAGCACTATCAACTGCTGTTTGACCTTGGTGTACCCTATTAGTTTCCTTATTAGTAAGACAGTAATTGTGGTGAAGGTTAAAGGAGAATATAAAGTGCTTAACATGTGTCTGGCACATAGTAAGTGGTGAGTAGATGTTAGCTGCTGTCATAATTGTCATTTCTGTCAAACATTAAAACATGTTTATAAAACTGTTTTCCCCCTGTGGAAAATAGAATAAATTGAAACTACAGTGGTTAGCTTCAGGTAATTTATAGTTCACAGCAGCATCTTTTCCTTAGACACTGTGTAATTTGCAGTATGTTAATTGGCCACCATCATGATGACCTGGGAATTATATTCTGTAAACTCTGTCAGTGGCAAAAAAATTTACATAATACGTTTAGAGTTATTTTAATCCAGAAGACTAAAATAATATGTTTTAGAGTATAAAAAGCATAAGATATATATTATCCAGAATGACTTGTTATCAGAGCATTTCAGCTCTCTGTAAATTTTATTAATAAAGATTTGTGCCCAACATTACTATAGCTTTTTGTACTTGATTGGATTAGTTGGTTTATGCCAATCAAGAATTCCATTCTCATATGGGCCTTTGAGTTTGATGTTTTCTTGGGGATCTTCTAATATAAAGTCTTTGCAAACAAACCTGTGCTACAGTTGCCAGGGCTTTAAGTTGAGGGCAAAAAAATTCTTCCAGTACCCACGAAATAACTGTGATCTAATTAAATAAATTATGGCACATCTAGTTTGGATGTGGTCATTCCAAAAGAATGCCTTTTTCCTAATTGATAAAAGGTAAGTATTTGCTAAGATGATGTGTCTGTTGCAGATGCACTTCTCGTATTGAAATATTGTTTCAATAGTATCAAAATTACTAGAAGAAATAATGTATAATGCATTGAATTAAAGTCCTCATTTGCACATCTTTTTTTGGTAACTGGGGCAGGAGAGTACCATGTATTAAGCATCTGGTTATTTTTAATAGTTTTGATTTGACATCTGTTTTGTTCCTAACATATTAAAGAGTAAAAATAACTGTGCTTTATTCATGCTAGTTCAGTAGAAGATTGTTTTTTATGACTTTATTTTGAAATTTTGAGTTGCCACATTTTCTTTACTACATAAATTAAATGTGAAGTGATAGACAATTTATTTTAGAAAGTATTTTATAATGATGAATTACATATTGCTTTTGTACAGAAGCTTTTCTATGGGCACTGGCTTAAAAATGACGACTTAAGTGTTTGCATCAATATTCATGTTTTATAGAGTAGGAAAGCAAATGGGAAAGTTGCGTGCTTCCGTGGTTAATTTCTTTGTGCAGCATCTGCGTCTTCTCTACTTCCAGCAATTATTTCTATGTATATCTTTTTTTTTTTTTTTTCTTGAGACAAGAGTCTTGCTCTGTCACCTGGGCTGGAGTACAGTGGCATGATCTTGGCTTACTGCAACCTCCACCTCCCGGGCTCAAGCCATTCTCCTGCCTCACACTCCCTAGTAGCGGGGATTACAGGCGTGTGCCACCATGCCCAGCTAATTTTTGTATTTTTAGTAGAGACAGGGTTTCACCACGTTGGCCAGGCTGATCTTGAACTCCTGGCCTCAAGTGATCCACCCGCCTCGGCCTCCCAAAGTGCTGGGAAACCATGCATATCTTTTGAAGAAGATTTCTACATTTCTAAGGACAAATACAATTTTGTTATTTTGGAATTTAGATGGTTCACATTATTGTAGGTACCCTGTTTTTTTTCTATTAGATTAAAATATATTTTTCAGTAATCTTTACATGTCTTCTGTAGTATATAACAGTACTATCAAATAGCAATATAATGTGTCACATATGCAATTTAAGATTTTCTAATACCCACATTAAAAGGAGCAAAAAAAGGTAAAATTAATATTTTTATTTACCTCAGTATATTCAAAATATTATTTTAATGTAATCAATATAAAAATCATTGAGATTTTTTTATTTCATATTAATTCTTCAAAATCCAGTTTGTATTTTATACTTATAACTTGTTTTAATCTGTATTAGCCACATTTCAAGTGTTCAGTAGCCACATGTGGCTAATTGCTATCCTATTTATTGTGCAGTGTAGGTCTGTAAAGTCAGAAAAAATTCTTTGTATCTGGATGGATGGACAGATAAAAGGAGATGTTTATCTTATATGAATCAGATTTGATCAGCGTAATAACTAGTTACCAAAACCCAATAATGTGGTCATCTTTATAGATATCAAAGGTGGGCTTTTTTACTCATTGGAGAAGTTAATTGGAGGAGATACATTGGAAATATTGGGTAGATGGAACTTCTCCTATTTAGTTGCCCTTAATGTAATATAACTGTATTATGTGGTTGCATTGTTTTTATTGTATATACATGTTTATACTTTCATGAAATTTCAGTGTATGTCTGTAACCTTTAGCATAAATGCAGTTCCAACTACAACGAAGATTTTGTGCTACAGCTAGAGAAGGAATTGGTCCAAGCCCGACTGAGTGAAGCTGAGTCTCAGTGTGCATTAAAAGAGATGCAGGATAAAGTCTTGGATATAGAGAAGGTAAGAAACCTACACAAATGCAGTCATTCCCAAATTAGAGGGGATATGTGATATTTATTAAGTACTTACTGAGCAATTTAATTGACTTGGTGTTTTTATACATTAGAAGCCTTACATATTAGTTACTAAGAGGAAAAGGAAAAAAAGATTTTTAAAATTGCCAGTTATTCCTTGTTGCCTTCATACTAATCACAGCCCCGTATTTAAGGATAAAAATGGAGATTAGAGCCCTTTTGGAGGAAAACGACCAGAATAATTTTCATAAAAAGAGTATCTAAATGTTGCAGAAGAGAGAAACTCAGGTGACAGAAATTAACTGTTATCATCAAATATTGCAATATTTTCATGTGGAAGAGATAGAATAGGACTAATACATAGACATTTCGGGAAAATTTCATCTGAGCGGGTGGAGCCAAGATAGCTGAATAGGAACAGCTCCTGTCTACAGCTCCCAGTGTGAGCGACGCAGAAGACGAATGATTTCTGCATTTCCAACTGCCGTACCAGGTGCATCTCATTGGGATTGTTGGACAGTGGGTGCAGGATAGTGGGTGTAGTGCACCGAGCCTGAGCCGCGAAGCGCAAGGGGTCAGGAAATTCCCTTTCCTAGCCAAGGAAAGGGGTGATGGACGGCACCTGGAAAATCGGGTCACTCGCACCCTAATACTGCGCTTTTCCGATGGTCTGAGCAAACAGCACACCAGGAGGTTATGTCCTGTGCCTGGCTCGGAGGGTCCTACGCTCACAGAGCCTCACTCATTACTAGCACAGCAGTCTGAGATCAAACTGCAAGGCGGCAGCGAGGCTGCAGCGGGGGCGCCTGCCATTGCCGAGGCTTGAGTAGGTAAACAACGCGGCCAGGAAGCTCCAACTGGGTGGAGCCCACTGCAGCTCAAGGAGGCCTGCCTGCCCCTGTAGACTCCACCTCGGGGGCAGGGCATAGCGAATCAAAAGTCAGCAGAAACCTCTGCAGACTTAAATGTCCCTGTCTGTCAGCTTTGAAGAGAGTAGTGGTTCTCCCAGCACGCAGCTTGAGATCTGAGAACCGACAGACTGCCTCCTCAAGTGGGGCCCTGACCCCCGAGTAGCCTAACTGGGAGGCACCCCCCAGTAGGGGCAGACTGACACCTCACACGGCCGGGTACCCCTCTGAGACAAAGCTTCCAGAGGAACGATCAGGCAGCAACATTTGCTGTTCACCAAATATCTGCTGTTCTGCAGCCTCCGCTGCTGATACACAGGCAAACAGGGTCTGGAGTGGACCTCCAGCAAACTCCAACAGACTTGCAGCTAAGGGTCCTGACTGGTAGAAGGAAAACTAACAAACAGAAAGGACATCCACACCAAAACCCCATCTGTACGTCACCACCATTGAAGACCAAACGTAGATAAAACCACAAAGATGGGGAAAAAACAGAGCAGAAAAACTGAAAATTCTAAAAAGCAGAGTGCCTCTTCTCCTCTAAAGGAACGCAGCTCCTCACCAGCACCGGAAAAAAGCTGAATGGAGAATGACTTTGACGAGTTGAGAGAAGAAGGCTTCAGACGACCAAACTACTCCGAGCTAAAGGAGGAAGTTCGAACCCATGGCAAAGAAGTTAAAGACCTTGAAAAAAGATTGGACAAATGGTTAACTAGAATAACCAATGCAGAGAAGTCCTTAAAGGACCTGATGGAGCTGAAAACCACGGCACGAGAACTACGTGACGAATGCACAAGCCTCAGTAGCCGATTCGATCAAGTGGAAGAAAGGGTATCAGCGATGGAATATCAAATGAATGAAATGAAGCGAGAAGAGAAGTTTGGAGAAAAAAGAATAAAAAGAAACGAAAAAAGTCTCCAAGAAATATGGGACTATGTGAAAAGACCAAATCTACGTCTGATTGGTGTACCTGAAAGTGACGGGGAGAATGGAACCAAGTTGGAAAACTCTGCAGGATATTATCCAGGAGAACTTCCCCAATCTAGCAAGGCAGGCCAACATTCAAATTCAGGAATTACAGAGAATACCACAAAGATACTCCTCAAGAAGAGCAACTCCAAGACACATAATTGTCAGATTCACCAAAGTTGAAATGAAGTTTTAGAAATGTTAAGGGCAGCCAGAGAGAAAGGTCGGGTTACCCACAAAGGGAAGCCCATCAGACTAACAGCTGATCTCTCAGCAGAAACTACAAGCCAGAAGAGAGTGGGGGCCAATATTCAACATTCTTAAAGAAAAGAATTTTCAACCCAGAATTTCATATCCAGCCAAACTAAGCTTCATAAGTGAAGGAGAAATAAAATCCTCCTCAGTCAAGCAAATGGTGAGAGATTTTGTCACCACCAGGCCTGCCCTAAAAGAGCTCCTGAAGGAAGCACTAAACATGGAAAGGAACAGCTGGTACCAGCCACTGCAAAAACATGCCAAATTGTAAAGACCATAGAGGCTAGGAAGAAACTGCTTCCACTAACGAGCAAAATATGCTCGTTATCAGCTAACATCATAATGTCAGGATCAAATTCACACATAACAATATTAACCTTAAATGTAAAGGGGCTAAATGCTCCAATTAAAAGACACAGACTGGCAAATTGGATAAAGAGTCAAGACCCATCAGTGTGCTGTATTCAGGAAACCCATCTCACATGCAAAGACACACACAGGCTCAAAATAAAGGGATGGAGGAAGATCTACCAAGCAAATGGAAAACAAAAAAAGGCAGGGGTTGCAATCCTAGTCTCTGATAAAACAGACTTTAAACCAACAAAGATCAAAAGAGACAAAGAAGGCCATTACATAATGGTAAAGGGATCAATTCAACAAGAAGAGCTAACTATCCTAAATATATGTGCACCTAATACAGGAGCAACCGATTCATAAAGCAAGTCCTTAGAGAGCTACAAAGAGACTTAGACTCCCACACAATAATAATGGGAGACTTTAACACCCCACTGTCAACATTAGACAGATCAGTGAGACAGAAAGTTAACAAGGTTATCCAGGAATTGAACTCAGCTCTGCACGAAGTGGACCTAATAGACATCTACAGAACTCTCCACCCCAAATCAACAGAATATACATTCTTTCAGCAGCACACAACACCTACTCCAAAATTGACCACGTAGTTGGAAGTAAAGCACTCCTCAGCGAATGTAAAAGAACAGAAATTATAACAAACTGTGTCTCAAACCACAGTGCAATCAAACTAGAACTCAGGATTAAGAAACTCACTCAAAACCGATCAACTGCATGGAAACTGAACAACCTGCTCCTGAATGACTACTGGGTACATAACAAAATGAAGGCAGAAATAAAGATGTCCTTTGAAACCAATGAGGACAAAGACACAGCATACCAGAATCTCTGGGACACATTCAAAGCAGTGTGTAGAGGGAAATTTATGGCACTAAATGCCCACAAGAGAAAGCAGGAAAGATCTAAAATTGACACCCTAACATCACAATTAAAAGAACTAGAGAAGCAAGAGCAAACACATTCAAAAACTAGCAGAAGGCAAGAAATAACTAAGATCGGAGCAGAACTGAAGGAAATAGAGACATAAAAAGCCCTTCAAAAAATCAATGAATCCAGGAGCTGGTTTTTTGAAAAGATCAACAAAATAGACCGCTAGCAAGACTAATAAAGAAGAAAAGAGAGAATAATCAAATAGACGCAATAAAAAATGATAAAGGGGATATCACCAACTATCCCACAGAAATACAAACTACCATCAGAGCATACTATAAACATCTCTATGCAAATTAGAAAATCTGGAAGTAATGGATAAATTCCTCGACACATACACCTTCCCAAGACTAAACCAGGAAGAAGTTGAATCTCTGAATAGACCAATAACAGGCTCTGAAATTGAGGCAATAATTAATAGCTTACCAACCAAAAAAAGTCCAGGACCAGATGGATTCACAGCCAAATTCTACCAGAGGTACAAGGAGGAGCTGGTACCATACCTACTGAAACTATTCCAATCAATAGAAAAAGAGGGAATCCTCCCTAACTCATTTTATGAGGCCAGCATCATCCTGATACCAAAGGTTGGCAGAGACACAATGAAAAAAAGAGAATTTTAGACCAATATCCCTGATGAACATCAATGTGAAAATCCTCAATAAAATACTGGCAAACCGAATCCAGCAGCACATCAAAAAGCTTATCCACCATGATCAAGTGGGCTTCATCCCTGGGATGCAAGGCTGGTTCAACATAGCAAATCAATAAATGTAATCCAGCATATAAACAGAACCAATGACAGAAACCACATAATTATCTCAATAGATGCAGAAAAGGCCTTTGACAAAATTCAGCAGCCCTTCATGCCAAAAACTCTCAATAAATTAGGTATCAATGGGACGTATCTCAAAATCATAAGAGCTGTTTATGACAAACCCACAGCCAATATCATACTGAATGGGCAAAAACTGGAAGCATTCCCTTTGAAAACGGGCACAAGACAGGGATGCCCTCTCTCACCACTGCTATTCAACATAGTGTTGGAAGTTCTGGCCAGGGCAATCAGGCAGGAGAAGGAAATAAAGGGTATTCCATTAGGAAAAGAGGAAGTCAAATTGTCCCTGTTTGCAGATGACATGATGGTATATCTAGAAAATCCCATCATCTCAGCCCAGAATCTCCTTAAGCTGATAAGCAACTTCAGCAAAGTCTCAGGATACAAAATCAGTGTGCAAAAACCACAAGCATTCTTATACACCAATAACAGACAAACAGAGAGCCAAATCATGAGTGAATTCCCATTCACAATTGCTTCAAAGAGAATAAAATACCTGGGAATCCAACTTACAAGGGATGTGAAGGACCTCTTCAAGGAGAACTACAAACCACTGCTCAATGAAATAAAAGAGGATACAAAGAGATGGAATAACATTCCATGCTCATGGGTAGGAAGAATCAATATTGTGAAAATGGCCATACTGCCCAAGGTAATTTATAGATTCAATGCCATCCCCATCAAGCTACCAATGACTTTCTTCACAGAATTGGAAAAAACTACTTTAAAGTTCATATGGAACCAAAAAAGAGCCTGCATTGCCAAGTCAATCCTAAGCCAAAAGAACAAAGCTGGAGGCATCACACTACCTGACTTCAAACTATACTACAAGGCTACAGTAACCAAAACAGCATGGTACTGGTACCAAAACAGAGATATAGATCAATGGAACAGAACAGACCAATGGAACAGCCCTCAGAAATAATCCCACATATCTACAACTATCTGATCTTTGACAAACCTGAGAAAAACAAGCAATGGGGAAAGGATTCCCTATTTAATAAATGGTGCTGGGAAAACTGGCTAGCCATATATAGAAAGCTGAAACTGGATCCCTTCCTTACACCTTATACAAAAATTAATTCAAGATGGATTAAAGATTTAAATGTTAGACCTAAAACCATAAAAACCCTAGAAGAAAACCTAGGCAGTATCATTTAGGACATAGGCGTGGGCAAGGACTTCATGTCTAAAACACCAAAAGCAATGGCAACAAAAGCCAAAATTGACAAATGGGATCTAATTAAACTAAAGAGCTTCTGCACAGCAAAAGAAACTACCATCAGAGTGAACAGGCAACCTACAGAATGGGAGAAAATTTTTGCAATCTACTTATCTGACGAAGGGCTAATATCCAGAATCTACAATGAACTCAAACAAATTTACAAGAAAAAAACAAACAACCCCATCAACAAGTGGGTGAAGGATATGAACAGACACTTCTCAAAAGAAGACACTTATGCAGCCAAAAGACACATGAAAAAATGCTCATCATCACTGGCCATCAGAGAAATGCAAATCAAAACCACAATGAGATACCATCTCATACCAGTTAGAATGGTGATCATTAAAAAGTCAGGAAACAACAGGTCCTGGAGAGGATGTGGAGAAATAGGAACACTTTTACGCTGTTGGTGGGACTGTAAACTAGTTCAACCATTGTGGAAGTCAGTGTGGCGATTCCTCAGGGATCTAGAACTAGAAATACCATTTGACCCAGCCATCCCATTACTGGGTATATACCCAAAGGATTATAAATCATGCTGCTATAAGGACACATGCACACGTATGTTTCTTGTGGCACTATTCACAATAGCAAAGACTTGGAACCAATCCAAATGTCCAACAATGATAGACTGGATTAAGAAAATGTGGCACATATACACCATGGAATACTATGCAGCCATTAAAAAGGATGAGTTCCATATCCTTTGTAGGGACGTGGATGAAGCTGGAAACCATCATTCTCAGCAAACTATCACAAGGACAAAATACCAAACACCACATGTTCTCACTCATAGGTGGGAATTGAACAATGGGAACACATGGACACAGGAAGGGGAACATCGCACC
This sequence comes from Homo sapiens, assembly GCF_000001405.40. Lineage (NCBI taxonomy): Eukaryota > Metazoa > Chordata > Mammalia > Primates > Hominidae > Homo > Homo sapiens. The sequence goes on along the minus strand of NC_000001.11, from coordinate 92,629,842 downwards.
CTGGGGCCTGTTTTGGGGTGGGGGGAGGGTGGAGGGATAGCATTAGGAGATATACCTAATGTTAAATGACGAGTTAATGGGTGCAGCACACCAACATGGCACATGTATGTATATTTAACAAACCTGCACATTGTGCACATGTACCCTAAAACTTAAAGTATAATAAAAGAAAAAAAGAAAAAAAAAGAAAATTTCATCTGAGTGTAGTTGTTAGAACTGTCCAATCTAGAACAAGTTACCTCAGGATATGTAGGAAGTTCCTTTTAGCCTGAATGTACTTACAGAAGCTAACTTCTTTTCAAGGATATTAAAGAACATCAAAGATGAGATAAGTAATGGGAGTAGAAGAACTTCAGGTTTCTTATAGCTTTCAGATTTAAAAGTTCTAGATTACAAACTCCAAATCTCTTGTTTCCTTATCTGTAAATTTATTGGTGGCCTGGGCTCTGTGTCGTTTGTTCCTTTTTACTCTTAGGTAATAGCTACCTACTGAATCCAAAAACCTGATAGATAATGGACATAACAGTCTCAGGTGTTTTTAACTATTTTCTTAATGAAACAGAACAAGTGTAACTAGAATCAGTAATGGAATAATTTTGCTAGAAAGCTCCTTCCTATTTTTATATTTCTGGATAATGTATTATCTCGATTTGTTGAGAAAAAAAGCCAGCAAGAATGCTGAAAGAAATGGCTAACAGAATATTTGGTCTTTAACTTAGGCGTATTCTGGGTTACATGATTTAGAGCAGAATCTGTGTCTTACAATTAGAAAGATTTTGAATATTTGATAGAAGTGTATTTGGGTTCCATTCAAAAATGGATTTCGTAAGTGGCTGTGTTGTTTTTCATGTTATAAAGTAGAAAGGAATTTGAAAGGTAGCATGCTTCCTATGGTAATTTCTTCCTGCAGCATCCTCTTTTTTTCTGCTTCCAGCAGTCTTTTAAATGAATATGCAGTAAATTTTTGGTTTTCAATTGAGAAAATATTTAAAGTCCATTATAAGAAAGTGTAATTGGTGAGAATAACTTCATTCCATCATCCCTATGAGCAAAAATTTGCATGTGTACCGTGAAATATTTAGAGATAGAAAATTTCATAGAATCAGGCCTTGAAATCTCAGTGTTACCTCAGTTTACCTTTTTATCTAGGGAGCTTTCCCTACGGCCTCATTTTGGATCTCTTGGTAACTCTCCAGAGAAGTTTGATACTGGGCTACCCTGTATCCTTTTTATCTTTTAATATGGTGGGAAATTGATCTAAGTCTTGTATCCGTGTGCTGGGATAATTGGCTAGCCACATGTAGGAGAATGAAACTGGATCCTCTTCTCTCACGTTATACAAAAATCAACTTAAGAGATGGATTAAGGACTTAAACCTAAGACCTGAAACTATAAAAATTCTAGAAGATAACATTGGAAAAACCCTTCTAGACGTTTGCTTAGGCAAGGATTTCATGACCAAGAACCCAAAATCAAATGCAATTAGAACAAAGATAAATAGCTGGGACCTAATTAAACTGAGGAGCTTTTGCACGGAGAAAGGAACAGTCAGCAGAGTGAACAGACAACCCACAGAGTGGGAGAAAATCTTCACAATCTATACATGTGACAAAGGACTAATATCCAGAATCTACAACGAACTCAAATCAGTAAGACGAAAACAATCTCATCAAAAAGTGGGCTAAGGACATGAATAGACAATTCTCAAAAGAAGATATACAAATGGCCAACAAACATGAAAATGTACTAAACATCGGCTGGGTGCGGTGGCTCACGCCTGTAATCCCAGCCCTTTGGGAGGCCGAGGTTGGTGGATCACAAGGTCAGGAGTTCAAGAGCAGCCTGGCCAAGATAATGAAACCTTGTCTCTACTAAAAATACAAAAAATTAGCCAGGCATGGTGGCCGGCGCCTGTAATCCCAGCTACTCGGGAGGCTGAGGCAGAGAATTGCTTGAACCCGGGAGGCAGAAGTTGCAGTGAGCCGAGATTGTGCCATTGCGCTCCAGCCTGGGCGACAGAGCAAGACTCCGTTTCAAAAAAAAAAAGAAAAAATACTAAACATCACTAATGATCAGGGAAATGCAAATCAAAACCACAATGTAATACCATCTTACTTCCACAAGATTAGCCATAATCAAAAAATCAAAAAACAGTAGATGTTGGCGTGGATGCAATGAACAGGGAACACTTCTGCACTGCTAGTGGGAATGTAAACTAGTACTGCCACTATGGAAAACAGTGTGGAGATTCCTTAAAGAACTAAAAGTAGAAGTACCATTTGATCCAGCAATCCCACTACTGGGTATCTGTCTACCCAGAGGGAAGAAAAGGTCATTATTTGAAAAAGATACTTGCACACGCATGTTTATAGCAGCACAATTCACAATTGCAAAATCGTGGAACCAACTCAAATGCCCATCAATCAACAAGTGGATAAAGAAACTGTGGTGTATATATGTATATATATGATGGAATACTACTTAGCCATAAAAAGGAACGAATTAACAGCATTTGCAGTGTCCTGGATGAGATTGGAGACTATTATTCTAAGTGAAGTAACTCAGGAATGGAAAACCAAGCATCGTATGTTCTCACTGATATGTGGGAGCTAAGCTAGGAGGATGCAAAGGCATAAGAATAATTCAGTGGACTTTGAGGACTTGTGGGGAAGAGTGGGAGGGGAGTGAGGGATAGAAGACTACAAATAAGGTGCAGTGTATACTGCTTGGGTGATGGGTACACCAAAATCTCACAAATCACCACTAAAGAACTTACTCATGTAACCAAATACCACCTGTACCCCAATAACTTACGGAAAAATATAAATAAACCTTGTATCCATGAATCAAGTTAATTTCAGTCATTTCATTTGAATCAATTGGTAAATTGTTTAATTTGTATTAATTTCTTGACTGTTGATGTAAATAGTGACTAATACACAGAGATTTGATGCCTCTCAAAAATAACATGCTGAGGAAATACAACAAAAACAGATTTTGGACTACTATTTTCTATGAATATTTAAAAAGTAAATGATGTTCATGCTTTATCTGGAGTCCTGATCAGAAGTTAGTAAGTTTATTGCCATATTGAAAAAAATTTTAATCCTGTTGCTCCGTAACTCTGATTAGTATTTTATTAACAAATCAGAGTTAGATTTCTGTGTTCTCAAAATTAAGTGCAGTTCCCCTCATACATTGCTAGTGAAAATGAAAAGCAGTACAGCTGCTTTGGAAAAGTTTGGCAGTTTCTTAAAAGTTAAACATAGAACAATTACCATCTGAGCCAGCAGTTCTACTCCTAAGTATATCTTAAGAACATGGAAAGCCTAAGTCTACACAAAAACTTTTGCACCAATGTTCATAGCAACATTATAATAGTCAAAAAGTGGAAACAACCCAAATTTCTATTAACTGATGAATAAATAGATTAAATGTGGTATATCTATACAGTGGAATATCATTTGGCATAAAAAAAAGATTGAACCTTGAAAACATTGTTCTAAGTGAAGTAAGGTTGTCACAGAAAGCTATAAATACATATGATTCCACTTATAAGAAATGTCCAGGTAGACAAACTCATGGAAACAAAAAGTAGATTGGTGGTTGCCAGGGGATGGGGAAGTGGGGAATGTAGAATGACTGGTGATGAGTATAGGTTTTCTTTTTTGCATGATAAAAATATTCTGAAATTAGGTCATGGTGATGTTTAAACAACCCTGTAAATACTCTAAAAACCACTGGCTCTTGTGTATTTTAAAAGGGTGAGTTTCATAGTTTGTGAATTATATTTCAGTATAGCTGTATAAAATTAAATACATTTAAGTGTGGAACACAATAGCTGTTGTGTGTGCTGTATTTTATTCCTTAAATTTAAAAATCCCAAATTAAATTTTCTTCTTCTTTAGAGGAATAACTCCCTTCCTGATGAGAATAATATTGCAAGGCTTCAGGAAGAACTCATTGCTGTGAAACTTAGAGAAGCAGAAGCCATTATGGGTTTGAAAGAACTTAGACAGCAAGTCAAGGATTTAGAGGAACACTGGCAGGTATATTAATATATTTTGTGTGCTTTTTTAAAAGAGAGTAAAACCGAAATATCCAATTTGTAAGAGTTTGAAGTACCTGATGACCTATAGTAGATGAGTTTAAAGTGAGAGAGACCCTGTTTAATGTCAAAATTGAGAGTATTTATAAACTGAAAGTGCACTTAAGCTGTTTCTCCCTCTTTAATTCTTATAATAAAATAAAAGATACAGTAGACATCAGATAATATTTTTGTCATTGTACCATTGTGCCTTGTGTAACTTTTTCTGCAAACTGTGAAAGTGTTCTATATAATACATATTTTGTCTTAAACTTTGATATTAAGTCCATTGTTGGTTAGTGTGAAACACCAGAAGGGTGACAACATTATAAATTTAATGTATAAATTAGTAACTTAGTTACCTCACCAGATAAATGACATTTATCTGGTATGTGACCACAAATTTATTCATGTATGAGGGAAATGTTGACAAGGAACAAAATACATATTCTATATAAGGACCGAAATTAGGCCTTGACATTGTCATGCCTTTTTTTAAAACATGTTTTGACAAAGTATCAGATTGCAATAAACTTGAAATTTTAAAACAAAAAAGACAAAACTTGTCTTTTATCACAGATATTTTGAGAAACACTGCCCTTAACTTCTAACATTCCTTCCTTAATGGCCCCATTTTTTTTCTAATGTATTGGGATTTCATTGAAGATAATATGAAAAATCTCTCATTAAAAAAATTACAGTGAAAATTGTAATCTTTTCAAGAATTAATCCTCAGTATATAGAGAAAAAATTTGAACTGTATTTGAGTTTATATCCCAGATCTGCACTGGCTGTGTGTGATCCTCCTAAAGTTACTTAATCACAGTGTTCATTTTCTTACCTGTGAAAAGCCAAAAATGTTTCCACACACATTGCCAAATGTCCCCTGGCGGGGCAAAATTGCCCCAGTTGGGAACCAATAATGGCAATAATGTGAATGATGCTTCCTAAAGTTGTTTAATATGGTGACCCTAGGCAGTGAATTCTAAAATTGCCTGTCTTTCTTCTCAGGTCTCTCTTTTCTCCAATAAATTCTTTTTTTTTTTTTTTTTTTTTTTTTTTTTTTGAAGTAGAGACTAGAGACAGGGTTTCAACATGTTGGCCAGGCTGATCTCAAACTCCTGACCTCAGGTGATCTGCCCGCCTTGGCCTCCCAAAGTGCTGGGATTACAGGTGTGAGAGCCACTGCGCCTGGCCAATAAATTCTATCTTAAATATACTTAAGATCTGCAAAGGTCTTTTTATGAAACCCTTTTATTCAGATGATAATAGTGCCTGATTAATAGGATTTTCTAGGGATTAAATAAAATAATGTGTGGAAAGTGTTTTATATATCACAGGCCTGAAATAAGCGCTCAGTAATATTAGCTCTTATTTTGATACTGAGAGTATTTGTTGCAATATAATTTTTTATGCTTTAGCGCCACTTAGCTCGTACTACTGGGAGATGGAAAGACCCACCCAAGAAAAATGCTATGAATGAGTTACAAGATGAACTGATGACCATTCGACTTAGAGAAGCTGAAACACAAGCAGAAATAAGAGAAATAAAACAAAGGATGATGGAAATGGAAACACAGGTATGATGGGAAAGCCCAGTATCTTTAAAAAGTATCATTAGCTGATCAAGGGTTTGTGCACAGATTGTATCATCCCTAGAACAGAGATAAAAGGTAAAGATATGAAGCTGTATAGACCGCAGTTTTCTAGCCCAAATGAAGATGGCAAAAAATTATTATATTGGATTTCAGAGATTTAATCCTTCTTTGACCCATTCAACAAAGTTCAAGGAAGTCAAATTTTATTTGACTTTTTTGGGTAAAACTCATAGCATTGCCCTGTTGCATGACTTGAGAAGGAACACCATGCAGAGCAAAATTTCTCAACCTCAACACTTTTAACATTTTTGGCTAGAAGATACTTTGTTTTACGGAGCTGGTCCATGCGTTGTAGATGTTTAGCAGCATCCCTGGCCTCTACCCACTAGATGCCAGTAACGGCTCTCCTACCTCAGGTTGCGATGACCAAAAATGTTTCTGCACACATTGCCAAATGTCCCCTGGGGGACAAAATTGCCCCAATTGGGAACCACAGATGTATACTATAATGTGAATGATGCTTCCTAAAGTTGTTTAATGTGGTGACCCTGGGCAGTGAATTCAAAATTGCCCTTCTTTCTTCTCAGGTCTCTCTTTTCTCCAATAAATTCTATCTTAAATATACTTAAGATCTGCAAAGGTCTTTTTATGAAACCCATTTGCATGGTAAAGGCACATTTGGTTTTCATGTGGTACATTTGTTTGGACCATATTCTTATACTCTGTGAATGTTGTTTTTTGGCTTTTAAAGTATTTATTCAGTCAGTAGGGGGCATACTTAACTCATACATCATTCTGTATTCCAGTGCAAAATGATCATAATCTCAAACATGGTAACATGAATATGTAATTTCTTCAGAATAAATATATCTTGTTTTACATTGTTCAAAGTTATTTTCTTATATTTTTCTTGTATTATTCTATATAAAATACTTTCCACACGTTATTTTATTCAGTATAATTAAAATAGGAAGAGGTACTATTGAGATTATGAATAGTAGAAATCTTAAGTTTTACAATGGGAAGTTTTATTTTTGTAATCAGATTTTATTTTAGTATAGATACTAAAGATGAAAACACAGCTTTTAAGCCATTGTTGAGGATTTATTTCACAGTGGGTAGAGGTGAATAAATCAAATCCAGTAGACATGATTTTGAGAACTTGTGAAACACAAAGCACTGTCTCAGCCATTAAAGGACTTACACTTGAGAAATCAGGTATGCATAGACTATATTTAATATAATTCAGAAATTTGGTAAGTAGAGAGTTAGATAGGAATTGCTACGGAGACTAGGCGGGGAAAATTAATTTCAACTAGGTGGTTTGGAGAAAGATTTCCTAAGGAATTTGTATTGTGCTTAATACCATTGCTGACTAATAAGTGTGATTTTGGATGGATTTTGCTGGAAGCAGGATGGTAATAGGCACTGGTTCCTAAATGCCAGTATTTGGACTGGTGGTAATCCATGAAATTTTTACATTGATAAATGAAAAATAAATAAATAAAAATAGTATAGGGTAATGGTGGTGGTGTGTAGTAATCTAAAGATTATTGTATCAAACACCCATGTATTTAGATTAAGAAATTTGTCCATGTTTATACATGTAACTCCAGTTCTGTCATTTTAAGGACTTTTAGAAAAGTCTGTCAGTGACTATACCTCAATTTATTGATCCACTCTCCTTTTTGCTCTTGCAAACAGTGCTACTCTGAACATTCTTGCTTATGTTTCCTTGTGTATATCTTCAAGAGTTTCTTAAGTACAAAGGTTCTTACCGTTTTTGTGTTTGTGTCTGCTATCAACACTGTTGGCAGTCTGGAACCTGTGGACCCCTTCTTAAAATAATATTTTTTAATGCGTAAAACCAAGTACAAAGGATTGCAAAGGAAGCCACTTCTACTGAGGTACAGTTATCAAAATACTAAAAACATGTTTGTGCTGTAGATCACATAGAGATACAACACATTCCCATTGCTAGATTCAGGTTTTTAATATTTTAGATTTAGATTTCTTTTTTTTTTTAATTTTTATTTTTTAGACGGAGCCTTGCTTTGTCGCCCAGGCTGGAGTGCAGTGGCCAGATCTCAGCTCAGTGCAACCTCTGCCTCCCGGGTTCAAGCTATTCTCCTCCTCAGCCTCCCAAGTAGCTGGGATTACAGGCGCCCACTACCACGCCTGGCTAATTTTTGTATTTTTGGTAGAGACGGGGTTTCACCATGTTGGCCAGGCTAGTCTTGAACTCCTGACCTTGTGATCCACCCACCTTGGCCTCCCAAAGTGCTGGGATTACAGGCGTGAGCCACCGTGCCCTGCCTTGATTTAGATTTCTTAAGATAAATTGTACTACATTTTTTCCCATCTTAATTTCAGTTTATGTGTTTATATCTCTGATAAACAACATATAGATGGGTACTTTTTAAAATGCAGTCTGATAAATGATTGTTCAACTCTCAATAGGCTAAAAACCACTGAATATATGTACACTTGAGGGAGGTCAATTTTATAATGTGTGAACTGTATCTCAATAAAGCTATAAAAACTGGCTGGGTGCAGTAGCTCACGCATGTAATCCCAACATTTTGGGAGGCCAAGGCAGGTGGATCACCTGAGATCAGGAGTTTGAGACCAGCCTGGCCAACACGGTGAAACCCCATCTCTACTAAAAATACAAAAAAATTATCCAGGTGTGGTGGCACATGCCTGTAGTCCCAGCTATTCGGGAGGCTGAGGCAGGAGAATCGGTTGAACCCGGTAGGTGGAGGTTGCAGCAGTGAGCCAAGATCACGCCACTGCACTCCAGCCTGGGTGACGGAGCAAGACTCCATCTCAAAGAAAAACAAAAAACTAAAAACAATTTAGTCTCATAGTTTCTTTTGCTGTCAAGTTTGGTCTCAGTTTTGTAATTTTACTTGGATTGATATCTGTCACCTTGCTAGCTATTTTGTTTATTCCATCTGTTCTTTGTTTCTTTGTTTCTTTTTTTCTACCTTCTCTTGGATTTATTAGATATTTATTGTGATTCCATTTTTATCTTCACATTTGACTTATTTATTTATACATCTTTCAAGAGTTTTTTTAGTGGTTGTTCCAGGTTTTACAATAAATAGAGTTTACCTTCAAATAATAAATTATAAATAATAATAAATGAATAAATAACTATACACTTCATGTGTAATCTAAGGCTCTTACAACAGTGTGTTTTCAAATCTTTCTACCTCTTTTGTGAAATTGTCATACATTTTACATATTGTCCAAATATATATGCTACTAATTTTGCATTAAAGTTTTCTTTCATAGAAATTGAAAAACTTTTAATGAAATGTGTTTTTCCTTCAAGATATTCTGTTTCAGCACTCTTTCTTTGTGCAGATCCATGTTTCTGTCTGGTATCTTATCTTTTCTGCTTTAAGAAGTTCTTTTATCATTTCCTTTAGTGCTGGTTTTTGTTTGATAAAATGTTTATTTCTTCAATTTTAAAAGATATATTTGCAGGATATTGAATTCTGCCTTGACAGTTTTTTTCTTTTAACACTTTAAATCACTCTGCTATCTTCTTGTCAGAAACCATGCCAGCCAGGATTCTGTTGTAATTCTTATTTTTGTTCCTCAACATGTAATGTATTTTTTCCTCTGGTTGCCTTCAAGCTTTTCTCTTTGTTTGTAGCAGGTCGAATATGATATACCCAGATCTGGGTTTTTTTTTCTCTCTTTTTTTTTTTTCTCTGAGTTTCTTTGATTTATAGATTTGTGTATGCCACAAATTTTGGAAACTTCTTGGTTGTTATTTCTTTCTTTTTTTTTTTTTTTTGAGATGGAGTTTCACTCTTGTTGCCCAGGCTGGAGTGCAATGGTGTGATCTCAGCTCACCACAACCTCAGCCACCTGGGTTCAAGCCATGATCCCCTGCCTCAGCCTCCTAAGTAACTGGGATTACAGGCATGTGCCACCACACCTGGCTAATTTTGTATTCTTAGTAGAGACGGGGTTTCTCCATGTTGGTCAGGCTGTTCTCAAACTTCCGACTTCAGGTGATCCGCCCGTCTCGGCCTCCCAAAGTTCTAGGATTATAGGCGTGAGCCAGCACGCCCGGCCCTTGGTTGTTATTTCTTCAAGTATTTCTTCTCATGCTCCCTTCTTGAGGGGTTTCAATTATACATGTGTTAGATTGTTCAAGGTTGTCTAACAACTCTTGGTTGCTCTGTTCGTTTTGCCCCTATCATTTTTCTCTGTGTTTTCAGTTTCCATTGACTAAAACATTTTTACCGACAAATTATTAAGTTCACTCATTCTTTCCATTGCTTTGTCAAGTTGTTTGATGAGCCAACTGAAGGTATTCTTTACGTCTGTTACTGTTTTTCATTTCTAGCTTTTCTTTAACAAAAAAAAAATTTTTTTTTTTTCAAAGAGAAAAGGTCTCACTGTGTTGCCCAGGTCTCGAACTCCTGAGCCCAAGTGATCCTCCCATCTCAGCCTCCCCAAAGTGCTAGGATTACAGTCACGAGCCACTGTGCCCAGCTCATCTCTAGCTTTTCTTTTTGACTCATAGTTTTCATTTTTCTGCTATTACCTATCTAATTTTATGTTTTTCACCTTTCCCTTAGAGCCTTTAGCATATTAATCACAGTTATTTTAAATTCTCTGTCAGATGTTGTATTAGTCAGGGTTCTCTAGAGGGGCAGAACTAATAGGATATATATATATATATATATGGGAGTTTATTTCAAGTATTAACTTACATGATCACAAGGTCCCACAATAGGCTGCCTACAAGCTGAGGAGCAAGAAGTGCCAGTCAAAGTCCCAAAACGGAAGAGCTTGAAGTCCAGTGTTCAAGGACAGGAAGCATCCAGGATGGGGGAAAGATATAGGCTGGGCCAGTCTCTCCTTTTCACATTTTTCTGCCTGCTTTATATTCACTGGCAGCTGATTAGATTGTGCCCATCAGCTAAGGGTGGATCTGCCTACCCCAGCCCACTGACTCAAATGTTAATCTCTTTTGGCAACACCCTCACAGACACATCCGGGATCAGTACTTTGTATTGATCTTGGATACTAACTCAGTATTAACCATCACAAGTCCACCCCTTGTCAGCTTGAACTTGAACCTATGCACATCTCCTGAGATCATACATAATCTTCAAATAAAGACAATAATGAGGTAATAATTATGCCTAACATAATACAACTATCCTTTGTACACCTGGAAACACACCAATCCCTGACTCAAATACTATTACATAAAGTTAACAGTACTTAAATGCTGATATGAAGTCAATAAATCTTATGTCACATGATAAAATATATTTTCTTAGTACAAATGTATACATACACAAACATGATTTTAACAAAAGAAGGAGGAAATACTCATGACAATTACAGTCCTTGTTTCTGCAGCTGGTCACGTAGTGGTATCTGGTATTAATGACTAACCTTCCGTTACCCATTCTGTATTCCCTTTGCCTTCAGCAAGCACCTCAGCAGGTCATGTTTTTTTTCCTGGTGGAGTGACCCAAACCTTCATTCCTGAGGGGTCTGGGCCATCTGTAGTCCTGCCTGGATTGGGATGTTGTAGTTTCCCATTGACCTTAATCACAGGGCATGGTAATACTAAGATGCCCTGATGGATCTCCTGTATTCCATGCATACTCTTCTTTACCTCCGTTGTGGATTAGCAGACTGATTTCATCTTGATAGTCCGGGTCAGTCATCCCAGCCAACACTGTAATTCCCTTCTTAGCTTGTTGACTTAAAGGTAGGAACAGCCCGAAGTGTCCAGGTGGCAATCTTAACTTGCAGTTTAATGGAGTCGTTGTTGTGTCTTCTGGTGGTAGCGTTCCTCCCTCTGGAACTAAGACCTCTAGGCCAGCAGAATTAATGTTGAGGGAATAGGAAGCAAAAATTTTGCTAGTGGGTCACTAGGGGTGATGGTGAGTGGTGCCACTTGCACTTCCACCCCTTGATTCCTGGACCCGTGAATCGTGGCTATGGGAGAAACAGTACCATATGTTGGATGCTGATTCAGAGCATACATGGCCTTCTGGAGAACTTTGCCCCAGCCCTGCAAAGTATTGTCACCTAGTTGACATTGTAATTGTGACTTCAAAAGCCCATTCCACCATTCTATCCATCCAGCTGCTTTAGGATGATGGGGAACATGGTAAGACCAGTGAATTCCATGAACGTGAGCCTACTGCAACACTTCTTTGGCCATAAAGTGAGTGCCTTAGTCAGAGGCAATGCTGTGTGGAATACCATGATGGTGTTTAAGGTATTCCGTGAGTGCACAGATGGTGGTCTTGGCAGAAGCATTACATGCAGGATAGGTAAACCCATATCCAGAGTAAGTGTCTATTCCAGTGAGGACAAACCTCTGCCCTTTCCATGATGGAAAAGGTCCAATATAATCAACCTGCCACCAGGTAGCTAGCTGATCACCGTGAGGAATGGTGCCATATCAAGGGCTCAGTGTTGGTCTCTGCTGCTGGGAAATTGGGCACTTAGCAGTGGCTGTAGCCAGGTCAGCCTTGGTGAGTGGAAATCCATGTTGCTGAGACCATGTGTAACTTCCATCCCTGCCACCATGGCCACTTTGTTCATGGGCTTATTGGGCGACGATGGGTGGCTTGGAAAAGAGGCTGAGTGGTGTCCTCAGAACAGGTCATCTTATCCACTCAATAATTAAACTCCTCCTCTGCTGAGGTCACCCGTTGGTGAGCACTCACATGGGATACAAATGTCTTCACAGATTTTGGCCACTCAGAGAGGTCCATCCACATACCTCTTCTCCAAATTTCTTTGTCACCAATTTTCTAATCATGCTTCTTTGAAGTCCCTGACCATCCAGCCAAACCATTGGCTACAGCCCATGAATCATTATATAATCACACATCTGGCCATTTCTACTTCCATGCAGAGTGCACAACCAAGTGCTCTGCTCGAAGTTCTGCCCACTGGGAAGATTTACCTTCACCGCTGTCCTTCAGGGATGTCCTAGAAAGGGGCTGTAGTGCTGTGGCTGTCCACTTTCAGGTGGTGCCTGCATATCGTGCAGAACCATCTGTGAACCAGGCCCTGGTCTTCTCTTCCTCTGTCAGCTGATCATAGGGAACTCCCCATGAGGCCATCAGTGCGGGCTGGAGAAGAGAAGACAGGGTGGCAGGAGTGGAGACCATGGGCATTTGAGCTACTTCCTCATGAAACTTACTTGTCCCTTCAGGACCTGCTCAAGCCTGATCACGTACATACCACTTCCATTTGATGATGGAGTGCTGCTGTGCACAGCCCACTTCATGGCTAGATGGGTCAGAAAGCACCCAGTTCATGATAGGCAGTTCAGGTCGCGTGGTGACTTGATGACCCATAGTCACTTCATGACTATGATGAACAATGGTTCAGTTTCCACCAAAGTCCAGTAACAGGCCAACAGCTGTCTCTCAAAAGGAGAGTAGTTATCTGAAGAAGATGGCAGGGTCTCGCTCCAAAATCCTAGAGGTCTCTGCTGTGATTCACCTATGGGGGCCATGAATCTCTGTTTTTATAATTCAAATTAGTATTTTGCTCATTTGACCTAGAAGTTTTCTGCTTGTATAAATTAAGTAGGAATGAGCAGACTTCCTATCAATTTCACTTCTAGGAACACCGTGATTAATTAGCCAATGCCAGAGCTCTACACAAGTCAGACTATTCTGATTGCCGCTTTGCCGCTGCTGTTCATGACAGTAGCTATGCCTACCTTGCGTTTGATGGTTGAGTGCTGCCACTTGGCCCCGGCACCTCAGTATTCAATTATTCCCATTGTATTTAAATTTTGTAGTTGAGTAACTGCGGTTCCCACCATTAGATCTGACATACTAAGAAGAGCAATTACAGGCCTCTTCAAAGATGCAGGTGCTGCCCTCACAAATCTATTTCAAAAGGCATTGGTCAAGAGTACGTCTTCTGGACCCTCCCAGCTGAGATGAGTAGGTCTAAAGTGACTAATCCACTCCACCATCCCAGTCTCCCTAAGCCTTTGGATTCCATCCTCTACATTAAACCAAGGGAGATCAGGCGTTTCCAGCTCTCTCACAGTGGGCCATCTTCTAGTCCGTCTTTCAACTAACCAAGCAAATAAACTATTAGAACCTTTTTTAACTCCCCAAGTTGCAACATTGAATGCAGAATCCCTACTTAGTGGGCCCAAATCAATAAATTCAGCCTGATCCAACTCTGTTCCTTCCACCATTATCCCATACCCTTAATATCCATTCCCATGGTTTGTTTTCCAGATTTCTGTTTATATAAATTAGAGAACTTGGTTTTTTTCAAGTGTAGCACACCTCCTCATGGGTCACACTCAACCTCACCCTCTAGGGTCCCACTGAGACTTTAACTTAGTTATAGGTCTAGAAGCAAACAGGTGTTGGGGGTGGCTCCTGAGGAGAATCAACATTATCTTCCCTGGCAACTGCCTCAGGGGAGGGCATCAATGTTGCCTCAAGCAGCGCAGGGTTCATCTCCTCAGACAAAGGCAGAAAGGCTGATGGCAGCATGGGTTGGGGAGGGGTTGTTTCCACTACTGGGGATGGGGAAGTTGTTCCTTCTGACAAAAAAGGTTCATCAGAGTTTACAAACCTCTATGTCCCCAGCTTCATCAGGGTCCTCCCACATGTCCCCATTCCAAGTTTTAGGGTCCCATTCTTTTCCAATCAATGCCCTCACTTTAACAGTAGACACCTGGCAAGGCTGTGCATGCATCTTTCGTTGCAGGTCAGCCACTCGCATGAAGAGCTTGTGACTGTCTACTCTCATTCAGGGCAATCTTAGCAGATTTGAGGCGTAGTATCTGCTTCTGAAGCAGGGGGACAGAATCCCCTGAATTCATCATTTTCTTTCATCAATTTGTCCAGTGAACTTAGGAGCAACCAACCAACTTCATTACATTCCTTGGTTCTCCACATATAGTCAAAGGTATTATGTATAGAGTCACTAAACTGCTTGCCTCTCACAAATAGTAAATCAGGAGTGTCAAATGCATTTATTTTGCGTAACTCTCTACAAACAGTTCATGCCAAGAACTATCAGTGTGCTCCATACTGTTAGAAGTAGAGTCCTTAGCATTTTTGGGTCTTACCGTATTAAGCAGCCAACTCCAGAAACCCCCAAACCAATTTAAGAACTCCATCCTTAATATTCTGTTCCTCTAGAACCACTCCTGGTACCAAAATCTATATTAGTCAGGGTTCTCTAGAGGGACAGAACTAATAGGATATATATAGGAATAATAGGAGATATATATATATATATATATATATATATATATATATATATATATAAAATATAACATAAAATACATGTATATTATATATAATACACATACATATATATAACTCATATATATATATATGAGTTTATTAAGTATTAACTTACACGATCGCAAGATCCCACAATAGGCCGTCTGCAAGATGAGGAGCAAGGAGAGCCAATCCGAGTCCCAAAACTGAAGAGCCTGGAGTCTGATGTTTGAGGGCAGGAAGCATCCAGCACGGGACAAAGATGTAGGCTGGGAGGCTAGGCCAGTATCTCCTTTTCACATTTTTCTGCCTGCTTTATATTCGCTGGCAGCTGATTAGATTGTGTCCACCAGATTAAGGGTGGATCTGCCTTTCCCATCCCACTGACTCAAATGTTAATCTCTTTTGGCAACACCCTCACAGACACACACAGGATCAATACTTTATATCCTTCAATCCAATCAAGTTGACACTTAGTATTAACCATCACAGATATTTTTAACATCTGTGCCATATGTAATGCTGGTTCTGTTGATTGCTTTGTCTTTTGGGAGTGCTTTGTTTTTCCTTGCCTTTTCCTATGCTTTGTAATTTTTTTGTTGAAAGCTGGATATCTTGTGTAGGACTGCAGACTGAGTCAAATAGTTTTTCTGCCTGGAAATGGGCACATTTTTCCTTCTGCTAGGCCTTTAAAGTGGGAGATTCAAGTTAATATAGTCCAGAGATGGGTTGAGTTTGAGGTTTGTTGTTTCTGTGGTATCATCAGTGCACCATAGGCTTCAAATTCCCTTAGCAATACTTTATTTTTCCCTTAGTAATACCTTATTTTTAGAGTAGGAGCTGTTTGCCAGAGGAATTTTGTGTCTTTAGGTTTTCCCTTTGCATAACATTTTAAAAGGGTCTGTCTTCAGCAGTATTCCATTTGTTACTTATTACAGAAGAGTTGGAGGGGCAACAGTGTTTTCTATTGTTCTGATGAAGCCTCAGTCTTAGACAGGCACAGTGGCTAATGCCTATAATCCCCAACACTTTGGGAGGCCCAGGCAGGAGGATCACTTGAGGCCAGGAGTTTGAGACTAGCCTGGGCAACATAGTGAGACCCTGTCTTGTATAAAAATTTTTAAAAATTAGCCAGGTGTGGTAGTATGTGCCTGTAGTCCCAGCTACTTGAGAGGCCGAGGTGGGAGGATCGCTTGAGCCCAGGAGTTTGAGGCTGTAGTGAACTATGACACCTCTGCACTCCAGCCTAAGCCACAAAGTAAGATCCTGTTTCTAAATTAAAAAAAAATAAATGGCTGGGCGTGGTGGCTCACGCCTGTAATCCCAGCACTTTGGGAGGCTGAGGCAGGTGGATGACCTGAGGTCAGGAGTTTAAGACCAGCATGGTGAAACCCCATCTCTACTAAAAATACAAAAATTAGCCAGACGTGGTGCTGTATGCCTGTAATCACAGCTACTTGGGAGGCTGAGGGAGGAGAATCACTTGAACCTGGGAGGCAGAGGTTGCAGTGAGCCAAGGTCGCACCATTGCACTCCAGCCTGGGCAACAAGAGTGAAACTCTGTCTCAAAGAAAAAAATAAATTAAATAAATAAATAAATAAATTCAGTCTTAGGCTTCATTATGTCCTTTGATCTGGTGTGTTTGGTCTTTAGTGCTCCTGCCCACCCCAGATGTAGTACTAGGCACAAAACGCAGTTCTGCCCCTTCCCCAAGATGCAATGGCTTTCACCAGTGCCCCAAAGACAGCAGCGTTTCTTGGCCCTGATCCACACAGATGAAAGCATATATTCCCTAGAGGAGACAGGCAAGGTTTAGCGCCTTCCTATAGTGACTGCTATTCCCCTTCTTGAGTCCTGTACCATGAAGGTTTCTTTCTCAAGACTCACCAGTCTTTTGTGTGTGTACCCGTTGGGGTACCTGAAGAAAAGTGTGCAAGAGTTTGTGAACTTAGACTCTAAGTCTGCTGCCTCCTGCGCCTTCACACTGTCTAGCCAGCCAATACTTAGCTTCCACCAGTCTGATATTTATTCTAGCTGTATCATTCTTAGCTTGTGGCCGTATCTGCCTCAGGTGAGAAAGTGCTTAAATCCCATTGCATCTCTCCTGGAAGGCTCCGGGTTTGAACTTAGTTTGGCTGGCTTTTTTTTTTTTTTTCCTTTTTTTTTTTTTTTGAGATGGAGTCTTATTCTGTCACCCAGGCTGGAGTGCAGTGGCGCGATCTCAGCTCACTGCAACCTCCGCCTCCGGGGTTGAAGCGATTCTTCTGCCTCAGCCTCCTGAGTAGCTGGGACTACAGGCGCATGCTACCACATCTGGCTAATATTTGTATTTTTAGTGGAGACAGGGGTTTCACCATATTGGCCAGGCTAGTGTCGAACTCCTGACCTCAAGTGATCCTCCCGCCTCGGCCTCCCAAAGTACTGGGATTACAGGCATGAGCCACTGTGCCTGGCCTTCCTTCTTTTTTCATTGGAAGGGTAGGAGCAGTTCTTTGACCTTCTACATCCCAGATCACAAATCAAAAGTCCTGATTATGATGTATTTGTGATTGTTTTGTTTGGTACTTTTGGTTTCTTTCTTTTTTGTTCCTTTTTTCTTCCTTTCCTCCTCTTTATTGGATTTAGTTTTTTCTTTCACTTTCTCTGTACTGGTTTGACTCTTATAATTCCTTTTGTTTTCTATTAATGTTTGCTACCTGAAAAAAGTTGAAAATGCTTACCTGGGTGAACAAAGTCTAAACTTAGTCATCATCTCTGTATCCTTTCCAAACATTTAGAAGGGCCTGTGAATAACTTCATGTGTTCTTCTGTCTTACAAGTTATTATTGTACATCTTTTAATACCTCCAAACTACTAGATATTATTATTTTATGGAGTCAGAGCTTATCTGGATTTGTTCACCTGTTAGTCAGTTATTTTTGCTCTGAATTCTTTTTTTTCTATTTAATTTTTTTTTCTTTTTTAAATAGGGTCTCACTGTTTTGTCCAGGCTTGAGTGCGGTGGCTGTTCATAGGCTCCATCGTATCTCACTACAGCCTCAAGCTCCTGACCTCAAACAGTTCTCCTGCCCCAGCCTCCCAAGTAGCTGGGACTACAGGCTCTTCTCTCTTCTTATATTTGACAGTTTCTGGTTTCCATCCTGCATTCTAAATCTGTCACTCTTTTTTTTTTTTTTTTTTTTTGTGACGGAGTCTCACTCTGTCACCCAGGCTGGAGTGCAGTGGCGCAATCTTGGCTCACTGCAAGTCCTGCCTCCCAGGTTCACGCCATTCTCCTGCCTCAGCCTCCCGAGTTGGGAGTACAGGCGCCCGCCATCACGCCTGGCTAATTTTTTTTTTTTTTTTTTAGTAGAGACAGGGTTTCATTGTGTTAGCCAGGATGGTTGCAATCTCCTGACCTTGTGATCCGCCTGCCTTGGCCTCCCAAAGTGCTGGGATTACAGGTGTGAGCCACCACGCCCGGCCCACTTTCTTAAAATAAATTTACTTTTCTTTCTTGTATGATAGTTTAGCTCAGTATACTACTATAGGGTGAAGATTCTTTTTTAAGCATTATGAATTTTTGCCATTGAAATATCTGCTAGACATTTCATTACCCTTCCTTTATAGATCTCAGTTTTTCCCTTGATTTGCCTCTTTAGCATTCTAAGTTTTGTTACAGTATATATTGGTGGGGATTTATTTGTTTTTATCCTGGTTGGAACTAGTTGTGTTTCCTAAATTGTAGATTTATATCTTTTATTTCTTTTTTTTGGGGGGATTTATTTTTTTATTTTTATTTTTTATTATACTTTAAGTTTTAGGGTACATGTGCACATTGTGCAGGTTAGTTACATATGTATACATGTGCCATGCTGGTGCGCTGCACCCACTAACTCGTCATCTAGCATTAGGTATATCTCCCAATGCTATCCCTCCCCCCTCCCCCAACCCCACAACAGTCCCCAGAGTGTGATATTCCCCTTCCTATGTCCATGTGATCTCATTGTTCAATTCCCACCTGTGGGTGAGAATATGTGGTGTTTGGTTTAATTGTAAAAAATTCTCAACTGTTACCATCTCTTAAACCATCATATCTCACTTTTTTTTTTCTATTTTATCCTGCAACCCATATTAGGTATATTTTGGACCTTATTCTCTTTTCTGTGTCTAATAACCTCTTCTGGGACACTAATTATTTCTTCAGTATAGCTAATCTCCAATCTAACCCATTCATTGAATTCAGTGGCTGTATTTATAGAAATTTTCTTTGGTTATTTTTCTGATTTGCTTAATTTTTTTTGATAGTGACTTGTTCTTTGCTTATGTTTTGGCATTTTCCTTTTATGTCATTAATACTGTAATTTTAGACATAACCTATGTTAGGTAAAGTCCTATAATTATCTCTAGAGTTCTTAAAATATATTTTTTCTGTCTGCTGTCTCTCACTCATGGTCAGTTCTTGGGTTTTATGTGTATTATTTATCAACCATAATGTTGAATTATGGTCTTGTGTTCAGGGATGCAGGGAAGGGTTTTATCTATGGACATTATTTGCAGCTTATGTCAAAGATGGGTCCCTCTGAAGTGTAGTTATTTGTTTTAATGGTAGCAGGTAAGACAGTAAAAAGAGGCTGTGATACATTTTGAATACGGCACTAAGAAGTTTAGTTAATTTTGTAGACAGACTTATTTGTTGATTCAAAATGAGAAAGAGGCCAGGTGCAGTGACTCATGCCTGTGATCGCAGGATTTTGGGAGACCAAGATGGGAGGATCACTTGGGCTCAGGAGTTCAAGACTGGCCTGAGCAACATAGTAGGACCTCGTCTCTACTAAAAATAAAAAAAATTATCTGGGCGTAGTGGCACATGCCTGTGGTCCCAGCTATTCAGGAGACCGAGGTGGGAGGATAGCTTGAGCCTGGGAGATTGAGGCTACAAGTAAGCTATGATTGTGCCTCTGCACTCTAGCCTGGGCAACAGAGCAAGCTCCTGTGAGACCCTATCTAAAAAAAAAAAAACAAAAAAGAGAGAGAGAATGAGAACGACTAGAGTATGTGTTACAGGAAGACAAGTAAAAGTAAAGATGAAGAAAGTTCTAAGTGGTTGAAAGTTTTGGAGCTTACATCTATTAGATGATCTACATTTTTTCATTAAAACTGGAGGGGGGTCTTTTTCATAGGGCGAGGTAAAGTAGGTATAATAATGGCAACAACTGAACATTTATTAAGTATCTAAAATTTCCCGGGTGCAGTGGCTCATGCCTGTAATCTCCCAGCACTTTGGGAGGCTGAGGCGGGCGGATTACTTGAGGTTAGGAGTTCGAGACCAGCCTGGCCAACATGATGAAACCCTGTCTCTACTAAAAATACAAAAATTAGCTGGGCATGGTGGTGGGTGCCTGTAATCCCAGCTACTTGGGAGGCTGAGGCAGGAGAATCACTTGAACCCAGGAGGTGGAGGTTGCAGTGAGCCAAGGTCGTGCCACTGCACTCCAGCCTGAGCAACAAAGTGAGACTGTCTCAAAAAAAAAATGAAATGAAATTACATGACATGACATGATTGTGTGAGACTGCTTTCATAAACTTTTCGCCCATAATCTAATCTTCACAACATAGTCTCAAAAGGCAAGTAGTACTATCTCTACTGAAATTTGGTAGGATTAAATAACTTGGCCAAGTTTTAAGAACTGTTAAATGAGAAGTTAGATTTTTACTTCTTTCTGTTATGAAAGTCCCTACTATTTCTTTCAGGCCTCTGATAGAATAATTTCGGGTTGAGAGAATTCTGGCTGGGTCATACCTGAGTGTGAAAACTACCTCATGTTAGTTCAAGGTCTATATGTTTTTTTAGCACATTCTGTAATTATAATACAATAAACAGCTAGCATTTATTGCTACATATTTAGGCCCTGTTACGCATATTATCTCATTTAATTCTGAAGACACCAAACTGAGAAATAGAAACTATTTTATATGCATTTTTCAAATAAGGAAATAGAGACTCAGAGATACTAGCTTGTTTGCTTAATGACCAAATATTAAAACCAGGATTCAAAATCTGTGTGCTTCATAAAAAGAGACTGTGCTAGACATTGAGAGCATGTAGAAATACACATATGCCGTATTGTGTGACATCAAGTTTACAGCCCAATAAATAGTGATGGTACCTTTTTTTTTTCCTTTCCTTTTTTTTTCTCTGAGACAGAGTCTTCTTGTCACCCAGGCTAGAGTGCAGTTGTGTGATCTCAGCTCACTGCAACCTCTGCCTCCTGGGTTCAAGTGATTCTTGTGCCTCAGCCTCCCAAGTACCTGGGATTATAGACGTGCACCACCATGCCTGACTAATTTTTGTATTTTTAGTAGATACGGGGTTTCACCATTTTGGCCAAGTTGGTCCCAAACTCCTGGCCACAAGTGATCTGCCCACCTTGGTCTCCCAGAATGCTGGGATTAGACATGAGCCACTGCACTGGCCATGATGGTACCTTTTGACTGGTTTGTGCTTTCTTTCTGGAACTGGAAAGAGGAATTAAACTCACCATTCCTGTATCTATCCATTTTGTACTCCCATTGCCAATCTTAGAAAGGAATACCTTCAAGTTGTGTATAAGAATTTTTATAGTTTACACCTATTTTTTGTATAAATGGTATATTGAGCTATATTGAGAGTCTCTAATATTGACAGTATGCATTCCTTTGGATGACTTGATTTTATTTATTTATTTATTTATTTTTAATTTTTTTTTTTTGAGACGGAGTCTCGCTCTGTCGCCCAGGCTGGAGTGCAGTGGCTCAGTCTCCGCTCACTGCAGGCTCCACCTCCTGGGTTCACGCCATTCTCCAGCTTCAGCCTCCCGAGTACCTGGGACTACAGGTGCCCGCCACCATGCCTGGCTAATTTTTTTTTTTTGTAATTTTAGTAGAGACGGGGTTTCACCGCGTTAGCCGGGATGGTCTTGATCTCCTGACCTTGTGATCCGCCCGCCTCAGCCTTGAATGACTTGATTTTAAAGGCAGTTTTATCTTATTTTTTAATGTTGATTTTGTTGAATAACAGTGACCTATAACTAGTAACATTTTTAATAATGTTATGGTATAAAATGGATAGGTAATTTTTTTTAATTTTTAGGTCTTGTATCTATAGTCTCAGTATTTATATTTCTGATTATTAGAACCAGATCAATAGTAACCATCTTCGAAGAGCAGAACAAGAGGTGATTAGCCTACAGGAGAAAGTGCAGTATCTTTCTGCACAGAACAAAGGACTCCTTACTCAATTAAGTGAAGCAAAGCGTAAACAAGCAGAGATTGAATGCAAGGTAAATATGTCAACTAACTGATTTTGTTTTTTGTCAATATAATAATGCCTTTTTTTTGTTTGTTTTATCGTGATTAGATTATCTTAAAAACAAAACAAAAAAGCTCGTCCTATTTTCTACTTTTCCTGAACTTGTTTTGGTAGTTGCTTTCAGACCAGGTCAGCTCATCTTGCTTCTGGGGTGGATTTTAGTCAAGAAACATTTTCAGTCACTTCCTTGGTTAATTTAATTTCCTGGATTGGCATTTACTAGTATTTCTTTACAGTTTTTCTTTTGACTGGTAACCCTTTAAAACCAGAGCTTTTAATGGCTTGATCAAAAAAGATGGGTCATTTAGAGAGGTTAGGGCTCCTCTGCTTTGATTGGTATCTTATTAGTGGGCAGTAATGTTAATAACATTGATACATGTTTTCTGGATAGACTAGAGAGCAAAAGAAATGTGTATGTACCAGTGTGTTGGGAAAAATGGGTATATTACCCATTATTATTTTAATCAGTTATATACTTTACTTTTTTGTGAAGTGTTTGGATTCAAAAAGCATCAAAAGTATTTGAATGCAAGTACATTCTTTCCTGAAATAAATTTACAATATAGCAGTGGTGAGAGAGTGGGGGAAAGGCAGTGAGATGGAAGGAGAGGAGGGAGGGTTTGGGGGGGTGTGTGTGTGTGTGTGTGTGTGTGTGTGTGTGTGTGAAATAACTAAAGAGATGACTGTAGACTGGGCATTAGAATGGATTACTAAAGGCAAGTTATGGGATTTAAAAAAATAAACTAGGCATCCACCTTTCCATGGTGAGATAGTAGGAATGATGCCCTTTAAAGATTCCAGCCTTATTATTGTATAAGAAATAAGACTTTTGATGGCACATGTAAAGCTGTAATTCCATCAGCTTATTCTGGTGACATTAAAAACCAAGAGTGAAGCTTGAATGGTTTATCAGTGTCACTGAAATCCAGAGATGAAATTACATCCTTATAAATATGCATGGCTGTTACAATGTATACTGACAGAAATCTGTAGGCAGTACTGAAATTCCTACTAAAAGCACAGTCACTTTTGAAGGATATGACTAAACTATAAATAAAATAATATTAAATGAGGTTGTATCAGTCTGATTTGTCATACCAATATCTGATTGAGTTTTTATGATGCTAAATTGTCTGTGTTGACATCTTATAGATAACTAAATTTAATCTTTTATTTATTATTGGTGTTAGTTTTCCTTAAACATATTTTGATAATGGTGTTACTAGATTAAATATTGCTCCTCAAATGCCTTAGTACCTGTTGAGCAAAGTAAAGTGTTCTTTGGAAATAAATCTTTGAGGAACTTGCTGTTGAAAATAATAATTTTCTTTGAACTTGTCTAAGTAATGGGCTCAGATTTAGAATATTAGAGGATTTTATGAACTAATATGGGATTTTATTTAATTTTTAATTGTTCATTAATACCTCTGTGAAGTATGTTACAGATGCAAACTCTGATATCTCCCCTGTGTTTAAGCTGTGTGTTAATTTATTCAATCTTTCGTGATGCCTTTGCAGGTTTTGAGAATGACCAATGTATTGTTACCCTAGCACCTAGTACATTCTGATTAAATGTGTATGTTTTACCCTGTTATGTTGGAATAATTCGGGAACAAAGTTAATTTTTCAAGAAAGCCAGTCCGTGAATTATGTAAATCTGATTCATTTTCATTTAGTATTATAATATTATAGCTTATGATTAATTTATAATTATTAAAGCTTTTTTATTTTTAGTTGTGTAAAATGTGTGGATATTGTTTATAATATTAATGTTATTTTCCCTCTCAACTTAATTTGAATGTTCTCACTTAAAGTTGAAATATTACAAGCCTGTGAACCCCAGTTTCAAAATGCAAAACACTCTAAAACCCTGGAGTTTTTTCATAAATTTCACACAAATTCCTTTGGAGGCAAAACTTAATTTGAATTGATATATGGCCATTTATAATTGTTATTTATTCCACTTGATGTGAACATTTATATCTCACTGCTTCGTTGTATGTATTGAGCATATTGTTTCATTATGGATGCTGCCTTAGACCCTGCTAGATAATACTTAACGTATGGTTTATGCAACCTATTACTTTTCTAAAATCTGAATTCCAAACACACCTGGTTTATTTTGTTTCGGTTTGGTTTACCACACTAGAATAAGGAAGAAGTGATGGCTGTGAGGCTTCGGGAAGCAGATAGCATAGCTGCTGTGGCTGAACTACGACAACACATTGCTGAGCTTGAAATCCAGGTACCATATGAAAATAATAAAGTACATGTAAAAATATAGTTTCTTCTATCCTCTTTGTCTGAACAGTAACTTACTCTTTATCCTCGTGACTGTGATTCTTTTTTCAGTAATCATTCATTTCCAATTTTTTTTTATTGTGGTAAAATAGACATAAAACTTACCATTTTAAAGTATACAGTTCTGCAGCATTAAGTATATTTGACACTGTTGTGCAGCCATCACCACCATCCATATCCAGAACTTTTTCATCCTCCCTAACTGAACCTCTTTGCCCATTAAACACTAACTTCCCATTCCCCAGCAACTGGCAACCACCAGCAACTGGAAACCACCATTCTACTTTGTCTCTATGAGTTTGACCACTCTGGTTACCTCATATAAGTGGGATCATACAATACAGTCATATGCTGCATAAGGACATTTCAGTGACGGACAGCATATATGGTAATGGTCCCATAGGATGATAATGAAGCTGAAAAATTCCTTTTGCCTAGTGACTATAGCCATCATTATGTTATAGTGCAACACATTACTCATGTGTTTGTGATGAGGCTGGTATAAACAAACCCACTGCACTGCCACTCTTATAAAAGTGTAGCACGTACAGTTGTGTATAGCACATAATACTTGATAATAAATGACTATGTTACTGGTTCATATGTTTGCTATACTATTTGTTGTTTTGCTATACTAATATTGCTATTTTAGAGTCTAATTCTACTTATACAAAACAAGAGTTAACTCTAAGACAGTCTCAGATCCTTCAGGAGGTTTTCCAGAAGGCATTGTTTTCATAGGAGATGACAGCTTCATGTGTGTTATTGTCCCTGAAGACCTTCCAGTGGGACAAGATGTGGAGGTTGAAGATAGTGATATTGGTGGTGCTGACCCTGTGTAGGCCTAAGCTAATATCTTAGTTTTTAACACAAATGTTTTAATTTTTTTTTTTTTTGAGGCAGGATCTCACTCTGTTGCCCAGACCGGAGTTTAGTGGCACAGTCATAGCTCACTGCAGACTCCAACTCCTGGCTCAAGCAGTCCTCATCAGCTTCCCGAGTACCTGGGACTACAGGCACACATGACCACACCCAGCTTATTTATTTATTTATTTATTTATTTAGTAGCAATGAGGTCTCCCTTTGCTGGCCAGGCTGGTTTCGAACTCCTGGGCTTAAGTGATCCGCCCACCTCTGCCTTCCACAGTGCTGGGATTACAAGCATGAGCCACTGCGCCCAGCCTTAATTTTTTTTTAACTTAAAAAATTTTTTGTTCATCAGGTGTAATGACTCATGCCTGTAATCTCAGCACTTTGGGAGGCTGAGGCAGGCAGATCTTGAGCCCAAGAGTTTGAAACCAACCTGACAAACAAAGTGAGACTCCCTCTCTACAAAAAATACAAAATAAAATTAGTTGGACCTGGTGGTGCACCTATAGTCCCAGTCGCGGTTACTTAGGAGGCTGAGGTGGGTGGGTTGCCTGAGCCTGGGAGGTCAAGGCTGCAGTAAGCCATGATCACAGCACTGCACTCCAGCCTGGGCCACAGAGTAAGACCCTGTTTCAAAAAATATATTTATTAAAAATTAAAATTAAAAATAGAAAAAAGCTTATAGAATAAAGATATAAAAAAAATTTTATACACCTGTACAATGTTTGCTAAGCTAAATGTTATAAAAGAGTCAAAAAGTTTAAAAAATTGGAAGTTTATAAATAAACTTACAGTAAGTTAATTTATTATTGAAAGAAAAACCATTTTTTATAATGTTATAGTATATTTACAAATTTTCTTCATTTTTAAAGCTGAATAATATTCCATTGTATGTATATACCACATTTTTTATCTGTTCATTCATTGATGGACATTTAGGGTGCTTCCATGTTTGAGCTATTGTGAATAATGCTGCTATGAATACAGGTGTACAAATTTCTGTTCAGGTCCCTGCTTTAACTTCTTTTGAGTACGTAGAAGTGGAATTGCTGGATCATATAGTAATTGTTTAATTTTTTTAAGAAATTGCCATACCATTTTCCACAGAACCTACACCATTTTACATTTCTACCAGCAATGCATGAGGATTTCATTTTTTCCGCATTTGCACCAACACTTGTTAATTTTCTGTTGTTGTTTTTATAAGTACCATCCTAATGGGTGTGAAGTGGTATCTCATTGTGGTTTTGATTTGCATTTCCCTAATGATGAGCTATGTTGGGCATACTTTCATGTGCTTATTTCGCATTTATATATCTTCTTTGGAGAAATGGCTATTCAGGTCCTTTGCTTAATTGAACCAGGTTGTTTGTTGTTTTTGTTGTTGAGTTATAGGAGTTATTTATATATTCTCAGTATCACTTTCTTATCATATATATGGTTTGCAAATATTTTCTCCCATTATGTTT
This sequence comes from Homo sapiens, assembly GCF_000001405.40. NCBI lineage: Eukaryota > Metazoa > Chordata > Mammalia > Primates > Hominidae > Homo > Homo sapiens. The sequence goes on along the minus strand of NC_000001.11, from coordinate 92,602,911 downwards.
GTTGCCTTTTCTTTGTTGATAGTGTTTTTATCACAAAAGTTTTTAATTTTGCTGAATCAACGTACCTGGGTTTTGTTTTGTTTTGTTTTTTTTGGTGGTGTTGACTGTGCTCCAAGTCCATTTTTTAGTGAAAATTTATCATATTTCTATATTATCAAAACTATCTTCAAAAGAAAATTCAAAGCTTTAAAAATAAATATGTTTTTACAGGGCACAGTAACTCATGCCTGTAATCCCAGTGCTTTGAGAGGCCAAGGTCAGGGGATTGCTGGAGGCCAGGAGTTCAAGACCGGCCTGGGCAATAGAATAAGACCCTGTCTCTACAAAACAATTTTTAAAAATTAGCTGAGGGCATGATAGTACACTCCTGTAGCTCTGGCTACTTGGAAGGCTAAGGTGGAATGATCCCTTGAGGCCAGAAGTAGGAGTTCCATATTACAAGGAGCTATGATCAAGCCACTGCACTCCAATCTGAGTGACAGAATGAGACCTTGTCTCAAAAAAAAATTTTTTTAATAAAAATAAATGTGTTTTGTCACTTCTTATGCCTTACTTCTTGTATAATATGATAAAAGTAGTAAGTTTTCCCTATGGACAAAATACTATGTTTAAAATCTTATGTCTTTCAAAGTCTTTAATTATATTGTACTCCAAGTCACAATAGTCTTTGCTGTAACATCTAGAATTTTCTTCCCACCTGAAATTTCCTTTTGTCTTTAAATTTCAATTTCAAATGTAATTAATTTCCAAACTTACATATTATATTATAACTTCATTTTTTGATCTGGATCAAAAGTAACCACAACACATTATGATTTGTATGTTTATAAAAAGGTATCCTTTATGTTCTGCTGGTAGTAGTCCCCATAAAGTGCACATATTCAGAAAAACCTCAGACATGAGCCAACTGCATAATATATTTGTAATCAGTTGTTTAAATCATGCTATCGTATGTGATTTTAGCATTAGTCTGTACTTTTCTAAACATCAAGAAAATCCTAAGAATTTGCCATATTTCTATACATCTTAATCACAAAATAGTAAAATTTAAATCACTCTTTTTGTTGATTCTGAAATATTTATTAAAACGAAGAACCTGGTATGCAGGATTTTTGTTTAAAATGAAATGTAATGTGTTACATTATTTTTGAAAAATAGAAAATTCATGGAATTTTTTTTAACATCTTCCAATCCTTTACCCCTAACCCCGCATCTAGCCCCTGGTAACCACCATTCTACTCTGTACTTTTGAGTTCAACTTTTTGTATCCCACATGTGAGATCATGTAGTGTTTGTCTTTCTGAGCCTAGCTTATTTCAATTTCACTTAAGGTTCTCCAGGCTCATTCATGTTGTTGTGAATGACAGAATTTCCTTCCTTTTTAAGATTGAATAATATTCCATTGTGTATATGTAAACCACTTTTTCTTTATTCATTCATCTACTGATGGACATTTAGGTTGGTTGCATGTCTTGGCTATTGTGAATAATGCAGTGAACACGGGAGTGCAGATATCTTTTCAACATACTGATTTAATTTCCTTTGGATATATACCCAGTAGTGGAATTGTTAGATCATATCATCTGTTTTTGATTTTTTGAGGATTTACATTTCTACCCACAGTGTGTAAGAGTTCCCTTTTCACCACATCCTCTCCAGCACTTACTGTCTTTCATCTTTTTGATAATGGCCATTCTAACAGGTGTGAGGTGATAGAATTGTTACTGTTATTATAGTAGGGGTATATTATCATCAACTGGCTCTTGATAAAGTGGTCACTGGAATCCTAATTGCCAAATTTGTTGCTATTTTTTCAGTATTTGCCTGCTCATGCTTATTGCATTTGTTTTTGACCATTTCGTCCTCCTTGCATTCTCACCTCCCCTAACTTTGCTACCACCACTTACTTTTGACTCTCTTTTTTCTTGTTTAACTGTTGTTTACAGTCATCTTTATCAGTCGTGGATGTGTGTATTCCTCTGAAATCCGAGGTTTTGGCTTTTACAAACTATACCCAAATGAAGGGTCTCACTTACATGGCTTCAGGAACCATCTTTACCAGGGTTTCCCAACCCCCAGGCCACAGACAGGTATCAGTCCATGGCCTGTTAGGAACCGGGCCGCACAGCAGGAGGTGAGCGGGCAGCCAGCAGCATACTGTCTGAGCTCCACCTCCTGTCAGATCAGTGGCATCATTAGATTGTCACAGGAGCACGAATCCTATTGTGAACTGCACATGTCAGGGGTGTTGGTTGCACTCTCCTTATGAGAGAATCTAATGCCTGATGATCTGAGGTGGAACAGTTCATCCTGAAACCATTCTCCCACCCTCTCTATGGACTACGAAATCTGTCACTAGTACCAAAAAGGTTGGGGACCACTAATTGTTGCAACAGTGAATCATAATTTATCTCCAGCCCCAGCCTGTTTCCCCTTACCAATAATTTTCTAAATGGTTTAATAATTTAAAAATTATGAAACATGATGTACAGAGAAGTTAATAAAACAAAGTTACATTGTATGTGTACAAATATTATACATAAAACTTCTAACCAAGGTTAAGACAGACAAAATTGCCTGTACTCAAGAAGTCTATTCAGTCACACCCTGTTCCCTATCCTGACTTTTATGACAATCACTCTTTTGCCTTTCCTTATGATTGTGTCATCTTCCTATACATTTCTGATCTATACAGTTTAGTTTTCCCAGCTTCTCAGTTTTGCATATCGCCAACTCTTCAATCTTTCAAAATAGAAAAGTCTAAGTAAGTATAAAACTAAATAAAAGGTAATTTGAGTCATTTTTCAAACTTTTTTGAGTCTATAATAACATTTCTCTTCTCCCTACCACTCCGTTAGTTCATCTGCTTACCCCTTACCTGAACTGTTGTTGTAACCTCCCATCCAGTTTCCTTTTCTCCAGCTTCAGCTCTTCTACAGATTAAAAAAGCTGTCTCTCTAAAACATAGAAATTTCATTGACTACCTTTTAAATACCAATCATATCGAAACTCCTTAGCATAAAATCCTTTTTATTATTGCCCAAACTGAATTTGTAGCTTCATCTCTCACCATTATCTCCCCATCCTCATCACCTACACATACATGCTGTATTCTGCCCACTGTGAATTATCCTATTCCTGCACCTATCACATTCTTTCAGAATTCTGTGCCATTCTGCATGTTGCTGCATCTTCCTAAATTGCTGTATTTTTCTGAACTTCTTACTCCTCTACTTTTGAAGTATTTCTGTTTCTCTTTCAGGTCTTAGGACTGAGTGCTTTTTGGCTAACTTGCTGTTAATTTGCTTAGTAAATGAGTTTTCAGTAGATGTCTTAAGGTTTCAATATTTAATTATATGTATATGTCTATATAAATATAGATATATAGAGGTATATTTTTAATACAGATTAAGATTCATAAATAGATCTTTCATTAAAACCTGAAACTTTTTTCAGTTATCAAAGTAATATATTTTAGGTTATTTTCTTAGTCATGGAAATATCTTAGATCATATTCAAGTTCCACTAGGGGGAGAACTCAACTTAGTCTAAGATTTTTGTACTTCAGATGTCTTCAGATTAACTCTTCCAATTACTGGTACTCTCTTGCGAGTAAAATGTTTTTGCACAAACCGAATTCTTTCAAACTCTTCTTTTAATAAATTATTATTTAATCTGTTATTCATATAATGAAAGCCTGCTTTTTAATGTAGTTATGAAAATTATACTTTTGTAAACATCTCATTTAGATGAGAAAATACATTACATGAAGAAATACTCATTTTTATAAATACTATAACATTGTAATATATAGATACTTACATATAGATATATAGTATATTTATATACATGCTATGTAGTATATAGATATAGGTAGACTGAAATTTATTAAATTTATTTTCAAAGATTATTCAGTCTACTTAGAACTTTTAGGTCTAATTTAAGAATTATCATCTACTGCCATGTTGTTATTCTGACATAACTACATCTGTAATCTAGTTATATTGTTTATAATAATGCCTCCTCCACCACCCTGTCTTTGTATTCGCGTCTTACAGTGAACTTAACCATTTTTAAGTGTAGCAGCTTTCAAATTTTAGACATTTTCCTAGAACTGTTTTTAAAAGTTACTATTACCTAGTTTTCTTCTCTAAATGAATGACAATTATTTATTGGTGGGTTTTTTGCTATAAAATTATTACACTGTTGTGCTATAATGCTCAGTTGGGAACAGATTATACAACCTGTAAAATTAAGGAGTTGAACTCTAAGGTTCTATCACATATAAAACAATACTATGCCATGTATAGCATTTAAATATTTTTTGACAATTCTGAGTTACCATGAATTTTAATTATTATGTACTCATCTCACTTTATTAATACCTCCATGACTTTCTCTTTGGCCAAATTTTTACCTTAAATAACATTCCTATTCTAGTTACTAGACTCTTATGTTGGTTTATTTTTTCTTCATAACAATTACTACTTTTTTCATAAATTATACATTTCTTTTTAAATTTTAGATGTGGGGGTACATGTGAAGGTTTGTAGATAAACACATGTCATGGGGGTTTGTTGTACATATTATTACATCACCCAGGTATTAAGTTCAGTACCCAATAGTTATTTTTTCTGCTCCACTCCCTCCTCCTACGCTTCCCCCTCAACATATTTTTATTTTTAATTTTCCACATTCCCCACTAGAGCATAAGCTCCATGGGAGTGCAAGAGTGGAATTTTTATCTGTCTTATTCATTACTATATTCTCTTTTGGGCAGTGGTGGGGGAGACAAGGTCTCAAGATCACGCCACTACACCCCAGCCTGGGTGACAGAACGAGCCTCTGTTTCAAAAAAAAGGTCTCACTTTGTTGCTCAGACCAGAGTGCAGTGGTGTGATCATAGCTCACTGCAGCCTTGACCTACTGGGCTCAAGCAATCCCCCCACCTCAGCCTCCCAAGTACCTGAGACTACAGGAGCACACCACCACACCTGGCTAATTTTTATATTTTGTGTAGAGATGGAATTTGGCTATGTTGCCCAGGCTGATCTAGAACTCCTGAGCTCAAGCGATCTGCCCACCTGGGCCTCCCAAAGTGCTGGGACTACAGGTGTGAGCCACTGCACACAGCCTCGTTGCTATATTGGGTGCTTACTGTATAATGTCTGGTACATAACCGTCATTCAGTAGATATTTGTATTTGACCAAATTTGACCAGTAGATATTTGAATTTTGACAATAATTCATTCATCTTCTGATGTTGTTTCTACAATAAATGATTTTTAATGTATGCAGTTGTCACTATATTCACACATTTATCAACTTGTATATGTTCTTTTATTATTAGGTCACTACCAGTTAGGAAGGAGAAAATGAATTCAGCCTCTGTCCAAATGAATTTACCATTACAGAGTAGGAGTGACTGAGCTTAGGTCCCTTCTCTGAAATGTTTTTTAATGGAATTTAAACCTCTGAAAATTAATGTATATTTATTGTTGGTATTAATGACTGTAATAACATGCAAGAAGATGCCAACTATTATCAGAATTTTTTTGCTATCCTCACATATGCTTTAGAACCCAGTTTTCTGTTTGAATGTCTCAGTCTAAAGGAACTTCTTTTAGTAGCCTGCAAAAATAAATATGACATATCTTAATCAGAATAAAGAGCTTCAAGAAATTTAGTTATGAAGAACAAGAGGATTTTAAAATCCTGAATGTCTCTGTGGTCCCAACTTTTTGTCTTTTTGTTTTCTTCTAATTGCTAGAGATTCTGTATTGGTTAAAAGAATGGATTTTTGAGTCCAACCTCTTATTAGCCTCTTATCTTTGACAAGTTTTTTAATGTATTTGTTGGTTCACTCATTCAAAACTGAGGATTCTAAAGCTATCTGCCTTATAGTTGTTGGGATCAAATGAGAAAACTCATGTAAAGTGTTCTTTCTTGCCTACATAATATCCGGAAAAACAGCTCGTAGACCTTATGTAAAAAGTCACATTCAATATTGTAGAGTCCCCAAAATTACAACCAAACTAGAAAGTTCTGAAACTCTTTGAGTTTCCTTAAAGATAGTCTTTAACAACCTCAGATACTGAATATATATCCCTTTCCAAAAATTATATAAAGCCTGAAATTAAGAATTATCTTGGGGCCAGGTGTGGTGGCTCACACCTGTAATCCCAGCACTTTGGGAGGCTGAGGCAGGCTGATCACTTGAGGTCAAGAGTTCAAGAATTATCTTGGCTTTTTGTTTTTTCTGTAATATATACTTAAGTAAGCTTCTTTCTGTCCACCATGAAACCCTGTTTAGTTACACTTCATTTTTTGTGTATTTGCTGTATTTGGAAATATAGAGCTTATTACTTAACAACTTTAATTATTCCAGGATACTAATAATAAGAGTAATAATAGCTGGCATTACTGAACACTTGGTACATACCAGGCAGTGTTCTAAGCCATTTGAGGATATTCACATATTTAATCCTCACAAAAATCATAGGAGATATTGGTTTTGGGGTTTTTTTTGTTGCTATTTTTGTTATTGTTTTCAAGACAGGGTCTCACTTCGTCATCCAAGCTGTAATGCGGTGGCGCAGTCACGGCTCATTGTAACCTCGACCTCCCAGGCTCAAGAGATCCTCCCACCTGAGCCTCCAAGTAGCTGGGACTACAGGCACATGCCACCATGCCCGGCTAATTTTTGTATTTTTTTTCTGTAGAGGTGGGGTTTCGCCATGTTCCCCAGACTGGTATTGATCTCCTGGGCTCAAGCAGTGCACTCACCTTGACCTCCCACAGTGCTGGGATTACAGACATGAGCCACCAAGCCCAGCAAAATATTGTTAATATCTTCATTTTATAGTTGAGAAAACTGAGGCATAGAGAAAATTTTAAAATGAGATTTTGTTGTTTGTATGAAAACCCACTTTTGAATTTTTTCCAGGAATAAAAGGAATTTCTTTTCTTCAGTATTTCAACATACTGTCATGGTAGTTATATAAGTTTTCTTAATAGCATATTGACAGCTTCCTGTGAATTTGCTTATTATACAACTAAAGTTACTATTAGTTCCCTGTTCATTACTTAAAATTTTTCAGTTGTTTCCCCTAGCGTTGGGGACAAAATTCAAACTCTGGCCCTCCTTGTAAGATCCTTCCTGCTCGAATTGTTGCCTACTTTTCTAGCTTTATTTCCCAGTTACCCCGACATATATATACCCGGTACTTGAGGCCCAGTATACCAGTTAAGAATCCTTCAAATCTGTCATCTCATTTTCCTCCATGTTTTTCTCCCTCCTCCTTTGATCTTGCTTTTTATTTCAAAAGTCAGCTTTTCTTTTTATTATTATACTTTAAGTTTTAGGGTACGTGTGCACAACGTGCAGGTTTGTTGCATATGTATACGTGTGCCATGCTGGTGTGCTGCACCCATTAACTCGTCATTTAACATTAGGTATATCTCCTAATGCTATCCCTCCAACCTCCCCCCACCCCACAACAGGCCTCGGTGTGTGATGTTCCCCTTCCTGTGTCCGTGTGTTCTCATTGTTCAATTCCCACCTATGAGTGAGAACATGCGGTGTTTGTTTTTTTGTCCTTGTGATAGTTTGCTGAGAATGATGGTTTCCAGCTTCATCCATGTCCCTACAAAGGACATGAACTCATCCTTTTTTATGGCTGCATAGTATTCCATGGTATATATGTGCCACATTTTCTTAATCCAGTCTATCATTGTTGGACATTTGGGTTGGTTCCAAGTCTTTGCTATTGTGAATAGTGCCGCAATAAACATACGTGTGCATGTGTCTTTATAGCAGCATGATTTATAATCCTTTGGGTATATACCCAGTGATGGGATGGCTGGGTCAAATGGTATTTCTAGTTCTAGATCCCTGAGGAATCGCCACACTGACTTCTACAATGGTTGAACTAGTTTACAGTCCCACCAACAGTGTACAAGTGTTCCTATCTCCACATCCTCTCCAGGACCTGTTGTTTCCTGACTTTTTAATGATCACCATTCTAACTGGTGTGAGATGGTATCTCATTGTGGTTTTGATTTGCATTTCTCTGATGGCCAGTGATGATGAGCATTTTTTCATGTGTCTTTTGGCTGCATAAATGTCTTCTTTTGAGAAGTGTCTGTTCATATCCTTCGCCCACTTGTTGATGGGGTTGTTTGTTTTTTTCTTGTAACTTTGTTTGAGTTCATTGTAGATTCTGGATATTAGCCCTTTGTCAGATGAGTAGGTTGCGAAAATTTTCTCCCATTCTGTAGGCTGCCTGTTCACTCTGATGGTAGTTTCTTTTGCTGTGCAGAAGCTCTTTAGTTTAATTAGATCCCATTTGTCAATTTTGGCTTTTGTTGCCATTGCTTTTGGTGTTTTAGACATGAAGTCCTTGCCCATGCCTATGTCCTGAATGGTATTGCCTAGGTTTTCTTCTAGGGTTTTTATGGTTTTAGGTCTAACATGTAAGTCTTTAATCCATCTTGAATTAATTTTTGTATAAGGTGTAATGAGGGGATCCAGTTTCAGCTTTCTACATATGGCTAGCCAGTTTTCCCAGCACCATTTATTAAACAGGGAATCCTTTCCTCATTTCTTGTTTTTGTTAGGTTTGTCAAAGATCAGATAGTCATAGATATGTGGCATTATTTCTGAGGGCTCTGTTCTGTTCCATTAATCTATATCTCTGTTTTGGTACCAGTACCATGCTGTTTTGGTTACTGTAGGCTTGTAGTATAATTTGAAGTCAGGTGGGATGGTGCCTCCAGCTTTTTTCTTTTGGCTTAGGATTGACTTGGCAATGCAGGCTCTTTTTTGGTTCCATATGAACTTTAGTTTTTTCCAGTTCTGTGAAGAAAGTCATTGGTAGCTTGATGGGGATGGCATTGAATCTATAAATTACCTTGGACAGTATGACCATTTTCACGATATTGATTCTTCCTACCCATAAGCATGGAATGTTTTTCCATTTGTTTGTGTCCTCCTTTATTTCATTGAGCAGTGGTTTGTAGTTCTCCTTGAAGAGGTCCTTCACATCCCTTGTAAGCTGGATTCCTAGGTATTTTATTCTCTTTGAAGCAATTGCGAATGGGAGTTCACTGATGATTTGGCTCTCTGTTTGTCTGTTATTGGTGTATAAGAATGCTTGTGATTTTTGTACATTGATTTTGTATCCTGAGACTTTGCTGAAGTTGCTTATCAGCTTAAGGAGATTTTGGGCTGAGACGATGGGGTTTTCTAGATATACAATCATGTCATCTGCAAACAGGGACAATTTGACTTCCTCTTTTCCTAATGGAATACCCTTTATTTCCTTCTCCTGCCTGATTGCCCTGGCCAGAATTTCCAACACTATGTTGAATAGGAGTGGTGAGAGAGGGCATCCTTGTCTTGTGCCGGTTTTCAAAGGGAATGCTTCCAGTTTTTGCCCATTCAATATGATATTGGCTGTGGGTTTGTCATAGATAGCTCTAATTATTTTGAGATACGTCCCATCAATACCTAATTTATTGAGAGTTTTTAGCATGAAGGGTTGTTGAATTTTGTCAGAGGCCTTTTCTGCATCTTATGAGATAATCATGTGATTTTTGTCGTTGGTTCTGTTTATATGCTGGATTACATTTATTGATTTGCTATGTTGAACCAGCCTTGCATCCCAGGGATGAAACCCACTTGATCATGGTAGATAAGCTTTTTGATGTGCTGCTGTATTCAGTTTGCCAGTATTATATTGAGGATATTTGCATCGATGTTCATCAGGGACATTGGTCTATAATTTTCTTTTTTTGTTGTGTCTCTGCCAGGCTTTGGTATCAGGATGATGCTGGCCTCATAAAATGAGTTAGGGAGGATTCCCTCTTTTTCTATTGATTGGAATAGTTTCAGAAGGAAAGGTAACAGCTCCTCATTGTACCTCTGGTAGAATTCGGCTGTGAATCCATCTGGTCCTGGACTTTTTTTGGTTGGTAAGCTATTAATTATTGCCTCAATTTCAGAGCCTGTTATTGGTCTATTCAGAGATTCAACTTCGTCCTGGTTTAGTCTTGGGAGGGTGTATGTGTCGAGGAATTTATCCATTACTTCTAGATTTTCTAGTTTATTTGCATAGAGGTGTTTATAGTATGCTCTGATGGTAGTTTGTATGTATGTGGGATCGGTGGTGATATCCCCTTTATCATTTTGTATTGCATCTATTTGATTCTTCTCTCTTTTCTTCTTTATTAGTCTTGCTAGTGGTCTATTTATTTTGTTGATCTTTTCAAAAAAGCAGCTCCTGGATTCATTGATTTTTTGAAGGGCTTTTAATGTTTCTATTTCCTTCAGTTCTGCTCCGATCTTAGTTATTTCTTGCCTTCTGCTAGTTTTTGAATGTGTTTGGTCTTGCTTCTCTAGTTCTTTTAATTGTGATGTTAGGGTGTCAATTTTAGATCTTCCTGCTTTCTCTTGTGGGCATTTAAGGCTATAAATTTCCCTCTACACACTGCTTGGAATGTGTCCCAGAGATTCTGGTATGTTGTATCTTTGTTCTCATTGGTTTCAAAGAACATCTTTATTTCTGCCTTCATTTCATTATGTACCCAGTAGTCATTCAGGAGCAGGTTGTTCAGTTTCCATGTAGTTGAGCAGTTTTGAGTGAGTTTCTTTTTTTTCTTTTTTTCTGAGACGGAGTCTCGCTCTGTCACCTAGGCCGGAGTGCAGTGGCAAGGTCCTGGCTCACTGCAAGCTCTGCCTCCTGGGTTCACGCCGTTCTCCTGCCTCAGCCTCCCAAGTAGCTGGGACTGCAGGCACCTGCTACCACGCCCGGCTAATTTTTTGTATTTTTAGTAGAGACGGGGTTTCACCATGTTAGCCAGGATGGTCTCAATCTCCTGACCTTGTGAACCGCCCGCCTTGGCCTCCCAAAGTGCTGGGATTACAAGCGTGAGCCACCGCGCCCGGCTTGAGTGAGTTTCTTAATCCTGAGTTCTAGTTTGATTGTACTGTGGTCTGAGAGACAGTTTGTTATACTTTCTGTTGTTTTACGTTTGCTGAGGAGTGCTTTACTTCCAACTATATGGTCAATTTTGGAATAGGTGTGGTGTGGTGCTGAAAAGAATGTATATTCTATTGATTTGGGGTGGAGAGTTCTGTAGATGTCTATTAGGTCCACTTGGTGCAGAGCTGAGTTCAATTCCTGGATATCCTTGTTAACTTTCTGTCTCGATCTGTCTAATGTTGACAGTGGGGTGTTAAAGTCTCCCATTATTATTGTGTGGGAGTCTAAGTCTTTTTGTAGATCTCTGAGGACTTGCTTTATAAATCTGGGTGCGCCTGTATTGGGTGCATATATATTTAGGATGGTTAGGTCTTCTTGTTGAATTGATCCCTTTACCATTATGTAATGGCCTTCTTTGTCTCTTTTGATCTTTGTTGGTTTAAAGTCTGTTTTATTGGAAACTAGGATTGCAACCCCTGCCTTTTTTTGTTTTCCATTTGCTTGGTAGATCTTCCTCCATCCCTTTATTTTGAGCCTATGTGTGTCTCTGCACTTGAGGTGGGTTTCCTGAATACAGCACACTGATGGGTCTTGACTCTATCCAATTTGCCAGTCTGTGTCTTTTAATTGGAGCATTTAGCCCCTTTACATTTAAGGTTAATATTGTTATGTGTGAATTTGATCCTGACATTATGATGTTAGCTGGTTATTTTGCTCGTTAGTTGATGCAGTTTCTTCCTAGCCTTGATGGTCTTTACAATTTGGCATGTTTTTGCAGTGGCTGGTATCAGTTGTTCCTTTCCATGTTTAGTGCTTCCTTCAGGAGCTCTTTTAGGGCAGGCCTGGTGGTGACAAAGTCTCTCAGCATTTGCTTGTCTGTAAAGGATTTTATTTCTCCTTTACTTATGCAGCTTAGTTTGGCTGGATATGAAATTCTGGGTTGAAAATTCTTTTCTTTAAGAATGTTGAATATTGGCCCCCACTCTCTTCTGACTTGTAGAGTTTCTGCTGAGAGATCAGCTGTTAGTCTAATGGGCTTCCCTTTGTGGGTAACCCGACCTTTCTCTCTGGCTGCCCTTAACATTTTTTCCTTCATTTCAACTTTGATGAATCTGACAATTACGTGTCTTGGAGTTGCTCTTCTCGAGGAGTATCTTTGTGGCATTCTCTGTATTTCCTGAATTTGAATGTTGGCCTGCCTTGCTAGATTGGGAAAGTTCTCCTGGATAGTATCCTGCAGAGTGTTTTCCACCTTGGTTCCATTCTCCCCGTCACTTTCAGGTACACCAATTAGACGTAGATTTGGTCTTTTCACATAGTCCCATATTTCTTGGAGACTGTTCATTTCTTTTTATTATTTTTTCTCTAAACTTCTCTTCTCGCTTCATTTCATTCATTTGATATTCCATCGCTGATACCCTTTCTTCCACTTGACCGAATCGGCTACTGAGGCTTGTGCGTTCATCACGTAGTTCTCGTGCCGTGGTTTTCAGCTCCATCAGCTCCTTTAAGCACTTCTCTGCATTGGTTATTCTAGTTAACCATTTGTCCAATCTTTTTTCAAGGTCTTTAACTTCTTTGCCATGGGTTCGAACTTCCTCCTTTAGCTCGGAGTAGTTCGATCGTCTGAAGCCTTCTTCTCTCAACTCGTCAAAGTCATTCTCCGTCCAGCTTTGTTCCATTGCTGGTGAGGAGCTGCGTTCCTTTAGAGGAGGAGAGGCGCTCTGCTTTTTAGAATTTTCAGTTTTTCTGCTCTGTTTTTTCCGCATCTTTGTGGTTTTATCTACGTTTGGTCTTCGATGATGGTGACGTACAGATGGGGTTTTGGTGTGGATGTCCTTTCTGTTTGTTAGTTTTCCTTCTAACAGTCAGGACCGTTAGCTGCAGGTCTGTTGGAGTTTGCTGGAGGTCCACTCCAGACCCTGTTTGCCTGTATATCAGCAGCGGAGGCTGCAGAACAGCGGATATTGGTGAACAGCAAATGTTGCTGCCTGATCGTTCCTCTGGAAGCTTTGTCTCAGAGGGGTACCCGGCCGTGTGAGGTGTCAGTCTGCCCATACGGGGGGGTGCCTCTCAGTTAGGCTACTCAGGGGTCAGGGCCCCACTTGAGGAGGCAGTCTGTCGGTTCTCAGATCTCAAGCTGCGTGCTGGGAGAACCGCTACTCTCTTCAAAGCTGTCAGACAGGGACATTTAAGTCTGCGGAGGTTTCTGCTGCCTTTTGTTTGGCTATGCCCTGCCCCCAGAGGTGGAGTCTACAGAGGCAGGCAGGCCTCCTTGAGCTGCAGTGGGCTCCACCCAGTTGGAGCTTCTCGGCTGTGTTGTTTACCTACTCAAGCCTCGGCAGTGGCAGGCGCCCCTCCCCCAGCCTCGCTGCCGCCTTGCAGTTTGATCTCAGACTGCTGTGCTAGCAATGAGCGAGACTCTGTGGGCGTAGGACCCTCCAAGCCAGGCACAGGATACAATCTCCTGGTGTGCTGTTTGCTAAGACCATTGGAAAAGTGCAGTATTGGGGTGGGAGTGACTTGATTTTCCACGTGCCATCTGTCACCCCTTTCCTTGGCTAGGAAAGGGAATTCCCTGACCCCTTGTGCTTCCCTGGTGAGGTGATGCCTCGTCCTACTTCGGCTCACGCTCGGTGTGCTGCACCCAGTGTCCTGCACCCCTTGTCTGACAATCCCCAGTGAGATGAACGCAGTACCTCAGTTGGAAATGCAGGAATCTTTCATCTTCTGCATCACTCACGCTGGGAGCTGTAGACTGGAGGTGTTCCTATTCGGCCATATTGGCTCCACCCCCAAAAGTCAGCTTAAGCTTGACCAGTTGTGATCAGCATTCCCTGTTAATGCCATCTTACCTGATTTCGTGTATCTCTGCTCTTCTAATACCCTTTGTTAGAGATCTTTCTTATACCATCTCACACTACTGTAGTTAATTCTTTTCAATTTTTCTGTCCACCATGTGCAGCTGAAGTTCATTGAGGGTAAGGACCATTATTTGACTTTATATTTCCAATATCGGCATACTAGCCACAGTCAAAATATGTTTATTTACTGAAATAATTTGTATGTAATAGTTTATTTTTTGAAATATCAATTAGACTTTAAATGTTATTCTAATTTTAAAACCCACATGTGAAGAACAGATTAAGTTTCTAATTTAAATGAAGTATTGGTTTCAATTTTGTAGATATTTATGGGGTACTTACTATGTGCCTGTCACTATTCTAAACACTACCTGGATTAGTGAACAAAATACAAAAATCCCTTTCCTCATTGAGCTTTATGGTAGAATGAGAAGTTAGATGAAAAAAATAAATCTTATGGTGTGAAATTTAGACAGTGGAAGACAACGGAGAAAAATGTGAGAATGAGAAGATATTGGTATTAGGGATGGAGGACTGTTGCTATTTTCACAATGTGGTTTATAAAGGTTCATTAGAAGGGGATATTTATTTAAACAAACATTTGAATCAGATGAGGCATGAAGATTTGGGGGAAGAACTACTTACTAGGAGAATAGTACAGGCAAAGGGCCTGACATAAGGAGCAAGTCTGAAGTAGAGTCTGGGTGGAGTGAGACATGGGAATTAGAGGAAGTCTGAGAGGTAAATAGAGCCAATTATGTAGGACCTAAAACTTTGACCTTTCCCGACTCAGATGGAAAATCATTGGAGGGTTTTGAGCATGGGAGTGATCAGTTAGATGACATTTAAGCTGTTAAAAAGATTTAATTGAACTGATTCAAAAAATACTTGTAAGAATTCATGGTATTTAGTTTGGAGGGAAATGAGGTTAAAAAATTAAGTTTCCTCTTATTACTGGAGTTTTCCACCATCTAAATGCTATTTATTATTTGAAGACTTTATTTTTACATTAATACTAAATGGAGCTATCTCTAAATTCCATGGAGTAGAACAAAACATAGAAAAGTCAATTTTTTCCTCAGTTAGTTAAGGAAAATAGGTGAGAATTAAACCCAAGCCTTCTAGTATTTAACCTGGGATTGAGTTTGTATTTTGGTTATTATAAAGATAAGCATATTGATTTTTGTAACTATGTTAAAAGCTTCTGTGGGCTAAGCACATCTATAAAATTAACGCCACTTTGTTACAAGTAATGGAAAGTTTTTCATTTAAAAGAGTGTAGGTCTACTCAAATCCAACTTTTGGTTTTTTTCCTGGTACCCAGTAACATTTACCCATTTTGATTAGTTTGCCCAACAGATAACCTCTAGGGATGCCTCAGATGGGCAATACCCCAACCACTCTTGGCTTAAAAACGCCCACTCAAAATTCTGTTCTGACATAGAATGAGGGTGCTAGGTTTAAATCACTGTGCTCAGATCAGTATGTAGTTTTGACAGAGATGGAGAGGAAGTGATAAAACCTTTACCATTAACTTAAAAATATTATATTTTTTAATTATGTGAAATTACCATGACATTACTAAATGATGGAATTTATCATAAAGCTTTGTGATTAGTTTGTACTTTCCAGTTTCCTGAGCTAACTTGTTAATAGTTTTTTTTTTTTTTTTTTGCCCCTGAAGCACAATCGTTTATGGCTTTCGTTTTGAGCAATTTACCTAAATATTAAAATATTTTTCATTTTTCTTTAAGGCATTTCTCAATTTTAAGCATTTTTAATTTGAAAAAATATCTTCTGTAATTGTATCTTGTCTTAATATTAATTGTCAGGAAAATACGTACATAGACTGCTTTACCTAGCTTGCTATCTAGTCATTAGGGATTGCGAGATTCTGTTTAAAAACTTTTTTCTGAAGTGTTCAGAGATTCTTTCGTGTCCAACTTCAGTACACAGTTAAATTTAAAGGGATGAAGTATCTAGAGGTTTTTAGGATATTGCTATATCTAGAATTGAAGAACATCATTTGGATCCCCCAAGATGAGCTCATAGTAAGATCTCAGTTAAGAATTAGGGGAGTTTGGACTCTTAAGTACCATAATATATATGCTCACTTGGTGTTATTAAAAATTAGTTTATGTACACTTAGTGCCCAGATTTTGGTTTTTAATACCATTCTCCAGTGAAGGGGACCAGGGCTTCTCACAGAAATGGCTGATTCTGTGCAGCACACCAGCATGGCACATGTATACATATGTAGCTAACCTGCACATTGTGCACATGTACCCTAAAACTTAAAGTATAATAATAATAAAATTAAAAAAAAAAAGAAATGGCTGATTCTAGGACGGGGACAGGAAATATAGAAGATAAGCCTGGAGCACCTTATAATGCCAATAAGTAAGGAAGTACTCAAAATGCACACACACACACACACACACACACACACACACACAGCCAAAAAAAAAAAAAAACCTACATTAATTGGAGTGTGTTGAAGGGACAGAGGAGCCAACTGAAAGAGTTCCCAATGACCAAAGGTAGAACAATTTGAGAAAAAAAAAATTTTGAAGTATTACATACTTGAAATACACAAGCCAAAGTATAATAACCCAAAGTAGATTATAACCCAAAGTATAAAATAAATATCCATGAGCCTATATTGATTTAAATGATGATTAAATTAATAAATGTGAGTTAAGAGACAAATATGCAGAAGAATTCTAAATAATTTTTGTAGATACTCCACCCTCAAGGAGGGGAAGTATAAATCTCCACTCCATAAGCATGGGCTGCACTTAGCAACTTCCCTCCAAAGGAAAAGTATGGGGGACAAAAAGAGTAACTTTACAGTGGAGAAACCTGACAAAGATTACCTAAGCCAGGTGATTAAGATTACCATCAACAGTCATAAATTACACTGATAGTACATACCCTTGATATCATGTGACATGATGAAAATGGCACTTTACCTCTCTGGTATTCCTCTTGATAACCCATAACCCTAGTCTTACCATGAGAAAACTATCAGACAGATTCCCCTTGTGGAGATCTTACAAAATACCTGAATAGTAATGACTCAAGGCTGACAAGATCATCAAAAACAAGCAAAGTCTAAGAAGCTGTCACAGCCAAAAGGAACCTAAGGAGACATTACAACTAAATGTAATGTGTCTTGGATAGAATTCTAGAAACAGGAAAAAAAAAAAACAGGTTAAAAAACAAAGGCAAAGGAAATCTGAATAAACTAAGGACTTTAGTAGTAATGTATCAATATTGGTTCATTAATTGTAACAAAGGTACCACACTAATATATTAATAATAGGGGAAACTGTGGGAGGGTATGTGGGAACTCTCTATCTTCTCAATTTTTCTGTAAATTTAAAACTTTTCTAAAAAGTATCTAATTTTTTTTAAAACTAGTTTGTGAGTCCATAGTTTTTAGGAGCCATTGGAATTATATCAAATTTTAAGTATTGGTCACAAAATTGATTTGTTTCCAATTAAATTATGATTTATGAGGAATATTTTCTACCTTTTAGACCTTGTGTGAATGCTGACTTGTTTTAAGAGAGGGAGAGTGTCTTGCTCTGTTGCCCAGGACAGAGTTCAGTGGTGCAATCACAGCGTACTACAGCTTTGAACTCCTGGGATCAAGCAGTTCTACCTAAGCCTCCCTAGTAGCTAGCAATACAGGCACACCCCACCATGCCCTGCTAATTTTTAAATTTTTTGTACAGATGGGGTCTTGCTATGTTGCTCAGGCTGATCTTGAGCTTCTGGCCTCAAATAATCCTGACTCAGCCCTGCAAAGCACTGGGCTGATTTTTTTTTTTTTTTGAGATGGAGTCTCACTCTGTCTCTTAGGCTAGAGTGCAATGGTGCAATCTCGGCTCACTGCAACCTCAGCCTTCTGGTTCAAGCAATTCTCCTGCCTCAGCCTCCTGAGTAGCTGGGATTACAGGTGACTGCTACCACACCTGGCTAATTTTTAAATTTTCAATAGAGATGGGGTTTCACCACGTTGGCCAAACTGGTCTCGAACACCTGACCTCAGGTGATCTGCTCACCTCGGCCTCCCAAAGTGCTGAGATTATGGGTGTGAGCCACCACACCCGGCCTTGGGCTGGTATTTTTAAACTGTGCCTTTAGCTAGTCCTGTGTATATGTATATTTCTCTTCTGAAATGGAATTAAATCAGTCTTAATACTGAAAAATACTAGCCAAATATTTGATTTCTTTTATCCCTTATATATTTTTCAGATTTCATTATTGGTTTTTAAAAGACATTTATGTGTACTTTTACTTTTTCTAATTACTAAGAAGAATATTCAAACCTTTGTCCATGACTTTAAATTACAGGAAACTGTTTCAAAAACTTATCAGTAGTACATGATATGAGTATGATTTGTTTTTAGAAGTTTCAAATGAGTCACCTTGAAGTCATGGAGAGGCTACCGCTTACCACATTTACCATTCTGATTAATTTTTCTTTTGGCAAAGTACAAATCAGTAATAACCTACTAAAGCCTAGTGGTTGCTATTGATATTTCAGTAAGGTGATGTTGATTAATCAGAGTGATTACTTACCAAGTGTTACAGATTTACTCAAATTATTGGGTTTTCTTCTACTATAGTAATTTCATATGCAGTAATAATTTGCTTAAGACATTTTGCTTCATATGTGCGTTGAAAATATCAATGTAGAACTTAAAATTTGTATCCATGCTGCAAGTTAATGTGGTTGCCTCTGTGACCGTTGAACATAGTTTCATAATAAAGCCTGGAAAAAAAAAAGCATTATTTAACCTTTTAAACAATCAAGAGATTGCTTTTTAAATTGTCTCTAAAAAGGTTTGATTTTTTACGAAAGAGAGAGCACTTGAATATATCTTTATGTACCACCGTGTCTCTTTTTGTTAGATTTTTCATCTGTGGGTATAATATAAAATATTCTTAAAATGAAAGCTTTACGCTTGTGTTTGAGACTAAGCAACTTGCATTGTGTCATGACCCTTCTAATACCACAAACCTTCTGTAATACTACTCCCGGAGAAAAACCCACATCCTATGCATAACCTTAGATTTATTTTGAAATCTCTATGAAAAAGAACAGAGAGAGATTACTAATTGTTTCTGTTACTTCCTTTAGAGGTATGATACCTATTTGTAACCCATGTTGTAAATGTTAATAGCCAGGAGTAAAATGTTAAAATATATTAAGTAGTGGTTTCCTATCCTAAAGTTAATATGTGAAAATTTAATAACTAATTATAAGTTTCAGTTTGTTATATTAGATATCTGGAAAGAATGTAAAAAAAAAAAAAAAGAGAGAGAGAGAGAAGGCATTGGTACTTCCAGTAGCTTATACTTCTAATACCATTGGCCAGTACAATACTAGAAAATAATTGCAAATTTAAATAAGCCATCTTTTTAAAAATTTTATTCCTATTCTGATTTTTTCCTTCTATTTTAGATTTCTTTGTATTCTTTATGTAACTGATGAAGGTGGATGAAAAATCTAATTTTTTTTTTTTTTTTTTTTTTTTTTTGAGACAGAGCCTCACTCTGTCGCCCAGGCTGGAGCACAGTAGCGTGATCTCGGCTTACCGCAACCTCCGCCTCCCAGGTTCAAGCGATTCTCCTGCCTCAGCCTCTCAAGTAGCTGGGATTACAGGCACGTGCCACCATGCCCAGCTAATTTTTTGTATTTTTAGTAGAGATGGAGTTTCACCATGTTGGCCAGGCTGGTCTCAAAACTTCTGACCTCAAGTGATCCACCCACCTCAGCCTCCCAGAGTGCTGGGATTACAGGCATGAGCCACCGCGCCTGACCCCAAGGTTATTTTTAATATTTAGAAAAAATAGTAACTACCCATCAGTAGGAGAATGGTTACACTATAGTATATTTATACTCTGGAATATTCTGCGTCTTTCAGAAAGAATAAAGATCTACAAGACATACTAGGTGAAAAAAGCAAATTATAAGCAGAATATATATTCCCATTTGTATGTATTAAAAAGCATTTGTGAGTATATGTATTGTATTTATATATATTAAGTACATGTGCATGTTAATATGTATATATGTTACATGCATATGTACTTAAATGCATTGAAATTGGCTGCAGTGATCCTGTCAAAACTGTTGAAATATTCCTTCAGGAGATAGTAAAGGGCTTGGTGCAAAAGAGTAGAGGATATGAGTTCACTTTTTATTCTTTATGAATTTATATGATTATCATTATAATATTTTATGTATATTTAAATGACATTTAAAGTAACTGTTGCTAGAAAGGAAATAAGAACTAGAACTTCCAGATAATTATAGGGAAAAAGTAACAAAGGAAACTTGGGCTACCAAGCAAAAGGGCCACCTTTTTTTCTGGCCTTAAAGTCCCTGAGTGTTGTCTGGCTCCTGCCCATTTCTCTGACCCATTTTAAATGGCATTCTCCTTCACCAGTTAGTTCTAGCAACTACTCACCTCCTTTTTTTTTCTTGAATCAAGCTCTTTCATTCCTACATTAAGGCTTTTGCTTGTGCTCTTTTTTATGATTGCAATTCTGTGCTCCCTAATCTTCCCATGACTGATACCTTCTCATCATTTAAATCTCAGCCTAGATATAAGTCACTGCCTGACCACCTTTGTAAAGTAGGCCCCTCACATTGTTACTGTGTCTCATTATCATGTCTTATATTCTTTATGGCTCTTGTCAGTGCCTGAAATTATTTTTACTTTAAAAATTAACTCTCACACCCCATGATGTTTCAGTCAACGATGGACCACATATATCATCTGGGTCCCATAAGATTATGAGACAGTATGTGTTCTGTACCTTTTCTATGTTTAAATATTTAGACACACAAATACTTAACCACTGTGTTACAGTTGCCTACAGTATTCCATACGGTAACATGCTGTACATATTTGTAGCCCAGGAACAGTAGGCTATACTGTATAGTCTAAATGTATAGTGGGCACTACCATTTAAGTTTGTGTAAATACACCCTACGGTGTTCACACAACGATGAAATCCCCTAACAACACATTTCTCAGAATGTATCCCCATTGTTAAGCGAGTCGTGACTACATTAGAACCTTGTTTGTCTTATTTACTGCTGTATGCCTGGTGCCTGGCATATCACAGGTGCTCAACAAATAGTTGCTGAATGAATTTTAGGAGGGAGAAAATAGTCATGTATTGACCTTCTATGCCATAAGAGCAGGTAGCAGGTTTTAAGTACTTTCTGTGTAAAGATTCCTTTACATACTTTATTTAAATAAATGTTGCACCAAAGATGGCTTGAAACTCCCAGAATTACCTACCCCAACTATCTAACAAAATAGTAAATAGTTTTTTTTTTTTTAAGCAAAAACTTGCCCAATAAACCTGAGAGGAAAAGGAACATAACCTAATGCAATAAACTTTAAAAAGTGACAGCTAACAAAAGAAGCAGACAGTGGTAGAGCAGAGAGGCCTGCCAGGGCTTGGCTTCTAACCTTGACTATCTATCCCATTTCCAGGCTGTGTAAGTCAGCAAAATCCCAGGAGAATTCATTTATATCTCACATGTGGAGAGAAGGAAAATGAGTATGTAATCTTCTGACTGAGGAGTGGTAGAAACTTCTGCAAAGGATAACCAAGTGAAAGAGATCAGAAAAGTGACACCTCACTCTTAAGTGAAGGCCCTAGGGCAACACACTGAATATGGGAAATGATCTGAATCCTAAAACTCAGGTTTTGTGATATATTCCCCCAACTAGGTAGTACAAGATATTTAACAAAATCTCAGAAGAGTAAGAAGAGCCCTTGTTTAGCTAGGTTTTTTCTTTCACTGTGCATTTTCCTGAGACTATAGAAAAGTGAGAACAAGCTTGAGCTTGGAAGGCAAAGGAAATAGATCTCAAATATGGTGGAGAGATAGTTAGTGTCATCCATATCATTAGCGTACTTGGAATATGTGGACAATCACCTAGCCATGAACATGGTGAAAAGAAATAGCACAACAATTTAGTTTATATTATTTATTAATTATTATTGATTATTATTTAGCAGAAAGAAATACCATTCACAAAACCAAAAATCCCAACCAAGAAGAAAGGTAATTCAAGGATAAGAAGAATTACAGTTGCTTCACACTGTAAAACAACTTAACATTAATTCAATAAAATTAACAGATTGAAAGATAAGATAGCCCTTTGAACAAGTGGCTGGTAGTCCACCCACAGAGTGCTGTGTCCAGGCCTTGTATAGACATATCTTGCAGCTGCACCTGGTTCTGCCCCCAGACATCAAAGCCCTGGGCAACCAGTGCATGAAGGACTAATTTAGGAGACATAAGACTGTTGGTTCTGACAAGGCTCAGTGTATTTGCAGGAATGGAAGGTGTATGCAGCAATGTTATGGCAAGCAAGATAAAACACAAAATTCAACTGAAAAAGCATGTTTTGGCACCTCCCTCTCAGAAGAAAAACCTAATGACTTTGGTGATGAACGAATTGGATACTTACAAGAGGTGATACAAGAAACTACTAAATACAATAAGCAACTTAGTAATACTGAGCCTACAAAACCAAAATTTTAGTCTGTACAATAAAGCTTAACAAAATATGTAAAATTGAGAACCCCTTACTTTAACTATCATTGATTGGTTTTTAAAATTTATTACTTAAGCTTTGAAGCTTTTAGAATGCCTAGTGTTAATTAAATATTCTTTTATTTTTGGTTGTTATGAATGCAATATATGAATCAGGATCACTAGCAGACAATTGCAAAAGATTACAACATTATTGGAATAGCAGTCCTTGCTGGGTGGAATTTGATTTTTGGATTAAACAGGAAAGAATGACTCTAAAATGGACAAACTTCTAGAATTTTGCTGAAAAAAATGTTTACATATAAATTAATTTTAAATGCCATTCTTGTTCAAGCATTAGCCTCATGGGTTTTCTTTAGCTTGATCAGATAAGTGTATAGCGATAATGATAGATACAAAATTCCAACAAAAATACATTGTCATTCTGAAGGTTTCATTGTTTCTACTTTAATAATACATATATGATTATTATTCTAAATGTTCCTTCTCCCTGAGTCATTGTTTATTCACAATGAAAGGTTAAAGAGAAGCTTGAAGATTCAGTATTATCATTTGTAAAATAGATAGTACAAACTATAATACATTTCTACTTTGTTTATTAATCACAAGCGACCGTTTAAGTTAAATAATTTAGGTTGGGCACGGGGGCTCACACCTGTAATCTCAGCACTTTGGGAGGCCAAGACGGGTGGATCACTTGAACCCAGGAGTTTGAGAGCTCATATCTTTCTTTTGTTTTTTAGTTAAAACTATTTTTTCTAGTTTTTTCCCCTCAAACATTTAGATCTTTCTATACAAAAGGTGAACTCCCATTTATAAGCTAAAAGTAATAAATAGTAATGGAGAAATGTATACAGAGGGGAAAAATGGCTATTAATAACTGTATTAGTCACAGTAAAACCAAACCATCACATTAAAATTGCTGAAAAAGGAAATTAATTTTATAGTATATTATTTCCGTGAAATATATAAAATACCATTGATATTTTTTATAGGCTGTCTTTGATTTATCTTTGTTTTATTTTTTGTACCTTGGTCTCCCTTGACTTCATATGAGAAGGGATTCGTAAGTAATTATAATCTGGTTTTCCACACTGGCCTCCTTCCATTGGCTCTCTTATTAAATTTGAATACACTAATAGTCTGATCAGTTGATTTAAATATTTTTTGGCAAAATAAACTCTTCATAGGCCATTCAGACAGACTAGGGAAGGGAATGGTTTATTAATAAGATGAATATTTAGGAGCCATCTGATCATCCAATGCTACAGAAGATACACGAGAAACTTTGACAGCTTTGCTTCCCAACTTTGACTTGATATCACTCTTTACAGAGGGCTCAAGAAAAGATACATGAATAACATAAAATAAGTACTGCATTTTTAGAAAAACAATTCTAGCACATGTCCTGCTATGATCTGTCTCAAATCAAAATCCTGATTTTAGGTTTAGGCTGGGTATGATGACTCACACCTGTAATACCAGCACTTTGCGAGACTGAGGCAGGAGGATCACTTGAGCCCAAGAGTTTGAGACCAACCTGGGCAATGTAGCAAGACTTGGTCTCTATTTAAAAACAAACAAACAAAACCATGGTTTATATTGGAGCCATTTATAATGATATAAAGAGAATGGGACTAAGAGTGAAACCTGGCTTCTACTCCTTGCTTTTTCCTGGCTAGTCATGTGGTCCTTGATAAGTTACTTAACCACTGAGTCCATTTTCTTTTCTTTTTTTTTTTTTTTTAGACAGAGTCTTGCTCTGTCTCCCAGGCTGGAGTGCAGTGGCGCGATCTCAGCTCACTGGAAGCTCTGCCTTCCGGGTTCACGCCATTCTCCTGCCTCAGCCTCCCGAGTAGCTGGGACTACAGGCACCCGCCACCACGCCCAGCTAATTTTTTGTATTTTGTTTAGTAGATACGGGGTTTCACCGTGTTAGCCAGGATGGTCTCGATCTCCTGACCTCGTAATCCGCCCGCCTCAGCCTCCCATAGTGCTGAGATTACAGGCGCCCGGCCGTCCATTTTAAATCTCTAGTGCTTTTGGGGCCAGGCCCAGGCTATGTTCAGTTCAAGCCACCTATGAGGATACACACAGGTAAAGAGGCCATGCCAAAAAAAAGAGGATTTAGTATTAATTTTTCATTCCAGAATTTCTCCACACTTTAGTTTTGCTAAAAGAAAGAAATGGTGACAAGAATCCACCATATGGGGGTAATAGTTCTAGACCATAATAGTCATCAAGCTGGGAGAAGAGCATCTAGAGAAATAACAATGTGGATTAGTAGAATGACAGAAAGATGAAATAGCGTTCACATGGATCCAGAAAGGGCTTTTCAAACTAATTCTTTAAAAGTCATGGTATGCAGTGCACCACCACCCAAAAGACTTGTCAGAATCTTAACTTAATCTAGCATGACAGTGTTTATCACTAGTAAATGAAATATAGCACCATAGCGCCTTTCCTTACAGGGAAAAGACAAAAGCTACCTTGCACTAAACAAAAGCATCTGTTTAGAGTTTATGGTATCCAAAACAAACAAAAAAACAACAACAAAGCCAGAAAGCAAAAATGGGTCTAAAACTTTCACTGAGATAATCCCATGCCGTGGAATATGAAGATATTAAAATATCTGTCTAGAAGATGAATCACATTTTCTTCAGCTACAGAATTTTCCAGCTGTGTGAGCAATGTCTCATGAGCAAAATGAAGCTTAATGAGTGGATATTTGATGCTTTCCTTTTATGGCAGATCCTCCCTTTGTTAGAGGTTTCTTTGTGACTAACCCTATGCTTTCCCAGAATTTAAAGTCATCCACCTACTCTATAAAATATTTTTTGCAAAGAGACAAATGATAGAACAGGCTGAAAGGCTTTGTTGTGTATTTAAAGTGATCCCAACAGTTTGAAGAAGGCATCTTAGGAACCGGCTTTGGTTCAGATGAAAACTTATGAAGCATTCACTAACCAGCTTTCCTCAAGACAGCCTGCTGGCCCGCCCTACTGATGCTACCCTGCAGCATCAAGTCTGACCTGGATTTCCTGGACTTCTGCCCTGCCGGCAAGCCGTACAAAAACTTCCAGGCTGCCAGTCCCTACAAGTGGTGTGAGCTAATCCCTTAAATTTATATTTCAAATCAGACCAGCATATTCTGAAGTGAAAATTAAGGGAGGAGGAGAAATGGGCAGGATCCTGGGGAAGATGAGCAAGCCTAAGTCTGCCTATGCCTGACAGAACAGGAGAAGCTTCATGGGGTGAAAAGGGAAGCCTTTGTTCCTTAAAGGGAATTATATTGGGGCCCTTCTGCTGAACTGGTAGACTAACATGTATAGAGGCTGATTTGGACTTGGCAAGAGTATGGCCTAGAGTTCTCTCACCCTGTTATAGAGATAATGCCATTTTCTCAGTATATTCTGAAGTCTTAAGTATCTTACAAGGTTTTTTTCATGTCCTTTTGTGGCACTCAGCACTTATTTTCATGCTTTGGACATTACTGGCAATCCTAGCCCCAAAGCTACAAAGGGAATTCCAGGTTTCTGACAAGTTTTAAATGCTCCCCATGTTATTCCAGTGAATATTCCAGTGGTTATCATTGAACTACCAAAGATGACAATGAAAATGTAAGATTGACAAGAGGCTCAGCCATTAAGAGTTGTATCAAAGGGCTCAGATTCTTATTTTTAACTGGGAGAATACATATCACTCTTGTATTTGCCCAGCGATATAGACAGAACTAGGAACCAGAATCAGTGGGCTAGCAGTCTGTCAGATGTCTTAAACTACAGGTAAATTTGTATGTAAAAATCAGCCATTCAAAAGCCACTTCTGTACCAGACATTCTAGTAGGAATGCTGCTCTAAAAATTATTCAGTTACTTGCCTACCAGTATTTTGTATTTGACCTTTTTACTCTACCCCTGTTAGCTATCTCTCTTGATACATTTTATCAATATTCTTCTTAATAATTTTACTTATATTTTAGTAAAAATTTAAAAATAAAGTCATGTTAAATATGGAGAGAATTCTTTGGACTTCATAGCACTGAAAGGTTAAATCTATAGGTTAGTCTCTTAATAAGAGGCAAAAAATTTAAAAATTATAACTACCAATACTTGTGTTTAACATAAGGCAAAAAAATTTAAAAATTGTAACTGCCAATATTATGTTTAACTTTTAATGTACATATACAAAATATGTATGTTAACTAATATACATATGTACACATGACATACATATGTGTAGGACATGTATACATAATATCATACATATGACTCTAAGGTAGAATACATGTCATACATATTTACCAGTGTCTTTTAGCACTGTTCCTATGTTTTCTGAGTCCTTCACTTCAGATATTTAAGTTTTAGTGCCCATGTCTTCTATACTTAATCCTTTGATTTACCCAACCCTTAAATATGCATTGTATTAGTTTACTCTGCTGCCTATTTGGTTTGGGAACAAGGAATAAAAACAGTATTTTATTTGGAATAATGTTGGAATGGAAAATGTTTCTGTTTCAGCTTAGATAATATACAATCTACAGACTTGGACTCTTCCAAAAAATTAACAATATGATAAAAATTCTAAAATGCATAAGGTCAGGCAAGGTGGCTGGGATTATGCCTGTAATCCCAGCACTTTGGGAGGCTGAAGTGAGTGGATCACTTGAGGTCAGGAATTTGAGACCAGCCCGGCCAACATGGTGAAACCCTGTCTCTGCTAAAAATACAAAAATTAACCAAGTGTGCTGGTGCATGCCTGTACTTCCAGCTACTCGGGAGGCATGAGAATCGCTTGAACCCAGGAAGCAGAGATTGCAGTTAACCAGGATCATGCCACTGCACTCTAGACTATGCAACAGGGTGAGACTCTGTCTCAGAAAAAAAAAAAAAAAAAAAAAAAAAAGGCACAGGGACTCTTGTAGATTAAAAGAGGCTAAAGGGATATAATAACAAAATGTAACCATGAACCTTGGTTTGATTATGGGCAGTTATAAAATATTTTGAGTCATTTTGGGGAAATCTGAAAAAAAACTATCTTCAGTGATATTATGGACTTACTGTAAATTTAAGTGTTATGATGACATTTGGTTACATAGGGCAGTTCTTTATTCTTAGAGGATGCATGATGAAATATACGGTAGTAAAATGTCATGACACCTGCAATTTACATTCCAGTGGTTCAGGAAAAAAATCTGTGTGTGTGCACACATATGTACACATAGAGAGCAAAAGAACGAAAGCCCACGTAGCAAAATGGTAATTGGTGAATATAGCTGAAGGGTATATGGGTGTCATTGTACTATTATTTCTGCTCTTCTATAGATTTGAAAAGTTTGAAAACTAGGGGAAAATTTTGTAAGTTGTAAAATAATGGACTCGATGCTTTTATATTTGCCTCCTAGTCTGGGGCACTTTCTACTACTTCAGTTATGCATCTGATACACTAACTAGGTGTTAACTGATTAAATGCTCAAAAAATAAAATCACAACTTGTAAGCAACCTGTCCAATTGTGTAGTGTATTTTAAAACCTATGGCTCGAAACATAGCTTTTAAAATCTGCTGTCTTCCTACCTAAGAAAGTTTCCAAGATAGGGTAAGTTATAACCAATGTTAAAAACACAGATTTTTAAAAATTCATTTTTAGGACCTTATAAATTATGTATAGATTTATTTATAAACAGTTTATTGTATGTTTTAAAATGTTCCCCCACTCTGTTTATAGAAAAACAAGCACAAACAGATTAAAAAACAAGAATGGACTCTTAAGGATACCCTTTACAACTTCTCTTTAAAAATGAGCCTGACTAAATGTATGGATTTAAACATGCTTGAGATCCACTTCTTTTCTTTCTCTTACCTCCCCAGTGTTTTTCAATATTATACACTACTAAACCCCACCTTTATCCCAAACACTTGCTCAAAGCAACTTGACATTCTATTCGTCTCAGTTTTGCTGCACTATAACATGTTAAAACCATGCTACTTAGAACTGTAGAGAAAACCTTTCTCATTTTCTCTTCAATCTCTTAGGTTGATGCACCATCACATTTAATTGTTCAACTTTTTAAGTGGTATGTTGTAGTGCAGCTGATACAGGTGAAGACACCTCTGAATAAAATGCCCACTTTCTACTGTGGCCATATACACATTGCACAAATACATATTCACTTTTTATTTTCCTGTGGATTGCAGCATTTACTGATTTTTCAACAAACAGAATATGTGACACATCCTGGGCACATTCCATCTTGTCTTCATCCTTTCTCTAATTACAGCTCTCCATGATTGCAGGGATAAAACAAGTGAATGTGTGTGCGTAGGTCGTTATCAAACAATCCAGGTAATCAAACACCAGAATTACTGCTCTTGGTACAATATTCTTCTACATACTCTTATGTGTTATATTAGAAAACACAGCTTTTTACTATTACCTATATAATATATAGGTTAGAAAATAAGATTCATTGTTTCCATATTTATTGCCATGGTCTCTTTACAGATACAACACTTTTGAGTGCTAAAAGAATTATTTTGCTGGTCCCCAAATGTTTGGGTTTTCTTTGTTCCTTAGAATGATTATCTTAGTTTTCAGTGATGGAAGTCATATATGTGGAATTTTCTCAGATCCTAAATATTTTATTTAGTTCATCATCATATGTTACTAAACTTTAAAATAATATTTTCTGCTTGAGAGCTGGGTTAACCAAGAAGGGGATTTGAGTTCAAAATTGAACCAACCTCTGTAGACAGGGAACTGACCAGCTGAAAACTAACATGGAAATAATGTGAAGTGAAACTGATAGCAGAATTGAAAGAAATTAATTTAAGGACCCTTGACAGTTTTCCTCTATTTTTGTTTTTAGATATATTCACTCTGGAAATGTGGAGACCATTTGTAAATAAGTGTGTGAGCCTTGGTCATGGCCACATTTACCATGGTGGGGGTAGTTAAAGGAAATATTTATCTCTTTGTTATATGTAAACCTATACTAAAAATCTGTAATGAGATTAAACTTATAAAATAATATTTGAGATCCTCAGGAAATAGGATAAAAGCATTTATTATTAGCATATACATAGAATTTTGAATTTATGTTTTAAAAAATAGTTAATTTTCAAAGGTTATTCAAACCAGTACACTTCAAATGTAGGTCACTGGCTGTGTCAGAATCACTCTTTGTGTAGCTTTCAAAATACACTTATTTTCAAGTCCTGTTCCTAGATATTTAGAATTAGGAGGTCGGGGTGAGTTTCCTTAATCTGTATGTTTGTAAAACTCCTAAAGTGATACTTCTCTAATTATCTTTGGGGATCACTGTTTTAAATATTTTCTAGGGTATGTTGTTCATATTACTATATTCATTTCCTTAGCCATTTAAAAAATATTTATTAGGTAGTATGTTTTTGTTGCAGATAATAGAATATCCAGTTCAAACTGGCTTAAGTAATAAAGGGGATTTATTGGCTTATATAGCTAAAAAGTCTAGAAGTAGAATATGCTTCAGAAAAAGTTTGATTTGGGCTCCAACTTGCAACTAATCATGATTCTGAAGGCTCTGCTGTTTTTGTCATTTCTATCCTCAGGAGGTTTTCCTCATTATATTAAAATGGCTAACAGATGAGCTTTATATTCATATATCATAGTGTCCAGAATAAGAAGCTGTACTCTATAATTACCAGCAAAAGTTGTGAGTCACACTATTTGAACACCCCCGAACCCATCACTGTACAAAACAGATATGGTTATCCTGTTTGGTTTAGACTTGACCAGTCAGATCCTACCCATGGAGTTAGGGTGGTATCATTCCAATCCTATCACCACTACATAATGGGGGAGAGCATATAGATCTTGAAGTAATAATCACAAAACCTACTGTAAAATATTAAAGGGATAAACTAACGGAGCCTACTCTAAAGTAATCTTTGGGGGACTTATATCTTTTCATATATGTAAATGAAGTGCAGTGTAGACCAGTGTTTACTTTTTAGCAGATGATAGGAGGAAAGAGGGGATGAATTGTTTTTCATCAATAACTTTTCCTCCCAGTATTTTACTGTGAAAAATTTCAAACATAGAATTTGAAAGAATTGTACAGTGAACACCTATAAACCCACTATCTCCACTCTATTAATATTTTGGTATATTTTCTTTTTCTGTTGCTTTATCAGCTGTTCATCTTCCATTGTAGGGATCTTATTTTTTAATGCACTTCAAAGTTACTTTGTTATACTTTACCCCTAAACACTTAAATATGCATATCATTAATTGAGTTATTGATGACCATTTGATTAAGAACCTCATACATACAAAGCTCTCTTGGCTTAAGGCCTTAATATGAATCAGATTTGTATGGACGTTGTAATGGTAATTTCTGAAAGAATTATTCAAAGATAGAACCAAGAGTGAAATATGCATTTACACCTTTTACACATGTTATGTTATGCCCTCTTTATAAAGTTTCATTTGTGGTATATGACAAAACGTATGTATTTAAGGTCTCTTCAGTGAAAGTACGGAATACCAAAGTTGTTGATATGTTGGGCGTCTTTTTCTTTAAGTTTGTTACTTACCTAATTAGTTTTACTTAGGAAACCAGTTAACTGGCAATCTGTTGTTATCAGCTAGACCAAAAGAAAACCTCAAGAAAATGCAGGTTTCTGGTAAATTTATTAGTGTAGTTGACATTTTCCCACCTGCTTATCAGAAACAACCATGTGGACACTGTTTGAAAATAGAAAGTTATAAAAATACTTAGGAAAAAATTGTAAACATTAGATAATTGAATGAACTGTCCCAGAACTAAAATTAAATTGATACCCACTTAGAATATAGTAATTCATTGCTATGTCTTTTGGTATTGTAAATATAGTTACCCTGTTTTAACTTTTAAAGAGGATCCTAAAAGGCTTTGAATTAACAAGTTTAAATGAGAGCATAAAATGTAGAACATAAAAATCACAGACTTTTGATAAATGGTTATTGATACATTTTAATTTATTAAATAGCATTTAGGACATCTCACTTTTTACTTCTGTTTTTGGAATGTCAGCTATATTTCCTTAAGGCAGACTGTTGAATCAGAATATCCCATTCAGAGCTTTCTAACTGGTCCGTCACACTGGTGTGCCACTAATGTGTGACAAATAAGCTGAGATAGTAATTTTCTTGCCCAGGGGTTACTGCCATAGCCTGGAGCTGCTTAATCACCCTTTCTCTTTCCTCAGTTTATCTAGTGTGCCTTAGAAGTTGTTTTCTGAGTGTGTGTGCATGTGTTTATGTATGTGTGCCTCACCACAGAAGCAATGACTTAATGGTCATTATAGTCCAACTTTTTGTTTGTAAAAGTTTTGCGGAAGAAACCCAACATTAAGCTTTATTAAATTTTATTTAAATCTAAATAAGACAACTATATAATTGGATTTAATAAAAAATATAGTTTTCCTTTTTGAAATTCTTTTTTCCACAGTGAATAGAAGTTCAAGAAACACTTTTAAAGTTAAAAATATTCCATCTGTTTTATCATAAAGTTTCTTAGCTTCCCTGTTTTATCCATCTTTATTGTTGTAAAATTTCTTAGCTTCACTGTTTTTCATCAAATGCTATCTTTCCTCCAAAGAAATCAAAGTGCTATTACAAAGTTTTTAGCTAGACCCTACTAAGACCCACCTTTGGAAAAAACATCTTTGGAGTCACTTGGTAGCTTTTGTATAACAACTTTAATGATTTTTGTTTTACCAGAATTTTTTTTCATTGCAAGTTTCTCTGGAGGAAAGAATTGGTGTTAATTATTGTTACTAGTCATTCTACAGCCTTTCAAACCTAAAGTCTTTCTGCATTCTTGAACTTCTCTCTTACAATGTTAGAGGTTACCTTGGCCTTTGTCATCTTATTTGCCCTGAAAATATTATATTATCCCACATATTATTGCTATGAGATGTCCAAAATCCTCAAGAACTTTACCTTTATTAAGGACGAGATTCAAAGATACTTTTCTCCAAGTTGGATTCCATATTGCAAACATCTAACCTTTCTATCTCATCCAGACGGGTTTCTTCCTAGTAGTGGATTTCACTTTTCATCTAACCAACCAAGGGAGTGAGTATGACCTCATACCAAAATTAGGCCCCCCCTGCCCTCGCTCCCGCCAAAAAAAAAAAAAAACACCTAAAAGGACAGCTGAGCATATGTATCCAAATGGGTGATTCTTATCAAATTAGTCCCCCTTGGAAGTATATCAGTTTACTGACATGCTTACTCAGACACTTCTTATGTCACATATGGGATTTGGAGAATACCTCCTATGAGAATAATGATTTTGTTTCTTTTATATGAATGAGCATTCTTCCTCGTGTTTTTTTTCCCCTTATTTCTACATTCTTCCTGTTTCACTCACTCTCTTATTCTCTGTTTGATGTCATCCTTTTCCACTTTGAGGGTATACAGACAGAACTGACAATGGAGTAAGTCCAGAGCCAAGGAAAATCTTAGGGTGAGATAGTTATGAAACAGACTGAATTTTAATGGTGAGTTTATCTTTCTTATATTACTCTTTTGTTCTTATTCTGTGCCTTTGAAATATTTCTTTTTTTTTTTTTTTTTTTTTTTTTGAGATGGAGTCTCCCTCCATCGCCAGGCTGGAGTGCAGTGGCGCAATCTCGGCTCACTGCAACCTCCACCTCCCGGGTTCAAGCGATTCTCCTGCGTCAACCTCCTGAGTAGCTGGGATTACAGGCGCCTGCCACCATGCCTGGCTAGTTTTTGTATTTTTAGTAGAGACAGCGTTTCACCATGTTGGCCAGGATGGTCTCGATCTCTTGACCTCGTGATCCGCCTGCCTCGGCCTCCCAAAGTGCTGGGATTTCAGGCATGAGCCACCGCGCCTGGCCCAAAATATTTCATTTTAAAAATGGGTGATTAAAAACAAGAGGCAGACATAAGCGCATGTAAATGGTATTGGACAGCTTGTGTGTTTAATATGAGTCATTAGCTTAGTGCCGTTAATGCAAGTAGCTGTAGCATTTCATCTTCAATTCTTTATATATTGTAGTTCCCATTTAAATTATCAGAGGCTAAAATAAATATTAAAGTAAATACATAGACTTTTGTAACAAATCCAAGAAAGAAAATTTGCTTGATTCTTTGCATAAATCTCTATCTGCTTAATTGTTTCTCATGTTCAGAATGCTATAAATTAAGGTGAAAAATGTATTGACCATCTGTATGACTCTTAGGCAACCAGTTCACTCAATCTTTCATTTACGTTTCCTCATCTATGAAGTAGGAATAATAATATTACCTGTCACACAGGATCATTGTGATGATTACACATAAGCAGCTTAGAAAACTCCTGGCACATTATAAGTGCCAGTATTTCTCCACCAGAGCTCCACAAGAGAATTAAACTCTACAGAAAATGGTTTGAGTAAACTACATTGACTCCTGAACAACACAGGGATTAAGGGTGCTGATCCCTGCACAGTGGAAAATCTATGTATAACTTTTGACTCCCCCAAAACTTAACTACTAAGAGCTTACTTTTGACTAGAAGCCTTATTGATAACATAAACAGTTGATGAACACATTTCGTATGTTACATGCATCATAGACTGTATTCTTAAAATAAGCTAGAAAAAAGAAAATGTTATTAAGAAAATCATAAGGAAGAGAAAATATATTATTCATTAAATGGAAGTGGATCATGGCGACAGTCTTCATTCTTATCTTCACATTGATTAGGCTGAGGAGGAGGAGGAAGAGAAGGGGTTGTCTTGCTGTCTCAGGGTGGCAGAGGCAGACGAAAGTCCACATATTTGTGGACCTGCACAGTTCAAAGCCATGTTATGGGTCAACTGTATTTTCTCAGTTCTTCCAAGGATGGTACCTGGTAGTACTCTAGATGCACAGGCATGAAATCATACACATACAATGATGCTTTAGACGTTAGGGCTTAATCCTTTGGGAATCTCAAATGAGAAGGGCTCATAAGTGTTGTACCTGTTCAATATATAATAGCTATTATTATTTTGGTTGCAAGTGGCAAAAATCTGTATTTTTTTCTTTTTCTTTTTTCCTTTTTTTTTTTTTTTAAGATAGGTTTTTGCTGTCTCCCAGGCTGGAGTGTAGCGACATGAACACAACTCACTGCAGCTTCAACCTCACAGACTCAAGCAATCCGCCCGCCTTACCCTCCCTGGTAGCTGGGACCACAGGTGCCCATCACCATGCCCAGCTAATTTTTTTTAATGTTTTTGTAGAGACAGGGTCTTGCCATGTTGCCCAGGCTGGTTTTGAACTCGTGGGCTCAAGCAGTCTTCCACCTTGGCCTCTGAAAGTGCTAGGAATACAGTCATAAGCCACCACGCCCAGCCAGAAATTTATTTTTAAACTGGTTTAAATAATAAAGAGACTTTATTGTTCCATGTAAATGAGAAAACAGGGAAGGCCTCAGAGATTATTTGATTAGGACTCTGACTTAGTATCTCTGTTAGTTATTCTGTTAGTTCAGCCTTTTCTCTGGCAGTTGGGTCAAACTAATATTTCTAACCAAATTTTCAAAAGAATAATATATATTTTTCCTAAATATGGGCTTGTGGCTAAAAAGCATAAGGTGTATTTTGTATATATTTTAGAAGCCTAGCATATTTGGAATATAGTAATTGTTAAATAAGACAGTTTTGGCTTAGATAACTGTATCTGATATTAGTATGTGTAAATATGCAGTTATGCATTGCTTAACTAGAATATGTTCTGAGAAATTCATACTTAGGCAATGTCATCAGTGTGTGAATCATAGAGTGTGCTTACACAAACCCAGATGGTATAGCCTACTACTCACCTAGGCTATATGGTATAGCCTATTTCTCCTAGGCTACAAACCTATACAACATGTTACTCTACTGAATACTGTAGGCGGTTGTAACACAATGGTCAGAAGTTGTGTATCTAAACATAGAAGAGGTACAGTAAAAATATGATATAAAAGATTTAAAATGGTACACCTGTATAGAGCATGGTACCATGAATGGAGCTTGCAGGACTGAAAGTTGCTTTGGGTGAGTCAGTGAGTGAATGGCCTACATTACTGCACACTACTGTAGACTTTATAAACACAGTACAGTTAATCTATACTGTAAATTTATTTTCTTTTTCTTCAATAATAAATTAACCTTAGCTTAGTGTAACTTTTTCACTTTATAAACTTAATTTTTTTTAACTTTTTGACTCTTATAATAACACTTAGTTTAAATATATTGTATGGCTGTACAAAAATATCTTCTTTCTCTGTGTCTTTATTCTATAAGCTGTTTTTTTAACTCTTTAAACTTTTTTATTAAAAACTTAGGCACATGGCCGAGCGTGGTGGCTCACGCCTGTAAATCCCAGCACTTTGGGAGGCCAAGGCGGGTGGGCGGAACACTTGAGGCCAGGAGTTCAAGACCAGACTGGCCAATGTGGTGAAACCCCGTCTCTAATAAAAATATAAAAATTAGCTAGGCATGGTGGTGTGCGTCTGTAGTCCCAGCTACTCAGAAGGCTGAGGCACGAGAATCGCTTGAACTTGGGAGGTGGAGGTTGCAGTGAGCCGAGATTGTGCCATTGCACCCCAGCCTGGACAGAGGGGCACTCTGCCTCAAAAAAAAAAAAAAAAAAAAAAAAGCAGGCACACACATTATTCTCTGCTTACATAGGGTCAAGATCATCAGGATCACTGTCTTCTACCTCTACATCTTGTCCCACTGGAAGATCTTCAGGGGCAATAGTATTACACATGGAGCTGTCATCTCCTATGAGAACAATGCTTTCTTCTGGAATATCTCTTGTAGGACCAGGCTGAAGCTTACAGTTAATTTTTCTTGTATAAATAAAAAGAATACACTAAAATAATAAAAAATATAGTATGTTAAATACATAAATCTGTAACATAGTCATTTATTATTGTCAATTATTATCCACTGTGCATAATTGTATATGCCATACATTTATACAACTGGCAGCACAGTAGATTTCTTTACACCAGCACCACCACAAACACGAGTAATGTGTTTTACTATGACATTGTACAACTACAATGTCACTAGGCATTACGAATTTCTTATTATAATCTTATGGGACCATCATCATGTATTCATTCCGTCATTGACCAAAACATCATTATGTGGAACATGACTGCATAAGAAAAAATTTTTAAGTCTATAGAAGCTGTAGTTGGGCTTTTATATCTATGCAAATATTAATTACACTAAACCACTTCAGCAGGCCATATTCTAGTAAAAGGTTTTTAAGACAGATTGTCAAAAGAAAGAGAACAAAGCAAAACAAACAAAAAACAGGGAGTTTTTAGGAATAAGTCGATGAAAGGAGTTGAAGAACAAACTAAGGGTAGTTAGAGATACAATTTGGGTAGGGAGGACAGTTAACACAGAACAGCAGTGTTGTTGGAAAGATGCTTGACCCTATAGGAGTGCTACCCACTCTGTCGCTAGAACATTTCTTTTTTTTTTTTTTTTTTTTGCTCGGGCTGGAATGCAGTGGCGCAATCTCAGCTCACTGCAACCTGCGCCTCCCAGGTTCAAGCGATTCTCCTGCCTCAGCCTCCTGAGTAGCTGGGATTACAGGCACACACTACCACACCCGGCTAATCGTTTGTATTTTTAGTAGAGACAGGGTTTCACCATGTTGGCCAGGCTGGTCTTGAATTCCTGACCTCAGGTGATCCACCTGCCTCGGCCTCCTGAAGTGCTGGGATTACAGGCATGAGCCACCGCGCCTGGCCTGTTGCTAGAACAGTTCTATTTGGTACTTCCTGCCAATGATGTTAGTATACAGTATGTAGGATGAAGTTGGAGGGTAGAGTTGACCAGTCAGAGGACTAAGTCAGAGGATGTTCAAGGTCCCTTCTGACTGTGATTTTAAATATGGGAGGAATCTCCACATTGACAAATGCTTTTCACAGCAACCCATTTCTCTCAAGGTAATTGTAAGACACGTTTTAAACCTGCTTTTAAAAAAACCTGTAAATACTTGGATATTACTAAGGTAACTTTTACAGGAATTTCAAAGCTCTCTAAAGTTAGAATGTGTATCTTTCTGCTCCATATGTACTGATATTGAATGATCTTCAAGTTGTATTATTGAGAGATAATAGCAAAGTACAGAGTAGCATACATAGTGTCTGTAGTATGGATAAACGTGTGCATGTATTCATGTGTGTTTGATTATATATGTGTAAAATATCGTGGAAAGACTACACCAAAAAACTGTTAACAATTGTTGTCTCCATGAAAGGAAACTGGGTGATTGGCAACTGTTAAAAGTAAGCCCATACTCTTTTGGTATCAGGAGTTACTCAGTAGTTTCAGTAGATGGCTCCGGATCAGAGCTGCTTAACATTTTAAGCATCAACACATGGCTTCCTAATTATAAATAATCTGGAGACATCAAAAACAATTCTAGTTTCACTGTTTAATAAGTTCTTTATCTAGGCCAGGCATGGTGGCTCACGCTGTAATCTCAGCACTTTGGGAGGCCAAGGTGGGCGGATCACCTGAGGTCAGGGGTTCGAAACCAGCCTGGCCAACATGGCAAAACCCTGTCTCTACTAAAAATACAAAAATTAGCCAGGCGCAGTGCTGGGCACCTGTAATCCCAGCTACTCAGGAGGCTGAGGCAGGAGAATTGCTTGAACCCAGGTGGCAGAGGTTGCAATGAGCCGAAATCGCGCCATTGCACTCCAGCCTGGGTGACAGCGAGAGTCCATCTCAAAAAAAAAAAAAAAAATCTTTATCTGAAAAATAATTTATGTTCGTTTTCAGGTGGTATAAGAAAAAGTGCCTCTCTTCACCAATCTATATCCCTAGAAAATAGTCCCAGTGCTCACCTGAAACAAACTCTTAGGATCAGAAGCAGCTTTTAATCAGCTGTATCTGGGACTTCCAGTCCACATCGAGAGCTAATTAACCAGAGGAGACTCAAAGTTGTCCTCCCCTTTTTAGAGTGATTTGGACAACTTTTTCTTTTTTTTCCCCCCTTTTCTGTTCCCCAAGCAAAAGCAGATTCCCAAGAATGAAAGAATATGGGAAGCTTGCCATCTTCTTGACTAAGTATTGAATCCCTTACGGTATGAATAGAAAATCATCTGCCCTCAAAATAACTAGATAAATTACTTTGAAATTCTAGGGTAATTTTTTCATCAGTAGATCCATTCAATTACTGATTTCTGAGACTCTTTCAAAAGATATATTTTATAAATTATATTTATTATAAACAACCTTTATTAAGCATTTTTAAAGAAATAATCACACCTGAGGTCAGAAGTTTGAGACCAGCCTGACCAGCATGGAGAAACCCTGTGTCTACTAAAAATACAAAATTAGCCAGGCGTGGTGGCACATGCCTGTTAATCCCAGCTACTCTAGAGGCTGAGGCAAGAGAATTGCTTGAACCCGGGAGGCAGAGGTTGCGGTGAGCCGAGATGGCACCGTTGCACTCCATCCAGCCTGGGCAACAAGAACGAAACTCTGTTTCTAAATAAATAAATTAATTAATTAATTAAAGCATAGTTCATTATGAATTGTTTGTCAGAGGTAGTTTGAGAATGGATTTGTTCAGAATTCAGGTGATTAAAGGGTATGTGCCTATGCTTTTCCTATACCTTGAACTATTTGAGTACATGCTGTGAAAAATTGCCTCTTGTTTTTGCTTTGTTGTTTTGTCACAAAACAGAAAGAAGAAGGAAAGCTTCAAGGACAGCTTAACAAGTCTGATTCTAACCAGTATATTGGGGAACTGAAAGATCAGATAGCAGAGCTGAATCATGAGGTAAGTGATAAATTTTGATCTTCACATATTGCTTTCTTCCTTCCTCTGTATTGTAACAACACTTTATTACTGGTTATAAGACTGACACTTTCATGCTGAATATCTTCTGTGAATTATTGGTTATAATTAATAACATTTTTGAAAATTGTCTTTTTAGCAAGGATCTTCTGTTCTAATATTGGGGATTTATTTCCCTTAACCTCATTAGCATGACCTAGAATGATAAATTAATATTTTCATGGCAAATATTTTATTTTTTTATTGTGGTGTAAAAACTCTTGATAGTTTGCATAGATGTCAAAGTTACTTTAACTAAACTAAAATTTTGCTTATACCTATAGAATAGATTTGTGGTATTTACCGTTGCATGCAGAAGGAAGTCTTTTTACTCTTGTCTTCTTTTACCGCTCATGATGGTATTACTGAGATTGCAAAAAAGGATACTTGCCTAATATCAGTTAACAGATTTCTTAGTATCTGAATGCTTTTTAAACTGGTACTACCTTGAATCTGTGAGATTCAACTCACAAAATTTTCAGTTTTACCAAGTACTATACTGAGTAATTTAAAGTATTTAGTATGTTTTGATTAGAGAGATATGTTAATGTGGCTCGAGGTCAATTTTCTTATCCTTTATTATTTTCTGTTTTAATGATAATATTTGGCTAAACACTAATGGAATACCATCTTTCTTGTTTTGAATTATTTATAAAATAATGTTTATTCACAGTGATGAGATTTGAGAGGGTAGTATAACCTTTATTTGTTTAAAAAGAAGAAGAAAGAGAAATTTTGACCACTAGATGAATTTAAACCTCACAGGAAAAAGTTTAGACGTTACCCTTTCCTGGTATTACACCCTTCAGTTAAAGTCTGTATGTTTTGGGTAATACCTCCTGGAGGTAGTCAGTCTAAGAGTTAATTCTAAATGAAGAAGAAACAAAACATAAACAAAAACAGTAAATCTTAGATGTGGCTCAGTTTAATTTGTTTTGAAATTTGGGGAATCATTCCTGTAAATATCAATTTTCAGCCATGATAACATATGAGGGATTCAGGATCTTACATATAATCTTTACCTATTTGTGTGTATTTATTATAATTTTTTTTTTTAGACGGAGTCTCGCTCTGTCGGCCAGGCTGGAGTGCAGTGGTGCAATCTCTGCTCACTGCAAGCTCCGCCTCCCAGGTTCATGCCATTCTTCTGCCTCAGCCTTCTGAGTAGCTGGGACTACAGGCGCCCGCCACCAGGCTGGCTAATTTTTTGTATTTTTTTAGTAGAGACGGGGTTTCACTGTGTTAGCCAGGATGGTCCTGATCTCCTGACCTCATGATCCGCCCGTCTCAGCCTCCCAAAGTGCTGGGATTACAGGCATGAGCCACTGCACCTGGCCTATTATAATATTTTTAAATCGATAGCCATAGTGTGAAAGAACAAGTTACAATTAAGTGTGTTGTAGAAATCTTTATTCTTTTGAGAACCCCAGGAATTATTTATGTTCAAAAGGTGTTCTCAGAGGAAATTGTGATTAAAATAAAGCAACCTCCCATTTAAAATTTTGATGTCTCATTATAAGGAAGCTTTAATGTTGCTGAAACAAGAAAGTTACGTATAGATTGACTTTATTTCTAAAACTAATGTAAAAGTCAGTCAACAAACATTAACTTTCCCTGTCATATGCTTTGACTAAAAATAATGATATTCTGACCAGGTGTGGGCGCACGCCTATAATCCCAGCACTTTGGGAGGCTGAAGCAGGCAGATCACTTGAGGTCAGGAGTTTGAGACCAGCCCATCCAACATGGTGAAACCCCTATCTCTACTAAAAATACAAAAATTAGCCAGGCATGGTGGTGTGTGCCTGTAACCTAGCTACTGGGGAGGCTGGGGCAGGAGAATCGCTTGAACCTGTGAGGCGGAGGTTGCAGTGAGCTGAGATCATGCCACTGCACTCCAGGCAGCAGAGTGAGACTCTGATAGATAGATAGATAGATAGATAGATAGATAGATAGATAGATAGATAGATAGATAGGATAGATTAGATAGATAGATAGATAGATAGATAGATAGATAGATAGATAGATAGTCAGTCTCATCAGGACTGCCAGAAAATAACTCACATGAAGTTTAACTTTAATGTCAGTTTTTTACGTGTGGCCTAAGAAAGCAGTCTTACCTTATACAAACATGAAAAGAAAATTAATCAACAGAGTAGAATTTTCTACTGTTAAAATTAAAAGCTAGATTGTGCAGATTTAAAGAGTGGAAACCAAACTGCATCTTTTTGAAAAGAAAGGAAAAAAAACCTTTAAAGCATTTTTATTTATTAATACCCTTCCTTGTTGCAGATAGAATTAAGGAAATTTGCAACTGCTACAAAATAATAAACTACAATTTTGGGAGAAAAAGGAAAGAAAAAAACTGTAGAAATATAATATGGAAGCATGAATAAGACCATTATAAAAATGCTTACCATAAAAATATCTCTTTCCTGTAAGTGGGCCTCAGATTTGGCTCTAAGGCTTTTAGCAGCCAACGCAAAAGAAAACCTGGTCACTTAAACATTTCAGAGTGTCTATGTGATGAAAACAGACCAATTAGCTAGAAGAGCCACATCTATTCCTGATACTAAGATTAAATAACAAGTTCTCCACTGCTTCCTCACAAAGGAGACCTAGTGAGTTCCCTGGTTATTATCCTTAACATTTGAATGGCTTCATAATCATGAAAGTTAGATAAAGAACAGAAGCTTTAAAAAAAAAAAAAAGCTTTTGTAGGCTGGGTGCAATGGCTCATGCCTGTAATCCCAGCACTTTGGGAGACCGAGGTTGGAGGGTCACTTTAGCCCAGGAGTTCGAGACCAGCCCGAGCAATATAGGGAGACCCCATCTCTATTAAAAATAATAATAATAAATGCCAGGCCTGGTGGCATGCACCTGTGGCCCCAGCCACTCCAGTGGCCGAGGCAGGAGGATCACTTGAACCCAGGAGGTCAAGGCTGCAGTGAACCGTGATCACTGAAACGTGATCACCACTGCACTCCAGCCTGGGTGTCAAAGCAAGACCCTGTCTCAAAAAAAAAAGAAAAAAAAGTTTTGTATAGCAGCATAGCATACAGAGACGTGTCCAAGTCAAAAGTTTACAGCTCAATAAATTATCACAAAATGATCACACTCATGTAGGTACTACCTAGGTCCAAGAAATAGACCCAAGAGCCCTGTTCATACTCTTTCAACCCGTACTCTCTCCCTTCTACTCAAAGGTAACCATGATCTCAGACTTCTAATACAGTAGTTTAACTTTTTGAACTTTATATAAATGGATTCTTGCAGTATGTTTTCTTTTGTGTCTTGCTTGTTTTGCTCAACATTGTTTGTGAGATTTTACTTTGTCATTTTAAAATGTAGCTGTAGGTTGTTCATTTTCATCACTGTGTAATTTTCCTTTGCATAAATATACCATGATTTATTCATCTACTGTGTTGGTGAACATTTGGATTATTTCCAGTTGGTCTGTTAAGAACATTGCTTTAAGTGATTTATGCCAGTTTATACTGTCTATAAGCAGTGAAGAAAGTTCTTACTGTTCTACATCCTCATCAACATGTGGAATTGTCAGTCTTTCTTATTTTAGCCATTCTGTGACTATGAAGAGATTTCTCATTATGGTTTTAATGTGCATTTCCCTGATTATTAATGAGATTGAGTACTTTTCCCCCAGTATATAGAACAATGATGGCATGTAGTAGGTACTATGTGAAAATGTTTCTAATGAAAAAATGATGTTTGTGAAAGGTTTTGCAGATGAGGTCACATATAAGTTGCATGGGAATGCCAAGAAGCTTTTTTTTTTTTTTTTTTTTTTTTTGAGAGGGAGTCTTGCTCTGTCTCCCAGGCTGGAGTGCACTGGCGCGATCTTGGCTCACTGCAACCTCTGCCTCCCGGGTTCAAGCAATTCTCCTGCCTCAGCCTCCCGAGTAGCTAGGGTTACAGGCACACACCACCATGCCTGGCTAATTTTTGCATTTTTTTAGTAGAGACGGAGTTTCACCATGTTGACCAGGCTGGTCTCGAACTCCTAACCTTGTGATCCGCCTGCCTCAGCCTCCCAAAGTGCTGGGATTACAGGCATGAGCCACCATGCCCAGCCAGAATCCTCTTAATGTGTGAAAATCAGTGGAAAGAGTATTCCAGACAGAAGAAACAACTAGCCCAAAGACCCTAGAAGAAAATGAAATGGTTATTTTGAGAAACAATGCTAGTGTGGCTGGAGTATAGTGAAGGGTAGGAAAAATGGTATAAGATAAAATTAGAGAGGCAAGTGAGGTCAGATTGCAATTGGTCCTCTGTATCCGTGGATTTTGCATCAGTGGATTCAACCAATCGTGGATCAAAAATATTTTTTAAAGACTATTGCATCTGTATCTGTACTGAACATCTACAAATTTTATTCCTTATCATTATTCCCTAAACAATACAGTATAACAGTTTATATTGCATTAACATTGTATTAGGTATTATAAGTTATCTAGAGATGATTTGAAGTATACAGGAAGTCAGGCATAGGTTATATGC
Organism: Homo sapiens; assembly: GCF_000001405.40. Classification (NCBI taxonomy): domain Eukaryota; kingdom Metazoa; phylum Chordata; class Mammalia; order Primates; family Hominidae; genus Homo; species Homo sapiens. The sequence goes on along the minus strand of NC_000001.11, from coordinate 92,559,066 downwards.
AAATATGCCATTTGATATAAGGGACTTGTGCATCCATGGGTTTTAGTATCCTTGGGACATCCTGGACCCATTCTCCCACAGATACTGAGGGACAACTGTATAGTGCTTTGTAAACCACGGTGTATAGTGGAAAGCCTTTGGATGTTTGTTGTTGTTGTTAGGGGTTTTTTTGGTTGGTGTTGTTTGGGTTTTTTTGTTTTGTTTTGTTTTGCCCTTTTTTTTTTTTTTTAGAGATGGGGGTCTCACTATGTTGCTCAGGCTGGCCTCTGACTCCTGGGCTCAAGTGATCCTTCCACCTTAACTTCCTGAGTAGCTGGGACTACAGGGCTGCACCACCATGCCTGCCTTCTTTGGATGGTTTCATACAGAAAATTTTATAATTTCATTTGCTCTGCCTGCTGTACAGTGAACTGATTGTAGAAGAGAAAGAGTGAGAACAGGGAAATTCATCAGGAGTCTGTTACAATGGTCCAGATAAGATCAAACATGGCTTAGAAGGATGGAAGAAGTGGAAATGTAATGCGGCTGTGTTAGAAGTATGTTTATCTCATAACAAAAAACATTCATTGGCTCCAGAGAGTTTTGGCTTGAGTAATTGAGTGAATGATTGGTTGGTGCCATTGACCAGCATAGAGAAAGGTAAACAAGAGCTCTATTTTTATGCTAAGATTTGTAGTAAGGTTGAGATTCCTTACTGCAAATGAAGATATCAGATAGGCAGTGGATATGAGTCTGAAATTCTGAAGAGAGGTCAGGGCTAAAAATAATTGTAGCCATCACTGGCATGTGAATGGCGTTCATATATAAAGAGAAGGGTGTCCAGGAGCAAGTTCTGAAGTTCTCCCAACCTTTAGGGTCAAGAGAGCCAGGAGAGGACCAAAACCACCAGGGAGATAGGCGGGAAACTGGAGAGTATGAAGACACAGGAGTCCCAGAAGGAGGAAGGGATCATTTCAGCGTAGTTATTTAAATCAGATTTTAAACTTCCCTGATCCTTTTGAAGAATAAACTTATTAAGACAGATTTTTTGGCCAGGCACGGAGGCCCATGCCTATAATCCCAGCACTTTGGGAGGCTGAAGCAGGTGGATCACTTGAGGTCAGGAGTTTGAGACTAGCCTGGCCAACATGGAGAAACCCTGTCTCTACAAATAAATAAATAAATAAATACAAAAATTGGCTGGGCGTGGTGGTGCGCGCCTGTAGTCCCAGCTACTTGGGAAGCTGAGGTGGGAGGATTGCTTGAGCCTGGGAACCAGAGGTTGCAGTGAGCAGAGATCACACCACTGCACCCCAGCCTGGGCGACACAGTGAGATCCTGTCTCAAGAAAAAAAAAAAAAGTTTTCTTCGGAATTTTTTATGATTTGTCAGAGAACAATGGATGATTTAAGAAAGAACTTGAAAGGAGAAATGTTCTATCTCTAAATACTACTGACTGAAACACCCTTCCTGAAGAAATTAGAGAAACAGCCCTTCATGGTGGCTCATGCCTGTTATCCCAGCACTCTGAGAGGCTGCGGCAGGCAGATCATCTAAGGTCAGGAGTTTGAGACTAGCCTGGCCAACATGGCTAAACCCCGTCTCTACTAAAAATAAATAAATAAATAATACAAAAATTAGCAGGACATGGTGGTGCGTGCCTGTAACCCCAGCTACTCAGGAAGCTGAAGCACGAGAATGGCTTAAACCTGGGAGGCGGAGGTTGCAGTGAGCCAAGATCTCACCACTGCACTCCAGCCTGGGCCACAGAGACTCCGTCTCAAAAAAACAAAAAAAGAAAAAGAAAAAAGAGAAATGTAAGCTATTTCAAGATAAAGCTGGAAAAAAAAAAGAACTATTTTGGTATGCTATAAACAAAATAAAACTCAGGTAGATAAAACCAACTTACTTTGTAGGAATAATCATTGTATTGGTTTCTACTACCCAGAAGGTCTTCTGTCATCCTGTCTTTTTTGTTGGGAAGGCAATTTTTCTAAGTTAAATTATGTGTCACAGGAAGCTTTTTTTAAGTAGGTGATTAGGAATTTGAGTAAATAAAAAGAAATCTAAATAAAGCCTTTACTGAAGTTTGACTTAGAAAATGTTTATATAGACAGGAATGGTAGTGTGGGCCTTGTAGTTCTGGTTACTTGGGAGACTGAGGCAGGAGGCTTGCTCTGAACCCAGGAGTTTGAGGTTGCAGTGAGCTAAGATCATGCCACTGCACTCCAGCCTAGGTGACAGTGAGACCCTAACTCTAAAAAAAAAATAAAAGGGTAAGAAAAAAATTATGTGAATATTCCTTAAGTTTTTAAATTCTGATATCTGTTTATATAAACCTGAGCTATGGATTTAAATATATATCAAAAAGTATTTTTAATGTCCTAGATATTCTTAATGTAGTTTTTAATACATGTACTCATTTTGTTACTAAACTGGAATTTTTGAAATAAGGAACTTTAACAATCAGATGACAATACATTAAGTCCTCACTTAACATTGTCAGTAGGTTCTTGGAAACTGAGACTTCAGAGTGAAAGACATATAACATGTCCATGAATAATGTCGTTTTGTTTATGATGATGAGGGGAAAAGTTTGGTTTCTTTATATGTCATCTTACTTAAAATGACAGTTTCCAAGAACCTATGGAAAACTTTAAGTGAGAACTTACTATATGTCCTCTTATATTTCTTTGGATTTTTTTTTCCTTATGCTTGTATTTTTCTATTTAAAGCAGTGGCTCACGCCTGTAATCCCAACACTTTGGGAAGCCGAGGCGGGTGAATCACAAGGTCAGGAGTTTGAGCCCAGGCTGGCCAACATGGTGAAACCCCGTCTCTACTAAAAATACAAAAATTAGCCAGGCATGGTGGTGTGCACCTGTAATCTCAGCTACTGGGGAGGCTGTGGCAGGAGAATCGCTTGAACCCAGGAGGCGGAGGTTGCAGTGAGCCAAGATCACACCACTGCACTCCAGGCTGGGGGACAGAACAAGACTTCATCTCAGAAAAAAAAAAAAAAGAAAGAAAGAAAAAAGTGGTTAATAAGATCTTTTTAAGGCTCATTCAGCATTGCTCTTCATCTAGGGATTAAAACTAAAATACTAAAGGTAGAAAAGAACTTAGTCATCTGGTTCTGTAGTTGTTGGCAGCTATTTTTTTTCTTTATTTCATACTGAATGATACTGTTTTTTGGTTTATTTAACTTCATGCTTATTCCTTTTTTTTTTTTTTTTTTTGAGACGAGTTTCACTCTGTCACCCAGGTTGGATTGCAGTGGCACAGTCTCGGCTCACTGCAACCTCCACCTCCTGGGTTCGAGTGATTCTCCTGCCTCAGCCTCCTAAGTAGCTGGGACTACAGGCACATGCCGCCACACCTGGTTAATTTTTTGTATCTTAGCAGACACAGGGTTTCACCGTGTTGCCCAGGCTGGTCTTGAACTCCTGAGCTCAGGCAGTCTGTGCCCCTCGGCCTCCCAAAGTGCTAGGATTACAAGCATGAGCCACCACGCCCGGCCATGCTTATTCTTATTTCTATTTCTACCAGTCTTTATTTCCTTTTAGGTAACACAAAGTTCCAAGTATGTTACCTAGTTTACAGAGTGGTACTCAAGAAGAGAATTAACATTCTTACTGTAAAACTTCATTGATAACAATAGTCTACTTCTAGAAACAGAAATAAGAATTAAAAACAGTGCTATCTATTTGTACTGGTGAGTGAATTTTAACTTTTAAGAAAATTTTAATGTTTAAGAAGAACTTCAGTGTATGGAGTTACAAGCTATCCTGAATATTTTTATAATAGAAAGTATTAGTTTTCCCAGTGTGGCAGCTTCTTAATAAAAGAAATTATTCCCTTAAATTTGTTCTTTCTCTAATTAGAGCAGTGTAAAGTACCATGCAGAAGTTTCAGGATCTCATACAACCAAGTAAATAGGGTTTTTATCCCCCTACCCAGAAGGTCCCATGTAGATAATGAAAGATTGTATTTGCCATTCTGTGAAAATTGCTTTAAGCCCATCAAATGCATACACTGCTTTTTAATCTTACAGCCTCCACTTATATTTTAAAAACCCATTCTTTTCTTTCTTTCTTTCTTTTTTCTGGAGACAAGGTCTTGCTCTGTGGCCCAGCTGGAGTGCAGTGGTGCCATCACCACTCACTGCAGCCTCAACCTGCTGGGCTCAAGTGATCCTCCGACCTCAGCCTCCTGAGTAGCTGGGACTACAGGTGTGCGAGACTGCACCTGGGTTGGTTGGTTTGTTTTTGTTTTTGTTTTTGTAGAGACAGGGTCTCACTGTGTTGCCAAGGCTGGTCTGGAACTCCTGGGCTCAAGGGATCTCCCTGTCTTGGCCTCTGAAAGTGCTGGGATTACAGGCATCAACTACTGTGCCCAGCAAAAACTCATTCTTAATGACTTCTTTAAATGAGTAGCTATTACTCCTTTTCCTCTTATATGTTCTGTTTTATCTTGGATAAGCAGTTTATCTTATTTAAAGTCCATTTTAGAAATTATTGTGCAGATTTTTATATTTGGAACAATAGCGCTATGTAAAATACTTAAAGCTGAGATTTAAGAATCATATTTTTTAAACCAGAAGTGTTCTTAAAATTTATCTTGTTTTTCATTTGATAAATGAGGAAGCTGAGGTCCTGGTTAAGGGACTTACCCAAAGTTACAAAGCTAGTTCGTAGCTGAGATGGAACTCATGCCTGGGCATTCTAACTTCTGATCTGCTGCATCCCACTGCCCTACCATGATCCTGCTGGCCCATTTAATGGCGACATATTAAACATAGTAGGAGTTCTATAAGCATTTGTTTAATTGAATTAAATTGAATTGCTTCTCTCAGATGAGAACCTAACATCTAGTTAGTAAAAATCTACTCATAGCTCATATTCTTTATTTTTCTTTCTGTAGCAGCTTCTGCACTTCTATTCTATCTAAGACTGCAGAATTTGTCCAACTTGACATTCAGATTCTGCTTCAATTTCCATTTGGTGCTACTAGCATTGTAGCTTTTAAATATTTGATGACTTTCTGAAAACAGGCAGTTTTCCTAGCCATGTTTGATGTTTTGAGAAACACAGAACTTGACAAAAAGTCAATCCAATTCATATATGCCTCTTATTTAGGAAATACAAGCTTATTCAAAGACACAAATTAGCTTTGCTGTTAAAAGCATTCTGTTTGAAGAGTTTGAAGTTTAACTGGTGGCAAACTTCCACCAATGTTTCCAGATTAATTTTTTTAAATCTCCAAGGCAATATGTTTCTCCATGTATTTCTTGCCATTTAAAAGAATGTATAACATACTGTAGTCTGGGAAAAACTGTAATAATCACATACAGGGGCAGGGCGTGGTGGCTCACACCTGTGATTCCACCACTATGTGAGACCGAGGTTGGCTGATTGCATGAGCCCAGGAGTTTGAGACCAACTTGGGCAATATGGCAAAACCCTCTACCAAAAAAATACAAAAATTGGCTGGGCACGGTGGCTCACGCCTGTAATCCCAGCACTTTGGGAGGCCGAGGCAGAGGGATCACAAGATCAGGAGTTCGAGAACAGCCTGACCAACATGGAGAAAGCCTGTCTCTACTAAAAATACAAAAATTAGCCGGGCGTGGTGGTGCACGCCTGTAATCCCAGCTACTGGAGAGGCTGAGGCAGGAGAATCGCTTGAACCCAGGAGGCAGAGGTTGCAGCGAGCCGAGATTGTGCCACTGCACTCCAGCCTGGGTGGCAGAGTGAGACTCCATCTCAAAAAAAAAAAAAAAAAAAAAAATTGGCCAGGTGTGGTGGCATGCCCCTATAGTTCCAGCTACTTGGGAGGCTGAGATGGGAAGATCTCTTGAGCCTGGGAGGCAGAGGTTGCAGTGAGCCGAGATTGTACCACTGCGTTCCAGCCTGGGTGACAGAGCGAAACCCTGTCTCAAAATAAATAAATAAATAAATAATCCCACACAGGATACCTTACTTTATTCAAGACTTTCAGACCACTTTTCAGTTTTATGTTATATTCATAAAGTATAATTGGTGTTCTACCCATTTTATGCATCTGTGTATGTAATTCCTGCAATGGGTAAAAAAAAAAATTTTAACTTGTTAATGAAAACATGTGCCTCTCATGATAGTAATTTCATTAAGAAACTGGGGTTAATTAATGAAAACATGAACACAAAGATCTAGTAGGAGAGGGGTAAGATGCTAGATAAGGAAACCACCTAGAAAAGAAAAAAATCGCAATTAAAAATCAGGTGAGGAAAAATATTCGAACTTAAAAATGTAAGAAACCAAGTAAGGAAGTCTCTTAGGAATATTAACTAAGGTAGGGTATGCCTCCAGAGGGTTTGTTAAGAGATTTCTAGGAAAAAATTCGAGTGCGCAGCCAACTTAAAGAATACAGAATCAACGTAAAACAAGGGATTTGAATCTGATACTCAGAGGACCAAATAAATATCTTCAAGGGATATATCACACTGGTCAAGAAACAGAACCAGGTGGAATTGTAAAGTCAGTCTTGGATATTAAGCTGCATTAGATGGAATTTTTTCTAACATTGTCCTAGACACAATGAGAAGAGTGGCCCTACTCTCAGGGAACTTTTAGTTTGGTGGGGAAAAGTGGAAAAGTTAATTTGATAAAGACTATGTGGTTGGCACTGATAGAGAGTATTTAATAGTTCAGAAATGGGAGATAACACAGCACTTAATTTCATTTATTCTAATTAATGGTTGTTATATCCTCTCTGATGTTCAGAGTCAAGCTGAATTGTGAATTTCTTGACAGCAAAGATTATCTTATTCAGCCTTATATTTCTTAGGGTCTTTTGAAAGTCCTGGCACAGTAGTCTGAACTCATGAATTCAGTCAGTTCTCTTGGTGTTCATATTGTCCCAAATTTGGCCAGTGGGAACTCTTTGAAGCTGGCTCCAGTGTCTTTTTTTTTTTTTTTTTTTTTCCCTACAGCCCCATTAGTCCTCGAACACATCTGTGTTTCCTGGCACTAGATGGCAAGTATTTTTAATAGTACTTTACATCACATGGGTAGAGCTAGATTTCAAATGTAGCCAAAAAACTGAAAAACTGTTTATTAATACTTATCAGTAAATTTCTGAAGAGATGGTCCCAACAATTACTCTTTGACAATTAGAATGGAAATATAAATCATGAGAAACCACTTCAAGGGAAACTGGAAGTCAAGTGTTTATGAAAAATAAAGGCAGATGGTGATAAGCATTTTTTGAAGGAAATGGAGCTAACTATCAAGCCTGTAGTGACAGGTTTTATAGTTTTTTACAGCAATTCTTAAGCAGATTTAATTCAGTAAGGGTGAAAGAGACTTCTATTTCTTTTAGCATTCCCAGGAAGAGACCATACTGGTAACATACTCTTACTAGGTCGCAGACATGAGAAAATGAAATATAAACATCTAAAACCATTTTAATTATATCTAAACTTTTAGCATGACTGTAGTATTATGCATATTTATCATTTGAGTGATACTAATAGGATGTGCTCAAATGTGTCATTCAACTTGATATATGGGATGCTAAAATGAGCTACAGTTTTAAAATCTTGTGAACTTACTCTGGTTTTAGGGCTTGAGTGTTCATTTTTAAATTTTTTTCCATTCATTCAAAGCTGATTATTCCTACTCTTCATCTAACTCCCATTCTTTTCTTCCATTATCATGTCAGTACTTCTAAGCATATCCATAAAATGGAGAAGGGGGAGGAATAGAAATTCATGCAGTTGCCGAGCACAGTGGCTCACGCCTGTAATCCCAGCACTTAGGGAAGGCAGAGGCGGGTGGATCACTCAGGAGTTCAAGATCAGCCTGAGCAACATGGAGAAACCCTGTCTCTACAAAAATTAGCTGGGTGTGGTGGTGCACACCTGTAGTCCCAGCTACCTGGGAGGCTGAAGTGAGAGGATCGCTTGACCCAGGAGGTTGAGGTTGCAGTGAGCCAAGATCATGCCACTGAACTCCAGCCTGGGTAGCAGAATGAGACTAAGTCTCAAAAAAAAAAAAAAAAAAAAGAAAGAAAGAAAGAAAAGAAAAAAGAAATTAGTGCAATTTATCTGGTTCTTAATCTTAATTCTGGATTTTGGGTTTTTTTTATTTTATTTTTCTTAATATACATCTATTAAATCATTTTATTAATTAAATTAATTATATTCTTCCTGAATATTGATTTTCTTAATCTGTTGAGAACTTCAAAGAGTATATTTTAAGTTAATTGAATATATCTTTTGTTTTTTTTGTTATATATATATATATATATATATATATATATATTTTTTTTTTTTTTTTTTTTTTTTTTTTTTTTTTTTGAGACGGAGTCTCGCTCTGTTGCCCAGGCTGGAGTGCAGTGGCCAGATGTCGGCTCACTGCAAGCTCTGCCTCCCAGGTTCACACCATTCCCCTGCCTCAGCCTCCCAAGTAGCTGGGACTACAGGCGCCCACCACTATGCCTGGCTAATTTTTTGTGTTTTTAGTAGAGACGGGGTTTCACTGTGTTAGCCAGGATGGTCTCGATCTCCTGACCTTGTGATCCTCCTGCCTTAATATATATATATTTTTAATTATACTTTAAGTTCTAGGGTACATGTGCACAACATGCAGGTTTGTTACATTTGTATACATGTGCCATGTTGGTGTGCTGCACCCATTAACTCCTCATTTACATTAGATATATCTCCTAATGCTATCCCTCCCCCTCCCCCCACCCCATGACAGGCCCCAGTGTGTGATGTTCCCCTTCCCGTGTCCAGCTGTTCTCATTGTTCAGTTCCCACCTATGAGTGAGAACATACGGTGTTTGGCTTTTTGTCCTTGCAATAATTTGCTCAGAATGATGGTTTCCAGCTTCATCCGTGTCCCTACAAAGGACATGAACTCATTGTTTTTTATGGCTGCATAATATTCCATGGTATATATGTGCCACATTTTCTTAATCCAGTCTATCATTGATGGACATTTGGGTTGGTTCCAAGTCTTTGCTATTGTGAATAGTGCTGCAGTAAACATATGTGCATGTGTCTTTATAGCAGCATGATTTTTAATCCTTTGGGTATATACCCAGCAATGGGATGGCTGGGTCAAATGGTATTTCTAGTTCTAGATCCTTGAGTAATCGCCACACTGTCTTCCACAATGGTTAAACTAGTTTACAGTCCCACCAACTGTGTAAAAGTGTTCCTATTTCTCCACATCCTCTCCAGCACCTGTTGTTTCCTGACTTTTTAATGATCACCATTCTAACTGGTGTGAGATGGTGTCTCACTGTGATTTTGATTTGCATTTCTCTGATGACCAGTGATGATGAGCATTTTTTCATGTGTCTGTTGGCTGCATAAATGTCTCCTTTTGAGAAGTGTCTGTTCATATGCTTTGCCCACTTTTTGATGGGGTTGTTTGTTTTTTTCTTGTAAATTTGTTTGAGTTCTTTGTAGATTCTGGATATTAGCCCTTTGTCAGATGAGTAGGTTGCGAAAATTTTCTCCCATTCTGTAGGTTGCCTGTTCACTCTGATGGTAGTTTCTTTTGCTGTGCAGAAGCTCTTTAGTTTAATTAGATCCCATTTGTCAATTTTGGCTTTTGATGCCATTGCTTTTGGTGTTTTAGACATGAAGTCCTTGCCCATGCCTATGTCCTGAATGGTATTGCCTAGGTTTTCTTCTAGGGTTTTTATAGTTTTAGGTCTAACATTTAAGTCTTTAATTCATCTTGAATTAATTTTAGTATAAGGTGTAAGGAAGGGATCCAGTTTCAGCTTTCTACATATGGCTAGCCAGTTTTCCCAGCACCATTTATTAAATAGGGAATCCTTTCCCCATTTCTTGTTTTTGTCAAGTTTGTCAAAGAGCAGCTGGTTGTAGACATGTGGCATTATTTCTGAGGCCTCTGTTCTATTCCATTGATCTATATCTCTGTTTTGGTACCAGTACCATGCTGTTTTGGTTACTGTAGCCTTGTAGTATAGTTTGAAGTCAGGTAGCGTGATGCCTCCAGCTTTGTTCTTTTGGCTTAGGATTGACTTGGCAATGCAGGCTCTTTTTTTGGTTCCATATGAACTTTAAAGTAGTTTTTTCCAATTCTGTGAAGAAAGTCATTGGTAGCTTGATGGGGATGGCATTGAATGTATGAATTACCTTGGGCAGTGTGGCCATTTCCATGATGTTGATTCTTCCTATCCATGAGCATGGAATGTTCTTCCATTTGTTTGTGTCCTCTTTTATTTCGTTGAGCAGTGGTTTGTAGTTCTCCTTGAAGAGGTCCTTCATATCCCTTGTAAGTTGGATTCCTAGGTATTTTATTCTCTTTGAAGCAATAGTGAATAGGAGTTCACTCATGATTTGGCTCTCTGTTTGTCTGTTATTGGTGTATAAGAATGCTTGTGATTTTTGCACATTGATTTTGTATCCTGAGACTTTGCTGAAGTTGCTTATCAGCTTAAGGAGATTTTGGGCTGAGACGATGGGGTTTTCTAAATATACAATCATGTCATCTGCAAACAGGGACAATTTGACTTCCTCTTTTCCTAATTGAATACCCTTTATTTCTTTCTCCTGCCTGATTGCCCTGGCCAGAACTTCCAGCACTATGTTGAATAGGAGTGGTGAGAGGGCATCCCTGTCTTGTGCCAGTTTTCAAAGGGAATGCTTCCAGTTTTTGTCCATTCAGTATGATATTGGCTGTGGGTTTGTCATAAATAGCTCTTATTATTTTGAGATACGTCCAATCAATACCGAATTTATTGAGAGTTTTTAGCATGAAGGGCTGTTGAATTTTGTCAAAGGCCTTTTCTGCATCTATTGAGATAATCATGTGGTTTTTGTCTTTGGTTCTGTTTATATACTGGATTACATTTATTGATTTTCGTATGTTGAACCAGTCTTGCATCCCAGGGATGAAGCCCACTTGATCATGGTGGATAAGGTTTGTGATGTGCTGCTGGATTTGGTTTGCCAGTATTTTATTGAGGATTTTCACATTGATGTTCATCAGGGATATTGGTCTAAAATTTTCTTTTTTTGTTGTGTCTCTGCCAGGCTTTGGTATCAGGATGATGCTGGCCTCATAAAATGAGTTAGGGAGGATTCCCTCTTTTTCTATTGATTGGAATAGTTTCAGAAGGAATGGTACCAGCTCCTCCTTGTACCTCTGGTGGAATTCGGCTGTGAATCCATCTGGTCCTGGACTTTTTTTGGTTGGTAGGCTACTAATTATTGCCTCAATTTCAGAGCCTGTTATTGGTCTATTCAGAGATTCAACTTCTTCCTGATTTAGTCTTGGGAAGGTGTATGTGTCCAGGAACTTATCCATTTCTTCTAGATTTTCTAGTTTATTTGTGTAGAGGTGTTGATAGTATTCCCTGATGGTAGTTTGTATGTATGTGGGATCGGTGGTGATATCCCCTTTATCATTTTTTATTGTGTCTATTTGATTCTTCTCTCTTTTCTTCTTTATTAGTCTTGCTAGCGGTCTATCTATTTTGTTGATCCTTTCAAAAACAGCTCCTGGATTCATTGATTTTTTGAAGGGTTTTTTGTGTCTCTATCTCCTTCAGTTCTGCTCTGATCTTAGTTACTTCTCGCCTTCTGCTAGCTTTTGAATGTGTTTGCTCTTGCTTCTCTAGTTCTTTTAATTGTGATGTTAGGGTGTCAATTTTAGATCTTTCCTGCTTTCTCTTGTAGGCATTTAGTGCCATAAATTTCCCTCTACACACTGCTTTAAATGTGTCCCAGAGATTCTGGTATGTTGTGTCTTTGTTCTCATTGGTTTCAAAGAACATCTTTATTTCTGCCTTCATTTCGTTACGTACCCAGTAGTCATTCAGGAGCAGGTTGTTCAGTTTCCATGTAGTTGATCAGTTTTGAGTGAGTTTCTTAATCCTGAGTTCTAGTTTGATTGCACTGTGGTCTGAGACACAGTTTGTTATAATTTCTATTCTTTTACATTTGCTGAGGAGTGCTTTAGTTCCAACTATGTGGTCAATTTTGGAATAAGTGTGAAGTGGTGCTGAGAAGAATGTATATTCTGTTGATTTGGGGTGGAGAGTTCTGTAGATGTCTGTTAGGTTCGCTTGGTGCAGAGCTGAGTTCAATTCCTGGATATCCTTGTTAACTTTCTGTCTCGTTAATCTGTCTAATGTTGACAGTGGGGTGTTAAAGTCTCTCATTATTATTGTGTGGGAGTCTAAGTCTCTTTGTAGGTCTCTAAGGACTTGCTTTATGAATCTGGGTGCTCCTGTATTGGGTGATACGTGTTTAGGATAGTTAGCTCTTCTTGTTGAATTGATCCCTTTACCATTATGTAATGGCCTTCTTTGTCTCTTTTGATCTTTGTTGGTTTAAAGTCTGTTATTTATTTATTTTTTTTGAGATAGAGTCTTGCTCTGTTGCCCAGGCTGGAGTGCAGTGGCGTGATCTCGGCTCACTGCAACCTCCGCCTCCCGGATTCAAGCAATTCTCCTGCCTCAGCCTCCTGAGTAGCTGGTATTACATGCGTGTGCCACCATGCCCGGTTAATTTTATATTTTTAGTAGAGACGGGGTTTCACTATGTTGGCCAGGCTGGTCTTGAACTCCTGACCTTGTGATCCACCCGCCTCGGTCTCCCAAAGTGCTGGGATTACAGGTGTGAACCACCGCGCCCAGCCTATTTTTTTTCATTTGGTAAGTTTAGTTTTGTTTCCAGATTTTGTGTGTCTTTGTTCTCCGTCATACTACAGGTGATTGAGAAACTATCATCTTTATAACAGTGGACTTCAGTCAGGGGACCTGGATTCTAGTTCTGTCTTTGTCACTGATTAGCTGGGTGACCTTAGGATGCCAATTCACTTCGTATATCCATTTAATCAGTGAATATTTGAACATCTTTTAGTTCACACGCATGCCTTAGGCCATGCCTCAGTTTCTTGATCACAAAGCAGTTATACTAAATGGTACTTAAAGCCCCTTCCATCCCAGTGCTGTGCTAGGTGTATAAAAGTCATAGTTCCAGTTGATGAGTTTAGACTGATAAGGAAAAGCAGTTCGTGTGGGCAGTACTGTAGTAGAATCACACGGCACCATGGCCTAGAAACATGTCAGAAAATCTCTGATCATGGGGCTGCCTAAATCGTGTATTAGAGAAGGAGTAGAAGATTGCCAGGAAAAGGAGAATAGAGGATATTTCAAGCAGAGAGGCGTATATGCAGAGGCTTGGAGTCAAGTAAAGATTTCATAAAGGAGACTGAGAAGGATTAGTATGAAAGGTAGGAGGAAAATGAGTAGAGAGGGGCACTCCTGAAGCCAAAGTGAGAGAGAGACTTGCACTGCTCAGTTTGTTTTTAGAGTGTGGTACCGAAAATAACATTCATAGAGATTGATCTAATGGCTGAAAGTAAAGCTTTTTTAATCAAACGAGGAAATCTATAAAATATAATTACTTTCTTGATTGTGTTTTTAAAAATCGTTTGGGATTGTGTTACTTCTGGAGTCTTGGTCCATATGAGGTGTGTTTCAGAGCCAATCTGAATACTGTTATCCACGAAGCTACCCAATACATCATGCTTCTTTTTTAATTCTCTATGTTCTTAAATATAAAAGTCTTATTTCTTTGACTATACCATGATTTTTGAAATATAGTAATTCACTTTAAAAACCTTTTTTTTTTTTTTACATCAAGTAGTTTGATTTTAAAATACTAGTTTTTAAAAGAAACAGGCCAGGCACAATGGCCTATAGTCTCAGCACTTTGGGAGGCCGAGACAGGAGGATCACTTGAGGCCAGGAGTTCAAGACCAGCATGGGCAACAAAGCAAGACCCTGTCTCTCTTTTAAAAAATTAATTAATAATGTTATTTTTAAAAATAAACAATAACAGTATTGACAGTTTTTCAAATTGAAAATGTGCTCCACTAATTTACTAAGTGTCAATTAAAGAGTAATTGATAAAAGATGAATATGTAGCTCTCTCAGATTTACAAAAACTAAAATTTTAAATTGTGGTTGGGAGTCTGTAGTACATACAGTAAATCATGTGCTTCTTATGAACCATATCTTACAGATGCAGGTGGACACGAGATAGTCAGATTTTCACTCCCCACAAGCTGGACAGCTAGAAATGTCATGCCAATAGTACGTGTCAAAGACTTAGTGCTACTTTGCTGCCTGTCTGATTTAAGTTATTGTGGTCAGTCTGAGGAACCTGTGATATGATAAGATAGCATTCATGAGGTCATGTGGTTTGCAAGTGCCCAATCTTGACTGAGCAGCCTGTGAGCACCTCAGGAGGAGGAAGAGAGGGATACTAACTTTATTTGCAAGCTTATTTGGGTTCAGTGGCAGAATAGTGTGGGTATGTGGCTATATGTTTATATTACATATTTTAAAAATTATTTTTCTATCAGGAGTTATAATTTCTGAAAAAAAGTGAATACTACAAATGCATTCATCTCCTTCTACTTATTAATATTTCAGTCTAAACCATTAAACTTTTTATTGCAAATATTTTCCTACAACTTCATTTTAAATTTTAAATGAAGTTGTAGGAGGTCATCATATGTCTTTTCTGTTGAGGAAAAAACTGGATGTAGAAGATTTATGTTGTTGGTGAATATTTTTTAAATATATTAAAAGTTATTTCTACATTTTCTAATTAGAAAATTACTTATTTTCAATCTGGTATCCTTTCCTTAGAAACATACAAAATGCTGTCTGATTTTATCTGTATAACAGCTTTACTGAGACATTATTTACATATGATACAATGCACCCACGTAAAGTTTACAATTCAGTGGTTTTTAATATAGTCACAGTTATGCAGCTATCATCACAGTCAATTCTAGAACATTATCTCTCCAAAAAGAAATCCTATGCTCATTTAGCTTGTCACTCCCTATTTCTCTCCAAGCCTTATTCCCCCAACCCTAGGCAACCCACTAATCTACTTTCTGTCTCTACACATTTCCCAATTCTGGACATTTAATATAAATGGAATCATAGAACCTGTGGTTTTCTGTGACTGGCTTTTTCACTTAGTATAATGTTTTCAAGGCTCATTCATGTCGTAGCATGTGTCAGTGCTTTTATTTATTTTTGTCACCTAATAATGTTCTACTGTATGGATAAACAGGCATACCTGGCTTTATTATGCTTTGCTTTATTGCGCCTCAATAAATGGTTGTTATATCCTACTGTGTTTTTACAAAGTGAAGGTTTGTCGCAATCCTGCATTGAGCAAGTCTTTCAATGCCGTTTTTCCAACAGCGTGTGCTCACTTCATGTCTCTGTGTCATATTTTGGTAATTTTCACAATTTTTTAAACTTTTTCACTATTATACCTTCTGGTGATCTGTGATCATTGATCTTCGATGTTGCTATTGTAATTGTTTTTGGGTGCCACAAATTGCACTCATATAGTCAAAAGCCAGAAATGATTAAGCTGTGAGGCAGGCATGTTGAAAGCTGAGATAGCCTGAAAGCTAGGTCTGTTGCACCAAACAGTTAGCCAAGTTGTGATTGCAAAGGAAGAGTTCTTGAAGGAAATTAAAGTTACTACTCCACTGAAAACACAAATGATAAGAAAGCAAAGCAGCCTCATTGCTGATATGGAGAAAGTTTGAGTGATCTGGATAGAAGATCAAGCCAGCCACAACATTCTCTTAAGCCAAAGCCTAATCCAGTGCAAGGCCATAACTCTCTTCAATTCTTTGAAGGCTGAGAGAAGTGAGGAAGCTGCAGAAGGAAAGTGGGAGGCTAACAGAGGTTGGTTCATGAGGTTTAAGGAAAGAAGCCATTTCCGTCACATAAAAGTACAAGGTGAAGTAGCAAGTGCTGATGTAGAAACTGCAGCAAGTTATCCAGAAGATCTAGCTAAGATCGTTGATGAAGGAGGCCACCCCAAACAACAGATTTTGAATGTAGATGCAACAGTCTTATACCGGAGGAAGATGCCCTCTATGGCTTTCCTAGCGACAGAGAAGTCAATATCTGGCTTCAAAGCTTCAAATGGCTCTCTCGTTAGGGCCTAATGCAGCTGTTGACTTTAAGTTGAAGCCAAGTGCACATTTACCATTCTGAAAACCCTAGGGTTCTTAAGAATTATGCTAAATCTACTTTGCCTGTGCTCTGTAAATGAAAAAACAAAGCCTGGATGACTGCACATCTCATTACAGCATGGTAAAATAAATATTTTAAGCCCACTGTTGAAACCTACTGCTCAGAAAAAATGATTTCCTTCCAAAATATTACTGCTCAGAAACAATGCAACTAGTCACCCAAGAGCTCTGATGCAGATGTACATGGTGATTAATGTTGTTTTCATGCTGCTAACGAAACATTCATTCTGCAGCCCGTGGATCAAGGAGTAATTTCAACTTTCAAGTCTTATTATTTAAGACATCATTTCATAAGGCTCCATTACATAAAAGTACAAGGTGAAGCAGCAAGTGCTGATGTAGAAGCAGCAGGTTATCCAGAAGACATATAGTGCCATATATAGTGATTCCTCTAATGGATTTGGGCAAAGTAAATTGAAATCCTCCGCAAAGGGTTCACCATTCTAGATGTCGTTAAGAACATTTGTGATTCATGGGAGGAGGTCAAAATATCAACATTAACAGGAGTTTGGAAGAAGTTGATTCCAACCGTTTGAGGGATTGAAGACTTCAGTGGAGGAAGTCACTGCAGATGTAGTGGAAAGAGCAAGAAAACTAGAATTAGTAATGTAGTAGAGCCTGAAGATGTGCCTGAATTGCTGCAATCTCATGATCAAACTTGAATGGACGAGGAGTTGCTTCTTAGGGATGAGCAAAAAAAAAAAGTGGTTTCTTGAGCTAGAATCTTCTCCTGGTAAAGATACTGTGAACATTGTTGAGATGGCAACAAAGGATTTAGAATATTCCGTAAACTTAGTTGATAAAGCAGTGGCAGGGTTTGAGAGCATTTACTCCAATTTTGAAAGAAGTTCTACTGTGAGTAAAATGCTATCAAACAGCATCTAATGCTACAGAGAAATACTTCATGCAAGGCCGAGTGAGGAAGTGCAGCAAACTTTATTGTTGTCTTACTTTAAGAAATTGCCACAACCACCCCAACCTTCAGTAACTGGCCAGCCTGCTGCCACCAGCATCAAGGCAAGACCCTCCACCAGCAAAAAGATCCATTACTTGCTGACCACTCAGGTGATCATTAGCATTTTTTAGGAGTAAACCATTTTTAATTAAGGTATATACATTGTTTTTAAACATATACTGTTGCACACTTAACAGACTACAGTATAATGTAAAGATAACTTTTATATGCACTGGGAAACAAAATTCATGTGACTCGCTTTATTCTGATATTTGTATTTATCCATTCATCAGTTGATAGATATTTGCTTTATTCCCACTTTTTGGCTATCATAAATAATATTATTTTGAGCATTCATTTACAAGTTTCCATATAAACGTATGTTTTCATTGGTCTGAGTATATGCGTAGTAATGGAATTACTGGGTCATATGGTAACTGTATGTTTAACTATTTGAGGAACTGCCCTACTGTTTTCCAAAGTAGCAGTACCAGTTTACATTCCCACCAGCTGTGTATGAGTGTTTTGATTTATCCACATTCTTACTAACATTTATTATTTATTTTTTCGATTAAGTAGTATCTCATTATGGTTTTGATGTACATTCCTGGTGGCTAATGATATTGAGCATGTTTTCATATGCTTATTGGCCATTTATAGCTTCTTCAGAGAAATGTCTTATTTAGATCCTTCGCCTATTTTTAAATTGGATTGTCTTTTTATAATTGAGTTGCAAGAGTTCTTTACATATTCTAAATATGTGTTCCTTATCAGATACATTATTTCTGATTTTTAAATATTTTTCTTCACTATATTTTTTAAACTGAAACAACTATATGACTAGAATGATTTTCAGGCTTTCTTCTATGGAACACTAAAAGTGAGAGTGGTTGACTTTATAGATTAAGCTTCTGCTTTTTTGTTTATTTGTTTTTTGTTTTTTTGAGACAGAGTCTTTCTCTGTCACTCAGGCTGGAGTGCAGTGGCACGATCTCAGCTCACTGCAACCTCCGCCTCCCGGGGCCAAGCAATTCTCCTGCCTCAGGCTCCCAAGTAGCTTGGATTACAGGTGCCTGCCACCACGCCTGGCTAATTTTTGTATTTTTAGTAGAGGCGGGGTTTCACCATGTTGGCCAGGCTGTACTCAAACTCCTGACCTCAGGTGATCCTCCCGCCTCGGCCTCCCAAAGTGCTGGGATTACAGACATGAGCCACTGTGCCTGGCCAAGCTTCTGTTTTTATAGGAAAAGGAAATGAGACTTACGGAAAAATTCATTGTCTTAGATATGACATTAAAGGCACAAGCAGCAGAGAAGAAAATAGATAAGCTGAACATCATCAAAATTTAAAACTTTTGTGCTTCAAAGATCACCATCAAGAAAGTGAAAAGACAACCTAGAGAATGGAAGAAAAAAATCAAATCATTTACCTGATAAGGGGCCTGTATCTAGAATATATAAAGAACTCTTACAATTCAATTATAAAAAGATAACCCAGTTATAAAATGGATAAAGGATCTGAATAGACTGTTTTCCAAAAATGATATACCAGATGGCCAGTGGACATGAGAAAATATGCCCAACATCAGTGATCAAGGGAATGCAAACCAAAATGACAGTGAGATTCCACTTCACACTTACTAGGATGGCTATAATAAAACAGATAATAAAAATGTTGCAAGGATGTAGAAAAATTGGAACCCTCATACACAGCTGATAGAAAGGTAAAATGGTACAGCCACTTTGAAAACAGTATATAGCAGGTCCTCAAATGGTAAACATAGAGTTGCTATATGACCTAGCAGTTCCACTCCTGGGTATATACCCAAGTAACATGAAAACATGTCTACACTAAGACATCTGCATAAATGTTCATAGCAGCATTATTAATAATATTTAGAGAGTAGAAACAACTCAGATGTCAATCATCTGATGACTGGATAAATAAAATGTGGTATATCCATATGATCAATTATGAGGCAATAAAAGGAATCAAGTGCTGACACATGCCACAACATGGATGATAAATTTTTCAAAAATCAGTCACAGAAGGCCACATATTGTATGATTTCATTTATATGTCCAGAATAGATAAATTTATAGAGAAAGAAAGTAGATTAGTGGTTCCTTGGGGTTGGAGGGGAAGAGAGGGGTTTTAAGGGATGACAGCTAAGAGGTGTGTGGTTTATTTATGGCATGATAAAAATATTCTAGGATTGGTTGTGGTGATGGTTGCACAACTCTATGCATATACTAAAAGCCATCAAATTGTACACTCTAAATGGGTAAATTGTATGGAAGGCAAGTTATATCTCAAGGTCATTTTAAAAATTCATAGTCTTTCTCTTCTGGACAGTTTCCTAACCTGGGGCCCATGGATGGGGTCTATTAAAGTATTTACAAATATTTTATGTATAAACATAGGCGGATCTTTGGGAGAATGGGTTCAAGATTTTTTTTTTTTTTTTTTTTTTTTGAGATGGAGTCTAGCTCTGTCGCCCAGGCTGCAGCACAGTGGCATGATCTCGTCTCACTACTAGTTCCGCCTCCCGGGTTCCCGCCATCCTCCAGCCTCACCCTCCCAAGTAGCTGGGACTACAGGCGCCCGCCACTACACCCGGCTAATTTTTTATATTTTTAGTAGAGACGGGGTTTCACCAGTGTTAGCCAGGATGGTCTCCATCTCCTGACCTCGTGATCCGCCCGCCTCGGCCTCCCAAAGTGTTGGGATTATAGGCGTGAGCCACTGCGCCCGGCCGGGTTCAAGATTTTTTCAGATTTCTTGAGTGATTTGACACCTAAAAAAAAGTTTTCCTCCATCCCTCAATTATCTTGTGGGAGATATTGGGGGAATTAAGTAAATTAATGCTGGAAAAGCACTTAAAACAGAGCCTGGGACATAGTAAGGGCTAAATAAGTGCTCTTATTGTTCCAGCTATACCACAAAATACTTATGTAGTCACAGTGTGATATTATAAAGGATTAGATAAAATCTAATGACACTACTCCACTGCCTCAGTGACTCACCCATAACCTTCGTGATAAGTTCTAATTCTTTAACATGGCATAAGATTCTTCATAGTTTAGCCCCAGCTTTCTTTCAAGTTTCATCTCTCACCTCTCATTTTGAGACCTATATCCAGCCACACCAAACCACTTGCAGTTTCCTAACACATAATACATTCTCTGGCCTTAGGCTTTTCCCCATGCCACCTGTGCCTGATTTCTCCTCCCTCCACCTCTGCTCATCCTTACAGACCCAACTCGAACATCATCATCTTCCTCCTTCCCTAAGAATTCTCCCTTCTAGCCAGTGTATTGCTTCTCCTGTGGGTTTACTTAACAGTGTGCCACCTTGGAATCAGCTGTTTAGTTTTTTTGTCTTGCCCTTCAGATTTTTAACTGAGGGCAGGAGCCTTGTCATTTGTCTTTGCCTTTCCAGCATCACAACACTTGTCACCTAAACACTAGGTGCATATTTGGTTAATTGATTGATGGACTGAAAAAACACATGATATAGCTTTAGAGAACAAGAATTTCCTCTGAACAGAATCCAATCCAAATAGAAAAGAAGTACTTCATTTTCATGAGGGTGTTTTGCTAAAGGTTTGAATTTTTAAATGCTTCATTTTGCTGAAGGTTAAATCAAAGGAAATCTACATGGTACTTTGATGTAGCTTTAAAAGTTCAGAGTGAAACAAGTGTGAAGTGATTTATTTCCTGTAATTGGTCATAAATTTACATAGAACCTCACATATTCGTAGCCTCATCAGCGTTGACCTTAGAGTACCTTCTAAATAATGTTAATGGTTTCAATTTTATCAAGATGTGTCAGCTGCCAGGAAGAAGACATTCAGTGGCAGTTTCATTTTGTTTGCCCACAATACTGAATACATCTAAGTATGCACTGTAGAAAGACTAAGAATTCTCTGTAAATGACTCCCCCTCTCTTCTTCTCAGGTAAAAAGTGTGCAGTTGTAAGTTTCTTCTATTCCAAACTTTCCTTTCCTTTCTACCTTTTTTACTTATTAATGTGGGTGCATGTTTTTTCCTTCTAAAAACGTCAGCTTTAACTATTGCATTATATACAGTTTTACATGAAATCTACAATTTTTTCATTCTAAATTTTATATTTTTTATGATTTACTTAGCTTAAAACCAAAAACATTTTCAGCATTATGTACCTAGTATTATTTCAATAAAATTCTTGAATTTTTTTTAGTTTTTTTTTTTTAAGTACTGTAGATTAGAATTTTGGCTCTTGTCTGTGTAATAAAGTAATGAAGAAATCATGACCTCCAGTCGATCACTTTTACTGATTTCCTGTTCTGATTCTCTGGAAATCATTTTGTTTGTGTGGTTATTACTAGTCTAACCTTTGTCATGTTTACAATTCAGTGTTTAAAGAAGCTGATAATTGAGAATAAATTTTGCATATCATCTCCCATTACATTTATTTTAGATTTTGAAAACAGAAAACTATTAAAGGTATTCTATAAGGAATCCAACAAAATTACTGACCAAACTCTGAGGATGGAAAAAAAAGTAAAGCCTCTAGAACTTAGAAATACAAACTATGTGATTATTAGATCTTTCCATGAAAAGTAAAATACATTGTTATTTAAAATTGTATATATTACATATCACTTACAGAAATGCTACATTTAGCTCAAAAAGCTATAGCTCTTTGTTTTATAAAGATTAATTATACAAACTCAAATGTACGAATAGGAGCTTTTATAATCTGATATGACTCAGTCTTGGAAACTTACTGCAACTGTTTTGCAGTTCACTTGGTGTCACATGATTCACTTCAATGGTTTAAACCCTGTCTAGTAGTGATCAAAGTTCATTTGGTTAGGGGTTTTTTTTGGTGTGTGGATGACTTTTTTCCACTTTGTTGTGGATTGATTGTCTTTCAAAATACCCAATGCAGCCCTTCCTCTTATTCTTTTGAATCTCAGAAAGTGGTAGTTGTCTGCACAGTGCAACCTCCAGTCACACACAGGGGAAATTTTTTTTAAGTTGAAATAATATGCATGAAAGCACTTTTAACTGTAAAGCATTATATAATTATAAGATTGTATTATTAATTCCATTACCCCAATGTTAAAATTGAAGGATAACTTGTTACGTCTCTTTAAAACCAAGTGTAAAAAAAAATCAACTGTAATTTTTTAAGTTACCAGTGTCCTATGATGTGCTAAAAGAAAGCAGACACACAGCACATTGTCTCCTCTAGCCACACAGACACTTGCCCAGGTGATCATATTTTCTCGGCACAGATTTCTTTATCACTTATAAAGAACCTACATTTAAAGACTACAAAACTCTAAAACCATGACACTTCTCTATTTCACAAAAGAAATTTCTGTCTTAATATCTACTGGTTTAGCCAATAAAGTAGACTAATGAAAAATTTAAAAATACTTATGTATCCTTAATGATGATGAAGTCCTTTGGGGCTTCAGAATATTCATCTTTACAGGTTATCCCTGCTGTAGAATTTCAATGATAACTTGCGTGGAATAGCTGTAATCTTTTATAAATAGTGTTTTTTTAGTGTTTGAATTTTTACTATCATACAGTAAGAAACTCTGCTGTTTCCTGTCAAAACCTTTCATCAGACTATGAACATGACAGTTTCCTGTTTTCTTATTAACTATACTGCATTTTTATGCTTTATTCTTTGTAAATTGTATAATAACTTATCGCTTTCCTTTTCTCATTACTAAATGTTTTTGGGGGACCAGCATTGTTTAATACACACAGAGAAATTCTAAAATCCGATCTCTTTATTGATAATGCAAAGTTAAGATTCCATTAAAGTAGATTTAGATGTTATAAAAAAAGATTTTGTTAACTATTAAACTTGTGCTGAGTGTGTCAGATGTCTTAAATATTATTTAAATAAATTCTACATGTTTTTACTTTTTATACTTTGTCTCTTAATGCATAACATGATGAAGCAGTCCACATCAGGTAAGAACGAATATGTTATTTGGGTCTTGTATTGTTAGTACTCCCATCTGTCTGCTTATTAATGTTCTCCTTCAGCATTTAAAAGGGTGGGATAAATAATTAGTACCTAGGGCTTTTTCTTTTTTTTTATTATACTGTAAGTTCTGGGGTACGTGTGCAGAACGTGCAGGTTTGTTACATAGGTATACACGTGCCATGGTGGTTTGCTGCACCCATCAACCCGTCATCTACATTAGGTATTTCTCCTAATGCTATCCCTCCCCTAGCCCCCCACCCCACGACAGGCCCCGGTGTGTGATGTTCCTCTCCCTGTGTCCATGTGTTCTCATTGTTCAACTCCCACTTAAGAATGAGAACATGCAGTGTTTGGTTTTTCTGTTTTTCTGTTAGTTTGCTGATAATGATGGTTTCCAACTCCATCCATATCCCTGCAAAGGACATGAACTCATTTTTTTTTATGGCTGCAAGGTATTCCATGGTGTATATGTGCCACATTTTCTTGATCCAGTCTATCATTGATGGGCATTTGGGTTGGTTCCAAGTCTTTGCTATCATGAACAGTGCCGCAGTAAACATGTGTGTGCATGTGTCTTTATAGTAGAATGATTTATAATCCTTTGGGTATATACCCAGTAAGGGGATTGCTGGGTCAAATGGTATTTCTAGTTCTAGATCCTTGAGGAATCACCACACTGACTTCCACAATGGTTGAACTAATTTACACTCCCACCAACAGTGTAAAAGTGTTCCTATTTCTCCACATCCTCTCCAGCATCTGTTGTTTCCTGACTTTTTAATGATCACCATTCTATGAGATGGTATCTCATTGTGGTTTTGATTTGCATTTCTCAAATGACCAGTGATGATTAGCTTTTTTTCATATGTCTTGGGTGCATAAACTTCTTCTTTTGAGAAGTTCATATCCTTCGTCCACTTTTTGATGGGTTTTTTTTTCTTGTAAATTTGTTTAAGTTCTTTGTAGATTCTGGATATTAGCCCTTTGTCAGATGCAAAATATAAATTGCAAAAATTTTCTCCCATTCTGTATGTTGCCTTTTCACCCTGATGATAGTTTCTTTTGCTGTGCAGAAGCTCTTTAGTTTAGTTAGATCCCATTTGTCTATTTTGGCTTTTGTTGCCATTGCTTTTGGTGTTTTAATCATGAAGTCTTTGCCCATGCCTATGTCCTGAATGGTATTGCCTAGGTTTTCTTCTAGGGTTTTTATGGTTTCAGGTCTTACGTTTAAGTCTTTAATCCATCGTGAGTTAATTTTTGTATAAAGTGTAAGGAAGGGATCCAGTTTCAGCTTTCTGGATATGGCTAGCCAGTTTTCCATTTATTAAATAGGGAATCTTTTCCCATTTCTGGTTTTTGTCAGGTTTGTCAAAGATCACATGGTTGTACATGTGTGGCGTTATTTCTGAGGCCTCTATTCTGTTCCATTGGTCTATATATCTGTTTTGGCACCAGTACCATGCTGTTTTGGTTACTGTAGCCTTGTAGTATAGTTTGAAGTCAGGTAGCGTGATACCTTCAGCTTTGTTCTTTTTGCTTAGGATTGTCTTGGCTATACGGGCTCTTTTTTGGTTCCATATGAAATTTAAAGTAGTTTTTTCCAATTATTTGAAGAAAGTCAATGGTAGCTTGATGGGGATAGCATTGAATCTAGAAATTACTTTGGGCAGTATGGCCATTGTCACAATATTGATTCTTCCTATCCATAAGCATGGAATGTTTTTCCATTTGTTTGTGTCCTCTCTTATTTCCTTGAGCAGTGGTTTGTAGTTCTCCTTGAAGAGGTCCTTCACATCCCTTGTAAGTTGTATTCCCTGGTTTTTTCTCTCTTACTAGTAGTTATGAATGGGAGTTCACTCATGATTTGGCTCTCTGTTTGTCTGTTATTGGTATATAGGAATCCTTGTGATTTTTTGCACATTGATTTTGTATCCTCAGACTTCATTGAAGTTGTTTATCAGCTTAGGGAGATTTTGGGCTGAGACAATGGGGTTTTCTAAGTATACAATCATGTCATCTGCAAACAGAGACAATTTTACTTCTTCTCTGACTAATTGAATACCCTTTATTTCTTTCTTTTACCTGATTGCCCTGGCCAGAACTTCCAACACTATGTTGACTAGGAGTGGTGAGAGAGGGCATCCTTGTCTTGTGCCAGTTTTCAAAGGGAATGCTTCCAGTTTTTGCCCACTCAGTATGATATTGGCTGTGGGTTTGTCATAAATAGCTCTTATTATTTTGAGATACGTTCCATCAATACCTAGTTTATTGAGAGGTTTTAGCATGAAGGCTGTTGAATATAGTTGAAGGCCTTTTCTGCATCTATTGAGATAAACGTGGTTTTTGTCATTGGTTCTGCTTGTGTGATGGATTACGTTTATTGATTTGCATATGTTTAACCAGCCTTGCATCCCTGGGATGAAACTGACTTGATCGTGGTGGATAAGCTTTTTGATGTGCTGCTGGATTCGGTTTGCCAGTATTTTATTGAGGATTTTCACACCAATGTTCATCAGGGATATTGGCCTGAAATTTTGTTTTTTTGTTGTGTCTCTGCCAAGTTTTGTTATCAGGATGATGCTGGCCTCATGAGTTAAGGAGGATTCCCTCTTTTTCTATCGTTTGGAATAGTTTCAGAAGGAATGGTACAATCTCCTCTTTGTACCTCTGGTGGAATTCAGCTGTGAATCTGTCTGGTCCTGGACTTTTTTTGGTTGGTAAGCTATTAATTGCTGCCTCAATTTCAGAACTTGTTACTGGTCTATTCAGGGATTCAACTTCTTCCTGCTTTAGTCTTGGGTGTATGTGTCCAGGAACTTATCCATTTATTCTGGATTTTCTAGTTTATTTGCATAGAGGTGTTTATGGCATTCTCTGATGATAGTTTGTATTTCTGTGGGATCAGTGGTGGTATCCCCTTTATCATTTTTTTTATTGCACCTATTTGATTCTTCTTTCTTTTCTTCTGTATTAGTCTGGCTAGTGGTCTATTTTGTTGATCTTTTCCAAAAAAAAAAAAAAGTTCCTAGATTCATTGATTTTTTTGAAGGGTTTTTTGTGTCTCTATCTCCTTCAGTTCTGCTCTGATCTTAGTTATTTCTTGCCTTCTGCTAGCTTTTGAATTTGTTTGCTCCTGCTTCTCTAGTTCTTTTCAATGTGATTTTAGGGTGTCAATTTTAGATCTTTCCTGCTTCCTCTTGTAGGCATTTAGGTGCTATAAATTTCCCTCTACACACTGCTTTAAATGTGTCCCAGAGATTCTGGTACGTGTGTCTTTGTTCTCATTGGATTCAAAGAACATCTTTATTTCTGCCTTCATTTTGTTATTTACCCAGTAGTCATTCAGGAGCAGGTTGTTCAGTTTCCATGTAGTTGTGCAGTTTTGAGTAAGTTTCTGAATCCTGAGTTCTAATTTGATTGCACTGTGGTCTGAGAGACTGTTTGTTATGATTTCCGTTCTTTTGCATTTGCTGAGGAGTGTTTTACTTCCAACTATGTGGTCAATTTTAGAATAAGTGTGATGCGGTGCCGAGAAGAACATATATTCTGTTGATTTGGAGTGGAGAGTTCTGTAGATGTCTACTAGGTCTGCTTGGGCCAGAGCTGATTTTAAGCCCTGGATATCCTTGTTCATTTTCTGTCTTATTGATCTGTCTAATATTGACAGTGGGGTGTTAAATTCCCCCACTATTATTGTGTAGGAGTCTAAGTCTCTTTGTAGGTCTCTAAGGACTTGCTTTATGAATCTGGGCGCTCTTGTATTGGATGCATATATATTTAGGATAGTTAGCTTATCCTGTTGAATTGATCCCTTTACCATTATGTAATGCCTTTCTTTGTCTCTTGATCTTTGTTAGTTTAAAGTCTGTTTTATCAGAGACTAGGATTGCAACCCCTGCTTTTTTTTGCTTTCCATTTGCTTGGTAAATACTCCTCCATCCGTTTATTTTGAGCCTATGTGTGTCTTTGCACATGAGATGAGTCTCCTGAATACAGCACACTGATGGGTCTTGCCTCTCTCCAGTTCGCCAGTCTGTGTCTTTTAATTGGGGCATTTAGCCCATTTATGTTTAAGGTTAATATTGTTATGTGTGAATTTGATCCTGCCATTATGATGCTAGCTGGTTATTTTGCCCGTTAGTTGTTGCAGTTTCTTCATAGTGTCAATGGTCTTTACAATTTGGTATGTTTTTGCAGTGGCTGGTACTGGCTGATCCTTTCCATGTTTAGTGCTTCCTTCAGGAGCTCTTGTAAGGCAGGCCTGGTGGTGACAAAATGTCTCACCATTTGCTTGTCTGTAAAAGATTTTATTTTTCCTTCGCTTGTGAAGCTTAGTTTGTCTGGATGTGAAATTCTGGGTTGAAAATTCTTTTCTTTAAGAATGTTGAATATTGGCCCCCAATCTCTTCTGGTTTGTAGGATTTCTGCTGAGAGATCCGTTGTTAGTCTGATGGACTTCCCTTTGTGGGTAACCCACCCTTTCTTTCTGGCTGCCCTTAATATTTTTTCCTTCATTTCAACCTTGGTGAATCTGATGATTATGTGTCTTGAGGTTGATCTTCTTGAGGAGTATCTTTATGGTGTTCTCTGTATTTCCTGAATTTGAATGTTGGCCTACCTTGCTAGGTTGGGGAAGCTCTCCTGGATAATACCCTGAAGAGTGTTTTCCAGCTTGGTTCCATTCTCCCCATCACTTTCAGGTACACCAGTCAAACGTAGATTTGGTCTCTTTACATAGTCCCATATTTCTTGGAGGCTTTGTTTGTTTCTTTTCACTCTCTTTTCTCTAATCTTGTCTTCTTGCTTTATTTCATTGAGTTGATCTTCAATCTCTGATATCCTTTCTTCTGCTTGATCTGTTTGGCTATTGATACTTGTGTATGCTTCATGAAATTCTCATGCTGTGTTTTTCAGCTCCATGAGGTAATTTATGTTCTTCTCTAAACTGGTTATTCTAGTTCGCAATTCATCTGACCTTTTTTCAAGGTTCTTAGCTTCATTGCATTGGGTTAGAACATGCTCCTTTAGTGCAGAGGAGTTTGTTATTACCCACTTTCTGAAGCCTACTTCTGTCAATTCGTCAGACTCAGTCTCCATCCAGTTTTGTTCCCTTGCTGGCAAGGAGTTGTGATCCTTTGGAGGAAAAGAGATGTTCTGGTTTTTGGAATTTTCAGTCTTTTTACACTGGTTTCTCCCCATCTTCGTGGATTTATCTACCTTTGGTCTTTGAAGTTGGTGACCTTTGGCTGGGGTCTCTGAGTGGATGTCCTTTTTGTTGATGTTGATACTATGCCTTTCTGCTTGTTAGTTTTCCTTCTGACAGGCCTCTCTGCTGCAGGTCTGCTGGAGTTTGTTGGAGGTCCACTCTGGACCCTGTTTGCCTGGGTATCACCAGTGGATGCTGCAGAACAGCAAAGATTGCTGCCTGTTTCTTCCTCTGAAAGCTTTGTCCCAGAGGGGCACCTGCCAGATGCTAGCCAGAGCTCTCTTGTATGAGGTGTCTGTTGGCCCCTACTGGGAGGTGTCTCCCATTCAGGACACACAGGGGTCAGGAACCCACTTGAGGAGGCAGTCTGTCCCTTATCAGAGCTCGAACGCTGTGTTGGGAGATCCGCTGCTCTCTTCAGAGCTGCCAGGCAGGGATGTATAAGTCTGCTGAGGCTGTGCCCCCAACCGCCCCTTCCCCCAGGTGCTTCGTCCCAGGGAGGTGAGGGTTGTATCTATAAGTCCTGACTGGGGCTGCTGCGTTTTTTTCAGAGATGCCCTGCCCAGAGAGGAGGGAATCTGGAGAGGCAGTCTGGCCTCAGTGGCCTTGCTACCACTAGGGCTTTTTCAAGAATCCTACCGTCTGTTCAGTATAGTTCATGTGCCTGCTCTTGTCAAGTCAGAGTACTAAGTTCTAGGATATAAATATGATTAAGAAATAATCCCTACCATCAAGGGTCTAACAGAAGAGAGAGAATACATCCACACCTACCAATTATTCCATATTTTTCTAAACAGTGCTTATTTTAAATATTTAGCTCTAATGTCAAATCATATGATTTAGAAAAAATTTATCTACATATATTCAATCATGTGTTAATAAGTACAATATTTATGAAAGTATTTATGAAAATACAGTAAGCATAATTTTTATGAAAGTATTTATGAAAATATGCCCATTGATTTATTTTAAATACTATAAACATTATTTTAAAATGGCTTATAAAAATGCTAATAGTTTAACAATATCAGCATAATACTAGAAAACAAAAAAAGACTTTTAAAATGAAAGAAGCAGGTTTCTTGTTTGTTTTTATTTTGTTATTGGATTAGGGATTTGGTTCTGGCTAGTCTTTCTATTATTGTCTAAATGGTCAAGCTACCAATAAATGTGGAGCCATATTTGATTGTTTTATTAATCACCTTATTCTTAGAATACAACCAAACAAATAATTGAAACTGAGACTGATTATGCACAGTGACAAATATTTATTTTTATATTTATACCCTACCTTGTTCCCCATAGATTTTTAGGCAGTTTGCATGAATACATATGACACAAAAATAATCAAACATTAGGTTAAACCAAAATAAATTACTGATACTTGACATTCACTTAAAAAGTGGCAATGTATGCTTCAGTCTGACAGTTAAAAGAATCACTGCTAAGGTGAAATCTGGTAAGATGAGAGTTCATGTTAGCAAACAGAAATGCATACAGTATCAAAGTAGGTCACATATTTGGTAGCCAAAGCAAAGTAAGGAGCATAATATGTTGAAGAGTGTGTCTAGTAAGACAAAGCCAAACCAGTTATTCTTTTCCTATTTCTAAACTTTGAAAGAAGTTTCTCTTATGGGTCTATATGAAGAGGATAAGAAAATGTACTAAACAGGAAAGTGTTAGGCTAATGGTCTAACATATAAAGAGCAATTTTGTAATGGGCAAAAACAGTGGGATCTAAATACATAACTTACTGGTCATCTGGTTAGATCAAGAGGTATGCTAGTGGAAGAATGAATGGCAGTTGCATGTCTTTCCAACAATCTTTTATAGATATTATTTCTTAGACTTTTATTTAGGATACATTTTTATTGAAGTATGAGATATGTACAGAAAAATACACACCATAAGTATCTAGCTTGATGAATTATCACAAAAATGAGCATGCCCATTTAATTTCAACTCAGGTGAAGAACTGGAACATTACCAGAATTTCAGAAGGCCCTCGTTACTCCTCCCACACTCTCTCTCTCATCTCCTCATTTTCCTGACTTCTAACATGACAAACGAGATCCCTGGTTTTTAACATTTTACTAATGAAATCATATAGAATGAGTTATTTGGGGTTTTGGATCTTTCACTCAATGCTGAGATTTACCCACGTAGTTCCATGCAGCAGTAGTCTGTTCATTTTTGCTACTGTATAGTAGTATCTCATATGAATATATTGTAGTTTGTGCATTTGACTATTGTAAACATTTGAGTTATTTCCATTTGGGGTTATTATGAATAAAACTGTTATGAGCCCTGTTATAAAATTTTTGGTGTAATGTATTTACTTCTATTTTTCATATGCCTAGGAATGGAATTGCTGGGTGACTACTATAATTGTTCAAGCCAGGACACTTTTGAGAATGAAAATAATTAAAAATTACTGTGTAACAACAGGCATAAGCCAGGACTGTCCCAAGCACACTGAAGTGTATAGTTATTCTAGGTATAAAGTGTGTAGACATTCAACTTTAGTCGATACTGCGAAGCCATTTTCCAAAGTGCTTATACCAGTTTACACTCCCACCAGCAATGTGCAAGACTTCCTATTCCGTATCTTCACTAACGTGATTGGATAGCTGAAAATTCAGTGTTGTATTTTCTATTAAGAACACAGAATTAAGTTATTCAGTGTGGTCAGTTAAGGGACCATTAATTGGCTTTGACAGTTAACTAGGCAGAAGGTAAGGTAAAAGTTCTCTTGCAAAAAGTAAGGAGCCTATTACAAACTCTGTGGAAAATGGTTTGGCAGTATTTACTAAATCTTCTTTATTACGCAGAAGTTACACTCTAGAGAAATGAGTACATATACTGACCAAAAGACATGTTTAAGAATGCTCATAGCAGCATTATATATAATAGATTGGAGACAACCCAAATGGCCATTAACATTAGAAAGGATAAATTATGATGTAATCACAAATGCAATACTATGCCACACCGGAAAAGCATAAGCTACCATGCTATATGCCAACATTGGTGAATCTCACAGACAATGCTGAGTAACAGGATACAGAAACAAATGCATACCATATAATCCTTTATATTAAATACAAGAATAGACAAAACTATTGTGTGATGGTAGATATCAGAATGGTGGTTACCTTTGGACGAGTGTAGGGCAGTTTCTGGAGGAAGACACATGGAAGTCTTCTGGGGAGTGGGAAATGCACTATGGCTCAATCTGGGTGATAATTTCATGACTATGTATGTAAGTAAAATTTTACCAACTTGTACACATAAAATCTGTACATTTTGCTGTGTTATATTTCACTTAAAAATGAGCCTAAATACATACTTTTTTTTTCTTTTCTTTTATTTCTTTTTTTCTTTTTTTTTTTTTTTTTTTGAGACAGTGTCTCACTCTTTCACCCAGGCTGGAGTGCAGTGGCACCATCTCAGCACATTGCAACCTCCACCTCCCAGGTTCAACCGAGTCTCCTACCTCAGCCTACCAAGTAGCTAGGAGTACAGGCGTGTGCCACCTTGCCTGGCTGATTTTTGTGTTTTTAGTAAAGACAGCATTTCACCACTTTGGCCAGGCTGGTCTTGAACTCCTGACTTCAAGTGATCCACCTGCCTCCACCTCCCAAACTGCTGGGATTACAAGCATGAGCCACCGCACCTGGCCCTAAATACATTCTTGAAACACACATAGCCTCAAACTTTTCTCAAGCGGTTTTGCTATTAGAGCGTTATGGCCATAGGAAAAAAACACTGAACATCTTAATCAGTAGACTTCATCTTGGGGGACAGTCAGAGTTACAGAATAATTAAAAATTAAGTGGAAAATTAAGAGAGTTACCGTATGCCCCTTCAACACCTTCTGCCTTTCTCCTGTAATTGACATCCTGCAGTAGCTTAATACATAAGTTACAATTGATGAGCCAACATTGACACATTATTATTAACTGAAGTCCATAGTTTACATTAGGGTTCATTCTTTGTGTTGTACATTCTATATGTTTTGACAAGTGTATAATGACATGTATCCACCATTACAGTAGAATACAAAATGGTTGCACTGCCTAACAATCCCCTGTGTTCCACCTGTTCATCCCTCTTCTCCTTCCTGAACTCCTGCAACCACTGCTTACTGTCTCCATAATTTTTCCTTTTCCAGAATGTCATGTAGTCATAATCATACACTATCTGGCCTTTTTCAGATAAGCTTCTTTTGCTTTGCAATATGCATTTAAGGTTCCTCCATGTCACTCCCCCTAACCCAAACACCCTCATACACTAATATTAAACTGCTTAACAGCTCTTCATTAAACTGCTTAACAGCTCTTCAGACCTACCATGCTCTCTTGCCTCCATATTTTAAGCACATGCTTTCTGTATCTAATTAGGCTTTTCAGATGTGACACCATGTGATAATTTCTAGCTAGAAAGAATAATTGGTGGCTGGGCACGGCGGCTTATGCCTGTAATCCCTACACTTTGGGAGGCTGAGGTGGAAGGATCACCTGAGCCCAGGAGTTCAAGACCAGCCTGGGCAACATATCAAGACCTCATCTCTACAAATAATTTAAAAATTAGCTGGGCGTGGTGGCACATGTCTGTGATCTCAGCTGCTCAGAAGGCTGAGGCAGAAGGCTCACTTGAGCCAGGGAGGTGGAGGCTGCAGTGAGCTGTGATAGTGCCACTGCACTCCAACCTGGATGACACAGGGAGACCCCATCTCAAAAAAAAACAAAAACAATAATAGGTACAGATTCCATTGTTCTAGAAGCCAGAACCCTACTCAAAGTCTTGGAAAGGGCCTGCCCTTAAGAAACATATATTTCATTTGTATGTTTGTGTGTGTATACGTTTATATTAAAGCTCCTGGGTTTCCATAGAGATAATCTTCTGAGACCTATCTAAAACTGGGTTGGTATGGATATCTGGTCTAAGAAAAAAGTAAAAATAAATAAAATGGGAACATAATTACAGCAAAACTTTCCTACTGTTCTAATGAGAGCCTGGGTCCGAAAGAAGCAGTAAACTGATGGTATAATAATAGTACCAGCGTCCGATGAGCTAATCATGAAGAATGTTTTTTAAAATGTTGGCAGTGGTACCTAATCATTTTTATTCCACAAATTTCAAACAAATTATTATAAGAATATTCCAAAAGTCAACCTAAAATTACTAACCTAGTCAACAAACATCAAGATACATTAGTGGGATTTTATCAAAATAGCATTGTTGGCCGGGTGCAGTGGCTCACCCCTGTAATCCCAGCACTTTGGGAGGCCAAGACAGGTGAATCACTTGAGTCCAGAAGTTCAAGGCCAGCCTAGCCAATATGGCAAAACCCCATCTTTACTAAAAATACAAAAATTAGCCAAGTATGGTGACGTAGGCCTGTAATCCCAGCTACTCGGGAGGCTGAGCAGGAGAATTGCCTGAACCCAGGAGGCAGAGGTTGGAGTCAGCCAAGATTGTGCCACTGCACTCCAGCCTGGGCAACAGATTGAGACTCTGTCTCAAAAAAAAAAAAAAAAAAAAGGCATTGTCATTGGCACTGATTCTGAACTGACTCATATCTTATTATAACAAAATGTCCCTTGCAACCTACCACACACGCACACCCCGATGTATGTGTCTCTCCTATGGCTGTTGAGTTGTATTAAAAAATACTTAATCTGGCTGGGCGCCAGTGATTCCTGCGTGTAATCCCAGCACTTTGGGAGACCAAGGCGGGCAGATCACTTGAGATCAGGAGTTCGAGAGCAGCCTGGCCTACATGGTGAAACCCTGTCTCTACCAAAAATACAAAAATTAGCTGGGTGTGGTGGTGGGCACCTATAATCCCAGCTACTGAGGAGGCTGAGGCAGGAGAATTGCTTGAGTCTGGGAGGCAGAGAGCTTACAGTAAACTGAGATCACGCCACTGCACTCCAGCCTGGAACACAGTGAGACTTTGTCTAAAAAAAAAAAAAAAAAAGTAGTTAATCTATCAGTGTCTGTAAACTAAGACTATATTCCTAAGGGTAGACATGTTATTCCTTAAAGAATATGGCTTGTCACCTGGATATGAAGCTGATCCTTGGAATAAAACTTGAAGATTGACACTTAGTAGGAAGAAGAAAAGAAAAGGTTCTGATGCTGTTTCACCCAAACACACATGTTCTCTCAAGTGTAGACTGTGATTGTTGAGATGTCTAAAATTGGGTGGTGCGCTTCAGTGATGAATCCCACAAAACACCTTAATGGGCCTAGACTTGAAACTAGATGGTGAAGGTGTCTGTAAACCCCAAAGAATAGGTCATATCTTAAAGGTAATATTTACTAGCCTCATGTTTATTTTCATTTTGATTTTTCCCTGCTCTGGTTGGTTGTGTGGCCACATTTAGGCCAGAGTATTTTAAAAATATGACAGTGGACAGTGTGAAAATGGAAGTGATAAATTAACAAGGAATCTTTACATCTAAATTTATTTACCCTTATCAGATTTTCTTAACATGGTCTAATATAGTCAATTCCCAAATCCAGTTCCTTTAGAGCAGTGTATGGACCACCGTCTTCAGAATCACCTGGAGTACTTGTTTAAAATACAAACTCCTGGGCCTGTCCTGCTGAATTCATATGTTCAAGAGTAGGGCTCAAGAATCTTTTTTTTTTTTTTTTAAATAATAAACCCAGGCAGTTTCTTTTTTTTTTTTCTTTTATTTTTTTTTAGATGGAGTCTTGCTCTGTCACCCAGGCTGGAGTGCAGTGGCGCTATCTCGGCTCACTGCAACCTCCACCTCCCAAGTTCAAGCAATCCTGCTGCCTCAGCCTCCCAAGTAGCTGGGACTAAGCTGGGACTACAGGCATGCACCACTACACCCAGCTAATTTTTATATTTTTAGTAGAGTCAGGGTTTCACCATGTTGGCCAGGCTGGTCTCGAACTTCTGACCTCAAGTGATCCACCAGCCTCGGCCTCCCAAAGTGCTGGGATTACAAGCGTAAGTCACCATGTCCAGTCACCCAAGCAGTAATTATACATACCAAATTACTGGTGTAGAGAATTAGCAAGTCAGAAGGGTACTCTTAACATCTCTAATATTCTCACAGAAGTAAGGACTCCAGAGCAGCTCGCTGAGTTGAATAGCCAGTGAGAATGTCTCTCTGGTAGTTGTGACTCTTTGCTGATGTTATTTGGAAGATAGCAAATCTAATGAATACCTAAAATACATTATTTTTAAATGTTACAGAAACTAGAAGACATTCATTAGAAAGAAACAAAGATTGTAACATAAACTTGTTTTTACTTACTTTATATACCCGTATTTGAAGATAAAATAATCTGAAGGACTGAATTTGATTATGTAATATATTTTTTAAAAAATATATTAATAAATTTTTTAAAATGTTGAAATATAACTATTTCAACAGGCCAAGGTTGTTATTTAAAAATCCTTTTTCATTTGCTTCCAATTAAATAGTCCATGGTTGCCAGGGTGAGGGTGAAGGGGGGATGTTAACATGGAAACAAAGTGCATATTTTAATGATTGTTAGAGCTAGGTGATGACAACATGGGGGTTCACTAAATTATTCACTGTATTTTTAAAAAAATATTCCATAATAAAAAGTTAAAGGCCAGGCACCGTGGCTCACATCTATAATTTCAGCACTCTGGGAGTCTGAGGCAGGAGGATTGCTTGAGGCCAGGAGTTCAAGACCAGCCTAGGGAGCATAGACCTTGCTTCTACAAAAAAAGTTAGTCACAGGCTAAGTTCAGTGGCTCATGACGGTAATCCCACCACCTTGGAAGGCTGAGGTGAGGGAATTGCTTGAGGCTAGTAGTTAAAGACCAGCCTGGGCAACCGAGTGAAACCTCATCTCTACAGAAATAAAATAAATACTAGTTAGTGTGGTGGAGTGTTCCTGTATTCCTAGCTACTCAGGAGCCTGAGGCAGGAGGATCACTTGAGCCCAGGAGTTCAAAGATGCGGTGAGCTGTGATTGTGTCCTTGCACTCTAGCCTAGGTGACAGTGGGAGACCCTGTCTCATAAATGAATGAATGAATGTTTTAAACTTTTTACTTACCTAACTGACAAAAATGAAAAAGCAAAAAAGTGATGCAAAGTTGTAGGGAAACCAGAACTTTACAGTGTTGTTGAGGGTGTAAATTCTTTTTTTTTTTTTTTTTTTTGGAGATGGAGTCTTGCTCTGTCACCCAGGCTGGAGTGCTGTGGCGTGATCTCGGCTAGTGAACCCCCGCCTCCCAGGTTCAAGCAGTTCTGCCTCAGCCTCCCGCGTAGCTGGGATTACAGGTGCCTGCCACCACACCCGGCTGATTTTTGTATTTTTAGTAGAGATGGGGTTTCACCATGTTGGCCAGGCTGGTCTCAAGCTCCTGACCTTGTGATCCTTCTGCCTTGGCCTCCCAAAGTGCTGAGATTACAGGCACGAGCCACCACGCCTGGCAAAGGTATAAATTCTTAGCCACCTTTCTGGAGGACAGCTTAAACATAGAAATCAAAGTTCTGTGTTCAAAGTTCAGTGTTAAAACTCATGCTGTATTTTATATTTCTGGCCATATATCTTAATGAAAGAATAAGACGGCTCTGAAGAACTGTGAGTTCAGAAACTGAGTTCATGGCAGTGCTATTGTGAGGAGATGGAAAGCTAAATTTCCAAACAAAATCAGTTAAGCAGATGATGACATGTTGCTAAATGAGATACCGTGCAGCCAGTAAAAGATTATGACAACAAGAAATGTTTGATATGTTATTAAGTGAAAAAGCAGGTTATTAAACAACATGTGTAATGACCAATCCATTTTTGAAAAGTCAATAAGGTTAGAGAAATTATCTTGAAAGCTATATTAAAATGTTAATGGATTATCTCCGGATTGTGGGTTGTAGAATTGCTTTATTTTCTAAGGTGCCTTTAGTTGAGGTATAGTTTGTGTAGTAAATAATAAAACTAAAATTATATGGAAGACCATTTTTTGACAATTTCCAGTAGTTTCTTATGCTGTTAAGCTTTTAAAATGCCCTCAAAAAAAGAAGTCCATGAAATCATTGATAATTTTTTGACATTATTTGATTATTATTTAATGTCAGTCTTTGAATTTTTTTTTTTTTTTTGAGACGGAGTCTCACTCTGTCGCCCAGGCTAGAGTGAGGTAGCGCAATCTCAGCTCACTGGCAACCTCCGCCTTCTGGGTTCAAGTGATTCTCCTGCCTCAGCCTACCAAGTAGCTGGGATTACAGGCACACACCACCACACCTGGCTAATTTTTGTATTTTTAGTAGAGACAGGGTTTCAACATGTTGGCCAGGCTGGTCTCAAACTCCTGACCTCAAGTGATCCATCCGCCTTGGCCTCCCAAAGTGCTGGGATTACAGGCGTGAGCCACAACACCCAGCTGTTAGTCTTTGAATTTTGGATAAAGCATATATTTTATTTCTTCTTTTGAACTGGAGGTTTTAATTTTTTAATGTTTACATTTATCATACACATAAATTAAAAAGTCAAAGAATAATTAAAAGGCTTTTACAAAAAGAAGCAGTCTTGGCTGGGCAGGGTGGCTTAATGCCTGTAATCTCAGCACTTTGAGAGGCAAAGGTGGGTGGACTGCATGAGCCCAAGAGTTTGAGACCAGGCTGGGCAACATAGCGAAACTCCGTCTGTAAAGAAAATACACAAATTAGCCAGGTGTGGTGGCCCACGCCTGTAGTCCCAGCTACTCGGAAGGCTGTGGTGGGAGGATCACCTGAGCCTGGGAGGTAGAGTCTGCAGTGAGCTGAGATCGTGCCACTGTACTCCAGCCTGGGTGACAGAGTGAGACCCTGTCTCAAAAAAAAAAAAAAAGAAGAAGCAGCAATCTCATACGTGCTTTTTGCAGGCCAAAGAAGAAGAAGCAATCTCATACTTGCTTTTTGCAGGCCACTATTTTCAAACTAATTTCTTTTTTTTTTTTTTTAGACAGGGTTGCACTCTATCACCCAGGCTAGAATGCAGTGGTGGTGGGATCATAGCTCACTGCAGCCTTGACCTCCTGTGCTCAAGCAATCCTCCCACCTCAGCTTCCTGAGTAGTTGGGACTACAGGTACACGCCACCACGCCCAGCTAATTTTTGTGTTTTTTGTAGAGACAGGGTCTCACATTGTTGCCCAGGCTAGTCTCATACTCCTAGGCTCAAGTGATTCACCCGCCTTAGCCTCCCAAAGTGCTAGGATTACAGATGTGAGCCACCATGCCTGGCCGCTAATTCTTGAGTGTTCAGTTTTGGCATCTTTACACGGGGAAAGATTTATCTCTTTTTCATTCTCCTCACCCCCACCATGAACCCACAGACTTTTTATCCCACCATGCTACTAATGTAATGATTTTTGTTAGATTAATTTACAGGATCTACATCATTAGTTTACATTTACATCATTAGAATTATATAACTGTCACTCACAACAGAACAGCAAGCTTATAGGTGCTTAAGTATGCCTCTTCTCAGGCCTCTCTTCTGGAATGGAGACTGAAGACAGGCCTGGGAAATTTTATTTTTCACAAGTTTCCAAGATGGTGTTATGAGGGGGGTTGGAAAATAATGTTCTTGTTTTTCTGGCTCTACTTTAAAAAAAAGCTTTATTAAGATATAACTTACATATTATAATATTTTAAGTGTAAAATTCAATGGGTTTTGCATGTTTGCATAGTTTTGCAACTATATGCACAACTTTTAGAACACCCCAAAAGAAACTGCATGCCTATTTGCGATCACCCCCTTTCTTTTCTCTCCCCCAGTCCTAGGCAGCCACTAATCTACTTTCTGTCTCTATAAGATTTGCCTGTTCTGGACATTTCATATAATGGAATCATATAATATATTGTCTCTTGTGTCTTTCACTTAGCTTTCATATTCTTTTTTTTTTTTTTTTTTTAAAGACAGAGTCTTACTCTGTTGCCCAGGCTGGAGTGCAGTGGCATGATCTCAGCTCACTGCAAACTCTGCCTCTGGGGTTCAAGCAATTCTCATACCTCAGCCTCCCAAGTAGCTGGGATTACAGGCGTGCACCACCACACCCAACTAATTTTTGTATTTTTAGTAGAGACGACGGAGTTTCCCCATGTTGGCCAGGCTGGTCTCGAAGTACCGACCTCAGCTGATCCACCCACCTCAGCCTCCCAAAGTGCTAGGATTACAGTCATGAGCCACTGCACCCGGCCAACTTAATATTTTTGAAGTTCATCCATATATCAGCACTTCATTCCTTTTTATTGCCAAATAGCATCAGTTGTATGGAAATAGTGTTTTAATGTGAGTGTTTTGCTGGTATACATTTGCCCAAAGGATTGCCTTGGTTTTTTCATTTGCTTGGTGTGTTCTTTTATGTGTAACTCTCCTCTAGTGTCACGAAATCTCCTTTTATGTGTTAATCTCCTCTATCCAAACAATTTAGGTGTTCTATGAATTTCATCTTCTTGAAGAAATCTTTCTTCTGACTGCTCCAGTCTCTAGTCTGGGCTGGATGCCTCTAGGTCTCTTGTACAGCTGTCATCTTGGGGACATTTTTCATTACCCTAGGGATGATTCCCTTTGCCATACTTTTGTACTGGACTTCCTCTTTCTTCCATCAAAGACAAAAGATGCCTTTTTTCCTTGATGTACTTTATTTTGGTGGAGCATATTATCTACTTTCCTGAAAAAATGGTTTATGGGAGATAAATCATAAAAAGGTTTTATTAGATTCTACATCTCATGATTGATCCAAAAGACGTTTTAAAAACAAAACAAAAAAAGGCCTTGTAGGTCTTAACTCTTACTTAGCCTCACATTTATTTGATAGTTTGAGTGAGTATCTTAAAAATTGAAGATGATTATAAAAATTTTAATGTAGACATTATTTTTTCTCAGAATTTTGAAGGCACTGCTCTGTCTTTTGCAGTTGGAGAGTCTGATGCCATTCTGATTCTTAAATCTTTTATACAAAACATGTTTTTGCTTTTGGCAGGAAGCTTTACCTTTTCTTTCTTTCAAGTGTCCTGAAACTTCACTGAGATGTATCATGGTATAGGTCCACTTTGATCCACTGTCCTGGACACTTGCTAGGCCTTTTCAGTCTCGAAGCTCATGACTTTCAGGTAAGAGAAATTTACGTCTAAGACCTCTTTTTTTTTTTTTAAAGCATCCCTTCTCTCTTAACTGAGTTTTTTCCCGGCTTCTCGGAGATACTATCCTCGAATTCTCTGGTAATATGTGACTCTGCTCAAACTTCAAGACTAGGGAACTAAAGACTGACAGGTGTTTTGAATTCTTGGGTAGGACTTGTTGACCTTCATTGTAGGGTGATCAAACTGAGATCCTTTTGGGGGGAATCCCAGATTCCCTCAGATAGGAGTCTTTTACTAAAAATTACAGAGAGTGCTGGTGCCTCTATTTCCTTAGTGAGTCTCAAAAATACTTCCATGCACATTCAGTGACTTTAAAAAACCCGTGTCTCATTTTACCTGGAAATATAATACTTTTTGTTTTTACTGGCATTTCACAAAAAATTTTTGTTGTTGCTCAGTGTTTGAAGATACTCATGTAGTATGTATTCAAAAATTAGGAAAGACAATGGGCCTCAAAAGCATATGCTTTGCCAGTCATGATGGTTCACACCTGTAATCCCAGCACTTTGGGAGGCCAAGGCAGGCAGATGGCTTGAGCTCAGGAGTTCAAGACCAGCTGGGCAACAATGG
Organism: Homo sapiens; assembly: GCF_000001405.40. Taxonomy (NCBI): domain Eukaryota; kingdom Metazoa; phylum Chordata; class Mammalia; order Primates; family Hominidae; genus Homo; species Homo sapiens. The sequence continues at coordinate 92,518,095 of NC_000001.11, read as the reverse complement.
CGAAACCCCGTCTCTACAAAAAATACAAAAGTTTTCCAGGTGTGGTGCCATGCACCTGTAGTCCCAGCTACTTGGGAGGCTGAAGCAGGAGGATTGCTCAAGCCCAGGAGGCAGAGGTTGCAATGAACTGAGTTTGCACCACTGCACTCCAGCCTGGGCAACAGTGCCAGACCGTGTCTCCCCCGACCAAAAAAAAAAAAAAAAAAAAAAGCATATAATATTGTATGTGTAATTTTCAAGTGGATAGTTTTTATCAGATTCCTGATTCCCTAATAAGCCCAAAGAGATTTCAAACAAAACCAAAATACAAACAAAAGCCATTGCCTAGAGTAGTGGTCCCTATTCTGAGATGTGCATCAGAGTTATTCAGGTCTTTAGCCCCTACCTCTATACCACAAGAAGAAAGTTGCAGAAAACGTTCATTTAAACAGTTTTCCTTGTGTCAACCATCAGGTGGTAGAATTGGCCCGGAACAGCTTGGTTGTACTACTGGAAAGATCGCATCCATTTCTACATACCAGACACTAGTCAGATGTTCATAGTTCAGAAGCACTTTTGTCCTAAATAATTAAGAGTTCCATTTCAGCTAAATCAACTTTTTTCTGTCTCAGCCCCATTTTATTTGAACCAGAGGGTCTACCACGGTGATTCTGAGAGTTTAGAGCACTGTCATCCCTTGGTATCTATGGGGGATTGGTTTCGGATCCCTATGGATACCAAAATCCATGGATGCTCAAGTTCTGTATATAAAATGATGTAGTGTTTGCATATAACCTACAGACATCCTCCCATATACTTTGAGTCATCTCTAGATTACTTTTAGCACCTAATCCAATGTAAATAGTTGTTATACTGTATTGTTTAGGTGATGATGACAAGAAAAGAGTCGGTACATGTTCAGTATAGAGGAAACCATCCTTTTTTCTCCTAATTATTTTGGACCCACAATTGTTTGAATCCATGAATGTGGGTCGCACTGATACAGAGATCCGACCATATTTCAAAATTTCCTGAATGCGTGTAAAAAATGTATATTCTGGGATTTCACTTTTCAAAAGGATTCAAAATCCTTGGATCTCAAGAGGGATTCTACATTTTTGACAGAGATCCTCAGTTCTTATGCAGATGACTAGTGGATTACGTTTTGAAATATGCTAATCTCAGTTTGCTACTGATAATACCCATAAGGATTTTTTTCTTTTTTTTTTTTTGGAGGAAAGGGAGAGTTGGAAAGGTTGATTGTCTGCCTGCTTTTTGTTGTTGCTTAAATATAGTTTGCCCCTGAAAGTCTGGTAATAAGGATAAGCAGTATATCATTTAGATCAGATAGCCAGGACTGCACTTTAGAGGGCCCAGCTGTGGCTTTCTTCTAGCCAAACCCCTTTCCACAGGATGAGGACTCCCAGAAGACATGTCTACCTGAAGTTCATGCAGCCCCTTCTAGAACATATTCTGGGTAGTCAGTACCCTGGAATTCCTTCCCCAAATGCCCACTTCCAGACCTAGTACAGGACTCCTCCCTCATCAGATCCAGTGTGCACACACCTAAGTCTAAGGGACAGATAACCAAGGGATAGCTTCAGTTTTACCACATAGTCGCTTACCTTCACCATTTTTTCTCTCCACCAATAAATTCCTTTACGTTTGCTATTCCATATTAACAGCTCTCAATGAGATTCCTTTGATGTTGAGGAAATGACCCTTCAACCTATAGTTAATTTTCTATAATTACATCTGATGATGAGGCTGCAGTGTTTTAATTGCAATAAATTTTGTTAGAGCAAAGGAAAGCTGCAGCTTTCCAAACAGTTGGGAAGTTGTGGTTCTTCTGCCATACTCCTCCTTTATAACAGCCAGGAAGAAGGAAGACACATGTTCCATATGATTTCTTCAAAAAGGTCTGGGGGAAAAAGAGAAAGGAAGAGATTAACTGACTTAATTTAACACTTGGAGCTATAAATTGTGTGTTGCAATATTGCGATAGGATGTTGCATCAGAACGTGGCAGTTGTAACAATGCAGTGGGTATCATAACCTTGAGGAGGCCTTTGTGGTGCTATATGCCCTTTTCCTAAAGATTCAACTCCAAGTATAGATCCCTCTGTTCTGCCAAGGAGAATGGTATTATTTAAATTACGTTGTACCTCACTATAAATTTGTCCACTTGGTCTAGGGCACAGGAATATAGTTGAAGGTCTGCTTGGGCCAGACATCATTGTTCTGAGTCCCTGCATCCCTGCTGATTCTTGTTGTCATATACAAGCAGGGAAGTGCTGAGGTTTCTTCACTTCTTCCTGGAAGTCTTTCAGGAAAGCTGGGAGGTATTATGGTGAGGCTGTAATGTCTTTATTCTCAGGACCGTTAGTTTTGAAAGTGTATGTAATATTTCCTGAATATTTCACATTGCCTTTATCTAAAGAATTGAAAGATTGTGACTAGGAGTTTGTCCCTGAGAAACAAGGATGAGGGTAGGAGACGTGGAGCATATTTTAGCAAGATTCTTAATAGTCAGAGTAGATATTTGGTAGCTAATTCTTGTTTTTGGTTTTGGTTTTTTACTCTTCCACTTTATTGTAGGAGAAAATTCATGGTGCATGAGAGAAATGAAATAAGTGACAGAATGTCAAAATCAAACTTTAAAACATAAACTCTTGAGGGCAGAGCTGATGACTTAATTGTATGTGAGTAGAACTGGTACTGTCATGGTTGTGGATTTGGGAGTTTGAGGAAACTTGAGCAAAGAAGTGGCAGATGATGAAAATAAATCAGTTTTAATTCTGATAAAACTGGTTTTGGAAAATGTGGTTTAGATTTAAATGTGGCACAATTTTTTCAATACTAAACTCTAGAATTAGTCAGACTTGCCCACCCAGTAACAGGTAGCTTTTGACCTCCTTAAGCCTCCTTATGTGAGGGTCTTGTACTATAAAACTCCAGGGATTGAGGACTAGAGCCTCATTCTAAAAGATGGGAAGAAAGGGAAAAGAGATGAGTGAGGCATACCATTCCTCTCTCCTCCTCCCCACTAAGAGAAGCCTCACCTTCTCCCCAGGGGGAGTTGGGGAGAGAAGGCAGAAATGTTATACCGGACTGGCACTCCCCCCATGCAGAAGGAAACCTCATGAGTGGGAAGCAGCATTCCTCTCCCACAGTAAGTGACGGTGATATGCTGGCCTTTGGGCTATTATAACAGGATGGAGACTCTTAGCAAAGTTTTAATGATTTATAAATCATTTTCATCATTTACAGAACTATGGAGACATTCTCTCAAGATAGTGTGTGTGATAGTATGGTTTTTAAGTTCATACCTTCTAGAAATACCAGCAAAATATTTACAGATAAACTGATAGGATGTCTGGGGTTTACCTCAAAATTATCCAGGAACAAGAGGTGTGTAATGTAAAAAGATTGTCCATGATGGGTGTTACTTGTTGAAATTAGGTGATGGGTACATGGAGTCCATTATATTATCTCTAGTATAATGAAGATTTAGTTTGAATCTAAACTTTGCTACTAGCTATATATGTCCTTAGCAAGTTACTCTTCCTGAGTCTCCATTTCCTAATCTGTAGAATGAGAAAAGTAAATACTAAAATCTATCACATAGGACGGTTGTTATTATTCAATTAAAGTAAGTTACAGGCCAGGTGTGGTGGCTCACACCTGTAATCCCAACACTTTGGGAGACTGAGGCAGGCAGATTGCTTGAGCCCAGGAGTTTGAGACCAGCCTGGGCAACATGGTGAAACCCCGTGTCTACAAAAAATACAAAAAAATTAGCCAGGCATGGTGACACACGCCTGTAGTCCCAGCTACTCAGGAGGCTGAGGTGGGAGAATCGCTTAAGCCTGGGAGGCGGAGGTTGCAGTGAGCCGAGATCGCACCACTGCACTCCAGCCTGGGTGACAAAGTGAGACTGAGACCTGTCTCAAAAAAAATAAAATAAAAATAATTATGAGCCCATTATATATAACACATAGAAGGCACTCAAAAATTAGTAACTATGATTATACCTGTAAATAGAAAAATAATAAGGCATCTTCTTCCTTAAACATGGAATGTTTGCTTTTTGGCGTGTGTGTGTTTCCCCCATTTGACTGTATTAACTTGGATTTTGTTTTAACAGCTCAGGTGCCTAAAAGGCCAGAGGGGCTTCTCAGGCCAACCTCCTTTTGATGGAATCCACATTGTCAACCATTTAATAGGAGATGATGAATCATTCCATTCCTCCGATGAAGATTTTATAGATAATTCCTTACAGGAAACTGGTGTTGGTTTTCCTTTGCACGGAAAATCTGGTTCGATGTCTTTGGACCCCGCAGTGGCAGATGGTAGTGAGAGCGAAACAGAAGACAGTGTGCTGGAGACCAGAGAGAGCAACCAAGTGGTTCAAAAGGAGCGGCCCCCGAGAAGAAGAGAGTCGTATTCAACCACTGTCTGACCATCACTGTGACCTAGACTATGGATTTATTTAAGGGATCAGTTATCATATGATTAGGGCTTTTTGGAAATAATTTGTTTCATATGTACATATATATATATATATATATATATATATATATATATATATATATATATATATATATTTTACAGTCTTATCTGCCTTTTTATCTTTGCCAAATCTTTACCACTGATTTACCATTGCCATAAAGTAGACTGGTATATGGTTAATGTGTAAAACAAGGTTCTAACAGTATTACTGAATATTAATGTTTCTTGTTTAGAAAATGCAACTATATCTATATGTGGGAACCATTCTGAAGTTCAAAACTATGGAAAATTGAATTTTCTTCAGACAAAACTGCTCTTGTGCAATATTTTATGCTCAGTGAGCAAATTGTGTATTTATGTTTATCAATTTGTTCTCAAGGTGGCTGTCTACAGACATTTGACCAAGACATACATCTGATTTACCTTGTGTTTTTTTTTTTATTGTTGTTTTTTTTTTTAAGACAGAGATTCAGTCTGTCACCCAGGCTGGAGTGCTGTGGTGTGATCTTAGCTCACTGCAACCTCCGCCTCCCAGGTTCAAGCAATTTTCCTGCCTCAGCCTCCCGAGTACCTGGGACTATATGTGCGCACCACCACGCCTGGCTAATTTTTTGTATTTTTAGTAGAGATGGGGTTTCACCATGTTGGCTGGGCTGGTCTCGAACTCCTAACCTCAAGTGATCCACCCGCCTCAGCCTCCCAAAGTGCTGGGATTACAGGTGTGAGCCACTGCACCCAGCCTACCTTGTCTGTTTGTGTCTGGGAGGTTTTTTTTTTCTATTTTTATTTTTTCATGAAAATTATTGGTGGGCCACTGAAAGTCCCCACACACAAAGCCTTTATTCTATATAATTTTATAAACACAAATTCATGATTATCTGTTTTGAGAGTTTTAAGTTTTGTTTTAATGTTTAACTTTTATGTGCATATGATGCTTCCATGTGTTGGTTACTAGAGTAGTAGGTTAACTACAGACATACTGTTTTGTTTGTACATATTTATAAATCTGTACCACCTAACATTGAACATCATTTTATATGAAGAACATACATGTTGCAAAATGACTGCTTTCAGCATCTAACAGGACTTCTGTAAATAATAGGTTAAAAGTTAAAAATAAAACACTAATGTTTTAAGAGCTTTAGTATTTTGCTTAGCATTCAATACTAGCAGATTCATAACTGATGCCTGTTCAAAAACACTGTTGGTGGAATCTTTTATTTCATGTGTATGTAACTACTAAATTTTTCATGACTGAAGAGGTTATAGCACATATTAGTTAGTGCTAATATTCTACTGAATATAATTTAAGCAATGGGCTAAGGTCCAAGAAACATAGCAATTATATCTACAAATAATCTATTAACATGATCTTCAGAATCTCTAGTTTTTGTTCTATAGATAAAGCCATAAGAATCCTTTCCTACCAGTTTTTCCTATATCATTTAGATATTATTTCCTAGAAAACAGGATGCCTGTCACTGATAAGTTAGAGAAAACACCCAAATTATACTTGCACTATGGAAAGACGACATGAATATGTTGACTGGGTACTTTCTACTCTCATTTTTGTTAGCCTATGAAAAAAAAAACATTTTGTTAACCTATGGAAAAAGCCTTGGAAGAGAAAAGTAGAATTCAGTATGTATGGAGGCACAGTTTTGCACAGTATGTTGCATGCGGCAAAAAAAAAAATATGAAATAGAGTAGAAGAGATAAAAGTAGTTTTCTGTCAAAAACTAGGAGTTAAGCCTTCAGGTACGTTGTGGACTAGGCTTTCCAGCAAGGTTTTTGTAGCTATTTGCTTGCCTGAGAAATGAAATTGAAAACATACCCCTGCGTGTCTGTCCTTAACACCAGGCTAAATTCTGGTGGTTAAATAACTTATCTGTGGTTACAAGCTAGTAAGTAGCAGAGCCAAGATTTTTTTTAATATAGAGACAGGTGTCTCACTGTGTTGTCCAGGCTGGTCTTGAACTCCTGGCCTCAAGTGGTCCTCCTGCCTCAGCCTCCCAAAGTGTGGGGATTACAGGTGCGAGCTACTGCTCCCAGCAAGAGCCAAGATTTTAACCTAGATCTCCCTAACACCAAAGCTTTTGAAAGGGTTCAGCTGAAGAATTTCTCAATTCTCTGTTTTGTTTTGTTTTTATTTTTGTTTTTTGAGATGAAGTCTCACTGCACTCAGGCTGGAGTGCAGTGGTACGATCTTGGCTCACTGCAACCTCCACCTCCCGGGTTCAAGCGATTCTCCTGCCTCAGCTCCCAAGTAGCTGGGACTACAGGTGCACGCCACCACAACTGGCTAATTTTTGTATTTTTAGTAGAGATGGGGTTTCGCTATGTTGGCCAGGCTGATCTCAAACTTCTGACCTCAGGTGATCCACCCACTTTGACCTCCCAAAGTGCTGGGATTACTAGACGTAAGCCACCACACCTGGCAATTCCCTGCTTTTTTGACAACATAATTTAAATGAATTTGATTTAAATGTTTCCTGAATATATATACAGATAGATAGATGAGTATCAACACTTACAAGCTCTACACAGTCTGTGAGTGTAGATACTACTTACTCGTAGGATTGTCTTGTGCTTTGGGGATTTTTGTTCGGAGTTCTATACTATCAGCCCAGAAAGCTATCAATGTCCAAGTGAAGTGAGATGATGCATGGCCACATTATTGCTTTGACCCTCACATCAAGAAATCTGAATGATCTGGACCAGGGGTCAGCAAAGTGCAGCCTACAAGCTATTGCAGTCAGCTGCCAGTTTTTACTTTTTTAAATAGTTGGGAAAAAAATTCCAAAGACTGATATTTTGTGTCACATGAAAATTATATGAAATTCAAATTGCAGTGTCCATAAGTAAAGTTTTATTGGGGCACACCCATGCTCACCCTTTTAAATATTGTGTATGGCCGCTTTGTGCTACAGTAGCAGAGTTGAGTCATTGCAAGGGAGACCATATGGCCCAGGTAGCCTAAAATATTTATCTGATCCTTTACAGAAAAAGTTTGCTAACCCTTGATAACAGATACTCTAAAATGCAGGTTTTTCTTCTTCAATTTAGCTCAGTGGTAGGTCAAATTGTTTGCTTTTGCTATTAAGCTTATGATTTGGAAACGTAAAATTTCATGGTGGATATTATAATCAGAACTATTCAAAAGGGAAAACATGCCAGCCATTTTATATGATGAAGTCTCTTATTCCATAGAAAACTGTAGAAAGATATCTGTATCTTTGGAGAAGGAGAAAGAAAGGAAAGAACTCCAGAATCCCATCACTGTTCTTTAAAGCATGCATCACAGACCTTTAAGAGTATGCTTTATTGAGTAAAGGTTATAGTTTGACTTTAAGATAAGAAATTTTCTAGAATCATGTTTGAATTCTAAACGTTGATATTCTTAAGTACCATTTCTGATTAGGAATTAGGTGTTAAAAGAATCATGGTAAGGAAACCTTAATCCGTTGAAACTCTTGTAATTTGGACAACAAAAAACTAGAAATAACACTCTTTTCTTTGAAGATCTGATTCAAATACACCTTAGAAGAGTTTAAAATCTCCCAGGCCTTTAGGATGCAATAGGATATTATGCCTTGGTTTGACTCCTTTTCATTCAAATTAATGTAAGTATGTTGTTCAAGACTTTGAAGCATTGAACAATGTTCTCGATGAATTTTATTTAATTACTGACATTTTGTGATATTTGAATGTTATTAAGTTAAACACTTAGAGTTGAGTATATTCAGGGGAGAAAAGTGAATGAAATGACTCATAATAAGAAAGCTTGCTCCCTTGGGACAGTTACCTTCCTGGTGTCATTGCCATCCTGGGTTGACAAGCTGAGAGTAGAGGATACAAGTGATGTGAATAAAATGGAAATTGCATTGAGTTAATGAAACAGACACTTTTAGATCAAGAAAACACTTCAACAGCCTTTTTAGAAATTGGCACACTCCTATAGTCCCACCTACTCAAGAGGCTGAGGCAGGAGGATCACTAGAGTACAGGAGTTTGGGGCTGTAGTGTGTAATGATCACACCTGTGAAAGAATAACCACTGCACTCCAACCTGGGCAACATGGCAAGACCCTGTCTCTTTAAAAAAAAAAAAAATCCTGGGAAAAGAAGTCAAAGATGTAATTTTACACAATTTCTGCCCCCACCGTCTTTTTTGTTTGTTTGTTTGTTTGTTTGTTTTTTGGCTAGATACTAGGTATTCAGTGTTTGCTGAGATGACAGGTTTCTACTAATCAGCCAGTTATTTGGGAAGGAGAAAAACTTTTTCTCAATTCTGAACATGATGCAGCTTGTTAACTCTCCAGATAGTGCCTTTGATTGAAAATAAGGTCTACACCTTTTTAAGTATATTATTTCTGACATCGTAAGAAATAATTTAGTTCCTTATTCTCATTTATCTTTTATATAATGTACTGTAATATTCAGGTTTAAAGTAAAATAAGTATATGAATTATATTTTGGTAAAACTGTTTCATGACCAGCTTGATTAATGTATATTAACATACCAGACATTGACAGCGAACATTTCATGAAATCAGTTATTTACTTACCAAAACAATGAGTTTTAGCTTGAAAGTTACTGCTGCTCTATTATTAACAAAACTAAGTTTTAAAAATTAATTTTAATTCTACTGAAGTTTAATTTCTGGTTAAAGGTATAGTGGATGCTATTTATGATCCAAGTTTTTACATCACATCCATTGATCTGCCTATCCCTTCTTTTTACTCCAAAGAGGAGATGATAGAATAATACATTCAGTATACTACCAAGAAGCAAAGTTATAATGTGTTTCATTTTGCTATTGGAATTTTTTATTGTAACATTGTATGATAACCTGAAATGTTTACTTGTGCCTTTTCTTTAAACAATTAAAGTTTTCCATTTTATAAGAATTTCTGTTTCCTTCAGCTTTTCAACTTTAAAAGAGGAGGGGCATCAAAACACTGTTAACAAATGGGTGGGGCGCGGTGGCTCACACCTGTAATCCCAGTACTTTCGGAGGCCGAGGCGGGCAGATCACTTGAGCTCAGAAGTTCGAGAACAGCCTGGCCAACATGGTGAAACCCTCTCTCTACTAAAAATACAAAAATTAGCCAGGTGTGGTGGTGCATGCCTGTAGTCACAGCTACTCAGGAGGCTGACACAGAAGAATCGCTTGAACCCGGGAGGTGGAGGTTGCAGTGAGCCGTGATCACACTACTGCACTCCAGCCTGGGCGACAGAGCAAGACTCCATGTCAAAAAAAAAAAAAAAAAAAGGTTGGCCTGATGTGAAACGTTCATTAGCAAGGTTTGTGCTCCGAAGGTGCAGGGACTACATCCACCTGGTCCACCCACATATTTTTAGTGCTAAACAGAGAATCTGGCACGTGATTGCATTCAGTAATTTTTTTTTTTTTTTTTTTTTTTTTTTTTTTTTTTTTTTGAGATGGAGTTTCACTCATGTTGCCCAGGCTGGGGTGCAATGGCAAGATCTCGGCTCACTGCAACCTCCTCCTGGGTTCAAATGATTCTCCTGCCTCAGCCTCCTGAGTAGCTGGGATTACAAGCATGCGCCACCACACCCGGCAATTTTGTATTTTTAGTAGAGACGGGGTTTCTCCATGTTGGTCAGGCTGGTCTCGAACTCCCGACCTCAGGTGATCCGCCCGCCTCAGCCTCCCAAAGTGCTGGGATTTCAGTCGTGAGCCACCACGCCCGGCCCAGTAAATATTTTTTAATTTAATGAAAGACCATCTTTAGTGAAAGATGTCTAGGTTTGTTTCCTTCAGGAACATGGTAATTTTTTGGAAATCTCAATAGCAGTATTTTCATCTCACATTGTACTTTAGGTTATTAATTAGCAACTAATTCAATAAATACATTCAATTATATATAATTTGAGTACACATATAGCTACTATCATAAAAGGAAAGTTATACCTTCTGCATCTTTATCACAATGTTAATGTCATTTAGTTCACAAGCAAGAGCTTACTATATATTCTGCTTTATTCCCAACAGGAATTAAGGTACGTTTTGTAGATACCTGAAATATGACAAGCTATATAATCCAGGGAGTCTCCACTTTGTCACTGACATTTGGAAGTAGCCAAATAATTCTGTTTTGGGAGGCCCTGTACATTGTAGGATGTTTTGCAGCATCCCTGGCCTCTACCCAGTAGATGCCAGTAACACCCCCTCCTTTAGTTGGGACAACCCAAAATGTCTCCAAACATGGGCAAATGTCACCAGCAGGAAGGACAGAGAATGAAAATCACTGCTAGTTGAGAACCACTGCTATAAATTTAGAATTGGGTCATAAAAAGAGCCACTCGGGCCAAACATAAGAATATATACATCATTTGGGGTTTTGTAAATGGCAGAGCAGCTCCCTCACTGCAATCTATTGAAAGTCAGCCCTTGACACAAGGGTTTGTAAAATACAAAAACATAAACTACACACACACACACACACACACACACACACACACACACACACACACACCAGCCAGGTACCGTGATTCATGCCTGTAATCCCAACACTTGGGGAAGATGACATGGGAGGATCCCTTGAGGCCAGGAGTTGGAGACCAGTCTGGGCAAGATAGCAAGCCCCAGTCTCTTTAAAAAAAAAATTATATGTATATATTTATACACATACACACACACACATATATATATACACACACCCCTATTAAAGATGCATCACAAATTTGACTCTGTTTCCAGTAAGTGAAAAAAGTAGTATCTGAACCACAACGAGGTACCATTTTACACACCTATTAGGATGGCTATTTAAAAAATGAAAATATGCCCTGTGAAAACCCGGGAGCTCAAAAGAAAAAAAAAAACCGTTGGCAAAATATGTGGAAAAACTGGAACCCTTGTACATTGCTGCTGGGAGTGGAAAATGGTGTAGCCTCTGTGAGAAACAGTTCAGTGGTCTTTAAAAATGTTAATTGTAGAATTACCATGTAACCCAGCAATTCCACTTCTAGACATATACTCAAAGCAGTAACTCAGATACTTGTACATCAATGTTCACAGCAGCATTACTCATGATAGCCAACATGTGGGAACAACCCATATGACCAACAGGTGAATGGATAAGTAAAATGTGGTATATACTACATATACAACGGAATACTATTCAGCCATAAAAAAGTAAAAGTATAATGCTACAAAATAGATGAACCTTGAAAACATGCTAAGTAAAATAAGCCAGACACATAGTATGGTTCCACTTATATGAGATATCTAGAACAGGCAAATTCATAGAGACAGAAATAGAGTAGACATTACCCAGCAGTGGAGGTGAGGGAAGAGAGTTAACGGCATAATGAATACAGAACTTTTGTTTGGAATGCTGGAAAAGTTTTGGAGATGGATAGTGGTCATGGCTGCATGACACTGATTGTACTTAATGCCACTGAGTTGTGCATTTAAAAATGGTTAAAATGATAAAAAAAAAAAATACTAGGCATGTTAAGAATTTAGCATCAGCCAGGCATGGTGGCTCATGCCTGTAATCCCAACACTTTGGGAGGCCAAGACAGGAGGATCACTTGAGCCCAGGAGTTCAAGACCAGCCTGAGCAACATAGCAAGACCCCATCTCAAAAGAAATAAAGAACTTAAAGTCAACTTATTTACTAAAGATATTCAAATAAAGATATTTAGAAGGAAAAAAAGTAAAACCTGCGGTTATAAAATTTGCAGCGCCCATGAAATAAGAAAATGTTTAGGCGTAAAATTCTAGCACTAGAGCACTAGACTGGGACTCAAGCTTTGTATTGATTAATCCTGGACAAACAACAAAAAATTATGACCTCCTTGCTGATCCATGGACACACCAGACTCCCATCAGGACCCTGCCCTTCCTAGGATGCTCAGCTAAATACCACAAGGCAGCTCCCCACCTCCACCAGGTCTCTGCTCAACCTGCACAGGAGGCCTTTTCTGATCCTTCCGTTGAAAAAGCCTCTTCCTAGCTTTACTTTTCTCCATAGCAGTGATTACAGTCTGACATCCTACCCATTTTACATATTTGTTGGTTTATTGTTTATCTCCACACCAGAATGCAAGCTTTATGAGTGCAGAGATTTTTATCTCTATCCCAGCAGTGCCTTGGCTCTCAATAAATATTTGTTGAATGAATGCATGAATAACTGAAGAAGTCATTTTACCTCAATGTCTTCATTATTGAAACGAGGTAAACATCTGTGAAATACAAATATCAGTAGAAAGTCCAGGATTCCAATGCAGCCAGCCTAGCTCCAGAGTCCTCTAATTACACAATATTGCTTTGGCACAAGGCACAGATCAGTCACTGTTGAGGAAGCAAAGATGAACCAGACCAACTCCTACCCTCATGCATGGGGCAAGAGATACAGGAGAACAGAAGCACTGCCGTGGGAATTCAGAGGTTACCTTCAACTTGGGGGAGGGGCTTATTTTGCGTCCCTACCCCCTCCCTGCCCATTCCCCACCCTGTGTACAGGATGGTGCCCGTGACCCTGCCACAACCTTTATGTACCACGCCCCATTCTCTCCTACCCTATGACCTGCTCAGAGGTGACCTGCTGATGTCACCTAACTGGGTCTATAGCTGCATCTCTCCTGCACTCCAGATTTTACCAAGAATGTCTGAAAATGAGCATCTTAAACCAGGCCCAGAGAACTTTTTAACTCCTCCTGAACTGACTGTCAGTTCACTGTGTCCACGGTGAGATCAGAAGGCTGCTGTGTCCTCACTCCCCTGTTGCCTACGGTTGGCCACCTTTTCAGAGACCACATAGCGTCTTCTCTGAGGCTGTCCTCAGTTACAGGAGAAAGCAGGGTCAGGTGGAAAGAAACTGGTTGGCTTTAAAGATGTTGTTTCTCTGATTTTTTTTTAAAGGAAATGCATACTGTACACATGAGAGACTCCAAGGCTGAGATGCTGTGGCAGTTGAGATGCACCTGGGAGCTCCTAACTGTTCCCTGCCTCTGCCTCAGAGGGCGGGACGGCAGCCATTGCACACCACCCCCTCCACAGCAAACCAGTCAAGCCTTGTCTCTCCCCCCCACCAAGGGGCTCTTCCCCTCCAGCAGAGGCTTTCCTAGTCTCTGGTGTCACCTATGCCCTTCCTGTCCCAGGACAGGAACAGATACACCCCGTTGGTGCTTGCTGTACTTCTACATTCAAGGCACAATTTTGTGTGTCCCTGCCTAACCTCAACCAGGATGACTTCGTCGTGGGTAGAAGAGATGACATCTTATTCATCAGCCTGCTTTGTCACTTTTGTATGTCTCAAGGTCCAGCATCTGTCCTTGTGCCTGTCACTGGAGTGCAGAATTAGACTAACCATGCTCCATTTACAAAGAGAGAGTTTTAAAACCTTTAGCACATGAATGAATATTTGTCTCTGCAGCCTCCTTACCACCAAATACTCTTAAGGTCAAGCTTCGGCTTCCCAGGAGTCCGTGAGCCATTTCCCTCTCCCAGCTCCCTCGGCCCGGCTGAATTCGTGCCAGAACTACAAAAGCAAGCTGCCGGGTGAAGTGGTAGAAAACCAAAGCATGGGAGTCATGATGTTAAGCACAAATTTTTAAAGAACAATTTCATGCATTTCCACTTGTTAACTCTTAGTCCATTCAGAGGCTGAAGGCAGGTCCAGCTCTGCCCTTTTCTGGCAAGCTGCCTTCTAGTTGTGCTGTGGAGGGATGTTCCTGGTGGGCAGCTCCCCAGGCCAGTGCTGGGATTTGAGTAATCACAGGCCCAAGTAGGGTGTGTGGGAAGGTGTGCTGTTTGGTCTGGCTCACAGCCGCTGACACTCTGCAGCTATTTTAAACGGATCCCACAACCTTTCATTTGCTTCACTAATTTCTCTAAAATAGAATTGTTTATTTGTGGGTGAAAATTGGAGACGTTTCTTGTTCATCACCAAACTGCTCTTTGGTGAGACTGGAGACAATGCGTGTACTGGAGCCTAAAGGGTTTGGCACATAGTAAGTGTTCAATCAACAGCAGCTGCTGTTGTTAGCTGAGTTCCCTGAGAAAGATTGTGCATGGCATCTCTGAATTCCCCAGAACCAGTACAGCCTGCTTGGTAAGGAGTTATTGATGTGAATGTTCCTTCTGACTTGACTTCTCATCTGTGTCCTCTGTCCACATGGTATCTCCACATGTTTGCCATGTGTGGCACATTGGAAGTATTGTTTGAGGTGATTGCACAACAGTCTCTACTTTCTGATTGCTAGTAGTGGTAATGATAATAGTAGTTATTATTATACAGTAATATCCTGCATTAGTCAGGATAGGCTGGATTTTACTGTGTTAACAAATACTCTGAAATCTCAGTGGTTTACATCAGTTCTCACTCATGCTGTGTGTCCATCAAATGCTGGCTGTGGCTCTGCTCTATGCTGTTTTTACTCTAGGACCCAGGCTGATGATGCTACTTCTATTTTGAACATTGCTGAGTGTTGTGGCAGAGGGCAAAGGGATACAGTGAACCACATGCTCGTTCCCAAAACTTCTCCCTGGATGTGATATACATCATTTCGAGGCACATTTCTTTTTTTTTTTTTTTTTTTTTTTTTTTTTTTTTTGAGCTGGAGTCTCACTCTGTCTCCCAGGCTGAAGTGCAGTAGCGCGATCTCGGCTCATTGCAACCTCTGCCTCCCGGGTTCAAGCGATTTTCCTGCCTCAGCCTCTCGAGTAGCTGGGACTGTAGGAGTGCATCACCATGCCCGGCTAATTTGTGTGTGTGTGTGTGTGTGTGTGTGTGTGTGTGTGTGTGTGTGTGTGTATTTTTAGTAGAGACAGGGTTTAACTATGTTGGCCAGGCTGGTCTCGAACTCCTGACCTCATGATCCACCCGTCTCGGCCTCCCAAAGTGCTGGAATTACAGGCGTGAGCCACCACGCACGACCAGAGGCACATTTCATTGGCTAAGGTAAGTCACATGCTAAGACATCCCAGGGAGAGGGCAGTGACTATTTGGAAACATAGTACTTACTCTGTGCCAACAAGTACTCTGAGTACATTTTAGAAACAATGGCTTTATTGTGATATAATTCACACACTATAAAATTCAGCCTTTTAAAGTGTACAATTGCATAGTACAGCACAGAGTTGTACAACCATCACCACTATCTAATTTCAGAGTATTTTCAGCATGAAAAAAGAAACCTAATACTCACTGGCAACTACTTACCATTTCCTCTTCTCAGCCCCTGGCAACCATTATTCTACTTTCTGTTTCTATGGATTTGCCTATTCTGGACATTTCATATAAATGAATCATAGAATATGTGGCTTTCTGTGTGTGCTTCACTTAGCATAATTTTTTGAGGCTCATCCATGTTGTAGCATCTATTAGTGCTTCATTGTTTTTTTCTTTTTATTTGCTGAATAATATTCTATCATATGGGTATACCTCATTTTGTTAATCTATTCATCAGTTAATGAAGATTTAGTCTGTTGTCATTTCTTTCCTATGATGAATGATGCTGCAATGAACATTTATGTACATGTTTTCATGTGGACATAGGTTTTCAATTCTGTTGGGCATATACCTAGGAGTAGAATTGCTGGGTCATATAATAATTCCATGGTTTTTTGTTTGTTTGTTTGAGACGGAGTCTTGCTCTGTCGCCCAGGCTGGAGTGCAGTGGCGCTATCTCGGCTCACTGCAAGCTCCGCCTCCCGGGTTCACGCCATTTTCCTACCTCAGCCTCCCGAGCAGCTGGGACTACAGGCACCTGCCACCATGCCTGGCTAATTTTTTGTATTTTTAGTAGAGACAGGGCTTCACCGTGTTAGCCAGGATGGTTTCAATCTTCTGACCTCGCGATCCGCCCGCCTTGGCCTCCCAAAGTGCTGGGATTACAGGCATGAGCCACCGCGCCTGGCCAATAATTCCATGTTTAACATTTTGAGGAATTGCCAAACTGTTTTGAGTGTCTGAAGTATTTTACAATCCCACCAGCAATATATGATAAGGGCTCCAATTTCTCCACATCTTCATCAATACTTACTATTTTTCCTTTGTTTTGTTTTTTTAATATTATTTAATTTTATTTTAATTGAAAAATAACTGTTATATATGTTTATAAGGTACAATGTGATGTTTTGATATATGTTTATAATGTAGAATGATTAAATCAGGCTAAACACTTTATGTCTTTTATTATTTTAACCAACCTAGTGGGTATGAAGTGGAATCTCACTGTGGTTTTGATCTACATTTTCCTAATGACTAATGGTGTTGAACATCTTTTCATGTACTTATTGACCCTTCATATATATTCTTTGGAAAATGTCTACTTAAATCCTTTGCCCATTTAAAAAATTGGGTTATTTGCTTTTTATTGCTTAATTGTAAGAGTTATTTATATATTCTGCATACAAATTCTTTATTAGATATATTATTTGCAAATTTTGCAAATATTTTCTACTATTCCATGAGGTGTCTTTTTACTTTCCTAATGGTGTGCTTTGAAACACAAAACTTTAATTTGATGAAGTCTATTTTATCTATTTTTCCTTTGGTTGCTTGTGCTTTTGGTGTCATATCTAAGAAACCATTGCCTAATTCACGGTCACAAAGATTCACTCCTATGTTTCCTCTAGGACTTTTATAGTTTTAGCTCTTACATTTAGGTTGATGAATCATTTTGTATATGGTGAGAGGTAGGAATCAAGTGCTTTTTAAAATAAATTTTTTGTGTTGGAATAGTTTTAGATTTACAGAAAAGTTGCAAAGATAGTAGAGAGTTTCCATATACCCTTCTCTCAGCTTCCTCTAATATCTAATATAATCATGGTACATTTGTTAAAACTAAGAAATTAAGAATTGCACAATAGTATAAACTACAGACTTTATTCGATTCTACTAGTTTTTCCACCAATGTTTAGGCTGAAAACTTTTATTTATTACACATGGAAGTTTGTGATATTGAATATAATTGGGGAAATTTTCCTATTTTTCTCTCTAATCATAGGGATAGCTTCATAGATTGTAGTTATAGCATATGTTATTGCTACTATGCTTCCTACCATCCTTAGAATGGTTATTATGAATTACACAGAGTTATCCTTTCTCTGGTTTAACTAAGAGCATCCCTCTCCCAGGGCCAGCATACCTGGAGATTAGAGTGGTCAGGGCACTGAGAAGAGTGAAATGGCTGAGAGCGTTCAGATACCTGGTAATTTATCATTAGCTGAATTTTAAATAAACTGCTTTGGATATAGAAAACTCATTGCCAGTTTTCACTGCAAATGAGGGTATCATCTTCCTAGTTAAATGATTTGTCAAGGACTGCTGGGTAGCCAAGAAAACTTAGTAGGATTAATGACAAAAAATCATAAGTGAAATAAGTCAGGTATAGAAAGACAAATACCACACAATCTCACTTATATGTGGAATATATAAAAGCTGAACTCATAAGAGCAGAGAGTAGAATGGTGGTTACCAGGAGTGGTAACCACTCTTGGGATGGGGTTGGGTGGGATGGGATGTTGGTCAAAGGATACAAAATTTCAATAAACAGGAGGAATAAGCTAAAAAGATATGTTGTACAACATGGTGACAATTAATTATTGTCTACTAAGTATTAACTATAGTTAATAACATATTCTGTATTTGAAAATTGCTAAGAAAATAGATATTAAATTTTCTCACTACAAAATAGTAAGTATGTGAGATAATGCACATGTTGATTGGCTTGATTTAGCCTTTCCACAATGTATATATATTTCAAAATATCATGTTGTACATCATAAATATATACCATCTTTATTTACCAATTTAAATTGATGAATGAATAAAACCAAAATCTGGAATGGCTATTCGACCCATATAAAATTAAAGATTTTCTATAATTTTCCTTTGGCTCAAAAGCCATTGCTAGGAACAGTTCTTATTCTTTTTTTATTCTTTTTTTTTTTTTTTTTTTTTTTGAGACAGGGTCTCACTCTGTCACCCAGGCTGGAATGCAGTGGCATGGCAACCTCAACTTCCTGGGCTCAACTGATCCTCCCACCTCAGCCTCCAAGTAGCTGGGACTACAGGTGTGCAACACTACACCTGGCTAATTTTTTTTACTTTTTGTAAAGATGGGGCCTTACTATATTGTCAGGCTGGTCTCAAACTCCTGGGCCCAAGTAATCCACCTACCTTGGCCTTCCAAAGTGCTGGGATTACAGGCATGAGCTACTGCACCTGGCTCCTTATTCTTTTTTCTTTTAATTTAATTTTATTTTAAGTTCCAGTATACATGTGCATGACATACAGGCTTGTTACATAGGTAAACGTGTGCCATGATGGTCTGCTGCACCAACCAACCCATCACCTAGGTATCAAGCGTCACATGCATTAGCTGTTTATCCTGATGCTCTCCCTACCCCCACTCCCACCGACAGGCTCCAGTGTGTGTTGTTCCCCTCCCTGTGTTCTCATTGTTCAGCTCTCACTTGCAAGTGAGAACACGTGGTGTTTGGTTTTCTGTTCCTGTGTCAGTTTGCTGAGGATAATGGCTTCCAGCTCCATCCATGTCCCTGCAAAGGACATGATCTCATTCCTTTTTATGGCTGCACAGTATTCCATAGCGTATATATACCACATTTTCTTTATCCAGTCTATCATTGATGGACATTTGGGTTGATTCCATGTCTTTGCTATTATGAATAGTGCTTCAGTGAACATACTTGTGCATGTATCTTTATAATAGAATGATTTATATTCCTTTGGGTATATACCCAGTAATAGGATTGCTGGGTCAAATGGTATTTCTGGGTCTAGTCTTTGAGGAATCACCACACCGTCTTCCACAATGGTTGAACTAATTTACATTCCCACCAACAGTGTAAAAGCTTTCCTATTTCTCCACAGCCTCTCCAGCATCTGTTGTTTCTTGACTTTTTAATAATCACCATTCTGACTGGCATGAAATGGTATTTCATTTTGGTTTTGATTTGTATTTCTCTAATGATCAGTGATGATGAACTTTTTTCATGTTTGTTGGCCACATGTATGTATTCTTTCAAGAAGTGCCTATGTAATTTGCCCACTTTTTAATGGAGTTGTTTGCTCTTTTCTTGTAAATTTGTTTAAGTTCCTTATAGATTCTGGATATTAGATCTTTGTCAGATGGATAGATTGCAAAAATTTTCTCCCATTCTGTAGGTTGTCTGTTCACTCTGGTGATAGTTTCTTTTGCTGTGCAGAAGCTCTTTAGTTTAATTAGACTCCTTATTCTTTGTAGAGACATTCTGAAATATTTTCAGGAAGAAATGAAATGATATTGGAATTTACTTCAAAGTAGACTAGTGGAGGAGGGAAGCAGTGCAGGGGACAAAAATGAAACATGATTAGCCATGGATTTACTGCTGAAGCTGAGTGATAGATACTTTGGGTATATTTTTCTATTCTCTTAGGTAGAGTTTGATTTTTAAAAATATGTTTGAAAACCTAGATGATGGGGTTGATAGGTGCAGCAAACCACCATGGCACATGTATACCTACGTAACAAACCTGCATGTTCAACACACGTATCCCAGAACTTAAAGTAAAATAAAATTTAAAAAAAAGATGTTCAATATTTTTCATGCAAATAAGCAATAAACAATAAAACATCCTTTGCTGTGAACTTGTGGGAGGACCTGAGGATTTGGCAATGTGAACAATCTCCAAGGAAAGATGAAGGATTGGCATCCCAGATGTAACTTGGCTCATAGGAAGCCCACTCTACCTAACTCTACAAACCATAGTCAATAGCCCAGATTTTTGGAGCCACCAAGCCAGTCTTTAACCAGAGCTCAGTAATGGTCTCCCACTTTAAGCAACTGATTTAAAATGCAAATTCAGTAAAGCACTTGAGGTGCTGGACATATTCTAGATCTTGACTTGGGTATTGTGGTGGTTAATACTGAGTGTCAACTTGATTGAAGGATGCAAAGTATTGATCCTGAGTGTCTCTGTGAGGGTGTTGCCAATGGAGATTAACGTTTGAGTCAGTGGGCTGGGAATGGCAGACCCACCCTTAATCTGTGGGCACCATCTAATCAATTGCCAGCATATAAAGCAGGTAGAAAAATGTGAAAAAATTAGACTGGCTTAACCTCCCATCCTACATCTTTCTCCCGTGCTGGATGCTTCCTGCTCTTGAACATCGGACTCCAAGCTCTTAGCTTTGGGACTCAGACTGTCTTCATTGCTCCTCAGCTTGTAGACAACCTATTGTGGGACCTTGTAATCATGTGAGTTAACACTACTTAATAAATTTCCCTTTATATATATACATGTGTGTGCATGTGTGTGTCTGTGTGTGTGTGTGTGTGTGTGTATCCTATTAGTTCTGTCCCTCTAGAGACCCATGACTAATACAGATTTTGGTACCAGGAGTGGTTCTAGAGGAACAGAATATTAAGGATGGAGTTCTTTTGTTGGTTTTGGGTTTCTGGGGTTGGCTGCTTAATATGATAAGACCCCAAAATGCTAAGGGCTGTAATTCTAATAGTATGGAGAACACTGATAGTCCTTGACGTGAACTGTTTAGAGTTATGCAAAATAAATGCATTTGACACTCCTGATTCACCGCTCATGAGAGGCAAGCAGTGTAGTGACTCTCTACATAATACCTTTGACTATGTGGAGAACCAAGGAACATGGCCGGGTATGGTGGCTTATGCCTGTAATCCCAGCACTTTGGGAGGCCAAGCCACGTGGATCACTTGAGGTCAGGAGTTCAAGACCTGCCTGGCCAACATGGTGAAACCCCATCTCTACTAAAAATACAAAAAAATTAGCTGGTCATGGTGGCAGGTGCCTGTAGTCCCAGCTGCTCAGGAGGCTGAGGCACAAGAATTGCTTGAACCTTGGAGGTGAAGGTTGCAGTGAGCTGAGTTTGTACCATGGCACTCCAGCCTGGGCGACAAGAGCGAAACCCCGTCTCAAAAAAAAAAAAAAAAAATTAATCAGGTGTGATGGCGTACGCCTGTAATCCCAGCTACTCGGGAGGCTAAGGCAAGAGAATTGCTAGAACCCAGGAGGCAGACATTGCAGTGAGCTGAGATCATGCCACTGCAATCCAGCCTGGATGACAGAGCAAGACTCTGTCTCAAAAGAAAGAAAAAAAGAACGAACCTGAACAATAGAAAAGTTTTCCTAGATGAGCAACACAACTCCTTTCTAGTGTAGAAAACAGAAAGGCATGCACTATTCTATATGCAGATAAGATAATTCTTATTATCTGAAACTCAGATCTCCTGATAAAACCCTTTTGGCTAATCACTGTCAGAAAGATTTGATATTTACAAAATAAAATATATATTATATTTGCAAATTTACATTTGGTAGGTATCTGGTAGGTATTTTTCATCTTTTAATTGATTTAGAAATAACAATGTTATAAAAGTCACTTTGTTTAATTACCTTCCTGTACATCACAAATAATCCTGGAGGGCGTGACAGGAAGTAGCCCTACTCATACTAATAACTCTTGATTAAATTAAGATTTTTTTCTATTGGTGTTAATGTTTTAAATTTTGTTTAATGTTAAAATTATGTTGATGTCAAATCTAGTTGGATTATTTGGAAGTTCATTGTACCCATTCTTTAAACTTTTCTCTATTTGCAAATTTGGGGAAATACTATTTTGGTCCTGTTCTATGGATGTGACCTTGTAGGGTCTCATTTGTGTGCTATGCAGACTCAAAACAATTTCCTGGGGTAAAGCTTACACCTGACTTTGGTTTTCCCTTGTGGGTGAGAAAGCCTTTGATACAACCAGCTGTTCTTAGGTACCTCAGCTTTCACAACAGGTCAAACCTACGTTTGAATTGTCTATTAAGGCATATGGATCTGAATTTTAAACAACACAGAATAGAATTCCAGGATTTCGCTGAGAGTATAATCTCATCCTGTCATCAAATATTTATTAAAAACTCAGTAAGGAGAAGCAATTTTCAGAGAGGATTATTTGAAGCATATAAGGATTATTTCAGACAGTCTAGTCTCAAACACATCCATGGATTAAACCAGATCAGTAGACAGCTGGTACCTTGCTAGACAGTGTCATAGTTTCCCAAAGTATAGTTTTTATCAAATTGCACTTTTGTGTGATGTCAACAATGTATATTGAGTGTTATGGGAAATAACATTTGTTGCATTTATTTTAAGATTGTGTAAGAACACTATTAATTTCTATCACAATAACTACTTTTTAGGATCGCAGTGGGAAATATGTCTGTTCTTCCTGGTACCAAGAACAGTTAATAGTCATAGTTATCTCAATTTTGTGATTAAGGAGAGAAGTGGGGAAAGGAGGGAGGGAAGAGAGGGTAAGAGGAAGGGAGGGAGGGAGGAAAGGAGGGAGGAAGGCAAGGAAGGAAGGAAGGAAGGAAGGAAAGAAGGAAAACATTTCCACCTGCCCTCCAACTTCCTCCTCAAAGAATCCCAGCAAAAACAATGAGTAGTTTGGGTTAGAGAAGCATTGTGGAATATGCCAAATGCTTTCTACAATCCAAACTGCTAAATGCTTCTCAAACCAGAGGCAAAAATATCTTTGTGCAAAAAGTAGATCTCGTTATTCTGCAGCCGGTAGAATATTTTGATGCTGCAAAATCCTAACCCCAGCCTCATATCAGGTGGGTTTCAGAACTATAGTGGCAACTGTGCAAAGTGCTGACTGGTCAAAAGAAAAGTCTTGTATCCCAGGCCAGACAGCCATCTCAGAGGCCTGGGATAGGAGGGAAACATTCTTTATTTATTTGCTCCTTTATTCACCTTCCTTGCTACATTCACTTCTGAGTGAGTTGAAGGAGAGCAGAGACCCCATATCCAATCTATGTACCTCACATCTGGCATGGCGTATGACAAAGATTGTTCAGTAAATATTTGTTGACTTGAACTGTACAACTGAGTCCACAAACTCTGTCCTCCTTTAGGACATGTGCCAGCACTGGGACTTTCCATTCCTCAGGCCTCAGTGACTGCTTTTAAACCAACCTCCACACTGGTCACCCCTGGGTCAGCATCCTGAGCAGAGTTTATGCCTGGTGTTTCCTTGTCTCCACCACCCCATTATTTCTTCCACTATCGAACAAAGTGACTGTGAGGTACATGAGCAAATCTCTGATTTGTACAGAAGCTCTGTTCATTCTCCAGCTGATGAGGGGTGGGGGGTATGTGTACGTGTGTGTGTGTAGGTGGCGTGTATGTTCATGTGGGTTTTTTGTTTGTTTGTTTTTTGTGTTTTTTGTTTTGTTTTGTTTTTTTCAGATGGAGTCTCGCTCTGTCATCCAGGCTGGAGTGCAGTGGCACGATCTTAGCTCACTGCAACCTCCACCTCCCAGTTTCAAGCGATTCTCCTGCCTCAGCCTGCCAAGTAGCTGGGACTACAGGTGTGCACCACCACACCTGGCTACTTTTTGTATTTTTAGTAGATACAGGGTTTCACCATGTTGGCCAGGCTGGTCTCAAACTCCTGACCTCAGGTGATCCACCCACCTTGGCCTCCCAAAGTGCTGGGATTATAGGCTTGAGCCACTGCGCCTGGCCCTTCATGTGTTTTAATTAAAGCTCAAATGAAAACTCATGACAGTCCCTACTGATAAATTGCTCCTTGCCAGACAGTAAGAACAGTTGAGAATATTTTAGGAAGAGGCAATGATCCCCTAGCACTTCTCTACCAGCCTCAGCTCAGATGAACTGCTTGGCTTTATGGGGACACAGACCATGACAGTTGGAAGTGATCCTTGGAAAGCCTCCTGTGGGAGATAAGGTCCAGGAGCTCAGGAAGGGAGCCTGAGTCTCTCAGGTCTAATTGGGATATCAGAAATCCATATAAAAATGGCCGGTCATGGTGGCTCACGCCTGTAATGCCAGCACTTTGGGAGGCCGAGGTGGATGGATCACCTGAGGTCAGGAGTTCGAGACCAGCCTGGCTAACATGGTGAAACCCCCTCTCTACTAAAAATACAAAAATTAGCTGGACGTGGTGGCAGGCGCCTGTAATCCTAGCTACTCAGGAGGCTAAGGCATGACAATCGCTGGAACCCAGGAGGCGGAGGTTGCAGTGAGCCAAGATCGCACCACTGCACTCCAGCCTAGGTGACAGAGCGAGACTCTGTCTCAAAAAATAAAAAATAAAAAAAAAAAGAAATCCACATAAAAATGCTTCCTGGCAAGTCTCAGGGGCTGCCTGCAGTGCACAAACCTACTGCCCCTACAATGGGAGGCCTTGAGGCCTACCTCCTGCAGCAGTCCAGGGTCAGGAGTCAGGCTGGCCTGCGTTGGAATCAGGACTCTGTCCTTCTCTGGCTATGTGATCTGGGGAAGGCAAGCCTCTCTGAGTCTATTCCCACAGCCTGTTCATTGGGATGGTTAGAGATAATGTACATAAAAAGGGCCGCCAATAGTGCCTGTTGTAATAGTGACAATAACTAACACTTAGTAAATGCCTACTCTATGCTTTACATGTATTAACTCATTGAATCTGTTCCAGAATCTATGAAGTAGGTGTTGTTATTGTAACCATGTTTGCAGATGAAGAAACTGAAGTACAGAGAGGTTAAGGAACTTGTTTAAGGATAGAAGAAGGCAGAGCCAGAATTTCCAGACATTAGAAATCTGGCTTAGAGTCCATGCTCTTAATTGCTACACTCTTCTGCCTCTTAGCTACTGTGGTATTTATAATTTTTCTTGGCAGGGGTGTAATTATTACAATCATTCAGGAAAATAATTTCTCAATATGTGTCCATAGACTTGAAAATGTTCCTAGCCTTTAGCTGGGCATGGATGCTCACACCTGTAATCCCAGCAGTTTGGGAGTCCAAGGCAGGAGGATCACCTTGAGGCCAGGAGTTCAAGACCAGCTTGGGCAACATAGTGGGCCTACCTCTACAAAACAAACATACAAACACATAAAAAACAAAACACAACAAAAAGGAGGTTCCTAACCTTTGATCCAGGAGGGGAATCACTTCTGGTTATGAATCCTAAAGAAAGAATCCTACATATAGAAAAACCCAGGTACAATTAAAAAAAAAATCACAGCATCATTTATAGTAGGGAAAAAGGGAAATAATCCAACTGTCCAGTAACATAATAAATAAGATCACAGCACATCATCTAAATGGACAATTATACAATATCATCATAGTAGACTCTTTTTTTAAGACTGGGGGGAAAACACTCTGAAATATTACTAGAGGTTGAACTAAGGTAGTGAGATATGGAGCTGTATTTTTACTTTTTATTTTGTCTACTTTACAAATGTTCTATTGAATTAACATAACTATGCTGCTTTCAGCAACTTAAATACTATTATTTTCTGACCTTTGGATGAGCAGCATGCCTGCCAAGTCCACACTGTTGGGAGTGATGGGTTGGGCCTTGCAGCAGGAGAGGAGGGAATGTGTCTCTCCTCCACCATCCCATCCTTACTACCTCTCAAGTCTGTGACAGGCACGTGACTTTTGGCTCCAGGCTTTTCTACCCTATGCTGGATGTGAAACAAGTAATGTGATTTGGTGGAAAGAAACAATATTTGGAATCAACAGATTTGGTTGGAATAAGAAAGCTGCTAGTTATCAGAACCTGGGCTTCTTAAACCACTGGTGTCTCCCCCTTTTTTTTTTCCCTTCCTTTCCCACGTATGGACCACTGGTGTCCTTATCCATAAAACAGAAATGACCAGAATGCCTGCCTTGGAGAACTCCCAGCATTTCTTTCTCTTCTATGAAGCCCAGGATAGCAGCTGAGGTGGAACATCCAGTGGGCTGCATCTACCTATCATCAGTTCATGCTGTCCTTCTGTCTGTCTCTTTGGGCGAGCCTGAGGTTGTTCATGTGGGATGATCCTCCAAGCCCCGCCTCATGCAGACAGCAGCGGCCAGAGATTTTCAGAAGCCTCAACTCCCACCTTACCTCCAGATATGGGGTCATATATTTCCTTTAAGGGAGTTGTGTTTTGTGAGTAATTTTTAAAATTTACAATATATAGGCTGTACTATTTTAAAGTGAAGTGTTTCATCTGGGGTAGGGTGAACTAATCACCAAACATACTGGAGGAAATGGTGAAAAACTCAAAAGAAAGATAATTTTTGCATTTTCTCTCGTTTGATTTTCCATTCACAAAGCAAACTATACTCCTTTTTTTTCCTATAAAAGTTCACACTGGCTGTGTTTCTATGAGGAGTCATATCACATAGCTCACAGTAAGATGACACTTCGTTCAATCTATTCTTAGGAACAATGTAAAAATACGTATGTGGTGAGATTAACAATTTTCTTATTTGAACTCTGAACACCAAAGCTGACAGTCTCCTCCCTCTTCAGATGTTTGAAATCCTTTATGTAAAAGCCTAATTTAAACTTTATAGTAATAGATAATATTTTTAAATGTAATGAGATTTAAATATATCAGTCCCAAAATGTTTATTAAAAGCAAATGTTTTTCTTCATGTTTGAAAAGTAAAAAATATTAATACAAAGTTGGTTCTTATACCTTAAGTCTTCTATTAACTTATCTCCATGTTTCTCCTTTACTTAATTTCCCAATTTTTGCATGAGCTGGTACAAAAAACATTACCCACTTCCCACAAATGATGGTACCATTAAATCGTATTCTGACTTATGGTGTCAGTGGAATTCTATTTTGATAGCCTGCTTCTTATAAGATTAGAAGGGGATAATTATATTACCTGTCATTCAAGTTAAGGCATCACACAGTTATCAGTTTGCATTTATTTTCTTTGAATTAATACAATTAAAATATATGTAATTCTTATTTCAGTTTGACTACACCTATCATGACACCTAATCCAAAGACAAAAATTAAATAGTTTGTTAGTATACATGAGGATAAAACCATGGCAATATGACAGGGTGTGGTTCTAACAAGTACTTCCTGTACATAAAATAAAGACCAGTTCTATATCTGGTCTTTAATCCAAGTCAAACTTTTCCTTAGTTTATTTTTGTAGTCTTTTAACTGTTAAGTGGTATGAATTCTTTTGGCTTATGCATTACATAAGCGCCATCCATAAAACTTGTTCTGGTATGTATCAAGGACCGTACAAATAATCATTGTTGGATCTAGAAATTTCACCCCTAAAAATATATCCTAAGGAAATAATTCCAAATGTAGGGAAAGCTATATTCAAAAATCTTTTCATTGTATTACTTAAAATAGTAAAAACTCGAAACAAGCTAAATAGTAAGATGAGAGTGATTGAGTAAATTATAGTAAACTAGCTGATAGAACTTTTTTATAGCAATTGAAAATGAAAGATTGTATATAAAAAGCAAGGAAGATGATTGTCATGATTTTTATTTAAATAATTTTTACTATAAAAAGTTTATATTCCATTTAAGAAAACAGGAAAATAAAGAGAATAGAAAAAAGAAAAATAATTATAATATTCGGGAAGAAAAGCAGACTACTCAGTTGTATCTGTAATACGATTATAATTTTTGTTAAATAATAGAGCAAGAATACTTGAAAGTTGTTTTACAGAGTTTTATTCTTTTCTTATCAGATATATGTAGCATAATTTGTAATATAGTCTTATTTATATTATTATTTATAATATACAAATAATATAGCATAATTTCTTATACGTTTATATTTAAAACTCAGAAACCCTCATTTGGAGCATTCTCCCATTCTTGCTGCCCAAATGAACAGGTAAAGAGTGCAAATTAAAAGATTGTTCCAGCTGGGCATTGTGGCTCATGCCTGTAATCCCAGCACTTTGGGAGGCTGAGGCAAGTGGATCACGAGGTCAAGAGTTCAATACCAGCCTAGCCAACATGGTAAAACCCCGTCTCTACTAAAAATACAAAAATTAGCTGGGCGTGGTGGTGCATGCCTGTAATCCCAGCTACTCGGCAGGCTGAGGCAGGAGAATCGCTTGAACCCGGTAGGTGGAGGTTGCAGTGAGCAGAGATCACGCCACTGCACTCCAACCTGAGCAAAAGAGCAATACTTCATCTCAAAAAAAAAAAAAAAAAAAAGGTTGCTCCACAGTCTTGCGTGGTAGGTACCAGTATTCCGACTTTACAGGTGAGAAACAGGCTGAGAGTTGAGCTAACTTATCCAAGGTCTCAAAGCTGGTACTAGCAGAACAGAGATTGACAATCACATCTTACTAGCTTTTGAATGCCTGAACTCTTTTTTCCCTTCCTGGTATCATCATGGTGAGAATCAAATGAGGCAAACATAGAAATGTATTCTGGAAATGGGGGTATTGCCCCTCCCTGGGGTTTCAGGATCACCCACTTTTCCCATGCCGTCCCACAAAGGACAGAGATCATAATTGTAAAGCTTTGTGAAAAAATAAACAAGATACTGGTAATATCCTGTTACAATTTTCTTTTTGAAAATGTCTCAGCCAGGCACAGTGGTTCACGCCTGTAATCCCAGCATTTTGGGAGGCTGAGGCAGGAGGATCATTTGAGGCCAGGAGTTTGAGACCAGCCTAGGCAACATAACGAGACTCCATCTCCACTTTTTTTTTTTTAATGTCTCAAATCTTCTGTTGTAGGGAAATTCTGATCTATGAGAGGCTGCTTGAAATAAATGGGCTACTGGCCAAGGCTTGGAAATGTTTGTGGTATGAGAAGGTCAGTTGTTATTTGGCATCGACAGATACATTATTATTGCTATTTAGAAACAATTAGTTTCTAAATATTTGAAACAATTAGTTTCAAATTATTGAAAAGGCAGTAAATGTAAAATTATTCCTTTGGAAAGACCCTATTTATAGAAAATTGTGCCTCAGGTATACATTTTGCTTACCATTAGATCTATTTCAATTCCAAAGGAATATATGGAGGGAGAGGGAGTATTTGTAGCTTCTAAAAATGTTCATGGAGGGGTGGCTTATTCTCTTTGCCCTTAGTTTAATAGAAGCAAGAGGTAGTTTGGAGTAGCAGGAAGTCAGAGATGGGTTCATTGTATCGTTATTTCTAGTCCTAGCTCTTCACTGTCCTTGGCAAGGTTCTTAACCTCTCTGGGTTCCCCTCTTCTTACCTTTCTCCTATTCTTCCCCAAGTGTGGGAGTCACACTTCAACACTATACACCCGGGAGTGTTGTGTTGTTAAAAAGTATTGTTAAATACTTTTTAAACGTGTTGAATACTTGTTAAATACTTTTTAAATGTGTATTTATTTATTTGAGTTAGTACTACATACACATGGTTCAACATGTAAAAGACATAAAGGGAAATTCAGTGCCATCTCCCTCCCACCTGCTCCTTTCTGCGTGTCCCTGTTCCAGTTCTCAGTTTTCTTTTTCAAACTCAGAAATCCCAAGAGTCTGTGAAGGGCAAATGAAAAGCAAAATGACTAGACTAAATCTGAATGAAAGGGATTTATTCTAAGGTGATACTGCTCACTGCTCAAGGTGCTTATCTGCCCCCTTCATGGGCTCCCTCAAGTTTTCTGAGACTTCAAACAGCAACACTCAACTAAACTATAAAATAGTCACAGCACCTTTTCGAGAAATTTTGACTTTGAACTTGCTAATATGCAAAGGAAATAGTCCAACCATTTCTCTAGAACTTGGTTGATAAGAAATTTTATTTTGTCCCATTTATAATTTTATTCTAAAAATTTGTTTTTTTCTGCTATCGAGTAGGAGAGAAGGGAATAAGGGAAAGATTTGTTTTTGCACTACTGTGAGATTTTTATACCTTAGGCCAGGACAAAGCACACAAGAAATAAAATATTAACAAAATGTCCTTAATTTTCCTTTCTGACCAAAATTGCTTGCCTCTGCATTTATATATAAAGAAGGGATGTGTTGAGCAAATGAAGGAGGACAGCTAGGCAGACAAGATTTGCCCAGCGCCTGGCATACAATAGGGGCACAGGTCATTGCTTAACAAAACGTATAATTTATTAATACATGCTCGAAGCACTGCTATACTAACCAAATATTCCCTGCAAAATTTTAAATTTACAGTGCAAAATAAGAATAATTTAAAAACTGTTTCTAGAAAAAGAGCTTTAAGGGCTTCCCCCCCCATAACAATTTAAGATTAACCTAGAACATGGTAGTTATTTTGCAAGAACTGGGGAGCACCACTCTCTTCTCCTTGTGCATGTCTGACATTGGAGGCCTATTGTGCACGAAGTTGTGATCAAAATCCAAGTCAATTCATTTTGAAAAGTAACATGACTACAACATCCATCCACTCCAATGAGCAAAGGGTGTAGGCTTTGAGTATACACAGCAGGCCACACACTATGGGTCATGGCATACAGTCTAGCGTTGGAGGTTGCTGCATTTGTTCATGTATCTATGAGTTAGGTTTTAAGTTTTTTCCCCCTGTTCTATTAATATAATTAATTAG
Source organism: Homo sapiens (assembly GCF_000001405.40). NCBI lineage: Eukaryota > Metazoa > Chordata > Mammalia > Primates > Hominidae > Homo > Homo sapiens. Next base: position 92,487,257 of record NC_000001.11, on the reverse strand, counting down.
TTAATTAACCCCACTCATTCATTTACTCAGTCCACAGCCTTTTGTTAAGAGCCCGCCTAGGACATAAAGATGAAGATCCAGTGCCTACCCTCATGAAACATAGAATCCGAGCGAAGAAGGCTTACTTTGCAATAGTCATCCAAGTGGTGCTTTTATGGCGCTTTACTGCTCCCGCCAACACCCAGTGCCTGGGTATGACCTCAGGCGGTGGCAGAGCCCGCGTGCGAGGTCCCGCTCTCCCTGGCTTGCCCCGGCAGGGCGGAGTCAGCCTAGCAGCCGCCGGCGCTGCCCCCGCGCGGCCTTTAATTTTGCAGCTCCGACCACCGGAAATTAGTCGAAGGCTGAGCGGACCCGGTCGAGAGCCGGCGAGCTCCGCGCAGGGAGGGTGCGCCCACCGGTCCCGCCGGGCGCCCGCGGGACGCGCCGCCAGGGCCCTCTCCGCCGGGGGCTCGGCGCTCGCCCACCTCTTCCAAATTTAACCATTACCTAAATCCGAAGGGAAATGAGCAAACCTCTCGGATTGGGTGTCAAGGTATTTTCAGCCTCGTTGGGCGTATTTATCCCCAAGTGTTTCCACAACAAGCTATTTCGGGGCCTGCGGGGCAGGTTTCGCTCTGCGGACGCCGTGGCCACTCGCCGGGCTCCAGGCCGGCGGCACCGCGGGCCGGTGATTCACGGTCCCGACCCGGGGGTGGTGCAGCCCTAGGAGGCGGCGGGGTCGGGGGTGGGGGGGGCGGGTGACCGAGGCCTGAGGGGCGGGGAGGGTCCTCGGAGCGGGGCGCCCCCCACCCCTCTCTCGCCAGTCAATCTGTGTCCTCAATCTGTGGCTTCTCTCGCTGCGGAAGTCTCCCTGGAGCCAAGAATAGTTCATTTTCTTTCAAGTCATTTCTAGTGCCTAAGTGTCCGGACCTCCAATTTCCCCCATCCCCTGCCGACCCACAGGGAGAGAACTGGGAGGACTACTAAGGGGCGCGCGGGACGGGCTGGAAAGGCCAGGCCCCCCACCGCCTGGCCACTTGCGCAAAGGAGCGCGCCCGGCCGCCCGACGGGGGTTGGGAGCAGGTCTGGGAGGGCTATGCGAGCGACTCAGTAACGCTCAGGAAGTGAAGCTTGTGGTTTTGGGGGCTGAGCTCGGAAGGAGAATTTTTTTTTTTTTTAAGTCAGAGAGATAGAGCGGTCTCTCCCGAAAGCAAGATTCCGTTTGAAAACTCTCCTAGCGCGGTGCCCGCGCCGTGACTCCGCAGGTAGGTCCGCCGAGCCTGTTCTGCGCCTCCTGCCCTGGTGGGGGCGGCCGCGGGGACTCGCAGAGCACTGGCACTGCGGGGGCGATCAGAGGGCGCGGGCGGTTTCCCACCTGCTGCGGACCGCCGTGCGGGAGCCCAGAGAGCTCCGGCAGCTGGGTTAGGGCGCGACCCGCGCAGTGTGACTGGAAATCTGGAGCTGGGGGCGCGCAGCAGGCGGTCTGGTGGTTCGGCAGGGGAGCCAAATCCACCAGGGAAGGAAACATCTGGTGGGGAGGCGGCGGCAGCTGCGCTCGGGAGGACGCCCCCTTAGCGCCCTCGGCTCCCTCCTTCCTGGGCCCGGACGGTGAGGAGAGGCCTGAGCGCGCGGAGGGGCCGCCCCACCTCCCGCGCCAGCTGCAGCGCGGGGTTGCCTTCCCACGCGCTCGGCCCAGGCCCCGGGGCCCCTATCTCCTCCAAACTCTGTCGCTCCCCACAGGAACCAGCAAAGCGGGCCGGGGTGCGAGAGAGGCGTGGGCTTACAGCCCGGGTGGGGAGGCGGCCTCCGCGTCCGCCTGGTCTCTGGTGGCGCCAGCCCAGACCCAGCTCCGGCGCTGACAGTTACCCCGCCCCCATCTGTCCCGCTCCCAGCCAACGTGGGTCCAAGCTGCAGCGGGACCCTCGGGACAACGCCACTCCGTTTTTCTTTTCTTCCGAGTTTCGTGGCTGTTTAAAGAATTGGGTTTGGGGTTTGTGGCGTCTAATTGTACGGACGAGAAGTGCAGGAAGCGACAAAGCTCTAGCCCTAGGAGCCACCCCGGAGGGAGGCGGATGGCACTCTCACCCCTAGGGGCATTCTGGCGCTTGGGTAGCGGGAAACTTCGCGGGAGCCCCGCGACACGTCCCAGGCGTCTTTTCTCCCAGGTCTATTCCCATTCCTCCGGAGAAGGGGACACAATGGGGCTGGGGATCTGGAGCAGGGGGCCTGCACCCTACAGGGACCAAGGCCTGTAGGACTCGTTTGAGCTGAGAGCGCCAACGGACAGACGTAGACTGTGTGGCCTGCATCTTGCCTAGGAAGCCGAGGGGCTCCTAGTCCGGCAGTGGAAACAGCGCGAAGCCGGAGGACTGCAGGTCCTGCCCCGGCCCAGAGTTCCCAGCACCCTCGTTTCTGAACCAGCCGAGGCCACGGAGAACTGCTGTACTGCAGCTCACGTGTGAACCCGGTCACCATCGCCTTCACCCCGGGAGGAAGGCAGATTCGTTTACTCCAGACCACCTCGACTGTGGGGTACCGCCCCCGGAGCCGGCTGGAGCCTAGCGGCAGGCGCAGCCACGCCCTCCCGCTGCGCTCAGATTTCGACCTGGTATTAGGTGAACTGATTGGGGGTTAATGAGAGCGACGCCCCGGGCAGCTAGTTCCCTCCCGGGCCCGGGCCCGACCCCCGCTCTCTGCTAATGCAGCCTGCGCGCTCTGGCGTCCTGTCTTTTTTGTCTGCTAAATTGTCGGTGCACTACCGACTCGGGACACCTAGCATTTCCCAGTCAACGTTCGTGGATCGGGCTCCACCTCCCTAGGACAAGATTTTTTGGTGAGCAGAACGGAAAGTGCTTTTTTCCCGGGACCTGATTCCCGAGGTTAGGTCTCCATGGTCTGGGATGGCTCGCCGCAGCCTCGACCGGTGCCCGCCGCAGCCGGGAGTCCAAGGGCAAAGTTTCTCCTACGTGGGGCACTAGTGAGGGGCGAGTGGGATCACCCAGATGCGAGTTTCTCCTGGGGCGGGGGTTGGTCGTCTGTTGTTCCCCTCACTTTCCTGTCCCTTTGCTCTCCCACCTCCTTTCTCTGGCCTCTGCTGTCCCCAATCCCTCTGCTGCTGTCCTCCCGCCGCCCCACAGTTTTATCTTGTGTTCTGTTCCCCCCTCCCCCCGGTCCTTTCACTCCAGTTGGTAGCTGGCTCTTGGAGGTCTTGGCTCCTTGCCCCTTCCGGGTCCTCGACCACTGGGCATCCCCGGCCCCTAAACCGATCCGCGTGTCCCCGCCCTCCCTCGCCAGCCGTAAAGCACAGCCAGGCAGGCGATGAGTAGCTGAGTTGGGGTAACCCACCCGATGGGAACTACAGCTCTCCAGGGAGTTTGATTGCCGGAGCGAGCTTCGCTAGGAAAGGGGAGGAGCTGGGGGGCGTGGGCAGGGAGGAGGAAAGGGGCCTGAGACAGGGCCCCGGGACAGGTTTTACCGCTGAGCTGTGTCAGTGGCGGCGGCGGCAACGACGGCGGGTTCGCGCCACCTGTCCAAGTGCCACCTGGTAAGCGCGGCGCAGCAGGGTCAAGCCCCTCCTCCCGTGGGCCCTCTGCGCGCCTCCCTGGCCCGCGCTCTCCCTCCGCCTGGGTGCCCAGTCCGCCGCACCGGAGAGTACTGACCCACGTCTCCACCTGGTTTTCTTTCCCTCTCAGGTCTCCTCCGGGCTGGGGCTGAGCAAGCCCTCGGAGTGACCGTGGGTGACAGCGGCTCCAGGGACTCTTGGGGCGCAGTGGGGAAAGTGCCGGACCACCATGCCGCGCTCATTTCTCGTCAAAAGCAAGAAGGCTCACAGCTACCACCAGCCGCGCTCCCCAGGACCAGACTATTCCCTCCGTTTAGAGAATGTACCGGCGCCTAGCCGAGCAGGTGCGAGGCGCGCGCGGGCCAGGCGGGGCTGCTCCCCCGGATGCCTACTGCACCTCGGCACACCATTAGTCCGGAGCTGGGAGGGGCTGCCCCAACGTCCCTTTTGCTGCTGTTTTTGTTTCCTACTGTCCTGGTTCCTCCGGGTTTGTCTCCTAGGTGCCATGGCCTCTCTGCGCCTGCCCTCGGATCCGAGAGGGTTCCCGGCCGGGGTCTGGGTGGAGAGGGGAAGACGCTCGGCTGCCCTGGTCGGGGGATTGGGGGAGCCTTCAGCACCCTCAGACTCAACCGGTCCCAGCCTGAGCCCCTCACCTGCCTCCTCTTTGCAGACAGCACTTCAAATGCAGGCGGGGCGAAGGCGGAGCCCCGGGACCGTTTGTCCCCCGAATCGCAGCTGACCGAAGCCCCAGACAGAGCCTCCGCATCCCCAGACAGCTGCGAAGGCAGCGTCTGCGAACGGAGCTCGGAGTTTGAGGACTTCTGGAGGCCCCCGTCACCCTCCGCGTCTCCAGGTAGGAACCCACTGGGAACCTCTTGGGCGGGAGCTGCAGGGACCCGGCAGTGCTGGGGGGGAATTGGCGCGACCTTGGGCGTAGAAATGCTAACGGGGAGTTGGAGAGTCTTTCCGGGAGAAGGGAGCTGATTCGTAGGGGAAGGAGGCATCCGGCTTCTCTGGGACTTGGACAGCTTGCCCGCTGGGGCTGCTGCCTCCATCCCAGGCGGCAGGACCCTAGCTGCTTGTCGCTTAGATTCGTTTGCGCGGAGCTGGCCAGTGACGGAAAACAAACCAGTCGTTTCGACTGGCGGCAACGCTGACCTTTCATTTTCTGACCAGACCTGACTGTTTTATAAAGTGCTAGGATCCTGCAATCTAGACCCCCAAACCTCAAACAGAGAACAGGGCAGAACGGGCCAGGCAGAGGAGCTAGGCGCTGGGCGGCAGGGAGGGGGCAGGACGAAAATCTCAGCCCGCGGCTTGGTCTTCACAGGCGCAGATTGGGGGCCTGTTTCATTTTTCGTTTTGCCGGGTTAACCTAGCCTCAGGGGCCTGCTCTCTGGGTTTCATTTCCAGCGAGCAATCCAGCTTCAGGCAAACTAAGTGACCACACGTTGGGTGGGGGCGTCTCGAGTCCCGGCCGGGGGAAGGAATGAGCAGACCAGCCGGATTCTGTCAAGGGCCGGTTATATCCAGAATATGTTTGCTAGTTTTAGAAGATACCACCACCCGTCCCACAATCAGTGAGTTGACTTGGCGAAAACCATAGCTCCAGCAAGTGTGTCTGGGAGCCGGCGGCGGGAGGATTCTTCCTGCCAGGGCGTCAAGTGGCCAGACAAGGATTGGGCGCGCCCCGAACCCCTCCGAACGAAACTCCGGGTACAGCCTCTCACTGAAGTGGCCAGCCTGAACTGGAGTGTTGTGCGCACACACACACACACACATTTGTAAATGCCGTATGCACTCACATGCGTTGGGGTCACTAGTTTTAGCAAAATTCACGTGGGTGGGGGCGTAGCAGGCCGAGAATTCAGAGCTGTCTCCTTGCAGGTGGTGGCTAAACCTTATGAGTTATAGTTATTCTCTGAGAAATTCAGGTTCCCCGCCTCCATCAAACTGTAACAGGAATGGGGAGTATTTGGCTGTCAATTTAAGCCCAAAAGCCCCTTTCCTGCTGCTCCTTTGCTACGTACACTGGGCACTTAACTTCGTGAAATCTTAATACCTTCGGGTTTATTCAGACAGCAGCCTTTCGGGTAGTTCGGGGCCGCATTTATGGACCTTCTCCCTCCTTCCTCTTGGATTCTGGGAAGAAAAAGAATTGAATGGGAACATGTAGGGGCTGGGAGAGTGCCTGCGCTGGTGGCTGGACCCTTCCGCCCTTGAGTGCTGTGAGGGGCCGAACGGCCGCCACCTTCTCCTTCTTAACAGCTCAACTACGGGCATTTATAGATGCGCCCTTCCCTGTAGGATCTCCAGGTGCGCGGGTCCAGCCAGAAAAGATCCTCGGAACGCCGAGCGCCTCCGCTGCACTCGCACAGAATTTACGACCTCCTCTCCCGAGGTCTTTTCAATGATCTGTTTACTGTTCTGCCTCCTATAGTGGCCTGCGAGGCCCCAGGGCCCGGGCCACGTTTTACCCTGGGGCGAGCCTGGCACCTGGCGCACGCAGTGTTCTACAAGCGCTGGGTGCCCCGCAGTCCGCGAACACGCCACGCTCGCAGCCGCAGCCCGGCGGCCTCCGCTCTGCCGTCTGAAGCCTGACCGGACGCTCCCCTTGTGCCTCCACAGCCTCGGAGAAGTCAATGTGCCCATCGCTGGACGAAGCCCAGCCCTTCCCCCTGCCTTTCAAACCGTACTCATGGAGCGGCCTGGCGGGTTCTGACCTGCGGCACCTGGTGCAGAGCTACCGACCGTGTGGGGCCCTGGAGCGTGGCGCTGGCCTGGGCCTCTTCTGCGAACCCGCCCCGGAGCCTGGCCACCCGGCCGCGCTGTACGGCCCGAAGCGGGCTGCCGGCGGCGCGGGGGCCGGGGCGCCAGGGAGCTGCAGCGCAGGGGCCGGTGCCACCGCTGGCCCTGGCCTAGGGCTCTACGGCGACTTCGGGTCTGCGGCAGCCGGGCTGTATGAGAGGCCCACGGCAGCGGCGGGCTTGCTGTACCCCGAGCGTGGCCACGGGCTGCACGCAGACAAGGGCGCTGGCGTCAAGGTGGAGTCGGAGCTGCTGTGCACCCGCCTGCTGCTGGGCGGCGGCTCCTACAAGTGCATCAAGTGCAGCAAGGTGAGGCTCCCGAGCTCACCACCTCGCCTGCCGTGCGCCCGCTTCCCCTACCCGCGCCTCGCCTGCGCCCCGCGGCCCCTCTCAGCGGCCTTCTCTCTGGCCCCACCCGCCTTAGGTGTTCTCCACGCCGCACGGGCTCGAGGTGCACGTGCGCAGGTCCCACAGCGGTACCAGACCCTTTGCCTGCGAGATGTGCGGCAAGACCTTCGGGCACGCGGTGAGCCTGGAGCAGCACAAAGCCGTGCACTCGCAGGTAAGCGCGGGGCGCACCGCCGCGCGCGGCCCTGCTCGGGGATCTTCTGCATCTCCTCGGTGCAGCACCAGCCACTCTCTGCCTGGAAGTTTTCTCCTCGACTTCCCCCAGTTTCCTCCCCCAAGCCCTCCGCTGCGTCCCCTTGCCCTGGTGCAGGTGTGTAGGGAAAGGAGGATTGTGGCCGGCTCAGGCCTTGAGGCAGCCCTGGATTTTGGTGTCACACCACTGTGAGCCTCGAGAGTGTGATCCTCATTGTTACTTTGGGCTTGAGGTAGGTTTGTATGCACTGATTCGTGCTGCTGATATATCAGACTTACTAGCTCTGTTTCTTTGTGCCTATTCTTTTCACCAAATGGTTGTCACTTAATTTGCATTGACCCCTCTCGACTGAAAAGGCAGGAATCTCAGCTCATTTAGAGCATCTAGTAGCATATTCACCCCGCTATTCATTCTTTCCTTCCTTCCTTTCTTTTCTTTTCTTTTTTCTTTTCTTTTCTTTCAGAGTCTGGCTCTGTTGCCCAGGCTGGAGGGCAGTTGCACAATCTCAGCTCACTGCAACCTCCCCCTGTCAGGTTAAAGTGATTCTCGTGCCTCAGCCTCCTAAGTAGCTGGGATTACAGGCGCATGCCACTACAGCACAGCTAATTTTTGTGTTCTTAGTAGAGACGGGATTTCGCCACGTTAGCCAGGCTGGTCACGAACTCCTGGCCTCAAGTGATCCACCAGCCTGGGCCTCCCAAAGTGCTGGGATTACAGGCGTGAGCCACCATGCCCCACCGCCGCTATTTATTCATTCATTCATTAATAAATATTTGTTGGCTAACTTCCAGGTGCCAAGTACTTAAGAATCTTATAACACATCAGGTCCTTGACAGCATGCCCACATGAAGATTATAGTTTAGCTGAGAGATGGAGAGTAGATGAGCAAGTAAATATGCCAATAGCTATCTCAGGAGAATGCCTACTTACGAAGGCTAAAAAGAGTATTAGCCCATCTCCCCCAGCACCCACACTGGCTGGGGGGAGGTGGCATCTCAAGTGACTGAGGTCTAAGCCTCCTGTTGAGGAGGGTGGAGAAGTGTGTGCTAATGGGTGTCAAAAAAAGCAGGGTGTGGATATGTATTTGCCATGGGGTGTGGAAGGTTGTGGGTGAAGAATGTTTTGGTAGAAAAAGTGTTGAAGGGCCAGGCACGGTGGCTCACGCCTGTAATCCCAATACTTTGAGAGGCCGAGGTGGGCGAATCACTTGAGGCCAGGTGTTTGAGACCAGCCTGACCAACATGGTGAAACCCCATCTCTACTAAAAATACAAAAATTAGTCAGGTGTGATGGCGTGTGCCTGTAGTCCCTGCTACTTGGGAGGCTGAGACACGAGAATTGCTTGAACCTGGGAGGTGGAGGGTGCAGTGAACTGAGATCGTTCCACTGCACTCAAGCCTGGGCGACAGAGGAGACTGTCTCAAAAAAAGAAAGAAAAAGTGTTCAAGGGATTTTAGGGTCAGCTGAGGGGTGAGGAGAGCAGCAGTCTAGTTGACTGCAGTAGGAGTTCTGCATCTCTCTCTCTCTCTCTCTCTCTCTCTCTCTCTCTCTGCAGGAACGGAGCTTTGACTGTAAGATCTGTGGGAAGAGCTTCAAGAGGTCATCCACACTGTCCACACACCTGCTTATCCACTCAGACACTCGGCCCTACCCCTGTCAGTACTGTGGCAAGAGGTTCCACCAGAAGTCAGACATGAAGAAACACACTTTCATCCACACTGGTGAGCTAAAAAGGCCCTTGGCTTGTAGGAAACACCCTGAGGCCAACATTACTCATCTTCTCTGATTTCTGGCCCCAGTGAGTGGTGGATGAGGCCTTTCTGATGGAGTTATTCTCTGCTCTGTGTTAAAGAAAACAAAGGGGTGGGTTCTTTGGTTCATTTACCGGCATAATTCTCCCCAGAGCCACCTTGATTTGGGGTTGTGTCTGAAAGGCCACTCAGCAGGTCAGCTCACAGGTACTCTATACTTGGAAAGAACATTTTCCTTTAGGTTAGCAGCTGCTTCCCCTGCTGCCTGCTCTGGGTGAAATATGAAGCTCCAGGGTCCTCTTAGAGAGTTGCTCTAAAGCTTACCTAGAGATTGAGGACTTTCCCTAACCACCTGGCCTTTTGTGGGAGGGACTCGTGTGGACTCTCCGGCTGCATTTTCAGGAGTCTGAGAGCTTATTCTGATTGAAGAGGAACAAATAATGGCAAATATGATTAAACTCTCTGCTAAGCATTTTTTAAATGCATTATTTCATTTTATGCTCACAACAACTCTGAGAGGTAGCGACTACTCCTTCTCCCCATTTTAGAGATGAAAAAAATGAGGCTAGGTAATCTGCCCAGGGTCACACTGCTAGCAAATGACAGGGCCAGAGCTCAAATTCAGGTCTGACCTCTCAAATGTTCACTCTTGACCACTGTTTATTGTATTTTATGTTCAGAGTCATGAGGTTGGTAGACAGAAAGCTTCTGTTCACTTATTGCCCTTTTCAAAATATCTGCAAGTTAATGCCATAATAATGATAATTCCTTACCTATTATAATGCTTTATAATTTACAAAGTACTTTCAAATCTATCATTTCATTTGATTCTTATTGCCACTCAAGAAAGTAGAAGGAGCTGCTCTTACCATCCTGAAACTCAGAAAGAGTGAATGATTTATCAGAAGTAAGACTGAATGAATAATGTAGCCATGTAATGCTCTGGCTTTTAATCCTGGACTGTTTGTCTAACACTTTATGTGCGGGTGGGAGTTTTAATGCCAAGAACACTCTAATAGTCAAAAGACATTTACATGAGACCCAGAATTTCTGAAAATTTTATTGCAGAATATGAATACTGATTTAGAACAAATCACAGTGTATTCTAAACACCCACCCTTGATGTTTATAAATATACTTGGGTAATGTATATATTTCCATTGAAAACCCAGAAAAGTATTCTACTTTAATCATTCCCTCTTACCTGAAATTTCCATGTAATTCACTCCTTATAAGTAAGGTATTCAGGACACTTATCAAAATGCAACTAGGATCTTGACTGAATAAAACATTAAGCCCTTATCAAACATTTACGTTATACCTAGAATTTGTTTTCTCAGATTTGTTTGACCCTAAAGGGATAGAATACATTTTGATGGGTGGTTTCTTATCAAGGAAATCTGAAGCATGAAAACAGAAAAGAGTTTTTAGCAAGGAGGACAGAGGGTTCCTCAAAAACAAACTTCATCTATTTTATACTTTTTCCAAGGCTGAGCCCTGACTATAATGCCATGCTGGGCTATTGGAAATTCATGCCATTTACCCAACAACACATGAGATGGGGAACAAGACAAAACCTTCTTGTGTTCTCTTATTTATTAATTTGTGGTGAAGAATTGCTGGTATATAAAGAATCATGTGATTAACCCCATAAAATTAAGGAAAAATCAAGACAGTAAAGTATCAGCTGCCTTAATCCTTTGTGGCCCAAATGTGGATTTTTAAAATAAGATATTGAAAAACGTATCCTGCACATGTACCCCGGAACTTAGAAAGAAAGAGAGAGAGAGAGAGAAATAAAGAAAGAAAGAAAGTCCATGTTAAGATGTTTTTTCAGATATAATCTGCTGTCCTTCAAGAACAAGAAAGAAGACGGGCTCACTGATCCATACAAACTAACACCCACTTGGAAATTCAGATTTGAAAACTTCCTCTGAATTAGAACGGAGTCACACGGTTTTAGGACAGCTTCCCCCTCCCCTTCCTGTTGAACATCTGCTCTGAGTGTTCATGGCTTATAAAGTCAGGGGAGTCCTCCCGGGGTAGATTCAGCTGGGGAGGGCACGTGGCCTTTGCTCTGTTTCCGTTTAGCAGGAAACCGTTTGAGGCCTTTGGCTGGGAACCCCCCTTCAGAAAGTCTCCCTTTCACCTGGTGCCCCCATGGTGCTTCCAGGGACTCGCATTGCAGGCTGGGAGTCAGTTCAGGTTGCAACACGTCACCCTCCAAGTTGCTTGAAGGCCTTAGACTGTGGTGCAACCAGCTGCTGCCAAGAGCATGTGGGTCACAGTGGGTCCCCTCTAGCTTTATCATAGACTCATACTTTCTCCCCTCCCCCTCCCATCCCCACAGGTGAGAAGCCTCACAAGTGCCAGGTGTGCGGCAAGGCATTCAGCCAGAGCTCCAACCTCATCACCCACAGCCGCAAACACACAGGCTTCAAGCCCTTCGGCTGCGACCTCTGTGGGAAGGGTTTCCAGAGGAAGGTGGACCTCCGAAGGCACCGGGAGACGCAGCATGGGCTCAAATGAGCACCCTGGCTGGCTGCAAGCAGCAGCTACACAACACTACAGAGGGCAGCCTCCCTGCTTGCCACCACTCTGCTCCCTGCTTGCCTCCACTCCCTTCTGACTTTCCAGACCCCAGGTCCAGTCTGCAGATCCTACCAGGTTGCTCCTCCTTCGCCTTACCTCCTGGAGCTGCCAGAAGAAATGAGGTACCTTTTCAAAGTGCAGCCGAGAGTGAGAACCAAGTGACTCTCTAGGCTTCGGACACAAATAGGCTCCTCTACACCTGAAGACAAAGGCAAAGTCAAATGGGGACCAGAATAAATCTTAGACCCCACAGTCCTTCCCATTTCCAGCCCTAATCTACAGACAGGAATGCCCTTCAGGTTTCTTCCCTCCCCCCTCTTGACCTACCCCAGATATTTGTGTGGAAGAGGAGGAATCACCATTTACAAGGTGGACAAATGCTAATATTTTTATCTAGAAAGAAGAGTGAGTGTTAACTTTTATTTTTTTCCTTCTGGGGGGTCTGTTGACTCCTTTCTTTTGGGTGCTGCCTATAAATCTTGGAGGAATCATTTCTCCTCCTCAAAAACTGATTCAGAAACTGACTTGGGGAAGGAATTTAATACTTTGAAGTCATGAGATGCACCATCGAGGCTACCCCCAAGAAGAAGCAGAAGAGAAGTTGGTAATGAGAGGGGATTAGAGGTCCTCCCTTCAGTAGGGCTGTGAAAACCTCATCACTGGAGGTAAAAGCACAAGCAATGCCTGTGGACAAGATGTCATTCATTCACTCAGCAAATGTTCATGGATCACCGGCTACCAAGGTACCAGGCACCATGCTAGGTATTGGGGAAGAGAGACTGAAGTCACAACCCCTGACTGCTCCTCAAAAGCTAACGGTTGCACCTCCAAGTGGCTGGGTCTGTTCTTACTCTTGGAGGGAATTCTGAGAAGACAGCACAGAATTGTAAACCTTCCCTTTTGACCCTTTTGGATTTTATCAGGTGTAAACAAAAAGCTGAACAGTTACTTCAAAGATATGTGTGTATATTCAGTTTTTTATTGTTAAGCTGATATTTTAAAGATTTCTGAGCTAGCAGGCATGTGGGAAGGAAGGCTCTGTCTTCAACTCTTTGACCCTCCATGTGTACCATAGAGGGGGGAAAGGTGGTATTTTCACTTTGATGAGGTTGGTAAATGTTTTTAGATCTTCTGGTAAGCATTATGTTTGTTAATACATATTTATTAGAGTGATGTTTTAAGTTAATAAAGTATTAAGAGTATTACAGATTGCCTTTCCTTTAGGCAGGGAATTTGGGGAAGACCTTTGTTTTAGTCTGTAGGGGGAAAGCTGGCACTGAAGGAAACTGCAATGGAGTATAAAAGTGAAGCACACAAGCTAATATCCAGAAGAGTAAAATCCAATTGCTCGGGTTTCCATATACTTTCTCCTTTGCTGCTACACCTCAGAGATACTTCTTTCATCTTCTTTCATAAGAGAAAAACTAGGAGGTGTACAAAACTAAGCTACTACCTTGTAGAGCCCCTGATGGTTCCACAGGCACGTAAGTAAGCTCTTTCCTCTGAAAATGTCAACATATTTTTTTAGGGGCCTGAAGGCTCCCAGATGAATAAAGAAATCACAGGTCTTAGGTCTAGGTTTTAGTTTTAGTCACAGCTCTGTCACCAACACATCATGTGACTTGTGTAAATCTTTTGACTTCCCCGATACTGGTTTCCTTGATCAAGTAATACGGAGACAGCTCTGTCATTCCTGTCCAACCCTGACCGCTTTGATTCTGTGGAGACTGGAAAGGAAAAAAAGTGTGAGATTGGTTAGCTGCCTCCCCTAATGCAAGTCACAAATCTAAAGGCCCATGAGGATCTGGGTTATTTCTGGTTCTGTCCCACCTGTGGGAGTTTTTTGCATAAGTCAATCCTTTAAGAGAATGAAACCAGAATAAAATCCTGGCCAAAATCCCTACTACTAGTGCTTTAACACCTCCCAGCCAGACATTCAGGGTATGCATGCCCCATGGTGAGAACCAGCAGATTGCCCATTTCCAACTCAAATTGATTTCACACATATAATTGAGCACCCAGTATGTGCTGGGCATTCTTCTAGGGGGTGGAGATATAGCAGTGAGGACAATGTCTTACGAAGCTTTATTTATTCATTGTTGAATCCTCAGTTCCCAGAATAGTGCCTGGCACACAGTAGGAGATTAATAAATATTTACTGAGATGTTAAGTGAATAAACAGAAAATAAGCTCCTGCTTCATCCTAGGGCCTGGCTCTGCTCTCTACAGCACAAAGGGAAGAGAGATTGCTTGACAGCCTGGGAAACAAATAGAATCCACACGACTTTCTCTCCAGGTTGGCAGGAAAGGGGGGCTTGAATGCTGCTTTTCTCTGGTTTCTCCAAATCTCAGTCCTTGGCTGTCCTCACCTGATTTCCAGCACCATGTCTTTCCATGTCAGTTTACTCTCATTCAGAATTTAAATTCGTTTACTCTGTAATGGAGTTTAAGATAGTTTTTCAGAACTGATGGATGATGAACAGTTGCAGCGTCCAGGAACCACTTCCTAGTGTCCTGGGAGACAATCCTCCCAGTGAATGAAAATGACAAAAACATCCTTCCCACAGAAGTCACCCTGTGTACTGGTTGGTTATTTCCAACCTGGTTTGAAAAGTAAAGAAGTTGCACTGAGGGGTAAGTAGAACTGATTGAAATCTAGGTGCCTGTGCTGTCCTGCTCTTCCCTTATGACGTTTAGAACATTTGGTCCATTTTTGTTATCCCTGTTTATGCTCTAAGTGAGGAATTGTAATTTTGATGTTAACTGTATGCCTTTTTTTTTTTTTTTTGGTAAAAAATGTATCTTGATATCCCCAGTTCAGAATCAAAACAAATTACTGTGCCTGTTACCGTGTGAAATTTGAAGATTGCAAATATCTCTCTTAATGTTATTACTTGACTCCATTAAAAATAGATTGTGAATATTCCATGTCACATTATTCATGAGGCAGGCTCTATGCCTTTTGTCTGCTGGAGTAACAGTAGAAAGGGTAACAAGAGACACCAGAGCACACCTTTGTTTCTTTCACTAAATTTTTAATAACACCTCCAGCTAGCCAGTTGGTGAAGCTCAGCTCTTGCATAAAAGTGGAAAAGCACAGCTATCTCTGAGAAGACCAACTCTTTCAGCGCTAATTTGAGTTTGCGTTCATCTACACCAGACGTGATTAAATTACCTATCAAGTGTGCTGAGCTATCAGGATTCAGGCCACGTAAAAGGTGAATTTCATCTGATTGATTTGAGACACGGATGGAACAATTGAGTTTTAAAAGCCCCGCCTTAATTAAAGGGATAGAAGAGTATCACTCCCCGGCGACTTCTTGACTGCCATTGCCCTTGAAAACTGGGTGGTGATAGTGATTTGACCCAAGTCACTTTGTTGTGTGCCTGTTTGTTCAACCTGATCATTTCACAGAAAGAAATGAACTCAGAGGAAATCCTGAAAGGACTTCACTACTTTTTACTGGGCATTTCTACAGAAATGCCATTATTATTTCTACAGAAAAAACTTTTTAGGAAGTATATAATACGTTTATTTTAACCCCCTTTTCCCATTCATTAAGTCAGATTTTAAAAATTAAAAAGTTAAAGAAATTGCACCCTAAATCCTTCTAGCTTAAAAGCTTATGTTCTTTTTGTATGCGTTCCTTTCTAGTTTGTTCCTTTCTAGTCTTTAGGCACATGTGCGTATATTTATATTTTATAATTTTTGTCTAGATAGCTCTTTTATTATATGGACACATACTTAAAACAGATATTTCACAATGAGAATTTGGACAATTTTATGACCAAATTTTATTGAAATCTTAGTATTTTATTGGGAATCTTATCAATCATTGAGAAAAAGTCTTTTCTGAAGTTTAATGTTATCACTTTTTGAATAAAACATTTTAGGCATACTGGAAATTGCAGAGAATAATAAACATCAGTGTACCCACCATTCTGCCATATTTACTTCAGATTTTATTTTTGAAATAACATGTTACAGGTATAGTTGAATTTCTTCTGGGATATATTCCTCTCTAGCCCCATTTCCTTTCTTTTCTCCTCAGAGGCATCCATTATACCAAAATCAGTATATATAATTGCCACGAATATTTGTATGCCTTTAATTTATACATAATTCCATAAATAATATATAATCATATAAATATATAATTAATATAATAAAAATATAATTGTATTTATATATAAATATATAATTATGTAAATATATAATTTAGCATATTAACTTCATGTAAATGGATCATAGTTTATACTTCTGCACTTTTCTGGTTTTTTTGCTTAACACATTGTTTTTGAGATTTATCCATGTTGATATGTGCAGTTTAGTTCCTTTATTTTAACCACTGCATATGGAATTCCATGGGATGAATGCTTGGTAATTTATTCTCCTGTTGGGAGAGTTTGGGTCATTTCCAGTTTTTCCTATTACAAATGATTCTGAAGCAAACAACCTTTTATGTATCTCTTTTGTGAGAGATTCTTTAGGATGTATTCCTGGGAATGAAAATGCTGGATATTATCAAACTGCTCTTCAAAATGGTTGTTCCAATTGACAGTCTCCCCAGCAATGTAGAATTCCTGTTACTCCAAATCTTACCAACACTTGGTATTGTCAAACTTTAAACATGTCTGCCAATCAGATGGATGTGAATGTCATTGTAATTTGCATTTCCTGATTCCTAGTGAGGTTGAGTATCTTTTTATAAGTTGATGGGCCTGACAGATTTCCTTTCCTATGAAATGCCTCTTCATGTACTTTGTCCATTTTTCTGTTGGTTGTTTGCTTTTTATCAATTTGTTCTTTAAATATATTCTAAACGCTCACTGTTATGTTAGTTAAATGTGTTGCATACTTATCCCAGTCTATGGTTTGCCTTTTCACTTTGAAGAGAGGATTGTTTGCTTGTTTTGTTTTTGTGTGTAATCAAATGTATTAGTCTTTTCCTCAATGGTTTATGCTTCTTACATATCATTTACACTCTTTCCCTAGCTGGTGGTCATTAGATTCCCTATATTTTCTTCTAAAAGTGTTTAAATTTCTGTTTGTAACATTAGGTTTTCTTTTTTTTTTTTTTTTTTAGGTGGAGTCTCACTCTGTCACCCAGGCTGGAGTGCAGTGGCGCAATCTTGGCTCACTGCAAACTCTGCCTCCCGGGTTCAAGCGATTCTCCTGCCTCAGCCTCCCAAGTAGCTGAGACTACAGGCATGTGCCACCACACCTGGCTAATTTTTTATTTTTAGTAGAGACAGGGTTTCAACATGTTGGCCAGGCTGGTCTCGAACTCCTGATCTCAGGTGATCCACCCACCTCGGCCTCACAAAGTGCTGGGATTACAGGCGTGAAACATTAGCTTTTTAATCCACTTGTGTGTGTATAGTATAAAGTAGGACCTAATTTTAAAAATTTTCTTCACCATTAGTAATGGATAACCAATTATCCCAACATTATGTATTGCTATTTTCATCCTTTTCCCTCTGATTGTAATGCCACCTCTGTCATATGTCAAGTTTCTATTTCTGTATGGTTCTATTTCCAGGCTTGCTGATCTGTTCCACTGGTCATTTTGTCTATCTCTATGCCAAAGCCATAGTGTCTTAAATAATTTAAGTTACAATAAACTCTTAATAGCTAGTAGGGAAGGCTGCCTTGTGACCTGTTTCATCCTCTTCAGGAGTATCCTGGCTACCTTTGGCCCTTCGTTCTTGCATGTGAAAAACTCTATTGGAATTTAGGTTTGTATTACATTTATTATTTAATTTGGGGAGAATTGAAATTATTTTGCTATTGATTCTTCCTATACATAAATATGGTATATTGATTACTTATTTAATCTTCTTTTATGGCTTTCAATAACACTTTGTCATTGTCTGCATAATTTAATTACTTTTTAAACTTATTTTCTTAGTTCTTTTTTTGAAAATTGAATTTTGTCATTGCTGCTGATGTATGGGAACAAAATTAATTTTTCTATATGTTGATCTTGTATCCTGCAACTTTGCTGAACCCTCTTTTTTGGTTTTTGCAGATTATTTTAGATTTTCAGAGTAAGATAGCCATAAGATATTCAAGTGATTATAGCTTTATTTCATTCTTTCCATCTTATTATTGCCTCACTGCACTGGCCAGGGCTATACTGAATAGGGGCTGAATAATAGTCATCTTTGTCTTATTCCCTTATTCCAGGGAAATATTTTTAGTTTTTCACAACTTCATGTGATGTTTTTGGTAGGTTTTTGGTAGATAACTTGTTAAAAATGAGATTAGGAATTTCTGTTTCTATTTGGTAAGAATTTCCACTTGTGTATGTGTGTTTTTAATCAATGGGTATTTAATTATTTTTGTGTGATTTTTCTGCATCTATTGAGAGAATAAATATATTTTTAATCTTTTATCCTTTGTCAACATGCAAATTATATTTATAATTTTCTCTAATGTTTTAAATTATCCTTGTATTATTTGGGGAAAAAACCCCCACCTAGAGGGAATAAATTCCAACTTAGTCATTTAAACAACATTGCTGATTTGGTTTGCTGACCTTTACTTAGGATTTTTGCATTATACTTACTAGTGAAATTGGCTTATAATTTTTATTTCTTATGCTGCCCAAGGTTTAACATGTTTCAAAATGAACAGGGTAACATTTCTTCTTCTTCTGTTTTCTGGATCAATTTGTGAAGGACTGGAATTATATGTTCTCTGAATGTTTGATAGAACTCACCTGGGATTTTTTTGATGAAGGCTAGCAAAGAGGAGGGTATATTTAAGTTTTAGTTACTATAGGTCTATTCAGGTTTTTAATTTTTTCTTAAATATGCTGTATCATGGCTGGGCACGGTGGCTCATGCCTGTAATCCCAGCACTTTGGGAGGCCGAGACGGCTGGATCACGAGGTCAGGAGTTCGAGACCATCCTGGCTAACATGGTGAAACCCTGTCTCTACTAAAAATACAAAAAAATTAGCCGGGCGTGGTGGCGGGCATCTGTGGTCCCAGCTACTTGGGAGGCTGAGGCGGGAGAATGGCATGAACCAGGGAGGTGGAGCTTGCAGTGAGCCGAGATCGCCCCACTGCATTCCAGCCTGGGTGACAGAGCAAGACTCCATCTCAAAAAAAAAATGCTGTATCATATATATATATCAGCATATTTATAAGTATCCAAATTAATTGCCACAGACATTTCATAGAGTTCTCTGATTTTTAAAAAATGTCTACTCCACCTATAATTATGTTCAATTTTTCTTTCTGATATTGTTCATTTGTACCTTTATCTTTTTTCTTTAATATTGCCAAAGGTCCCTATTTTATTAGTTTTTGCAGCATATTTTCATTGTCATTCATTTCTATATCTTATCTAACAATATTTCTTATTTGACAGATGTATTATTTAGAAGTACATTTAAAATTTCTAAACATCTCTGGCTTAGAGTTGCAAAATAAAATTCTAAACATGTTTTTTCAGTAATTTTTGTAAGTGATTTATAATTTAATTATATTTTGATCAGAGAACCTGACTTGCATAATATTAATTCTCTAATATTTGTTGAGATTTATTTTGTGGCCTTCTCCATGGTCAATTTTTATAGATAATGTGTGCTTGAAAAGAATGTATATATTCTAATTGCCAAGTGCAAGTTCCACTATGATTAAGCTTGTGATTATATTGTTCGAATTTTCTATATCCTAAATAATTTTGGTCTGCTTAATCAACCAATCACTGAGAGAGATAGGTTTTACTTTCTCATGGTGATTATTAAGTTATAAATTTTTCCTTTAAGTTCTTTTTTTTTTTTCCATGTGAGCTTGAGAAAAATCTCCTTTGAATTCTGTTAACTCTTTTTCTTTTACCTATTTTGAGGGTTGTTATTAGGTGCATAAAATTTTGAACTATTTCGTATTCCTGGTGAATTATTCCTTTTTTAATCATCATTCTATTGTACTCATTGCCTTTAGTTTTTTGTTTGGTTGGTTGGTTGTTTTTTTTTTAAGTTTTTTTTTTTCCTTAGAGACAGGGTTGCCTAGGCTGGAGTGCAGTGGTGCTATCTCGGCTCACTGCAGCCCTGACCTCCCTGGCTCAGGTGATTCTTCTACCTTAGCCTCCTGAGTGGCTGGGACCACAGGCACATACCACCACACCCTTCTAATTTTTGTAGTTTTTGTAGAGATGGGGTTGCACCATATTTCCCACACTGGTCTTGAGCTGCTGGCCTCAAGCAATCCATCTACCTTGGGCCTTCAAAATGCTGCGATTACAAGTGTGAGCCACTATGGCTGGCCTATTTTTACATGGTATTTTTAATGTCCTTTTATTTTTAATCTTTTTATGTTCTTATGCTTTAGGAATATATCTTTGTAAATAGCATTAATTCAATATTATTTACCTTTTTAAAGTCAGACATAAGTAAAATAAAATTTCCAATTGAAAATATAATTTCTGATACTGTTTCACTATATGTATGTGTGGTGTACATGTACCTGATCTTTTCATCTCTAAGCAACTTAATCTAATAGGAATCTGTTGCTGTTTTCTCATTTCCAATGAGCTTTTACTGATAAAAAAGAATTACACACACACACAGGAGAGAAAAGTACTCACTCTGCCCAAAACAATATGATGCTTACTGCTTTACTCTGCTAGTCCATTTTTTGGTATTCAAGGAAGGATTCTATCTTGCAAGGTTTTTTAAAGCTTGCATTTGTTTTAACTGTAAAGGAGACCCAAAAGCAGGAAGTTAGGTTTGTTTCTTGATGCTAGTTTTACAAACTTCATTGAGAAGTTTTTTAATTTTTGGTAAAGTAGGAAGCCTAGTTTCAATTCTGTCTTTTAACATGAATTAGACAATTTCCTAGGTTGCCCTTTCTGAGAAGAACTGATTGGCACGCCTTTATAAGATTTGCTGCAATAGCAGTTCTTCAGTTTTTCTTAGAGTAAGGAAAATCTGAGTGGATGCCTCTTGTGACTTTTTGGGAGAGCCAGAAACCATCCTTTCATTAACCTTTAGTAGAATTGTCTGTGTTTCACCTCTTGGATATACCTTCCCAGAGACATCACACAAACTCAACTTCCTCTTTCCCTGTACTAAAAACCACTGTTCATGGGACTCTAATAAACAAGAGTAACAGGTTCTTAACTGGGCTGAGGGAGTCCCACCACAGTGTAATATTTTTGCATGTCATCTTTGCATGGTTATTGTTTACATGATATATTTAGGTACTATATAAAATAACATAAAATAAAAAGTTTAAAATAAAGGTAGAACCAGATGACCTTCAAAACTCTTTCAATCCAGGAGCTGGGCATTGTGGCTCATGCCTGTAATTCCAGTGACTCGGGAGACTGAAGTGGGAGAATTCTTGAGGCAAAGAGTTCGTGACCGGCCTGGACAACATAATGAGACCTGGTCCCTGATATTTTTTTTTTTTTAATTCCCTGGGCAATAAAGTGAGACCCTGTCTCCAAACAAACAGACAAACAAACAAAAAAACCAGTGGGCAGTGAACTGGAAGACTCTTTGCAATCCAAATGCTAGTGTCAAAGGTTTAGCTGATTTGATTTCAGGGCACCCACAACACTTATTCTTTGTACATCACTAAGGACCCCCTGGGGTCTATATGGAGGTTTATTTTCCACTGGTCACTGTTGGTCCAAGACTGGCAGGTTCCAGGTGTGAGAAATGGATCTGAACTTTCCTAGGGAACCTTCTATTAGCTTGGAGAAGCAGAACTGTTTAGTTAAAAACTGCATTGAATTTGGAGGTCAGGAGATCCTTAAATATGGTATATTGATTACTTATCTGCATATAGTTCCAGTTCAAGACCAGGAGAAGACAAAGACAGATGTCCCAGATCAAGCAGTCAGACAGGCAAAGTTCCCTGTTAGCCTTTTTGTTCTGTTCAGATCTACAGTTGATTGGATGAGGCCCACCTACATTAGGGAAGGCAGTCTACTTTACTCAGTCTACTGATTTAAATGTTAATCTCATCCAGAAACACCCTCAGAGACATACCAAGCAAGAATGTTTAACCAACTTTCTGGGCACCTGAGGCCCAGTCAAACTGACACAAAAACTAACCATCATGGTCTCCAAATTGCCAGTATATTTATCAGAGTAAAGAGCACTAGTGCTGTAACGAATAACTCCAAAATTGCAGTAGCTTACATAATAAATAAATAATTAACATATCACAGTGAATTTGAGTGTGTTCAGGCTGCTTTCTTCACTGGTGATTGAGAGCTCCCAATTCCTTCTATCTTGCAATGCTGCCATCTTCCAGGGATTTCTTGTTCTCTTCTGCATTGTCTGCATTTAGCTGGCTGATGAATGAAGACAGAAGGTGTGTAGAGGATCATATGGGACCTTTGTAAAGCCAGACTGGGCAATGTATAGATTGCTTCTGTTCACTTTCCTTTGATCAGATCTCAACACAAAATCCCAACCTTGCTGCAAAGAATGCTGGGAAATGTAATTTTCCTTTCTGTTAAGGAAGAAAAAATGGTGAGCCTCTAGTGAGTCTTTTTTTTTTTTTTTTTTAAAGAGACAGGATCTTGTTTTGTCACCCAGGCTAGACTGGAATTACACCATTATGGCTCACTGCAGCCTCAACACCCTGGGCTCAAGCAGTCCCCCTGCTTCAGCCTCCCAAGTAACTAAGACTACAGATGTGCACCATCATCCCCCGCTAATTTTTTTATTTTTTGTAGAGACAGGGTCTCCTCTTACCCAGGCTGGCCTGGAGCTCCTGGCCTCAAGCAATCCTCCCACCTTGGCCTCTCAAAGTGCTGGGATTACAGGTGTGAGCCACCATGCCTGGTCCCTAGCTAGCTTTTAAACTTGGGGTTATCCTGTCTCTGAGTTTGTTTTCTTCTTTGTAAAGTGAGGAGGATGTGTCAAATGCTCTCGAAGGGACTTTCCAGCTCTGACCATCTAAGTCCTATGATTCTATCAAAACCTTGGCTGGGCCCTGGAAACACCCAGCTTGGAGGTGGTCTCTCCCAGCCCAAGAGGGAAGAACAAGAATCAGAGTTCCCCCAAGGATTTTCTAACCGACACCTGCAGTGCCTGGGAAATTCATTCACTTCCTCATGTTCCCAAGAATCAGGATGACAGCCACACCCCTACAGAGTATAGCCTTACCCTAGGTCATAGTGCCGGCACCCCTTCCTGGGTGTGTGTGTGCGAACACTAATGTGGCCATGACATTTCCCCCTTATTTCCTCTCCTTCTGATTCTCATGCTGTGAAAAGCCATGACCCCTAGGGCTCCTCCCCTAAGATGTTGGAGTACCATCTGAGAGGGACAGAGACTATATACATCCTGGGCCCAGATTAGCCTGGAAGAGGGCTTCACAAAAGACTGGCTTGTGTCAGAGTCATTCTGTTCACAAATTGCCTTCCTTTCTGCATTTTCTGATGATTTGTGATTTATTTACTTGTTTTCTTGTTTATTATCTGACTTCCCATGAGTCAGAGATCATGTCTATCTTATTTACTACTGCATCTCTAGGGCCTATAAAGCAAGTATTTTTTTAAATGAATAAATATTACTTAAATGTTGTTAAATTTAGCCTAAGTTCAGTGCAATAGGATTTTGGCTGGGGAGGTGGGAGTACATTTAAATTCATACATATATTTATGTACTCAGTAATTTTTTTTTCTTTTTTTTTTTTTGAGACAGAGTCTCGCTCTGTCGCGCAGGCTAGAGTGCAGTGGCGCCATCTTGGCTCACTGCAACCTCCGCCTCCAAGGTTCAAGCAATTCTCCTGCCTCAGCCTCCTGAGTAGCTGGGATTACAGGCGCCCGCCACCATGCCTGGCTGATTTTTGTATTTTTAGTAGAGGTTTCACCATGTTGGCCAGACTGGTCTCGAACCCCTGACCTCAGGTGATACGCCCACCTCGGCCTCCCAAAGTGCTGGGATTACAGGTGTGAGCCACTGCGCCTGGCTAGTAATGTTTTTCTCTTACAAGGTAGACACTAGAAATTTCAGAATAATATGAGAAACAGGCCAATAATAGACTATATTATCCTAAGCTTGGGGCCCAGAAAGGTTAAAACTAAGAATGCAATCGCTGTTTCTCCAAGCCAGGAAGCAACTGCCATCAGCGTTCAGTTGGGTTGCACTTTCTCCATTTATCTTAGAGATATGCCATACTGTACTTACATTAGATGATGATCAGTTTCAGAGTATGAACAGCCATTTCTAACTGGAGAGTGTAGCTGTCTCTTTTTAGTCCAGCGGAGTCTAAGAGTTACTCCATATGTGTCTATCAAATAAAGAAAATCTGGATTCCTGAAACTTGTCCCTGAAAAAAAGGGCATAACTGATCTTTCCTTAATTTATGCTTTCAGTTTCACTGTGATCATCGTCCCTTTGAAAAGTCTGGTTTCCTTTGCTCACAACCTCACCTTAAATATTAAACCCAATTTGTAAGGTAAATCTGCAGGAAAAATATATATACCATATCATCTATGTCAAGAGTCTGGTGCAGAGTGGGCACTCAATAAATAACCCGCTGTCATGACTATTTTTATCATTATTGATATCTTCTAATATGAATAACTACCACCACTTATTAAGACTTTGCTCTATGTTAAGAAATGAACTAAATGCTCTGCATACATTTTCTCATTTAATCCTAGCAATATTCCTCTGAAACAAAGTATCTATCATTATTATCACCATTTTATAGGCGAGTAAACTAAGGCACAGAAAAGTTAACCATCTTTCCAAGGTCACATAGTGAATATGTGACACAGCTGGTATTAAACCCCAGGCAGTCTGGTTTTCAAGGCTGATCTCAGATTATTTGTACTATTTCTTTGGGGTCAGCTCACGTCACTGGTTGATTTTATTTCTCAATTAGATCATGACAAAATTTTATTCTGGAAACCCTGATAATCTTATTATTCTTATCCTTATTAAATCACATACATTCAATTAAGTCTATCCTGGTGTATTTTTTTCTCTTAAAAATTCACAAGGATATTTAAGAAATTAGCCACTCATTGCTGACGGCAGCAATTTACAGACCACCTCTCCCAAGCCCAGGACTATTCCATTGCCTGGTGCCCTTTGCTGCCATAGCCCAAGTTGTTTCCATCTGCCTGATGGAGACCAGGCTTCTCTATGTCCCTGAATAAGTACAATTGTATGAGGCACCTGATCCAGCAACTTACTAGTGTCCAGGGGCAAAGCTGTATTCTTTGTTAACTAACTTATTGATTCTAAAATCAGAAGTGCAAATATGTTTTCTGGCAGCATTTGGAAAGTGGGATTACACATTTCATTTTTGATTGCAGATAGAACTCCCTGCAGATATCGATGATTCTTTTTTATTGTAACTTGACCACCTATTTCAAATCCACTTAGAAATTTTTATTATGTTGCCCGAGCACAGTGGCTCATGCCTGTAATCCCAGCACTTTGGGAGGCTGAGGCGAACAGATCACTTGAAGTTAGGAGTTCGAGACCAGCCTGGCCAACATGGTGAAACCCCGTCTCTACTAAAAATACAAAGCCAGGCATGGTGGCACATGCCTGTAATCCCAGCTACTTGGGAGGCTGAGGCAGGAGAATTGTTTGAACCTGGGAGGTTGAGTTTGCAGTGAGCTGAGACTGTGCCATTGCACTCCAGCCTGGGTGACAGAGCGAGACTCCGTCTCAAAAAAAAAAAAAAAAAAAAAGAATTTTATCAATACAGTTGATTCTACCTGTATACTCCTGCCCTGGCCCATTCCCCAGCCTCACTTTTTATTACTTCTTTTATTTCTGTACTTTTTTTTTTTTCAATAAGAGTGGAAAGACCTGAAATGTTTTGTGACTTAAAAAAAATA
The DNA here is from genome assembly GCF_000001405.40 of Homo sapiens. Lineage (NCBI taxonomy): Eukaryota > Metazoa > Chordata > Mammalia > Primates > Hominidae > Homo > Homo sapiens. The sequence goes on along the minus strand of NC_000001.11, from coordinate 92,462,128 downwards.
GTTCTAGTTCTCTCCACAAATTTTGAAATAATAAGCATGATTGCCATGGCAGACAACCCTACCCACCTAAACCTTTGCTTCCCGTACACTTAAATATAGGCTACAATTATTACTTCTCTATTTAGAGATTATTGTGGTTTCAGTTTTCATTGTGTCCTTGTGGGGTTTGCCTCTTTGGGTTGCCATTATAAATGTCTCTTTTATTCCCCCATGTGGTCACTTTCTTAAATACCTTGTTTAGCACATCTTAAATGGAGTGTGGTTTGACTGTGGTATCTGCCAACCTTAGGGATATTCTACTACTTTTGTTCCCTTCCAATTATAGAAAACATGTGATAATAATTTCGCTTTTGTGAACTGTCGGGGAAGGGAAGAGATCATACATATCTTAAACACCTATTATGTGTCAAGCGTTTTGCCAATATTTTCCCAATTTAACATTCCTGTTAGATGATTGTCATTACATCTGTATTATGCATGAGAAAACTGAAACTCAGAGAGGTACTAAATGGTGAAGACAAGATTTGAATCAGGTCTTCTGGGCATGTGATCGTGAAAAGGCATGAGATGTGTGGACAAGTTCAGCCTCATGAGGATCAGGCAGTCTCTTTCCTAGATATCTGGTTCTTCTGCTTTTCTCCCTACCCCTAATCTACTCCTAACTGAAATAAGGGGTTTCAAGTGGAAATGCTAATACTTATCCTATTCACTTCACAGGAGGTGTTATGGGATTTGGTGAGGCAATACTTTAAATTTCAGAGAACAGATACTATAGTCGTCAAAGGCATTATTTATGCTATTTTCTGATAGGCAGTGAGTTGACATTTTCTTCTGTATTACTATTGTTTGTGGAGGCTGGCAAAGCTGAACACCTCTAATTCAGACATCATCCCAAACCTCAGGCCACCCTGTTCTCTCATTTTCATTTACCAAATCTGCTTACACAGACTCCAACTTGTGTATTTTCCCCTCTCCTACTCCTTTAAGTCCTCTCACCAACAGGAGACAAAGACAGCACTCTGGGGATGAAGGCCCAGAAACTAGACTCCTAGCACACAAACTTAATAATAAGCTCATGAAACTTTTAATAGTATTTAAAATAGTATTAAAATTTGTATCAATAAATATAAAAATAGATTAATTCATCAGAGAGTTCCAAGGTGTACCCAGCAAGGAAATAACTTTTAAATATAGAGTGATAGGGTCAAGCACAGTGACTCATGCTTGTTATCACAGCACTGTGGGAGGCTGAGGCAGGAGGATTGCTTGAGCCTAGGAGTTGGAGGTTATAGTGAGCTATGATTGCACCACTGCACTCCAGCCTGGGCAACAGAGGGAGACCCTGTCTATAAGTCAAGAAATAAATACAGAATGATGGTTACAACTTTGGGAGCATTTCACAAATGGAAAAACTTGTGTATAATAAGTGGCTCTAGGGCCGGGCACAGTAATTCCAGCACTTTGGGGGGCCAAGGTGGGTGGATCACTTGAGGTCAGGAGTTTGAGACCAGCCTGGCCAACACTGCGAAACCCCATCTCTACTAAAAATACAAAAAAAAAAAAATTAGGTGGGCGTGGTGGCACATACTTGTAAGCCCAGCTACTTGGGACTGAGGCAGGAGGATCACTCAAACCCAGGAGGTGGAGGTTGCAGTGAGCTGAGATGGTGCCACTGTACTCTAGCCTGGGTGACAGCAAGACTCCATCTCAACAACAACAACAAAAAAAAGTTGGGGGGGGCACCTAACAATGTCCATTCCTGACTTATTTATTTGGTCAAAGGATGTGAATATTTTTAAATGATTATTCTTCTCCAGCTTCTCCCTTTGCCTCTGCTATTAGGTTGGTTTCCTTCAACAGCCTGACGATTGGTCATGGCAAAGAGAAACTGTGCGTGTTAGCATTCTGAGAGTGGTTTGGAGATTTACTCCCACTAAGTTGATAAACTTCCTCCTTCTTAACGGTTTTCTAGACTCTAATCCTAATCATTGCCTTCTTTCCAAATTCTCCACGAGTGTTGCTCAGGAAGCACAAGTAGCTGTAAACCACAGAGGCTGGTTCTTACCAACTGTTGGATTCAACCTGTAGCAAACTGGACAGAGCACAGCCTGTCCTTTCAAGAGCCCAGAGCAACTCCTAAGTGAAGAAAGAGAACTCAACTTGTATTGTGTAAATTTTACCCAGAACAGTCTCAGGAAGTATCACAGCTTCCTGATTGCAAACCTAGATAAAGTCTAAGGCCACAGCTGCTAAGGACAAAAGCCACCAACCCCCCAAAATGAAGAAAATGACATCCAAAGTCTGTATTTGAGAGAAAGTCCTATTAGATACGTGAGGGTGTAAAAGACAATTCAGATGAAGGAACTGGTTTTGTGTCTCAAGCAAACAAAGGTCACCTTTGGAAATAATAGAGAACAAGGGAGATCTGAGAGTTCTGACTGCCAGTATCATGAAGTCGGTTTCTGCACGATTATTTCATTATAGATTAAACCTGAATCTGATTAAACCTATCATGGATATGGAGTGAGCTGATGGGAGCCCATGTGTTGGAACTCTGAAGTGGAAAGACTTACCCCATAAAATCTTTTCTCTGCTTACCTTGCTTTCAGTGCCTCCTCTAAAATATGAAAGCCACTGTGTTCCATCAATATTAAGAAAAACATCTCTGTGGCTTAAAAAGTAGATCAGGCCTGGGTGCAGTGGCTCATGCCTGTAATCCCAGCACTTTGGGAGGCCGAGGCAGGCGGATCACCTGAGGTCAGGAGTTCAAGACCAGCCTGGCCAACATGGTGAAACCCCGTCTCTACAAAAATACAAAAAAAAAAAAATTAGCCGGGAATGATGGCAGGTGCCTGTAATCACAGCTACTGGGAGGGTGAGGTGGGAGAATCGCTTGAACCTGGGAGGCGGAGGTTGCAGTGAGCCAAGATCATACCATTGCACTCCAGCCTGGGCAACAGAGTGAGACTTCGTCTCAAAAATAAATAAATAAATAAATAAATAAAAAGAAAAGTAGATCAAGATTGATTGCAAAGAGCAGAATTCAAATTCCTTTGCTGACTAGTTGCATGCCTTTGGACAATTTAATCCTAGTTGCTTTATCTGTTGGGAATACATGGGAAGAATAATTCCTACTTGTAGGGTTATTGTGAGGATTGCAGATACCTGCAAGATGCCAGGCCCAGAGGAAACAACCAACATATAATAGTTATTATCCTATTATTCTTAATCAATGACTTTGAAATGTAACAGGGCTGGCCAGGAGCAGTGCCTCACACCTGTAATCCTAGCATTTTGGGAGGCCAAGGCGGGTGGATCACCTGAGGTCAGGAGTTCGAGACCAGCCTGGCCAACATGGTGAAACCCTGTCTTCTACTAAAAATACAAGAATTAGCTGGGCGTAGTGGCGCATGCCTGTAATCCCAGCTACTCGGGAGGCTGAGGAAGGAGAATCGCTTGAACCCAGGAGGTGGAGGTTGCAGTGAGGCGAGATGGAGCCACTGCACCTCAACCTGGGTGACACAGTGAAACTCTGTCTCAAAAAAAAGAAAAAAGAAAAAGAAGTGTAACAGGGCTGGAAACTCCCATTTCTGGCAGTATCATAGATTAGATATCCTGAATAACTCTGTAGATTAAAACAACCAAAATTCTGGGTAAACTATTCTTACATAATTATAAATAAATCACTGATCTGTCACCAAAATAAGGAATTTGTTGATTTCAGAAACAGTAGTGAAAGTAGGAAATCTGGTCGGGGAAGCAGGGTTTTTTCAAATTCTGGAGAGTCCTTCCTTCTTTGAGGCTGCATGAAGCTGTATGAAGAAGGCACAGAATCAGGAGTTAAAGCTTAGGGCTGACTAAGGTGGAGAATCTTAGGAAACTCACCCCTCTATACCCTCAGTGTAAGGATGAATAGGAAGTCACTCTGCACAGAAGGAGATAATGAAGAAATGCCTATTTCCACCTTGGCGCTGGTGGAGGGGTTGGAAATCTTCCCTAACAGTTCGTAAAGCAAGTTGGCCTTCGTGTGTGTTTGTGAGAATTCAGTCTAAAATTTTAAACTAACTATAGTTCAACTATAGTCCCAGATTGGTAGCACCTGGGGCAATTGATAGAAACAAAAACAAATTTCTCTGGAAGGATTTAACTGTAATCCAGACCTTAAAGAATTCCTACAGGTTAAGTTCCAAGGAGAACAGGCAGCTTATATTTTTTTTTTTAAAAAATCACAAGACGTATAATGATGTAAGCAAGACACCATAAATGAGAATCAATATAAACAAATTTCAGCAAATATAGACTCACAAATATTTCAGATGTTGGAAAACAGATATGAAATAATCTATTATGTTTAAAGAGAAAAAATAAGTGCTTAAAAATATGAGCAGAGAATAATGACAATAAAGAATGGCCACAGAGGGCCAGGCATGGTGGCTCACACCTGTAATCCCAGCACTTTGGGAGGCCGAGGTGGGCAGATCACCTGAGGTCAGGAGTTCAAGACCAGGCTGGCCAACATGGTGAAACCCTGTCTCCACTAATAATACAAAAAAAATTAACCAGGTGTGGTGGTAGGCACCTGTAATCCCAGCTACTCAGGAGGCTGAGGCAGGAGAATTGCTTGAACCTAGGAGGCGGAGGTTGCAGTGAGCCAAGATTGTCCTATTGCACTCCAGCCTGGGTGACAAGACCAAGACTCCATCTCGGGGAAAAAAAAAAAAAGACCAAGCAGATTTGAAAGTAAATATAACTTCTAGAAATAAAACCAGTACAGATGGGACAAATAGAAAATAATTGGAGAGGTCAGGCACGGTGGCTCACACCTGTAATCCTAGCACTTTGGGAGGCCGAGGAGGGCGTATCACTTGAGGCCAGGAGTTTGAGACCAGCCTGGCCAACATGGAGAAATCCCATCTCTACTAAAAATACAAAAATTAGCCAGGCATGGTGGTGCACTCCTGTAATCCCAGCTACTCAGGAGGCTGAGGCAGGAGAATCACTTGAACCCGGGAGCTGGAGGTTGCACTGAGCCGAGATCGTGCCACTGCACTCCAGCCTGCGTGTCACAGCAACACTCTGTCTCAAAAAAAAAAAAAAGAAAGAAAGAAAGAAAAGAAAAAGAAAAGAAATGGTGAAATGTTACAACTCAAACCAAACCATATCAATAATCCCCATTATATATAAATGCAAATGACGTAACCGGTGCTGTCCAATACAGTAGCCACTAGCCACATTTGGCTATTGAACACTTGAAATGTGGCTGGTGTGACTGATTTTAAAATTGTGTTTAATTTTAATTAATTTAAATTTAAATAGGAATATATGGCTAGTTGCTACACATATTGTATTGGACATGACAATTCCAAACACCCCAATTCAAAGTCAGAGATTATCTGAGTAGATAAAAAAGCAAGATCTAATTATATGTTGGCTTCAAAAAAATTCGTTTTAAAAATAGAAACAAAGAGATTAAAACTAAAAGAATGGAAGGAGATATACCATGATAATACTAACTGAAAGAAAGCTGGCTGGGCGCAGTGGCTCACGCCTGTAATCCCAACACTTTGGGAGGCCAAGGCAGGCGGATCACAAGGTCAGGAGTTCGAGACCAGCCTGGCCAACATAGTAAAAACCCATCTCTACTAAAAATACAAAAAATTAGTTGGGCATGGTGGTATGCACCTTTACTCCCAGCTACTCGGGAGGCTGAGACAGGAGAATCACTTGAACCCGGGAGGCAGAGGTTGTAGTGAGCCAAGATCATGCCACTGCACTCCAGCCTAAGCAACAGAGCAAGACTCCATCTCAAAAAAAAAAAAAAAAAAAAGAAAGAAAGCTACATTAATGTCAGTCAAAACAGATTTCATAGCAAAGAATATACCAGAGATAAAGAAGGTCATTTCAAAGAGATAAAGGCGACAATTCTCCAAGAAAATGTCACAATCCTTTTTTTTTTTTTTTTTTTTTTAGACAGGGTCTCATTCTGTCACTCAGGCTGGAGTGCAGTGGTGCACTCCAGTGATCCTCCTGTCTCAGCCTCCCAAAGTGCTGGGATTACAGGTGTGAGCCACTGCATTCTGCACAATCCTAAATATTCTTTAACCACTTTATTGAAGTACAAAAAGCTGTATGTATTTAATGTATCCAACTTGATGAGTTTGGGGATAAGTATATACCCATAAAAACATCACTATAATCAATGTCATAAACATGTCCATCACTTTCAAAAGTCATTTCCTGCCCTCTTTATTTATTATTATTATTTGTGTGTATATATGTGTGATAACACTTAACATCTACTCTCTTAGCAAAGTTTCAAGTATATAATACAGTGCTGTTAACATAGGCACTATGCTGTACAGTAGATCTCTGGGATTTATCTTGTATAACTGAAACTTTGTACCCTTTGACCAATACCTCCCCATTTTTCCTTGTTCTACCAAAAATTTACAGAAGAAATAATACAAATTCTATAAAAACTCTTCCAGATAAGTGAAGAGAAGGAAATATTTTTCATCACAATCTATGAAACCAGCATTACCCTGGTATCAAAACCAGAGAAAGGCATTTACAAGAAAACTTCTCTTTCTCTCTCTCTCTCTCTCTCTCTCTCTCTCTCTCTCTCTCTCTCTCTCTCTCTGTCTCTCTGGTTTTTGAAACAGGGCTTTCCCTGCTGGTGCCCAGGCTGAAGTGCAATGATGTAATCATAGCTCACTGCAGCCTCAAACTCCTGGGCCCAAGCAATCCTCCTACCTCAGCCTCCTCAGTAGCTGGGACTACAGGCTCATGCTGCCACACCTGGTTAATTTTTAAAATGTATTTTTTATAGAGACAGTGTCTCACTATGTTGCCCAGGCTGGTGTCAATCTCCTGTGCTCAAGCAATCCTCCTGCCTCAGTCTACCAATATCTTTCATAAACATAGATGCAAAACTTTGTAACAGTTTTAGCCAATCAGATTCAACAATATATAAAAAGGATTATACATTGTAACCAGGAGAATTTTATTCCAGGGATACAAGCTTGGTTTAACATTTAAAAATTGCAGGCCGGGTGGGGTGGCTCACGCTTGTAATCCCAGCATTTTGGGAGGCCGAGGTGGGTGGATCACCTGAGGTTGGGAGTTCGAGACCAGCCTGACCAACATGGAGAAAACCTCGTCTCTACTAAAAATACAAAATTAGCCAGGCATGGTGGTGCATGCCTGTAATCCTAGCTACTTGGGAGGCTGAGGCAGGAGAATTGCTTGAACCCAGGAGGTGGAGGATGGGGTGAGAGGAGATTGCATCATTGCACTCCAGCCTGGGCAGTAAGAGTGAAACTCTGTCTCAAAAAAAAAAAATTTAAAAATTAACTAATATAATTAACGATATTGACAGACTGAAAAACAGAAAAACTATATGCTCATGGATCAGAAGACTCAGTGTCAGCCAGGCGTGGTGGCTCAAACCTGTAATCCCAGCACTTTGGGAGGCCAAGGCAGGTGGATGACCTGAGGTTGGGAGTTCAAGACCAGCCTTACCAATATGGTGAAACCCCGTCTCTACTAAAAATACAAAATTAGCCAGGGGTGGTGGCACATGCCTGTAATCCCAGCTACTCAGGTGGCTGAGGCAGGAGAATCTCTTGAACCTGGGAGGCGGAGGTTGTGGTGAGCCAAGATCATGCCATCGCACCCCAGCCTGGGCAACAAGAGCGAAACTCCGTCTCAAAAGAAGAAGAAGAAGAAGAAGACAATGACGACTCAGTGTCATTAAAATATAAGTTCTCCCCAAATTGATTTATAGATTCAATTATGTCCCAATCAAAATCCCAACAGGCTTTTTTGGTATAAATTAACCTACTTATTCTGTAGTTTACATAGAAATGGAGTTTATATAGACCTAGAATAACTAAAGCAACATTAAAAAAACCCCACAAAATTGGAGTACTTACACTGCCAGATTTCAGAACTTATTATAAAACTACAATAATTAAGACAGCATAGTCTTGGTGTAAAGATAGACAAATCAATCAGTATAAAAGAACAGAAAGTCAAGAAATAGACCCAGGCATATCTGGTCAGTTGCTTTTCAACAAACTACCAAGATAATTCAATGGGGGAAAATAATCTTTTCAACAAATAGTGTTGGAATAATTGATAGCCACATGGAAAGATATCAACTTTGATGCTACATCCTACCATATTTACAAATTAACTCAGATGGGGCGCGGTGGCTCATGCCTGTAATCCCAGCACTTTAGGAGGCCGAGGCGGACAGATCAGGAGGTCAGGAGTTCGAGACCAGTCTGGCCAACATAATGAAACCCCGTCTCTACTAAAAATACAAAAAAAAATTAGGTGGGCATGGTGGCGCATGCCTGCAATCCCAGCTACTTGAGAGGCTGAGGCAGGAGAATCACTTGAACCCAGAGGCTGTGGTGAGCCAAGATCGTGCCATTGCACTCCAGCCTGGACAACAAGAGCAACACTCCATCTCAAAAAAAATAGATAAAAATAAAAATGAACTCAACACTCACCTAAACATATAGAATCAAAACTAGGAAATTTCTGGATGCAAATGTACAAGAAAATCTTACCTTGAATTTGTCAAAGATTTTTAATAGTGTGACACAAAAATCATGACTATAATAGGAAACATAAATAAACTGGACTTCATCAAGATTTAAAAGTTTTGCTTTTCGCTGGGCACGTTGGCTCATGCCTGTAATCCTAGCACTTTGGGAGGCCGAGGCGGATGGATCATGAGGTCAAGAGATCAAGACCATCCTGGCCAACATGGTGAAACCCTATCTCTATTAAAAATAGAAAAATTAGCTGGGCGTGGTGATGCACGCCTGTAGTCCCAGCTACTCGGGAGGCTGAGGCAGGAGAATCACTTGAACTCGGGAGGCGGAGGTTGCAGTGAGCTGAGATCTCGCCACTGCACTCCAGCTTGGCGGCAGGGCGAGACTTTGTCTCAAAAATAAATAACTAAATAAAGTTTTGCTTCTCAAAGGGCACCATTAAAAAATGGAAAGGGGGCGTGGTGCAGTGGTGGCTCATGCCTGTAACCCCAGCACTTTGGGAGGCCAAGGCAGGTGGATCACCTGAAGTCGGGAGTTCGAGACCACCTGGTCAACATGGTGAAACCCCGTCTCTGCTAAAAATACAAAAATTAGCAGGGTATGGTGACAGGTGCCTGTAATCCCAGCTACTTGGGAGGCTGAGGCAGGAGAATCACTTGAACCCAGGAGGCAGAGGTTGCACTGAGCCGAGATTGCACCATTGCACTCCAACCTGGGCGACAAGAATGAAACTCCATCTCAAAAAAAAAGAAAAAAAAAAAGGGAAAACTACTGAATGGGAGAAAATATTAGCAAAATATATATCTAAATTCTTATATCTTGGGTGAGTAGGGAAGGTGGGGTGAAAAAAATAAATTCGTACATCTAGAATATATAATTATTACAACTTAATGAGAAGACAATCTAATTTAAAAATAGTCAAAACATTTGAACAGACATTCACCAAAGAAGATATGATTGGCAAATAATCACATGAAAACATGCTCAACATCATTAGTCATTAGGAAAACACAAATTAAAAACACACTGTTATACGCCAGTAGAACGGCTGCAATTAAAAAGTTTCATAAGGCCGGGCACGGTGGTTCACGCCTGTAATCCCAGCATTTTGGGAGGCCGAAGGGGCAGATCGCCTGAGCTCAGGAGTTCGAGACTAGCCTGGGCAGCACGGTGAAACCCCGTCTCTACTAAAATACAAAAAAATTAGCCGGGAGTGGTGGCGTGTGCCTGTAATCCAGCTACTCGGGAGGCTGAGATGGGAGAATCGCTTGAACCCGGGAGGCGGAGGTTGAAGTGAGCCGAGATCGCGCCACTGCACTCCAGCCTGGGCGACAAAGCGAGACTCTGTCTCAAAAAAAAAAAAAAAAAAAAAAAAAGGCTTCATACTACCATGTATTGGCAAGGGTATGGAAAACCCTCATTCATGGCTGGTAGGAACGTAAAATGGTATCACCACTTGGAAAACCCTTTGGCAGTATGTTAAGTAATAGTTAAACAGGCCGGTCATGGTGGCTCATGCCTGTAATCCCAGCACTTTGGGAGTCTGAGGCAGGCGGATCATCTGAGGTCAGGAGTTGAAGACCAGTCTGGCCAACACAGTGAAACCCCGTCTCTACAAAAAATACAAATATTAGCCGGTCAGGGTACAGAGTGCCTGTAATCCCAGCTACTCGGGAGGCTGAGGCAAGAGAATTGCTTGAACCTGGGAGGTGGAGGTCGCAGTGAGCCGAGATCGCGACACTGCACTCCAGCCTGGGTGACAGAGCGAGACTCCGTCTCAAAAACAAAACGAGACAAAAAAAAAAATAGTTAAACATACACCTATTATATAGTTCAGCCATTTCATTCCTACATATATACCCAAAGAAAAATGAAAGCACATGTCTATAAAAAGATATATACATCTAGGCTGGGCACAATGACTCACACCTGTAATCCCAGCACTTTGGGAAGCCAAGGTGGGCAGATCAGAAGGTCAGGAGTTCAAGACCAGCCTGGCCAATATGGTGAAACCCCGTCTCTACTAAAAATACAAAAATTAGCTGGGCGTGGTGGTGGGCGCCTGTAGTCCCAGCTACGCAGGAGGCTGAGGCAGGAATATCATTTGAACCCAGGAGGCGGAGCTTGCAGTCAGCCGAGATTGAGCCACTGCACACCAGCCTGAGCGACTTGGAGGGAGACTCCATCTAAAAAAAAAAAAAAAAAAAGAAAAGAAAAATAAAGGTATATACATGTAAAACGCTTCTGCACAGCAAAAGAAACCATCAACAGACTGAAGAGACAACCTGTAGAATAAAAGAAAGTATTTGCAAACTTATTTATCCAGAAAGGAACTAATATTCAGAATAGATAGCGAATTCAAACAACTCAACAGTAAACAAACAAAAAACATTAAAAAGTGGGCAAATGATTTGAATAGACATTTATCAAAAGAAGACATATAAATGGCTAACAGACATATTAAAAAAAGCTCAACATCAGTAATCAACAAGGAAAGGCAAATCAAAACCAAAACGAGATATCATCTTACCCCAGTTGGAATGGCTATTACTAAAAAGACAAAAAAAAAAAATGTTGGCAAAGTTGTGGTTATAATGGAACTCTTACACACTGTTGGTGGGAATGTAAACTAGTACAGCCATTATGGAAACAGTATGGATGTTTCTCAAAAAACTAAAAATAGAACTCCCATATGATCCAGTAATTTCACTACTGGATATTTATCCAAAGGAAAGGAGATCAGTAAATTAAAGGGATATCTGCACCCTTGTATTTATCGCAGCACTATTCATAACAGCAAAGATATGGATTCAACCTAAGTGTCTACCAACAGACGAATGGATAAAGAAAATGTGGTATATATACACAAAGGAATACTATTCAGCCATAAAAAGCCATCATTTGCAGCAACGTGGAAAGAACTGGAGATCATTATGTTAGATGAAATAAACCAGCCACTGAAAGACAGATATTGTATGTTCTTACTCATATGTGGGAGCTAAAAAAGTAGATCTCATGGAGGTAGAAAGTAGGATGATAGATACCAGAGACTGGGATGGGTGTCTGCATGGGGGTAGGGGTGGGGTGGAATTAAGAGAGGTTGGTTAACGGGTACGAACACACAGTTAGATAGAAGAAATAAGTTCTAGTGTTCGATAGCATAGTAAGGTGACTATAGTTAACAATAATTTATTGTATATTTCAAAATAGCTAGAAGAGAAGTTTTGAAATGTTCCCAACAGAAAGAAATGATAGCTGTTTCAGGTAATGGATACTCTAAATACCCTGATTTGATCATCACACATTTTATGTATGTATTAAAATATCACATGTGCCAGGCATGGTGGCTCATGCCTGTAATCCCAGCACTTTGGGAAGCCAAGGTGGGTGGATCACAAGGTCAGGAATTCGAGACAAGCCTGGCCAACATGGTGAAACCTCGTCTCTACTAAAAATACAAAAATTATCTGGGCATGGTGGCAGGCACCTGTAATCCCAGCTATTCGGGAGGCTGAAGCAGGAGAATCACTTGGACCCGGGAGGTGGAGGTTGCAGTGAGCTAAGATCTGGCCACTGCATTCCAGCCTGGGTGACAGAGTGAAACTCTGTCTCAAAAAAATAAATAAATAAAATGTCACATGTATCCCATAAATATGTACGATTATTATATACCAATAGAAAAATTTTAAAAAAATTTAAAGATCTACATGAATGTTTATAGCAATTTTATTTGTAATAGCCAAGAACTGGAAATGCCCAAATGACAAGACAAACTGTGGTCTATCCATACAGTGGAGTACTATACAGCAATAAAAAGAAATGAACTATTGATAAACACATGAATAAACTTTCAAATAATTTTGCTCAGTGAAAAAAGTCAGACCAAAAAAAGAAGTTGTATTGTATGACTTTGTACTATACAATTCTAGAAAATGCAAACTAATAATGACAGAAGGCAAATTAATGGTTGCTTGGCGGGGAGTGAGGGTAGGGAAAGATGAGAGGAAAACATTAGAAAGGGGCATGAGAAACTTTTGGAGGCGAAGGATTTACTCATTATCTTGGTTGTAGTAATCGTTTCATAAGCACATTCACATATCAAAATCTATCAAAATGTACAATTTAAATATGTGCAGCTGATTTTATGTTGATGCCTCAATAAAGCTGCTTTTAAAAATCTCAATGCACTAAAAAGAAACTAAACATAGCTGAAGAAAGAATTAAAAAACTGGATCTGAAGATATTATCCACATGTATTAGAGAGAGCTAGAAAGAGGGATGTGTTATAAAGAGACTAAGACTAGAGTATGAAAGTCAGCAAACAGTTGCAGAAGGAAATAATAATGAGAATGGAAAAGAACAGTATTTCTCAGATCCAGGGAACCCAGTGAATCTCAAGCAGGATATATTAAAGAAACTTTTCACCTAGAGACATCATAGTGAAACTGCAGGATATTCACATAAACGAGAGAGAGAGAGAGAGAGGAGACTCGTAAAAGCTTCCAGGGAGAAAAGACAAATCACCTACAAGAAAATGGGCAATTAGGCATATAGTTCACTTTTTAAGAACAATTAAGAGAATACTATGTTATAATTTCTTTGATGTGTTGAGAGAAAATGGCTATCAACCCAGAATTTCACACCCAGTGAGGTTATATTTCAAGAAAAACAAATTATATAAAGAATATTTTCAGCCCAACACAGTGGCTCATGCTTGTAATCCCAGCACTTTGGGAGGCCGAGGCACGTGGATCACCTGAGGTACGGAGTTCGAGACCCCATCTAGTCAAAATGCAAAATTAGCCGGGCATGGTGGCGCATGCCTGTAATCCCAGCTACTCGGGAGGCTGAGGCAGGAGAAGCACTTGAACCTGGGAGATGGAGGTTGTGGTGAGCCAAGATCGCACCATTGCACTCCAGCCTGGGCAACAAGAGCGAAACTCTGTCTCAAAAAAAAAAAAAAAAAAAAAAAAAAACCACAGAATATTTTCAGGCAAACAAAACAGAGAAAAACAATGAAAACATCTGCCTCCCCAATAACTTGAAAATTTACCATCCAAAGAGATTCATTAAAGGAAATCCTAAAGGATATACTTTAAGAGAATAAAAACTGAAAAGCCCAAGATGCAAAAAAGAGTGGTGAGTGGATGGATGCGGTGGCTCATGCCTGTAATCCAGTGCTTTGGGAGGCCAAAGGCTGGAGAATCACTTGAGACCAGAAGTTTGAGACCAGCCAGGTGAACATAGTGAGACCTCATCTCTTAAAAAAAAAAAAAAAAAAAAAAAAAGATGCAGTGGCATGCGCCTGTAGTCCCAGTTACTTGGGTGGCTGAGGTGGGAGGATCACTTGAGGCCAGGAGGTCAAGGCTGCAGTGAGCCTGTGTGCGCCACTGAACTCCAGCCTGGATAACACAGTGAGACCCTGTCTCAAAAAAATAAATAAATAAAAAGGAGCAGTGAATATGGAATATGAGGGCATATCTCAGCAAACATTGACTATGGAACAACAAACTATAACAATGTTCAACTTTTGGAGGGAAAAAAGAGAATTAACATACTGGGCTTATACTAGAATTAAAGTTGTCCAAAGTTCTTGATTATTTAGGAGTGAGGTAAAGATATCAACTTCAGACTTCACCTTAGGTCAGAATGCTAAACAAGCTAGTGTAACCCCTGAAATAAGAAACACAATGCATATACTTTCCAAACAAGTTAAGGGAAATGAAATTGGAAAAAAAAATCAATTCACGAGAATGCAAAGCAAGAAAGAGAGAAAAAAGCAACAGATACTAACAGGGTCTAGAGCACTTAGATCAGTGCCTGGCATGTTATCATTATAATAATAGTTATTACATTAAAAAATAAAAATATATTACACATATAATAATTTATTATTATTGCTGTTATTTCTTTTTTGATAAATCTCTCTCTGTGGCATTCAAGACAGGGACCCTTTAATAGGCAAGTCCTACTTGTTCTGATAGCTCCTGATGTTAACGAGTTGATGATACTAATTCAAAGACAAGAAGGAATGTGGAGGAACTGAAGAGCTCTATTACTCACAAAGTGTAACCTGAGGCTAGTCATTTCATTATTTGGCCCCAGTTTCCTTGTCAAATGAGAGGGTTGGAGAAGTTCAAATTGGATGATACTGTATTTTTAAATCCTCATGAACCCAGAGAAAGAGGAAATTTGACTCAAGCCAAAAAAAAAAAAAAAAGAAAGAAAAAGGTCAGAAATGGTTTATTTGAGTGAGCAGCCCTCACAACATCATAAGCACTCACAAGTTCAGAAGTTCAGTGCTCACCAAATAGGAAGCAGGGGCTCTTCTCTCTCATACCAGAACCTGACTGGTTTGGAGGCTGGCTGAGCAGGGACAAAGCAAACCCCCATTCAGAGGAGCCTTGCTTGGGAAGGCACCCTTCCAGCCAGTCAGAAGGAATTCCAGAGGCTCTCCGAGGAGCCTGCAGGCTGAGAGCTCTGCATGGAAGCACTGGGTCTGGGCTGCTAGATGGGTGCGAAGCTGCCAACCTTTCTCCTAATTATACGAAGACTTTTCGAATGTACCCCCACTTCACTGCCCCCCGCCCACCCACCACTGAAAGTCTTCAATGTTGAACTTCTTGACTCCTCACACCAATCATCCTTCTAATTCACAGATGAGATAGCCTGCTCTTTATGCATTTTACACACATTGTGATATGATAATGCCCTCCAGATCTACGTGTTGCAGAGAGAACTGGGTATGGAAGATAACTGGCTTGGTTTCCAAAGATAAATCTGGTCTTGTGTGGTGGCTGCTGAGGGAGGAGGGCAGAGAGCTGGGTTTATCCAAGCCTCTGGGAAAGTTCCCTTGAATGTGGGTGTGGTGGGATTCCTTCTGCTGTTCTCAAGTATGGTTTATCTAATCTGCCTTGAAACTACTCTGCTGACTAACTGCTTTATCACTGAGAAATCCGCTGGATCTCCTCCTCCACAGCTTTTGAAGATGGAGTCTGCCCTGTCTGAAAGTAATGTCATAAGCAAAAGATATAATACACAAAGATGTTCATCAAGTGAAACCTTGGTAATATCTGCTCAGCAAAGACATGGGCACATCCGTATGTCATAATGCTAGCGATTTGATATGTGGCAAAGCAAGTTCCCGAGTGGTAAAAATCAATGATAACAATAATAATGTTAGCATACATAGGAAAAAAATCAGAAGAACATACAAGTACACCAAAATGTTAACATTGATTACATGGGGATGGGCTGAAGTGGGATGGAACTTGGGGAGATTATGATATATGTGTTATGTACTCTGCAATGTTTGAATTTTATATAACTTTGCATTACTTTTGGATCAGAAGGAAAGAAAGAAGAAAGGAAAAGGAAGGAAGGGAGGGAGGGAGGGTGGGAGGGGAAAGAAAGAAAAGAAGGAAAGAAAGGAAAAGAAAGAAAGAAAAAGAAGGAAAGAAAGAAAGAGAAAGAAGAAAAGAAAAGGAAGGAAGGGAAAGAAAGGGAGAGGAAAGGAAAGGAAAAGGAGAAAGAGAAAGAAAGAAAAGAAAGGCAGTGTCAGAAACATTTCTCCATTCCTAGCCTCACTGATGCTTGCTGTGCCCTCTCACTAGCCAAGGTGAAGATTTGGTGCTGATTCGAATTCATGGTCAAATGTTTTCTTGAACCGGGTGCAGTGGCTCACCTGTAATCCCAGCACTTTGGGAGGCTGAGGCAGGTGGATCACCTGAGATCAGGAATTCAAGACCAGCCTGGCCAACATGGTGAAATCCCGTCTCCACTAAAAATACAAAAATTAGTCAGGCATGGTGGTGGGTGCCTGTAGCCTGTAGTCCCAGCTACTCAGGAGGCTGAGGCAGGAGAATTGCTTGAACCCAGGAGGTGGGGTTTGCAGTGAGCAGAGATGCGCCACTGCACTCCAGCCTGGGAGACAGAGCAAGACTCCATCTCAAAATAAAAATAAAAATAAATACAAATACAAATACAAAAATTAGCCAGGCATGGTGGTGGGTGCCTGTAGCCCCAGCTACTCAGGAAGCTGAGGCAGGAGAATTGCTTGAGCCCGGGAGGTGGAGGCTGCAGTGACCCAAGATCTTGCCACTGCACTCCAGCCTGGGTAACACAGCAAGACTCCATTTCAAAAGCAAAAAAAAAAAAAAAGTTTCCTTGAGACCCAGAGACACTTTGTTTCCATAACTGCAGGTCTTACTCCACAGTGCTCAATAGCAGCTTCTTGCCTTCATTCATTTGCAATGACTGTTTCCAACCAGGCATGTACCTGTAGATATTTATATATTAAAATACTTGAGGTAGCTTGGTGTCATATTTGACCACTGAATTTGAGATTTATTTATGTACCATTTTCAGTTAAACTAATAAAGGAGTCATACTGTTTTTGAAATTTTAAAGTTTCATTTTTTAAAAAGTATTCAATATGTGAGGATATTTATTCAAATAGGAAGAATGGAGAATTTCAAGATGATGAGATTAAAATCTGATGTAAATTACCCATTCAAAACTTTAAGATTCCTATGGGTTGTCTTTAAATTTAAACATATCTACACATGTACAACTGGAAATCTTGGCCCCAAACACTGGCTCTGTTTCCTGGATGTTTCCAGGGAATGTATGTCCTTTGACTTTATTTCTAGGGACTCAGCCTAACAAAACTTGGCATATTTTCATAGGCTTTTTGGTTTGCAATTTATTTCATTCATTTACTTATTTAACAAACATCTGTTATCATCATTAGTATTAAAAATAGTAGTTTACAATTTAATAGGTGTTTATTACTTGCTGATAGCTAATATTGGTTAACATTTAATATCCATTTATTACCTGCTGTTATTTAGTTAAATGGCTTATTTTAACCTGGCATTGGGGAAGACACAAAGATGACCTAGACCTGATGGTATGTAAATAATCCAAACATGGCTCTGTGCTCAAAAGTGGGTGGTGGTGCTGATGTCAGATACCAGGCTATGCAATTCCTCAGCTGAATAAATGACTTCCTATCAAGGAAACTGAGGAAACTTCCTGGGGGGTTGGCAGTATCTTTGAGTCTTTAAGTGAAGGATTTGGTCATCTGGAGAAGAAGGAGAAGGAGCATTCTAAATAAAGGCAGGAAGTCAGAAGTGGGAATGTTCAGAGCATGTGAAGCGTCCTGGGTTGTGTAGGGGCCAGAGCATGTGGTACAAGAAGGGAAGACACAGGAAAGAAGGCTAGAAGAGCAGATGCCAGGAAAGTTCCAGTTATAAAGGGCAGCGAATAATTTATCCCAACACATTCATTTGACAGATGAAGGCACTAAGGCTCACAGAGACAGGGGTCCTCTCAGTTATTCAGTGGTGGGGAAGGAATTGGACCTCAAGCTCTCCTGGCTCCCAGCTTGAGCTTTCAGTTAGGTTGAGACAGACCAAGGAGTATCTTGAATGCCAGGCTAGAGTTAAGCGATTGTCTCATCGCAGAGGGAAGCCACTAAAAGTTTTGAGCAGGATGTGAGTGGCAAAGGTGAGGCAGAAGCTAATTTCGAGGTTTCTAGGCCAAGTGATTGGGAAGCTGGAAATTACATTTTGGTAACTGTAATTTCATATTACATGGCTTGTGTAAACAGAGTCTGTTCTAGAAAAAATATTTGTTTAATTAAAGACAATCAATTGTTACAAAGTAACTATTTGATTGGAAAGTAACCTCTTAAAACAAAAGTCATGTCTTTAGACACAGATTATAGTTTTAAAAAGCACACTAGGGTTAGAGAAAGTAGGTACATTCTGTTATAGGTGATTTGCCTCCTTTTTTTTTTTTTTTTTTTTTTTTTTTTTTGAGACAGGGTCTCCCTCTGTCGCCCAAACTTCAGTGCAGTGGTGCGATCTCGGCTCACTGCAGCCTCCGCCTCCTGGGTTCGAACGATTATTCTGCCTCAGCCTCCTGAATAGCTGGGACTACAGGCGACTGCCACGATGCCCAGCTAATTTTTGAATTTTTAGTAGAGACGGGGTTTCACCATGTTGGCCAGGCTGGTCTCGAACTCCTGACCTCAAGGGATCCGCCTGCCTCGGCCTCCTGAAGTGTTGGGATTACAAGCGTGAGCCACCGCACCCGGCCTGCCTCCTCTGAATCTTTGTCTGCCCTTAGGAAATAAAATTTCTATTGAGTCCATGCCCCTACAAACTTTGTATTCTCTTTACATTTGAAAACAAAAAAAAAGAAATAAAATATTCACTATTTTTTTTGCTGGGGGGTGGGGGACAGAGTCTCACTCTGTCACCTAGGCTGGAGTGCAGTGGCGTGATCTCGGCTTACTCCAACCTCTGCCTCCTGGATTCGAGTTATTCTCCCGCCTCAGCCTCCCGAGTAGCTGGGATTACAGGCACCCACCACCGCGCCCGGCTAATTTTTGTATTTTTAGTAGAGACGGGGTTTCACCATGTTGGCCAGTCTGGTCTCAAACTCCTGGCCTCAGGTGATCCGCCCGCCTGGGCCTCCCAAAGTGCTGGGATTACAGGCGTGAGCAATCGCACCCGGCCCACTTCTTTTGAGTGCTTTGCTAGCAGCTTATTGTAGTTGCATTTGTTTTATTTTTAGTTTTATTTTCTTTAGAAGCAGCATCTCCCAGTACTGCATAGTTAGCAACAAGGATCAGCGAAAGAGGTTACCTTTGGCCACAGACACACAAAGTGTCCCAATCAGCAGCATGAGTCCCACTGCCCTCATGTGTAGAATTATAGGACCTATCACACAATCACGTGGACTCTCAAGGGGTCCAGAGAGAGTCTGGGTTCCAATCCCAGCTCTGCCACTCTCGAGTTCGGAGATCTTGGGCATATTTTGCTGTGGCTCAGAAACTGATCCTCATCTACAAAATGGAGCTAATGATAACTCATCTTGGGTTTGTGCTGGCTGTGAGACTGCTAGACAATGCGCCAACCGAGGTGACCACATTGCTAGGTATGAAGCAGTAGGCATGTTGGACAACACTGAGCTGTATGAATTGGCTCACCAACACCTCAGGAACAGACAAGCTGCTCAGAGAACAGCAGCATTTCTGAGTGGTGCTGTTGGTTTCCTAGTAACAAGCGCCTTTATTTCAGATGAGCTCTACAATTGTATATAACAAAACCACTTCACGGTTTATCTCCAGACAGTCATTTGTTTCGGAATATTACAAAGAACTTTTTAAGGAAGATGTGTATTCTCACATCTCTGATTTATGTAAAACCATCTGCCCCAAACCAAAACAGACCCTTTCTCCCTCTGGGTCTGGCCTGCTTCCCAGCTGTTCACCTTCCCTCCGGGATTGTTAGAAGCTCCACTCCGAGTAAACAGCTCCGCCAGGCAGGGGCCCCACCCACCATTTTATTTTGCTAAATCACTCCTTTAGCTAATATTTCAGGGACAGACACGCGACGCATCTGGCTCCAACCAAATATTTTCAGTCACTCTAATCCCAAGGCAAATATTTGCCAGTTCGATTGCAGTAACATTGGTAGCATGAAACAGGGACCCACTAATCAACTTTCAATCGGGACCGGCGCAGCTGCTAGGGAGTCCCGGCCCCGCCCCTCTCCCGTGAGCCCCCGCGCAGGCGCCGCCCCCACGCTTCCGGCCTCGAGGCCTGCGCTTCTGAGAGGCGAATGCCTGAGAAGGGAGGAGGCGTTTTTGCTGAGTTGCTCGCTTCGCGGAGCTAATAACCTTTTCAGGCAGGTGTTGCCTTTGCTCACGCCCCATGACCTGTCGAAAGGGTGTTGATTGTGGCCGTCTGGAGGTGTCGTGACATGCCAGGGAAGGGTTAGGAGGCTTCCAAGGACGCATGGTGACAGGCGTGATTTGAGGGGAAAGGCCTGGAAAAGGCCTCCTAAGGCCTGTGTCCATTGCGTTAATTGCTATCCTAGGGAGACTTAAAATTGGCCCAAGGCTTTTGAGCTGCCGTGAATAAACAGTGCTCTGGGCTTTGTGTCTTATAAAGTCATTTGCATTTCAGTGGGAATGCATGTCTTAGCCTATTCCTTAAATTTTCGTATGTCCGCATTCCCTACCTGAAAACGTGCAGGGCGATACGTTTTAAGGCAGCAAGTTTTAGGCTGGGAATGGGGACATAGGAAAATTGGGGGGGGGGGGTAGGTTGAGAGTATTAGAAGCAAACTTAATGTCTCATTCTGTGGCAGCATTTCTTAACCTTTTTGGGGTCTTTTGAGATTTAGACGAAAACTAAGAGCCGTTTCCCTGGGAAGAGAAATGTCAACACAGTATTTTGCCTGTAATCGGAGGAACCCATCTACAGACTCCCAGGTTAGGAAACCTTGGATTCTAGGTACAGCATGCCCCGATGACCTGGGCCTGAGGACCCAGAATTTCTTGTCGTGCCCAGAGATAGGACTAGGTTGAGGAGTGTCCAAATTATGCGTTGGATACACAATTTAAGGGGCCATACAAAAGTATGGAAATCAAGATGGATAATATTTTATTTATTTATTTATTTATTTATTTATTTATTTATTTGAGACGAAGTCTCACTCTGTCACCTAGGCTTGAGTGCTGTGGTGCAATCTCGGTTCACTGCAATCTCACCTCCCAGGTTCAAGTGATTCTCCTGCCTCAGCCTCCCGAGTAGCTGGAATTAAAGGCACGCACCACCACACCTGGCTAATCTTTGTATTTTTAGTAGAGACGGGGTTTCACCACGTTAGCCAGGCTGGTCTCGAACTCCTGACCTCAAGTGATCTGCCCGTCTGGGCCTCCCAAAGTGCTGGGATTACAGGCATGGGCCACCCCGCTGGGCCAAGATGGATAATATTTTAATGTAGCATTTTAAACAATCATATCTGCAAACCATGGACTGTTGCCTTTTTTTGTAAACAACCTTTTATTGGAACTAGGGAGTATGGTGAGATGGGTGAGACAGGATTGTCCAAGTGCAGGGCCAGAGCTTGTCTTTGATTAAATTTTTATATTTTGTATTTTGTTCATCATGGATTTTAAAAAAATTAAATAGTGCATTATAGGTTGAGTATCCCTAATCAGAAAATTCAAAGTCCAAAATGTTCCAAAACTTTTTGAGTGCTGACATGACACCACAAGTGGAAAATTCCACAATCTATCTCATGTGACAGGTCACAGTCAAAACACAGGCACACAACACACAGTTTATTCAGCATCCCTAAGTGAGTGATGGCGATGCCAAACAACCACAGATTGTCTACATGGGTCCTGAGATAGTGACACCTTTGCTTTCTGATGGTTCCGTGTATACAAACTTGGTTTCATGCACATTTTAAAAAATATTGTAGGCTGGGTGTGGTGGCTCACGCCTATAATCCCAGCACTTTGGGAGGCTGAGGCGGGCGGATGACCTGAGGCCAGGAGTTTGAGACCAGCCTGGCCAACGTGGTGAAACCCCATCTCTACTAAAAACACAAAAAATTTGCCAGTCGTCGTGGCGGGCACCTGTAATCCCAGCTACTCAGGAGGCTGAGGCGGAAGAATCACTTGAACCTGGGAGGTTGCAGTGAGCCGAGATTGTGCCACTGCACTCCAGCTTGGGCGACAGAGTGAGACTCCGTCTCAAAAACAAAAAAAAAATTGTATAAAATTACCGTCAGACTATGTGTGTAAAGTATATATGAAAACATAAATGAATTTCGTGTTTAAACTTGGGTCCCATCCCCAAGATACCTCGTTATGTATATGCAAAACAAAACAAAACAAAACAAAAACCAACCAACCAAGCAAAAACCCGTACTGAAATCCAAAATATTCCTGGTCCCAAGCGTTTCAGATCAGAGATATTCAACTTGTAAAATATTATTTGTTTTGAATACTGAGCATTTTGCTCCCTGCCCTTTTTAAATTTTGTACTTGACACAGGTGCTTTATTGCCTCACTTTAGTCCCAGCCCAGCTTGTGTCCAGGATGCTATTTTACTAAAAACCTAATGTAACTGATCACTTTCTGTGTGCTAGGCCCTGAGCCCCACACTTCCAGATAACAAGGGTAGTGGCAAAACTCTGATCTGTCAGAAGACATGAGATCTAGTCCCATCTCTGCCACTTCCTGGGTGGATGACCTCAGCCAGGTTAGTTAACCTTTGTGAACCTGCAGAATGAGAGGGCAAGAGTGGGTACTTTCCAGTTTTGACAATCTATGGTTAGAAAGAAACATCTACATCAAACTGTTCCCTAGAGAACAGAATCCTTGATAAGCACCCTATTCTACATTTCAGCCCTCTGGGATTCCCTTGATTTGCTTCCTTGATGGAGGGGTTTTACGTACATACCACAGCCCTTCATTTGCCTTAGTGTGAGGGGCTTGACCAGCAGCTATCTTCTGAACTTGAGTACTAATTGTTAAAATCAAAGATTTGGGGAGCTAATGGGTGTAAAGTGCATGGAGATGATTTTATTTTAAGGCAAATGAGACTCAGGCAGGTGAAGTCACTTGACCAAGGTGGCACAGTGACAGATTTAGAACTAAAACCCTAGTCTGTGACTCCCATCCAGTGTTCTTTTCACTTCACCATGATGAGATGTGATGCTTGACTTCCAACTTTCCTGCAGAGAATTTCCTAGAAGAATTTAAATACATTTTTGTTTTGTTAGTTTCCTTATTATGATGCTACTCCCCTAACAACTCTGGAATGGACCTAGGCCTGAGGGATTCAGAGCCAAAGTTCCTGATCAGTTTTTTATCCTCAGGGTCTTCCCTCTCCCAACCTCATTTTGGGTGATTTAACTTCTATGGGAATTAAAAAACAAAAACAAACAAACAAACAAACAAAAAAAAACTGTTACAAGGTATATAATCTTAGAAAGCTAATTTCTTCCTTGTTTCTTTTGAAAGGTATATTTAAACATGGAGAGAACAAGTGACGCATAACAACTCTATGAGGTAGGTACTTTATTATTCCTATTTTCTGATGAAGAAACTGAGGCACGGCCGGGTGCAGTGGCTCATGCCTGTAATCCCAGCACTTTGGGAGGCTGAGGTGGGCAGATCACGAGGTCAGGAGTTCAAGACCAACCTGGCCAACATAGTGAAACCCGTATCTACTAAAAATACAAAAATTAGCCAGGCATGGTAGTTTGCGCCTATAATCCCAGCTACCTGGGAGGCTGAGGCAGGAGAATCACTTGAACCTGGGAAGTGGAGGTTGCAGTGAGCCAAGATTGTGCCATTGCACTCCAGCTCTGGGCAACAGAGCAAGACTCCGTCTTGGAAAAAAATAACAATAATAAATAAACTGAGGCACAAAAAATGTCAAGTAAACTTGCCCAAGGTTTCCCAGCTATATATGAGAATCAGGATTCAAATCCAGGCATCCTGGCTCCAGGGTCTGTGCTTTTAACCAGCACAATGTGTGGCCTCTCTTGTAAGCCATTTTGGCTTCAGCTATAACCATTCCAGTCATGGGAAGCTCACTGTCTCAGAAGATTCCTGGTTTTGTTGTTGAGCAGCTTCATCAGTTAGAATGTCTTCCCTTTATTTGTTGGTTCAAACCATAGACAGTTGTCCAAAATGGTTTCCTGTTATCTAAACAAGAAAGAGGTACAAAGAAGAGTGATGAGCACAAAGAATAAAATCCCTTAATCTGCTCTGCCTTCACTAAACATTCCTGACCCACCTCCAGTTCTGTGGGCTTCCTGAAAAGACACAAAGTTCCCTCTTTGTCTTGTGTCTTTTGAAAGTAAAGTTCTCACTCTATGTGTTTACACTATATTATAAGATGGATTAAGATGGCCTACAAAGATTATAAAAACAATTAAATAGTATAAACTAAAAGTGTATGACATGATCCAGCAACTTCACATCTAGATATTTGTTCTTCAGAAATAGTCACAGAAGGCCATCTGCAGTAGCTCACACCTGTAATCCCAGTACTTCAAGAGGCCAAGGCAGGAGAGTCACTTGAGGCCAAGTACTAGAGGCCAACCTGGGCAACATAGTGAGACCTTATCTCTATAAAAAATCAAAAAATTAGCCAGATATAGTGGGTGCATGGCTGTAGTCTCAGCTACTTGGGAGGCTGAGGTGGGAGATTGAGGCTGCAGTGAGCCATGATCACGCCACCACTGCACGTTAGCCTGGGAGACAGAGAAAGACCCTGTCTCTAAAATAAATAAATAAATAAATAAAAGTCATAGGTGCTTACAAGGGTAAATATTCAAGTGCTTTTATTGTATATTATAGGCAATTTAAATGTCCATCAATAAGGACATGCTTAACTAAATAATAAATAATAATGGAATACCCTCACTTTGAAATACTCTGTAACTGTTAAAACAAAAAGGTAGGTCTTTATGTAGTAACATAGAAAAATGTCAGTAACATAATGTGGAATTTAAAAAGTAATTTTTGAGCCAGGTGCGGTGGTTCATGCCTGTAATCCCAGAGCTTTGGGGGAGGCGGGGGGATCAATCGATTGAGACCAGGAGTTTGAAACCACCCTGGGCAACATAGCAAGATCCTGTCTCTAAAAAAAAATTAATAATAAATAAAAAAATACAAAAAATTAGCCTGGCCTGGTGGTGCTTGCCTGTAGTCCTAGCCATTTGGGAAGTTGAGGCAAGAGGATTCCTTGAACCCAGGAGTTTGAGGCTGCAGTGACCTATGATCACACTACTGCACTCTGGCCTGGGTGACAGAACAAAATCCTGTTTCGAAAAAATAAATAAAAATTGAAGATGGCCAAATAGGAACAGCTCCAGTCTACACCTCCCAGCGTGAGTGACGCAGAAGATGGGTGATTTCTGCATTTCCAACTGAGGTAACAGGTTCATCTCACTGGGGCTTGTCGGACAGTGGGTGCAGCCCACGGAGTGTGAGCTGAAGCAGGGTGGGGCATCACCTCACCCAGAAAGTGCAAGGGGTCGGGGAATTCCCTTTCCTAGCCAAGGGAAGCCGTGACAGATGGTACCTGGAAAATCGGGACACTCCCACCCTAATACTGTGCTTTTCCAATGGTCTTAGCAAACTGCACACCAGGAGATTATATCCCGTGCGTGGCTTGGAGGGTCCCACCGCCAGGGAGCCTCGCTTACTGCTAGCACAGCAGTCTGAGATCAAACTGCAAGGTGGCAGCGAGGCTCGGGGAGGGGTGTCCACCATTGCTGAGGCTTGAGTAGGTAAACAGAGTGGTCGGGAAGCTCAAACTGGGTGGAGCCCACCACAGCTCAAGGAGGCCTGCCTGCCTCTGTAGACTCCACCTCTAGGGGCAGGGCATAGCCGAACAAAAGGCAGCAGAAACCTCTGCAGACTTAAACATCCCTGTCTAACAGCTTTGAAGAGAGTAGTGGTTCTCCCAGCATGAAGTTTGAGATCTGGGAACAGACAGACTGCGTCCTCAAGTGGGTCCCTGACCCCTAAGTAGCCTAACTGGGGGACACCTCCCAGTACGGGCTGACTGACACCTCATACAGCCAGGTACCCATCTGAGACGAAGCTTCCAGAGGAGGGATCAGGCAGCAACATTTGCCATTCTGCAATATTCGCTGTTCTGCAGCCTCCACTGGTGATACCAAGGCAAACAGGGTCTGGAGTGGACCTCCAGTAAACTCCAACAGACCTGCAGCTGAGGGTCCTCACTGTTAGAAGGAAAACTAACAAACAGAAAGGACATCCACACCAAAACCCCATCTGTACGTCACCATCATCAAAGACCAAAGGTAGATAAAACCACAAAGATGGGGAGAAACCAGAGCAGAAAAACTGAAAATTCTAAAAATCAGAGCACCTCTGCTCCTCCAAAGGAATGAAGCTCCTCGCCAGCAATGGAACAAAGCTAGATGGAGAATGACTTTGATGAGTTGAGAGAAGAAGGCTTCAGATGATCGGTAATAACAAACTTCTCTGAGCTAAAGGAGGATGTTTGAACCCATCGCAAAGAAGCTAAAAACCTTGAAAAAAGATTAGACGAATGGCTAAATAGAATAAACAGTGTAGAGAAGAACTTACATGTCCGAAAACCATGGCACAAGAACTACGTGATGCATGCACAAGCTTCAGTAGCCGATTTGATCAAGTGGAAGAAAGGGTATCAGTGATTGAAGATAAAATGAATGAAATGAAGCGAGAAGAGAAGTTTAGAGAAAAAAGAGTAAAAAGAAACGAACAAAGCCTCCAAGAAATAGGGGACTATGTGAAAAGACCAAATCTACGTCTGATTGGTGTACCTGAAAGTGATGGGGAGAATGGAACCAAGATGGAAAACACTCTTCAGGATATTATCCAGGAGAACGCCCCCAACCTAGCAAGGCAGGCCAACATTCACATTCAGGAAATACAGAGAATGCCACAAAAATACTCCTCGAGAAGAGTAACTCCAAGACACATAATTATCAGATTCACCAAAGTTGAAATGAAGGAGAAAATGTTAAGGGCAGCCAGAGAGAAAGGTCGGGTTACCCACAAAGGAAAGCCCATCAGACTAACAGCTGATCTCTCGGCAGAAACTCTACAAGCCAGAAGAGAGTGGGGGCCAATATTCAACATTCTTAAAGAAAAGAATTTTCAACACAGAATTTCATATCCAGCCAAACTAAGCTTCATAAGTGAAGAAGAAATAAAATCCTTTACAGACAAGCAAATGCTGAGAGATTTTGTCACCACCAGGCCTGCCTTACAAGAGCTCCTGAAGGAAGCACTAAACATGGAAAGGAACAACCAGTACGAGCCACTGCAAAAACATGCCAAATTGTAAAGACCATAGAGGCTAGGAAGAAACTGCATCAACTAATGAGCAAAATAACCAGCTAACATCATAATAACAGGATCAAATTCACATGTAACAATATTAACCTTAAATGTAAATGGGCTAAATGCTCTAATTAAAAGACACAGACTGGCAAATTGGATACAGAGTCAAGACCCATCAGTGTGCTGTATTCAGGAAACCCATCTCATGTGCAGAGACACACATAGGCTCAAAATAAAGGGATGGAGGAAGATCTACCAAGCAAATGGAAAACAAAACAAAACAAAAAGGAGGGGTTGCAATCCTAGTCTCTGATAAAGCAGACTTTAAACCAACAAAGATCAAAAGAGACAAGGCCATTACATAATGGTAAAGGAATCAATTCAACAAGAAGAGCTAACTATCCTAAATATATATGCACCCAATACAGGAGCACCCAGATTCATAAAGCAAGTCCTTAGAGACCTACAAAGAGACTTAGACTCCCACACAATAATAATGGGAGATTTTAACACCCCACTGTCAACATTAGACAGATCAACAAGACAGAAAGTTAACAAGGATATCCAGGAATTGAACTCAGCTCTGCACCAGGCGGACCTAACAGACATCTACAGAACTCTCCACCCCAAATCAACAGAATATACATTATTATCAGCACCACATCACACTTATTCCAAAATTGACCACATAGTTGGAAATAAAGCACTCCTCAGCAAATGTAAAAGAACAGAAATCACAACAAACTGTCTATCAGACCACAGTGCAATCAATTTAGAACTGAGGATTCAGAAACTCACTCAAAACCACACAACTGCATGGAAACTGAACAACCTGCTCCTGAATGACTACTGGGTACATAACGAAAAGAAGGCAAAAATAAAGATGTTCTCTGAAATGAATGAGAACAAAGACACAACATACCGGAATCTCTGGGACACATTTAAAGCAGTGTGTAGAGGGAAATTTATGGCACTAAATGCCCACAAGAGAAAGCAGGAAAGATCTAAAATTGACGCCACAGCATCACAATGAAAAAAACTAGAGAAGCAAGAGCAAACACATTCAGAAGCTAGCAGAAGGCAAGAAATAACTAAGATCAGAACAGAACTGAAGGAGATAGTTACACAAGAAACACTTCAAAAAATCAATGAATCCAGGAGCTGGTTTTTTGAAAAGATAAACAAAATTGATAGACCTCAAGCAAGACTAATAAAGAAGAAAAGAGAGAAGAATCAAATAGACGCAATAAAAAATGATAAAGGGGATATCACCACCGATCCCACAGAAATACAAACTACTATCAGAGAATACTATGAACACCTCTACACAAATAAACTAGAAAATCTGTAAGAAATGGATAAATTCCTTGACACATACACCCTCCCAAGACTAAACCAGGAAGAATTTGAATCCCTGAATAGACCAATAACAGGCTCTGAAATTGAGGCAATAATTAATAGCCTACCAACCAAAAAAAAAGTCCAGGACCAGACAGATTCACAGCTGAAGTCTGCCAGAGGTACAAAGAGGAGCTGGTACCATTCCTTCTGAAATTATTCCAATCAATAGAAAAAGAGGGAATCCTCCCTAACTCATTTTATAAGGCCAGCATCATCCTGATACCAAAGCCTGGCAGAGACACAACAAGAAAAGAGGATTTTAGACCAATATCCCTGATGAACATCAGTGCAAAAATCCTCAGTAAAATACTTGGTGAACCGAATCCAGCAGCACATCAAAAAGCTTATCCACCACGATCAAGTTGGCTTCATCCCTGGGATGCAAGGCTGGTTCAATATACACAAATCAATAAATGTAATCCATCATATAAACAGAACCAAAGACAAAAACCACATAATTATCTCAATAGATGCAGAAAAGGCCTTCGACAAAATTCAACAGCCCTTCATACTAAAAACTCTCAATAAACTAGGTATTGATGGGACATATCAAAATAATAAGAGCTATTTATGACAAACCCACAGCCAATAGCATACTGAATAGGCAAAAGCTGGAAGCATTCCCTTTGAAAACTGGCACAAGACAGGGATGCCCTCTCTCACCACTCCTATTCAACATAGTGTTGGAAGTTCTGGCCAGGGCAATCAGGCAGGAGAAAGAAATAAAGGGTATTCAATTAGGAAAAGAGGAAGTCAAATTGTCCCTATATGCAGATGACATGATTGTATATTTAGAAAACCCCATTGTCTCAGCCCCAAATCTCCTTAAGCTGATAAGCAACTTCAGCAAAGTCTCAGGATACAAAATGAATGTGCAAAAATCACAAGCATTCCTATACACCAGTAACAGACAAACAGAGAGCCAAATCATGAGTGAACTCCCATTCACAATTGCTACAAAGAGAATAAAACACCTAGGAATCCAACTTACAAGGGATGTGAAGGACTCTTCAAGGAGAACTACAAACCACTGCTCAACGAAATAACGGAGGACACAAACAAATGGAAGAACATTCCATGCTCATGGATAGGAAGAATCAATA
Source organism: Homo sapiens (assembly GCF_000001405.40). Taxonomy (NCBI): domain Eukaryota; kingdom Metazoa; phylum Chordata; class Mammalia; order Primates; family Hominidae; genus Homo; species Homo sapiens. The sequence goes on along the minus strand of NC_000001.11, from coordinate 92,432,370 downwards.
TTGTGAAAATGGCCATACCGCCCAAGGTAATTTATAGATTCAATGCCATCCCCATCAAGCTAGCACTGACTTTCTTCAAAGAATTGGAAAAAACTACTTTAAAGTTTATATGGAATCAAAAAAAAGCCTGTATAGCCAAGACAATCCTAAGCCAAAAGAACAAAGCTGGAGGCATCACACTACCTGACTTCAAACTATGCTACAAGGCTACAGTACCCAAAACAGTATGGTACTGGTACCAAAACAGAGATATAGACCAATGGAACAGAACAGAGCCCTCAGAAATAATACCACACATCTACAACCATCTGATCTTTGACAAACTTGACAAAAACAAGGAATGGGGAAGGATTCCCTATTTAATCAATGGTGCTGGGAAAACTGGCTAGCCATATGTAGAAAGCTGAAACTGGATCCCTTCCTTTCACCTTATACAAAAATTAATTCAAGATGGATTAAAGACTTAAATGTTAGACCTAAAACCATAAAAACCCTAGAAGAAAACCTAGGCAATACCATTCAGGACATAGGCATGGGCAAGGACTTCATGTCTAAAACACCAAAAGCAATGGCAACAAAAGCCAAAATTGACAAATGGGATCTAATTAAAGAGCTTCTGCACAGCAATAGAAACTACCATCAGAGTGTACAGGCAACCTACAGAATGGGAGAAAAATTTTTACAATCTACCCATCTGACAAAGAACTAATATCCAGAATCTACAAAGAACTTAAAGAAATTTACAAGAAAAAACCAAACAACCCCATCAAAAAGTGGGCAAAGGATGTAAACAGACACTTCCCAAAAGAAGACATTTATGCAGCCAACAGACACATGAAAAAATGCTTATCATCACTGGCCATCAGAGAAACGCCAATCAAAACCACAATGAGATACCATCTCACATCAGTTAGAATGGCGATCATTAAAAAGTCAGGAAACAACAGGTGCTGGAGAGGATGTGGAGAAATAGGAATGCTTTTACACTGTTGGTGGGACTGTAAACTAGTTCAACCATTGTGGAAGACAGTGTGGCGATTCCTCAAGGATCTAGAACTAGAAATACCATTTGACCCAGCCATCCCATTACTGGGTATATACCCAAAGGATTATAAATCATGCTACCATAAAGACACATGCACAGGTATGTTTATTGTGGCACTATTCACAATAGCAAAGACTTGGAACCAACCCAAATGTCCAACAATGATAGACTGGATTAAGAAAATGTGGCACATATATACCATGGAATACTATGCAGCCATAAAAAAGGATGAGTTCATGTCCTTTGTAGGGACATGGATGAAGCTGGAAACCATCATTCTGAGCAAACTATCGCAAGGACAGAAATCCAAACACCACATGTTCTCACTCATAGGTGAGAATTGAACAATGAGAACACTTGGACACAGGGTGGGGAACATCACACACCACGGCCTGTCATGGGATCAGGGGAATGGGGAGGGATAGCATTAGGAGATACACCTAATGTAAATGACGAGTTAATGGGTGCAGCACACCAACATGGCACATGTATACATATGTAGCAAACCTGCACGTTGTGCACATGTACCCTAGAACTTAAAGTATAATAAAAAATAATAAAAATAAAACTAACTTATAATAAATAAGAATTAAAAAATAAAAATTTAAAAACATAAAATGTAATTTTTGTAACTATATTTGTAAAAAGAGTATTTTTATATGGTGTGCATTGCAAAATGATTTGGAAGCATATACTTCAGTTTATTAACAATGGTTACCCCTGGGGTGGAAGTGGTGATAGAAGAGTGAGAGAACTCTCAGCAGTCAAGATCCACCCCCTTACATTTTAGGCTCAAAGGATAAGGGTTTTCTATGCACCGAGCCTCAGGTCTGACACATCCTGGGTGCTCAACTAATGTCTGTTAAATTGATTAAGAGAGACTGGCATGTCTTCAGTATGTATTATGTAATTTAAAGTTTATTGCTGGTACAGTGAACAATCATCTTAAAAAAAATTCCAAATCAATCTTCCCCAAAGTATCAAAATTGCTTGTCTGCTCTTCAGAATACTTTAAACTGTTTTAACGCATAATATTAGGATAAACTCCATATTTGTTCTGGAGAAAATCATTATTGGCATTTTAAAATTGGTGCTTGATGACATCATTTCCATTGTCATCCCAGTGGAGATACAGCAGTTAAAAAAACCCAAAACTTGGAGGCTGTGCACATGTGGGGCAGGGGACATATAATAAATCTCTCTACTTTCTGTTCAATTTTGATGTGATCCTAAAACTGCTCTAAAAATAAGTTTGTGTGTGTGTGTGTGTGTGTGTGTAAAACAGCTTATACATATCTACTTTTAAAATACCTTATACATAATCTACTTTTAAGGGGGGTGAGGTAGGAAAGAAGAAGCTGTATGATCAAATAAATATAATTGATATGAAAAAAAACCCCAAAAGTTTTTTCCCCTCATTTTAAAAGCTCATCGAAGAAAATGTAGAAAATAAGAAAAAGTATAAAGAAAACAAAGTTGCCTGTAATCCGCACTCCAAAGATAATCGCTGTGAAGCTTTAAATGAACTCCTTTCTTGTCTTCTTGTTTTATCTGCGGCACTTTTTTTTACTACATTTTTTAATTATGATAAAATATACACAGTGCACCAGCTGGGTGCGGTGGCTCATGCCTGTAATCCCAACACCTCAGGAGGCTGAAGCGGGTGCATCACTTGAGGCCAGGAGTTCGAGACCAGCCTGGCCAAAATGGCAAAACCTCGTCTCTACTAAAAATATTAGTACCAAAATTAGCTGGGTGTGGTGGCACGTGCCTGTAGTCCCAGTTACTTGGGAGGCTGAGGCAGAAGAATCACACAAAAAAATTATATGTGTAACGCATATACATATATACACAAACACACATACAATGTAAAATTTACCGTTTTAATTATTTCTTCTTCTTTTTTTTTTTTTTTTTGAGACGGAGTTTCGCTCTTGTTGCCCAGGCTGGAGTGCAATGGCATGATCTCGGCTCACCGCAACCTCCGCCTCCTGGGTTCAAGCAATTCTCCTGCCTCAGCCTCCTGAGTAGCTGGGATTACAGGCATGCACCACCACGCCCGGCTAATTTTGTATTTTTAGTAGAGACGGGTTTTTTTCTCCATACTGGTCAGGCTCCCGACCTCAGGTGATCTGCCACCTCGGCCTCCCAAAGTTCTGGGATTACAGGTGTGACCACCACGCCCTGCCATTTTAATTATTTCTAAGTGTACAATTCAGTGGCATTAAGTGCATTCACACTGTGGTGCAACCAGCATGGCTATCCATCTCCAGAACTTTTCAACATCCCAAACTGAAACCCTATGTCCATAAACAATAATTGCCCATTATTCTCTCCCCCAGCCCCTGGCAACCACTCTTCTACTTTCTGTCTCTATGAATTTGACCTTATGTCTCTAAGTACCTCATATAAGTGGAATCATACAATATTTGTCCTTTTGTGTCTTGTCTATTTTATCTTTTTTTTTTTTTTTTTGAGACGGAGTTTCGCTCTTGTTGCCCAGGCTGGAGTGCAATGGCACGATCTCGGCTCACTGCAACCTCTGCCTCTTGGGTTCAAGCTATTCTCCTGCCTCAGCCTACCGAGTAGCTGTGATTACAGGCACCTGCCACCACACCCAGCTAATTTTTTGTATTTTTTAGTAGATACAGAGTTTCACCATGTTGGCCAGGCTGGTCTTGAACCCCTGACCTCAGGTGGTCTGCCTACCTTGGCCTCCCAAAGTGCTGGGATTACAGGTATGAGCCACTGCGCCCGGCCATGTCTTGCTTATTCTACTTAGCATTATGTTTTTAAGGTTCATCCCTGTTGTAACATGTACCAGAGTCTCCTTCCTTTGTAAGGTTGAATAATATTCCATTATATGTATATACTACATTTTGTTTATTCATTCATCTGTCAGTAGACATTTGGGTTATCTCTATCTTTTGGCTACTGTGAATAGTGCTGCTATGAACACTGGTGTACAAATATCTGTTTGTATCCCTAATTTGAATTCTGTTTTGAAAATACCCAGAGTGGAATAGCTGAATCATGTACTGATTCAATGGTTAACATTTTGAAGAACCACCATACTGTTTTCCATAGCAACTGCACCATTTTACATTTTTGTCAGCAGTGCAGAAGGGTTCCAGTTTCTCCATATCAACTTGTTATTTCCATTTTTTTTAAAGAATTGAAACAGGGGTCTCGCTATATTGCCCTGGCTGGTCTTGAACCCCTGGACTCAAGCAGTCCTCCCACCTCAGCCTCCCAAAGTGCTGTGATTATAGAAGTGAGTCACTGTGCCCCACCTATTTTCAATTTTTGATAATTCCTATCCTAATGGATGTGAAGTGGTATCTCATTGCGAGTTTTTTTTTTTTCTTTTTTTTTTTTTGAGACAGAGTCTCACTCTGTCACCCAGGCTGGAGTGCAATGGCGCGGTCTCGGCTCACTGCAACCTCTGCCTCCTGGGTTCAAGTGCCTCAGCCTCCTGAGTAGCTGGGACTACAGGTACATGCCACAACGCCCGGCTAATTTTTGTATTTTCAGTAGAGACGGGGTTTCACTTTGTTGGACAGGCTGGTCTTGAACTCCTGACCTCATGATCCACCCGCCTCGGTCTCCCAAAGTGCTGGGATTACAGGTGTGAGCCACCGCGCCCGGCCCTCATGGTGGTTTTGATTTGCATTTCCCTAGTGATTAGTGATGTTGAGCATATTAACTGTTTGTATATCTTCTTTGGAGAAATATCTATTCAAGTCTTTCTCTCATTTTTTAATTGGGCTATTTGGTTTTTATATTCTTGAGTTATAGGAGTTATTTATATATTCCAGATATTAATCCTTTATCAGATAAATGATTTGCAAATATTTTTCCCCATTGTGTGGGTTGCCTTTTCTCTGTTGATAGTGCCCTTTGATGCATAAAATTGTTTAATTTTGATGCAGTCCATTTTTTCTTTCATTGTCTGTGCTTTTGGTATCTAAGTATACTCTGCCAAATCCAATGTCATGAAACTTTTTCCCTCCATGTTCTTCTAAGAGTTTTATGGTTTTTGGTCTCATATTTAGGTCTTTGATCCATTTTGATTTAACTTTTGTATATGATATAATGTAAGAGTCCAACTTCATTCTTGTGGTTGGGGACATCTAGTTTCCCTGACACCATTTGCTGAAAAGATTTTCCTTTCCCTATATGCAGCACTTTTTTGATGCCAAATTTATTCTGGCTGGAGCCTAACTAAGCTGCTTCTCTGGGCTGTCCTCCTCCCCAGTGATGTGTGCTCAAGGGATTGCAAAATTATTTGATTGGGAACACAGAGAAAACATAAATTCAAATCTAGGGGGGAAGCATGAAGGCCCAGTAGATCCTAGTGAAAGTGATTACTGAAATATTGACTATAGAGAGCTTACTGGAACCTTGGGTAAACCAGTTTCATTTGTTGTGAAGTAAGGATGATGATAAGAAGATCCACCTTATTTTGTCAAACAATATCATAAATGCTGGTATATTATTGTGGCTAAATCATTATTGCAGCTAATGCTTATGCTAAGTATACTATGTGCTAAGTGCTATGTGTTAAATGCTTTACAGATGTTACCTCATGTAATGCACAGTTTTATGAGGCAGGTACTATCATTTTTACCATTTACCACCTCTGAGCTTCTTCTGTCATCTGTAAAATGAGGAAAATTATATCTACCTTGCAGAACTGTTGTGAGGATTACATACAAATAGTGAACATAAAGGGCTGAACAAAGAACATGCACATAGTAGGTGCTTAACAGATGGTAGCTCTTTTCCTTCAGTCCAGGAAATGATTTCCTTAAGCACAAACTACATTATAAGAGAATTCTGCTTGGTTGCTAGCAATCCTGAATTTCTTCATACTTTTCCTTCCAGGTGAATTATAATGATTATACTGGCCAGATTGGAAAAATCTGGGTATCATTTATTTATGTGACTAGAATCCCTTGTAATCACCTACCTGTAAGGCCAAAGCAAAGCAAATGTTTACTATCAGACACTAGGAAGGCTTCTACAAACATTCATCTAGATGTGAACAAGCACCAGCAGCCCTGAAAACAGCTTTGTCTTTTGGTCGAATGTGTTAGTGGTGTTTTGACACTTCTTCATTTTACTGATAAAATGTCATTTTCTTAAATTCTTTTTCATTTTACTAACTTTGCTCACCTCTCTTATTTTTAAAAATAATAATTATAGTGAAGATGTACAACTGCCTGGGACCAAACCAGAAGAAGGAAGCAGCACTTAAATTAGTTAATATGTGAGTATAGACCTTAGTGATTGTAGTTATTCTGAGTCACATTTTCTGGATATTTTTTGGACATTCATTGGATGGATCCAGGCCACATAGCTCCTCTTTAGCTGCAGTTAGTAAATTAACTGGCAATGGAATCAAGTCCTGCTCCTCAGTGGCAGCTGGGCCCTCCCTTGGAGCCTTTCTGCAATCCCCTTTTTTATTGCTAATTGACTTCCTAATTCCTCATAGCAGCTGTTATAAACCTTTTCCACTCTCCTCCATCTCCTTAATCCCCTCCCTGCTCTCAACACAGTGGCAGGTGATCATGCATCCGTGAACAGTTCTCTTTCCTGCTGCCTTTGGGTTCTTTGCCATCCTCACCTCATCTCCCCAGGGCCCTCGTCCCCAGGTACCCTCTTCTCTGCCCAGGGCAGGCTTCTCCTATTATTTCCTCTCATATAGCTTCAATTTCTCCCTTCTTTTCCCTTGACCCATAAACAAGCTCAAATCTTCCTCGAACTATAGAAGCCTCTACCATGTTTCCCTCAAAGCTAATCCCTTCCTCCTTTCTCTATTGTCAAGCTCTTAGTATTTTTCATTACAAAAGTAATATATATTTATAGTAGAAAAATGGAAAGTACAAATAACTAAACATGTTTCAAACACTTGTAATCACACTTCTGGAGGTAACTACTGAGGTTCACATTCTGGTTTATATCCTTCAAATCTTATTTCTGTGCATATATAATATTCATTTATTTCAACATTGAGAGCATTCTGGATGTTATATTTTGTAATCTGACACTTCTACTCTACCAGTAAGTATTCTACCACATTATTTTTTAATCATGGCATTAAACTTTTCATTATATGGATGCATTATAATTTATTTAGCCATTTTAAACCATAACCACAAGGTTATTCTCAATTATTTGCTATAATTAGTAACAGTACAACCTTTGTGATACATCTTTGCACATATTTCTGATTATTTCTTTAATATAAATTTCTGAAGGGGAATTACTGAGTGCATCTTATAAGTATTTGGATACATAGCTTTTGCAAAACATAAATATTTTGAAAGAGTAGCCTACTGTCGTCACTTCAACTTTAAATCCCATTCACTAAATTCCAAGCAAACGTAACCCTTTCACTGTCACTGAAATCGTTCTGTCAGAGGTCAAGGTCAATATTAATTACTAATCACAAGTCTTCTCAGGAATTAGCCTCCCTAATCTCTTTGCAGCAACTGCCACTTCCTATCTTTCCCTTTTAAATGTTTTTCCTTCTGTTTTACTTGGTCCTTCCACCTCTGTGGTAACACCTTTTCAGGCTTTTTTCTGGTTCCCTGTTTTTTTGCCTGACGTTTTCCTCATGCTTTACCCTACCCAGATCTCCAACTGTCGAGTTTATGTCAATGCCACTTAAATCTTGGCATAAATGTCAGCACGGCCTGATTTTGAGGTCTGCCCACCTCTCCAGCCTCGTGTGTCACCACTCTCTCCTGACTGCTTCCTCTTCTCCTTGGCTCTTGCATGTACTTTATGGTCCAGTCATTCTCAGCTACTCCCATTTTCTTGAGATTTTTATGCTTTTGCTGATGTGCTCTGTGCTTAGAAATCCCTTCTTCCATCTACACTTGATAAAGCTTTACTTATCCTTCAAGATTTCACTCCCTTCTCCTATGGGAGGCTGTGTGTAAAAAATAATGTTAAAAAAAGTTTAAAAGATTTACCTCTTTTGGGAAGTTCCATGACAACCCCCCACTTTCACTCTTTTATGACCCTTCACCCCGTTGGAGTGGCTGAGCAGGAGGAGCTCCTGTGTGTTCTCAGGTTCATGCTTTTCTCCTTGTGCTGTATTATAACTGTTTCCTCATCACTGTTCTCCTGTGAACTCCTGGAAGGCAGGAATTGTGTCTTTGAACATTATGTCTCCAGAATGTAGCATGGTGCTTGGTGTCTAGTAGAGACCTGTAGTAAACATCTTCCATCCTTTGGTCAAATTATATCCTGATCTTCCTCTGGGGACCTGTCCACTGTCTTCCGTTGAGCCATAGGTTTGGATGGGACTGACCTCATCCTACCTCCAAGAATAGGTTCCTCCAATTACAGCAAGTGAGAAGAAAACATACTAAAGCTTTTTTTAATGAAACAAAAATACGTTTCTAAACAGGTTCTTGCTGTGTTGCCCAGGCTGGAGTGCAGTGCCCATTAGTGCCCATTCGTAGGTGAAATCCCACTACTGATTAGCATGGGAGTTTTGACCTGTTCCGTTTTAACCTGCGCTGTTTCTCCTTAGGCAACTGGAGAATAAACATTTTTTGGAAAGAAAAGCTTCCTTTCTGTTCTGTGGCAGCAATTAGAAGAGATGTGCTTTTGGCTGGGCACGGTGGCTCATGCCTGTAATCCCAGCACTTTGGGAGGCTTGAGGCAGGCAGATCACCTGAGGTCAGGAGTTCGAGACCAGCCTGACCAACGTGGAGAAACCCCATCTCTACTAAAAATACAAAATTAGCCGGGTGTGGTGGCGCATGCCTGTAATCCCAGCTACTCAGGAGGCTGAGGCAGGAGAATTGCTTGAACCCGGGAGGCAGAGGTTGCAGTGAGCCAAGATTGCACCATTGCACTCCAGCCTGGGCAACAAGAGCGAAACTCCATCTCAAAAAACAAAGCAAACAAACAAACAAAAAAAAACAAAAAGGAAACCACAGCCTGTGATCTCTGAGCAAGCTTTTACATCAGAAAACCAGATTTTAAAAATTTAATTTAATTTTAATTTTTTTTTGAGACAGCTTCTCACTGTGTCACCTGGGCTTGAGTACAGTGGGGCCATCATGTCTCACTGCAGCCTCAATCTCCTGGGCTCAAGCAATTCTCCTGCCTCAGTCTCCCGAGTAGCTGGGACTACAAACATGTGCCTCCATGCACAGCTAATTTTTTTATTTTAATTTTGTGGAGACAGGGTCTCACTATGTTGTCCAGGCCGATCTTGAACTACTGGACTCAAGCAATCCTCCTGCCTCAGCCTCCCGAAGTGTTGGGATTATAGGCGTCAGCCATGGCATCCAGCCAGGAAGCCAGATCTTTTTTTTTTGAGACGGAGTCTCGCTCTGTCGCCAGGCTGGAGTACAGTGGCACGATCTCGGCTCACTGCAATCTCTGCCTCCTGGGTTCAAATGATTCCCCTGCCTCAGCCTCCTGAGTAGCTGGGACTACAGGCATGCACTACCACGCCCAGCTTTTTGTATTTTAGTAGAGATGGGGTTTCATCATGTTGGCCAGGATGGTGTCCATCTGACCTCGTGATCTGCTGGGCCTCAGACTCCCAAAGTGCTGGGATTACAGGAGTGAGCCACTGCACCCGGCCAAAGCCAGATCTTAAAATGCTCCCTGCTCAGAAAAAGCTAGGCTGTCTCTTCATGGGGTTTATTGGATCATGGAATATGAGGATTGGGAGGGGGCCCTTAAATATGATTCCCTCTGACCCTTTTAGTTAGTAATGGGAAAACTGAGGCCAACAGAGGAACTATGGCTTACTCAGGGTCAAAAAGAAAGTTAGGGATGTGCCAGGATTGGTGCCTTTTTCAGGATGCCCAAGGGTGGTTCGCAGCCCTTTCCATTTGAGACTTTCTAGAACTCAGAATGTACAAAGCCAGACTAAGTGTAGTGATAAGGTTTGGGTCCTGCAGTATTGGGATAAAAAAGGAAAAGGCAAAAGTCAGCTCACACATACAGTCATTAGCAGGATGGAAGCTCCAGTATCTGCCCTTCCTACCTAGGATTATTCTGAGTGACACTCCCAGGAAACCCAGAGGTCTTGATGGACATGTCAAGGTCACTTTGAGACTTCATCTTCCTTGACTTCTTAGAAGTATTTGACACTGGTATCTATTCCCTCTTCCAAACCATTCTTCCTCCAAGGAAGCATATAACCTCTTGGTTTTCTTCCTACTCCTCTGGCTGTTCTTCCTCTGTCACCATGGATTCTTCTTCCACCTGATTTTTCTTTTCTTTTCTTTTTTTTTTTTGAGACAGAGTCTCACTCTGTCATCCAGGCTGGAGTGCAATGGTGTGATCTTGGCTCACTGCAACCTCTGCCTCCTGGGTTCAAGCAATTCTGCCTCAGCTGCCCGAGTAGCTGGGACTACAGGTGCACCCACCATGCCCAGCTAATTTTTGTATTTTTAGTAGAGACGGGTTTCACCATGTTGGTCAGGCTGGTCTAGAACTCCTGACCTAAGGTGATCCACTCGCGTAGGCCTCCGAAAGTGCTGGGATTACAGGCATGAACCACTGTGCCTGGCCTGTTCTGCCTGATTTTAAAGGCTGGTGTCCATCCCAGACCCTCTCTTTTTCTTCTTTGCCATATTTTTCCTGTGTGGTATCATCTATCCTCTTGGTTTTAATGATTTACATGCTGGTATGTCTCAAATTTACATTTTCTTCTTGTCTTTTTTTTTTTTTTTTTTTTTTTGAGACAGAGTCTGGCTCTGTCGCCCAGGCTGGAGTGCCCTGGCACTGCAACCTCAGCTTCCCTGATTCAAGCGATTCTCCCACCTCAGCCTCCTTAGTAGCTGGGACTACGAGCGTGTGTCACCACACCTAGCTTTTTTTTTTTTTTTTTTTAGACGGAATCTTGCTCTGTCACCCAGGCTGGAGTGCAATGGCATGATCTCGGCTCACCGCAACCTCCATCTCCCGGGTTCAAGCAACCTCCTGTCTCAGCCTTTCGAGTAGCTGGGATTACAGGCATGCGCCACCGTGCCCAGCTAATTTTGTATTTTTAGTAGAGACGGGGTTTCACCATGTTAGCCAGGATGGTCTCCATCTCCTGACCTTGTGATCCACCCACCTCGGCCTCCCAAAGTGCTGGGATTACAGGAATGAGCCACCGTGCCCGGCACTTCTTGTCTCTTTTGAAACATCAGACTCATATAGTCAAGTTACCAGCTGGGTATCCCATGAACACCACAGCTCCTACATGGACAAAACTACTCTCATTGTCTCTACCTCTCCTCCCCTCCTAACCCAGACCTGTTTTCCCTCATGGTCTCTGTCTCAGTAAAGGTACCACCACCCACACAGCTGTACAATCTTGAAGCTCTAGACTTTTCCTTCTCCCGACCCCCATAGCTACTTCTCTGGTTTAAGACTCCTTCATCAGCCAGGTGCGGTGGCTCACGCCTGTAATCCTAGCACTTTGGGAGACTGAGGAGGGTGGAACACAAGGTCAGGAGTTTGAGACCAGCCTGGCCAACATGTTGAAACCCCATCTCTACTAAAAATACAACAAAAAAAAAAGACTCCTTCATCATCTGCAGTAGCCTTATAACTGGGTCGCCCTGCCTCAGGCTTACCCCAACTCCAACTTGTTCTACACATTGCAGCCAAAATTAACTTTTTATTATTTTCAAAAAAGTGTTTTTTGTTGTTTTTTTTTTGAGGTGGAGTCTCACTCTGTCACCCAGGCTGGAGTGCAATCATGCAATCTCAGCTCACTGCAACCTCTGCCTCCTGGGTTCAAGCAATTCTCCTGCCTCAGCCTTCCGAGCAGCGGGATTACAGGTGCCTGTCACTACTCCTGGCTATCTTTTGTATTTTAAGTAGAGACGGGTTTTCACCATGTTGGCCAGGCTGGTCTTGGACTCCTGACCTCAGGTGATCCACCTGCCTCGGCCTCCCAAAGTGCTGGGATTATGGGCATGAGCCACTGCACCAGGCCAAAAGTGTATTTTTAAATTATAAAATTGATACATGCTTGTAACAATTTCAAACAACATGGTAGTGTATAATGTGAAAACTGAAGGATTCCCTTGCCTCCTGTTCTCAACTTCATAGTATTGAACAGTTTGCTGTATTGTCCATCAGTCTCTTTCTATGCTTACCCAAACAAATATTAATTGGCCATCTACTGTAGGCTATGTGCCACTTTATTTTCCAGCAATGCAGAACTGCCCATGTTTCTTTGCACATGCCAGGCTCTAGGTCTCCTCCTTGATTTTGCTTATGCTTCCCCTCGCCTTCCCTCCTCTAGGCAGTATCTACTCATCCTTTAAGACTCATCTTGTGTGTTGCTTCCTCCTAGAGGCTCCCACACCCAGCAGGTAGGCCCTTCTTTGCCAAAGTCACTGCATTTTTACACAGCGTTATTATGAGCTCTTTTGTGCTGGTGTCTCTCACTGGGGTGGAGCTTCATGAGGAACAGACTGCCTTATTCTCCTTGGTATTTCCTTCGCTTAGCGTAAGACCTAGCATAGAGTGCTCAATTTGCATGACTGAATGATTATGGCTCTTTTTACTGCCAAGTCTTCTGAAGTGCCAGTGCCGTGGGTTGGGAGGAAGTTAATCCAAGAGGACAGCACTATGAAGCTTCCTGACAGTCAGTACACAGCAAGAATAGGAGACAAGATGGATGGGTGCCAAAGAATAGGAGAAAGAACCCAAGAGTAAGGAAAAAAGCCTGATAGCAACAAAGGAAGGAAAGGAACTAATATTTATGAAGGATGTTCATATTTAGCACTTTGCACATATATGTATGTGTATACACACACACACACACACACACATATATTTTCTTTTTGAGATGGAATCTCGCTCTGTTGCGTGGGCTGGAGCGCAGTGGCCCGTGATCTCGGCTCACTGAAACCTCCGCTTCCTGGGTTCAAGTTATTCTTCTGCCTTAGCCTCCCAAGTAATTGGGATTACAGACACATGCCACCATGTCTGGCTAATTTTTGTATTTTTAGTAGAGACGGGGTTTCACCATGTTGGCCACGCTGGTCTTGAACTCCTGACCTCAAGTGATCCACCTGCCTTGGCCTTCCAAAGTGCTAGGATTATAGGCATGAGCCACCGCTTTTGGCTGCACTATGCGTATTTTTTCTTATTTAATTCTCGGCATTGCCATCCCCAGTTTACAGATGAGAAAACTGAAGATGAGGATGTAAAGTACCTTGCCCAAAGTCAAATATGGAATAGCAGAGCTGAGGTTCAAGCCTATTTCTGTGAGAGTTCCACGTACAAGTTCTTTTTTTTTTTTTTTTTTTTTGAGACACAGTCTCTGTTGCCCAGGCTGGAGTGGTGGCACGATCTTGGCTCACTGAAACCTCCAGCTCCCGGATTCAAGTGAATCTCCTGCCTCAGCCTCCCGAGTAGCTGAGATTACAGGTATGCACCACCACACCCAGCTAATTTTTGCATTTTTAGTAGAGATGAGGTTTCACCATGTTGGCCACGCTGGTCTTGAACTCCTGACCTCAAGTGATCCGCCCTGCTTGGCCTCCCAAAGTGCTGGGATTACAGGTGTGAGCCACCGCACCTGGCCTCCATGTACAAGTTTTTATGCACTGTGCACACTGATGATCAGGCAGGTATAATGTGGTCAACACCTACCAATTCTCTAGACCCTTTAGGGATGCCTGAAAAAGGTCTGTGTCCAGCAGCTTCTGAATAGACACCTAAAGGCCTTCAGCCTCTGGGGAGATAGACAGTGACAGATTTGACATCCAGATCTTCAGACATGGTGATCCTTTACACTTCCAAATGCCCTGAAAGGGGTGCTAAGATCCCGGAATATATACCACTAAGAGTTAGTCTCCTAGGTTCTGGAGGAGGCCAACAAAAATCACCTTTGGGATGTCTCACTCAGCCAAGCTTTCCCTAATCTTCAGGCAGCTGTGTCCTCCTTGGTCTCTTGGTCTCTCCCAAGCCCTGGTTGCTGTGTCTTTTCAGGACCTGCCAGCCAGAGTACACATGTGGGGCAGAGTCCGTCATCTCTGCAGGCCCAACAGCCTGGGGTCCCAGTCTTTTGATACCTGTGCTTTGGGTATTTCTTGGCAGTTGTGAGCACCGTGAAATTGAGGAGGACACTGCAGGACTGGGGTCAGGGGCTAAGGAGTTGCTGGAGTATGGAGCTATGTACAGGGGCAAGGCTGACTCACAGGGGATGCCAGCCCTTCAATCCACAGATGTTTACTGATACTACTTAGGTATTGTTTGGTTTTTGAGGGCAGGGATGCCAGGCCTGAGAGAAGCACTGATAGTAATAATAACAGTTACTTTTTATCCAGACTATCTATATGTCAGAGACCATACATATACCCTGTTGTATAACCCTTCAACAACTCTGAAAAAGAGCTATTAATAGCTGTATTTTATAGATTATAAAATTAGACATTAAAAAAACTGAAGCTCAGAGAGGTTGTCCAAAATCATTGAGGGACAGTGTTGGGATTTGAACTCGATCCCAGGTCTGTTTATCTGAAGCTTGTGCTAAACTGCCTAGGAGATATAAATTCCATCCCATCACCAAAGAGCTCACAATCCTTGTCTGCTCTCTGCTCACCCATTCAGCACGTTCTCTTGTCATCTCTTATCACTCTGTGCACTAGGCATACTGAAATCCTAGCAGTTCTTGCATGCATTATATTATCTCTTACCTCCAAGCTTTGTACCTTTGTTCCCTCTGCCCAGAATGTCTTCTATCCCTCTTTTCCTGTTAACTCCTTTCTCACTTTCAGGTCTCAGCTTGACTGTGACCTGGCTCTCCAGTTCTGGGTACTTCACACCCATGTGTAGGGGGCATTTGCTAGTTAGCTCCCTACTTCTATTTCCCTTCTTCCGTCTCTCTCTCTCTCTCTTTTTTTTTTTGAGATGGAGTTTCACTCTTGTCACCCAGGCTGGAGTGCAATGGCGTGATCTTGGCTCACCGCAACCTCCGCCTCCCAGGTTCAAGCGATTCTCCTGCCTCAGCGTCCCGAGTAGCTGAGATTACAGGCGACTGCCACTGTGCCCAGCTAATTTTTGTATTTTTAGTAGAGACAGGGTTTCACCATGTTGGCCAGGCTGGTCTCGAACTCCTGACCTCAGGCGATCTGCCTGCCTCGGCCTCCCAAAGTGCTGGGATTACAGGCATGAACCACCTCGCCCAGACTTATTTTCCTTCTTCTCTTGCAGGCAGTTCTTGGATTCCCATTTGGGAAATTCACTCTACCCCCTCATTGGTACGACTGACTCTTCTCCCCAAGCTCCAGGCAGGGGTCTGATTGTTTAAGCCAATCAACATATCCCATTCTGCCTATCACTGTGATCAGTTCAGGGACAGAGGTATACTCACAACTACTGAAATAAGGAAAAACTACAGATTTTGAGAGTTAGTTACCCAAAGAGTCATCTTCTTTTCTATGAGACTGACTGAGATAGGATGTAGATATTTGGACTGGCTATGGGCAATCCAGAATTTAACAGAGGAGGGGCTTAAGGAGTGACAGTCTGATGGTAGGGGAATCAGCCGCATCATTAAAAATAGGATATTGTGGGCCAGGTGCAATGGCTTACACCTGTAATCCCAGCACTTTAGGAGGCCAAGATGGGAGGATCACTGAGCTCATGAGTTTGAGAACATCCTGGGCAACAGAGTGAGACACCCATCTCTACAAAAAAAAAATTTTTTTTAATTAGCCAGGCATGGTGGCATGTACCCATAGTCCCAGCTACTTGGTAGGCTGAGGCTGAGGATCACTTGAGCCTGTGGGGGCTTGAGGATGCTGTGAGCCGTGATCACAACACTGCAGCCTGGGTGGCAAAGCAAAAATCTGTCTCAAAAAAAAAAATGGCCAGGCATGGTGGCTCACACCTATAATTCTAGCACTTTGGGGGGCCAAGCTGGAAGGGTCCCTTGAGCTCAGAAGTTTGAGACCAGCCTGGGCAACATAGTGAGACCCTGTCTCAAAAAAAAAAAAAAAAAAAAGAAAAGAAAAAGAAAAAAAGGATATTTTGGCCCTGTATTTATTCATTGTTTACTCTCAACTTTTTCAGACCCTTGGGCAAGGAAGAAGGGTGCTACTTATTCATGGAAGACTTCTTCAAGCCCTAACACACACACACACACACACACACACACACACACACACACACACACACACACACACGGTTTTGGGGTCATGCTAATATACTCGTTGGATCACACTTATGTTTTTTTTTTTTTTTGAAATGGGGTCTTGCTTAGTTGCTTGGGCTAGAGTGCAGTGGCATGATATGATTGCTCACTGCAGTCTTAAAACTTCTGGGTTCAAGTGATCCTCCTGACTCAGCTTTCCAAGAATGTATTGTATTCTTTTAGTATTTTTTTTGAAGACAGGGTCTGTCTGTGGCACCCAGGCTGGAGTGCAGTGACATGAACACAGCTCACTGCAGCCTTGACCTCTCGGGCTCAAATGATCTTCCCACCTCAGCCTCCCGAGTAGCTAGGACCACAGGTATGTGCTACCACACCTGGCTATTTCTTTTCATTTTTAGTAGAGACAAAGTCTCACTATATTGCCTAGGCTGGTTCAAACTCTTGGGCTCAAGTGACCCTCTCACCTCGGATTCTCAAAGTTTTGGGATTACAGGCATGAGCCACTAAGCTTGACCTGTATTCTTTTTTTTCCTTATTTTCTGAATGATAAGTGTCTTTTTTATTTATTTATTTATTTTTTTGAAACGGAGTCTTGCTTTGTCACCCAGGCTGGAGTGCAATGGTACAATCTCAGCTCACTGCAACCTCTGCCTCCCGGGTTCAAGCAATTTTCCTGTCTCAGCCTCCGGGGTAGCTGGGACTACAGGTGCCTGCCACCACGCCCAGCTAATTTTTGTATTTTTAGTAGAGACAGGGTTTCACCATATTGGTCAGGCTGGTCTTGAACTTCTGACCTCAGGTAATCCACCTGTCTCAGCCTCCCAAAGTGCTGGGATTACAGGCGTGAGCCACCACACCCGGCCATAGAGTCTTTTTTAAATTTAAATTTTATTTTAACTAGAGACAGGGTCTTGCTGAGTTGCCCAGGCTGGTCTCTAACTCCTTGACTCAAGCAATCCTCCTGACTCGGCCTCCCAAAGTGCTGGGATTACAAGTGTGAGCCACCGCACCCAGCGATGGCCTGTATTGTTGAAAATTACTAAGAGTGTATATTTTAATATTCTTATTACAAAAACAAATGATAAGTATGTGAAGTAATGGGTATGTTAATTAGCTTGATTTTGCCATCTCACAATGTATACAGATATCAAAAGTTCACATTATACACTATAAAAAAAGGAAACTTTATTTCCTACCAAATTAGACTTTCACATGCATCGTGGTAACTTTTCATAAATACTTCTATTGATTGTGGATTTTCTATTTTATTTTACTGATCTATTTCTCTATTTCCGTTTGACCTTATAATATGTTCTGGTAAGGCAAGTCCCTTTTACTGTTCTTTTTTTATAATTTTCTTAGTATTTTCAGTCATTTATTCTTTTCAGGGATCTTCATAAAATTCTATTAAAAACATTGTTGGGATTCTAATTGGAACTAATCATACACACACACACACACACACACACACACACACACACACACACACATTTTGAGGAAACTGACTTTTTTTTTTGAGACATGGTCTCACTCTGGTGCCCAGATTAGAGTGCAGTGACATGATCACAGCTCAACCTCCCAGGCTCAAGGGATCCTCTTACCTCAGCCTCCTGAGTTGCTGGGACTACAGGTGCATGCCACCGCACACTCAGCTAATTTTTGTACTTTTCGTAGAGATGAGGTTTCACCATGTTGCCCAGGCTAGTCTTGAACTCCTGGACTCAACCAATCTGCCTGCCTCAGCCTTCCAAGGTGCTGGGATTACAGGCATGAGGCACCATGCCTGGCCCAAACTGACATTTTTTAAGCCAGTAGGTCTTCTCCAAGAAAATGCCATAGCTTTCTATTACCCAGATATTGTTTTATATCTTCTAATACATGTTCTTCATTTAGGTTTCAGTGTCTTTGTATTAAATAGATCTCTAAATGTGTTATAATTTTGGCTGCCTAAGTGCAATACTTTCCCCATTTCCTTTGTAGTGCTTGCTGCTGGAATAGAGAAAGGTTATGAATTTTAAAATGTTTATCTTGTATCTAGCCACCTAACTAAAGACTGGAAGGTCACTTGGTGAGATTAGGGAAGGGGTGGCAGTTGAGTGTGTTGAAAACTGTGAGACACTGTCTTGCCCTAGAGCCTGAGTGGGTCAGGAAAGTAAGCAGACCAAGGAAAAGCAGAAGAATTGACTGTGTGTGTAGGGCATTGTGTTAGTAGAATTCAGTTCTATTGTGAGGAGCTGTGAGTAACAGTGACCTAAAAACAGTGGATTAAACATAATGACATTTCTTTCTTTCTCATATAAAAGAAAGCCTATTGTAGGCAATTCAGGTTCTACAGTTCTGCGGGACCCAGATTGCTTCTAGCTTTCCATTCTGCCATCCGTCAGGTGTGACCCTTATCCTTATGGTCCAGGATGAAGTCCAGCCATCATATCCATGTTCCAAGAAGGATGGAGGAGAAGAAGATGAGATGAAGGGTACATTCTGGGTGTATTTTAAAGAAATTTCCTAGAAGCTGCCACATAATAATTTTACTCACATCTTACTGACCAGAGCTGAGTGATGTGGCCGTGTTTTGGTCTAAGGGATGCTGGGAAATATTTTTATTCCAAATCAAGATCCTAAGGTGGTGGTAATAGACATATTAGGGTTGGTAGTCAGCAGCCTCTGTGCAGGCACATTTGTGGGGTGGTAGAGGCATGTGATTTTCTTCTGTAGCTCTTCTTAGCTACCAGTACAGAAAGGAGAAGGCAAACGGGACATGGTGCAGGGGGTTGGGGGGCAGCAGAATATCAGTACCAGGCATGGAGGGTGTGGATGAGAGAATAGTTTAAGCTGTGTTGGAAAGGAGAGAATGCTGTTTGGGGGATGATAAGCTGGGAGAAGGAGGAGGGATCAAGGGACTAGCGATCTCAGAGGGATTAAAAACCAGATAGTGTGGCTGTGGCAGTAGGTGATGGATATGGAAGGGAGATGAGGGTCACTCAATATAAGGAGGGTAAGGCATGGCCTGGGACGGTCCTCCCACTGCACACTGGACTGCAGGAATATGGCAGGAGACACAAAATACAGGGAAGCTGGTGTAGCCAGATGGTGTGATCCCCAAGGCAGTTCCCTGGGGGAGGAGAGTAATGGTCTAGAGGAGCACAGGAGTGTGAGAACACTGACCTTACCTGCAGGCCTAATCTGCTGACCCAGGTAGATACACAGGTGTAGCAGAATAAAAAGCCATCACTGAAGATAGCTGATAGTCACACCTGTGACTGGGGGATGACCAGGCCTTAGGGAGGCCAAGATGAGGAGAGAGCATTCTGTGAGAAGATGAAGGACGAAGAGGATTGATTTGCCATGGAATGAGGATCCAGTGTGCATAGAGGAAAGCCTTGCAGAGAAAGGGAAAGGGATTTGGGAGAGGACACAGAGCAGTGTGGTGATGAGAATGTGAGAAAGAACAAATGAGAAGGCTTATATTTTGGACACTGACTGAAGACTACAAAATGTAATGTCTGGGCTGGGCACAGTGGCTCATGCCTGTAATCTCAGAACTTTGGAAGGCCGAGGCATCAGGATCTCTTGAGATGAGGAGTTCGAGACCAGCCTGGGCAACATGGTGAAACCCTGTCTACAGAAAATTTAAAAATCAGCTGGGCATTGTGGTGCATGCCTGTAGTTTCAGCTACTTGGGAGGCTGAGGCAGGAGGATTGCTTGAGCCCAGAAGTTCAAGGTTTCAGTGAGCTATGATTGTGCTACTGGACCCCAGCCTGGGTGACAAAGAAAGACCCTGTCTCAAAAAAAAAAAAAAAAAGAAAAGAAAAAGAAAAAGGAAAAAAAAAGAAAGTAACAAGTAACATCCGGATGTAAGGGGTCCATACAGATCTCTAGGTTCAAGTTGTCTTAGAGAAGACCCAAGCCGTGGCCCCAGAGCAACAGACAGGTTGAGGCAGGGCTGCTGCCTTGTGGGCAAACTCAGGGATGGGCTCTCGGTGGTCAGCAGCCACACCAGGGATTTCCAAAGGTCTGAATGTATAGCAGTTGCAGGCCATAAAGAGACGCTTTCCTTCCTTGGAAGCCTTCATTGCCTTGCTCCTAAGGTATCCAGGATGAAGTCAGCCTCAAAACAACTACTACTCACACTGTCAGCTGCTGGAGACAACTCCGGCTGCTCAGCAATGCCAAGAATCATGCTCTTCTAATATCCATTTTGATTTGAAATCTTTTATGTTTGAGATGTACTTTTCTCTGTTGACAATGGGCTGGGTTTGGCCTACTCATTAGGTGTGGAACTCCCGGCTTGTGGTAAAACTTGATTGGAAAACAATTTAAACACATTTCCTGGTAAATGTATAAATATATATAGATGTTGGTTGTTCCCCTCCCCACCACCAGCACACACTGAAGAAGAAGCAATTTGAAGCAATTCAGACATGCTCAGCATCTGGCCCTCATAAAAGGCCTGGGGTGAGTCATGACTGTGCACCAATAGAGAGGGCTTGTTTTCCTTGTGGAGAGGACTGTATTTACCTCCCATTCTGCCCATGGCCCTTTCTATTGCTTTATGATGATAAGTCTGATTTGTGAGCAAAGAGACTGGTAAAATAAGAATATGGGGAAAGGGAGCAAGGAGAAAAGGAAGAGGACCCAGACTGCTACCTATTCAAGGCAAAATCAGCAGTTTTGGGGAGAACAAACTGTTTTTGCTTTTGAGGAGCCAGATAAAAGGCAGCAGAAAGAGCCTTGGCTTGTGAGTTAGGGGATGGCACCCTTCTTCTAGCTATAGGCCACTCAACCTATTGGCACCTGTTTGCGCATCTGACAAGTGGGACCAATAATTGTTGCCCTATCCAGTTGAGAGGAAAGGAAAACTCTTGTTTAAAAGCACTGTTAGGTGCCAGTTGTGGAGTGAGCTCCTTAAACATGCCATCTCATTTAATACTGAAGATAACTCCCATGATGTCATGAAACCATTCTTTGGCTGAAGAAACTGAGAATTGAGAGGCTATGCTGCTTGTCCAAGGGCACAAAGCCTGTCAAGGCTCAAACCTCAAACCCATGTCTGTCTGTCTCCAAATTCTGTGTAGTTCCTATTACTTCATACTGACATTGATGTCAAAGGATACATTAGGATCTCCTGCTGGGAAGGGGAAAAGCACAAGGTAGCACCCCAGTTCCAAGGCCTGGGGTATCCCTGTGTCCTTGGCCCCCACAGAAGGCTGAGCCCAGCCCAATTCTGTTTCCTTAGAGCACTGGTCGCTGCTGTGGGAGCAGGCAGGTTGTTAATCTGATAAACCGCTTCCTGCCAAGGTGGGAGGGGGAGCTAAAGGGTTGCTGTATTGCCATCCCAGTGGCAGGTGGAAGACTCCAGTGACTTTGCTCACAGAAGCACTCTAGGCTTACAATCTGAAAGGATGAGAGCTTTGGGGTCAGTCAGACTTCGGTGGGAGTCCTGGCTCTGCTTCTTGCTAGCAGTGTGACCTTAACTCATCTTACCTTCAGTTTCTTCATCAGTAAAATGCAGATAAGCATGCTCCCCATAAAAGGTGGATGTTGTGAATATTAAATGAACTGCTGTGGGAAATGTGCCTACCACCGTAATGCACAACTGAGTAAAAGGCAGCTGTTATTCCATGGAGGTGGTGAGCAGACCTCCAGAGGAGCTGCATAGGCATTGAGCAGTTTTTGTGTCCCATCCCTAAGTCCACATCATGGTCAATCATTTGTTTAGCGAATGCATTCTAAACACTCACTGTGTTGGCTGCTGGGGACAAGCAGGTATGAGATAGCATCATCCTTGCCTTTGTAGAGCTTACAGTTGAGCTGGAACCACATGGCAGGGAAGTATCTGTTATAGTCACAGAGGTGACAGGGCCTGGAAATGTAAGCTTGACCACCTCAGTGGGGTCTCTTAGAGAGTCTGGCATTTTAAAATCCAAGCCTCCTCTCCAGGTGTAACAGGGGCCCTTTCGTGGAGTTGTGGGACACACACCTTCCTTGGTAGAGACAGGAAAGGCTGGGCTGCCAGCCTGCTGGGCGAGGGGTGGGGTGGGGGGAAGGAAGAGGAGGAGGAGGAGGAGGAGGAGCTGCTGCTGCTGCTTTGGGGGTGGGTGGTTGAACAGGCAGCCCTGGAGGTGCTTCCCATCTAATGCTGGAAAAAACTACCACCTTTGGCAGAGACGGACTGATGCCTCCATAGCTCAGAGTTTATGGTATACTTTACTTATTATCTGAGGCATTTATAGACTGTTAGGTGTTGCCGTATCTGCCAGGGATGGTAAATGTGACAAGGACCTGTTCCAGTTCCAAGCCCACTGACTCACCAGTCACCTTGACATTGAGCAGGTCAGTGATCACACTGAACCTCTCCTGAGGCAATAAAGTGAATGTCTGGGTCGAGGAATAAAACTTGGAGAAAGGGCTCAATGCCAGTCAGCTTGATAGGAAGCCTATGGTACACCTCTCTGGGGATTAAGTAGAGGGTAGGTACAAGGTTCACTCATCTGGGCTTTCCAGATCTACTACATCCAGGCTCTTCCCATCTCACCCTATCCTATCATCCTGCTTGTTCCTCAACAACCAATATCCACACCAAGCTAGCAGGCAGGTTCCTCAAGATCCCCCAAACACATGGAAGCTCATTCCCACCTCATTGATTTTGTTTAAGATCAGATCCCTACTGTTTCACTTTTCTTCAGCTGTAATTAGCTCATTTCTCAAGCCCAGCTCTCATTCTGCCTCCCCCAGAAAGCATTCCTTAACTTCCACAGCACACACTGACCTTTCTCCTCTGGATCACCCCATTTTAGTAATGATTCATTAATGGACTCCTTGATTAATTCAGTCAATGCATGGCAAGCCTTACCTGTTCTAGATGAAAAAATACTTCCAAAATCTATCCACTTCTCTCCATCTTCACTGCTTCCACCCTAGACACCTCTTGCTTGGATTATTAAAAACCCTTGTAGCTGGTCTCTCTACCCTCACTTTGCCTGTCTCCAACCCCTGCATACTCCATGCACTATCCAGTGGTCTTTTATGAAGGTAAATTAGCTCCGGTCACTCCCCTGCTTACAGTCTTCTAGTAGCTTCCCAGAGTCCTCACCACAGCCCACAAGTCTCTGCTAATCTAGCACTTGGCTGTATTCCCAGCCTCTTCTCATTCCATCATTCCTTTTGCTCATTCTGCTTCAGGTACCTCAGCCTTCTTTCAGTTCTTCCAAAAGGCCAAACCATTACTATTGCCTTAGGGCTTTTGCATGTACTGACCTTCTACCTAAAATGGTCTCAGCTCCTCAGTGTTTGCCTACTCCTCATCACTTTGCTCTCTGCTCTCAAATGTCACCTCATCAGAAGGTTTTCCTTGAGCACCCATCTGAAGTAGCTCTTGCCCTCTTGAAGTCACAACTTATATCATTATACTATTTCCTTTTATGTCTTAGTCTGTTTTGTGTTGCTATAACAGAATACCGCAGACTATGATTTATAAAAAAAGAAATTTATTTCTCACCATTCTGGAGGCTGGGAAATCCAGTATCAAGGTGCTGGCATCTGATGAGGGCCTTCGTGCTATATTATTCCATGGTGGAAGGTGGAAGGGCAAACCAGTGTTTGAGACAGAGAGAAAAAGGGGGCCAAGCTCCCATGATAACTTCTTCTGTGATAATGGCATTAATCCATTCATGAGGGCAGAGCCCTCATATTGTCATCATTTCTTAAAGGTCTCACCTCTTAATACTGTCATAAGTTTCAACATGAGTTTTGGTTTTGCTTGTTTTTGTTTTTGTTTTTTTTGTGTGTGTGTGTGTGTGTGTGTGTTTTTTGACACAGTCTTGCTCTGTCACTCAGACGGGAGTGCAGTGGCTCAATCTTGGCTCACTACAACCTCCACCTCCTAGGTTCAAGTGATTCTCCTGCCTCAGCCTCCTGAGTAGCTGGGACTACAGGCGTGTGCCATCATGCCCAGCTAATTTTGTATTTTTAGTAGAGACGGGGGTTTCACCATGGTGGCCAGGCTGGTCTCGAACGCCTGAGCTCAAGTGATCCACCCACCTTGGCCTCTCAAAGTGCTGGGATTACAGGTGTAAGCCACTGCACTGGGCCTCAGCATGAGTTTTCGAGGGGACATTCAACTGTAGAACTTTATATCACTAATATTTTTTAACTTGTATTTCCTTGTATTGTGTGCTTTTCACCACTAGAGAGGAAGCACCTCCGGATAGAAACAATGTCTTTTCACTGCTATATCCTCAGAGTTTAGAATAGTGCTTATGAACAAAACCAATAAATATTGACTAATCATTTATTAAATGGTTATTAAATGCCTTCAATGTGTGGAGCCCTGAAAATCAGTAATTACTACGACTGATTAGAGATACGAATGCCTATCCTGGAATACGGTTTCTCAAAGGTTGTCCACAAAACTCTGGTGGTCTGTCAAGGAGTTTGCAACTGGTTTGATAGTTTCAGAGTAAAGAGTGATGAAACAGTTTTGTTCATATACACTTAACTGTTTAAAATATAAGATTAAGGGCTGGGTGTGGTGGCTCACGCCTGTAATCCCAGCACTTTGGGAGGCTGAGGCAGGTGGATCACCTGAGGTCAGAAGTTTGAGACCAGCCTGGCCAACATGGTGAAACCCCATCTCTACTAAAAATACAAAAATTAGCTGGATGTGTTGGCATGCACCTGTAATCCCAGCTACTCGGAAGGCTGAGGCAGGAGAATTGCTGGAACGCAGGAGGCAGAGGTTGCAGTGAGCTGAGATCATGCCACTGCACTCCAGCCTGGGCGACAGAGCAAGAGTCTGTCTCAAAAATAAATAAATAAATAAATAAATAAATAAATAAATAAATAATAAGATAAGGTTTTCTGGCTGAGCGCGGTGGCTCACGCCTGTAATCCCAGCACTCTGGGAGGCCGAGGCATGCAGATCACTTGAGATCAGGAATACGAGACCAGCCTGGACAACATGGTGAAAGCTTGTCTCTACTAAAATAGAAAAATTAACCAGGGATGGTGGCACATGCCTGTAGTCCCAAGTACTCGGGAGGCTGAGGCAGGAGAATTGCTTGAACCCAGGAGGCGGAGGTTACAGTGAGCCGAGATTATGCCACTGTACTCCAGCCTGGGTGACACAGCAAGACTCTGTCTCATTAAAAAAAGCTAAAAAGAAAAAGATTACAACTATCATAGAAATTTTATTATTTTATTAATAATTGTTTCATGACGTTTACTGCAAGGACTATTTTGGCTAGTTCATCATAGCCAATTTCAGTTATCAGTTATAGTTTATTTTGAATATGTTTCACATTATGAGTGTTAAAATCTTAGTCATAAAAATCTATTTTTTTTGAGACAGGGTCTCTATCTGTGACCCAGGTGAGTGTGCATTGATATGAACATGGCTCACTGCAGCCTCAACCTCCCAGGCTCAAGTCATCCTCTCACCTCAGTGTCCTGAATAGCTGGGACCACAGGCACAAGCCACCATGCCTGGCTAATTTTTTTTTTTTTTTTTTTGAGACAGAGTCTTGCTCTTGTGGCCCAGGCTGGAGTGCAATGGTGCGATCTCAGCTCACTACAACCTCCACCTCCTGGGTTCAAGCAATTCTCCTGCCCCAGCCTCCCGAGTAACTGGGATTACAGGTGCCTACCATGCCCGGCTAATTTTTTGTATTTTTAGTAGAGACGGGGTTTCACCATGTTGGTCAGGCTGGTCTCAAACTCCTGACCTCAGGTGATCCACCCGCCTCAGCCTCCCAAAGTGCTGGGATTACAGGCATGAGCTACTGCACCCAGCTGGCTGGCTAATTAAAAATAATTTTTTTTTTTTTTGTGGAGATGGGCTCTTGCTATGTTGCCTAGGCTGATCTCAAACTCCTGGACTCAAGCAATCCTCCTGCCTCAGCCTCCCAAAGTGCTGGGATTACATGTGTGAGCCACTGCACCCAGACAAAATCTACATTTTTGTTGTTACTATTGTGTTGCATTATTTCTCATGATTCAAAAGTAGTTCATCAAAGAGTAAAATTAATGATGAAGAATAATATTGTCAATAGTGCAATAGAGAATAATGTTGTAAGTGTAAATACTTAATAGGGTTACACTATGAATACACACCATGAATCTTTATGAGCTAGGAGAATATAATCAGCAGGAGTGCTGATTTGGCACAGTAGCTGAAAAAGAAGAGTTCAAATAGGAAATACAGTGCTGAATATCTGAAAATTGGACTTTATTGGGTTGTGAATGATCCCTAAGGATATTGTTTCTTGTGATGCTTTGTCCGATAGTGGCAAAGGCCATCAAAGTTAAAAAAA
Organism: Homo sapiens; assembly: GCF_000001405.40. Classification (NCBI taxonomy): domain Eukaryota; kingdom Metazoa; phylum Chordata; class Mammalia; order Primates; family Hominidae; genus Homo; species Homo sapiens. The sequence continues at coordinate 92,405,866 of NC_000001.11, read as the reverse complement.
AATATGGTTACTTCTCTGGTAAATCAATGGACATTTTCCAGAGTATGTGTAGGATATGGATTTTGTTAATAAAGGTAGAGCAGAGACCAAAATTACAGAGGTATTACTTAAAGTTGTACTTAGAGCAAAAACATATACAAGTCATACTACTGTAAGGATGCTTGAATAGTCAGCTTAAGTTAAACTAATGACAAGCATAGGGCTTGGAGAGAAGGCAGAACAAACCTGGCATAGTTCTTTTATCAAAAGATCCTGTTGAAAGTAAGTAAAGAAAACAACTGGATGTGGAACTGACTTATGGCTCAAGCCAATCCTTATCAAAATGACCACAGACACCTTGGCAAAAAGTTGAGAACAATTTTTTTTTTTTTTTTTTTTTTTTTTATGAGACGGAGTTTCACTCTTGTTGCCCAGGCTGGAGTACAATGGTGCAATCTCGGCTCACTGCAACCTCTGCCTCCCAGGTACAAGCGATTCTTCTGTCTCAGCCTCCCAAGTAGCTCGGATTACAGGCATGCGCCATGATGCCTGGCTAATTTTTGGTATTTGGTAGAGATGGAGTTTCACCATGTAAGTCAGGCTGGTTGTGAACTCCTGACCTCAGGTGATCCACCTGCCTCGGCCTCCCAAAGTGCTGGGATTACAGGTGTGCGCCACCATCCCTGGTGAAAATAATCTTATTCCTCTGTTTTGGAATAATTACTAATTTGAAAACTATTATGTCTTATGTTTGTAATTTAAAAAATTGAAGTAGGCTGGGTGCAGTGGCTCATGTCTGTAATCTCAGCACTTTGGGAGGCTGAGGTGGGGGGATCACTTCAGCCCAGGAGTTCAAGACCAGCCTGGGCAACAAAGTGAGACCCTATCTCTACAAGAAATACAAAAAATTAGCCAGGCCTGGTGGTGCACACCTGTAGTTCCAGCTACTCAGTAGGCTGAGCTGGGAGGATGGCTTGAGCCCTGGGAAGTTGAGGCTGCAGTGAGCTGTGATTGCATCACTGCATTCCAATTTGGTGACAGAGTAAGAACCTGTCTCAAAAAAAAAAAAAAAAAAATTGAAGTAGATTTCCATTTAAATGTGGTAGACTGAACACATGTTTTCTCCATACTACCTCCCAAAATTTGTTGGTAATTTTTTTTTTTTTTTTGAGATGGAATCTCGTTCTGTCATCCAGGCTGGAGTGCAGTGGGGTGATTTCAGCTCATTGTAACCTCTGCCTCCTGGGTTCAAGCAATTCTTGTGCCTCAGCCTCCTAAATAGCTGGGACCACAGGCACATGCCACCATGCCCAGCTAATTTTTGTATTTTTAGTAGAGTTGAGGTTTTGCCATGTTGGCCAGGCTGGTCTTGAACGCCTGACCTCAAGTGATCCACCCACCTCAGCCTCCCAAAGTAAATACTTTTTTAAAAAGCATAAATGACCTTTGGCTTTAATCTATGATGAAGTATTAGGGACAATATTTATCCTGTCAATGTAAACAGGAAGAAACTGGACAAGATGTATGAAACAGCTGTTTTCTGATACTGAATTAGAGGTAGCACAGGATTGTGATTCTTGAGAAAGGAGAAACAAATGAAGTGAGCTTTATTATCACCTAGGTTTCTATTTGGAGGCACATTCTAGACCATGGAGCAAGGAGAGAAATCCTAAGCAGAGCACAATCCTCTCACTGAGTTGAAGAGAGAGAGGCAGAGAGAGAGACAGTGATATTGGAGTAGTTCAGGGAGGCTGAGGCAGCTGAAAGTTGGGAAAAAATTCAGATAAGGGGGTGTTATGCAGAAGTGCTCCAGAAATCTGCACTGGGGTCTCATTAAGTTTTTTTTTTTTTTTTGAGATGGAGTCTCCCTCTGTCACCTAGGCTGGAGGGCGGTGGTGTGATCTCGGCTCACTGCAACCTCTGCCTCCCAGGTTCAAGCAATTATCCTGCCTCAGCCTCCCAAGTAGCTGGGATTACAGGTGCCCACCACCGTGCCTAGCTAACTTTTGTATTTTTAGCAGAGATGGCATTTCACTGTGCTGGCCAGGCTGGTCTAGAACTCTTGACCTCGTGATCTGTCCACCTCGGCCCCGCAAAGTGGTAGGATTACAGTTGTGAGCCACCGTGCCTGGCCTCATTTTCTGAATGCTAAGAAATAATACTGGCTGGGCACGGTGGCTCATGCCTGTAATCCCAGCACTTTGGGAGGCTGAGGTAGGTGACTCACTGGAGCCCAGGAGTTCAAGACCAGCCTGGGCAACATAGCAAGACCCCACCTCTCCAAAAACTACAAAAAATTACTCAGGCATGGTGGCACGCACCTGTAGTTCCAGCTACTTGGGAGGCTGAAGTGGGAGGATCACCTGAACCCAGGAGGCAGATGTTGCAGTAAGCCAAGATCATGCCACTGCACTCTAGCCTGGGCAACAGAGTGAAACCCTGTCTCAAAAAAAGAAAAAGAAAAGAAATAATACTAAGATGTGATGCTGAAAAATTTTCTACATTTGTTGAGAATGCTAATGCAAAAATTCAAGAAACTCAATGAACCCCATGCAGGATAAACCTACACACATACAAACTCACACCAAAGCATATAATCAATTTGCTGAAAAACAACTGATAAAGAGAAAATTTTTAAAAGCAGCCAGAGGAAAAAAAGATACAATATATACAGAGAAACCAAGATAAGAATTACTGCATACTTATAGTCTAAAGCTATGCAAGCCAGAAGACAATGGAGTGGTATCTTTGAAGTGCCAAAAGGAAAAAAAAAAGGACAATTTGAAAACAAGTGAAAATATCCTTCAAAAATGAAGGCAAAATAATGTGGTTTTTTTTTTTTTTTTTTTTTTTTTTTTGAGACAGACTCTGTTGCCCAGGCTGGAGTGCAGTGGCATGATCTTGGCTCACTGCAATCTCTGCCTCCCAGGTTCAAGCAATTATCCTGCCTTAGCCTCCCAAGTAGCTGGGATCACAGGCATCTGCCACCATGCCTGGCTAATTTTTGTATTTTTAGTAGAGATGGGGTTTCACCATGTTGGCCAGGCTGGTCTTGAACTCAGCCTCAAGTGATCCACCTGTCTCGGCCTCCCAAAGTGCTGGGATTACAGGCGTGCACCACCACACCCAGCTGTTTTCTTTTGAGACTGATCAAGAGAAAAGAAGACTCAAATTACCAGTATCTAGGAAAAGAGAGAACACTGCCAGATGCGGTGGTGCACGCCTATAGTCCCAGCTATTCAGGAGGCTGAGGTGGGAGCACTGCTTAGACCAGGAGTTCTTGGCTGTAATATGCATGCCAGTCAGGTGTCTGCACTATGTTTGGCATCAGTATGGTGACCTCCTGGGAGCATGGGGACACCAGGTTGCCTAAGGAGGGGTGAACTGTCCCAGGCTGGAAATGAAGCAGGTAAAAACTGCTGTGCTGATCAGCAGTGGGATTGTGCCTGTGAATAGTCACCTCACTCCAGCCTGGGCAATACAGTGAGACCCTGTCTCTTAAAAAAAAAAAGAGAGAAAACACTACTAAGATTCTACATTAATTAAGGGAATAGTAAGAGGATATTATGAATGACTATGCAAATACATTTGAAAACAGATGAAATGGAAGAATTCATTGGAAGAAACATGTTTCCAACAATGACACAAGAAAAAACATTCCTAAATATACATATTTTAATGAAAGTATTTAAAGTCATAATTACAAATTGTCTCATAAGGGAAATTCACAGGCTGAGATGATGTCACTGGTGAATTGTATCAAACATCTAAGGAAGGAATAATAGAATCCTTCATCCATGCAGAAGTTTCAGAAAATAGAATTGGGCAGTACACATTCCAACTCATTTTATTAGGCCAGTATTACTTTGATTTCAAAACCAGACAAAGATGTTACAAGAAAAATTACAAACCAATATCCTTCAAACATAGGCAAAATCCTGAAGAAACTAAAATGAATACAGCAATTTACAAAGAGGAAAATGCATCATGATCAGTGGGTCTTATCCCAGGAACGCAAGGTTAATTTAACATTTAAAATACCAATGAGCATAATTATACAACCTTAGCAGAAATAAGGAGGAAAAAAACTTGGATCATCTCCATAGATGCATTAAAAGCCTTTGACAAAATTCAACACCCATTTATGATTTAAAATGACAAAAACCTTTTAGCAAACTATGAATACCAGGGAACATCTTCAAGCTGAGAAAGGGTCTCTAGGAAAACTTACAGCTGACATTGTACTTAATGGCGAAAGACTGAGTACTTTCCCTCTAAAATTAGGAACAAGGGGAGGATATGTGCTTTCACCACTTATATCCAGTATTGTTCTGAAGGTCCTAACCAGGGCAGTAAGGCAAGACATATGGGTTGGCAAAGAACAAGTACAATAATCTTTATTTGCTGATGACATGATTGTGTATGTAGAAAGTCCTCAGAATTCTACAAAAAAGGGACTAGAACTAAGTAGTAGGGAAAGTATTGTCCTAAAAATGGTCCTTATTCCATAGATACTTTTACCTTTATTGCCAACATGAGTAGCTGGCTTTCTTGGGGTGTTACTTTCCACAAAAAAGTCAAGGCATTAATCACAAGGAAAGCAAAGTATGTGTGTTTGCTGCTTTTATTGAATTGATCTTTACAGAAGTGAGTTAGAAAGGTCTTCAGTAATAGCTTTCTCTCTGATATGGTCCGGCTCTGTGTCCTCACCCAAATCTCATCTTGAATTGTAATCCAAATTGTGATCCCCACGTGTTGGGGGAGGGACCTCGTGGAAGGTGATTGGATCATGGGGGTGGTTCTCCCCTGCTGTTCTCATGATAGTGAGTTCTCATGAGATCTGATGGCTTTATAGAGGCTTTGCCCCACTTTGCTCTGCACTTCTCCTTCCTGCCGCCCTGTGAAGAAGGTGCCTTTCTTCCCCTTTGCCTTCTGCTATGATTGTAAGTTTCCTGAGGCTTTCCCAGCCATGTGGAACTGTGAGTCAATTAAAACTCTTTCCTTTATAAATTACCCAGTCTGGGGTATTTCCTTATAGCAATGTAAGAATAGACTAATACACTCTCCCATTTGGTAAATTTTCCTTCTCTGCCCTAGAGGATTTCCGAGAGAAATTCCTAAAGCCACAGAGTTCTTTTTCCAAACTCTTTTTCCAGCCTCTAAAGGGCTGCTTGGTGGGTTCACGGTCTCCCAACCTAAAACTAATTGTGAAGGCTCCAAACAGAAAAATTCTGGACCTTAAAACCAATGCGTGGCTGGCCACAGTGGTTGACACCTGTAAGCTCAGCACTTTGGGAGGCCAAGGTGAGAGGATTGCTTGAGGCAAGGAGTAACATAGTGATTGAGACCTGGGTAACATAGTGACACCCTGTCTCTAAAAAATATAAAATTAAAAAAAATATTAGCTGGGTATGGTGGTACGTGCCTATAGTCCCAGATACTCTGGAGGTTGAGGTGGGAGGATCGCTTGAGGCCAGGAGTCTGAGGCTATAGTGAGCTATGACTGTCACTGTGCTCCAGCCTGGGTGACAGTGAGACCCTGTCTCAAAAAACCCCACAAAACCAAACCAAGGTATACTCTGACTCCAACCAGGATCCCCTCCGTAAACTCAGCTTTCCCTCTGGCGGTGACCCTTGTTCTGCAAAGGAAGCCAGGGTGAAGGGGAGGGAATCTCAGTTTAACTCACTCACAGAGGGTGGCTTCCCTAATCCCAAGTGGGTTTTGATTGAGTCCTGTTTTAGCTCCCTCTCTCTCTCCAGAGCTCATTGGGCTTTTTGTTGCTTAGTTAGATGAGCCATAGACAAGGAGTTTGAGACCTGGGTTTTAGCAACTGCTCTGCTAAAACTGGCTGATCTTGTGGAAGATAAACCTCATTGAGTCTTAGTTTGTGCTTTTTTTAAAGTGAGATATTTAGTTAGACTAGTGATTTTCAAACTCTTTTTCCTAGTAGCAAGACTCTTTGTACGAAGAAAATCTTATCTGGATGCCCAACCCAGACAAGAGAGGTTAAGAGTCATTCTGGTTGACTTTGAAGGTGGACTGTCTTTTCTCCCATTGTGGCCATAGTGAAAGTGACTCTGTCTAAAATTTAGTGTATTTTTTCCCCCCAAAGATGGATAATGTGTTAATGGGACGATGTGAGAAGGATAAGAGGTAAGGATGTGGGAGTGAGCAAGGTGACAGATCATAGGCTATGCTTTTTCATATAAAAAATGAAGATGGGTATTACAGAAGATATTACTAAATTGTTTCTCTGAAAAGTCTTATAACTTATGACATGAAACTACATTAAATTATATGTGTCAACTTCAAAACATTACAGTACCTGAAGTGGACACTGCTTTGGCTGTATGACCCCAGTAAGGTAGGGTCAGATGGGCATCTAGGGGACTGGCTTTTCCTGCTTATCTAAGTGATAGAAGTTTTCACTGTTAAAACTTCATTTTATTGCTCTTATTTTTGTCACAAGTCCTTATGAGCTTGGTTGGGTGAAGGGTCACCCAGAAAAGAACCAGCTTCCACTTTCTTTAATTATGCAAACTAGAGCTAGGTGACTGAGAACTTGCTTTTGGTCTGCAAGACATAGGGAGTTTTGCAAGCCCCAAGGGAGTCCAGAATTTCCTGAACATGTTGCAAGGTGGCTGGATGGCTTTCTTCTGAAGTCATGCAATATTGTCCTTCACTTTGGTTATGACTGCAGAGGTGCTGGGAAGCAAAATGAAAACTATCACCTTGAAGCAGGCTTTTCTTCATAGGCCCCAGAGGTGAGGCCAGCTCATTTAAAGGGAATGGCTTGTGCTGCTGCTTTCATCTAAAGGTATTTTGATCCAATTCCACCTCCCAGCTCCTTTATTGGTAATGTTTTCCAAAACACAGTATTTTTGCTGAGGGAAGGACAGGCAAAGGCCTGAACATTTAGAGAGTAGAAAACTGGCTGGGTGTGGACCTTTTACAAAAGTTCATATTTTGCTAGTTTAATTTGGAAAAGGACACATGAATTCTCACAGAAAATGAGCTTTATTGGGGAACAATACATTTCATGAAGGCATTTCTTTATCAGGAATCACACAGGCAGCCCCACGCAGTCACTGCCCCACACCTTATCCTTCAGCTTGTGCTGCACAGGAGAGGAGTGGCTGGGATTCCTGACTAGGGCTTTGATGAGAGTGCATGCACACTGGAGCATGCTTCTTGGCCTGGATGGCAAAGTCCCAGGAGCCAGTCCTAACTCAGACTCTGGCCTGCCTAGGTACATTTCAGATGAAAGTCACCCCTGCTCCTTGCCCCACCCTCAGTCCAACAAAAATGTGCTTCTAGAAATGCTTACTTTTCTTTTTCTACGAAGGGCTTATAATGTGAGGCTACTAAAGATTTTCAGATTTCAGAATAGTACCACTTACCTTGGGCTAGGTTAATTTTTTAGAGAATTGATCTTGTCCCCTAATGAGTAGGAAGATCAACTGGTTTTTGGACATGACTATAAGCAGAAGATGCTAAATAATACCTTAAAAAGACTCCACTGGCCAGGTGCGGTGGTTCACTCCTGTAAACATTTTTTAATTTTTGTGGGTACATAGTAGATGTATATATTTATGGGTTACATGAAATATTTTGGTACAGGCATGCAATGTGTAATAATCACATCAGGATAAATAGGGTTTCCATCATCTTAAGCACTTATCCTTTGTGTTACAAACAATCCAGTTATACTCTTCAGTTATTTTAAAATTTTATTTTTTGAGACAGTCTCACTCTATTGCCTAGGCTGGAGTGCAGTGCCACAATCATGGCTCACTGAAGCCTTGACCGCCTGGTCTCAGGTGATCTTCACCCTCCTGAGTAGCTGGGACTATAGGCGTGTGCCACCATGCCCGGCTAATTGTTTACTTTTTTGTAGAGATGGGGTCTCCCTATGTTGCCCAGGCTGGTCTCAAACTCCTGGGCTCAAGTCATCCTCCCACCTCAGTCTCCCAAAGTGCTGGGATTACAGGCGTGAGCCACCGTGCCCGGCCAGGGAGCTCTTTCAGATTGGCTCCTGTGTCTGTCTGACATGCTTCTATCCTTTTGTTTTTGAGCACTTGCTTAGTTTCTGGTACTACAAGATGCTCCAGGCTTATCTTGCATTTTTTTGGCTCTAGCCTTAGAACCTAGCTATTTTCTCAAGAAGCCTGGGTTCTTTTCTATTGGAAAATATTTAGAAACCAAAATCCAGCACAGTACTTTGAACTGAATTCTGCTTCAGTCCTCCCAAACTAACATAAACTTGGCAGAAGTGTATGGGAGGCAGATGCAGCACCCTCCCAAAGCAGCTGGCCCTGTGGTGACTTGGTGGCAGTTGTCCACTTGGATCCTTAGTTTCTATACTGAGCTACTGGCTCCTCACCTGAGGTCTCTAGACTTGTAGGGCATGTGAGATAACTGAAGAGATATCTCTGGGCACAGAGAGGGAAGAAGTGGAGATACAGCAGCTTCCCTCATTTTTTAATTTTTAATTTTTGAGACAGTGTCTTGCTCTGTCACCCAGGCTGGAGTGCAGTGGTGCAATCTTGGCTCCCTACAACCTCTGCCTCCTGGGCTCAAGTGATCCTCCCACCTCTGACTCCTGAGTAGCTGGGACTCCAGGCATACACCGCCATGCCTGGCTAATTTTTTTTATTTTTGGTGGAGACAGGGTTTTGCTATGTTGCCCAAGTTGGTCTCAAACTCCTGGACTCAAGCAATCAGCCCATCTTGGCTTCCCAAAGTGCTGGGATTACAGGTGTGAGCCCCTGTGCCTGGCTAGCTTCTTTTTCTCTTTACCCTAGGTCACTAGGTCAGAGAGAGAGAGGCCCTGTTATAATCTTTGACTTTTAATAGCTTTATTAAGGTATAATTTATACACATAAACTTTACCTGTTTTAAGTGCATAAATCAATTATTTTTAAAGTTTATAAAGTTGTGCAAAAATGGCTGGGTGTGGTGGCTCACGCCTGTAATCCCAGCGCTTTGGGAGGCCGAGGCAGGAGGATCACCTGAGGTCAGGAGTTCGAGACCAGCCTGACCAACCTGGAGAAAACCTGTCTCTACTAAAAATACAAAATTAGCCGGGCATGGTGGCACATGCCTGTAATCCCAGCTACTCAGGAAGCTGAGGCAGGAGAAATGCTTCAACCCAGGAGGCGGAGGTTGTGGTGAGCTGAGATCGCGCCATTGCACTCCAGCCTGGGCAACAAGAGTGAAACTCCATCTCACACACACACACACACACACACATAAAAGTTGTGCAAAAATTACAACTTAGTTTTGGAACATTTTTGTCACCCCCAAAAGATCCCTTGTGCCCATCTGCAGGCAATCCATGTTTTCACATCAGACCCATGCAACTGCTAATTTAGTATATGCCTTTTCTGGACTGTAAATGGAAACATACCATATGTGGGATATTGCATCAGACTTCTTTCACTAAGCATAATGTTTTGAGATGCATCCATATTGTAGCCTATATCACTACTCCATTGTATACATATATCATTTAAAGAAATCCACCAGTTAAAAAAAAAAAGAAAAAGAAATAATCTGGGTATGTTGGTGCCTGCCTGCAGTCCCAGTTACTGAGGAGGCTGAGGCAGGAGGATTGTTTGAGCCCAGGAGTTTGACTTCAGAGTATGCAACATAGTGAGGCCTCATCTCTTAAAAAAAAAAAAAAAATCCAGTAGTTGATGGTCATTTGGTTTCCACTTTTTGACTAATATGAATGATAATGCTATGAACATTTGCCTACGAGTCTTGATGTGAACACATTTCCACTTCTCTTCTCATGGAATAGCAGGATCATATGGTAAACTTATGTTTATCTTTTTAAGAAACTGCCAAACTGTTTTCCAAAGTGGCTGCACCATTTTACATTCCCACCAGCAATGCATTAGGGCTCCAGTTTCTCCACATCATCACCAACACATATCTTTGTCTGTCTTTTTTATTATAGTCATTTTAGTGGGTCCAAAATGGTATCTAATTTTGCTTTTAACTTGTATTTTCCTAATGACTAGTGATAGTACACATCTCTTCATATGCTAAGCAATTTGTATATCTTTGCTGAAATATCTATTCAAACATTTTGTCCATTTTTAAGTTGTCTGCCTTATTTTTGAGTTTTAAGAATTCTTTACATAGTCTAGATACAAGTCCTCTATCAGATACTTATTATGGTTTGAAAATATTTTCTCCCAGTCTGTGATTTTTCAATTAATTTTTTTTTTTTTTTTTTTTTTTGAGACAGGGTCTCACTCTGTCACCCAGGCTCTAGTGCGGTGGTGTGATCTTGGCTCACTGCAACCTCTGCCTCCCAGGGTCAAGAGATCCTCCCACCTCAGCCTTCTGAGTAGCCAGGACTACAGGAGCACGCCACCATGCCTGGTTAATTTTTGTATTTTTTGTGGAGATGGCATTTTGCTCTGTTGTCCAGTCTGGTCTCAAATTCCTGAGCTCAAGTGGTCCACCCTCCTTGGCTTCCGAAAGTGCAGGGATTTCAGATGTGAACCACCTCCCCGGGCCAATTAATTTTCTTAATAGTTTTTTGAAACAAAATTTTATATTTTAATGAAGTCCAATTTATTAATATTTTCTTTTATGAATTGTGCTATTAGTGTCTTAAGAATTCTTCCTAAACCAAGGTCATCTAGGTTTTCTCCCATGTTTTCTTCTACATGTTTTATAGTTTTAGCTCTTACATGTAGGTGTGTGATCAATTTTGAGTTTATTTTTGCATATGGTAGGAGGTAAGAATCTAAATTAATTTCTTCTGCATTTGATATCCAAATATCCTAGCACTATTTGTTGAAAAGACCATCTTTTCTCCATAATTTCATTGGGATTTTTGTCAAAACTTAATTGATCATAAATGTGAAGGTTTATTCCTGGACTCTGTTCCACTGATCTGTATGCCTATCTTTATATCAGTACCACACTGTCTTGATTAATGTAGCTTTGTAGTAAGTTCTGGATCAGAATTATTTCTTCATTTTCAGAATTATTTTGGCTATTCTGAATCCTTTATGTTTTCATACAGATTTTAAGATTGGCTTGTCAATTTTTCAAAAAAGCCTGCTGTGATTTTGATAGGGATTGCATTGTAGATTAATTTGGGGAGAACTGCTATCTTAACAACATTTGATCTTCCAATTCATGAACATGGATTGTGTCTACATTTCTTGATACCTTCTTTAATCTCTCTGAATTTTTCTTTTTCTTTTTTTGAGACAGGGTCTTGCTCTGTTGCCCAGGCTGGAGTGCACTGGCACAGTCACAGCTAACTGCAGCCTCAACCTCCCAAGCTCAGGCAATCCTCCCAATGTAGCCTCTCAAGTAGCTGGGACTACAGGTGTGCAGCACCATGCCTGGCTAGTTTTTTAAAATTTAATAATTATTTTTTTTATTATACTTTAAGTTCTGGGTTACATGTGCAGAACATGTAGTTTTGTTACATAGGTATACACATGCCATGGTGGTTTGCTGCACCCACCAACCTGTCACCTACATTAGGTATTTCTCCTAATGTTATCCCTCCCTTAGCCCCCCACCCCCCACAGGCCCTGGTGTGTGATGTTACCCTCCCTGTGTCCATGTGTTCTCATTGTTTAACTCCCACTTATGAGTGAGAACATGCGTTGTTTGGTTTTCTGATCTTGTGATAGTTTGCTGAGAATGATGGTTTCCGGCTTTATCCATGTCCCTGCAAAGGACATGAACTCATCCTTTTTTATGGCTGCATAGTATTCCATGGTATACATGTGCCACATTTTCTTAATCCAGTCTATCATTGACGGGCATTTGGGTTGGTTTCAAATCTTTGCTATTGTGAATAGTGCAGCAATAAACATACGTGTGCATGTGTCTTTATTGTAGAATGATTTATAATCTTTTGGGTATATGCCCAATAGTGGGATTGCTGGGTCAAATGGTATTTCCAGTTCTAGATCCTTGAGGAGTCGTCACACTGACTTCCACAATGGTCGGACTAATTTGCACTCCCACCAACAGTGTAAAAGCGTTCCAATTTTTCCACAACCTCTCCAGCATCTATTGTTTCCTGATTTTTAATGATCGCCATTCTAACTGGCATGAGATGGTATCTCACTGTGGTTTTGATTTTCATTTCTCTAATGACTAGTGATGATGAGCATTTTTTCATATGTCTGTTGGCTGCATAAATGTCTTCTTTTGAGAAGTATCTGTTCATATCCTTTGCCCATTTTTTGATGGGGTTGTTTGCTTTTTTCTTGTAAATTTGTTTAAGTTCTTTGTAGATTCTGGATATTAGCCCTTTGTCAGATGGATATATTGCAAAAATGTTCTCCCATTCTGTAGGTTGCCTGTTCACTCTGATGATAGTTTATTTTGCTGTGCAGAAGCTCTTTAATTAGAACCCATTTGTCAATTTTGGCTTTTGTTGCCATTGCTTTTGGTGTTTTAGACATGAAGTCTTTGCCCATGCCTATGTCCTGAATGGTATTGCCCAGGTTTTCTTCTAGGATTTTTATGGTCCTAGGTCTTACGTTTAAGTCTTTGTTCCATCTTGAGTTGATTTTTGTATAAGGTGTAAGGAAAGGGTCCAGTTACAGTTTTCTGCATATGGCTAGCCCGTTTTCCCAACACCATTTATTAAATAGGGAATCTTTTCCCCATTGCTTGTGTGTGTCAGGTTTGTCAAAGATCAGATGGTGGTAGACGTGTGGTGTTATTTCTGAGGCCTCCATTCTGTTCCATTCGTCTGCATATCTGTTTTTGTACCAGTGCCATGCTGTTTTGGTTACTGTAGGCTTGTAGTAAAGTTTGAAGTCAGGTAGTGTGATGCCTCCAGCTTTGTTCTTCTTGCCCAGGATTGTCTTGGCTAGGTGGGCTCTTTTTTGGTTCCATATGAATCTTAAAGTAGTTTTTTCCAATTCTGTGAAGAAAGTTAGTGGTAGCTTGATGGGGATAGCATTGAATCTATAAATCAGTTTGGGCAACAAGGCCATTGTCATGATATTGATTCTTCCTATCCATGAGCATGGAATGTTTTTCCATTTGTTTGTGTCCTCTCTTATTTCCTTGAGCAGTGCTTTGTATTTTATTTTCTTAGTAGCAATTGTGAATGGGAGTTCACTCATGATTTGGCTCTTTGTCTATTATTGGTATATAGGAATGCTTGTGATTTTTGCACACCGATTTTGTATCCTGAGACTTTGCTGAAGTTGCTTATCAGCTTAAGGAGATTTTGGGATGAGACGATGGGGTTTTCTAAATATACAATCATGTCATCTGCAAACAGAGACAATTTGACTTCCTCTCTTCCTATTTGAATATGCTTTATTGCTTTCTCTTGCCTGATTGCCCTGGCCAGAACTTCCAATACTATGTTGAATAGGAGTGGTGAGAGAGGGCATCCTTGCCTTGTGCTGGTCTTCAAAGGAAATGCTTCCAGCTTTTGCCCATTCAGTATGCTATTGGCTGTGGGTTTGTCATAAATAACCTCTTATTATATTGAGATACATTCCATCAATACCTAGTTTATTGAGGGTTTTTAGCATGAAAGGCTGTTGAATTTTGTTGAAGGCCTTTTTTGTATCTATTGAGATAATCATGTGGTTTTTGCCGTTGGTTCTGTTTATGTGATGGATTATGTTTATTGATTTGCATATGTTGAACCAGCCTTGCATCCCAGGGAAGAAGCTGACTTGATCGTGGTGGATAAGCTTTTTGATATGCTGCTGGATTCGGTTTGCCAGTATTTTATTGAGGATTTTCGCATCGATGTTCATCAGGGATATTGGCCTAAAATTCTCTTTTTTTGTTGTGTCTCTGCCAGGCTTTGGTATCAGGATGATGTTAGCCTCATAAAATGAGTTAGGGAGGATTCCCTTTTCTTCTATTGATTGGAATAGTTTCAGAAGGAATGGTACCAGCACCTCTTTGTACCTTTCGTAGAATTTGGCTGTGAATCCGTCTGGTCCTGGACTTTTTTTGGTTGGTAGGCTATTAATTATTGCCTCAATTTCAGAACCTGTTACTGGTTTATTCAGAGATTCAACTTCTTCCTGGTTTAGTCTTGGGAGGGTGTATGTGTCGAGGAATTTATCCATTTCTTCTAGATTTTCTAGTTTATTTGTGTAGAGGTGTTTATAGTATTCGCTGATGGTAGTTTGTATTTCTGTGGGATCAGTGGTGATATCCCCTTTATCATTTTTTATTGCATCTATTTGACTCTTCTCTCTTTTCTTCTTTTTTAGCCTTGCTAACGGTCTATCAATTTTGTTGATCTTTTCAAAAAACTAGCTCCTGGATTCACTGATTTTTTGAAGGGTTTGTTGAGTCTCTATCTCCTTCAGTTCTGCTCTGATCTTAGTTATTTCTTGCCTTCTGCTAGCTTTTGAATTTGTTTGGTCTTGCTTCTCTAGTTCTTTTAATTGTGATGTTAGGGTGTTGATTTTAGATCACTCCTGCTTTCACTTGTGGGCATTTAGTGCTATAAATTTCCCTCTACATACTGCTTTAAACATGTCCTAGAGATTCTGGTACATTGTGTCTTTGTTCTCGTTGGTTCCAAAGAACATCTTTATTTCTGCCTTCATTTCGTTATTTACCCAGTAGTCATTCAGGAACAGGTTGTTCAGTTTCCATGCAGTTGTGCAGTTGAGTGAGATTCTTGATCCTGAGTTCTAATTTGATTGCATTGTGGTCTGAGACGGTTTGTTGTGATTTCTGTTCTTTTGCATTTGCTGAAGAGTGCTTTACTTCCAATTATGTGGTCAATTTTGGAATAAGTGTGATGTGGTGCTGACAAGAATGTATATTCTGTTGATTTGGGGTGGAGAGTTCTGTCGATGTCTATTAGGTCTGCTTGGTCCAGAGCTGAGTTCAAGTCCTGGATATCTTTGTTAATTTTCTGTCTTGTTGATCTGTCTAATATTGACAGTGGGGTGTTAAAGTCACCCATTAATATTGTGTGGGAGTCTAAATCTCTTTGTAGAACTTGCTTTATGAATCTGGGTGCTCCTGTATTGGGTGCATATATATTTAGGATAGTTAGCTGTTCTTGTTGAATTGATCCCTTTACCATTATGTAATGACCTTCTTTGTCTCTTTTGATCTTTGTTGGTTTAAAGTCTGTTTTATCAGAGACTAGGATTGCAACCCCTGCTTTTTTCTGCTTTCCATTTGCTTGGTAAATCTTCCTACATCCTTTTATTCTGAGCCTATGTGTGTCTTTGCACATGAGATGGGTCTCCTGAATATAGCTCACTGATGGGTCTTGACTGTTTATTCAATTTGCCAGTCTGTGTCTTTTAATTGGGGCATTTATCCCATTTACATTTAAGGTTAATATTGTTATGTGGGAATTTGATCCTGTCATTATGATGCTAGCTGGTTATTTCATCCATTAATTGATGCAGTTTCTTCATAGTGTTGATGGTCTTTACCATTTGGCATGTTTTTGCAGTGGCTGGTACTGGTTGTTCCTGTCCATTTTAGTGCTTACTTCAGGAGCTCTTGTAAGGCAGGCCTGGTGGTGACAAAATCTCTCAGCATTTGCTTGTCTGTAAAGGATTTTATTTCTCCTTCACTTAAGAAGCTTAGTTTGGCTGGATATGAGATTCTGGGTTGAAAATTCTTTTCTTTAAGAATGTTGAATATTGGCCCCCATTCTCTTCTGGCTTGTAGGGTTTCTGCCCAGAGGTCCGCTGTTAATCTGATGGGCTTCCCTTTGTGGGTAACCTGACCTTTCTCTCTGGCTGCCCTTAACAGTTTTTCCTTCATTTCAACCTTGGTGAATCTGACAATTATGTGTCTTGGGGTTGCTCTTCTTGAGGAGTATCTTTGTGGTGTTCTCTGTATTTCCTGAATTTGAATGTTGGCCTTCCTTGCTAGGTTGGGGAAGCTCTCCTGGATAATATCCTGAAGAGTGTTTTCAAACTTGGTTCTGTTCTCCCCATCACTTTCAGGTACACCAATCAAACATAGATTTGGTCTTTTCACATAGTCTCATATTTCTTGGAGGCTTTGTTCATTTCTTTTCACTCTTTTTTCTCTAATCTTGTCCTCTCGCTTTATTTCATTAATTTGATCTTCAGTTACTGATATCCTTTCTTCCACTTGATCGAATTGGCTATTGAAGCTTGTGTATGCTTCACGAAGTTCCCGTACTGTGGTTTTCAGCTCCATCAGGTCATTTAAGCTCTTCTCTACACTGGTTATTCTAGTTAGCCATTTGTCTAACCTTTTTTCAAGATTTTTAGCTTCCTTGCGACGCATTAGAACATGCTCCTTTAGCTTGGAGAAGTTTGTTATTACCGACCTTCTGAAGCCTACTTCTGTCAACTTGTCAAACTCATTCTCTGTCCAGTTTTGTTCCCTTGCTGGCAAGGAGTTGTGTTCCTTTGGAGGAGAAGAGGCATTCTGGTTTTTGGAATTTTCAGCCTTTCTGGTCTGGTTTCTCCCCATCTTTGTGGTTTTACCTACCTTTGGTCTCTGATGTTGGTGTCCTATGGATGGGGTTTTGGTGTAGATGTCCTTTTTTTGATGTTGATGCTATTCCTTTCTGTTAGTTTTCCTTCTAATAGACAGGCCCCTTAGCTGCAGGTCTGTTGGAGTTTGCTGGAGGTCCACTCCAGACCCTGTTTGCCTGGGTGTCACCAGTGGAGGCTGCAGAACAGCAAATATTGCTGCCTGATCCTTACTGTGGAAGCTTCGTTCCAGTGGGGCATCTACCTCTCTGAGGTGTCTTTCGGCGCCTACTGGGAGATGTCTCCCAGTCAGGCTACACGGGGGTCAGGGACCCACTTGAGGAGGCAGTCTGTCTATTATCGGAGCTTGAACGCGGTGCTGGGAGAACCACTGCTCTCTTCAGAGCTGTCAGGCAGGGACGTTTAAGTCTGGAGAAGCTGTCTGCTGCCTTTTGTTCAGATATGCCCTGCCCCTGGAGGTGGAATCTACAGAGACAGTAGGCCTTGCTGAGCTGTGGTGGGCTCTGCCCAGTTTGAGCTTCCCTGCTGCTTTGTTTACACTGTGAGCATAGAACCGCCTACTCAAGCCTCAGCAATGGCGGACACCTCTACCCCGCCAAGCTCCCACGTCCCAGGTCGATTTCAGACTGCTGGCGCTAGCAGTGAGCAAGGCTCTGTGGGCGTGGGACCCACTGAACCAGGCATGGGAGGGGATTTCGTGGTCTGCCAGTTGCGAAGACTGTGGGAAAAGAGCAGTATTTGGGCAGGAGTGTACCCCTCCTCCAGGTATAGTCACTCACGGCTTCCCTTGGCTAGGAAAGGGAAATCCCCCGACCCCTTGGCGCTTCCCAGGTGAGGCGATGCCCCACCTTGCTTCGGCTAACCCTCTGTGGGCTACACCCACTGTCCAGCCAGTCCCAGTGAGACGAACCAGGTACTTTAGTTGAAAATGCAGAAATCACCCATCTTCTGTGTCCATCCTGCTGGGAGCTGTAGACTGGAGCTGTTCCTATTCGGCCATCTTCAATTTATTTTTATTTTTATTTTTTGTGGAGACAGGGTCTCACTTTGTTGCCCAGGCTGGTCTTGAACTCCTGGGCTCAAGCAGTCCTCCTGCCTCTGCCTCCAAAGTGCTAGAACTAAAGGCATGAGCCACCATGCCCAGCCCTCTTGAATGTTTTATAGTTTTCGTTATACAAGTCTTATACTTATTTTGTTAAATTTATTCCTAAGTATTTAATTCTCTTTGGTGATATTGTGAACACAATTTTCTTTATTTCATTTTTGGAGTTTTCTGAACAGAAAAATACAATTGATTTTCTGTATATTGATCTAGCCTGTGACCTTGCTGAACTTGATTAATTCTATTACACTATGATTTTTTGTTGTGGTTAGACCCTTACACAATCAAATGAGGTTAAAAAAAATTGTCAGAGTGGCCCCAGACCAACAACAGGATGACAGTAGCCTTTGCCCATACAGAGATAAAATTTAGTTTTTGCAGTCCTTTCCCATAGAGATTGTATGGCAGTAGCCAATTCTATGGCCTACTGCCATACAACCTGAACTGAAGTCCAGAAAGTTTAGGTGACTGGGCCACAGAGCTAATTACTGGTGGAGCCAAGAAGAGAAATTATATCCCTACCTCCTTGCCCACTAAGCTCCCCATTCCAGTGGGCTGCTTTCTGGTCCTTTTCCATGATTGGGCTTTAGTAGCTGTCATTTCCTCCAGTGTCCAAGAGTATTTTCTTGGCCTTCCAGTAAAGCTCCCCAAGTTGTCTGTGTTCCGCCTCAACTGCTAACTTGCCTACCTGATAAACATTTTGAAAAGCAATCTAAATTCTAGAAATTGTCTCTCCTGCAAACAAACTACAGATTCCATTTAAAGCATTTCCTTGAGTCCAGAAAGTTCTGAGATTTTCCTGTTTTGGACTAGACTTCCAAAGGGCTTCATCTTAAATTGTATGTATTTATTGACCTAATTGTTTACTGATCTTTAGAATTTAGAGTTTAGGTTGGGAGGTCAAAATCATAACTTTCTCAATTTTTTTGGCAAACTGATATGATGGCTGGAAATCATCCAGAAAAAGTAGAGATCATTATATTTTCTTGAATATTCATTCAAGTTTCAATTTAATACTTAAACATTCATTTTCGAATAAAAATACTATGTCTTGTACTAGGGATACAAAGACTTGGTTATTCTTGTTGGAGTAATGATTCTCCTCTATCTGGGGAGGTCATCCTCTGCAGTTGGGGACTGAAGGACTGGGAGATGGGAGATTGAAACTTAAAGAGGTAAAGGTATGTCTTGGAATAAAACTAGTTATCAGTCACCACCAGACCATCATGGCGGCTAGAATTCCAGAAACGGTGAATAGAAGTTCATCTTCTATTTTGTCTTCATGGAATATATCTGTGAAGCAAAAAAGGATACTTTGAGTAAAACATGTATTGGGAGGCCAAGGCAGGCAGATCATGAGGTCAGGAGTTTGAGACCAACCTGGCCAGCATGGTGAAACCCCCATCTCTACTAAAAATACAAAAAAACCCAAAAAGTTTGCCAGGCATGGTGGCATGCACCTGTAGTCCCAGCTACTCGGAAGGATGAGGCAGAAGAATTGCTTGAACTCGGGAGGCAGAGATTGCAGTGAGCCAAGATTGCACCATTGCACTCCAGCCTGGGTGACAGAGCAAGACACCATCTCAAAAAAAACCCAAAAAACAAAACAACAAAAAAACATGTAAAGTATTTTACTAGCTGTTGTAGACACTGTGTGTCTTGTCAATATTCATTCAATTTCTTCCCCATCATGTATATTCTACCCAACAACAGTTTGGGTGGAGTAGACTGAGCTTCGTATTCAACTTGAGGGCTAAGTTTTAACTGATCAAGGTCAACTGGAAAAGCCCTTCTCTTTCCTTCATCCCTAGCCAGAATGATTTCATTAGCTCTTCCCCTTATCCTTTGCCAGAATGATTTCGTTAGCTCACAGCATTCCCATGACCCCATGAATTGGTTCAGGGCTGTCCTCAGTCAGGATGAAGTTCAAGACTCTCACCAAGGCAGTATGGTATGCTATATATAAAACTGGAGCCTACTGAACATTTTTGCCCCTCTGCTAGACACCTTCTAAGATATCCCCCAATGGCTGTTGTCTCCTGGTATTCATGCCCTTGTATAATCCTCTCACCTTGAGTATGGGCTGGACCTAGTGACTAGTTTCTAACTAACAGAATATAGCAAAAGTGATGGGATGTCACTTCTGAGATTAGTTATTAATACAAAAAGACTGTGGCTTCCATCATGGGTATCCTCTCTCACTGGCTCACTCCGATGGAAGCCACATGCCATGTTGTGAGGTGCACTCTAGAAAGGCCTATGGGCAGGGGATTAGGGGAGGTTTCTAGACAACAGTGAGAAACTGAGACCCTGAGTTCAATAGTCTATGAGGAGTGCGATCCTGCCAACAACCACATGAGTGAGCCTGAAGGAGATCTTCCATTCTAGCCTTCAGGTGACATCATAGCGCTGGCAGATAGCTTAACTGTAACATCAGGAAAGACCCTGAGCCAGAGGCTCCCAGTTCAACTGCACCTAGATTCCTGACTCACAGAAACTGTGACATAAAAAATGTTTGTTACTTTAAACCACAAACATCTTTTTTGTTTGTTTGTTTGTTTGGAGAAATTTGTTAGTAACAAAAGTTAACTAATATACCACAATAACAAAAGGTAGTTGGAAATGGATTTTTTTTCTGTTATTCACAACTGAAAGCATATTAATATACTAGGTAGTAATCTTCAAAAGGTTACTAGATATTAAAATCTCTAAACTCAAATGAATTTACCATGGCATACCAAAATAATGCAAACAAAAAAACCTTCTATCCTTCTACTCACAACCATCTTCATTTCTCATATAGAAAATTATGTAATAAGGGCCATTCATTCATAATCCTTTATAATACTGACAAAGTAATCTGGGCCAAGATTTACCTTTGATTACTTAAGCAAATGAACAATGTAAATAAATAATGATCATAGGGGAACTGTTAAGTCCACTTAAAACATCTACTGTTGAAAGTCCTTAAAACTACTTTAACATCATCTGTTTATGTACAAGTTTAAAATATGCTAGTTAAAATGATTTTTAATTGGTATCTATTCATTACAGCAGGTTTAGAAGGACTTCTGGCTAGGTACTGTTTGCTCTCAGTCTGAAATAGAAACCTCTTTTTTTTTTTTTTTTTGAGACAGGGTCTTGCTCTGGTGCCCAGGCTGGAGTGCAGTGGTGTGATCATGGCTCACTGCAGCCTCGACCTCCTGGGCTCAAGAAATCCTCCTGCCTCAGCCTCCCGAGTAGCTGGGATTACAGGCAGGTGCCACCTGTAGGCAACCATATCTGACTAATTTTTTTATTTTTTGTAGAGACAGGATCTCTACAAAACTGGGCAACTTTGTTGCCAGACTGGTCTTGAACTCCTGGGCTCAAGCGATCCTCCCACCTTGGCCTCCCAAAGTGCTGGAATTTTAGGCATAAGCTACTGCACCCAGCCAAGACACCTGTCAACCAATGTACAAAGGATGTCATGGACTGAGGAGTATGATTGGTTTAAATTCCAACCTCTCCATATTCTTTAAGGGCCTTTGAATGTTATGCTTATACAAACCAACCCAAGCTCACTCCTTCAGTAAAAGCCTTTGCTATATAGTGTCCTCAGAGTAGCAGGATCACTTGAAAAGACCATTGGGTATAAATTGGGGGGCAGTTACAGTGCTAATTCCTTTTTTTTTTTTTTTGAGATGGAGTTTTGCACTGTCACCCAGGCTGGAGTGCAGTGGCACAATCTCGGCTCACTGCGACCTCCACCTCCTGAGTTCAAGTGATTCTCCTGCCTCAGCCTCCTGAGTAGCTGGGATTACAGGCACTTGCCACCACGCCCAGCTAATTTTTGTATTTTTAGTAGAGACAGGGTTTCACCATGTTGGCCAGGCTGGTCTTGAAATCCTGACCTCAAGTGATCCTCCTGCCTCAGCCTCCCAAAGTGCTGGGATTACAGGCATTAGCCACTGCGCACCCGGTCTGGTATTCTTTCTTAATCACCAAAATCACCTCTTTCAAATATCTTTCCTGTATATTTAGAGATTTGATTAAAGATTGTTTTATAGGCCAGGCACGGTGGCTCACGCTTGTAATCCCAGCACTTTGGGAGGCTGAGGCAGGCAGATCACGAGGTCAAGAAATCGAGACCATCCTGGCCAACATGGTGAAACCCCATGTCTACTAAAAATACAAAAATTAGCTGGGCGTGGTGGTGCACGCCTGTAGTCCCAGCTACAGGGAGGCTGAGGCAGGAGAATCGCTTGAACTGGGAGGCAGGTGTTGCAGTGAGCTGAGATTGCACCACTGCATTCCAGCCTGGCAACAGAGCGAGACTCCGTCTCAAAAAAAAAAAGATTGTTTTATAAAAATTCAAATAATAAAAATAAATATTAAATGACAGACATAATAAGAGCTATCTATGACAAACCCACAGCCAATATCATACTGAAAAACTGGAAGCATTCTCTTTGAAAAATGGGCACAAGACAGGGATGCCCTCTCTCACCACTCCTATTCAACATAGCGTTGGAAGTTCTGGCCAGGGAAATCAGGCAGGAGAAGGAAATACAGGGTATCAATTAGGAAAAGAGGAAGTCAAATTGTCCCTGTTTGCAGATGACATGATTGTATATCTAGAAAACCCCATCGTCTCAGCCCAAAATCTCCTCAAGCTGATAAGCAACTTCAGCAAAGTCTCAGGATACAAAATCAATGTACAAAAATCACAAGCATTCTTATACACCAATAACAGACAAACAGCCAAATCATGAGTGAACTCCCATTCACAATTGCTTCAAAGATAATAAAATACCTAGGAATCCAACTTACAAGGGATGTGAAGGACCTCTTCAAGGAGAACTACAAACCACTGCTCAATGAAATAAAAGAGGATACAAACAAATGGAAGAACATTCCATGCTCATGGGTAGGAAGAATCAATGTCGTGAAAATGGCCATACTGCCCAAGGTAATTTATAGATTCAATGCCATCCCCATAAAGCTACCAATGACTTTCTTCACAGAATTGGAAAAAACTACTTTAAAGTTCATATGGAACCAAAAAAGAGCCTGCATTGCCAAGTCAATCCTAAGCCAAAAGAACAAAGCTGGAGGCATCACGCTACCTGACTTCAAACTATACTACAAGGCTACAGTAACCAAAACAGCATGGTACTGGTACCAAAACAGAGATATAGATGAATGGAACAGAACAGAGCCCTCAGAAATAATGCCGCATATCTGCAACTATCTGATCTTGGACAAACCTGACCAAAACAAGAAATGGGGAAAGAATTCCCTATTTAATAAATGGTGCTGGGAAAACTGGCTAGCCATATGTAGAAGGCTGAAACTGGATCCCTTCCTTACACCTTATACAAAAATTAATTCAAGATGGATTAAAGACTTACATGTTAGACCTAAAACCATAAAAACCCTAGAAGAAAACCTAGGCAATACCATTCAGGACATAGGCATGGGCAAGGACTTCATGTCTAAAACACCAAAAGCAATGGCAACAAAAGCCAAAATTGACAAATGGGATCTAATTAAACTAAAGAGCTTCTGCACAGCAAAGAAACTACCATCAGAGTGAACAGGCAACCTACAGAATGGGAGAAAATTTTTGCAACCTACTCATCGACAAAGGGCTAATATCCAGAATCTACAATGAACTCAAACAAATTTACAAGAAAAAAGCAAACAACCCCATCAAAAAGTGGGTGAAGGATATGAACAGACACTTCTCAAAAGAAGACATTTATGCAGCCAAAAGACACATGAAAAAATGCTCATCATCACTGGCCATCAGAGAAATGCAAATCAAAACCACAATGAGATACCATCTCACACCAGTTAGAATGGCGATCATTAAAAAGTCAGGAAACAACAGGTGCTGGAGAGGATGTGGAGAAATAGGAACACTTGTACGCTGTTGGTGGGACTGTAAACTAGTTCAACCATTGTGGAAGTCAGTGTGGCGATTCCTCAGGGATCTAGATCTAGAAATACCATTTGACCCAGCTATCCCATTACTGGGTATATACCCAAAGGATTATGAATCATGCTGCTATAAAGACACATGCACACATATGTTTATAGAGGCACTATTCACAATAGCAAAGACTTGGAACCAACCTAAATGTCCAACAATGATAGACTGGATTAAGAAAATGTGGCACATATACACCATGGAATACTATGCAGCCATAAAAAATGATGAGTTCATGTCCTTTGTAGGGACATGGATGAAACTGGAAACCATCATTCTCAGCAAACTATCACAAGGACAAAAAACCAAACACCGCATGTTCTCACTCATAGGTGGGAATTGAACAAAGAGAACACATGGACACAGGAAGGGGAACATCACACACCGGGGACTGTTGTGGGGTGGGGGGTGGGGGAGGGATAGCATTAGGAGATATACCTAATGTTAAATGACAAATTAATGGGTGCAGCACACCAACATGGCACATGTATACATATGTAGCAAACCTGCACATTGTGCACATGTACCCTAAAACTTAAAGTATAATAATAATAAAATTAAAAAAAATAATAAAATAAATGACAGACATCAAGTATGCTTGTGGGAAAGAGATAGGATTAGAGGCAGAGGTGAAGGGGGAATTTTCCTTTTATATTTATGCAGTCTGTATTGCTTAATTTTTATTTTACAACATTCTGTATTGCTTTTATAATTTAAAAAACGTTAAAAAAAAAAAAAAAAGAAAATCTCCCTGAGAGAATCTCATTTGTAGCTTAGGATGAATTTCCTCAATTATAACATTAAATCAGTACCTATCTGAGCATGCACTTTGGGATTGTGTGAAATGAGAAGGAAGGAATACATGGAAAGTTATAATTAAGGCAGGACAAGGAAGGGAATATTCTGATGGGCAGTTCTGAAAGAGGGAAGGGTTTGGGATAGTAGGAGAGGGCTGTGTATCTGGGAACAGGGTTAGGATTCAACAAAGTCAGACTTGTAAATTCACCTGCTTATCTGTACATGAAATGACTAAGGTATTGGCTGGGTAGGGGTTGATTTCACTGAAAGGGGCAGTAGGATGAGGATGTTCACAATGGATCACTGCAGTAGCCGAGTTGAAGTAAACTGCTACTTCCTGGGAAGAAACTTATCAGATGGGACATGTGGGATAGCCTACACTTGAGTATGAAACTGATAATGCGGAGCTTCCTGGACTGCAAAAAACAGAACTGTTGTAACCTACAAGAGAGGAATGCAACAAATATGGGGCACAAAGTAAGTAGACAGGAAGTGACTGAGGCAGTTGAGAACTAAGGGATATCATGTCCTTCCTTAGCAAACTGAGGGCATCTTGAGGTCTGTACTTGGTTTTTACAATTTCCAATTAAAAAAAAAAAGAATCCACATAGGCAACAAATGAAGAATAAAAACCAAAATAAAACACAATCCAACTTACCACTCTGGTAAACAGCTGGTTCTAAATATGATGGTTAGACTTTCAAGGTCTTCATTTTTTAGATGTAATTCTTCAAGGAGGGTGTCTAGAAACCGTGTAAACACCATACCTTCCTGAGAATGTTTCTGAATGCCAAGAATTGGGGTCAGTCTGAAACAACCAAAAATACTAAATGCATATCCATGAAATGATAAGGGCAAAGGGACTCCTATCTTCAACATGGCAGAGAAAATTTTATGAGAATAATAAAGTCTCTTTGATTTAACTAAACTCCCAGAGAGAAGGCTTTACTAACAAAGGCAGAAGAGAAGTCTCAGGAAAAGACTGAAAGATCAAACATTAAGTATGAAAGAAGTATAAAAGCCTAAATCTATAATATGTTTGTTCTTCTTCATGCCAGCAAAAACTACTAAAATTCTGCTCAGAAAATGAACTCTTTCCATTTGGGAAAGGGAGGTTACGAAAAGGAGTTTAGAGCTGAGAATTGCTTTAAAAACATACTTATATTAGATGTTTGGATTATATCACCTAAAAAGACAATAGTAAACAAACAAGATTACCTTTTGAATGAAATTTTATTTGTTTTTTTTTTTTTGAGGCAGAGTCTCGCTTCTGTCATCTAGGCTGGAGTGCAGTGGTACAATCTCAGCTCACTGCAACCTCCACCTCCTGGGTTCAAGCGATTCTCCTGCCTCAGCCTCCCGAGTAGTTGGGATTATAGGTGCTTGCCACCACGCCCGGCTAATTTTCGTTTTTTTGGTAGAGACGGGGTTTCACCATGTTGGCCAGGCTGGTCTCGAACTCCTGGCCTCAGGCGATCCACCAGCCTCAGGCGATCCACCAGCCTCAGCCTCCCAAAGTGTTAGGATTACAGGCGTGAGCCACCATGCCTGGTCAACATTTTTATATTTATTTATTTATATTATTATTATTTTTAAATTTTTTGAGATGGAGTCTTGCTCTGTCACCCAGGCTGGAATGCAGTGGTGCAATCTCAGCTCACAGCAACCTCCTGGGTTCAAGCAATTCTCCTGCCTCAGCCTCCTGAGTAGCTGGGACTACAGGTGTGTGCCACCACGCCTGGCTAATTTTTGTATTTTTAGTAGAGATGGGGTTTCACCATGTTGGCCAGGCTGGTCTCGAACTCCTGACCTGAAACAATATACCTGCCTTGGCCTCCCAAAGTGCTGGGATTACAAGCGTGAGCCACCACGCCTGGCTAACATTTTTCTTTTTAAAACACTAAATAAATGAATTACGTCTTGTAAGGCACTTCATACCAATTCTGTAAGAAACAATACGCTTTTTTCTCTAATCATTTCCAGTAAGTACTCCTAAAGATTGACTCTGCACAATGGAATTTTAAAAGTAATTTAAACTGAAATGTGATCAGGACATGATTTTTAAAAACTGAGCAATATCTATTCTAATTATAAAGATTAAAGACCCTGACTTCTCATAAATATATATATTTTTTTCTCTAGAGAGTATGCGTCTCAGAGTTCTTACAAGTTACATTCCTAGAAAGCTTTTTGGGAGAAAATTCTTTTCTCCCCAAATAGTTTTACACTTCCCACAAAGCTCTTTCAGATATTTATTTAACCTTGGTTATTTGCCTGGGCATATTTAATAAAAATAAAATAACTCTCAAATTTAAATCAATAAAGCTCAAGAAATCAGAGCAGATCAGTTCCATAGTAGTCAGTGTGAAATGTAAGTGTTTTCTGAGAGGCAGATTTTCTTCCTTGCTTAGCCCATCCTATACGGAAAGTAGAAGTAAAAGGGAAATTTTGTCAGAATTGTCCAAATATGGCCAGGACTTCCAGAGGAGGTGGGAAATTCTCTATGTCCCTGAAGTATTTTAGCAAGAACTGGAGATGAGATGACTGCAATAGTCCAATGAAATCCATAGAATTCTAACTGGGAAAATTGCTATTGTGCATTCCTTTACCATCTCTCCTGTATTTCTTTGCAGCTAGGAGATGGAGTACTAAGTTCTCAGACTTCATGAGCTTTGTCTGCACATATTCCCCAAAGGTAGTTCATACTGAGAAATAGGACTACCCAAGTATTCCAATGCCAAGCCCAAGCTGGGTATAGAGGTAAACCTAGAGTTGTGGCCAGCTTTTTTTCTGAGGCATTTTCCTGTAGAGAAGATGGAACCGAGAAGCTAACTCTAGCTTTTCCAATACTTAAGTGATGTCAACATTTAAAATATTAAGTTGCTACTTCCCCATAGTAAGACCAAGAATAAGGGATGGGATAACACTGGCTAAAATAAAACCAAGAAGTCCAAGTCAGGCGGTTCAAATATACCAACTCCACAGAAACCTAGCTTTTGTTTATATTTAAAGTGGTACTGGCCGGGCGCGATGGCTCATGCCTGTAATCCCAGCACATTGGGAGGCCGAGGTGGGCGGATCATTTGGTCAGGAGTTCAAAACCAGCCTGGCCAACATGGTGAAACCCCATCTGTACTAAAAATAAAAAATAAAAAATAAATTAGCCTGGTGTGGTGGTGGGCACCTGTAATCCTAGCTACTCAGGAGGCTGAGGTAGGAGAATCGCTTGAACCCAGGAGGCGGAGGTTGCAGTGAGCAGAGATCACACCGCTGCACTCCAGCCTGGGCAACAGAGTGAGACTCCATCTCAAAAATGAATGAATGAATGAATGAATGAATGAATGAATAAATAAAGTGGTACTTATTTGACACATCCAAAACGACTTCTCTGACTTTCAAGGAGATTAGTATTTGGCTCATATGTGAAAATAAGGTTTTCTCAATTCCTTCTCAAAGTGCCATTAGTACTTAACCCAAATGTCCAAACTTAAACCTAAAATTATAAATAAATGGTGACTACTAGATTTCTCAATCTGTGTGCCCATATGAGAATAGCAAATGTAAAGAGTTATTACAGAGAAACAGCTGTAAGAGCTGCCCCTCTATCAACTGCCTTAGTTACAAACTATTTTAGGAATAATAATACTTCTCTAGAAAACTTGTAAGGCTAAAATGATTCTATAAATTACTAAAACCAAAATTTCTGTTTATAAAGAAATCCTTGGATTAATGAGAAACTTTAGGTAGGAGGAAACAAACAAACACAAAAGGAGAGCAAGGACATAATCCCACTACATGTTCCTGAGCCCATGGCAAATACTGCTCATCTATCAGGCATTCTTTTCTTAATGAGCTTGGACCTGCTTTGAGAATTATCAAAACAGGACTCTGAATAACCATTTCAACTGTTCAGGGCTGGCTCTTGAGATGAAACCTGTTCCCCCCCAGTCTAACTACAAGCCCTAGAGGAACTATGTACACAACCCAATTCTTTTTTTTTTTTTTTTTTTTTTTTGAGACAAAGTTTCGCTCTGTCATTAGGCTGGAGTGCAGTGGCACGATCTTGGCTCACTGCAACCTCCGCCTCCCAGGTTCAAGCGATTATCCTGCCTCAGCCTCCTGAGTAGCTGGACTACAGGCGTGTGCCACCACGCCCAGCTAATGTTTGTATTTTTAGTAGAGAAGTGGTTTCATCATGTTGGCCAGGATGGTCTCGATCTCTTGACCTTGTGATCCACCCGCCTCGGCCTCCCAAAATGCTGAGATTACAGGCATGAGCCACCGCGCCCGGCCTACACAACCCAATTCTAATCCTAGCCCTGCTAGGAATGCTTGTATGACTTGGGGCAAGTTGCACCTCAAAGCCTTAGGGTCTATCTATAAAATGGGGCTGATAATACTAAAGTACCTTAAAAGATTATTACAAAACTCAAATGGGATACTGTAGAGGAATAGCTCTTTTTATCAATTATAGTATTGGTTATATTATCAACTAACATTTACCATGTGCTACTTATGAGTACTTACCATGTACTATGTTCTAAACATGAATTATCTCCTTTAAATGTACAGAGATCCTAAGGATGTAGTTGTCACCTCCATTTAACAGACAAGGAAATAAAGGCATAAAAAATAGAAGTATCTTCCCCAAGTTCACAAAGATAGTAAGTAGCAGGTTAGGGCTTTGAACCTAAACAATTTATCTCAAAAAGCCCAAACTCTTAGCTAATATGCTAGCTTTCATTCTTTGTAGGCTATAAAGTGCTATAAATTTAATTGTTACTTGCCTGACTCATACGTACTGATCCCTCAATGAACATACAGAAGGAATAGAATGATTTAAATTTGCTTTAGAGAACTAGAGGACTACAGATGTAAAAATGGCAAGTAGTTGGGAGGCAGAAGGAAGTGCTGATAGAGAAATCACACAAAGTCTGGTGTCTGGTGGAGACAAGAATATCAACTTGGGGCCTAGAGATTTCTACAGCAAGTCATCAAACAAATAGATAGCAATCCTCAGGCATCTGGAGACAGGATTTCCTGACTATTCTTAACACGTGACCCCTAACTGTTGCTGCATAATTATATTCTTGGAAAGTTTAGTCAGTAAGGAAATAAGATTTCCTTTAATCTTATTTATTCCCTTGTATTTCCCTTTTAATCTTTAACTGAAAAGACTCCTCCCCCACCAGTCCCTAACAGAATATAAATGATTATAGATCTATATAATATAGTCGTCTCTCAGTATCTGTCGGGGATTGGCTCCAGGACCTCCCATGGAAATCAAATTCTGAGGATGCCCAGGTCCTTGATATAAAATAGCATAGTATTTGCATATAACCTATGCACATCCTCCCGTATACTTTAAATCATTTCTACATTACTTATAACATCTAATACTATGTAAGTGTTATGTAAATAGTTATACTGTATTTTTAAGGGGAAAATGACAAGAAAAAATGTCCATAGGTGTTCAAAGCAGATGCAGTTTTTTCTTTCCCTGAATATTTTAATTTTTTTTTTTTTTTTTTTGAGACAGAGTCTCACTCTGTCACCCAGGGTGGAGTGCAATGGCGCTATCTTGGCTCACTGCAACCTCTGCCTCCTGGGTTCAAGCGGTTTTTGGGCCTCTGCTTCCTGAGTGGCTGGGACTACAGGTGAGCGCCACCACACCCATCTAAATTTTTTGTTTGTTTGTTTTGAGACAGAGTCTCACCCTGTCACCCAGGCTGGGGTGCAGTGGCTCTATCTTGGCTCACTGCAACCTCCGCCTCTTGGGTTCAAGTGATTCTCCTGCCTTAGCCTCCTGAGTAGCTGGAATTATAGGCGTCCGCTACCACACCCAGCTAATTTTTGTATTTTTACTAGAGATGGGGTTTCACCATGTTGGCCAGACTGATCTTCAACTCCTGACCTCAAGTGATCTGCCCGCGTAGGCCTCCCAAAGTGCTGAGATTACAGGCTTGAGCCACTGCGCCTGTCCAATTTTTTGTATTTTTAGTAGAGACAGGGTTTCACCATGTTGCCTAGGCTGGTCTTGAACTCCTGAGCTCAGGCAGTCCACCTGCCTCAGCCTCCCAAAGTGCTAGGATTACAGGTGTGAGCCACTGCACCGGCCCTTTCCCTGAATATTTCTGATCTGTGATTCGCTGAATCCACAGTTACAGAACCCCTGTGTACAAAGAACTAACTGTATTAGCTTTCTAAGAGTTATAAGTTGAGAAATTATTTTTGGAATTAGGCGATGTATACATGAATAAATACTGTAATAGTTCCTGTGTATTTCTAAATATTAATCTAGTGGACTACTTTTGGAGTCATGTAAAACATATTATTTTTAAGATGCTGAACCCTGAAAATCTGATGTATAATATAATTTTATGAATGATTCATTCAAGAGTATTATGATTTGCTTTTATTTCCAAAGTAATTTACATTCAAAATTGAATAAGGTCTATATATAATCTTTATGTTTTCCAGATTCATTTAACATGCTTTATTACTTAATAGCACAGATTCCTTGCCCCATCTACTTTATTTTTATTTATTTATTAAATTTTATTTTATTTCAGTGGTTTTGGGGGAGCAGGTGGTTTTTGCTTACATAGATAAGCTCTTTAGAGGCGATTTCTGAGATTCTGGTGCACCCATCACCCAAGCAGTATACACTGTATCCAATGTGCAGTTTTTTAATCCCTCACTCCCTCTCACCCATCAACTTTATGTTTTATTACTTAATAGCAATTAACTACCTGCATGCTTTTCCAGTCTGGCTGCTTACTGGGCATTTTCTGAATTCCATGTTATGTCTGTAGCAAGAGGCTCTGTGTCTCCTTGCATAGATGAATCAGAAGTGAGATTATAACATTTTATCCGCCTACTATGGTTTTGATCAACTATAAGAATTGGTTGTAGCTATTGCCAAAGATGCTACTTACTATTGGGATTCTTTTTAGGACACATACTGCCCTAATGATAGGTGTCATTGGAGTAACTCGAGTTTAGGACCTATCTGATGTAGAGGTCCAAGCACTGAGCTTGGAGATAAGGTTCTATTCAGAGTGTGCTTTTGTTAGTAGTAACCATGGAAGAGGACTTTGTAAACCACAAAGCACCTAGCAACGCAGTCCCTATATGTGCATAGAACCAGGCCCAGTGAAAAATGAACAGACTTAATACCAGAACTGTTCTTTTCATGGTCAGTAATGGCCTCCTAACTTCCACTTCTGAAAGGCTCTTCTGTGTTCTCTTCCTAGTTAACTGCAGTATTGGATGTTTCTGATCACTTCCTCCCTTCCTAGAATTCTCCTCCTCTTAGTCATGGTTTTTCTCCTACCCCTGATTCTTTATAATCTCTCTTGTTGGCTTCTCAATGTAATAGAAT
The DNA here is from genome assembly GCF_000001405.40 of Homo sapiens. Taxonomy (NCBI): domain Eukaryota; kingdom Metazoa; phylum Chordata; class Mammalia; order Primates; family Hominidae; genus Homo; species Homo sapiens. The sequence continues at coordinate 92,374,147 of NC_000001.11, read as the reverse complement.
AGGTCAATGGACAACCTATGGTCCACAGGCCAAATTGGGCTTCCCATTTATTTCAAATACAGCCATAACCATTTATTTACATATTCCATAGTTGCTTTCATGCTACAACAGCACAATCAAGTAGTTGCAAGTGTAGTACCAGCAAAGACAAACATATTTATGATCTAGTCCTTTACCAAAGTTTGCCAACCCCTGTACTATTACATACAGCTTTAATTATTTTTTTTTGAGACCAAGTTTTGCTCTTGTTGCCCAGACTGGAGTACAATGGCGCTATCTCTGCTCACTGCAACCTCCGCCTCCTGGGTTCAAGCAGTTCTTCAGCCTGAGTCCCGAGTAGCTGGGATTACAGGTGCGCCACCACCACGCCTGGCTACTTTTTTTTTTTTTTTTTTTTTTTTTTTTTTTATTTTTAGTAGAGACGGGGTTTCACCATGTTGGCCAGGCTGCTCTCGAACTCCTGACCTCAGGTGATCCGCCTGCCCTGGCCTCCCAAAGTGCTAGGATTACAGGTGTAAGCCACTGTACATGGCCTTACAGTTTTAATTTAAAATGAATAACTCAGTCATTAATGTAATGCTTTATATACTATCGCTCTGATGATTAGAGCAATTACAACAGGAGATGAGAAATCTAAAGGAACCGTTTAGCTCTAGGATATTCACGGGCTGATCTATGAAAAATCTCTCACATACTGGACCACTTACGGATGGAGGATGCTTAGTAACCAAAACTATCTCATAAAAGTTTCCAGCTGGAGAGAGTATTTTCCCTGGCTCATTCTATTCCAATCATACTGGCTAACCATATCTCAATTTGTGCTGAGGTTAAATTTGTCCTCACTTTAGAGGCTTCTTTAGAGGCTTGCTTGGGGATATTCCCCCTCAGTTCTCTGCATGGTAGGATCCTTCATGTGATTCAGTTTTGTTTAATGTCACCTTTCCCTCTAAAAATCCATCCTCAGTCTCACCTCTCTACTTCCTTTCTTTGCTTTTTCTCCATCATCATTAATAATTGTCTATTTGTTTGCTTGTCTATCTCCATCCAAAAGAATGTGAACGTCATGAGGACAATGACTTCATATATTGTGTCCACTGTATCCGTCGTGCCTGTTACACTGTAGATCATCAATAATTACTTGTTGAAGAACTAGTTTAAGAGGACAATTATTTATTGTGATTACCGAAATGTTTTTCTCTTTCACAAAATTTTCCTCCTCTCATTTGGAAGATTGAGATGAGGCCTTGCTGTGTCACTCTGGCTGTAGTGCAGTGGTGCGATCATAGCTCACTGAAGCCTCGAACTCCTGGGCTCAAGCAATCCTCCTGCCTCAGCCTCCAAAGTATTAATAGCTGGGACTACAGGCATGTGCCACCATACCCGGCTACTTTAAAAAAATTTTTTTAGTGTCTTGCTATATTGCCCAGGGTGGTCTTGAACTCCTGGCCTCAAGCAATCCTCCTACCTCATCCTCCTGAGAGACTGGGATTATAGGTGTGAGCCACTGTGCTGGGCTCCCCTCCTTTCATTTTTAGAAGAATGGAGGAAACATTTTCTTCATTCCCCCTCCCCCAGGCCACACATTCTGCATCTTCCTGCCAGAATATTTCAAAACATCCATCAGTGAGGTGTGAGATGAGCTTTAAATTCATCAGGCATTAAATCATGACCTACCACTTGTTACTGAAATTCTCTTCCTCACTTCCATTTGTCCTGGAATTCAGTGTTGTCTGGGAAGCCCTACGACTGGCTAAGCATGAATAGTGCTATGTGCCACTGAGCAGGCTTAGGCGTTAGCTTTAATTCACTTCCAGAACTACAAAGGAAACTGTAGAGCAAGGGGCTGGGCCTGGAGTGGTTGCTTGGTCCCTTTCTCAGGAACAAAAGTACTTAATTAAGCCTTATAGGTGAAATATGAAAGGAGAGGAAATTCTTTTCATTCTAAATGATATGAGATTTACTTGGCCAAGGGAAGAAGCAATTTAGGGTATCTACATAAAGTTATTTTTTAATTGGCAAATAAAAATTGCATATATTTATGGAGTACAACATGATGTTTTGAAATATGTGTACATTGTGGAATGACTGCGTCAAGCTAATTAACATATGCATTACCTCATATACTTATTTTTATGTGGTAAGAACACTTAAATCTACTGTTTTGATGATGATGATAATAATGGCTAATATTTATTGCTTTCTAGGTGTAAGATACTTCTTTTTGTTTTGCTTTTTCTGGTTTTTTTTTTTTTTTTTTTGAGACAGGGTCTCACTGTCACCCAGGATGGAGTGCAGTGGTGCAATCGGAGCTCACTGCAGCCTCAATCTCCTGGCCTCAAGCAATCCTTCCACCTCAGCCTCCCAAAGTGCTGGGAATACAGGCATGAGCCACTGCACCTGGCCCAGGTTTTTTTTTTAAGATTCCACATATAAGTGAGATTGTGCAGTATTTGTATTTGTGCCTGGCTTATTTCACTTAACTTAACATCCTCCAGATTCACCTATGTCGTCACAAATAACAGGATTTCCTTCTTTTTAAAGCTGAATATATGCCGCTGTTTATATGTATATAATATATATACCATATTTTCTTTATTCATGTATCTGTTGATGGACACTTCGGCTGATTCCATATCTTGGCTATTGTGAACAATGCTGCAATGAAAATGGGAGTGCAGATGTCTCTTTGACATACTGATTTCATTTCCTGTGGATCTATCTTATCTATCTATCCATCTGTCTTATTTATCTACCTAGATACCTACCCACCCACCCACCCTTCAGTGGGATTGCTGGATTATACTGTAGGTATATATATATATATATATTTTTTTTTTTTTTTTGAGACAGAGACTCACTCTATTGCCCAGGCTGGACTGCAATGGCACGATCTCAGCTCACTGCGAACTCTGCCTTCCAGGTTCAAGTGATTCTCCTGCCTCAGCCTCCCGAGTAGCTGGGATTACAGGCACATGCCACCACGCCTGGCTGATTTTTCTATTTTTAGTAGAGACGGGGTTTCACCATGTTGGCCAGGCTGATCTCGAACTCCTGACCTCATGATCCACCCACCTTGGCCTCCCAAAGTGCTGGGATTACAGGCATGAGCCACAGTGCCCGGCCTATTTTTAATTTCTTGAGGAACCTCCACATTGTTCTCCATAATGGCTGTACTAATTTACACTCCCACTGACAATGTTCAAGGGTTCCCTTTTCCAGGTATCTTCACCAATGCTTGTTATCTATAGGTCTTTATTTCTGTGTAATTCTGGCTATCACTATTCTTGCATGGGGTATATTTTTATTTTTTTTAGGTAAATGAGAATAGCAGAAAGTATCAGCAAAATGAAGACTCAACTGTTTTGGGGATTTATACTCCCTTTCAGTCTCCTTCTATTAAGAATTAAATGAGACCCAAAGCCCCCACCCCCGTGTTTTTTTTTAAAGTCTCACCAAAGTAAGCAGAATAGACCCTTTCTTAATATAGTGATTTGGTCTCTTTTCACAAAACTGCTAATAAACTACCTACATGATTTTGAAGGATGGAGATTCTACACTTCTATGTGTAGCATGCTGCAACAGTTAATAAACCTTAAATTCTAGACACTGTTTCTCATATATAATCTAAATGTCTCTTGCAGGATTTTATTTTCTTCTTCATGGAACTTTTGTGGGTGTTTTTGGTGGGGGGGTACGAAAGCTCTTGAAGTTATTCCTTCATATTCTTGAAAATGATTCTCAGTTAATTCCAAGTCTTTTTAATCTTTCCTTATAGATGCCATCTGACTACTCCCTATTGGGATTGGTGTTTGCAGTGGTGTTCTTTCCTATACTCACTTCTAGCTTATCATTTTCTTAAAGCGTAGTGCCCCATAATATAAATATTGTCCAAACTGTCCAAATTCAGTACTTCAAAATATAAAACAAAACATGTCCAACCCCACAGAAATATATCATAAAATAGACTGGGCACAGTGGCTCATGCCTGTAATCCCAGCACTTTGGGAGGCTGATGCGGGCGGATCACTTTTGGCCAGGAGTTCAAGACAAGCCTGGCCAACATGGTGAAACCCCATCTCTACTAAAAATACAAAAATTAGCTGGGCATGGTGGCACATGCCTGTAGTCCCAGCTACTTGGGAGGATGAGGCACAAGAATCACTTGAACCCTGGAGGTGGGGGTTGCAGTAAGCCGAGATCGCACCACTGCACTCCAGCCTGGGTGACAGAGCAAGACTCTTGTCTCACAGAAAGAGAAACATACAAAATAAAAATGTTTACTTTCAGGTTATCTTTCTTTGAAGTACAATTGCAAGATCTTACCAAACACCTGCTTCCTCTCTTTTTCTTTTGTTAAATTGACTCCCCAGGCTCCTCTTTTCTCCTTATTCCTTTATCTGTGCAGTATAAATTATGATATACTAATTACTTACCTGTTTAATTTTTTCATTAATGAACAACTCCTACCCCAATACACAATGAAAGGGACTCAAGCCTCTATTCCAATCTTGCAACTTCTAATAGTGAATATCAAATAAATCCAGGATGGGAGTGGTGACTTATACCTGCAATCCCAGTGCATTGGAAGGCTGAGGTAGGAAGACTGTTTGAGGCCTGGAACTTGAGACCAGTCTGGGCAACAGAGCAAGATCCCATCTCTACTAAAAATAAAAAAATTAGTTGAGTGTGGAGGTGCACGCCTGAAGTCCCAACAAGAGGCTGAGGTGGGAGGATCGGTTCCCACAACTTGTAAACTTGACCCCAGGAGTTCAAGTTTACAGTGCGCTATGATCATGTCACTGTACTCCAACCTGGATGAAACAGCGAGACAGACCTTGTCTCTAAAACATAAACAAAACAAACAAGCAAAACCCCATAATAACATGGTGGGCCCAAATAACTTCTATGTAAATAAAAAACAGTAATTTATACTACAGCTGATATTTAATGTGTTTTATGCAGGAAATACTTATTAAAATAATCAGCAGAGAATGTGATTGGCTGTAAGTAAAAACAAAAGATTTCTGTTGAAAGTTATTTCTTTCAATTGCTTTTAAGTATGAATAAAAACCTCAAAAGGTGACACTTAAGATGGCTTAACACAGGCTATCTGCTGGTGAATATAATTTGAAAACAACTCACATGATAAAAACTTACAATGTATAAATCACAAATGAGGAAACTGCTCATGAAACCTCCACCAATTCAAACCTCACTTCTGAAAATACAGATATCCTTCTATAACAATTCTTTACCATATGGTAAGTGGCGTAACAACAAAAGCAAAAAGCCAAGTGTCAAACTGCATCTTATTGATAAGACCTTTATTTAGCTGACTGCTCCACATATGCTACACATCAAAAGGAAAGAATGTAAATCAGGTTAGGACAAGTACCCTCCATTTGTTATTACTGAGCTATCAAACAACATCTGGTTAACAGGAATTATTATATACAGTAGTAAGAAGAGTTTCCAAGTTTGGGCAAGATAACTGAATCAAGAGAGAGATTTTTAATTAAAAGTTGGCATTTTTATTAAAACCTTCTATCCAAGGATTTAGAGCTGTACAAACTCTTGACTAAACCTCAGAAGTAAGGTACCCATAATTTTGGAAGTCACCAGTTTGTATTCTGTCAACAGAAAAATATATATAAAGAGTTAAAGTTGTGGTTTATTGAGCAAGTAGAGCTAAACTGATGAATCTCTATGTTTTTTATCTCGTGGAGTACAATAAAAGTCAGTAACGAACTTGGATTTTTTTCTTTTTTTGAGACAGAGTCTTGCTCTGTCGCCCAGGCTAGAGTGCAGTGGCACGATCTCGGCTCACTGCAACTTCTGCCTCCTGGGTTCAGGCGATTCTCCTGCCTCAGCCTCCCGAGTAGCTGGCATTACAGGTGCCCACCACCACGCCTAGCTAATTTATGTATTTTTATTAGAGATGGGGTTTCAGCGTGTTGGCCAGGCTGGTCTCAAACTCCTGACCTTGTGACCCACTGTGGCCAGCCATGAACTTGGATTTTTAAGTGGCCTTCCCCATTCTGGTCCCTATTGTCTTGCTCACTGCACTCATACTGAACCACTGGAAACTCCATATTGTAGCTCCACAATCTGAATTATCCTTTCCTGAATAATCCTAGGTGATACGTGTGAAGATCACATCAGGCACCTTCCTAAAATGATATAGCACAGATAGCTGCAAACCTGACTTTCAAAACTGGACAGAAGTAATAACTCTCTCATAGAAGGATTTTCCTGAGCGTTCATAATTTATTTCCAAATTTGCAAAATCAAACGAGTAGGCAGTTATAAAATGACACGGAACAACACTCCTCATACTCCACATAATCTTTCTTACAGAATAAAGAGCTGTGAGAATGTCTATGTGAATAAAATGTCACCAGAAAGCATGCTTCTCTATGGTTTGGGGTTGGAGGAAGGGACAGGAAGTGAAAGGCCACACACTTTTCTGTACCTATCAGATTTGAGAAATTACTGGGTTCATGCAGAGTTCTGCTGCAGTAGGGAGACCTGTTCTGCTGATTACCATGCATAAAGGTGATGAAGATGTAAAGACTGCTAAAAGATAACATTGGGCTGAAAAGAAAATTTTTTTAAACACTCATTCTCTCACCCTTCAGAAGTTAGGGCTGGGAAGGAGAAGGTAGGAAGATTATTTCTGTCAAACAGCCATACCTTCAATGTGTACATGCACAGGCACTATGTTTATCACTTTAACCAATTAAAACAAATGGGTATTATAATACCTGACACTTTGAAGGCTTACAATCAAACAAACGCAAAAGCCGTCTGGGATAGATGAGGCACTAATTAATAATGGGTTGGGTAAGTAAAGAATCTAAAAGAAGAGGTTTAACAGCATAGTCTTATTTTAGGAGGCTATACGGTTATATTTGAGGAAATCACACTTAATTTTCCCAAATGTGTTTTAGGTGCAACCTATCCAGTCACTTTCCTTTTGAGAGCTGAAGTACCTGAAGCTTTGGAGATGGTAAAGGAATTATTGAGGGTCATACTGGCTAAGAAGAGTGCTAAAAGTGGAGACCTTTATCACAAAGGTATCTTGTTTATTTGCTTATCTATCAAGCCCCAATATTTTCTTCCTGCATGGCAGTAACAACTGTCACCTTACCCATATTTTATCTTCTTCTAAAACTTGAGTAGAGATTTCTCCCTTTTCTACAAGAACAAGTGGTAAATGATCAAGGATTAAACCAAAATACCTGTTTGCACACCCATACAATCAAAACTGAAATGAAGAGCTGTGACCAGTAACACCAAGGGTCAAAATGTCACCTATTTCCAGAAATTGCAGGGCTCCATACAAACCCCAGACATTTTGCAAAATGCCTCTCTCAGATACTGAAAAAAAAGTCTGGTATATACTTTCAAAAGGAATTTTATCTGTATGTTAGATAAAATATACAATATATACTGCATGCTCCTTAGCATGAAAGTAATTACAATTTCATGTTTAATATTAACTCTTTCTCTGCCTTGCTTGTTTGTTATTGAGGAAAAGGCAGAAGATTCAACTCCATTAGTGAGACACCGAAAACATCTGTCTCACATGTGGCCCCTGGCTTCCTCCCCAAAGTAACACAATAGCTCCCTGGGCATAGAGAACGAACCTGTCACCCTGTTGAAGAGTTTTTGTTTTTCCATAAAATAACATGGACTGGGCCACATGCATAGGTAACTACTTTGTGGTACTTTGCTAAACTGCTGTTATTGATGTTGTTTTTCAGTAAATATGGTTTTATAATTGATAAGGAAACAAATGCCAAGAGGTCAGAGCTAAATTTAAAATTCAGACACTTTTTTTAAGAGACATGGTCTGGCTCTGTCACCCAGGCTGAGGTGCAGTGGTGCAATCACAGCTCACTGCAGCCTCAAACTCCTGGGCTCAAGCAATCCTTCTACCTCAGCCTCCCAAATAGCCGAGACTACAGGCAAGCACCACCACATCCGGCTAAAACATTCAGATACTTTAAAATGGATGGTGGGAAACTTTCTAAATTGGAGCTAGAGAGCTTCTCCTGAATGCCAGTTCTTTCCTAGTTGTTCCCTTTGTGGCAGGAAAGATCTCAACAACTCAGTCAAACCTAAGAAGCTATCGTGATTTCCAAGTTTGTTAAATTTTTTTTTTATGAGACTGACTTGTTGGTCTTCAACCTTTCTGTGAAGTTGCAGGAAATGTTGAGGCTCAAGTGACTTTCTTAAGGTCATGTAAGTCAGTAAAAGATGAACAAATAACCCCAGAAGTACTCCCACTAGTCTACACTTCTAACCGCTAGACCACACAAGTTCACATGTCTGATTCATTTTAAGAACTGAGTAGATCTTACAATTTTCAAAGACCCACTTGGATATACTCTTCAAATAATTTTTGAAATCTGTCATAACCAAATAAAACGTACAAATGAAAACCAACAGTTTTGCTGTTTCTAATTCACCCTTCCTTTGTGATAGTCAAGAGGAACCTTTCAAACTATTAACGATTTTAGAAAAAAGGTTAAGTACCTCTAACCAAGCAAATCCTGGTATATGCAGCTAAGTCAACTGATTTAGCACTTCTCTACTTAGCACACCAATGTGCACTAGAATTAAGACAGTGGTTCTCAATTCTGCCTGCACAAATTAGAATCACTTGGGGAACTTAAAAAATTCTTATGCCCATGCCCCACCCAAGACCAATGAATCAAAATCTTTGAATCAGCCATTAGTATTTTTTTAAAACCTCCCCATGTAATTCTAATGTATAGCCAGTATTGAAAACAACTGATGTGAAGCTGTGTTAAAGTTCTGAATTGAATAAATTTGTGTAGTTCTGTTTATTTGTTATACTTGTTAACTACACTTTTGGAAGAAATCGGATAGTAAAGAAAATGAGATTTTTATATAAATGTGTAACAAAGCAGAAGGGCCCAATGAGAGGTCTTACTTAAGGGGGTTTATACAAGGGAGGTATTATTTCTGACTGTGGGGTGTTAAGGAAGGCTTCTAAGGAGTTGGTAACATTTGAACTGGATCTTGAAGGCTAGAATAGGCAGATATGAAAAGAAAATAAGTTTCAAGCATAGGTCAAGTCCTATTGAAGATGATTGTGGGGGAAACAGTCAGTGGACATAATGTGAAGACATAAAAGGGAAATAAGGTGAATAGGTAAGTTGGGGCCACTTCTGAAGGGCCTTGAATTTCATGCAAAATTATCTGGTAGGAGCTGGGAAGTCACTAAGTTGCTGAACAAAGGCCTGCCTTGATCAGAGTTAAGCTTCAGTGAGATGATTTTTAAAGCTAGAGGGAAGGATGGACTAGTTGAATGAAGAGACACACGGCAAGGAGACCTGCTTGGGAGGGCTATAATTGCAGCAGTCTAGGCAAGTAATGAAGGCCTAATGTGGGTTAGTAGCAGTGGCAATGGAGAAAGCTAACTGTATACAGAACTAAAAGGACTTAGCAATTGATTAGATATGAGAGATAAAGAGAAGCACAATTCTGGGTAATTAGGAGGATACCAATGCCACCAAAAGGGGCCATTTGAAAGGCAAAATGACTTAATCTCAAATTTGAGAGTTTGAAATGCTTGGGAGATATCCAAATGAAGGTGCCCAGCAAAAAATAAAAAAAAATTTGGTCTACGATTTAGGAGAGATGTCAGAGCTGAAGATACCATTTTGGGGGGAGAAACACAAGAATTATTTGATGAGGATGACCAATTTTCTTTCTAGGTAACTCTACTTTTCTTCCTTATATTTGTCTTGATTTTTTGAACTATTATCTCATTAGTACTCTTCCAAACCTCTTGCATCCTTGCTTTAGCTTTTCTACCTAGCAAAACCTACACCCTGAGATAAATGTTGCAATCTGCTTTCTCCATACCTATAATAGATGGCTGGAAACTACTGGTGGTATGGAGATATGGGGAAGAAGGGAACCCTGAAGGTCGATACCACTACAAATCCATGATCTGTAGCCTCATCTGGATACTTAATGTCACTTGTCAATTTTCTCTCACCCTGAATTAGCTCCTTTTCTGGATCCTCTCAATGACTACTCCATTATCATTACAGTTGACCCCTGAGCAATGCAGGCATTAGGGACACTGACCCCCTCCCCCATGCAGTTGAAAATCTGTATATAACTTTTGACTCCCCAAAACTTAACTATAAATAGCCTACTGTTGACCAGAAGCCTTAGAGACAACATAAGCAGTCGATTAACACATATTTTATGTTATATGCTTATAATAAATATTACATAATGCATATGTAAGGATATGTATTAGATCCTTATAATAAAGTAAGCTAGAGGAAAAAAAATGTTAAGCAAATCATAAAGAAGAGAAAATATATTTACTATTCATTAAGTGGAAGTAGATCATCATAAAGGTCTTTATCCTTGTCTTCACATTGAGTAGGCTGAGGAGGAGGAGAAAGAGAAGTGGGGTTGGTCTTGCTATCTTAAGTGTGGCAGAGGTGGAAAAATATCCGCATAGAAGTGGACTTGCACAGTTCAAACCCATAAACCCATGTTGTTCAAGGGTCAATTGTGTTTTCACTCTTTATACAACCGTAACTTCTGTACTCTTAGAAGAGAACCTCATACCCTACTTCACTGAAAAATGAAGTTGTTAGGCATGATGTAAAAATCTCTCCCTTCTACCTATAAATGCATCTGCAGCCACGCTGTTCTTTTCTTCCTGTCTCAGAAGATGTAGTATTTCTCTCCTGTTCACACTATTCCATCTGCCTGTGCCATGATCACATTTCCTTGTGCCTCCTCTGAGACCTGCCCTGTTCCATCATGTGTATCTACCTTGCCCGCAGCTTCAAATTATTTTTCTTTATTGGCTCCTTCTCCATACCGTATGCTTAAGTCTGTTTCTATCCAAAACAAATGGTTACTGTTCAATCTCTTTCCTACCCTTATCATCAGGTTCCTCAAAAGAGAAGCCAACGTTTACTGACTCCACTTCCTTATCTTAACTTGAGATGCAGGGGTTCATAGACTCCTTCAAATTATAAAAAGGCTTTTATTTTTTCAAATGTGCATTTTTTTCCCCCTGGAGAAGGAGTATAGATTTTACTCCTACTTTCAATGTATAACCTTCTATCTCAATGTATAACCTTGGCTGCAAAGAATTAGCTAGTGGCACTTAATTTTATATGTTTGGGAACTTGATTGATTTTGGAGCATGTAAAAGTTGTGTAAGTCTTAGTATTTTAGAGCAACATTTTTTTCTGCACTGAAACCAGAATAATACTAGTTATAACCTGGCAATTTTTTTATTCTCATGAAACATTTTTGCAGTGCAGCAGATTTGTCACTCATTGCAATGAAAAACCTGTAAGTGATAAAAAACATTATAATGTGGGGCCTCAAAACTCACTGAAAAGAAAATTAGTATATAAATAAAATGGAAATAGTCCTGGAGATTCAATTACTGTAATGTCTTTTCACCACCACAAAAATTGCAGGTGTTCACCAAGCAGTTTTGAGCAGTTTCTGAAGTGCTTTTGCTGCACTCGGAATTTTCAATGTTAAGCCTTGTGTATTCTGATATGTTCCCATCTTTAAGGCAGATTATACTTGAGCTGTACTAAAATGACAAACAGCCAAATCCCAAACTCATTCAAAGCGAATGGTGGGACAACACAAACAGCCAATAGTGAGAAGCAGAAAATTCCAGGCTCTTTTTCACCATTCTGGCTTGTAAAATCTGCTTTAAAACTTTGTAAAAATATTTAAACAAGGAATAAAATGGAAGCATTTGAATTTTGCTTCCAAAAACCACAGGACTTTATTGGTTAACTGGAATTATCAGAATGAGAAAAGCCAGAGGCAGGAAGAATATTTAAAAGCTGTTGAGTCTCTATAATATACAATCTAAATGGAAGTGTTTAACAACAGAGGAGAAAACACACTCGGTGATCAGGATCTTGAATTTAACGAGCACTCTTAATACACCTGGGAATAATTTTTTTCTCCTTATAACTTTCATTTAAGTTTGCAAGGCTATGTTTTAAAATACATTCAGTAAAACTAGTTAAAGGAAGAGTTTGCCTCTTGAGTAAAAAATTTCCATTAGGACCCATTAATATTTGATAAATGCTTCCAATTCAACGAACAAATATCAACATGTAAAACATTTAAAGAATTCTCCAGAATTGTATCTGTGATGCATCAGATAAATAACTAAAAGACTTAGTGCCACCTCTATCGACCTGGTGATTAACTGCTCTATAACCAATTCTTCTATTTTGTCAGTCCACAGAAAACAGTTACGTCCATGGAAGATAAAAGCAATATTTGGAATAAAGTTTTGAATCAAAGAAACATTTTAAAAAGTTAAAGTGTTTACTAATTTTATAACTAATGAATTAAAAGATAATCTCACATTTACATCTAACTTTGTTTTTTGTTAATTTTATTAAAGATTTTATAAAAATTGTATTTGCAAAAAGGCAATGCTGGATTTGGTTAAAAGTAGCAATTCTTTTAAGGCTAAATAGTCCCATCTTTATCAGACTGTATTCACATGGGAAAATATGAATCATTATACAGATTACATCTCTATAATGAAAGTCTTTTCTTCAGTCACAATAGTAAGCAACTATTTTTGTTTTTTCACGTGCAATGCAATTTTACCAGTGTTATCAAATCTATGCCATAAGTCCATAATATCAACAATAATTTATCCAAGTTTTTCCCATCCATTCATTCTTTTGATGTATCAACAAATATTCACTGAATGCTTACTAAGTGCTAGAGTAAGTGCTTGGCACTAGGAAGACAAAAGTAATCCAGACAATGTATTTGACTGCATGGAGATTATGTTTTGGTAAGAAAACTGCTTCAAATTTACCTCACTTACTATAGGTATCTTTCCTGGTTTAGCACTGTTTACATATTGTCCAAACACAATATTGGATAAATGGAAATTCTCTTATTCTCATGTAGAAACTTACGTGTGTGTGTGTGTGTTTATGTGTGTGTATATATATATATATGTGTGTGTGTGTGTATATATATATTATATATATATATATGCTTTTTGCTTTTGGTAAATTACATGTTTATGTTCCTAAAACCGACTTGTGGGTCATGGAAGGTGAGAAGGCAGGGGAAGGTAAAAGTCATGAATATGAGAAAATAAAGGTTAGTCACCATAATTAAACATAGTGGCTGTACAACTCAAGCTCAGAAATGCCTAAATTAATTCTCCTAGGGGAATAATTGACCTGTGGAGAAAGGGAGGTAAGAATCAATCAGAGCCAGAATGAAACTAATAATACAGTAATGAATGTAACAGTAATGAAAATTAACAATATGGGTTTTTGGGAGCTGAAATATACAAGGTTTGGTTTCTGCACTTTTGAAATTAAGAACAGGAGGCAAAATGTTACCAAATAACACTGACATTTAAGGCAAGGAGAGAGAAATATGTTGCAGATATGTAGGAAAGTGGGTGAAAGGAGTTAGGAAAGAAAAAGAGGCAAATACACCTTTGATGTCATTCCCAGTCTCTTCATGGGCCACATTCCACCAGTTACCCTCTAGTTCTTCCAGCCTTGCCTGTCTAACGTCTCCTTCCCCTCTGCTACCAAAATGCTCAAACTTCCACTATCCTGAGAATCTTCTGACAATTTATCATATCATATTGGATTATAAACTCCCTCTCCTTTCTGCTTTTGCCAACCATAAGAAAAGAGTAGTCGGCATTTGCTCCGTCTAGTGCCCCAACACCATATGTAATACTATAGCAGCCTTTGCAATCTGGTCTCCACTCCTATCATTCTGTAGAAACTGCTTTCTTGAAGGTTACCCACACCACCTAATTGCCAGGACCACAGTCCTTAGTCCTTATTCTCATTTTCGTTTAGCAGACAGCAACTACTTCATCTCTAGAAAGGTAGTTACTACATTTTTCTTGACACTTAAACTTACTTTGGACTCTTTAACAGTGTTCTGGTTGATTACATACCTGTCTGAGGCACACTGCAGTGCAAAGTACATATTTTGAAGTCAGATAGGGTCTGAGTCTGAATCTTAGCTCTGACCTTGGGCAAAGTATATGTTTTTACAGAGCCTATTTCTTCCGTTGGTGAGTGGAACACTACCAAATTACCAGACTGAATTGTGAGAATCAAATAAAATAATGTAGAGTCTAGCAGTGTTTGCATTTAGTTGGTGCTCAAAGTGTCTGTTTCCCCTCCCTCCCCTTTTCTGCTTTCTCTGTATTCTTCAGGCATCCTTGGCCTTGATCCAGCTGTCCCACAAAGTTCTGTCCCATCTTGACTCTGCATTTAACATCCTCTGCCTCTTGCCATTTCATCCATCCCAATGCTGACACTAAAATCTAGGTCTCTGATTTTCATCACCATTCTTCAGCTCTAGTTCCACATTTTCAACTCCTGTCAGGGAGCCATCTAACTGATAATCTGCCTAAATCTTAAATTGAACAGGAAGTCTCAGCACTTGCAAAACAGGTATAAAACCAAGTGCATTGCCAGGCACGATGGCTCATGCCTATAATCCCAGCACTTTGGGAGGCCAAGGCGGGTGAATCATCTGAGGTCAGAAGTTCGGGACCAGCCTGGCCAACATGGTAAAATCCTGTCTCTACTAAAAATACAAAAATTAGACGGGCATGGTGGCGCATGCCTGTAATCCCAACTACTTCGGAGGCTGAGGCCGGAGAATTGCTTGAACCTGGGAGGCGGGGGTTGCGGTGAGCCGAGATTGTGCCATTGCACTCCAGCTTGGGCAACAAGAGCGTAACTCTGTCTCATAAATAAATAAATAAATATAAAATAAAAACAAATGCATCATCTCTTCCAATCAGTTCTTCCTACCTACTTCCCAGAAGGCATCAGTATCTTCACAGCCACCTGTCTTAATATCTTAAAATTATGTTTGACTTTCCCCAGCTTTTCAAAATCCTGTGGATTCTAGAGCTGTAGTGTTTCTCATAATTTGTCTCTTCCTTTTCATTTCATTGCCTCATTGCTCTTTGTTTAACTAGGCTGTTACTAGTAGAGGCTTTGAGAAAATCAATTCCATAAAAGGTGGGGGCAAGATACAGAATGCAAAGGATTAATGAGAAGCACTGGAATTACTGAGAGCAGACTTGCTCTTCAAGAAGTTTGGTAGGTGAGTGGATGATAGCCTGAGGTCAAGAACAAAGGATAGGTCTATTTGTTTTTTCTGTTTTGTTTTTTTTAAATTTAAAGATGAATAGGCTGGGCATGGTGGCTCACACCTGTAATCCCAGCACTTTGGGAGGCCAAGGTTGGGGATCACTTAAGTTTAGGAGTTCAAGACCAGCCTGGGCAACAAAGTGAGACCCCTATCTCTACAATTTTTTTTTTTAAAGCTGAGCAGGATGGTGCATGCCTATGGTCCCAGCTGCACGGGAGGCTGAGGAAGGAGGATCACTTGAACTCAGGAGATTAAGGCTTTAGTGAGCTGCGACTGTGCCACTGCACTTTAGCCTGGGTGACAGAGCGAGACCCTGTCTCAAAAGGAAAAAAAATAAAGATGAGCCAGCCCCTAAAAATTTTAAGTACAGTGAGACAAGCATACATTAATCAAGTAATCATACAATTAAATATAAAACTGAAAACAGGATAAGTGCTAAGAAAGAAAAGTATATAGTGTTGTAAAGGCCTATGTATAGAGATATTTTATCTAGTCAGGGAAGTCAGGGAAAGTTTCGTGAGGAGGAAACACTTCCTCAAGTTCTGAAAGATGAAGAGGAATTAACCAAGGGAAGAGGGGAGAGAACATTCTGGACCTGTGTGCTACAGTGGTAAAGACTATGATGAGAAACATATGAAAGAAGGTCAGAGTGACCGGAATGGGAGAACAAGGTAGGATGGTGTGAGATGAGGCTGGAGAAGAAAGAAGGGCTAGACCACAGGGGTATGTAGGCCACAATAAAAAGTTTTTCTTTAAGAGCAATTGAAAGCCTTTGAAGGGCTGACGCAAGGTGGAAGATAGTATCAGATCTGGCTCCAGATCTCTGAAAGACTAACCTTCCTAAAACACAGATTTTATGATGTTATTCTACTCAAAACTTACATCAAGGGAGGATCACTTGAACCCAGGAGTTTGAGGTTACAGTGGGCTATGATCACGCCACTGCACCGCAGCCTAGGCAACAGGGCGAGATCCTGTGTCTAAAACAAACAAACGAGCAAATGAAACTCCACAAAAAACAAAAACAAAAAATTTAAATGACTTTCATTACCCACTGAATTAAGTTTGTCTGCCATTAAAGAATTTATCTCAGGGGCAGGGTATGGTGGCTCACGCCTGTAATCCCAACACTTTGGGAGGCCAAGGCAGGCAGATCACTTTAGGCCAAGAGTTCGAGACCAGCCTGGCCAACATGGCAAAACCCCATCTCTATTAAAAATACAAAAATTAGCTGGGTGTGGTGGCGCATGCCTATAGTCTTCAGCACTCATGAGGATGAGGCACAAGAATCACTTGAACCTGGGAAGCAGAGGTTGCAGTGAGCCAAGATCATGTCACTGCACTCAAGCCTGGGCAACAGAGACTGTGTCTGAAAACAAACAAAAAAAATCCATCAGTACAACAGACCCAACCTTTCCTTCTAGTTATCAGCCTTATCTTGCTTTTTTCACGCTATAGGTACTTCCTAGAATACTCTCATCTGTTCTATTTCTTGAAATCCTTTCTGTCTTTTGAACCCATCAACTTTGTATGGCCCCCCAAACAGATCTTTTACTTCTGTTATAACCTCCCAATTGAAATCTTTTACTTCTATGAATCCCAACAATATTTTGTGCCTTTTTCTTTTTTGGCATTTAACACATTCAATTTTTTATTGTAGCTACTTGTGCACATGATTTCTCCCTTTCCTCAACCTCCAGTAGGCTGTAAAGTGTTTGAGGGAAAGGGATTTGTTTAATCTTTGTATTCCCTACAGGGTCTAAGACACAGTCTTACTCATAGCATTGCTCAATAAACATCTGTTTGTGTGTGTGTGTGTGTGTGTGTGTGTATGTAATCCTTTTTTTCTTTTTTTTTTTTGAGACAGAGTCTTGCTCTGTCACCCAGGCTGGAGTGCAGTGACACAATCTCAGCTCACTGCAACCTCTGCTTCCTGAGTTCAAGCAATTCTCCTGTCTCAGCATCCTGAGTAGCTGAGATTACAGGCGGTCCCCGCCATCATGCCTGGCTAATTTTTGTATTTTTAGGAGAGACATACTTTAACCATGTTGGCCAGGTTGGTCTTGAACTCCTGACCTCAAGTGATCCACCTGCCTTAGCCTCCCAAAGTGCTGGGATTACAGGTGTGAGCCACTGCGCCTGGCCCATTTTTTAATGAGACAAAAAAAGTAGAGAATAAAAAAGGAAAATGGGCCAGGTGTGGTGGCTCATGCCTGTAATCCCAGCACTTCGGAAGGCTGAGGTGGGCAGATCACTTGAGGCCAGGAGTTCGAGACCAGTCTGGCCAACATGGCAAAACCCCATCTCTACTAAAAATACAGAAAAAAAAAAAAAAAAAAATTAGCCAGGAGTGGTGACACACACCTATAATCCCAGCTACTTGGAAGGCTGAGGCAGGAGGATTGCTTGAACCCAGGAGGCGGAGGTTGCAGTAAGCCAAGATCAGGTCACCTGTACTGCAGCCTGGGTGATAGAGAGAGATTCTGTCTCAAAAAATAAAAACAAAAAAAGGAAAATGTTATTCCAGAGCTATTTTCTAAAAAATTCCTTAAATGTGATTTGAAGAATCAGAAACTCTCACATAAAATAACTTTCTAGACTTTTCTATTCATTGTTGATACTTATTCCCAGAATAAAATATAAATAATAGGCTGGGCATGGTGGCTCACACCTGTAATCCTAGCACTTTGGGAGGCTGAGGCAGGTGGATCACTTGAAACCAGGAGTTGAGACCAGCCTGGCCAAGATGGTGAAACCCCGTCTCTACTAAAAAAATTAAAAAATAAATAAATAAAATGTAAAGAATAAATTGGATGAGGAAAAAAAGGCCCACAGTTGGAGTGAGGATTCTGTAAGTAAAACAGTTTTAAAACATATTTTAACATTTAAAAAATTAATTTACACATTTCATTTTGCTCTTTACCACCTTTATTATAATGTGCAGATACTAAACCACTCCACGTTCTCCTTTTGCATTTGAGGAAAAGTTCCATATCTTTGATATGAAGAGCAATATAGTTTGAGTATCCCTTATCTAAAATGCTTGGGACCAGAACTGTTTTGGAGTTTGGATTTTTTAGAATTTTGGAATACTTGCATTATACTTACCGGTTGAACATCCCTAATCCAAAAATCCAAAATCTGAAACACTCCAATGAGTATTTCCTTTGAGCATCATGTTGGTGCTGAAAAAGTTTCGGATTTTGGAGCATTTTGGATTTTGGATTTCTAATACTTAACCTGTATAATGTCAACTAAAGTCTGCACTAGAAAGAGAAGGCATCTTGGGGGTGTTCCTCTCACTTTCTTAAATGAGTACTCTGAAATCTTTCCATAGAAAGAGTGACTGACTAGTATTTCCCTGCCAAGCTTATGATGGAGATACCTAACAAAGTATAACACTTGGACAGTGTCACCATGGAACTCCATTTGCAAAATTAAATTGTTTCCTATGCTAAATATACTCATCTTTATCTCTTTCAGAAGCCTTTGATATATCGCATGAAAACAGTTTCTTACTTTTTACACCTCATACTTGAATTAGTACTACCAAGTTGATTTAACCTGGATTTACTCCAATCCCTCATACTGCCAACAATAGTCAATGAAGTTAAGTAACTTGTACAAGGCTACACTGATAGTTAGGAACAAAAATAGGATATATCCAGAATGAGACTGAGTTTAGGGTTTCAAGAGACCCTTGTATAGTTAAAGGTAGTCTATGGGGTAGAATAATTATATTAAAAAAAATGTTAAATAAAAATTAATGACATAAGGACAAGGTGGGAGGATTGCTTGAGCTCAAGACCAGCCTAGGCAATGTGGTCAAACCCTATCCCTACAAAAAATAATAATAATAATTAGCTGGGTATGGTAGCATGTGCCTGTAGTCCCAGCTACTTGGGAGGTTGAGGTGGGACGATTGCTTGAGCCTGGGAGGCAGAGATTGCAATGAGCTGAGATCGTGCCACTGCACTCCAGCCTGGGTGACAGAGAACCTGTCTCAATAATAATAATAATAATAATAATAATAATTTACATAAATTAAAATTGCATTTATTTAATTTTAGGCACAAAGCTAATGTCCCCAAATTTGAAAAACCAAGAGGCATGTGAGGTTAGTACCATTAAAGGACTTCCAAGAGAAACAAAAAAAGTAGACAAGAAGAATATAATATTAAGAAGTATGTCACTATGAACTTTCCATTTCAGAACTACTATCTAGAAAACAGAGATAAAAACTTTGATTATAAGAAACTATGATAGCCAAATAAAATAAAATGTTTTTCTTATAACAGATGGTTTATGTCCTGTTAATGTTTGCATTTAATGCTTTAGGTTTACCCATTAATAAGGAAGCAGGGATGCTTTCCACTGATATTTCTAATTCAAAAGAAAAAAGTTCTTTGTAACTCACTTTGTGGTGATATATTACACATAGGTTTGTTTAAAGGGCTGGGTTACAGTGACTTTACAACTTTATATCTAATTCCTGTTTGTGACAGATCTATAGAACAGCTTGGCAGATGAATGCTGGAAAAGCTTTTCTTTATCATTGTTGCCTTGTAACAATTCTCTCAGAATAGTGTCTCCAGCTTTTTTTCAATACTCTAAGATTGAAATGTAATCAACTATGGCTTCCACACACAATGATTATCACACCCTTATAGTGGCAGACCCCGATGCTAAGGTTAACAGTTCCCTTAAGCTTCATGCTTCCTAGCTCTCAGGGAGCTCAATCAGGATGTGATGATGGCACTAGCAGATCTAGGGACTGGCTCCTAAAATCAAGGCTGTGATTTGCAAGGGCCAACTGCTGCTAACTGCTGTCATCACCACCACTGCTGCTGCTTGGGATAGTGAAGTTGGAGTGCACATCTTTTTGCTCAGGATCCTTGGTGACTTTTAATGTGGAGTATGGCCTGAAGTTGGAGACACTCAACTACTTATGAATAAAAAAAAGAGTAGCATTATAAAACTGCCAAAGATATAGGGAATTCTGTGGGGAAAATTAATGTAGAAAATTGGCTTTGATTAAAACTTTGAACAAGTATTATTTCTTTAGAAACTATCTAGATTCCCATATAGTTCTGTTGGCTGAGGGTAAAGTTATTTCAATTTAAAGATATGTTTTTCTTACATAAACTCTCAGCAATAAGTATGGGAACGTATAGAAATAATCTAATTATTGCTTAATCCTCAGTAAACAGGTAAATACTTAAACTTCACAATGACAAAGGTGATAGGATAGTAAATATCATAAGATAACAAATTCAAGATGTATATAAGCAAGAAACAAAAAATGAATTTTATGGATACTGAGGAATCCAAAAGAATACCAGTAGCTACTGTTCAGACATTTATATGGTTTCAAATTGAACACTATGAACACCGTAACCTTTGTTTTTAGCTTGAAAGTACTCATTTTGCGTGTATAGTAGAAATTCCTAAAACATAAGAAATTGATGTTACATGTCCATGAAAACCTAAAATCAATGAGATTAGGCATATTTAAGTTTTTGGGAAACTGCATATATAAGCCTTTAAAATGACTACTGGGTGTGAAGCAAGATGAGATAATTTGTAAAGTTCAATCTTTGGAGCCCTCATACTTTGCTAGTGGAAATGTAAAATGATACAACCACTGTGGAAAACACTTTGGCAGTTCTTTAAAAGGTTAAACAGAGTTATCATATGACCCAGCAATTCTACTCCTAGGTATATACCTAAGAGAACATAAAACATATGCTCACACAAAAAAATCTGTACATGAATGTTTATAGCACTGTTATCCATTAAATAGCAAAAAATGGAAATAACCCAAATGTTTGTCAACTGATGAATAAACAAATGTGGTATATCCATACAATGGAATATTATTTGGCCATAAAAAGGAATGAAGTACTGTTACATGCTACAAAATGGATGAATCTTGAAAACATGTTACGTGAAAGAAGCCAAATACAAAAGGTCACATATGATTCCATTTATGTGAAAAGTTCAGAAATAGGTAAATCTGTCAAGATAAGAGAATGGATTTATGGTTGCCAGAGGACTAGAGGAAGGGAAATTGGGACTGAACTAATAGATAGGAGGTTTCTTTTTTGGGTGACAGAAATGTTCTGGAATTAGATAGTGGTGATAGTTGTACAACACAGTGAATATACTAAAAACCAGTGAATTGTATATTTTGTATATTTTAAAATATACAAATGATGAACTGTATATTAATTTTATCTCAACTTTAAACAGCTCAGTTAAATATAAAAATTCCATAGTTGTAAGGAAATATAAAAAAGTAATTTCAATGATCTTCAAATATGGTCTCAGATACCTAAAATTAAATTTGGACTGTTAAGGGAAAGAGTTGGGAATACTTGTAACCAATAAATTTCTAAGGAACCATCTCTTTGTTTTTCATGGTATGTTCACAGATTTTTCTGAGGAAATTAGTGATAGGCAGGCTTTAAAAAAAAACAGCCTGCTGAGGCAAAAGCCTTACTCACATCTTTCCATTCAGGCCTGGTAGCCCTAGGGAAGTGACTCTCCAGAGTATCTATCTGTATGATGGTTACCTAAAGTGGCTGCCTATGTCCAGTGATGGCTTTTGTTTAGCGATCATGGTCAAGTTGAGCTTGTTTAAATACCATTTCCCAGGACTTGCATGCTACTCCCTGAACGACAGGAATACTCAAAGCTTTTAGAGAGAATAAACTATTGTATGGTCTCTGCCTAGGAAGCGGGCCACAGTTCACTGGAAACAGCCAGTTCAGATAAATAAAATGAAAGCAGACATTTTTGGAGATGGTCTTGAAAGCTTTCCATTAGAGAACATCAAGGGCATAGAACTAGGAATAGCATGTATCCATGTTAGACTACTACAAGTCACTTTATCCTCTATCCTTTCTGAGTAATACAAAGTACTCATCTCCTTCATTGGATAACCAAATAATTCACACAGAACACAACACACACCTCTCTCCCTGGCCACCAAGAGACATTTGACTCCTATGATACAATTGACCACAGACCATCAGAATACAAAGTAGTGGCTTATTTACAAAGCTTTTATATTAAATTTGGGAGGAAAAGTTACATTTTAAGTATAAACACTTGAGGAAACCTGATTCCCACTTCTGGCACATAGGCTGCACATAAAGGAACTCGGGCCAGTCAAGCTGCTTCTCGATAGCCTTCTATATGTCTTCTCTTTGGCTGCCAGTTTTGGTCTGGACGTTTCCCTGTATTTCTCAGTTTTAGGTCACCATCAGCACAGTGACCTCTTGTGTTACAGGCTCAAATATACTGACAGAGGTCACAGAAGACTGGGGAAGACCAAGAGCAAAGGGAAGAGGGAAGGAGTAAATGGGACAGAAGCTGAGCGATGTGTCCTATGGCTAGAAAATCTTCTCAAAATACCAGTTAAATCTCAAAAAAGCTATTCTGAATACTGTGACCATGATTAAAAGTGATTCTTTACTTTCAGGTTTCTTATATTGTGGGTAACATGGAATTATGAGGAATATAAAAACAAATATGATATACTTTGATACCACATCAAAAAATATAATTTTATGCAATTCATTATGGTCCTTTCTTTTTTTTTTTTTTTTTTTTTTTGAGACAGAGTCTCACTCGGTCACCAGGCTGGAGTGCAGTGGCGCAATCTTGGCTTACTGCAACCTCTGACTCCCTGGTTCAAGCGGTTTTCCTGCCTCAGCCTCCCGAGTAGCTAGGATTACAGGCACATGCCACCACACCCAGCTAATTTTTGTATTTTTAGGAGAGATGGGATTTCACCATGTTGGCCAGGATGGTCTTAATCTTCTGACTTCGTGATCCACCTGTCTCGGCTTCCCAAAGTGCTCACAGGCGTGAGACACTGCACCCCGCCTACTGTCCTTTCTAACTTCAAAATATATAAATACATTAATAAGCTTTACACAGTAGAGTATATAGGTACTAAATATTTATAGAAGACTATCTTTTATTTTGAGACAGAGTCTTGCTCTGTCGCCCAGGCTGGAGTGCAGTGGTGCCATCTCAGCTCACTACAACCTTTGCCTCCTGGGTTCAAGTGATTTTCCTGCCTCAGCCTCCAGAGTAGCTGGAACTATAGGCATGCCCCACCATGCCTGGCTAATTTTTGTATATTTAGTAGAGATGAGGTTTCACCACGTTGGCCAGGCTGGTCCTGACTTCAACTGATCCGCCTGCCTCGGCCTCCCAGAGTGCTGGGATTACAGGCATGAGCCACTGCACCTGGCCTATAGAAGACAATCTATATATACTTATATACATTTTTATTAAAAGTCATGCATCAAAGATTGTGGAAAGAGCCTAACATCTCAATAGGGCATATTTAGTTAAGAAAATCAGGTTCAACTCTGTATTATTTCACTATATAGTACCTTTTCCAGGAACAAAATCAGATCTAAGAGTAAAGTCTGATAAACTTCAACTAAGATGCAAAATTACAACCAAGTACTTAAGCAATAAATCTGAGCAATTATCAGGTTATTTTATTGCATTTCTAATGAGTTCTTCTAAAAAAAGTCAATCAATTATCACTGTTATATATGTTCTGTGTGTAAGGAGTGCTTGAGAGTCTTTAATTGTAACATTTATTAAATAAGAATAAGAGGACATTTTTAAAGGAATTAAAGGAACATTAATTCCTTCATAAATGTATAGTGCTTAAGCTCTGCTTTAAAAGGTCTTTCCATGTGCTCTTGGGTAACCACTTAGGGCTGAATTCATAGTATAAATATCAATAAATGTTGCAATCACAATAGTAATTCAAGTCCCATGGAATCAGTGAGAAACCTAAATGAAGTGGGAATGGGTCATGGTGTATTTTCATATGGGATGCATTTCATTGAGTGTGCAATGATCAACTGTACCAACTGGTCAGATTTTTTTCTGAGATACACAAATACAATTTCCATCAGTATACATTGATAAATTACATGTTATGGTCCAAATTATTATTATTATTTGAGATAAGGTATTGCTCTGTTACCTAGGCTTGAGTGCAGTGGCATGATTATGGCTCTCTGCACCTTGATCTCCTGGGCTGAAGAGATCCTCCCACCACAGCTTCCCTAGTAGCTAGGACTACAGACATATGCCACTGTGCCTGGCTAATGTTTTTATTTTTTGTAGAGACGGGGTCTCACTATGTTGCTCAGGCTGGTCTTCAACTCCTGGGCTCAAGCAATCCTCCTGCCTCAGCCTCCCAAAATGCTGGGATTATAGGCATGAGCCACTGCACCTGGCACAGATTTAAAAAATGTTAATACATCTGTGAAAGAACAATGAAAGTCACCAGGAGAAGATGGCTTACTACCAAAACTCCTTATTTCCTTTAAGAATAAAGGTGTGAAAATTCAAGACTCAGTTTTATTTATGTTATCCTGGACTATCATGTTTTGGTCAAAATGTTGATTTTTTTCCCCCTTTAACAAGAGTTAGACTTGTGGCATTATAGCAACATACTAATACAATTATATATAGGTGTATGTATGTATCCTCTTCTAAGAGTTCACATGAGGAATTCTGAAAACAGCTTTCATGGATTAAACAAATGCTATTATAGTAATAATAAAACTTAGCAATATTCATATATAAAGAACAGTTCTACTGAACATATTATCTTATATTCATCTTAAGTGACAACTGCCATTTAGAATCTTTTGCCTAGCTATAAAGACTTATAAGCAGTTTGTTTTTAAACATGAATTCCAGAAATGTCTACAAGTTGTGACTTAAAAATTCCATTGGAAATTTGAGAGTAGATGTGAAAATTTTCTGAATAATAGGATAATTATTTTTAAAAAAGACATACACCCATGTATGCCTACAGTCAATGTTAGTGGCAATAAGCTAAAAGGCTGAAAGGTGGGGTTACTTCTCCACAAATAACGTGTGCATGTGTTTCGTCCTTTCTCTTTATATGTGCATGTCTCTGGGTTTCTAAAGTCTCCATATTTTCACTGTAAGGCTATTTATCCAATGCTGGCCTTCATGCCTGTTTTTGCTTTCCCCAGTGACAAAATGCCTTCTCTAAAATGTAATTGTGAAAACTGTAAGGGGGAGAAGAGGGGTGGAAATACACATTAAAGTATAATTATACTTTATAGAAGTCAATGGAGTTTTAACATGATGAATATGTATTTTAATTTTATCCCTAACTTGTACAGTAGTATTTGCTATAAAAAGGTGACAAATGGACAAAGTTGGAGATAAAAAAAGTCTATCAGTTGAGCCACAGATTTCCAGTGGGGGCAGAAATATGAAAAGCTAAAGGGGAATTTCTGAGAAAAGAGGAAATAAGAAAATAATATGGGGCAGGAGACAGAAGTCTTAGAAGCTGATGATCAAAAGAATAGGGAGATTCAGCTAGTGAAGATACAGAATGTGCAAATGCAGAATGAAAAGAATCTGCAAGGAAGGCCTAGAGCAAAAGTTAGAATTATCAGAAAACAAGATTTCAAAGGCAAAAACCTAGGAAACACCACTTGTCTTGGTGTCTATAGTGACCAAAGATTTTTAAAGAAGCTAAAAGGGTTTCCCCTAACTGGGGAAGATTTTAGTTGTCCAGTTGACCAATGACTAGGAGAAGGAAGGTTAGATCTAGAGGTAGGGATTAGGGCATAACGAAAGAGAGAAGGGATGCAAGGTGAATGACAAAAGCAAATAGTGTTTACTGCTACAATTTCAAGATTGAGTGCCCTAGGCCGGATGCAGTGGCTCATGCCTGTAATCACAGCACTTTGGGAGGCCGAGGCGGGTGGATCACAAGGTCAGGAGTTCGAGACCAGCCTGACCAACATGGTGAAACCCCAGCTCTACTGGGCATGGTGGCAGGTGCCTGTAATCCCAGCTACTCAGGAGGCTAAGGCAGCAGAATTGGTTGAACCCGGGAGGCAGAGGCTGCAGTGAGCCGAGATTGTGCCATTGCACTCCAGCCTGGGCAACAGAGCGAGACTCCATCTCAAAGAAAAAAAAAAAGATTGATTGCCCAATATGAAACATGCGATACACTACAGTAAAATGTGTGCAATTTGTTCCGTGAATTCAATTAAGGCACAATTTTTATGGGTCACTGACTCTTGAAATAAGAGGTTCCCTACATTATATCCAAAGTTAAAGAAGTCAAACAGTGCCTAAAAGGACTAGCAAAGCTTTCAGTATTTTGTGCCACATGGATGCCTCTATTAAAATCAAACACTAGAGAGGTTTACTTTTGTATAGAATAATCATATGAAATTTTAATGGTAGCCTTTATTATTTCATTTTCCATACTTTTTCAGTTCTTTGCTATATATTTTAGATAAGATGTGGCAAAAACTTAATCCAAAAACAGTAGGACTTAATGTGTCTTCAGTAAGCAGTGCTCATGATGATAATACTTTCAGTAAGTGGCTTAGAAAGCAAGATTCTGAGATTAGTGCTGAGCCTAGGCCTCTGACTTGTCGACCAAAAAAGTTACTTCTCCCTTTAGTATAATGAATTGCAGAACTACAGTTAGACAGTTGTCTATAAGTGTTTACTAGCAGGCATATGATCTGGTGGGTGAGCAGAGATACTGATATTTTCTTTGCCAGTGACCAAAATATTTACAAATTTCATAAAATGGAAAGAACTTTCTAAAAAATTAATAAGATCTGTTTCACAAATTACCAATTCAGCTGGAACACTGAATAGTAGAAATGACAAAAGATTTGTTCTTATGGTTGATAAAAAATTTATATCAGGGCATTCAAGTAAAGTTATTTTCTATGTTCTGATTTAATGAATCATGTGAGTTGCATCTAGTTGGGTGACACAGATTCTGGCTCACTGAAGCCTACTCTAATGCTTCTCAGCACAGCCTTCCTAGGGACAGTAAAGCCAGAATAACATGTCAGACTGAAGTAATATCAAAGAAAGAGAAAGCAGGGCTGGAGAGGCTATGAGATTGATTCATAACACTTTTTGACCTGTGAGTGTCTGGTAAGTTTTCAATGTCCTATGGGCTTCAATGACCTCTAACAAGCACCAAGCAGCAACAGTAATGCAATAATGAATGATCCTCAAAAGAAGAATTTTACAATTCAAGCTGAAAAACACTACACTTATTGAATAGTTTTAACCCTATTGATAAATAGCCTTAGAAACCACTAGTGGTTTCTTAAAAGCTGAATGAGTACTAAATGTTTTATATATGCTTTTGTAGTAAGCATCTGGTTTAGTTCCTTTAAACCTGTCAGATTTTAAAAATGTACATTAATTTGAAAAACTTTTTTGGTGCTAATAAAGTATGTTGACAAACAAAATAATATTAGATATGTAAAAATACAGATGTAAAATAATGAAGCCCATTCAATGTTAATATAATAGACTACTAAAAATGAAACGAAAAGACTATTCTGTATATACTCCACATGAGGATATTTGTCTCTTTCCAAGATGATAACAGGCTGGGTGTGGTGGCTCATGCCTATAATCCTAGCAGTTTGGGAGGTAGAGGCAGGTGGCTCTCTTGAGTCCAGAAGTTCAAGACCAGCCTGGGCAATATAGCAAGACACTGTCTCTACAAAAAATACAAAAATTAGCCAGGCATGGTGGTGTGTGACTATAGTCCCAGCCACTAGAGAGGCTGAGGTGGGAGAATTGCTTGAGCCTGGGAGGCAGAGGTGGCAGTGAGCTGACATCACACCAATGCACTCCAGCATGGGCAACAGAGCGAGACCCTGTCTCAAAAAAAAAAAACAAAAAAGAGATGAAAACAAATAGTATTTGTAAAGAATAAGGTATTCAGAAGAAAAGATGGTAAAAAATATAGAGAATAATTACATATCACTTTAAATAAAAATTGTTTTCTTACATAGGAAAGGAAAATAAGGCACAAAATAGAGGTATGATATTTTCCAAGGCAGTTTACAAAATCAGTGGATCACTTTGTTTTTCCCTAATCAATATGCTTCACATTTAGTATTTAGAGTTAAAATCTGAGAGAGTACTTACAATGACAGCAACACCATAGCAATTAAAGTCCATTCCGCAGGTTTGTGTATAATATTTCTATTTGTTAACCTGAAAGATAGATAAAATTTATCCAAGGAGTGTTACCTTTAAATAAACTTTCTATTTCTTTCTAGATAACATCAGATTTATAATAATGTGCCAAAGAAGCACTTTTTTTTAAAATACTTGTTATATTTGACAGGAAAGAGTCAATAGTATAATAATGTGGCTCAATAGTCACTATCTGATAATGGCCATCTCAAAAGGAAGTGTTCCAGCCCCACTTTTATATGTTTTTAATAATATTACTACTAGACAAGATAAGCATGTAGGAACAATGTGGGAAACTAAATTGCTTGATTAAAACACACATATCCCCAACAAACATACTCATAATATTCTCTATGCTTTCCCCTAACCAAGCAATTCCTCCCCTCCCCTCTTTCCCTCCCTCCCTCTGTCCCTCCCTCCCTCCCTTCCTTCCTTCCTCTCTTTCTTTCTTCTCTCTCTCTCTTTTTTTTTTTTTTTTTTTTTTAAAGAAACGGGGTCTTGCTATGTTGCCTGGGCTGCAGTGCAGTGGCTCTTCATAGGCATGATCATGGTGCACTGTAGCCTTGAATTCCTGGGCTCAAGAGATCCTCCTGACTCAGCCTCTTGAGTAGCTGGGATGACAGGTACATGCTGCTGTGTCTGGCTTAAGGTAAGCAATTTCTGATTTTAATTTTACTTCATCTTCTGTACCTTTCCATCTGGTGCTAGGTTGGTAGCAGGCAATTAAGGCATGTTATAATGCATAATTTACAGAAATGAGAGTTGGCTTAATAAATTATAAGAATAGGTCTTTATTAAAGAAAAGTTCAGTTTTTAAAAAAACAGAAGTAAATTTTATCATTTAGCCATTAATGGCAACAAAAAACTCTGTAGTCATCTTAGATTCTCAGAAAGCATTTAGAAAGATCACTCTAAATTTAAAAATTATATAAATCAATAAGAAAATATCAGCCAATACATAAATGGTAAAGGATATGAACAGGGAATTTATAGAGGAGGAAATTTGAAATGGACCGTGAAATTTGAAAAGCTCAATCTCACTAATAATTTGAGAAATTAATATAAAGACAATAATTCACTCCATCCACCTGGAAAAATGAAAGACTGACAATACCAAGGGTTGGTGAGGATGGGAAGAAATAGTGCCTTTAACACACTGTTGATGTGAGCAATTGAATGACAATTTGGCAATATCTAATAAAGTTGAAAATGCATATAAACAGCCCAGCTATTTATATACTTCTAGATATAAAGCCTAAAAATACTCTCACTTATACATAAAAAAAATGTGTGTTAAAAAAATGGGTTTTAATGCAACTTTGCTTGTAATAGAAAAATAAACTGTGGCATATTTATAAAATATTAAATAGCTGTTAAAATGAATAAACTAGATTTACATATTTTGCTCATCATAATTTTGAATGAAAGAAAGCAAACATCGTATAGCATTTTCTTTTTTTAGACAGAGTCTTGCTCTGTCACCCAGGCTGGAGTGCAGTGGCATGCTCTCAGCTCACTGCAACCTCCACCTCCCGAGTTCAAGCAATTCTTCTGCCTCAGCCTCCCAAGCAGCTGGGATTACAGGCATATGCCACCACGCCTAATTTTTGTATTTTTGTAGAGGTGGGCTTTCACTATGTTGCCCAGGCTGATCTCTAACTCCTGGCCTCAAGTGATCCACCCGCCTCGGCCTCCCAAAATGCTGGGATTACAGGTATGAGCTACGGTGCCCAGCTGGTATAGCATTATTTATATAAATCAAGAACAGACTAAATACTAAATATTGTTTATGGCAGTAAACATACAAAAAAAAGACTAGAAGGATACACATCTACTTCACAGTAGCAGTTGCTTCTGGGGAGGAACGAAGAATGGATTGGGAAAGGGAACAAAGGGGACTGACTTCATGCCCTCTTCCTCCTTTGCATCAGCTATTCCGTCCATCTGAAACAATCTTCTGCCAGGTAAGTTTCCTTATGTCATCTTTGCAATAAGGCCTATCTGGACCACAGTATTAAAAAGTACAACTTGCCCTCTACCTCCCAAACCCAATATTCCTGACCTCCTTATTCTGCTATATGTTTTTCTTTTTTTTCCATACCACTTATTGCCTTCTAATATATAATTGTTGTTTCTGTTTTTTCTTGTCAGAGGGCAAGAGTCTTTGTGTACTTCACTATTCCAAGTTTACAGAACAAGTGGCTGGCCGTCAGTAGGCATTCAATTAATACTTTTTGAATAAATTAATTATAATGTTTTCTTTAAAATATATACCTGAATCAAATTTTAGAAAATATTAAAATCTATTAATTCTGAGTGGAGGATATATTTTGTTACATTAATCTGAATTTTCCCCATCATTTTCCAAAATTTAAAAAAGCCTAGATGATAGGAAGTACAGTATATAATGGTTAGAGTCTGAAAGATATGGGTTTAATATCCAGATCTGTCCTCAGTAGTGTTTTATTTTGGACACGTTGTTTGATGGCTGTGAAACTTACTTTGGTAAAATAAGGACAATAATATCACCCACCTCACAGGGTTCTTGTGAGGATTAACTGTACAAGAGACAGCCATACTGCCAAATCCAACGGACATTTCGCAACCCTCATCTTAATCTGTCCAGCACTTGACAATCACTCCCTTCTCCAGGAAACATTTTCTTTACCAGGTTTTCACTTGCCTGGTTCCCCCACCTCTCATGAGCACTCTCCTTGGACCTTTTAATACTGGAGTGTCCCAGGGCCTCTGGCCTTAGGTCTCTTCTCTCCTGTATAAACAAACACTCTTTCCCTTGGTGATGTTATCCAATCTTACGACTTTAAATATTAGAAACTATATGCTGACAACTCTCAAATGTATTAGCTCTAGTCTGGACCTCCTCCTTGAATTCTAGATTTCTGTATCTAAGGGTCCACTTGACACTTCTACTTGGATGTCTAATAGGCATCTCAAAATTTGGTAGAGCCAAAATTGGGCTCCTCATCCTTCCCCCAAAACTAAGGATGGTGTGACACTCCTATCTCAGTAAATGGCTTACCCTATCCTTCCAGAATCCAGTTGCTCAGGCCACAAATCTTATGGTTAAACTTGACTCTCTCACATCCCATGTCCAGCCAGTCACCAAATCTAATGATTCCACCTTCAAAATAGGATCTGATCACTTCTTATTACCTCCACTGCTTTCTCTTCAGTCACACCATTTCTTACCTAGATTACCAAAATAGTCCTGGCTATTTCTAGCTGTATTGGTCTCTCTGCCTCGGCCCATCTGTTGTAATTATCAACTTGGCAGCCAAAATGATGCTGTTAAAAAATGTATGTTAGATCATGTCATTCCTCTGTTCAGAACCTAGCAATTACCCTCCATCTCACTCAGAGTAAAGGTCAAAGAATGATCATAGCTACAAGGCCTATACAGTCTGTACTACACCCAACCCCAATCCCATACTTCTCTGACCACATATCTCTCTACTCTTGCCTCTGCTCGTTTCTCTAGCCTCACCAGCAACCTAAATATTCTGTGAATACACCAGGCCTGCTCCTGGTTTAGTCTTTGCACCTGCTAATTCCTTGTCTGCTGTAGTTTCACAGACAGCAACACAGCTTGCTCCCTTACCTCCTTTCGGGTCTTTACACAAACAGTGTCTTCTCAATGAAGTCTTCCTTAACCAGCCTATTAAAAAGTGCAACTTTCTCCCTCCTTAGTACTATTTGATTTCCCTGCTTCAAAGGAAAAGGGCATATTTTTGTACTCCCTCTATTAGAATGTAAGTTCCATGAGTGAAGGGATTTGTGTGTTTTGTTCACTGATGTACCTGTAGCAAATAAAACAGTATCTAGCATATAGCCAAAGGAGCTAGCTCAAATAAGGATAAGCATATAGGAATAAAATGACAAAAGAATAAAATTTCCTTTCCTGGCCAGGTGTGTTGGCTCACGCCTGTAATCCTAGCACGTTGGGAGGCCAAGGCAGGCAGATCATGAGGTCAGCAGTTTGAGACCAGCTTGGCCAACATGGTGAAACCCTGTCTCTACTAAAAATATGAAAATTAGCTGGGTGTGGTGGCGCATGCCTGTAATCCCAGCTACTTGGGAGCCTGAGGCAGAAGAACTGTTGGAACTCAGGAGGTGGAGGTTGCAGTGAGCCAAGATTATGCCACTGCACTCCAGCCTGGACGACAGAGCAAGATACAACTCAAAAAAGTATTTCCTTTTCTATTATACTCAAATCTCCTAGAGTTGAGACAGATTTAAGATTTCATAATTCACTTATACATTCACCAAAAATGTATTTAGAGTGTCTGCTGTATTATCACTGTTCCACGCACTGGAGAGAACACAAATAAGAGGTTTTGCTTTCATTTCATTTCATTTCAAAGTACTTCCAGTAGCAAACTAGCAAAATTTCACCTGTTTTCATATTTTTCCTATTGTTGAGCCAAAATAATTTCCAGCACAGATGCTAAATGAATGTATTTACTATTGTTTGAGTGACAATTCAAAAGGGAAACAGTAATATTTGATAGAAAACATTTAAAAAGCAGATTTTTCAGGCCAGGTATGGTGGCTCATGCCTGTAATACCAGCACTTTGGAAGTCTGAGGCAGGCACATTGCTTGGGCTCAGGAGTTCGAGACCAGCCTGGGCAACATGGTGAAACCTCGTCTCTACAAAAAATACAAAAATTGGCGGGGCATGCTGGTGTGTGTCTGTAGTCCCAGCTACTCAGGAGGCTAAGGTGGGAGGATTGCTTGAGACTGGGAGGCAGAGGTTGCAGTGAGTTGAGATCACGACACGGCAGTCCAACCTGGGTGACAGAGTGAGACTCTGTCTCAAAAATAAAAATAAATGAAAAGCAGATTTTCAAAACATAATTTGAAATTCATACAGATTGAAATACCTTGATTCATCACTGATTAAATTTAAAATGGACTTTTGTGTAAAAATAAATTTTAATTCAAATTTAGAAAAATATCTTGATTCAACACTGATGACAGTGAGTCATTATCAAGCAGATTCTGATGGAAACTGCTTTACACTACGACAGGTAAACCAATGTAACATTCTAGATAGCAGATTTGTAATGCAATTCAGTGGAAAAGACAGCTCTATTCACTGGGGAAATTCTCATAGAGCCGAAAAAGCTGCTTTATGTTTAGGTCCCAAAATAGGCTCTTAACTCTGGCTACCTATTAGAATTATCTAAGGGGGGCTTTTAGAAAATACTAATGTCTGAGCCCAACCCTAGCCGAATGAAACTCAATCTCTAGGGTGGAGCCGGACATCTATAGTTGTTAAAAGCTCCCCAGGTAATTCTGATGCACAACTGGCTTGAGAATCACTGTTCTACAAGTTCCTATTATTGATTGTCACTTCAGAGAGAAGGATATGGTTATTTATGTCAACTCTTTCCCACTATCAGTATTGATTGAAAAGATTTCTCAACAATAGTTACTGTCATCAATATGGCATTTTTCCAGAAGCTTCACCTGGCAGCCCTAGCCTACAAACTGTCACAGACCTGCCAACGTTGTCCAGAATCTGGAATCTGAAGACTTCAAATCAGCTGTCTTATCAGAGGTCATTCTGTATTCTAAGCAACTGACACTTTTCTGAAGGACAGTGAAGCCAATTTAAGCAATTTTTATCAAAGCTACAGACTTTGACTTACAGTTACTAAGGAGTAAAGATTTTCAAAAGTAATTAACACCAAGGTTTTTGGAACAGAATTTTATAACACCTCCTACCAAAATAAAGCATACTTTTTTGGGCTTATTTTCCCAAAGCTTTTTATTAAATTTCAAACATATATAAAAGTAGAGAGAATATAAAATAAATTCCTATATACACATCACAACTTTGACAGTTACCAACTCCCAGCTAATCATGTTTCTTCTGTACAACCCCATATTCAACACTACTGCTAATCTAGATAATTTTGAAGCAAATCTCAGATGTCATATAATCAAGTCTTTAAATAATGCAGAAAGTAACTAGAAGGGACTTAGAGCCAGAAAATAGGAATGACAGAAAAAAGTCATAATAGTTTATAAGAGGAAAAGGGCAGTTGAATGTCTCCTCATATCTGCAGTGCTGGGATTACAGACATGAGCCACTGTGCCCGGCTGTATTTTTCATTAATAATAATAATATTTTAAAAAACACAAATTAGTCACTACTTATCAATTCTATGGCGGAAAAATAAAGAGGTCCTTAGATGTAGGAGAAAAAAAACAACTGTGAAGAATCACTACAATAGAAATGTCACTATTACCAGTCTCCATTCAGTAAAAGTTCTAAAATTATTGACTGGCTGCCAGAAGGGAGCAGGCAGGAAAACCAAGGGACTGGGAAGGTCAGTGAGGTATTTGTCCCAAAATTATTATTATTATTTTTTGCATCATGCCCTACAGCAGTAGGTTCTCAGCTTTGACTACCCATTAAAATCACCTGGAGAGCATTAAAATCCTGTCCCTTGAATGCCATATGCCAAACCAATTAAATCAGAATCCTTGGGGGATTGGGGGGCGGTTGTGGGGGCGGGGGTGGGGTAGGACCCAGGTGGCAATTTTTAAAGGCTCCCTAGGTGATTCTAATAAGCTTCCAAATTTGAGCAAATCTCACTGATTAGAAGTATCTGGGGTAGCCTAACATTTTTTTCCTAAAGTTTCTAGTAACTTTTGAGAACCTCAGAATAGTTTTTTAAAAAAGAGACATCAAATTAGATCTATAGAAAAATATTGTTCTAAAAAATATAGACAAAGTAAATTAAATTGCTAGTTAACCTATTCTACATAAGCTAGATAAAAAGTGTGTAGTTGGAGACCATAGGGCTTATTCTCATCTTTTCTGATATGTACAGCATAACTTTATCGGTTTGCTCAGAATGGTGATTAAATAAGTGTTGTCTGCAGGAGGGTGAATGGCAAGTCCTTTGAAAATCAATGAAATGGTCAGGAGCTGTGGCTCTTGCCTGTGTCTGTAATCCCAGCACTTTGAGAGGCAGCAGGATCCCTTGAGGGCAAGAGTTCAAGACCAGCCTGGGCAACATAGTGAGACTGACCCCTATCTCTACAGAAAACTTAAAAAAAAAATTAGCCAGGCTGCGGCTTGAGCCCAGAAGTTAAGGCTGCAGTGAGCCATGATCGCATCACTGAACTCCAGCCTGGGCAACTGAGCAAGACCCTGTCTTTAAAAAAAAAAAAAAAAAAATCAATGATCAGCCTCTGCCTGATCTGACCTTCATCTTCCCTCACTCGACTTTATGTTAGTATGATGATATTCACTCCCTGGTAAATCCTGAACAAATCCTAAACTTCAGTGTTTCCATACTATGTATATCTATTTAAACTTTATCATCAGTGTAGACAGTTGTTAAATACTTTTTATCTCCTTTTGGATGCATGGTTCTGTGATAGGTATAAGACAGTGTATCTAAAAAATGTCTCTCGTCATTACTAACAGGACACACAGCATGCAGACAAGTTCAGCTTTGGACTTGTTATTTTGCTCAAATCCTCTTTTGGCAAAGGCCAAGGCCAATCTGAGGATTGACATCCCTGAACTTGTGAGTGATCAATAATCTTCAAATTGCATAGTTTTCATGACACCTAATGAGGGTAAAAATCTTAGTAATTAGAACAATCATATCATTCAGTTTATCATTACCTAAACATTCACTTTCAAATATAAACATCCTAGATAAAATGAAGTAAAAATGTCTTTATGTGCTTGTTTTATCAGCCAACTGAAGTGTAAAATACCACAATAATTAATGATGCCTGTGAAAGCTTAATTTTAAGTATAAAACAATCAGTAATAACTTTCAATTATTTAGGAAAACAGAATGATAGTTAATACAAACATTGAATACACTAGATTACTTTCTCAAGAACATATCTTGGGAATAGGTTAATAAAAATTTAAATAATCTAAAACAGAATAATAGACATTAGATTTTATAATAACTCAAACTTTGCAGAAATGTATTACCTACTAGTAGTCACAACATTAAAGAAAATAACCTTGAAGACCTGTATTTAAATTTCTGTTGGGGAATTGACGATGAATGAAAATCAATGTCCCCTCAAACTATCATGAGTTGGAAAAATTCCTAAATTATATATAAACAACAGATATATAATAATCCAATATAATATCTAATCATGATATAAAAAAGTGTTAAGATAAAACTTAGAGAAAACTGAGATATCCCAAGTACATTTTGTTTACTCAAAGTTCACTACAGAAGACTCTAGAAGAATGTTTTAAGACATCTATAGTTTGGAATCTATGAAGGTTTGATAGTTTAATGTAAATTATTACAAATTATCCTTTTCAGCAGCTGAAGACAATTCTTTGAAGACAAATAATTTTTGAGGTTTGCCTTAAACTATGAATTCTAGATACAAAGCTCTTTCTAGTAAAAGACTTACTGAAAAACTTTTTCCTGAATTACTTTTGGCATACAAAAAGGTTACTGATGTTTTTAAATTTGCCAGTTTAAAATGATGTCTATTAGGTGTTACTAATGTACAGTATGTGACTGCAAGAGAAATCTAACAGCTGACTATGCCAAGAAACTGTTCCTGTACTGTAATTTTACACTTCTAAAATCTGACTGCTATTGTTGACAACAATAGACTATAATAATAAATATATATGATAAATTTCTTGGATGAATTAATTCTTCCACCCTAGAAGTTTATTCTGTGTCAGTGCAACATCAGCCACAGGCAAATGTTAATTTTAATATTTGGTCACTGGCATTTGGCTGAAATGTGTATTTGGTACACCTCTACTAATAAGCCATTTAGAGGCTTATTGCTATGCTTCTTGGTAGAGAGAACCTAGTCTTAGCCTGAGTGAGTATTTTTATCTTGATAGTTTTAGGAAAAATCACAACAGTTTCACTCACAATTGATATCAATTCTCTATTCTCCCTTTCTTTATAGTTCTTAGCACTTTAAGTCTGTTCTGTGTAATTCAATATTAAATTGCCCACTGTCTTGTACTGTTTACTGTACTCACATGATCTTCACAGAGGAGAGTTCTTCCTTTAGGGTGGCACTATGTTTCTTTTACATTACCCATAGTGCCTGGTGCAGTGTGGGTCAGCCAATATATATTTACTATTTCACTTAAACCCATAGTATTACTGGCTTTGCATCATAGATATAATTTTCCTTCTCAATTTTAGGCTATTCCGTAAATAAACTATCCAAAGTGAAATATATAATGGCTTGAGCAAATAAAGGTTGCATTCAATAGAAGAGAGAAATAATGTTGTTTAGTGGAGGAGAAAATAGAATACTGTATTTAGATCTGTGACATTGAAAGGTAAGTCACTTACTTTCTCTGTGCCTTTGGATTCTGCAAGGCAATAAATAAAGTCAAAATAATTGAGAAGGATAATTGTAATATAAACACTAACCTGAAAGTTCGAACAAGATTTTTAAGTTGTGTGTAAATATCTCCCAATGTAATCTGAAGAGGAACCAGAAGCCCAGGCAACCTGAAAATTTAAAAATTACATTTATTTTAAAACAAAATTATATGGAAACTTTTTTTGGGTCATGCCTAGATCTGAATTTTCCATAGCTAATAATGGCATTTAGATGGAAGCAGTCATGATTTAAAGGTTAACCTAGGTTATGATTGGTGAGAACTCATAAGGAAACATTCATAGTAACCCCACACTCCACTTTGTAGTCTGTTACTGAGTGTGAAGCACTGAAACACAAAATCATTTTGGCAGCTATTTAAATTCTTGTCCCTAGTTTTACTTACCTGTTTATTTTCAAATATTAGACCAAGATGGAAAGAACACAACTGCCCCCAAAATGGTCCAATCTGAGAGTGTGGTATATTCTTCCTTACTAAATCCCCATGGTGGGAGTGAAAATTAGTACCTTTTTAGGAAGCAATTTGACAATATATATTAACAGTTTAAATGTGTTTGACCCAACAGTTTTACTATGAAAAAAATTTAATCTAAGGAAATAATCAGATGAACATAAAAAATATGCTTGTTGCAGAAATAGCTTTAGTAGTGAAAAATCAGAAACAAATGTGTATCAATAGGTGATTGGTTAGATAAATTATGCTATACCCATTTAATAGAATAAGACATTTAAAATAATGTGAATCTATTTTTTAATATAAAAAGATATTCATGATAGATGTGAAGTGAAAAATGTACATAGTATTATCCTATTTTTATAAAAACATGTATTATATAATACCATTGTACTTCATATATATCAAGCATATTTCATTCCTTCTAGGTTTATCCACAGAGAGAACCAAATAGAATGAATATACATATGCCATATATATGTCAGGGATATACATCAAAATATTAATAGTAGTTATTGTTGAGTGGTGGGATTACAGGTAATTTTTACTTCCTTCTTTAAACCATTTTGTACTGCCTCATTTTCTAAAGTATGTGTTACTTTATTTTTTTAAGCTTCTTTTTAAGACCAGTGTGATAGTATAAAAAGTTTCACACATGTTCCAAAATAGAAAGAATAGTAATAATCCCGTATATCTATTTCCAGATTCAATTTCTTAATTTTTGCTACCTTTGCTTCATTTTTCATTCCCTTCAGCACCCAGGCTGGAGTGCAGTGGCATAATCCAAATGTCAGGCAATAACAAATGCTGGTGAGAAATGTGGAGAAAAGGGAACCCTCATACAGTGTTGGTGGGAATGTAAATTAGTACACCCACTATGGAGAACAGTTTAATCACGAGCATAATCATAGCTCACTGCAGACTCAAACTCTCGTGCTCAAGCGATCCTCCACTTCAGCCTCCTGAGTAGTAGCCCCACAACACCCGATTAATTTTTATTTTTATTTATTTTTTTGAGATGGAGTCTCACTCTGTTGCTCAGGCTGGAGTGCAGTGGTGCGATCTTGGCTCACTGCAAGCTCCGCCTCCTGGGTTCGGGCCATTCTCCTGCCTCAGCCTCCTGAGTAACTGGGACTACAGGCATCCGCCACCACGCCCGGCTAATTTTTTTTGTATTTTTAGTAGAGATGGGGTTTCACCGTGTTAGCCAGGATGGTCTTGATCTCCTGACCTTGTGATCTGCCTGCCTCAGACTCCCAAAGTGCTGGGATTACAGGTGTGAGCCACTGCACTCGGCCGAATTTTTATTTTTATTTTTGTAGAGATGTGGTCTTACTATGCTGCCCAGGCTGGTCTTGAACTCCTGGCTTCAGGTGATCCCCTTGCCTCAGCCTCCCAAAGTTCTGGGATTACAGGCATGAGCCACCACACCTGGCACATTTTTTTCTTATTTTGTAGTAATATTTTAAAGTAAATCCCTGTCGTCATGTCATTTGACCCCTAACTGTTTCCATTTTTATCTCTAAATACAAAGGCACTTTCTTATATAATCACAATAAAATGATCATAACCATCCAAATTAACAATTCCTTAGTGTCATCTAATATACAACATATTTTATTTCCTCTGATACTCTGAAATAAACACTTTTTACAATTGGTTGGTTCAAATAAAAAACCAAAAAAGGTCTAACTTTGATAATGAGAAAAAAACCCAACAGCTTTCATAAACAAACAACAAAAAACTCCTATACCATAATTAGTTTTGTCTTCACTCTTCTTTATGCCTTGGTTAATGTGAAATGTTTTCTGTATTTTCAAACTGCTACAAAATAAAACTTCATATTCACAACCCTTAAATAATGACTGACACACTTTTCCATGTTTTCTGCTAAAATAAGAAAATGCAGGTTGAAAAGTTCAACACAGCCCTCATACCTCTGGGAAAAAAAAACCTTCAAGTTCTTTTTGAAAGAAAAACCAAGATAGCAATTTTTAAATGTCATTTATGACTGGGCTAATTACAAGAACAATAATTTCCACCACGGGAAGTTTAAAGCTAAAG
Source organism: Homo sapiens (assembly GCF_000001405.40). Lineage (NCBI taxonomy): Eukaryota > Metazoa > Chordata > Mammalia > Primates > Hominidae > Homo > Homo sapiens. Next base: position 92,333,938 of record NC_000001.11, on the reverse strand, counting down.
TGCAACGTTGAGTTGAACAAAAACTCATGTTGCTGAGTGTGAAATGGTTCTAAGGATATGCATGCAGAGTGACTTAACAGACCCTTAAAACTTTGTAATAACATCTTATTTGCATCTGAAACTGCTGTGACACATTTACCGCAAATCAGTATTTAAATGGGTCTAGCTTTGATATTTTTTCCCTGACTTCACTGATTAGGTGGGAGTAAGGTAGTTTGGTCTTCTAAACCCACAATCTCAACCTTCCTCTTTATGATGTGCCTCTGTGTCCTCTACACAAAAATTTGTATTTCTTGGATAAAATATCTTAAAAATCCAAATTTCTTAAGTGAAGAAATCCATGTGAACTTTTCACATTATTTTTCAAAATGTTCAAAATCTGAGGATAATACTTACACATTATGAGCTTAAATGTCAAGTTAATTTAAAACTACTACAAAGCTGGAATGGCAATTACATACTTACACTTTACTCAACTTTTCAAGTACGATGCGTTTTCTAATCTGGTTCTGGGAACTTGAGTCTATCAGTGGAAAGGTGGAATCATGCTGAATCACATTTTTAAACAAAGCAAAACAGAATCATAAGTTTACATTCTTTCTTTGATAAGCAGAACAATAAACATTAAAACACAAAAGTTTGTATCTGTGGCACAGTAGGAAAATAACTAGACTTGAGAATTAGATTTAAATTTGAGTATCAACTCAGTTGTTAGGCTGTTGTGAACTTCTTTGAGTCATTTGCCCTCTTTGGAGAGTCAGTTTTCTCATCTTTATAATTGGGATATTAATACCTCCTTTATTAAATAATAAAATGTAAACAAAAAGATTTTGTAAACTGCTAAGTGCTGTACAAATGTAGGGGATTAAAATATTAAAATTAGCAAATACTATAAATATATTATGAGGAGTTCAGTCATTATGTCATTTGACCCCTAACCATTCTAGAAATGGCAGACAAGATAATTCAAACCGACTCTCTCTCTGAGAACTGAAAAAAGTTGGGGGAAAACAATCCACATTTGTTTGAAACACATTTGTTAGCATCAGAGAGCTAACGAGGCTATAAAGAATTACAGTCTGAGATCCTGGAGAAGGTAATTACAGATAGAGCACTAATTTTCTAATTAGATATTGAGAAATTGAGCAGTTTTTCTAATAAAAAGAGTTCAGGGTATCCTTCAAGAAGGCAGGGGTATGGGCAACCTTCCCCAAGTATGAGACCAGGACTTGGAAAGACCATACTCTAGGAATAACAGTAAGAATAGGAAATAGACTAGTTCTTTCAGGGAGTGAATCCCACCTTGAAATCATCTTAATCTCTGATTACATTACAGTGACATGGAACTGCTACAAATCATGTCAGAAGCAAATATAAATCTATTCTAGAGGAAGATAACATCATCCTGAGTCTCCAGTTATCTCTGTAATTTTTAATATACAATGTTTGGCATATAATAAAACACGACAATATGATAAAAATCTGAAACAGCCTACAGAGATCAATCCTCAGGGAATCTAAATAATGAAGTTATCAGCATTATTTAAAATACATGTTTAATATATTCAAAGAAAAATTATGAGGTTGAAAATTTTTGACAGATAATTGGAAACTACATAAAATAACAAAATGAAAACCCTAGAATAGAAAAATACGGTATTTAAAAGTAAGAACTAATGGGGAGACATAAAAGCATAGTAGAAATGGCTGAAGAGAGAATGCTGAATAAGAAAATATCCAGAATGAAGCACAGTCACCACTCCCCAAACACATAATGTAAAGCACAAAGGAGATTAAGAGACCTACAAGATACAGTAAAAAAAAAGACTAAAGAGAAGAGGCAGAATGGAATAGAAGCAATATCTAAGAGATAACTGGGAACATTCCAAAACTTACAAAAAAAAACCTTAAAAGAAGCTAGAGGAAGAAAACACAATACTTTCAAAGGAGTAGCAATAAGAGATACAAATGTAAGCCAAAAGACAAGGGAATGATATTTTCAATGGGCTGAAAGAAAATAACTGCTCATCTAAAATTCAATATAGAAAAATATCTTTCAAAAGTGAAAGTAAAATAATTTTCTGACAAAGAAAAACTGAGAAAATTCTTTATCAACTGATACTAAGAGAAGTATATTCTTCAGGCACAAGGCAAATGATCTCAGATGGAAGAATGGGGATAGAAGAAGGAATGAAAAACAATGAAAGAGTAATTAATTGAATAAATCCAGCTGAGTATTGGCTATAAATAATCTTGCAATATATTTGAAATTTAGAGAAAATAAAAATATCCAATAACAGAACATAAGTCAAGAGGGATAGATGGAGTTAAATCATGCTAAGGTGCTAATTGTCCAGGAAGCAATAAAAGTATTAACTTACATTAGACTTTAATAAGACAAAGATTCAGGTTTTAACACTTAGGGTAACCATTTAATGATCAGTAAAAGAGTATATAAAAACAATTTAACAGAGGCTAAAAAATGGAATAATGATTCAATGCAAAAGAAAGCAAGAGAGAAAAGGAAGACAGAATAAGTGGGACACATAGAAAGAGGAGTGAGATGGTAGATTTAAACCCAAATACTGTATACCAATTGTGACATGAAATGCAAATAGATTAAATTCTCCATATAAAGGACAAAGATTATCAATCTAGACAGATTGTCCTTGACCACATTAATACAAGAATGTTAATGTCAGCAAAGTAGACTGTAAAGAAAAAAAGCAAATAGAAAGGTTGCTCCATAGTGATATGAGTTTCAATTCACCAGGAAGACATAACAATTTTACATTTATACCCAATAACATGGTCTCAAAAAGTAAAATTTGCAGAAATAAAAGTAGAAATAATCAATCCACAATTAAGGTGAGAGATTTTTAACTCATCTTTCTCAGTGACTGATGGAATGAGCAGACCAAAACCCAAACCCAAACCACCACACCCCAACAGTGCTTCTCAAATGTTAATGTGCATGCTCATCTTCTGGGGATCTTGTTAAAAAGTAATTCTCATTCAGTAAATATGGGGTGGGGATAAGAGTCTGCATTTCTAACAGGCTTCTAGATGATGTTGACGCTGCTGGTTCCATGGACCACACATTGTATAGTAAGCACTGTATTAGTCTATCTTTGTGTGTTTCTGAAAATTTCCATAACAAAAAGTTTTTAAAAATTGACTACCCACAGGCCAGGCGTGGTGGTTCACACCTATAATCCCAGCACTTTGGGAGGCTGAGGCAGGCAGATCACTTGAGCTCACGAGTTCGAGACCAACCTGGCCTGGCCAACATGGTGAAACTGTGTTTCTACTAAAAATACAAAAGTTAGGCAGGCATGGCACGGGTGCCTGTAATCCCAGCTACTTGGGAGGCTGAGGCAGGAAAATCGCTCGAACCCAGGAGGTGGAGTTTGCAGTGAGCCAAGATGGCACCATTGCACTCCAGACTGGGCAACAGAGAAGATTCCATCTCAAAAAAAAAAAAAAAAAAAAAAAAAAATTGACAACCCACAAAGAAAATCAGAGGAAAAGATAGTTCAATGAGTGATCTTCTAAACATTTAAAGAACTAACATTAATTTTAGACACATTCTTCCAGAAATGGAGGGAACATTTCCCAACTTGTTTTACCAAATGATTACAACCAAAACCTGATAACGATATTACAAGAAAGGAAAATTATAGGCAGTGCAAGGTATCTTCATTCTGAACAATTTTCACCCTTTTCCACCTGTCTTTGTACTTCAGAAGGCTGATCTGTATGGGCTGCATCAATGGGCTTCCTTGCTCTCTGGCTTTTATCTCAGTTTTGCCAATGAAGAATAAGAAACTGGACGGTGCAGAAGAGTCATTCCCACTTGGTCCACTACAAGCAGCACTTCCTTGGTACAAGACCTTGTGGTCCACTCCTACCTTTTTCCTTGAGGTCTAGGGGTGGTGAGGGCTCTCAAACTATGATTAGTGTATCATTCCTTTGGTTTCCTTCATTCTGACCACATTTTCACGCTTTGGAAAACAGTCCTATAATTAAACTTTCCTCAGATTACTTAATTTGTACCATGTGATTTATGATGAGACCATGACCAATTCATACGCTAATGTCACTCATTCTGAAAATATGTGCAAAAATTCTAAGGCAAATATTAGGAGGACCAAATCCAGTATTATATAAAAAGGCTATTATAGCTCAATCAAGTTGAGTTTATTATAAGAATGCAAAGTTGGTTTAATATTAAAAATAAATGTTAGGTCTGGGAAAAAATAGCAGATAGGAGGCAGGACTAACTTGCAGTTCCCACTTGGTCAGACAGAGCGGCATGTGGAGACTCCCATCATGAACTTTTGCTCCAAGAACTACCGCAGAAACATACCAGAAAAGGCAAGGAACTGTGAGTCAGCTTGCTTTCTCAGCTGGGAGGCCTGTAGCCTGGGGCAAGTTCTCAGCCCTGCTCATCAGCTGCCTGGAAATAAACTTGGTGCTGTTGTGGGGGCACGGTGGGAGTGAGTCTGGCCTTTTAGGCTGCAGGCTGTGTGGAAGCTGGGTGAGGCCTGTGGTTGCCAGCTTTCCCCCACTTCCCTAGTGACCTGTGTGATGCAGCAGAGTCAGCCATAATCCACCTGGGAACATAACTCCATTGGCCTGGGAATCACACAATGGTACCCCCACCTGATGGTCTTTCTCTACTGGCCCTGGTAGCCGAAGACAAAGGACTTAATCTCTTGGGAGCTCTATGGCCCTACCCACTGCCTGACCCCAGAGCAAGCTTGTATCCTCCCTATCCTACTGCAGCTGATGCACTCTTGAAAGCACCACCTCCTGGCTGAAGGCCAACCAACACAAAACCAGCGCACTTAAAAAAAATACAATTAAGGACCCTCACAGAGTCCACTTCACTCCCCTGTACCTCCACTGGAGCAGGTGCTGGTATCCACAGCTGAAGACGGATCACATCACAGGACCCTTTGCAGACACTCCCTAGTACCCGCCAGAAGCCTGGTAGCTCTGCTGGGTGGCTAGATCCACAAGAACAATAACAATCACTGCAGTTTGGCTCTCAGGAAGCCCCATCCCTAGGGGAAGGAGGAGAGCACCAAATCAAGGGAGCACCCTGTGGGACAAAAGAATCTAAACAGCAGCCCTTGAGTCCCAGATCTTCCTTCTCACAGTCTACCCAAATGAGAAGGAACCAGAAAAACAATTCTAGTAATATGACAAAACAAGGATCTTTAACAACCCAAAACATCATACTAGCTCACCAGCAATGGATCCAAACCAAGACAAAATCTCAGAATTGCCAGAAAAAGGATTCAGAAGGTCAATTATTAAGCTAATCAAGGAGGCACCAGAGAAAGGTGAGGCCCAACTTAAAGAAATCAAACAAATCATACAGGATATGAATGGAAAAATCTCCAGTGAAATAGATAGCATAAATAAAAAACTATCACAACTTTGGGAAATGAAGGACATACTTAGAGAAATGCAAATGCACTGGAAAGTCTCAGCAATAAAATTGAGCAAGTAGAAGAACTTCAGAGCTTCAAGACAAGGCTTTTGAATTAACCCAGTCCAACAAAGAAAAAAGAATTTAAAAAATGAACAAAGGCTCCAAGAAGTTTGGGATTATGTCAAACAAACAAACCTAAGAATAATTGGTGTTCCTGAGAAAGAAGAGAAATCTAAAAGTTTGGAAAACATATTTGAGGGAATAATCAAGGAAAACTTCTCCAGCCTTGCTAGAGACCTACACATCCAAATACAAGAAGCTCAAAGAACACCTGGGAAACTCATCATAAAAAGATCATTGCCCCGGCACATAGTCATCAGGTTATCGAAAGTCAAGATGAAGGAAAGAATCTTAAGAGCAGTGAGGCAAAAGCATCAGATAACTTATAAAGGAAAGCCTATCAGATTAACAGCAGATTTCTCAGCAGAAACCCTATAAGCTAGAAGACATTGGAGTCCTATCTTTAGCCTCCTTAAACAAAACAACTGTCAGCCAAGAATTTTGTATCCAGCGAAACTAAGGTTCATAAATGAAGGAAAGATAGTCTTTTTCAGACAAACAAATTCTGAGAGAATTCACCACTACCAAGTCAGCACTACAAGAACTGCTAAAGGAGCGATAAATCTTGAAACAAATCCTGGAAATAATACCAAAATAGAATCTCTTTAAAGCATAAATCTCACAGGACCTATAAAACAATAAGACAATGAAAAAAAAAAAGCTGTTCAGGCAACAAATAGCACGATGAATAGAATAGTACCTCACATCTCAATACTAACATTGAATGTAAATGGCCTAAATGCTCCACTTAAAAAATACAGAATGGCAAAATTAATACGAATTCACCAACCAAGTATCTGCTTTTCAAGGGACTCACCTGACACATAAGGATTCACATAAACTTAAGGTAAAGGGTGGAAAAACATATTCCATGCAAATGGACACCAAAAGTGAGAAGTAGCTATTCTTATATCAGACAAAACAAACTTTAAAGCAACAGCAGTTTAAAAAGACAAAGAGGGACATTATACAATGATAAAAGGACTAGTCCAATAGGAAAATATGACAATCCTAAATAAATATGCATCTAAACCTGGAGCTCCCAAATTTATAAAACAGTTACTACGAGACCTAGGAAATGAGATAGAAAGCAACACAATAATAGTGGGGGACTTCAGTACTCCACTGACAGCACTAGACAGGTCATCAAGACCTGTTCCTGAATGATCACTAGGTCAACAATGAAATCTAAGTAGAAATTAAAAAATTCCACTGTGGTCTGAGAGAATATTTGATATAATTTTGATTATACCCTAGAACAAATGGATTTAACAGATATTTACAGAACATTCTACCCAACAACAGCAGGATATACATTCTATTCATCAGCACATGGAACAGTCTCCGAGATAGACCATATGATAGGCCAGCTGAACTTTGTAACAATTCCAAATGAACAGGAAGTCTCCTGGCCAGAACTCAAGGGAGGGTGTGAATCTGGTGTGCAGACTCCACAGGCTGGGAGATGTGAAAGCCCTACTTGTTCTCACAGGTGAGAGGCTGGTAGCCTGGGGCAAGTTCTCAGCCCTTCCTGCCCACTGCCTGTAAACAAACTTGGTGCTGTTTGAAGGGACATGGTGGGAGTGAAACTGGTCTTTTGGGTTGCATGGGAGCTGGGTGAGGCCTGCCACCAGCTTTCCCCCACTTCCCTGACAACCTGCATGACACAGCAGAGGCAGCCATAATCTTCCTGGAATAGCTCCACTGACCTGGGAACCACACTCCCATCCCCCACAACAGCCACAGCAAGCCCTGCCCAAGGAGTCTTGAGTTCAGACGCACATAGCCCTGCCCCCATGACGGTCCTTCCCTACCCACTCCGGTAGCTGAAGACAAAGGGCATATATTCTTGGGAGTTCTACGGCCCTACCCACAGCCTGATCCTCCCTATACTACCACAACTGATGCTCTCTTGAAAGTGCCACCTTCTGGCAGGAGGCTAACCAGCACAAAAATAGTACATTAAACAACCAAAAGCAAGGATCCTCACAGAATCCATTTCACCCCCCTGCCATCTCCACCAGAGCAGGTGCTGGTATCCATGGCTGAGAGATCTGCAGACCTGACCTAAGAGATTATCCAAGTGGTCAATAAGCAAATAAAATAGTGCTGAATTTATTCATCATCACAGTAATGTATTATAATCATAAACCAATACTACCAGAATGGCTAAAACTAACTATATCAAGTACCAGGGAGGACATGGAATCAAGGAAACTCCCATATAGTAGTAGTGGAACTGTAAACCGGTACAACCACTTTGGAAAACTGTTTGGCATTATCTAGTATAGTTGCATATATGCATATACGATAACCCACCATTCCCAGTCCTAGATACTTCAGAAATACATACGCATATTAGCAGAGAGATAAATACGAGAAAGTTCCTAAGAATATTGTTCATAATAGCCCCAAATTGGAAATAGTCTAAATGTCCATTAGCATAAATAAATGGTATATTTATATAATGGAATACTATACAGCAATAAAAGAATGAACTACAGCTATATGCAACAACACAAATGACTCAAAAGTATAATATTGCATGAAATAAACTGGACACCAAGAATATATACTGGAAAAAAAATGACAGAACTAATCTGTGCTAATATAATATTAATTTTGGAAAGAGGTGCTGATTAGGAGGGGATATATATGGGGCTTCTAGTTTACTTGTAATGACCTATTTCTTGGCTTGGGTAGTGATTACATCAGGACATTCATATGTGAATACTCAAGAAATCATATAATTACTATTTGTGTTGTACTTCAATGGAAATGTTTTAACATGTTATGTAACATTTTTGGAAAATGTTATAAATTTTTAAAAGTCAAATTTCAGGGATTATTTTTTCCTTTTTAAGGCTAAAAAGGACAAAATGATAAAATAAGTGATGTTCTATGGTAGGTTTATGCAGCTCAGTGACAGAGATCAATGTTTCTCCTAGCTTAATATAAGTTTTGGATGATGTCTAATAAGATACTTGAAATGATTTGAAGTAGGGTGCTGGGCCAAGCAACACTCTATAGAAATATATTTCTAAATTTTTTACTACATTTCTACTTCTACCCTCTTTCCAAATCTCCAATGTGCTTTTAAATTTAGAGCCACATTTACTTAGGAATATTTGAGAACAAAGTTTTGTGGTAAAAACAAGGTTATTACCCATTCCTCTTCATGTTAAATGACTTCATTTTCCAGGGAGTATACATCAATCAAAGATGGGTAGTAGAAATACTAAAAGATGCTCTCTAAATCTCAGTGGCACATTTTCAATCTCTACATATGGGTACTATTTACTGAGTACCAATTATATGTCATGTACTGTGATAAATGCTTTATACACATTATCTTTAAAACAAATAACAATTGAGCAAGAGAAGCTATTAATAGTTCCATTTACAGATGAGCAAACAGACCAAGAAACTAATTTTTCATACAGCTAGTAAATGACACAACAGATGTTCAAATCTAGGTCTATCTGAATGTGCTTTCCATTCTCTTTGTCCATTATTTCCCAATAAGTCTCTTTTACAAACTATTTTGATCTGTAATGTTTTCAATGGACATGCTTGCTAAATATTTTCCAATGTAACTACCAAGTCTATTCCATGGCATATACTTCCATTAAACACACACACACAGACCCCATGTAAAAATCTGAAAGAATACCGAAGAAGAAAAAGCAAGCCTCTTCAGAGGCTTCATTTATTGTATGAAGAATTAGGGAAAACTTTGTCCCACCATTTTAGGCTATTTTTACATTAGAAAAAAATATTGCACACTGATGAAAATTTGCTAGGGGTAAACGTCAACTTATTTGTAAAATAGTAATGCCAACAGTGGAGATGGCACTGTAAACCAAAAGGCAGAATGACTAAAGAAACTATTTGAAAATTTAACAATTAACTCTTCAATATCCTTCCTGCTCCAAGATTTGCTGTGGTGAGTTTTCCAAATGTTAACGATCTGGAAAAACTCAATGTCTGTAAGACATACCTCTTCTGAGTCTTGTGATTTGGTGGTTTCTTCACCCAAAACATACCGTCCTCTGTAAAACTCCCTGATCCTCAGATTTAACTTTTCAGTTTCTTTTTTCAAATTCTCGTAACTTGGCAGTGGTTTAATGGCTGTACCTGAGCCCCTAAAAGGTAAAGACTCATCCAAGCTGTTCTGAGATTCCCTCCAGGCAGGGAAATGACTATCTGGATCTGAGATTATGTCATCTTCATCAAGTTCTTCTTTAACCAGAGAGGCTTCGGGTTTCAGACACACAGAAGCATAATTCTGGCCATACAAAAACCTCAATGTTTCTTCTGTCTTCCACTCAATCAAAGTCTCCTTCAAAACTTTAAGTAAGTTTCTCTTTCCAACTTCAGGACACACCTGCACTGAACTAGACACTGACCTAGACACTTGGTTTGATTTGGCAAATTTTCTCTTAAAATGCTCTGCACTTTTCTTACTTATGCCTACTAGAGTTATTTCTGACCTACTGTATTCACTTTCAGAATTTTCTGACGCTTTTAATCTTTCAGGCAAAGTGCTATTTGAAGAACTCTGAGTATTTACTTTCTGTAAAGGAAGTTCACATGTAGCATCTTTCTCCTGACTATCTAATTTGCAATCGCCTAACTGCTCAGTGACATCTACTACTGTCTGTTCTTTGTCTTTGTGTTTGGAGTTAGCTTTGTGACCAGCTTTCTTTTTCATTATGCTTTTTTGGTGCAGCTGTGGTCTAATATTTGTTGAATTTGGTCTGTTTCCTGGTAGAATGGAGGAAACAAAGTCTTGCTCATTGTCACTGCTACTATCACTGTGAGTGCTAGAAGAACTAGATTCATATTGCTTTTCAAAGTGGCTAGGATTGTCGATATCTGATGTTTTAATGGCTTTACTGCATAACTGTACTTCTTCTCCAGAATGGCCACTGTAGAATGAAAGAGAAATAAAATAACTAAATAAAAAATAGCAAATAAAACCCGAAAACAATAGAAAAGTAAAGTACCCCATAGTATTTATACATTGTAACTTTCAAGGTAGAAATTTTTATTCCCCAGACAAAACCTTATTTCTAGGTTCTGATATATAAATTTCAGAAGAAGCCTATAATTTCAGTACATCTGTTAATAATATATTTTTTGATATAGTTCTCCTTCTGTATTCTTCCTTCATCTTTTTCCCCCAATTATTTTAAAATTGTTACAGGAGTACAGCAAAACTTTTTAAAAAACTTGATAATGCTATCCTACTGCACTATTTGGATTTGCCTGTTGTTGCAAATATATATATATATATAAATATATATATAAAGTATATATATAAATATAAAGATATATAAATATATAAAAATATAAAGTATATATTTATATGTACACATATTTACATATATAATATATACTTGTACATATATAATGTATATTATATATAATATATAAAGTATATATGTAGTTTAAAAAATATATAATATGAAAAATAATATAAAAATAAATATATATTTTTAAGACAAAGTCTGTGTTGCCCAGGCTGGAGTGCAATGGTGTGAACTCAGCTCACTGCAACCTCTGCCCCCTAGGTTCAAGCGATTCTCCCACCTCGGCCTCCCAAGTAGCTGGGATTACACGTGGGCACCACCACGCCTGGCTAATTTTTGTATTTTTTTAGTAGAGATGGAGTTTTGCCATGTTGGCCAGGCTGGTCACAAATTCTTGGCCTCAAGTGATTTGCCCACCTTGGCCTCCCAAAGTGCTGGAATTACAGGGGTGAGCCACCGTGCCCGGCTGAGCTTTTTATTTTTTATTTTTTGTATTTTATTTTATTTTTATTCATTTGAGATGGAGTCTTGCTCTGTCACCCAGGCTGGAGCGCAGTGGCAAGATCTCGGTTCACTGCAACCTCTGCTTCCCAGGTTCAAGTGATTCTCCTGCCTCAGCCTCCCAAGTAGCTGGGATTACAGGTGCACACCACCATGCCCAGCTAATTTTTGTATTTTAGTAGAGATGGGGTTTCATCATGTTGGCCAGGCTGGTCTCAAACTCCCGACCTCAAGTGATCCACCTGTCTTGGCCTCCCAAACTGCTGGGATTACTGGCTGACCTTTTTAAAAAAAGTTTTTCTTTTGAAAACTTTGGCTGAGTGTGGTGACTCACATCTGTAATCCCAGCACCTTGGGAGGCCAAGGCAGGTGGGTCACCTGAGGTCAGGAGTTCAAGACCAGCCTGGCCAACATAGTGAAACCCTGTCTCTACTAAAAATACAAAAATTAGCCAGGAGTGGTGGCGCATGCCTGTAGTCCCAGTTACTCAGGAGGCTGAGGCAGGAGAACTGCTTGAACCCAGGTGGCAGAGGTTGCAGTGAGCCGAGATCGCGCCACTGCATTCTAGCCTGGGTGATAGAGTGAGACTCTGTCTTGAAAAAAAAAAAAAAAAAAGAAAGAAAATTTCATTATCGGTTTCTTAAATAAAAAAAAAAATTACAGGAATTGTGTTTAGATTTGAAAAGATAAAATGATAAAAATAAATGGGTAAACATTTTCTAATTCTGGTTGATTGTTGTACAGAAAATTCTACAGAATGAAAATCACAGGAAAGTCATAGCAGAACAAGTTAGCAAATCAACATTTTTCAATAAAAGATATTTAAATTTGAAAATCCAGAGTTACAACAATATGCTAACAATAAAAGACAAAAGTTTTCCCTGACAATGTTCTTCAATTTTCAGATTAGATTTGAATAAGATGAAGAATTACGAAAAAGGGAAGGCAACAGTAGCTTTGCCAATACAAACTTGAAACAAACAAGGATGCTCTAAAGCACAGACACTATCAAAACTTTAAAAGATCAGGATGAAAAAGACTCTGGGTCAAGAAGCAAGCTGTGGGGAAATGTAAAGAAAAAAATATATATATATATAAAAGTTGAAAGCAAGGTCATGGATGGGAATGAAGAAAAAAGATGAAAAGTTAGTTTAGTCTTAGATACCATCTTTTAGTTAGAATCTAGCCTATATAGCCATGGGGCTGTCTCTTGCATCAGAAGAAAAGTAAAAATAGGTGTAAGCTCAAAAAAATTAGAACAATTTAACTTTCATGTATTTCATACTTTCTCTTGGAGTTTTAAGGCAATTATGTTTTTATACTACTCTGAAGCTATAAAGATATACATCAATAAATAAATATCTCTTATTTGTGCTCAACGCCATGTGACTAAGGTAGTGACTATTAACTAGGAACATTTATTCTGAGAGTTAAGGGATGTGTTTTGAGAGATGGCCATGGTCAGGCAAACAATACCATGAGGAAAGTTTAGAAAGAAAATCACAACTTGGAATTTATATTAATGCTTTAGATGCTCTTTCAAATAATTAAGTAACTGGTACATTACTGGTTTTGAAATCCTATAGGACTGTAAAAACCTTTCAACAAATGTAATAGGCACAATCTAGTTGACAAAGAAGCATGGTATCTGAGATGGAGGCTGTGTTTATGTCATATTTCAACAGGTTAAATTAGATTTCCTCGGGAGGAACAGCTGTACAATAAATCATACAGATCAAACACATCATCTTACCATCACAAAAGAAAAAGCTGAACAGGTCAAATATTTCTTTGTGTGGGCTAGAATGGGACACTTACATAATGCATCAGCACAGGAAGTCCAAGAGCTCATATCACCTGGTTCACTCCTAATGTTTCTATTAACATAAATATATAAATGGTAAATGATACTGATTCAACCATACCTTTGTTCTTCCTTTAGCAGTTGAAAATCAGGATGCCTGTAATAAGAACACAGAAATAAAAATTAGGCCGGGTGCGGTGGCTCATGCCTGTAACCCCAGCACTTTCGGAGGCTGGGCAGGCGGATCTCGAGGTCAGGAGATTGAGACCATCCTGGCCAACATGGTGAAACCCCATCTCTACTAAAAATACAAAAATTAGCTGGACATGGCGGTGCGCGCCTGTAGTCCCAGCTACTCAGGAGGCTGAGGCAGGAGAATCGCTTGAACCAGGGAGACAGAGGTTGCAGTGAGCCGAGATTGCGCCACTGCACTCCAGCCTGGCGACAGAGCGAGACTCCATCTTAAGAAAAAAAAAGAAAAAAATTAAAGGACAAAGTACTCTGAAATTCATCAACAAGAAATCTGGATTAGTCTCTCTCTTACCCAAACTATACTCACTTTTCAGGGTTAAGTTCAAATTCCACCAGCCCAATAAAGTTTTCCTTGACTAACTTGGACTAAAGTAAATCCCTTCCCTAAATTCCAGAGTCATCATTGTCTGTACAATTAACATAATTAATCATGAACTCCTTTATGGCCTACTACTAGAACCATTACCTAAATGTTTAACTTTTTCTTTTTCTTTTTTTTTTTTTTGAGATGGAGTTTTGCTCTTGTTGCCCAGGCTGGAGTGCAATGGTGTGATCACAGCTCACCATAACCTCTGCCTCCCGGGTTCAAGTGATTCTCCTGCCTCAGCCTCTCAAGTAGTTGGGATTACAGGCATGTGCCACCATGCCCAACTAGTTTTGTATTTTTAGTAGAGATGGGGTTTCTCCATGTTGGTCAGGCTGGTCTTGAACTCCTGACTTCAGGTGATCCTCCTGCCTTGGCCTCCCAAAGTGCTGGGATTATAGGCATGAGCCACTGTGCCTGGCCAATGTTTAACTTTTCATATGTTTAAGTCTGGTTTCTTAACTAGACTATAAGCTCCTTAAAGGCAGAGACTGTTTATAATTGTTGGATTTCCTTTACATGGTCAGTAAGACTTTTTGCCTTAATTTCTGAGAAAGCAGTTACATTGGAGTAGTAACAACCCCTCGCTCCCCACTGCCCCCACCTCAGCCTTCCACAGTGCTGGGATTACCAGGTGTGAGCCACCGCGCCTGCCAGACCTTAAAATTTAGTAGAAGAAAAATGCATGTTCTAAGAGCTTTACAGATATTGATCCTCATAACAACGATGTAGCTACTAATATTATCCCCATGTTATAGATAAGGAAACTGAGTACAGAGAGAATAAGCAATTTGCCCAAAATCACACAGCTAGTAGGTGGTGAAGCCAGGAATCAAACCCAGACAGTAAAGCTCATAATAACTACACTGTTATTCAAGACAATATGTGTTAAATGCCATGAGAGATGTATAAGCTGCTACAGGAAATCAGAGAAAAACTTGCTTCTGAGCCAATCAAAAGGAGTTTCAGAGAGGTGTCATTTCAGCTGGGCTTATAAAGATGGATACAGTCTGTATATAAAGGCATTTGAGGCTAATCCCTTGAATCTCCACTCTGGGGTATTTACTCTACAAACCTCTCCCTTTTTTCTCTTTTTTAAAGCATGTAATCGTGTTTAAATCTACCCAATCTCTTAAAAAAAACAAACAAACAATCCTTTGATCATACAGCCCCTACTCATTTCATCGTAAGCCTTTATTAAAGAAGTCTGCCCTCATCATTTTCAACTTCCATATTTCCTACTCAGTTATCAGCTTTCTGCCTTCTGGAATCTGTACTCATTTCTCTCCTGAAATGGCTCTCACTGAGATCACCAATTACTATAAGACTGCTCATAGATATTTTTCAGGTTTTTTTAAGGTAGAGGGAAAATAATCAATATGAAAGGATATCTCAAAGGAGGCAGAATACAAATAAATCAT
The DNA here is from genome assembly GCF_000001405.40 of Homo sapiens. Lineage (NCBI taxonomy): Eukaryota > Metazoa > Chordata > Mammalia > Primates > Hominidae > Homo > Homo sapiens. The sequence continues at coordinate 92,318,718 of NC_000001.11, read as the reverse complement.
AAAGCAAGGCCCAGGAGAGAAAGTGGAATCAGTAAGATAAAGGAGGGTACTTTATCAGCAATGAGGCAGAGAAATGAGAGCCCATATGAAGAAAATAATGTTGAAGGAGTTTCTGCTGGATGCCTCCAATTGGTTCAGTAAAGTGGGTTAAACTATCTACTATGGTTGGTGGTCGATTCAAAGTTTGAGAGTAGAAAAGGTCTATTCTATAGTCAGTAAGAAAGAAAAAAAAGGTGGGAAAAACATAGTAGAGAGAACAGGGCCAAAGGGATACAATGAATGTAGGCTTGGATATCAGACAGACCTGGGTTTAAATCCCAAATCTATATGTAACTAAGTGTCCTTGGGTGAGTCACCATACCACTCTGAGCCTCAGTTCCACCATCCATAAAGTGAGTAACATAATATTTCCCCAGGGATGCTAAGAGGACTGAATTAAATGAGATAGCTTATCTAAAGCGCTAATGGTCTTATTTGAGAACTTTCCCCAAAATGTTCAGCAAGCTAAATAGAAAAAAAGTATGACTGGAGGTTGGGAAGGTGGACATGCCAGAAGGTTAAGGGAGAAAGAATCTACAATTGTTTAAGAGGACACTGTAATCGCTGACTGTAGAGCTCAAGAAAACAAAAGTAAGAGGGTCTGCCAACTCAGAAGAATAGAGCTAGGCTAGAGATAGGAGGTCAAAATGAGGTCACAAAGCAGACTCAGGAGTGATAGCTGCAGATTGAGATAGAGGTTGTGGTCAGAGACGGGAAGCTCTTATTTCAAGATCTTGAAGGCAGAATAGTTCCAAACAAGAATGAGGTCCAAGTGTAGCTCAATCAAATGGTAATCAAAATATATAAACATTACTGTAAATTATGAATGCAATTTAAGACAGCTTTATGCAACATCTCCTGCTATACAACTTGTTATTTTTTGAGAATTAAAAGAAAATTGTATCTTTAAAGAAGGCAAGGGAAAAAGCATAAGGTAGGCATCACCTACCATATGCTAGGTGGATTTTTTAAATTGTGGTAAAATTTACCGTTTAATACATTTTTAGGTATATAGTTCAGTAGCATGAAGTATATTTACACTGTTGTGCAACTATCGCCACCATGCATCTCCAGCACTTTTTCATCTTCCCAAATTGTCTGCTAGATGGTTTTACACATTATTTCATTTAATCCTCACACAATTTACAACTCTATTTTTATTTTTATTTTTTTTGAGACAGAGTCTCACTGTTGCCTAGGCTGGAGTGCAGTGGCACAATCTCGGCTCACTGCAACCTCCGCCTCCCAGGTTGAAGCGATTGTCCTGCCTCAGCCTCCTGAGTAGCTGGGATTACAGGCACCCGCCACTACGCCCAGCTCATTTTTTGTATTTTTAGTAGAGATGGGGTTTCACCATGTTGGCCAGGCTGGTCTCGAATTCCTGACCTCATGATTCACCCGCCTCGGCCTCCCAAAATGCTGGGATTACAGTTGTGAGCCACCGCACCGAGCCTTCAACTCTATTTTTATAGATGAGGAAACCGAAGTTTTGAGAGGTTAAATGACTTCCTAAGATCACATAGCTAACAAGTAGTAAATCTAGGATTCGAATTAGGCCAAGCCCTTTCTATATCCTGTTGCCTCTATTTAGTGTTAGAAAAAGACCCAAAAAAGTTGCAAGGATACCACCTTTGCTTAATCCCTTTCACAGGAACTCAATATACTTTACAAACTATTTTCTTCTCCTTTGTGTAATTTTTCTAAGAACTAAACTCAACATTGTTTCTAGATCTTAACTATCTTAAAGGAACCTTAAATACCTTCCCTCATCCCCAATCTATAAAGAATGGTACCTGACACTGAAATAAACTAGATTCAAGATTCGATATAAAATTCCAGTTTGTTTTTGCTAGGTGCTGTTTTAGAAAGAATGAAGCACCAAGTTACATTGCTCTTTCTTTTCTGTCCTTTCTTAGATGAAATCCAAATTTCTTTCGTTTGAAGAGAAAGTGCCATTTCTCTTCCAGCTAAGTATTTTCTATTATCTTCCCACAATTTTTGTTGTCCTGAAGATAGTTGTGAAAGCTCAGTTTACAAAACAAAAATATGTAACCATCCTAGTTAAAGAATGCTTGTAAGCTGTTTCTTTATAAACATTTTCATCTTACTTTCACTAAGGTATAAATTAGATGATTGGTTTTCATTTTAGCAAAGTAAATCTAAAACTAGAAATAACTTATGCCAAAGAACTTAGTGGATATATGTACATATTTATATATATGTGCATATATATCACTTGGAATATGTATGTTATATGTAAACCAACAGAAGCAGCAGGTATGGTGAGAACTTTTCAAATCTATTTTGAGACATGTCAAACCCTGTTTCAGAAAGCTTTTATTCTGCATACCAAGCAACAGAGGTGGCTGTTCAGGAAGAGGTTATAGTTGTTCTGCAGAGGTTTTTGGCTTCCGCACCTCTGAGATTCTACTGTTTACTGCCAAGAAGCAACGTGTGAAATCCCCTACTCTGGACCAGATGATGGCGCTTTTAGCTCTGTCAGCATTAACCATTCACCCCAATTTCATCTTTAAAATCATAATTTGATTTTCCACATTTGTCCTTCTTAGATTTAAGATTTTAGATTACAATGCAGGAGACTTCCCACCTTCAAAGGCTTGTCAGAGCCTACATTTAGCCAAACAGGATTTATAACTGCAACTATATAATTACCTATGTGAGCACACTGTCTCAGAGCATCAAAACTCTATGTGGTCTGTTTCTGGCCACCAAGTGGGTGAAAAATTTCTAACTCACAAGATGAGAAGCATCACAGTGCGTCACGACCCAGACCATTCTAGGTCAATGTTTTGTCTCTAACAGGGTATCAGGAGACATTTTGTGAGAACCACTGTTAGTCTCCATGACATTACGGATCTACTCCAGATATTTTACATACCTTAAAGATGAGGAGCTAGAAAACCTCCAAGGCCCTTTCTGACTCCAAAACCTTATAAAAGTATGGAGGTAGAATTTATGAATTTGTCTAAATCTTAAATTTATTTAAACATCTATACCAATGAGGTAGTGAGCTTACTGTGATATAAAGATATTACTCTTATAAATTCTAAGGGATATTGTTTGGTTTTGGTATTATAAAATCTGGTAAATAAATTTACACAAGCATACCTTGTTTAACTGTGCTTTCCTTTACTGCGCTTTGCAAATACTGCATTTTTTACAAATTGAATGTTTGTGGTAACTGTGTCTGCCAGTCTGTCAGCACCATTTTTCCAACAAAATGTGTTCTCTGTGTCACAGTTTGGTAATTATCATATTTCAAACTTCATTATTATCTGTTATAGTAATATGTGGTAATTTTTGATGTTACTGTTGTAATTGCTTTGGGGTACCATGAACCAAGCCCACATAAAATGTCAAACTTAATTGATAAATGTGTGTGTTCTGACTGATCCACCAACCAGCTGTTCACCCATCTCGCTTCCTCTTCTCAGGCCTCCCTATTCCTTGAGACACAACAATATTGAAATTAGGCCAATTAGTAACTTTACAATGGAAGACTCACTGACATTGAATACTGCTTTTCCTTTAAATTTTTTTTTTTTTTGAGACTGCAACAAGACAAGACCTCTGTCTCTCTGAAAAGCTAATTTCTATTTATTTATTTATGATTTTGAGACAGAGTCTCGCTCTTCACCCAGGCTGGAGTGCAGTGGCACTATCTCGGTTCACTGCAACCTCTGCCTCTCGGGTTCAAGAGATTCTCGCACCTCAGCCTCCCGAGTAGCTGGGATTACAGGCGTGAGCCACCATGCCCGGTTAATTTTTGTATTTTTAGTAGAGACGGGGTTTTGCCATGTTGGCCAGGCTGGTCTCAAACTCCTGACCTCAGGTGATCCACCTGCCTTGGCCTCCCAAAGTGCTGGGATTACAGGTGTGAGCCACCACACCCAGCCTTTTTTTTTTTTAATTTATTGAGATGGAGTCTCACTCTGTTGCCCAGGCTGTAGTGCAGTGGCACCATCTCAGCTCACTGCAACCTCTGCCTCCTGGGTTCAAGTGATTCTCCTGCCTTAGCCTCCCAAGTAGCTGGGATTACAGGTGCATGCCACCACCTATTTTTGTATTTTTAGTAGAGATGGGGTTTCACCCTGTTGGCCAGGCTGGTCTTGAACTCCTGACCTCAAGTGATCCACCGGCCTTGGCCTCCCAAAGTGCTGGATTACTGGTGTTAGCCTCTGTGTCCAGCTGTAATCTAAGAGTCTATCAGTTGTGAGATCCATTTCAATTGCACAGATGTTAAAAATGTAAAAATGTATGCAACTTAGAATAAATAAAATGCACTACTAAATGCAAAAAAAAAAAAACCCAAAAACCAAAAAACAACAGCAACAGCAACAACAACAAAAAAACCCTTACAATGGCCTCTGAGTGTTCAAGTAAAAGGAAGAGTCACACTTTCTTTCACTTTAAATCAAAAGCTAGAAATGATTAAGCTTAGTGAGGAAGGCATGTCAAAAGCTGAGACTGGCCAAAAGCTAGGCCTATTTTGCCAGTACGCAAGTTGTGAATGCAAAAGAAAAGTTCTTAAAGGAAATTTAAAATGCTAGTCCAGTGAACACAAAAAAGCAAAACAGCCTTATTGCTGGTATAGAGAAAGTTTTAGTGGTCTGGATAGGTTAAACCAGCTACAACATTCCCTTAAGCCTAATCCAGAGCAAGGTTCTAACTCTCCTCAATTCTGTGAAGACTGAGAGAGGTGAGGAAGCTGCAGAAGAATAGGTAGAAGATAGCAAAGTTTGGTTCATGAGATTCAAGGAAAGAAGCCATCTCCACAACATAAAAGTGCAAGGTGAAGCCACAAGTGCTGATGTAGAAGGTACAGCAAGTTATCCAACAGATCTAGCTAGGAGCACTGATTAAGATAGCTACACTAAACAAATTTTCAATGTAGACAAATCAGCCTTATATTGGAGGAAGATGCCATCTAGGGATTTCATAGCTATAGAGGAGAAGTAAATATGTGGCATCAAAGCTTCAAAGGACAGGATGACTCTCTTGTTAGGGGCTAACGTAGCTGGTAACTTTAAGTTGAAGCCAATGCTTATTTATTATTCTGAAAATCCTAGGGCCCCTAAGAATTATGCTAAATCTACTCTGCTTGTGTTCCATAAATGGAACAGCAAAGCCTAAACGACTGCACATCTGTTTACAGCATGGCTTACTGAATATTTTAAGCCAACTGTTGAAACCTACTGCTCAAAAAAAAAAAAAAGATTCCTTTCCAAATATTACTGATTATTAACAATGTACCTAGCCACCCAAGAACTCTGATGCAAATGTACAAGATTAGTGTTGTTTTCATGCCTGCTAACACAATATCCATTCTGCAGCCCATGGGTCAAGGAGTAATTTCAACTTTCAAGTCTTAAGACATACATTTCCTAAAGGTATAGTTGCCATAGAGTGATTCCTCTGATGGATTTGGGCAAAGTAAATAGAAATCCTTCACGAAAGGATTCACCATTCTAGATGTCATTAAGAACATTTGGGAGTGGGCACAGTGGCTCATGCCTGTAATCCCAACACTTTGGGAAGCCAAGGTGCGTGGATTACTTGGGGCCAGGAGTTCGAGACCAGCCTGGCCAACATGGCAAAACCCCCATCTCTACTAAAAATACAAAAATAAGCCGGGTGTGGTGGCGCATGCCTGTGGTCCCAGCTACTTGGGAGGCTGAGGCATGAGAATCGCTTGAGCCTGGGAGGTAGAGGTTGCAGTGAGCTGAGATTTCGCCACTGAACTGAGGAGGCAGAGGTTGTAGTGAGCCAAGATCGCGCCACTGCACTCCAGCCTGGGTGACAGAGTGAGACTCTGTCTGAAAAAAAGAAAAAAGGAAAAAAAAAAAAAGAACATTTGGGATTCATGGGAGGAGGCCAAAATATCAACATTAACAAGTGCTTGGAAGAAGTTGATTGTAACCCTAATGGATGACTTTGAGGGGTTCAAGACTTCCGTAGAGGTAGTCACTATGGATATGGTGGAAATAGCAAGATAAGAATTAGAAGTGGAGCTTGAAGATGTGACTGAATTGCATCAATCTCATAATCCAACTTGAACGGATATACAGCTGCTTCTTATGGATAGGCAAAGAAACTGGTTTCTTGAGATGGAATCTACTCCTGATGAAGGTGCTGTCAACATCGTTGAAATGGTAACACAAGATTTAGAATATTCCATAAACTTAGCTGATAAGCAGCAATGAAGTTTGAGAGGACTGACTTCAATTTTTTTTTTTTTTTGAGACACGGTCTTGCTCTGTTGCCAAGGCTGGAGTGCAGTGGTGTGATCTAACTCACTGCAACCATGAACTCCTATGCTCAAGTGATCTTCTAGTCTCAGCATCCCAAGTAGCTACAAGGACTACAGTTGTGTGCCACCACACCCAGCTAATTTTTTATTTTTTAAATACTTTGTAGAGATGGGTCCCTCTATGTTGCCCAGGCTGGTCTCAAATGTCTTGTTTAAGTGATCCTCCTGCCTTGCCCCGCAACAATGCTGGGATTACAGGCATAAGTCACTGCTCCTGGCCGGACTCCAATTTTGAAAGATGTTCTGCTGTGGGTAAAATGCTATCAAACAGCATCTAATGCTACAGAGAAATCTTTAGTGAAAGGAAGTCGATCAGTGCAGCAAACCTGGGGTTGTCTTATTTCAACAAATTACCACAGCCATCCCAACCTATAGACACCACCACCCTGATCAGTTAGCAGCCATCCACATCAAAACAGGACCCTTCACCAGCAAAAAGATTAATACTTGCTGAAGGCTCAGATGATCAGTAGCATCTTTAAGCAATAAAATATTTTAAAATTAAGGTATGTACATTATTTTTTAAAGATATAACGCTACTGCACATTTAAAAGACTACAGTATAGTGGAAACATAACTTTTGCATACACTGGGAAACAAAATCCATGATTGCTTTATTGCTTTAGTATAGTGGTGGTCTGGAACCAAACCTGCAATATCTCCAAGATATGCCTGTACTTACTGGCTTTCACAATAATGTAAGAAAGACCAAATTAGGTCAAATTCAATATTCTGTTTCCAAATGGTGTGTAAGGTCATGGCATCCTCAGTGATGCCAAGTTCAAATTGTTCAGGACATGCTCTAAAACATGCCTGGTTTTTCTTCATAATTTAAAAGCTTTGATCTACATTTTATCAGCCTTCACTTTTACAGACTAAAGAGATCAAATTATTAAAGTCAGTAACTTTATTCAAAATTATTGAGACAGACCTTTCTACAAGGTAGTATAAGTTTCTCTAGTCTTAAGCAGATAATTTTAATTTTCATCATTTTAATAAATATTTCCTTATGTAGAAAACTTTCTCTATAGTAGCAATGACTAATGACACAATTGGCTTAGAACTGTAAATCATTAGAACCAAAGGGAACTCGGAAGTTGAATGCAACTTTTTCCTTTTACAAATGAGGAAACTGAGACTTAGTGTTGAGAAGCAGGTTTCCTACAGTAAAACAACCAAAAACGTGAGCTAAATCCAACAAAACAGCGCTCTTCAAACTGCAGATCAGGACCAATCAATTAAGTAGGTTGCTGCCAGCATTTTAAAAAAGCAACAGAGTAGAAAATATCAGAGGCATTTCATGTAGTAAGAATAATATTGTTTCACAGAAGTTTTGCTTTAGTTTTAGTTATATGCATATATGAGATAATGTAAAATGCACTTATTATAGTGGTCGAAAGTTTGGAAGTCATTTCAATAAGATATCTAATCTTTTGGGTGGATTTAACAATTTATTCTTAGTCTCGTTCTGTTGCCCAGGCTGGAGCGCAATGGTGTGATCTCGGCTCACTGCAACCTCTGCCTCCCAGGTTCAAGCGGTTCTTCTTACTCAGCCTCCCAAGTAGCTGGGGCTACAGGCATGTTCCAGCACTCCTGGCTAATTTTTATATTTTTAGTAGAGATAGGGTTTTGTCATGTTGGCCAGGCTGATCTTGAACTCCTGACCTCAGGTGATCCACCAGTCTCGGCCTCCCAAATGCTGGGATTACGGGCGTGAGTCACCACACCTGGCCATAAAAATTTATTATTATTTTAAAATTATGATTATTAAAATTACTATTATGATGCAATTTATTCTTTATCATGACTCATTGTAAGCTAATAAAAATATCTCTGCATTAAATACTACATGCCACCATTTAAAAGAAGCAATTTTTTCCTCCCTAAAGGAAGACTGACTCAGGATATTGTATCCCATGCCATATGTAAACAGACATTCTTTAAAATATCACATTTCTGTAGAGCTTAAATGTGCAATAGCTAGACAAGCTTTTAAAAATACAAAATTCTAGAATTCTGATCCTTGGCACAGGTAAAAAGATGTCTGAAAAAACAGTGACCTCTAGTGGATTCATTAAATAGCATGGACATAATCCCTGCCCCTAAGAATTTGGAAATTAAGGTAACACAAATGCATCCAGATATAAAAGATACTGATATGGTTATACACTGACAAGTGTTATATATAATTAAGGGCTACAGTTATGCTATACAATGAGGCAGATGCATATATATAGATTATTCACTGTTTCCTTCTAATCAAGTGGAATATAATAAATAGAATCCTGGTCTCATACGGATCACTAGTTTAAGAAATACACTTAATGAAGGGGTTGGATTAAATCTCTCTAAGGACCCTTTTAGCTCTTTTAATTATGATTCTTCTTTAATTCATTTTGTACACCAATATCAGAATAAATTCTGCTCAAAAACATTTGATGGCTCCCCAATACTTGAGGGTTTACCACACTCAGCCTGGCCCTTTGTTATTTACCTATTGTTATCTTCTCGTTTCCCAAATTTCAAGTGGGCCAATGTTCAATATCCCAACCCATTCCCACAAGTTTATTTTCTCACTTTTGCTCACAGTTTCTCATTATGCAATGTCCTAACCTTGCTAATTTATAGGACAGGTCCCCATTAAAGTCAACACAAACTTGTTTAATTCATGTTCTGGCATCCAGTGATTGTTAAATTCACAGGTTGGGTTTTATACTTGTATATGTGTATGTGTATGTGTATGTGTATGTGTATGTGTATGTGTATGTATATGTATATGTGTATGTGTATGTGTATGTGTATGTGTATGTGTGTAGCCTGCCAGGTACTAAGCACTTACTGCACAATTTAAATGTAAATTAAGTTGATTCATTTAGATTAGAGAAACAAAGTCCATTTTTTTTTTTTTGAGATGGAGTCTTGCTCTGTCACCAGGCTGGAGTGCAGTGGCACGATCTCAGCTCACTGCAACCTCCGCCTCCCAGGTTCAAGCAATTCTCCTACCTCAGCCTCCTGAGTAGCTGAGACTACAGGCATGTGTCACCACGTCCAGCTAATTTTTGTATTTTTAGTAGAGACAGGGTTTCACCATGTTGGCCAGGATGGTCTCGATCTCTTGACCTTGTGATCTGCCCCCCTCGGCCTCCCAAAGTGCTGGGATTACAGGTGTAAGCCACCACGCCCGGCACAAAGGACATTTTCATCTTTCTTTTTTAGTGAGGTAGTGAAGGGTATATAGCTAAGGTAGAATTTCAAGAACTGCAAATATAAAGTAAAAGGGCTTCAAGTTTTGGGAAACAGTGAGCATTCTGAATAGAGGATGGTGAGATTTTAGGAAAAGGTTACAGGAAGACCTGTTTTACTTCATTTTATTTATTTATTTAATTTTTGAGACAGAATCTCACTCTGTGGCCCAGGCTAGAGTTCAGCAGCACGATCTTGGCTCACTGCAACCTCCGCCTCCCAGGTTCAAGTGATTCTCCTGCCTCAGCCTCCTGAGTAGCTGGGATTACAGGTGCCCGCCACCATACCCAATTAATTTTTGTATTTTTAGTAGAGACAGGGTATCACCATATTGGCTAAGCTGGTCTCAAATTCCTAAACTCAAGTGATCCACCCACCTTGGCTTCTCAAAGTGTTGGGATTATAGGCATGAGCCACTACACCAGGCTGGAAGATTTGTTTTAAATTAGCTAAAGGAAGGACCAATACCTATGCTTGAAGAAAACAGAGATGGCAGGAAAGGTAATTTGGTAAATGGTTTTGAAGCAGTTGAGGTAGATATGAGGGTGGCACAAAGGGTTAAATTTAAGATGTAGAGAAAATATCTTTGGAAGCAAAGTTAAGGATAACTTGAGGAAACACTGGTTTCAGTGGGGAATAAAACATGTTGCTCTCAGAGGACTGGGGAAGTACTGGGCAGCTCTAGTGACAGAAATATTAAGAAAGGAGAAAAAGGATAAGTAAAAAAGTACTCTTAGCTTCCCAGTCATGTCGAACAATGCCAGAGTCTTTTATTTTCCCAACAAGGAAGCTGGCAGACTGGTGGTGAAATGATGAACAATTTAGTCTTAATTATGTTTAACTCAATTATCAAGGGCCACACAGTGTTAAGTTTTCCATATCCTAAACCACACAGGATTGGATCGGCAGGCAGAGGTGTCTGCCATCACAGGTGCTGTTGTCAGCATAATTGATGTTATTTGAATTGAGAGTGGTGTTACATCGCCTTACGCATCAGAAAAGACTTCAAGGTTTGCTTTTTTTTTTTTGAGCCAGAGCTTTTTAGCTAACCTGCATCTCATTATGTTTAGGTCATTAGTTTATTTAGCATAGGTCCTACCTTACCACAAGTAACACTGCCTTGTGTTGCTATAATACACTCTTTCAAACATGAATTTATTTTGGGCATTATCTCATTAAGCATTTCATTGGAATTTCTAGGCAATACAGTTTAATTACCATAAGGATAACTTGTTACCTTTATATTATCATGCCATTTCACCCTCAATAATAAAATTTTCTTGACTTTAGCATCTAGTAAAACATTGCCAGTATTTAAATCATTTCCCAAGAGGCTAAACTCCAGCATTGCCCATAAACTCTTTTTACAAAAAAAAAAATTACTTTTTAATTGTGTCTTTAAATTGATAAAATAGTGTACTGATTTTTATAAAGATTAAATGAACCTGAACTTTCTAACCTTTCTCATAGCAGAGTTCACCTGGATCCTAAGACCCAGTAACTTCTGAAAAAATTTAACATTCTTCCTCCAGGATTATTATATTAACAGGATTCACAGACATAACTAGCATCACAGGACACTGGAGTTAAAGTTCTGATTTTGCAATTAAAGCTAAAACAACAAACAAATAACATTTGTATGTATGCATTTTCTGATTTTAAGTGTAAAATCCTTAATAGCTATGCTTAAAATATAACCATTTCCCCATAAAGTATATAAAATGGTAACTTTTTACAGAAAACTAGACTTACTCTCAGCTAATCTCAAAAAGCAGAAACAAATTATTAGAATATATGAACAAATGTATATACACAATGACTTAAATTACCTCTCTTCTTCTCGAACCCATACTGGAGTTTTGGGAATTTGTGCTTCAAAAAACTTAGATGCTTGATAACAAAAATTGCTGCAAAAAGACTGAAAAGAACATTATAAATCTAGTTTTTTTCTTATCATGAAACATTACCTACATACAGTTGAGAGTATAAAACATAAATGTATCGTTCAAAGAATAAAATGGAAACCTACAGATCTACCACCCAAGGTAAGAAATAAGATACTGAACCTTTGAAGGCCTCTATGTGCCCCTTCCCAACTGCATCACCCTCCGCATTCCCCAGAAGTAACCACTACCATAAATTTGGTGTTAATCATTCCCTCATTTCCTTTCAGTTTTAGCACCTGTGTACATATCCCTATTAAAAAATATTCAGTTTTGCCTATTTTTAAACATTTTTTTGAATGGAATAATATTGTTATACATTCTTATCTTACTTCATTCACTTATTAAATTTTATTTTTTTTAGGGACAGGGTCTCACTCACTGTAGCCTCAAACTCCTGGGCTCAAGTAATCCTCTGGTTTCAGCCTCCTGAGTAGCTTGGACTACAGGCGTGCCACCACACCTGGCTATTTTATTTTTTTGTAGAGATGGGGTCTCTATTTGTTGCCCAGGCTGGTCTCTATCTTCTCTCCCTGGCCTCCCAAAGTGCTGGAATTATAGGTGTGAGCCACCGTACCTAGCCACTTCTTTTGTTTAAAATTATGTTTTTAAGATTCATTCAAGTAGTTGTAGCTTATTAATTTTCACTGTGTACTACATTCCATTGTTAGAGTATTACACTTTACCATTTATAGACAATTGAGTTGTTTCTAATTTTTTTGCTATCACTACAATGTTACTATAAACTTTTTTTTACAATTAAAAAATGTTCACAATTGTGGTAAAATATACATAATCTAAAATTTATCATCATAAGCATTTTTAAGTATATAGCACAGTGGTATTAAGTACCTTCACACTGTTGTGCAACTATTACCACCATTCATCTTTAGAACTCTTTTTATCTTACAGAACTGAAACCCTATACACTAACTTCCCATTCCCACCTCTCTTGATGATCATTCTACTTTCTGTCTCTGTTAATCTGACTTCTCTAGGTACCTCATATAAGTGAAAGCATACAGTATTTGTCCTTTTGTGCTGGCTTATTTCACTTAGCATATTATCTTCAAGGTTCATCCACCTTGTAGCATGTGTCAGAATTTCCTTCCTTTTTTTAAAGGCTAATATTCCATTGTGTGTATATACGACATTGTTTATCCAGCTATAAACATTTTTATACATACATGCTGGTGTACATGTGTAAGAATTTTTTTAGGGTTTATACCAAGGAATAGAAAGGCTTAATTATAGAGAATGTGCAAAGACTTCACCAGACAAATGCCAAGCCATTTCTCAAAAAGGCTGTACCAATTTTCATTCCCACTAGTTGCAAAAAGATTTCCTAACATTCGCAATTTTGTGGGCTGTGAAAACAAAACTCAGTGTGTTTTTATTTGCTATTTCTCTGATTACTGATAATATTTAGCATCTTTTCATATGTTTATTAGCCATTCAAGTTCCTTGTGTAAATTTTTCTATTAGTTTGTCTGTCTTTTTCTTATAGATCATATATTCTAGATATGATTCTATGGTCAGTTAACATTCTGCTTTGTGGCTTCTCTTTTCATTTTTTTTTTGAAACTTCTGATGAACAAAAGTTTTACATTTTAATATAGAAATGTTTATCAGTTTCTCCTCTTTGGCCTATAATTTTCCATCTTATTTTATGAAGTCTCTCTACCCCAAGTTTATATCTTCCCATATTGTCTTTTTTTTTTTTTTTTTTTGAGACGGAGCCTCACTCTGTTGCCCCGGCTGGAATGCAGTGGTGCGATCTCGGCTCACTGCAAGCTCCGCCTCCCGGGTTCACGCCATTCTCCTGCCTCAGCCTCCCGAGTAGCTGGGACTACAGGCGCCCGCCATCACGTTTGGCTAATTTTTTTGTATTTTTAGTAGAGATGGGATTTCACTGTGTTAGCCAGGATGGTCTCGATTTCCTGACCTCGTGATCTGCCCGCCTCGGCCTCCCAAAGTGCTGGGATTACAGGCTTGAGCCAGGGCGCCCGGTCTATTGTCTTTTTTTTGAAGACAGTGTCTTGCTCTGTTGCCCAGGCTGGAGTGCAGTGGCATGATCTCGGCTCACTGTAACCTCTGCCTCCCAGGTTCATGCGATGCATGTGCCTCAGCTTTCTGAGTAGCTGGGACTACAGGTGCGTACCACCACCTTTGGCTGATTTTTGTACTTTTTGTAGAGACAGGGTTTTGCCGTTGCCCAGGCTGGCCTCCAACTCCTTGAGCTCAGGTAATCCGCCCCCCTTGGCCTCCCAAAGTGCTAGGATTACAGGTGTGAGCCACCACGACCAGCATCTCCCATAGTGTCTTCTACCTTTTACATTTATGTCTTTAATCTACCTAAAATTGATCTATGTATAGAGACTGAGATAGGCATCAATTTTAATTTTTTCCATTTGCATAACTAATTGTGCCAGTATAATTTATTGAAAAATCCATCCTTTCTCTACTGATCTACAATACTCCCGCTGTCATATATCAAGTGTCTACATATGTGGTTAGTCTGCTGCTGACTCTCTATTCTGTTCCATGATTTATTTGCCCAGATTTGTGCCAATATGCACTTTTAAATGTTCAAGTCTTAATTGAAGCTTAAGCAAAAAAATTTTTAATACCTTGATTGAAATATTTACAAATAAAATCAAACTTTTAACATCACTATTTTCTAACCAGTAAGATTTTAAAGTTTCTTTTAGAATCCTATTTAATATCATTAAAAATTAATTGCCATGCCTTGTTAGGATAGTGGTTAGTAAAGAAAAAAAATTAATTGCCACAATGAAAGCCTTTAAACTCACCTTTCTTTCAGTAATATCATAGACTTTATTGGTTTTGGTAGAAATTTTATATTTCTGTTTTGGTACCTAAAGAAAAGAAAGTACAGCTTACAAAAGAATCCAAATAATAAACATGAACGTTATGTTACAAGATTAAGTCATCTACATATCATATCATTGGCCAATCCATGCCTTTAGTTCATGACCTTAGGTTTTATTTCTTATTCTTACAACAAAGTATTTTGCTAAATGAAAATAATAAAAGCCTATATTTTAAAAAAAATGAGTTACTTACAATTCCCAGCTTCTTCTGACATAAAGGATAACCACAGAGTTTGACAATAGAACGTTCATCCACGACATCACTGTAGTGAGCAGGTGTAATGAACCTCCCCTAAAATGAAATGAGAGGGTTATTTCCTCCTAGTTTAATAGAAAAGTTCATTTATCAGCTCTCTAAGCCTCATCAATCTTATCTGAAAACACAGGGATAGCAATAGTACCTTCCTCATAAGTTAGAGGTTAGAATTAGAGGAGAAAATAAAGCAAAATCACTTAGAGAAGTGCTCAACATATAGTGAGCATTCAAAAAAAAAGTTATTATTAAAAAAATTTCTGCCACAGTAGTCTCTGCATCTTTGTAGATTATATAGTTAAATGAAATAATTCTGAGGCATGAGGAAGAAGTGATGCTATAGCTATACACAAGCTAAATGACAACAGTATCTTTTATTTTTGAAAAAGTATTATTTAAAAAATTAACTAAATCACAAAATAATAAAATATAATTTTACCTATTTTTTAAAGCATAATCTTTAAAAACAAAGTATTTCAAAAGTGTCATTGTTACTGCAGAACACAGTTTGTGCAAAATTTTCCTACTTCTGAAAAATCTGTACAGAGTGGTGAGGTGATGGTTATAAGCTAACATCAAATATTTTCCTTTGACATCTTCATGATCAAATAATTTTGATTCTTGTTCATAACTTTGAGATCTTTTAACAAGTTTTTCTGTTTTCACAGAGACAGAAATACTTTTTATTGAGAGTGATGTAAGTTTTATGTTTCAAATGAAGCATATTTGCCTTTGTCTTTTCTGGTGTCATCAAATATGCAGATTCTGATGCAGTTACCTGTGTCAATAAAAATATGAATTGTCATGTTCATATTCCTGTTTAGAAAAAGATCTATCAACTACACTAAGAAGTGTTTTTGTAATAGAAGCTTTGAGTTTTAATTTGCCCTCTTAAGGATTACAAAAATATAAAGAGAAATTTCCATTCAAAATTTTAATGTAGTAAAGCTGTTTCAAAATTTTTTTATTCTCAAATTTTTATTTAGACAGGGTCTCGCTGTGTTGTCCAGACTGGTCTCAAACTCCTGGGCTCAAGCGATCCTACCGCCTTGGCTTCCCAAAGTGCTGGGATTACAGGTATGAGCCATCGTGCCTGGCCAAAAAAAAATTAATGCGGGCCGAGAGCAGTGGCTCATGCCTGTAATCCCAGCACTTTGGGAGGCCGACGCGGGCGGATCACGAGGTTAGGAAATCGAGACCATCCTGGCTAACACAGTGAAATCCCATCTCTACTAAAAATACAAAAAAATTAGCCGGGCGTAATGGTGGGCGCCCAGTCCCAGCTACTCGGGAGGCTGAGGCAGGAGAATGGCGTGAACACGGGAGGCGGAGCTTGCAGTGAGCAGAGATCCCGCCACTGCACTCCAGCCTGGGCGACAGAGTGAGGCTCCGTCTCAAAAAAAAAAAAAAAAAAAAAAAAAAAAATTTAATGCGGAATTTAATTCTCCCGTTTTATGTTGAGTCATAAATGAGCTGTATTTCAGGTTTTTGAAATAAGAAAATTGATGAAATTACATTGACAAAAATAATATTCTTCTGTTACTTAAAATAACACAACACAGAATATAGAAAACTGGAATTGCAATCATTAGAACAAATTGAAGAAAATCAAGTGATATTAGCAGACTGGTTAAAAGAACTATGACTAAGGGTAAAATATATTTGCTTTTTCTTTTTTTTTTTTTCTCCCCCATCCTCATTTTTCTTTTTTCCCATTTATTATTTATATACTTATTTTGAGACAGAGTCTCACTCTTGTTGCCCAGACTGGAGTGCAGTGGTGTGATCTCAGCTCACTGCAACGTCTGCCTCCTGAGTTCAAGTGATTCTCATGCCTCAGCCTCCTGAGCAGCTGGGATTACAGGCATGAGCCACACCTGGCTAATTTTGTATTTTTAGTAGAAACGAGGTTTCACCATGTTGGCCAGGCTGGTCTCGAACTCCTGACCTCAAGTGATCCGCCTGCCTTAGCCTCCCAAAGTGCTGGGATTACATGAGCCATTGTGCCTGGCCTCTTTTGCTTTTTAATTGACAATAATAATTGTATATATTTGTGGGGTAGTATGTGATGTTTTAACACATGTATACATTGAGCAAATCAGGCTAATTAACATATCTATCACCTCACATATTTATCATTTCTTTGTGGTGAGAACATTTGAAATCCACTCTTATTAATTTTGAAATATACATTACGTGTCATCACCTTGTTACGTACTTATTTTTCATTAGTGCATTTTAAAGTCATTATACAAGGAATGCATGATAGTTGTTTATTTTTAAATGCATGAATTATATGGATTGTTATCTGCATCTAATGACTCAGAACAAATTCAAAGATTCTAATAATGCAAAGAAGTTTCATGCTGCACAGATTTAAAGATGTTATACTACAAAACTAATAATTTGTCAACTTAACACATACACACTCCATTAGGAACTCTTCTGTAATATTCTCCTCTAAAAGCTGTTCAACAATATGTAGAGCTTTTCTCTCAAATTCAATCTTCTTTCTCACAGCTGCTTCTAGTTCAGCTTTCCTAAAATTTGAAAGAGAAACTTAATCTACTTAAAAGCTTCATGTCCAACATTCCATGTTTTAAAATACAATACTAACCTAACTCACTATTTTGCCACTTAAATTTAAATATATTTAAAAAATTTTTTGAATAAAAATATTTATTTCTTTTTAATTGTAGAGACAAGGTCTCACTATGTTGCTCAAACTGGTCTCGAGCTCCTGGCCTCAAGCAACACTCCCACCTCAGCCTCCCAAAGTGCTGGGATCACCGGCATAAGCCACCACATCCGGCCAAATTTCTGTTTTCTAATGCTGTTACTTTTGATCCAATACTTTTCAAAAAGGAAACAAGCTACTTTTTGCACTGCACATACATAAGTCTTTATATACTCTTTGTATGGTTAATGTCTACTTAGCACGCAGGTCTCAGCATAAGGCTTTCGCTGAAAACTCACAGCCAACCTCCCTGCCACCCACCTCCAACTAAATTAGACTTCGTTATTCCTTCTCGTAACATCACAGTCTTTTCCTTCATAGTGCTTATCACAATTTGTAATTATGTATTTGTTTATGTTAATTAACTAATTAATTTATTATTATTTATTCCTCTGTTCCACTAGGCAAGAACTGTGTCTATTCTGTTCACCATATCTTCAGAGCCTAACACAGGTCCGACATATCTTATACTCAATAAATAATTTTTGAAAGAATGAGTAAATTAAGACCAAAGCCAATATAAGATTAGTGAGTCTTCACAAAATAAAAATCATAGCTACATATGCTTTTAATCCCCTTCACATTCTACTCCTCTTCTAGAAACTCTGTGTGATATGTGGTAATATCTTGCCTTTTTAGAACCAGAACTAGTACAAGACAGCTTTTTAATGAAAATCTGGACTTGATGTAACAAAGAACAGAAAAGGTTTCTTGGAGTGACAGCGAAACTTGGAGAGTGAGTCTCTGGCATATAAAGCAATAAAAGGAGAGTGTACCTGAAGCGGTGAAAAACAAACACCTTCTACAGACACTCATTCCTTCACTAGCAGTCTGAGTGCTTAGTTTGGTTTTCTTAAAGCCTGGAGTAGAGGAATGTAACAGTCTATGTGAGAATTTATAGGCCTTCCCAGATCTTTCCCTTCCCTCTCATGATAATTTTCTCTAAAAAAAAAAAGGTAACCATTATTGTTTTAAAATTGGTACAAGTAATACAAGATAAGTAGATATGCCAATGTAGTTGTCCATGTAGCTGTCATACCTTTTAGAAGCATCTTCTTGTTTCAAAGTACTTGTCTGTTTAGTACCTACAATAAAAATACAGTCATGTGCTACATAATGACATTTCCGTAAACGACGGACAGCATACAGACAGCGGTCTCATAAGATTAAAATACTGTATTTTTACTGTACCTTTTCTATGTTTAGATATACAGTTGCCTACAGTACTTAGTACAGTAACATGCTGTGCAGGTTTGTAGCCTGGGAGCAATAGGCTGTACCATATAGCCTAGTGTGTAAGTAGGCTGTACCATCTAGGTTTGTGTAAGTGCACTCGATGATGGTCACACAAGGATGAAATCGACTAACAACTTATTTCTCAAAATGCATCCCCGCAGTTAAGCTACACATGGTGGCAGTAGGTCAGGTCTACACAAACACATTAGGTACAAGATAGATTCCTACACAAATAACAAACTGTAGACCACCTTTTCTTCTTTTCCACATATTTTATGTCCAATCGTGTGTAAATCAAAATGAAATAGGAAGGGAGAGCAATTTGTTTTTGCAAATTGATTACTGTCTAATTTTTCTTGGTTAAAATGTATCTCTTTGGGGATTGAATTTTCTTCTGTATCATAGTTGCTTAATTAACCACTCCTGAAAATCTGAGATCTGGGTACTTTTAGGGGAAACCTCTCTCCGTCTGCCAAACGTCCTCTCTGGGGGAAGAGGGGAGTCCGGCACCTTAAAGAACTGGGCACCCAAGCAATCTGGAAAGGAGGACCGGTCCTAGGTTCAAGGCCAGCTGCCAACGCTGCCCTAGTCACTTGCCCCGAAACCCGGGGACCCCAGGCCTGGGTTCCCGGGGCCTCCACTGTCCTTTGTCTCAGAGGCTGGGGCCACAGTCCGCGTGAGGGAAATCTTGGAACACTGGCGTAAAGGGGTGAGGGGCGGCCAGGAAATCTTTCCCAGGAGGTGCGGACGGCGGTGGGAAGCTTTCGGCCTACTCTACCTGGGAGAACCCCTCCCCTGAAGCAGCCTTTCAGGAGCGCCCGCGCGCTGCGGTCTATAACTCGAGATCGGGGCCCAGCTTTCAGGGTCCAAAAGTGGGAAGAGATCCTTGCTCCTACCTGCGGCTTTTCGAGAGCAGCGGGGAGCCCCGGCCTTGCGGCCGGCAGAAGACGGCCCAGCGAAGTCCGCCATGGGGGAGAGTAGTCTGCCGGACGGGGACACGCTCCGGCGTCTCGCCCCGAGGCCCCGCCTCCCTACGCGTAGCGCGGGGCGGGGCCAGAAGAGCGGGCTAAGACGCCGGAGGAGGTGGCGGCGGCTGGGAGAGGCGAGGGTTCTGGCCGGTAAGTGGAGTTGTGGAGAGGTTCAGGGTGGCCAGGGCTCGCGGTTGGCCGTGAGCCGCGGCGGACTTGGTGCTGCGGGCCGACTAGGCCACGCGAGGTGGTGGAGCCTGCCCACCTAGGCGAGCAGGAATCGGAAGACATGGCTTCCTCTGATGCAGCCCGCACGCGCGCTGGGGTGTTCACTCGCCTTCCAGCGCGCTGCCCTGAGGACCGGGCTGACTCGCGCCCCTACTGAGGGCTTGGGGCCGAGCCTTGCCGCCAGGAGAAGCGATGGTCTCCTCCTGAAGGCCGCCGTTGTCTTGTCTCCGTGTGATACAGTGATTTCACTAGCTGGATTGATCACTTTGGGGACTGCAACTCCTAGAGAGAAATGGAATGGAGGGCATCTGAATCTTCACCCCCTATAGATAAGCTTGTGTTGCACCCCAATTTTTGTGAGGTGAGACATTAAAAATGAAAAATCCCCTGATGATTAGAATTTTGATTTCAGGTCCACCTTTTGGAAATTTTTTTTCAGAAAAGAAGTGCTTTGCTTTTTAAAAGCCCTTTAGTTCGTATATGCCTCGCCTCTTGGGAGTGCTCGAGAGGTTTTTTTTGTTTTTTTTTCCTTCAAAGTAGCTTTCAAAACTATGCTCCTAGAAAACTTAAAACATGCAATAAGGGCTTCTAAAAAAACACTTTATTTTCTTAGGCAAACATACTAAGATTCAGTAATAACATTTCAACTTTAAAACTTTACATTTTCTCCTAGCATGCTATTGGACCAAAAAACACAACAACAAAAACTTTCCATTTTCTTTATTGTATTTACTAATAATTTATCACACTGAAACATAACTTTTGAATACTTAAGTGTAATATCACGGATAGTTAACAGTGTGTTTTGTATTTGTAGATTTTAGCATCGAAACTAGGAGAAATAAGAATGGCTGTAGAGGAACTTCAGTCTATAATAAAGAGATGTGTAAGTATTAATTTTTGTAAAATTAAATACCTTTCAAAATATGGGAAGGGCACAGATTGTTTTTAATTATATTTGTGGTCACTCAAATTGTTTATCTTCTTTAATCCTTGCTTTTTTTGACCTGTAAAGAGCATGAGTGGGGGAGGCAGATTGGATTATTTCTCCAGGTGACATACTTATCTAAATAACCTTTTACATTTTAATCCTGATCCTTTTCATAGATTTCACTGGTACAGTAGATTTCAAGGTCACTTATTAAAGTATTTATTAGGGTAATCCTAATTTTGATACGTGTGTTATTTACGTTACATTTATCTAGAATTTAAACAGATTTCCTTTTTTCATAGATAAATCAAGAAGTTATTGTATTTAATTTTTATTTGCATATACTTTTTTTTGTTTGTTTTTTGGGTTTTTTTTTTTTTTGCCAGCAAATCCTAGAAGAGCAAGACTTTAAAGAAGAGGATTTTGGCCTATTTCAGTTAGCTGGGCAAAGATGCATAGAAGAAGGGCACACAGACCAGCTATTAGAAATTATTCAAAATGAAAAGAATAAGGTGCGTACAATCTTGGTGTTTACTTTTCAGTCTTGGGAAGAGAATAATCACATGATGCTATTCATCCAGTCATTTATCCATCAAACATTTAAGAATCTACTTAAATTTTCACAGTAGGGAACTGAAAACAAAAAAAGAATTAGAAATATTTAGGCCAGGCGCAGTGGCTCACGTTCGTAATCACAGCGTTATGGGAGGCCAAGGCAGGCAGATCACTTGAGCCCAGGAGTTTGAGACCAGCCTGGGCAACAGAGTAAGACCCTGTCTCAGAAAAAAAAAAAAAAAAAAGAAAAGAAACAGTCATATACTTGAAGGTTTTTACCATCTGGTCAAACATAAACATGTAAACAACTAACAATAATGAGGCAAAATAAATAATTGCTATAGTTGAAGTAAAGAGTTTTTAGAAGAAACAGAATTACTTCTGGTTTAGGGAGTCCAAAAATGGTGTTTGAGTCATTAATTTACAATGAGAAATATACATATCAAGCAGGCTAAATATTCATTTTGGGTGATCAGCCCATTCTCCTCCAGCCAAATGTGTATGGAAAACCAAATTTTAATTAAAACAGTATTTTATGTGCATAGAATCAGAACAGGAGGAAAACGATATGTCATTATACTAGCCAGTATCATCCAGTTACAATGGTTTGAGAAATCATCCTCCACAATGGAAAAGGATCTTATTTGTGGATCAGGAATAACTTTTTCCTGGGACACTGTGTTGGCAACATCCTGCCAAATTTTGTGTCTTTGGATACTCCTTATAAGGAAGACGGCTATGGTTTGGCTCTGTGTCCCCACCCAGATCTCACCTTGAATTGTAATAATCCCTGTGTGTCAAGGATGGGACCAGGTGGAGGTGATTGAATCATGGGGGTGGTTTCCCCATGCTTCTCATGATAGGGAGTGAGTTCTCACCAGGTCTGATGGTTTTATAACCATCTGGCATTTCCCCTGTTGGCACTCAGTCCCTCTCCTGCTGCCCTGTGAAGAGGTGCCTTCCGCCATGATTGTTAAGTTTCCTGAGGCCTCCCTAGCCATGTGGAACTGCATGTCAATTAAACCTCTTTTCTTTCTAAATTACCCAGGCTTGGGTATTTTTTCATAGCAGCATGAGAACAGACTAATACAAAGACCATCTTCCTTCTAGGTACACACTCTTTCTTCATTTGCAGTGCTACTTATTTATTAGAAGTTTTCTTTCTTGATATCACAGTGTAATCATGTTGATCTGTGTTTCTCTCCAGGGCATCTTGATTGGATTTGGGGGATTCCTAAAACTTTTTAATCATATATTATTATAACATCTCTTAGTCAGTAGTTCAAATGGCTTATACCCTTCTTATTTTTTATTAAAATAGGACATTTTATTTAGTTTTTGATACATGTTTATGATAACTTTGTAACCTCCAATATAATAAATCTTATGTTTTTTAAACTCTTCTTGATTTTTTTCTAATTGCGTTCTCAGGATAACCTTCTAAAGTACTTAGCTTTCAGCTAATAATAAAAAAATTAATAACAACTAATATTTATTGCATGTTTACATGTACCAGATGCTGTCTTTAGTCCTTTACATTTATTAACTTAATTAGTCTCTCCAAAATCTCAGAAGGTAGGTGTTCATTTTGTAACTGAAAAGTTAAATGACTTGCCCAAAAGTAAGTCAGCTTTTATGTAACATCCAAGATTCAGACCTGTGTAGCATGGTTTTGGAGCTCCTAACCACTCTGCTCTACCTCTGGTTAGTGCTGTATGGCGTATGGTTTTAGGGTAGAATACAGGGGATTGCTTGATTGAGAGGGAGAGGCATCAAAAATGACTGGGTTTCTAGCCTCTAAAAGGATAACATATGATATCAAACAGAAAAAGGCAACCTAAGTAGAGGGAAAAGTTTTCTGAAGGAACAAGTGAGTTGACTTTTAGAAATTTTGAGTTTAAGTACAGCAGTCAATTGGAAAATAAGGTTTTGAGCTCAGTAGAGATAGAGGAATTAAGATGTAGATCTCTGAGACACATATCTGTGAGACTTTAATTACCTAAAGATTGGGTAATTGAAGCATTGAGGAGTGAAAAAAAAAAACAAGAATTTACCTGAGTTCACATAAAAGGGGCAGAAGAGAAGAGGCCCAAGATCCCATCTTGAAGAATTTAAGAAACAGGTAGAGAGAAGAGGCCTGCCAAGGAGATGAGGATCAGCACCACATCAGTGAGGCAGAAGGAAAAGGGAAGTATAAACAAAGTATTTTTCAGGCATTGCATGCCTTAGCGTTTTATTTTTAGCATGCTTCTGAATAGCTAATGGGATAGATTTAAACATGTGAGGCTTAGTCTTAATAGTTTGAGAATCACCTTTGCAATATGTGGTCAGCTAAATGCAAAGGTTTAGATATTGATAAGACAATGTTCAAAACTGACTACAGGCTGGGCACAGTGGTTCATGCCTATAATCCCAGCACTTTGGGAGGCCGAGGCGGGTGGATCACCTAAGGTCAGGAGTTCGAGACCAGCCTGGCCAACATGGTGAAACCCTGTCTCCACTAAAAATGCAAAAATTAGCTGGGCGTGATGGTGCGCCCCTGTAATCCCAGCTACTCGGGAGACTGAGATGGGGGGATTGCTTGAACCCAGGAGGTGGAGGCTGCAGTGAGCCAAGATCGTACCACTGCACTCCAGCCTGGGAAACAGTGAGACCCCATCTCAACAACAACAACAACAAAAAACTGACTACAATTTAATTTTCTTGCCAGGTGACACTATCAAAATTGACCAAGATTTACTATTATCTTCACCTATAAGACTGAATTAAAGAAAAAAAATAAAAATAAAAAGATTTACTATTTACTGCTTTGTGAGAGACCATTCACATACTATTTATTACAGTATATTATAATTGTTGTAGTTATTGTTAATCTCATAAATTAAACTTTGTCACAGATATGCATGTATAGTATTTATATATAGTGTTTGGTACTATTCATGGTTTCAGGCATCCACTGGGGGTCCTGGAATGTACCCCCTGCAGATAAGTGGGGAGACTACTGTATCGTATACTCTATTTTTATTATCTTACAAGACTGGGGTCAAGATGAGGTATTATAGGTGTCATTTTGTCTTCTTCCTAGATCAGATTTTTTTTAAAAAAATTCTAATTTTTGTGGGTACATAGAAGGCATATATATTGATGGGTACATGAGATGTTTTGATATAGACATGCAATGTGTAATAAGAATATCATAGAGAATGGGGTATCCATCCCCTCAAGCATTTATCCTCTGTGTTACAAACAAACCAATTATACTCATTTACTTTAAAATGTACAATTAGTTATTGACTATAGTCACCCTGTTGTGCTATCAAATAGTAGGTCTTATTCATTACTTATAACTTTTTTTTTTTTTTTTGGTACCCATTAGCCATCTTCCCTGCCTCCCACTACCATTTTCAGCCTCTGGTAACCATCCTCCTACTCTCTACGTCCGTGAGTTCAGTTGTTTTGGTTTTCAGATCCCACAAAAAAGTGAGAACGTTCAATGTTTTTCTGTGCCTGACTTCTTTCACTTAACATAATGGTCTACAGTCCCATCCATGTTATTGCAAATGACAGGATGTCATTCATTTTTGTGGCCAAATAGTACTCCATTGTGTATGTGTACCACATTTTCTTTATCCATTCATCTGTTGATGGACACTTAGGTTGCTTCCATATCTGAGATATTGTAAATAGTGCTGCAATGAACATGGGAGTGCAAATATCTCTTCAATATAGTGATATCCTTTCTTTTGGGTATATACCCAGCAGTGGGATTGCTGGATCATATGGTAGCTCTATTTTTGTATTTTTTGAGGAACTGCCAAACTGTTCTCATTAATGGTTGTAGTAATTTACATTCCTACCAACAATATCTAAAAAAAAAAATACAAAAAATTAGCCGGGAGTGGTGGCGGGCACCTGTAGCCCCAGCTACTTGGGAGGCTGAGACAGGAGAATGACGTGAACCCAGGAGGTGGAGCTTGCAGTGAGCTGAGATCGCGACAATACATGTCGCGACAATATATGAGGGTTTCCTTTTCTCCACATCCTTGCCAGCATTTGTTATTGACTGTCTTTTGTATATAAGCCATTTTAACTGGGGTGAGATGATATCCCATTGTAGTTTTGATTTGCATTTCTCTGATGATAATGATGCGTACCTTTTCATATGCTTGTTTGCCATTTGTATGCCTTTTGGGAAATGTCTATTCAAATCTTTTGCCAATTTTTTAATCGGATTATTAGATTTTTTCCTTTAGTGTTGTTTGAGCTTCTTTTCTATTCTGGTTATTAATCTCTTGTCAGATGGGTTAGATCTGCTTTTTCATTATTTATATATTTTTTTGAGATAGGGTCTGTCTCTGTCACCCAGGCTGGTTTGCAGTGGTGTGATCACAACTCACTGCTACCTCGCCTCCCAGGCTCAAGCCATCCTCCCACTCATCCTCCCAAGTAGCTGGGGCTACAAGCGTGTGCCACCAGACCCAGCTAATTTTTGTATTTTATACACAGGGTTTGGCCGTGTTGCCCAGGCTGGTCTTGAACTCCTGAGCTCAAGTGATCCACCCACCTCAGCCTCCCAAAGTGTTGGGATTACAGGCATGAGCCACCATGCTTAAAAAAAAAAAAAAAAAGAAAAGAAAAGACGGGGTGCGGTGGCTCACGCCTGTAATCCCAGCACTTTGGGAGGCTGAGGTGGGCGGATCACGAGGTCAGGAGATCGAGACCATCCTGGCTAACATGGTGAAACCCCATCTCTACTAAAAAAAAAAAAAAAAAAGGCAAAAAATTAGCCAGGCATGGTGGCGGGTGCCTGTAGCCCCAGCTACTTGGGGGGCTGAGACAGGAGAATGACATGAACCCAGGAAGCAGAGCTTGCAGTGAGCTGGGACAGCGCCACTGCACTCCAGCCTGGGCGACAGAGCGAGACTCAGTTTCAAAATAAATAAATAAATAAGAATGTATTTAACTTTAAAAAACAGAGACAGGGTCTCACTAGGTTGCCCAGGCTGGTCTCAAACTCCTGGGCTCAAGTGATCCTCCTGCCTCAGCCTCCTAAGGTGCTGGGATTAGAGACATGAGCCACTGCACCCAGCCAACCACCGTGCTTTTAAAGAAGGACTCTAGGAGGGTAGTGATCTTATCCAGTGTGTTCCTCACTTTATTTCTAACCTCTAGAATATTATAGTGTAGGCTTGGTAAATACTGATGAGTTAAAATACAAAGCAGGCCAGAGAAGTGGAATACATTGTTGATCCTTTGAGAATTAGTGGTTTTGATAATGAATGTGAATTAGTCATTATAAAGATAAACTTTTACTTGTATGGTAAGCATTCTGAAATATCTTTGAACATAGAAGCCACTTGTATGTAGGAGAGAAAATTAATGAAGTTGTATCCCTTCTTTTTTTTATAAATTACAAGGATTATATTTAGAGACTCCAAGAACTTTAAAAGGTACATGAGCATTGGCTGGATTTCTTTATGAATAAGGGGAGCAAAATTGTCTGTGGAAGTTAAGTACCTGTATTAAGCAAATTAACTCTTTTGTTGGAAATAGAGGCACTATTTAAATCTTGGGAAACACCAACTTGCCTGATAAAAAGTAAAGACCCTTTTGCCTTTCCTCAGGGAACATATTAAAAACTATTTAAAAATGTTGATGTCTGTTAGTAGCCAACCCTGGAAAGTCTCTGGTGAAATGTCATAGGCTTCACTTGTCTCATCTTCCTATTTCAGAAACAATTCTGAGCTCTTCCAAGATAGGAAAGCACACTGCGAGAGTCCTATAGATGGCAGTGTTTGCTTTACTCTGAAAATGTTTTTACAGGTCATCATCAAGAATATGGGCTGGAATCTCGTTGGTCCTGTTGTTCGATGCCTTTTGTGTAAAGATAAAGAGGATAGTAAAAGAAAAGTTTATTTTTTGATCTTTGATTTATTGGTAAAGGTAAGTTAACAAAACAAGGTTCTCTTTATCATAACACACAGCAGTATTTTATAATTCCCTTTAATGTTTATTGTTTGGTAAGAAAGCTTTTGGTTCATGAAAGTACATGCAGAAAGGAACTCGTTGGAGAAAAGACCCAGTCTTATTGATTGGATAGGCAATTCCATTTCAGGATTTCCCAAATTTTCTGGATAAAAGAATTGTCTAACCTCATATTAACCTCATATCGGACCCATTGATTCAGCATCTCCAGGGAGAGACCTGGGAAGCTATATCTTAACAAGTAGCCTTATCGTATAGATGTGGAATACAAGCTTTAGAGAGGTAGTTCAAGGTCACATTTATCTTTTGGCAACATTGGAACTAGATTAAAATCTCAGTCCTCTTTCCTTTGTGGTATGTTCCCTAAAAGAAAATGGAAGGCCTAGAATACAAGTGATTAAAATTGAAGTAGGAATAGGGTAGAATACAGATCAGTTGTGACTAACAACCTTAGAAAGCGACCCTGGGTAAAAGGCTAGTAGAGTTTACAGTCAATATTTGATGGCCAAGAAAGATAAATTCTGAGAAAAAGTATATTATAAGAAACTGTTTAGTGATCAGTGCAAATATACCCAAATATATATTGGAAGGAGAGCTCCATCTGTATGAGTTATTGACTATGGGAGCTGGGAGCTTTTAAAAAACCAGTCAAGTGAGATGATAAGATATGGCCAGTCAGAAAGCAATGCAAAGTTTTACCTGTTCAAAAAATACAAAAGAGATTCCAGACTAGTCTAAATAGGCTTGCAGCATGGGATTGAAAGGTCCCACCTGCTGGAGCCCCTGAGAATCTGTTAAGGCAATTTCAGAGTGGACAGGTGAAGCTCAAAGGAAACCTGAGCCTAAAGATCCATTGACTTCTTGCTTTTTAGTTTTATAGTTACTTGACCATCACAGATTCTGTGTTTTGCTCATGCATATTTTTTCAACAATTGTATAAATAATTTTAATGTTAAGCAAAAACATAATTGTATAATATTTTGTCGATACATGCCTTCTTAAAAATAGTAATAATGTGGCTTTAAATACAACTTGTATTAAACAGGTTCAATTGTGAATATTTTTATAGTTATGCAATCCAAAGGAATTATTGTTGGGTTTGCTTGAACTGATTGAAGAGCCCTCTGGAAAACAGATATCCCAAAGTATTCTTCTTTTGCTTCAGCCATTACAAACAGGTAATGAGAATTTTGATATCAGAGTACTTCTTGTTGTATCTCTAAATGCCTTGATGGTTACCTCAAAATGTCAATACTACACCAAAGTAAAGTTTACAGCTAATTAGTGAGTACTCTGCTTAAACCAATAATAGCAATGCCAATGTGAATACTGCTGCTCATAGAAAGATTATAGTATCTGGCCAGAGTGGGTACCCAGTAAATATTCTGTTGAATGTCATACTATTTTTCATGTGCTATATTGAAAACTATACCTTTTTGCCTAACCTTCCTATCTGCTGCTTAAATCTAGAATTTTCTCTCTAAACATGTTTCAAGGGTTACCTCTGTGGTGTCTGCAGTACTAAATCTGATAGCATTATGGTAGTCTGGAAGAGTATCAGGCAAGGCATTGCTCAGCCTCTGCTTTGGGAGGTTGGATTGGGCATAGCAAAGCTACTACTGAAGAATGAAACGAGGAGATATGGGATGATAAGGCTCCATGGCTGAGTGCAGTAACAGTATTGGTAGGTAATGGGTCTTAGCAACCAAGGCAGACAGTATCCATAGGAAGAGGTTATTTTTCATTTTAGGAAATTCGTTTATCTCACAATCTGATAGAGGGACCTAGAATCAGAAATTAAATTTGTTTTAAATATGAATGCCTGCCAGCTTCATACTACCTGTAATATTCAGTCTTCTAGGGAAAAAAAATCTAATAATACCACCTCCTATTTGTGTAGTGCTTTATAGTTTACAATACACTTATATTTTGTGCTTATAACAACCCAAAAACATGGAAAGAACATGTTTCTGTCTTAAGTACATAGCCTGTTACACATAGTCTGTTATAAACATAACCTAAACAGCATTTCATGGCAAGATGCTGTATTATTTTATGCACAACTAAGAAGAAAAAAACACTGCCAATTAGACTGTGATGTGTCATCTTGATTCAAGAGTTGTTAAAATGTGGGAGGAGGAAGTGTCTTATAATTCCACATTTGCCGAATTTCTTGTCCCATGTTTAGCATACTTGATGAGCGACAACTTGATCTCTGTTTTAGTGATTCAGAAACTTCATAACAAGGCATATTCAATTGGATTAGCATTGTCTACCCTTTGGAATCAGCTATCTCTTCTTCCTGTTCCATACTCAAAAGAACAAATACAAATGGATGACTATGGCCTTTGTCAGTGTTGCAAGGCCTTAATAGAGTTCACTAAGCCTTTTGTGGAAGAAGTCATTGATAACAAAGAAAACTCACTGGAAAATGAAAAGTTAAAGGATGAATTACTGAAATTGTAAGTATAATTTTAAGAACATCTCACAGTGGACTTAAGTAATTGATAGTTCAGTTATTTTATGTTTCTTCACTTTGTTTGACATGTAAATAGAAATCTAGTTTCAGATTTTGAATTTTAGAAGAATGTGGGGTTCAGTTGATACAGCATGGGAACTTGAGACATTTATATTTTAAAAAATTATAGGCCGGGTGTAGTGGCTCACACATGTAATCCCATCACTTTGGGAGACTGAAGTGAGAGGATTGCTTGGGGCCAGGAGTTTGAGACGAGCCTTGGCAACATAGTGAGACCCCCATCTCTATAAAAAAATTTAAAAATTAGCTAGATGTAGTGGCATATACCTGTAGTGCTACTGCTTGGGAAGCTGAGGCTAGAGGATGGGTTGAATCCAGGAGTGTGAGGCTGCAGTGAATGATGATTGGCCACTGTACTCCAGTCTGGGCAACAGAGCAAGACCCTGTCTTTAAGAAATTAATTAATAAAATAATTATAAAACCAAAATCCATTCATTTACTTTATATTCTTCTTTGTATTGCCTTATTCATCATAGTAGGTGAATAATGAAAGTGGGGGAAATAGATACATGTAGCTCAGGGTGAGTGTGGGAAATAGATATAGGTAGCTCTGTGGAGAAATTGTGTTTTACTCTTTCAAAGGAAGCAGCAGAAAGACCACCAGACAGAACATCCAACTGGACCACAAAAATAGTGGTAGAGTATCCACCCAATAGCATTCCCTCCATGGGTACTATAGACTAAACATCTACTGTTCAATATGGCTGTAGCACTTGACATATGGCTGGTCCAAATTCAGATATACTTTAATTATAAAATATCCCCTGGATTTTGAAGACTTGTTATTTAAAAAAAAAAAACAGTAAAATACCTCAATTTTTATATTGATAACATGTTGAAATGACAATATTTCAGATATACTGGGTTAAGATAAATTATTAAAATCATCTCTCCCATTCTTACTACTTTTTTCATGTGTCTACTAAAAGATCTTAAATTATATATGGGGCTGTGTTATATTTCTATTGGACAGTGATAGACTAGATTAATTACATGGACCAGTAATTTTTAAATTTTGGCTACTTGGGAGGCTGAGGCAGGAGGATCACTTGAGGCCAGGAGTACAAGACCAGCCTGGGCAACATAGCAAGACCTCGTCTCTAAAAAATAGAATATAAAATAATATTTTAATTTTGGAGACTAATACTATTTTTAGCTTCCTACTTGTCAGGTTAGGACATTTAAAAAAAAATTTACAGCCAGACGTGGTGGCTCGCACCTGTAATCCTAACACTTTGGGAGGTCAAGCTGGGAGATTGCTTGAGCTCAGGAGTTTGAGACCAGCCTAGGCAACATAGTGAGACCCTGTCTCTACAAAAAATAAAAAAGTTAGCTGGGCACAGTGGTGTGTGCCTGTAGTCCCAGCTACTTGGGAGGCTGTGGCAGGAGGATCCTTTGAGCCCAGGAGTTTGAGGTTACAGTGCACTATTATTGTGCCACTGTACTCCAGCCTGGGTGACAGACACCCTGTCTCAAAAAAAAAGTTTTTTACCATTTATAAAACCCATTATTTCATAAAAGAAAAGGTATTTTAACTAAAGAAATAGGAAAGGCTTAATCACAGAATAAAGTTTGGTTTTCTAAATAAAACAAATAGAGCTGTGTGAAAAAATGACTGTATTTCTTGATTTTTTCTTTGAACTAATGAAAACAACATCATAGACTAGCACCAGCCCTCAAACATTCAGAATTCAATGGAATAGTTCAGATGTAGAAGTCAGTCTTAGCATGTTGAGTCTAGCAAGGTGTTCTCATGTTCTCCCCATTACTAGTACGAACGACGTTACATCACCAGTTTTATAGACCATTGAGTTATTGATGCTTGTCTTAATCCATTTGTGCTGATATAACAGAATACCTAAGACTGGGTGATTTATAATGAACAGAAATTCATTGGTTCACAGTTCTGGAGGCTGGGAAGTCTGCAATTAAGGCGCTGGCATCTGGCAAGGGCCTTCTAGCTGTGTCATAATGTGGCTGAAGGTAAAAGGGCAAAAGGCAAAAGTGGGCTGAACTTGCCCTTTTATAACAGCATTAATCTCATCCGTGAGAGTGGAGCCCCCTTGGCCTAATTCCCACCTCCTTATGGCAGTTAAATTTCAACATGAGTTTTGGAGAGCAGAGTCATTCAAACCATAGCAGTGCTTATGTTATTTTTCAAGTAAAATTAACTTAGATTTGAAGACCTAGGGATTTTATACTTGGAAGTGTTGATTTCATAGTTACCTATTTCTTATGCCTTAGTTGTTTCAAAAGCTTGAAATGCCCTTTGCTGACAGCACAATTCTTTGAACAGTCTGAAGAAGGTGGAAATGATCCTTTCAGGTATTTTGCATCAGAAATAATAGTAAGTACAGCTAATTTAATCTGCTATAATCTTAAATGTTATCCCACTATATTCTCAGTACTGCACATGTAAATTGATACATTCATTAATAAAGAAATGTGTATTTTTTGTAGAACACACATAAACAAAAGATGGAAAATAAAACAGCAATAATTTTATTATCCAAAGATAAATATTAACATCCTCCAGGCTTTTTTCTTATATACTTATTTATAATAATACATATATATAAATTTTTCAAAGATTTTATATATATATATAATCTTGTAATCTACCTTTTTCCTCTTCAACAGTATATTATGAATATTTTTCCATTGGCTTAATAGTGTTCCATGGTATGGACTTAGTATAATGTATTTCACCTGTGCCATATAGTTCAACATTTGGATTGTTTCTAATTTTCCATTATTGTAGGACAACTCCAAGTTTTCTTTTTTTAACTGTTAAGTCTATGATAAGTAACCTAGTAATTAAATTTTTGCATACTTTTCAAATTATTTCCTTAAAACTCCTAGAGTGGAAATTCCATGCCCTGTGATAAATATTTTCAAAATAGCTCCATATTTAAGTAAATTTTATTTTAAAAGCAATTTGGCTTTATGCATCAATAGTATTTTAAAATGTGCTCAGATTCTGTATTAGAGAAATAATCTGAAATATTAAAAAATTTATTTTAAGTTGATGTTTCTGAATTTCAAAAGAGAAAGTCCATGTGGCTGTGTAGTTTTCTTCAGCCATGTTCAGCTACATGAGTGCAGGTGCAGCATAGGAGTAACATTTGGTTGAATTAGGGTGGGGTTTTAAGAACAGGGTAAGTTGTAGAGAGCAAGAGGGGGGCAAGGGATTGAGCATGTATGTAAGGTGATTTCTTTTTCAATTATACTTTAAGTTCTAGGGTACATGTGCACAACGTGCAGGTTTGTTACATAGGTATACATGTGCCATGTTGGTTTGCTGCACCCATCAACTCATCATTTACATTAGGTATTTGTCCTAATGCTATCCCTCCCCCAGCCCCCCACGCCCCAACCAGCCATGGTGTGTGATGTTCCCCACCCTGTGTCCATGTGTTCTCATTGTTCAACTCCTACCAATGAGTAAGAACCTGCGGTGTTTGGTTTTCTGTTCTTGTGATAGTTTGCTTAGAATGGTGGTTTCCAGCTTCATCCATGTCCCTGCAAAGGACATGAACTCATCCTTTTTAATGGCTGCATAGTATTCCATGGTATATATGTGCCACATTTTCTTAATCTAGTCTATCATTGATGGACATTTGGGTTGGTTCCAAGTCTTTGCTATTGTGAGTAGTGCTGCAAGAAACACACATGTGCATGTGTCTTTATCATAGAATGATTTATAATCCTTTGGGTATATACCCAGTATTGGGATGGCTGGGTCAAATGGTATTTCTAGTTCTAGATCCTTGAGGAATCGCCACACTGTCTTCCACAATGGTTGAACTAATTTACACTCCCACCAACAGTGTAAAAGCGTTCCTATTTCTCCACATCCTCTCCAGCATCTGTTGTTTCCTGACTTTTTAATGATCACCATTCTAACTGGCGTGAGATGGTATCTCACTGGTTTTGATTTGCATTTCTCTGATGACCAGTGATGATGAGCATTTTTTCATGTCTGTTGGCTGTATAAATGTCTTCTTTTGAGAAGTGTCTGTTCATATCCTTTGCCTACTTTTTGATGGGATTTTTTTTTTCTTGTAAATTTGTTTAAGTTCTTTGTAGATTCTGGATATTAGCCCTTTGTGAGATGGGTAGATTGCAAAGATTTTTCTCCCATTCTGTAGGTTGCCTGTTCACTCTGATGATACTTTCTTTTGCTGTGCAGAAGCTCTTTAGTTTAATTAATCCCATTTGTCTATTTTGGCTTTTGTTGACATTCCTTTTGGTGTTTTAATCATGAAGTCCTTGCCCATGCCTATGTCCTGAATGGTATTGCCTAGGTTTTCTTTTAGGGTTTTTATGGTGTTAAGTCTTACATTTAAGTCTTTAATCCATCTTGAGTTAATTTTTGCATAAGGTGTAAGGAAGGGATCCAGTTTCAGCTTTCTACATATGGCTAGCCAGTTTTCCCAGCACCATTTATTAAATAGGGAATCCTTTCCCCATTGCTTGTTTTTGTCAGGTTTGTCAAAGATCAGATGGTTGTAGATGTGTAGTGTTATTTCTGAGGCCTCTGTTCTGTTCCATTGGTCTGTATATCTGTTTCGGTACCAGTACCAATCTGTTTTGGTTACTGTGTCCTTGTAGTATAGTTTGAAGTCAGGTAGCTTGATGCCTCCAGCTTTGTTCTTTTGGCTTAGGATTGTCTTGGCTATACGGGCTCTTTTTTGGTTCCATATCAACTTTAAAATAGTTTTTTCCAATTCTGTGAAGAAAGTCAGTGGTAGCTTGATGGGGATAGCATTGAATCTGTAAATTACTTTGGGCAGTATGACCACTTTCATGATATTGATTCTTCCTATTCATGAGCATGGAATGTTCTTCCATTTGTTTGTGTCCTCTTTTATTTTGTTGAACAGTGGTTTGTAGTTCTCCTTGAAGAGGTCCTTCACATCCCGTGTAAGTTGGATTCCTAGCTATTTTATTCTCTTTGTAGTAATTGTGAATGGGAATTCACTCATGATTTGGCTCTCTGTTTGTCTATTATTGGTGTATAGGAATGCTTGTGATTTTTGCACATTGATTTTGTATCCTGAGACTTTGCTGAAGTTGCTTAGCAGCTTAAGGAGATTTTGGGCTGAGACGATGGGGTTTTCTAAATATACAATCATGTCATCTGCAAACAGAGACAATTTGACTTCCTCTTTTCCTAATCAAATACCCTTTATTTCTTTCTCTTGCCTGATTGCCCTAGCCAGAACTTCCAACACTGTGTTGAATAGGAGTGGTGAGAGAGGGCTTCCTTGTCTTGTGCCATTTTTCAAAGGGAATGCTTCCAATTTTTTGCCTATTCAGTATGATATTGGCTGTGGGTTTGTCATAAAAGCTCTTATTATTTTGAGATACGTTCCATCAATACCTAGTTTATTGAGAGTTTTTAGCATGAAGGGCTGTTGAGTTTTATCCAAGGCCTTTTCTGCATCTATTAAGATAATCATGTGGTTTTTGTCATTGGTTCTGTTTATGTGATAGATTACGTTTATTGATTTGCATATGTTGAACCGGCCTTGCATCCCAGGGAAGAAGCCGACTTGATTGTGGCGCATAAGATTTTTGATGTGCTGCTGGATTCGGTATTTTATTGAGGATTTTCTCATCGATGTTCATCAAGGATATTGCCCTAAAATTCTCTTTTTTTGTTGTGTCTCTGCCAGGCTTTGGTATCAGGATGATGCCGGCCTCCTAAAATGAGTTAGGGAGGATTCCCTCTTTTTCTATTGATTGGAATAGTTTCAGAAGGAATGGTACCATCTCCTCTTTGTACCTCTGGTAGAATTCGGCTGTGAATCTGTCTGGTCCTCGACTTTTTTTGGTTGGTAGGCTATTAATTATTGCCTCAATTTCAGAACCTGTTATTGGTCTATTCAGAGATTCAACTTCTTTTAGGTTTAGTCTTGGGAGGGTGTATGTGTCTGGGAATTTACCCATTTCTTCTAGATTTTCTAGTTTATTTGCATAGAGGTGTTTATACTATTCTCTGATGGTAGTTTGTATTTCTGTGGGATCAGTGGTGATATCCCCTTTATCATTTTTTATTGCATCTATTTGATTCTTCTCTCTTTTCTTCTTTATTAATCTTGCTAGAGGTCTATGTATTTTGTTGATCTTTTCAAAAAAGCAGCTCCTGGATTCATTGATTTTTTTTGAAGGGTTTTTTGTGTCTCTATCTCCTTCAGTTCTGCCCTGATCTTAGTTATTTCTTGCCTTCTGCTAGCTTTTGAATTTGTTTGCTCTTGCTTTTCCAATTCTTTTAATTGTGATGTTAGGATGTCAATTTTAGCTCTTTCCTGCTTTCTTTTGTGGGCATTTAGTGCTATAAATTTCCCTCTACTCACTGCTTTAAATGTGTCCCAGAGATTCTGGTATATTGTGTCTTTGTTCTCATTGGTTTCAAAGAACATCTTTGTTTCTGCCTTCATTTCGTTATGTACCCAGTAGTCATTCAGGAGCAGGTTGTTCAGTTTCCATGTAGTTGTGCAGTTTTGAGTGAGTTTCTGAATCCTGAGTTCTAATTTGATTGCACTGTGGTCTGAGATACAGTTTGTTGTGATTTCTGTTCTTTTACATTTGCTGAGTAGTATTTTACTACCAATTATATGGTCAATTTTAGAATAAGTGCGATATGGTGCTGAGAAGAATGTATATTCTGTTGATTTGGTGTGGAGAGTTCTGTAGATGTCTATTAGGTCCACTTGTTCCAGAGCTGAGTTCAAGTCCTGGATATCCTTGTTAACCTTCTGTCTCATTGTTCTGTGTAATATTGACAGTGGGGTGTTAAAGTCTCCCATTATTATCGTGTGGGAGTCTAAGTATCTTTGTAGGTCTCTAAGGACTTGCTTTATAAACCTGGGTGCTCCTGTATTGGGTGCATATATATTTAGGATAGTTAGCTCTTCTTGTTGAATTTATCCCTTTACCATTATGTAGTGGCCTTCTTTGTCTCTTTTGATCTTTGCTGGTTTAAAGTCTGTTTTATCAGAGACTAGGATTGCAACCCTTGCTTTTTTTTTTTTGCTTTCCATTTGCTTGGTAGATCTTTCTCCACCCCTTTATTTTGAGCCCATGTGCATCTTTGCATGTGAGATGGGTCTCCTGAATACAGCACACCAATGGGTTTTGACTCTTTATTCAATTTGCCAGTCTGTGTCTTTTAATTGGAGCATTTAGCCCATTTACATTTAAAGTTAATATTGTTATGTTTGAATTTGATCATGTCATTATGATGATAGCTGGTTATTTTTTCTGTTAATTGATGCAGTTTCTTCATAGTGTCACTGGTCTTTACCATTTGGCATGTTTTTGCAGTAGCTGGTACCGGTCGTTCCTATTCATGTTTAGTAAATCCTTCAGGAGCTTTTGTAAGGCAGGCCTGGTGGTGACAAAAATCTCTCACCATTTGCTTGTCTGTAAAGGATTTTATTTCTCCTTCACTTATGCAGCTTAGTTTGGCTGGATATGAAATTCTGGGTTGAAAATTCTTTTCTTTAAGAATGTTGAATTTTGGCCCCCACTCTCTTCTGGCTTGTAGGGTTTCTGCTGAGAGATCTGCTGTTAGTCTGATGGGCTTCCTTTTGTGGGTAACCTGACCTTTCTCTCTGGCTGCCCTTAACAGTTTTTCCTTCACTTCCACCTTGGTGAATCTGACAATTATGTGTCTTGGGGTTGCTCTTCTCAAGGAGTATCTTTGTGGTGTTCTCTGTATTTCCTGAATTTGAATGTTGGCCTGCCTTGCTAGGTTATGGAAGTTCTCCTGGATAATATCCTGAAGAGTGTTTTCTAACTTTGTTCCATTCTCCCTGTCACTTTCCGGTGCACCAATCAAACATAGATTTGGTCTTTTCACATAGTCCCATATTTCTTGGAGGCTTTGTTCGTTTCTTTGCACTCTTTTTTCTCTAATCTTGTCTTCTTGCTTTATTTCATTAATTGGATCTTCAGTCACTGATACCCTTTCTTCCACTTGATCAAATCGGCTATTGAAGCTTGTGCATGCGTCATGAAGTTCTCGTGCCATGGTTTTCAGCTCCATCAGGTCATTTAAGTGCTTCTCTACACTGTTTATTCTAGTTAGCTATTTGTCTTACCTTTTTTCCAGGTTTTTATCCTCCTTGTGATGGGTTAGAACATGCTCCTTTAGCTCGGAGAAGTTTGTTATTACCGACCTTCCGAAGCCTACTTCTGTCAACTCATCAAACTCATTCTCCGTCCAGTTTTGTTCCCTTGCTGGTGAGGAGCTGTGATCCTTTGAAAGAGCAGAGGCGCTCTGTTTTTTGGAATTTTCAGCTTTTCTGCTCTGGTTTCTCCCCATCTTTGTGGTTTTATCTACCTTTGGTCTTTGATGTTGGTGACCTACAGATGGGGTTTTGGTGTAGATGTCCTTTCTGTTGATGTTGATGCTATTCCTTTCTGTTTGTTAGTTTTCCTTCTAACAGACCTCTCAGCTGCAGGTATGTTGGAGTTTGCTAGAGGTCCACT
Source organism: Homo sapiens (assembly GCF_000001405.40). Classification (NCBI taxonomy): domain Eukaryota; kingdom Metazoa; phylum Chordata; class Mammalia; order Primates; family Hominidae; genus Homo; species Homo sapiens. The sequence continues at coordinate 92,280,334 of NC_000001.11, read as the reverse complement.
CCAGACCCTGTTTGCATGGGTATCACCAGTGGAGGCTGCAGAAGAGCAAATATTGCTGCCTGATCCTTCCTCTGGAAGCTTTGTCCCAGAGGGGCACCCGCCTGTTTGAGGTGTCTGTCGGCCCCCTACTGGCAGGTGTTTCCCAATCACGCTACGCGGGGGTCAGGGACCCGCTTGAGGAGGCAGTCTGTCTATTATCGGAGCTCGAATGCTATGCTGAGAGAACCACTGCTCTCTTCAGAGCTGTCAGACAGGGATGTTTAAGTCTGCAGAAGCTGTCTGCTGCCTTTTGTTCTACTGTGCCGTCCCCAGAGGTAGAATCTATAGAGGCAGTAGGCCTTGCTGAGTTGCGGTGGGCTCCGCCCAGTTTGTGCTTCCAGGCCTCTTTGTTTACACTGTGAGCTACTCAAGCCTCAGCAATGGCGGACACCCCTTCCCGTCTAGCTGCAGCCTCGCAGGTCGATCTCAGACTGCTGCGCTAGCAGTGCGCAAGGCTCTGTGGGTGTGGGACCCACCAAGCCAGGCATGGCAGGGTATCTCCTGGTCTGCCGGTTGCTAAGACTATGGGAATAGCACAGTATTTGGTCAGGAGTGTACTGTTTCTCCAGAAACAGTCTGTCACGGCTTCCCTTGGCTAGGAAGGGGAAATTCGCTGACCCCTCGCACTTCCCGGGTGAGGCAATGCCCCGCCCTGCCTCAGCTTGCCCTCCGTGGGCTGCACCCACTGTCCAACCAGTCCCAGTGAGGTGAACCAGGTACCTCAGTTGGAAATGCAGAAATCACTGGTCTTCTGCGTCGATCTCGCTGGGAGCTGCAGACCTGAGCTGTTCCTATTTGGCCATCTTGGAAGTGACTCCTTTTTTTTTTTTTTTTTTTTTGTGACAGAGTCTCGCTCTGTTGCCCAGGCTGTCGTTCAATGGCATGATCTCAGCTCACTGCAACCTCCACCTCCTAGGTTCAAGCAATTCTCCTGCCTCAGCCTCCCAAGTAGCTGGGATTACAGGCACCCGCCACCACACCTGGCTAATTTTTTGTATTTTTAGTAGAGTTGGGGTTTCGCCATGTTGGCCAAGCTGGTCTCAAACTCCTGACCTCACGTGATCCACCCGCCTCAGCCTCCCAAAGTGCAGGGATTACAGGCGTGAGCCACTGTGCCCAGCCGCAAGGTGATTTTAATGTACAAAGTGACTTTAATGATGGACATAGAATTTAAGCTGGGTAAGGAGTAAAGTTAGGACATGCAAGAGACAGTGAAAAGGTGATTGGATCATTAGGTTGTAGAACCTGGTGTGGGTGACAGATGTTTGGAGTTAGGTTACTAAAAGGGGTGAACTGAAAAAATAGGTGTAAAGAATAGGATGCTTGAAAATAGTATTATGGAAAGATTATAGTTACTAGTATCAATGTCTGGGGTGTGACCATGAGAGGGTGTTCTAAAGGAGAGGATAGAGGCAAAGGTCATTGGGCTAGAGAAAATGAAATACTTGAGATTTCAGAGTATCAGAAGATCTTTGGTTGTACATTTAAATCACACAGAATTATAATGTTGGAAAGCCATGTGATGGGGTGACCTTGGGGTCTACTAACTGCAACAAGGAGGGGTAGAAATGGTAAAGTCATAAAAAATGAGTTTCAGAGTTGAGGGATTTTTAGAGAGGATGGGGAGAGAATGGTGTAGAAGCAGCAAGGAGAACAGATGTATTCCCAGGCTCAGTGGTACAATGGGTATAGATGAAAAATACAGTAGTCTTTTGAAGGGTTGCAGAGAAAGCAGCTGTTTTCAGATGAGAGCCAATTTTAATTTAGGAGAGATGGAAAAAGGGGTCAGATGAAGGGATGCTAGAAGTTTATGGGAATAAATTCTGAAGATGAGAGATGACTTGGTGACTGATATAATTAGGAATACATAATTTAATAAGGTTAATGCTGATGGTCACGATAATAGTGAAGAGGCTGTGAGGGATGAAGTAGGAGAGGTGACGGGTTTTCTCTGGAGCACACAAAAGTCTGGGGGCTCTTCATTGTTACCAGTGCTAGAGCACAGTATCATCTTCTGGAGGTAGTATAAGCACCATCACATATGATATGTATTTTGAGAAGACAACTATGAAAGTTGGAAACTATTAAAGGAAATCTGGTGATGTAGAAAAACCAAACTCAGTTTCTCCTACTATAGTCATAACAAGTTTCTGACACCAGATGTATGGAGTTCCCTGCCCTGCCCCCTGCCCTTCACGGCAAGCAAGCAAGCAGTTGTACAACGGACACCAATTGGGTGTCCTCTAATTCAATTCCAACGTTACCTACCTGGAGATAGTGTCAGATTTCACAGGTTGAGGGCTAAATACCTCAAGACTGCCCCCCCTTCCAATGCCAGTCTCAAGCCCTAGGATGTTTTACCTGTGCTCTAACTGACTGGCAATAAATCAGGATTCCCAGGACCCCCTCCTTGGGTTTGATTAATTTGCTAGATTGGCTTACAGAACTCAGGGCACTGCTTACTTACATTTAGTGGTTTACTATAAAGAATATTACCAAGGATACAGATGAAGAGATGCATAGGGCTAGGTATAGGGGAGGGGGCACCAAGTTTCCATACCCTGCCTGGATGCACCACCCTACTGGAAACTTCGTGCGTTCAGCTTCCAGAAGCTTTCTGAATCCAATCATTTTGGGTTTTTATGGAGGCTTCATTATGTAGGAATGATTGATTACATCATTGACCGTTGGTAATCAACTTAATATTCAGCCCCTTTCCCTTACTGGGGTGGGATGGGGGTAGGGCTGTGGGACTGAAAGGTCCAGCCTTCTAATCACAGGGTTGGTTCCCTTGGCAACCAGCTCCCATCCTGAGGCTATCCAGGAGACGCAGCTATCAGTCAACTCAATAGCATAAAGACACTTATCACTTTGGAGATTCCAAGGATTTTAGGAGTTATATCCCAGGAAGTGGGAACAAAGAGCAAATATATATGTCACAGTATCACAGATGTTAAATCTGGGAGTGATGTAATCAAACTGTGTTTAGGATTCATCACTTTAAAGGAAGATGACTAACTGGGATAAAATTGGAAGTAGGGAAGCCTTGGGAGTTAAGTAAGCAATGATGGGAGCCTGAGTATAGATGTATGGATATTTTTTGTTTGTTTCCTTTTTTTAATTGACTAAATTTATGACACATTCTGTTAGTAGGGATATAGTTTTAAAGATGAAGAAAGGGCAGATTTGAGAACTTTATAGTAGGTAAAATTGGCAAAATTTGGTCATTGATTGGATTTAGAATAAAACATGGATGAGGGTTTTTGCTTGGATAACTGGGCAGATGAAGGTGCCAATACTTGAGATAGAGAATACAGAGCAAGAATCTGGGGGTCTTGTGCCTTTAAAACAAATGTATTGTAAAAATTTACAAACATTCAGAAAAGTACTAAAAATAATCTAGCACATGCCCATGTACCCATCACCCAGCTTCAATAATTATGAACATTTTGCCAATTTTGTTTTATCTGTCCTCCTCCTTTTCTTGCTGTAGTATAACAAGTCCTAAACATAATTCATCTGTAAGTCTTTAAGGATGCTTCCCTAATGACAAGGGCTTTTTTAAAAAAACAAATAACCACCAGGCTATTATGACACCTAACAAGATTTTATTACCTTTTGTTAAAATTTTTTGAGACAGGGTTTCACTCCCATTGCCCAAGCTGGAGTGAAGAGGCATGATGTCGGCTCACTGAAACCTCTGCCTCCCGGACTCAAGCAGTTCTCCTGCCTCAGCCTCCCAAGTAGCTGGGACTGCAGGCACACATCGTCCCACCTGGCCAATTTTTGTATTTTGGGTAGAGATGGGGTTTCACCATGTTACCCAGGCTGGTCTCGAACTCCTGGGCTCAAGCGATCTGGCTGCCTTTGGCCTCCCAAAGTACTGGGATTACAGGCGAGAGCCACTGTTCCCAGCCTAACTCCTAACAAGATTAACAATAATTTTTTAATATATATCTAATAACCAGAGAGAGAATAGGTTTTTAAGGAATTTAAAATATAATATTTTAATATGTAAATATATGTATATTTAATATAGAATTATATGTAAATGTGTATATATATTTTTTGAGATAGGGTCTTGCTCTGTGGCCTAGGCTGGAGTGCAGTGGCACAACCATGGCTCACTGCAGCCTCAACCTCCCAGGCTCAAGTGATCCTTCCACCTCAGCCTCCTGAGTAGCTGGGACTTACAGGCATACCCCAGCATGCCTGGCTAATTTAAAATTTTTGTTTTGTAAAGGTGAAGTCTCACTATGTTGTACAGACTGGTCTTGAACTCCTGGGCTCAAGTGATCCTCCCACCTTGGCTTCCCAAAGTGCTGGAATTACAGGTCTGAGCCACCATACCTGGCCAGGAGATACTTTGAATGAGAGGGGGTGAGATTACCTAAAGAGGTGACAAGAGAAAAGGGCTCAGGAGTGAACTCTAGAGAGTACCAGCACTTAAAATGAGCCCAAGAAGGAAGTCGGAAGTGGTAGAAATACACAGAAACTGGTGTAGTAGAGTTTTAGAAGGATAGAGGTGATCAGTACTGTTAAATGCATAGAGGTATGCTGAAAAGCATCTGTAGGATTTAGGAAGTAAGATGGCATTGGTAATCTTAGCAAGAACAGTGTAAGTACAGTGTTGGAGACAAATCAGAGTGGAGTTGATAAAAGAATGAATGACAGATGAGAAAAAGGAGATGACTAGTGTAAGCTATTCTTTAAAAGAGGTTGGATGAATAAGGAAGGAGAGGTAATAGCTAGAAGACATGAGCTAAGGGTAGGAAGGTAATGGAGGTGGGAAGACTTGAGCATGTTTATAGCTGTTGGGGTGCAAACTGTTGAGGGAAAAATACAAGTGTTTATGAGATAACTGAAATAATGTGGCTTATGAGCAAATGGCTGGACATAGTATCAAGGCCATAAGGAAAGTCCTAGACAGGAAGAACTAGTGGGTATCAAGGTAAGAAAACATGTTGAGAAATTTGTAGCAGGAATGGAATCTTACAATTGAGGGGAGTCAAACCCACTGGCCTCAGATTTCTAGGTGAAGGAGAGATGATCTCTTAATAATGAGGAGGTAGAAATGGGCATTGAGTAAAAGGGCTTAAGGAAACTGGTAAAGGTTTGGAATACTGAGGGGAAAGGAAAGAGATGGTGGAAGACCACGGAAGCATGAGTCAGTAGTACTGAGCACTCAATGGTGCTTGGAAACCACAACTATAGTGGTAACAGTCTGTATTTTTTTATCCAGCAATACTCAGCTCCCTGTGTGTAGAAGCAGAGAAGGTAGATTGCAGTTATTTTTCCAAGGCTGGCATTTTACTGGGTAGATACTGCTGAAGGAAATACAGGGTGCAGATAGTTCAGCTGGTCAATAATCCATGATTCAGGTTGGATAGGGAAAGAAGGGGGGTTAGGAGGGAATGCCTAGGTAGGTCAAAATGTAGGAATCACAGGACTGGAGAAGTCAGAAGTAGAAAAGCAGATTGCTAGGAGAGACAGGATGACAGATTTTGGTCAGAAAATGGGATATTGGAGTTTAAAGTATCAAATACAGAATAGTTCCAGATGTTCAGAGATCCAGCATGGGATTAGGTACTGAAATGGATTAGAACTAAAAGTCACTAGAATTTAGAAATTGAGAACCATGAGAGTGGATGCAATGACTTGTTGCTTGATTGAAAAATAAATTAATAATAATAAAGGACCATGAGACTAGCCTGTTATAGGGGTTATCTCCATGAACATTGAATTTTCCCAGGATCATAGCAGGAATTGGGTAGAGAAAAAGATTATGAGAAGGTGCCAGAGTCTTCAGTGAATGTCAGGAAATTACCAGGAAGTCAGCATATGACAGAGAAAAGGACAGTATGTTATCTGCATCAAAGGAAAATGTGCTTTTGTTGAAAAGTACAGAAAAAGCCAATACTACAATACTGTGCTAAGCCCCTACCTGTACTCCTCTACCCAACAGCTGCATTCCAGGCCCTGTGGTATAAAAGGTGTGAGAATGAGCATCTCCCACCAGAAATCAGACAGGTTTAGTTAAAGCAGTGAGGCAGAACAAGCATCCTATGAAGAGACTGAGGATGTAGGTGAGTGGTTCTAAAATCTCAGTAGAAGGAACATTGCAAGTAGAAAGAGCCAGCAGTAAGGATGCACGTAGCAGTCTAGAAGTAGAGGTGAGACCAGCTTGGAGATGAAATGAGGAGATGTCTTCTGTTCTGTGCTGGAGAAGTACTGGTAAGTGTGGTGTGGTTGGGATTCACAGGCCTCAGCCATCCTCACTTTGGTACAAGTTATTTTGGTACAGAACTACTAGAATGTCCCAAAGGCTGTAGTACAGGAACATTTCTGAAAGGACAAAAGCTGCCATGAATATTGAGAAATTGTATGGTGCCAGGTACAGCCTGGATCTGAGCAAGACTGCTGGATGGTGTGTGGATAGATAGTGAAGGCCCAGATTTGGGAACAGATTGGATCTCAGATATCCAGAGCAGCACTGTAGAATCTAGTTGCATATAATAATGTTTTAAAAAGGGTATCTTAGGCTGGGCACGGTAGCTCCCGCTTGTAGGCCCAGGCCTTTGGGAGGCCAAGGTGGGCAGATCACTTAAGCCCAGGAGTTCAAGACCAGCCTGGGCTGCATGGCGAAACCCCATCTCTATAAAAAATAAAAAAAATAAAAAAAAAATAGCGGGCATGGTGGCATGTACCAGTAGTCCTAGCTACTCAGGAGACTGAGGAGGGTGGATTGCTTGAGCCTGGGGAAGTCAAGGCTGCAGTAAGCCATGATCATGCCACTACACTCCAGCCTGAGTGACAGAGTGAGACCTTGTCGCCAAAAAAAAAAAAAAAAAAAACAGGGCTACCTTACTCTGGAAAAAACACATGTAGCATTGGCTGAATAAAGAAATGGAGCTTCATGATTAAGGACATTTGGAATCAGAGTGCAATAAACTTTTTGTCTTGTAGCTATAACCAGAATGCATGGCTTTGAAAATCACTGCAGCAGTATATATTTAGCATCTGGTCGCTGAATAGCAGTCTCTTGTGACTGAGGATGATTTTCCATGGTTCCTTTTTGTATTCTGAAATGACTAATGGAACCATCTGGGATCAGCAGATTTTAAGTCCCTGAAGGCTGGAAAAGACTTATACTTGGCTTTATAATTCCCCACAAAGTCAGGCCCAGCACCTTGCACTTAAGTGTTTATTGAATAAAAGAGTGACTTGTGTGGAAGTTATTCATTCTGCTTTAGCTGTTTTTGTCATTCATTCCCTTTTAACTCTTGTAGTTTGTTGTGACTTTAACTTTCTTACGCTTTTTTTGTGGAGCTGCTCGATAAATATTTGACATAGGTATTATGTCATTTTATGGCTCATCCAGTGTCACACAAGTAGTAAATGGTAGAGCCAAAACTCAAAATCAATGTCAGTGGATTCTGAAGGTAGGTGCTTTCTGGTACGCTAGAATTAGTACCAGTATAAGAGGCATAGGAGTGATCTTGTTTCCTGAGCGGAAAGCTTTATTTAGCCCTGTGGTCCTACCCACTCATGCAAGGATGCTTCTCTTTCTCGTCTCACATGAGAACCCTGATGACTGAGAGATCAACAGTGTTTCCTCAGGCCCAGCTGCCCTGCCCAGCGTTCCTGCATCCCACTCTCTACAGGCACAATGTTAGTGGAGCATTGTTCCTAGAGTATTCTTCATCTTAGTTGCTTTACCCTTGCTTCATATATTTGTATGTCTCACGTTTCAGATTGCTCTCAAATATCCCTGAAGCACTTTTTTAAAAAAAATTGTGGTGAAATATACATAAAATTCATCATTTTAAACTTTTTAAACTATGATTCTGAATTAATTTAGAATACTTCTGATGTATAAAATGCTATGTAAAATACGATTTTGCTGTTGGCTTCTGTATTAGTTTTTCATTGCTGTATAACAAATTCCTGCAAACTTAGCAGTTTAAAACAGCATACCTTTGTTATCTCACAGTTTCTATGGATCAGGAGTCCAGCCACAGCTTAATTGGGTCCTCTGCTCAGGGTCTCATTGGGCTACAGGCCAGTTGTTGACTGGGTCTGTAGTCTTATCAGAAGCTTAACTGGGGAAAGATCCACTTTCAGGTTTCCTCCGCTGGCAGAATTCATTTCCTCTAAGCTGTAGGACTGAGGTCCCCATTTTCTTGCTGGCTGTCAGCCAGGGACCACATTTAGCTTCTAGGAGCTGCCTGTAGTTGGTCCCTTGCCATGTAGTTCTGTCCATGAGCCTTCTCATAACATGGCAGCTTAGTTCTTTAAAGCCAGCAAGGGAGAGAGTCAGAGAGCAAAGTTTCTGACTCTCAGGGAAGGCCTGGACCCCCTTTAAAAATATACCTGATTAAGTTAGGGCCACCCAACTCAAAATCTACTGATTTGGGACCTTAATTACATCTGCAAAAACCCCTTCACTTTTGTCATATAATCTAATCATGGGAGTGACATCTTGGCGCATTCTGTTGGTTGAAAGCAAGTCTCATAGGTCCCACTCACGCTCAAAGGGAGTGATTACACCTCCCCTTGGTGAGAATGTGGAGTTTGAATACACGGGGTGGGGGGCATTTTAGAGTCTGTGTGCTATGGTTTCCTTTTTTATCCATTTCATAGGGTTTTTTATCAGCAATTGGACACCCTTTCCCCAAAATGATTTTTAATCATGGAAGGAAAAAGAGAACTTGGAATTACCTTGAATTTGAAGAAGAAGAAAATAAACAGTTAGCAGACTCAATGGCTTCTCTGGCATATCTAGTATTTGTACAGGGCATCCATATTGATCAGCTTCCAATGGTCTTAAGGTAAGAGTTAGTGTTTGGTTTATTCATGTATTCTAAAAGGAATTTCATAAAATTCTCATTTATCTAATGTCCAATATATGCATATTAACACACTAATACATTTTAAATAAATAGTAAAGGCTATTTTTAATAAGAATGATCCCAGCTATAATCTGTTAAAGATAGCAGTAGACAAGTAATGAAAGTGGGGAGTGTTGAAATAGGTGTAAGGGAATGGTGGGGACAAGAATCAGAAGATGATAAACAGGGCTTGGTTTTGAAGCTTTTGAGACCACCCTGGAACTAGCCAGGTACCCAGGGGTATCATCATCTTTTCACTGGATTACTGCTGTAATCCTGAGTGGATTTATATATCTACTTTTACTTCCTTTTAATTTAACACATTCTCAACATACCAGAAAGCGAAGCCTTAAAAGAAGTCCCTTACTGAAAACCCTCCAGTGGCTTTTTATTGCTTTAAGAATAAAGTCTTAATGCCTTTGCATAACTTCTGAGACAAACTTGTGCCTGGTCTGGTCCCTGCTTAATTGACCTGATTCATCTCCTACCACCTTTCCTCTTGTTTACTATGCTCCAGTGACACAGACCTTCTTTTGTTTCTAGTTTAAATGTTATGAATTTTCCTATTTGGCCTTTGTATATGCTTAAAATTCTCTTTATCCTTAAATGTCACTTTCTGAAGAAAGCCTTCACTCACCACCCAATTTAGGTTGAATCCTTCTATTATAATTACCTTGACCTTGTCTTCTTTTCCCACAATGTTTATTAAAATTATTTTTAAAATATATAATTTTATAATGTAATATCTTCTGGACTTTGAGTTCTATGATAATAAGGATTGTGTATTTGTCTTATAGGCATTGGGTATTTGTGTGAGTTTGTGCATTTATATATGAATATAGCTAGGAGTACATTCGTATGTAAATGTTGAAATACTGGCTATCATTTGCATGTTCACCATGTATGAAACATTATGCTAATAACTTTATATGCATTATCTCATCCTTATAATAAGCCTGTGAAATAGAGCATTCTCTCATTTTACAGATGAAAATAACAGGCTTAGACAAGTTAATATACCACTGAAGATCTAACTACTTTGTGGCATAGGTGGGATGCAGATAGCTCTGTCTGACCCCAGAGCCTATACTCTTAAGCATCACATTCTATCACCAAAATAACTTATACAGCATATGTATATTAACTTGCTAGGGCTCCTGTAAAAAAGTGCTACCAACTGGATGGTTGAAATAACAGAAATAGTTTGTCTCATAGTTCTGGATGCTCCTTCTGAGGGTTGTGAAGGAGAATCTTCTCCATGCCTCTCTCCTGGCTTCTGGTGATTTGCTCACAATCTTTGATGGTCTTTGGCTTGTAGATGCATTATCCTGTTCTCTGCCTTCATGTTCGTATGCTGTTCTCCCTGTGTGCTTGTGTCTGTCTCCAAACTTTCCTTTTACATAAGGACAACAGTCATATTGGATTAGGGCCCACCCTAATAATCTCATTTTAAATTGATTACCTCCATAACCCTATCTCCAAATAAGGTCAAATTCTGAGGTACTAGAGGTTAGGACTCCAACATATCTTTTTTGGGGGAGATACAATTCAACCCATAACAATATGTATGTGTGTACATATCTCTGTGTGTGTGTATAATATATATATTTGTTTTGTTTCTATTTTAGCCCATTGTACCTTTTGCAGTTTAATATGGGGCACATTGAAGTCTTTTTGCAAAGGTAAGATCGTTTAGATGGTATCTCAAAATGAAATAGTAGTGTTAAAATAGTCCTTGTTAAGATCAGCGGAGACTGCCTTTTCTTTGCTAAGCTCTAATTAATTAATTGGTTATTTTATAAAACAGCGAGGCAAATAATTCACGAGAGAGACAGAAATGAGTCAAGGAGGTTTTACACCAAAGTCTGTTTTATTTTAAACTTAAGACAGTATTAAGATTTTGTCTTAAGGGCTTTTACAGTCATCTGTTTCTAAGGTTTCTTCTCTTACTCCAAAAGTTGGTAAATTAAAACACCTCTACCCCACTGCATCCTCCTCCATCTTAAGGAAGGGCAGTCAATAAAAGAAGTTCTTCCGTATTTTTCCTTCATGGACACAGTCTGTGAATTGCATCAAAAGGAAGGAGGTGTCTTGACTTCCACCTTTTATAATTTAGATTATTGACAGTGATGTCATTCAATTACAACTTTTCTCATTTGAGGTGCTAAGCAGCAGGACTTTCTATTTAAAAAAAAAAAAAAAAAGCCAGGCACGGTGGCTCACGCCTATAATCCCAGCACTTTGGGAGACCAAGGCGAGAGGATTGCTTGACCCCAGGAGTTCGAAACCAGTCTCTCTCTCTACAAAAAATAGAAAAAATTAGCCAGGAGTGGTGGCGCCTGCCCGTTGTCCCAGCTACTTGGGAGGTTGAGGTGAAAGAATCACCTGTGCCTGGGAGGTCTGGGCTGCAGTGAGCAGAGATCATGCCACTGCAGTCCAGCCTGGGCAACAGAGTAAGACCCTGTCGCAAAAGAAAAAAAAAAAAAAAAGGAAATTACAGAGTAACAGGTATACATAATTTCTAGACAGAAATTAAAGAATTTCACAGAACTATATGCTTTGTTTTCTTTCACTATAACATGTAACATGTTTAAATTATCCCCTGAGATCAGTTAGGGCTTTGCAATTATCCTCTATGAACACTAGTGACAGTTTATCAGTCCCATCTCTTACCAGGTGAAGGAAGATTTGTAACATGGCAATGTCCAAAGCTTCAGCATACAAGGCAGGAATTTCCAAGGGTCTCCTGGCACAAGTAGTTACTAATTCTGTAAATTTGCTGTATTATGTATGTTTTAATGATTTTATATTCATTACATTTAGTTTCTGTTATTCATACAGTGATAATATGTATTGTTTTGAATCTAAGTCCTAAATTCTTGAGATTTCCAAACTGCAGAGTCATTGAGTCTTTTTTTGAATAAAAAGAATTGGAAAGATTTTACAGAATAATCAACTGGAATATATAGCATTGGTTATATCAGGTTTAGTTAGTTTCTTAGCACTTGCTGTTGAAGATCTATTGTTTTGAAGTTAGGAAATAATCCCTGAGTAGATTTATTTTGGTCAGATTTAGTGGCCTTAGCCAAACCGAAAGACAGATCAAAGATGGATTAAAACTTTTGATCAAGTTCTTCAACAGAATTTCTCCTTAATGATATGCATTTTAAAAGTGTTAAAATTTCAGTTTTTGCTGTATTTTTCATAAGATGAAGTATCATTCTAAAATAGTTTACAAATTCATGATAAATTTTAATATTATTTTTCAGAACAGAAGAGTCTGTTATCTCCAAAGGATTGGTAAGATGTTTGTTCCCATTATAACTTAAATACATAGTTATGTCAACAAATAACAGCTGTTGACTTCACTATATATGTATCTGCATATATTTTAATCTGTAGGAGCTGCTGGAGAATAGTTTATTGAGAATAGAAGACAATAGTCTACTTTACCAGTACTTAGAAATCAAGAGTTTTCTTACTGTACCTCAGGTAAATAAAATATGTATTCTAATATTGAAAATAGCCCTTTGCCTGTTCTGAACTTAAAGTAAGGTCTTTTCTGATTCCTTTCCCACTCTTTTCTCTGCAACCTTTGAAAACTCTGGTGTAATGCTGTCCAGTAGAACTTTGACAATATGAAAGCCACTAGCCAAACTGAACACTTGAAATGTGACTAAGGAACTATTTTTTTTTTTTTTGAGGTGTAGTCTTGCTGTGTCGCCCAGGTTGGAGTGCAGTGGTGCTATCTCAGCTCACTGCAAGCTCCACCTCCTGGGTTCATTCCATTCTCCTGCCTCAGCCTCCCGAGTAGCTGGGACTACAGGCGCCCGCCACCACACCCAGCTAATATTTTTGTATTTATAGTAGAGACGGAGTTTCACTGTGTTAGCCAGGATGGTCTCGATCTCCTGACTTCGTGATCAGCCTGCCTCAGCCCCCCAAAGTGCTGGGATTACAGGTGTGAGCCACCACACCCAGCCGGAACTAAGTTTCAAATTTAAATTTTAATTTATTTAAACACGAATAGCTATTAGAGGCCACCATTATTGATAGCACAGCATCCAGTAGAAAAGCATAACTTTCTTCTTTTAACACTTTATTTCTGTAGGGATCTTGGAAAATGAAGCTTCTTTATGTTTCTCATAACTCAAGTTCTCAGGACTCCATCTAAGGCATCCACTGACTCATTACCAGAAAGACTAATACACATTGTGTTTTTCCCTCCTATGGTTTATTTTGCCCAATCCTCTTTGTTAGTTATGATATCCAAGGAAATCCTTAGATTTCAGTGTGGGAACTGGTTTTCCTAATATTTAAATAGAAAAACATGGTTTTTGTTAACATATTGTTTGATTGTTTTTAATTAATAAATTATATTTCTGTAGATTTGATTTCATTTTCTTGCCACTGTAGACATAATTGAAAATTATCGTTTGCTTTTAAAAGTACACTGTGTGACACTCTACTCAATATCACTTAAAAAATCAATTGTAGTTAGCTTTCTGGAATGGAAGGCTTAGGGAAAAATTAATTTACTTCACTTTTAAATCTCCTACCCTCACTTCTCTGAATTTTTAGTATCCTATTGATGTATTATAGTTGTTTGTTTGCAGTCAGTATAATCTGTTTACATCTGAATTTTACATTTTTTTATTTCCAGGGCTTAGTGAAAGTAATGACACTTTGCCCCATTGAGACACTGGTATGTAAATATTTGGTGACTAAAGAATAATGAGTTACAGTGAGAAAATTTGACAAATAATTTAATTTTCTTTTTAAAAATTTTAATTTGTGAAATTTTTATTTAGGAGGTACAAGTGTGGATGTATTACATGCATAAAATGGATAGTGATGAAGTCTGGGTAAGCTTTATTCATTTTATATAATAATATTGTTTGTTCCATTTTAGAGGAAAAAGAGTTTAGCTATGCTTCAGCTGTATATTAACAAGTTGGATTCACAAGGCAAATATACATTATTTAGGTATGTATCAAGCATGGCTAATTGCTAAGTGTGTGGTTGATTAAAAGTCATGTTAATGCCATGTAATTGTTTTAGGGCATAGTATGTCGGTATGTTTTACATGTAATTCAACTCTGGTTGGAACCCATATTATAAATTCTCAGTGATGGCTAGAGAAAGGGTTAATCAAATATTTCAGACATACTATATATATGTCTATATTTTGTATGACTAATAGTATATATTGCAGTTCAATCAATTGGAATACTCTAAATTTGAAATAGACTTAAAAATAATTAAACTGAGATTGATGATGCTCCTGCTGGAACTTTATGTATGTCACTAATCTCCATTACTCACAGTTCAAATTGATGGCTCTGGAATTACAACTTTGATAGGCTATGCACTATGTTAATAGTAAGAGCTTACTAATACTGCTCTTTGAGGTGGATAAGATTCTAGCAACTCTCTAAGTTAAAGATTGGTAAACTTTCTAATTAATTTTCTGTGAAGAGCCAAATAGTAAATATAGGTTTTATGGGCTATACAGTCTCTGTTGCAAGTGCTCAACTTTGACTTTGTATTGGGGATGGGTGTGTTCCAGTAAAACTTTATTGATAAAATTGGGCATCAGGCTGGATTTGCTAAAATGTCTTACCTGGGATTGGCCAATATTAGTACTGTTCTTTTTTGGCGGGTGCAGCAGTGTGATCATGGCTCACTGCAGCCTTCACCCTTGGCCCCCCAGCTTCAGGTGATCCTCCCGCTTCAGCCTCCCAGGTAGCTGGGACTACAGGTGCATGCCATCATGCCCAGCTAATTTTTTTGTGGAGATGGGGTTTTGCCATGTTGCCCAGGCTGGTCTCAAACTCCTGGGCTCAAGCGATTCACCCACCTCAGCCTCCCAAAGTGTTGAGATGACACGCATGAGCCATCATGCCCAGCCAACACTCTTGATTCTATCTTTTCTTGTTTTCTATTGATAGTAAGAGCAAGTTTATGAAATCTCAATTCTTAGGTATTATACCGGCTTTCCTGTTCTGTTCTATGTGTATCTCTACCAATAAATCCCCTTTTTTTCTTAAGCTAGTCATATCTAGTTTTTTTTTTTTTTTTGCAATTAAGCTACTCTAGCACTGGACTACTTTCACAGGAAATAATTTGGGGATTTTTTAGACCATTATGTTAGTGCCCTTTCTTGCCATGTTAAATTATTGTAACTATGTTCATAAAAATATTCAAATTTTGGTTTGATAGAAATGGCTTGTTGGAAGATCCAGTTATAAATAAGTATTTACCGGCCGGGTGTGGTGGCTCATGCCTGTAATCCCAGCACTTTGGGAGGCTGAGGCAGGCGGATCACGAGGTCAGGAGTTTGAGACAAGCCTGGCCAACATGGTGAAACCCTGTTTCTACTACAAATACAAAAAATTAGCCAGGCACGGTGGCGGGCGCCTGTAATCACAGCTACTCAGGAGGCTGAGGCAGGAGAATCGCTTGAACCCGGGAGGCGGAGGTTGCAGTGAGCCAAAATTGTGCCACTGCACTCCAGCCTGGGCGACAGGGCGAGACTCTGTCTAAAAAAGTAAAATAAAATAAATAAGAATTTACCATTTAGTGAGAGCAATAACTATTACAGGTGACTTTGTAATTGGTTGATGACCTTGCTAATTACCATTACTGTGGGGTTTTTATTCCTAGAAGTAACACATGGCCTCTTTGAATTTGTAAAACTTTTATCACCATTTAATTCTAATGCTGTCCAGGATAATTTCACATCTATTGTAATTTTGCTTTCAAGGTGCTTATTGAATACAAGTAATCACTCAGGTGTGGAGGCTTTTATTATTCAAAATATCAAAAATCAAATTGACATGTCATTAAAGGTAAGAACATAGCCAAAGTGTCAATTACCAATTTATTTCGTAGGGTATATTTATTCATATGTAGAATACATTAATGTGAGTTATTGCTCTATCTCTAGTATTACTATTACTTAAATATTATTAAGGCATATTTTTTCCCCTATTTCTACTATGTTTTAAAAACTCTGAATTTGGAAATTTAGTTAACTATAAGTTTAAATTGTATTCTTTGAGGTTTTGGTTTTTGTTTTTGTTTTTTTTGAGACAGGGTTTCACGCCTGTCACCCAGCTTGGAGTGCAGTGGCATGATCTCAGCTCACTGCAGCCTCCACCTCCTGGGCTCAAGCAGTTCTCCCAACTCAGCCTCCCGAGTAATTGGGACTACAGGTGTCCACCAGTGCGCCTGGCTGAATTTTGATTTTGTAGAGATGGAGTTTCACTGTGTTGCCCAGGCTCGTCTTGAACTCCTGATCTCAAGTGATCCACCCACCTTGGCCTCCCAAAATGCTGGGATTACAGGTGTGAGTCATCACTCTGGGCCTCTTTGAGCTGATATTGTGGCTTATTTTTGCTTTGTTATATGCTTCTCAAAAATGAATGGAAACTTAAGTCTCTTCTGTTTCTGAGTGCTCAGTAATTCTAAATGGAAAACAGAGTGACCAGTGTTCTCAAACTGGCAGGGTTCGTTCCTGGTGTCTGGAAAGTGAATGAAAGTACGGAAATTAAAGTTAAAAACTGTATTTTAAATGTGCAATTCTTCATTTTTGTAGTGTCAAGGTATTAGAAAAACACATGAATTACATGAATTATAAAGCTTTCTCAATTTTTCGTTTGCTTTTCAGAGAACACGTAACAACAAATGGTTTACAGGACCACAGTTGATTTCCCTTCTTGATTTGGTACTTTTTCTCCCAGAGGGTGCAGAAACAGATTTACTGCAAAACTCAGATAGGTGAGGTGACCATTACCAAAGTTCACATAGTAAATTCAGAATAAAATGTGAAACATCTGCTTAGGGAACCTAAAGTAATAAAATGTCTTTTCCTGTGATTTTATGATCTATGGCTAATTCATTAAGTTACATAAAGATTTTTCATATTTAAGTGATTTGATAATGTGTAGAAACAAAATTAAAACCTCCTCTTTCTAGATGAATGACCAGCACTATGATTTGATAGCTTTTATGTACCCAGCATTCCATAGAAATTTGCAATGACAGCACTTGTGACTTAAAACTAAAAATCTGTGTATGTAATTTATGTGTTTAGGTTTTGTTGTTTTATTGTTTTCCAGGTCATTTTTTTTTTCATATAGAACATATAATTTCAGTTTCAGTATACTGGAATGGATATTGAGAAATGGTTTAAAGCATTTAAAAAGTAATCTTAAAATTCAGAAAGCAAGAGATGATGCTCTCAAATATTAAAGATAACAAGGCTTTCTTTAAACAAGGATGATAATTTTCACAATTGTATGATTTAAACAAATGGAAAACAGTGATAAGTTATTACTACTCAAAAAGATATTAATGGAAATAGTTTCTATTGGCAAACCTAATTATAAAAATATGACCAAAGTTTTAGCTTATTGAGATTGCTGTTGACTATATAAAACCATACTGTAAGTAACATATATTTTTAATTAACAGGATTATGGCTTCATTAAATTTATTGAGGTATTTGGTTATCAAAGATAATGAAAATGACAATCAAGTAAGTGAAGTATTTGAAAAGAAACTGTGAGTATATTCAAAAGGCATAAGGAATGTTTCAGATATTCAGTACCTAAAGCCAATATTTAATATCTTACCCAGATATAAAGGCCGGGAAGAGTGCCAACAATTATTCTGAAACCTGAAGTTAATTCCCAGGAGCATTTACCACCCCACATCCAGCTTTCCTTTCCCTTTCCATTTCCTATTGTACGTCTGCTTTCTTGCTGAAAGCACTTAGTCCTGTTGGGTGGATAAGTTGCAGGTCCTAAGTCAACTAACCTTGTGGAGCTCAACGTACATATGGTGTCTTGTTCAGTTTCCTCCACCTATAGCTCATGAGCTGTATAAAATCATCTGATATTTTAATATTGCCTCATCAGACATGACAAATTGAAGCATTTTCAGCACTAAAACAGAATTTGTTAACAGCACCTTTTAGATATGTTTAGGAAGTTGGATTTTTTAAAAATAGCACATCATTAGAAGTATTCAATAAATAGAGAAGTATTCAATAAATAGAAAACTATTTGAGGGAGATTTGTCATACAGTAAAATTATATTTGCTTTTTATCTTCTCTTTCTACCCTGTTCTGATCATTGCTTTCCCTATATGTGTCACCTCTATTAGCTAGAACTACCTGAATCATGTGTTGTTAATTGGTTTTTTTTTAGTAATTCATTTTTATATAAAGATGCCAAAGAAAATTTTTTTTAAATTAGGTAAATCGTGATTTGGGATGAAGGTTTATGAGAAAAGTAGCAGTCTCTTTCCTTCCTGACAGATCTATAGTAGATTCAGTGATTTGAACCCCCGTTCATCCCTCTTCAGCTGAAAATAGCTATTTGCCATCATTGACTAGTGCTTACTCTGTATCAGGTGCTATTTTTTTTTAACATTTTGTTGTGAAACTTTTCAAATGTACAGCAAAGTTGAAAGAATTTTATAGTGATCATTGGTTTACCCACCACCTAGAGTCTATGATTCTACTGTACTAACTTCATCATGTATCTATCACTCCACCCTCTGTCTATCACTCCGTCAGTCTATTTTTTGATGTATTTCAAAGTAAACTGCAGACGTCAGCATACTTTCTCCGAAATATTTCAGCATGTATTTCATTACATTGATTAAATATTTGTCTGTAGTTTTTCTTTGAAGTAAAATTTACATAATGAAATGTTCAAATTTTAAGTGTATATTCACTGAATTTTAACTAATACATAGATCTATATTACTCAAACCCATATCAATATAGAACATTTCCAGCATCACAAGAGGTTCCTCATACCCCTTCCTAGTTAATTCTGACCTCGTTGTGCTACTCACCCCTGCCAGGGACAACCACTATTCTGCCCAAGTGCTGTATATCATTCATTCTTCAGAGAGCGTCTCGTTCTCTTGCCCAGGCTGGATTACAGTGGTACAATCATGGCTCACTGCAGCCTCGACCTCCTGGGCTCAAGAGATCCTCCCACCTCGGCCTCCCAAAGTGCTGGGGTAACTTCCAGGCATGGGCCACCATGGAAAACCAAGAAAAGTACTCTTTATTTTTCACTTTTCATAGATAATGTAGGTGAAAAAAGTTCATTAACTTGCACAAGGGCAAACATCTGGAAAGTGGTAGAAATAGCTATGACCCCAGGCAGTGGCCAGAACTTTCTAAATCACAAACTAAATCCTGATTCCTGAAGGAGCTTGTGATAAAAATTGAAAAGCTACAATATAAAATTCAGCAGCAGTAGAGGCCCTGAGACTTCAGGAAGGTGGCCTTAGGGTAGGGTATGAGTTTTTATTTTTTTAGTAATCAAGAAAGGCTGTACCTACTTGAGAGATTATCTGACTTGCCTGACAAAAAGAAAAGGAATCTTGTTGATTAGGATTGATAGGTGTGTTAGATATGGAACACAGAGTAATACAAAGGCAGCAGATTGGTCTCTGCTTAGAGAGGGAAGACCTGAGAGCAGTTTAGCATTGTGCAATGTCTGCTATACTATCCATAGATAATTCCTCACTTTTGTTTGTCATGTACATTTTATGGTGAAGAAAAGGATACAGCCAGCCTATAGGACTGCCTTTTTTTTTTTTTTTTTTTTTCCATCTCAAAGAGACAGTGTCTCACTGTATTGCCCAGGCTGGAGTACAGTGGCAGTCATGGCTCACTGCTGCCTCAAACTCCCCAGCTCAAACAATCCTCCCACGTCAGCCTCCCAAAGTGCTGGGATTACAGGCACTTCTTTTTTTTCTTGAGATGGAGTCTCACTCTGTCGCCCAGGCTGGAGTGCAGTGGCACGATCTCTGCTCACTGCATCGTCCACCTCCTGGGTTCAAATGATTCTCCTGCCTCAGTCTCCCGAGTAGCTGGGACTACAGCCAGGCACCACCACACCAGCTAATTTTTGTATTTTTACTAGAGATGGGGTTTCATCATGTTGCCCAGGCTGGTCTCAAACTTCTGACCTCAAGTGATCCTCTCTCCTCAGCCTCCCAAAGTGCTGGGATTACAGGTGTGTGCCACCACACCCAGCCAACAGGCATCTCTCATTTAATGGTTTTTAATAATTTTTCTAAGGGATCAAATATTCTAAATTATTGCTTTATAAGTTACCATAAGAATTATACCAGGGAAATTAGCAAAAACCCAGTCCAAGCTGGCAGCCTCACATCTTTTAGGCGCTTAAAAGCCTGTCTATCTTGAAAACATTTCTCCTGAGTGCAATGACAATAGGTCGTGTCAATAACTGAGAGGCAAATATGTCTACTGTGGTTAATAAAAAATGACACTTCCTGAGTTTTTGGAAGATTTTGGTTAAAGAAAAAACAAAATGGGCTGGGCGTGGTGGCTCACACCTGTAATCCCAGCTCTTTGGAAGGCCAAGGCGGGCGGTTCATGAAGTCAGGAGATCAAGACCATCCTGGCTAACACAGTGAAACCCCGTCTCTACTAAAAATACAAACAAAATTAGCCAGGCATGGTGGCGGGTGCCTATAGTTCCAGCTACTCGGGAGGCTGAGGCAGGAGAATGGCGTGAACCGGGAGGCGGAGCTTGCAGTGAGCCGAGATCATGCCACTGCACTCCCCACTGGGTGACAGAGCAAGAGTCTGTCTCAAAAAAAAAAAAAAAAAAAAGAAAGAAAAAAAAGAAAAAACAAAATGATGGTCTGGTGATGCTGAAATATGGGGCATTTTATTCAAAAGGACTCCTACCAGTACCTATTTTTGAGCACTTAAGTGTGCTAAGAGGGTAATTAGTCAGATGAAAAGCAGACACACAGTCAGAAATATGAACAGGAAGATTAAGAAGAGAATCACATTCAAATACAAAGACAACAAAGTGATTCATAATTGAGTAATAATCCATTTCTTTTCTTGCTATTTTGGGTTACTGTCAACTGACTTATTCTCTTCGTAAGCCCTCCTTCCTCACCCTACTATTTCATGCCTCTTGTATCTCCTTGGTTAAGTTTCAGGCACCTTCTCTTACTCTTGAATTTCATATAACTTTTCTTGAATATTATAGTACAAACATGCTCCCATCTTTACTGGTAAAACCAACTTAGTTTTTATACCAAATATTATCTATTTAATAGATATTTAATAGAGTATCTTTAAATAATTATTAGTTGTTTCGAATTACAATAATTTATTCTAATACATATCCAATAATCATGTTATCCCTTACCTTCTGTCCTGTGTACTCATATCCTTTCCCATCCATCTGTTTACTCATCTTTTTTTCTAAAAAGTTTGTAATTATAGTATGTAGAATGAAAGCTGGGACAAGGGAAACAATGAGATGGCAAAGGCCACAGGTAAATATCAGGAATTTTAAAATTGAATTGCTTAGTCTGTGTGAGTGTGCTTTTCATTTAGGAAAAAACTGTATCTTGTATAATAAATACACATACACAAAATTCTATATAATCCATATTTTGGGTGCTCATTTAAGTTTTGGTTTTTTTTCAATACTTTTAAGTTCTGGGATACATGTGCAGAACGTGCAGGTTTGTTACATAGGTATACACGTGCCATGGTGGTTTGCTGTACCCATCAACTCACCATCTATATTAGGTATTTCTCCTAATACCCCTCCCCTAGCCCCCGAACCCTGACAGGCCCCGGTGTGTGATGTTCCCCATCCTGTGTCCATGTGTTCAAATTGTTCAACTCCTACTTATGAGTGAGAACATGTGGTGTTTGGTTTTCTGTTCCTGTGTTAGTTTGCTGAGAATGATGGTTTCCAGCTTCATCCGTGTCCCTGCAAAGGACATGAACTCATCCTTTTTTATGGCTGCACAGTATTCCATGATATATATGTGCCACATTTTCTTAATCCAGTCTATCATTGATGGGCATTTGGGTTGGTTCCAAGTCTTTGCTATTGTGAATAGTGCTGCAGTAAACATACATGTGCATGTGTCTTTATAGTAGAATGATTTATAATCTTTTGGGTATATACCCAGTAATGGGATTGCTGGGTCAAATGGTATTTCTGGTTCTAGATCCTTGAGGAATCGCCACACTGTCTTCCACAATGGTTGAACTAATTTAGACTCCCACCAACAGTGTAAAAGCGTTCCTATTTCTCCACATCCTCTCCAGCATCTGTTGTTTCCTGACTTTTTAATGATCGCCATTCTAACTGGCATGA
This sequence comes from Homo sapiens, assembly GCF_000001405.40. Classification (NCBI taxonomy): domain Eukaryota; kingdom Metazoa; phylum Chordata; class Mammalia; order Primates; family Hominidae; genus Homo; species Homo sapiens. The sequence continues at coordinate 92,258,210 of NC_000001.11, read as the reverse complement.
GATGGTATCTCATTGTGGTTTTGATTTGCATTTCTCTAATGACCAGTGATGAGCTTTTTTTCATGTTTGTTGGCTGCATAAATATCTTCTTTTGAGAAGTGTCTGTTCATATCCTTTGCCCACTTTTTGATGGGTTTTTTTTTCTTATAAATTTGTTTAAGTTCCTTGTAGATTCTGGATATTAGCCCTTTGTCAGATGGATAGATTGCAAAAATTTTCTCCCATTCTGTAGGTTGCCTGTTTACTCTGATGATAGTTTCTTTTGTTGTGCAGAAGCTCTTTAGTTTAATTAGATCCCATTTGTCCATTTTGGCTTTTGTTGCCATTTCTTTTGGTGTTTTAGTCATGAAGTCTTTGCCCATGTCTATGTCCTGAATGGTATTGCCTAGGTTTTCTTCTAGGGTTTTTATGGTTTTGGGTTTTTATGGTTTTAGATTTTATGTTTAAGTCTTTAATCCATGTCAAGTTAATTTTTGTATAGGGGGTAAGGAAGGAGTCCAATTTCAGTTTTCTGCATATGGCTAGCCAGTTTTCCCAGCACCATTTATTAAATAGGGAATCCTTTCCCCATTTCTTGTTTTTGTCAGGTTTGTCAAAGATCAGATGGTTGTAGATGTGTGGCGTTATTTCTGAGGCCTCTGTTCTGTTCCATTGATCTATGTATCTGTTTTGGTACCAGTACCATGCTGTCTTGGTTACTTTAGCCCTGTAGTATAGTTTGAAGTCAGGTAGCATGATGCCTCCAGCTTTGTTCTTTTTGCTTAGGATTGTCCTGGCTATCCGGACACTTTTTGGTTCTATATGAAATTTAAAGTAGTTTTTTCTAATTTTGTGAAGAAAGTCAGTGGTAGCTTGATGGGGATAGCATTGAATCTATAAATTACTTTGGGCGGTATGGCCATTTTCACAATATTGATTCTTCCTACCGATGAGCATGGAATGTTTTTCCATTTGTGTCCTCTCTTATTTCTTTGAGTGGTGGTTTGTAGTTCTCCTTGAAGAGGTCTTTCACATCCCTTGCAAGTTGGATTCTTAGGTATTTTATTCTCTTTGTAGCAATTGTGAATGGGAGTTCACTCATGATTTGGCTCTCTGTTTATTATTGGTGTATAGGAATGCTTGTGATTTTTGCACATTGATTTTGTATCCTGAGACTTTGCCAAAGTTGCTTATCAGCTTAAGGAGATTTTGCACTGGGATGATGGGGTTTTCTAAATATACAATCACGTTATCTGCAAACAGAGACAATTTGACCTCCTTTCTTCCTATTTGAATACGCTTTATTTCTTTCTCTTGCCTGATTGCCCTGAGCAGAACTTCCAATACTATGTTGAATAGGAGTGGTGAGAGAGGGCATCCCTGTCTTGTGCCAGTTTTCAAAGGGAATGCTTCCAGTTTTTGCCCATTCAGTATGATATTGGCTGTGGGTTTGTCATAAATAGCTCTTATTATTTTGAGATACGTTCCATCAATACCTAGTTTATTGAGAGTTTTTAGCATGAAGGGCTGTTGAATTTTATCCAAGGCCTTTTCTGCATCTGTTGAGATAATCATGTGGTTTTTGTCATTGGTTCTGTTTATGGAATGGATTACGTTTATTGATTTGTGTATGTTGAACCAGCCTTGAATCACAGGGATGAAGCCAACTTGATCATGGTGGATAAGCTTTTTGATGTGCTGCTATATTTGGTTTGCCAGTATTTTATTAAGGATTTTTGCATTGATGTTCATCAGGGATATTGGCCTGAAATTTTCTTTTTTTTGTTGTGTCTCTGCCAGGTTTTGGTATCAGGATGATGCTGGCCTCATAAAATGAGTTAGGGAGGAGTCCCTCTTTTTCTATTGTTTGGAAAAGTTTCAGAAGGAATGGTACCACCTCCTCTTTGTACCTCTGGTAGAATGCGGCTGTGAATCTGTCTGGTCCTGGGCTTTTTTTTTTATTGTAGGCTATTAATTACTGCCTCAATTTCAGAACTTATTATTGGTCTATTCAGGGATTCGACTTCTTCCTGGTTTAGTCTTGGGAGGGTGTGTATGTCCAGGAATTTATCCATTTTTTTTCTAGATTTTCTAGTTAATTTGCATAGAGGTGTTTATAGTATTCTCTGATGGTAGTTTGTATTTCTGTGGGATCAGTGGTGATATACCCTTTATCAATTTTTATTGTGTCTATTTGATTCTTCTCTCTTTATTAGTCTGGCTAGTGGTCTGTTTTGTTAGTCTTTTCAAAAAAGCAGCTTCTGGATTCACTGATTTTTTTTGAAGGGTTTTTTGCGTCTCTATCTCCAGTTGTGCTCTGATCTTAGTTGTTTCTTGTCTTCTGCTAGCTTTTGAATTTGTTTGCTTTTGCCTCTCTATTTCTTTTAATTGTGATGTTAGGTCGTCGATTTTAGATCTTTCCCACTTTCTCCTTTGGGCATTTAGTGCTAAAAATTTCCCTCTAAACACTGCTTTAGCTGTGTCCAAGAGATTCTGGTATGTTGTGTCTTTGTTCCCATTGGTTGCAAAGAACTTATTTATTTCTGCCTTAATTTCGTTATTTACCCAGTAGTCATTCAGGAGCAGGTTGTTCAGTTTCCATGTAGTTCTGTGGTTTTGAGTGAGTTTCTTAATCCTGAGTTCTACTTTGATTGCACTGTGGTCTAAGAGACAGTTTGTTACAATTTCTGTTCTTTTGCATTTGCTGAGGAGGGAGTGTTTTACTTCCAATTATGTGGTCAATTTTAGAATAAGTGCTGTGTGGTGCTGAGAAGAATGTATCTTCTGTTGATTTGGGGTGGAGAGTTCTGTAGATGTCTGTTAGGTCTGCTTGGTCCAGAGCTGAGTTGAAATCCTGAATATCGTTGTTAATTTTCTGTCTTGTTGATCTGTCTGATATTGACAGTGGAGTCTTAAAGTCTCCCACTATTATTGTGTGGGAGTCTAAGTCTCTGTAGGTCTCTAAGAGCTTGCTTTATGAATCTGGGTGTTTCTGTATTGGCTTTATATATATTTAAGATAGTTAGCTCTTCTTGTTGCATTGATCCCTTTACCATTATGTAATGCCCTTCTTTGTCTTTTTTGATCTTTGATGGTTTAAAGTCTGTTTTATCAGACACTAGGACTGCAACCTCTGCTTTTTTTTTTTCTTTCCGTTTGCTTGGTAAATAATCCTTCATCCCTTTATTTTGAGCCTATGTGTGTCTTTTCACATGAGATGGGTCTCCTGAATACAGCACACTGATGGGTCTTGACTCTTTATTCAATTTGCCAGTCTGTGCTTTTTAATTGGGGCATTTAGCCCATTTACATTTAAAGTTAATATCGTTATCTGTGAATTTGATCCTGTCATTATGCTAGCTGGTTATTTTGCCAATTAGTTATGCAGTTTCTTCATAGTGTCGATGGTCTTTACATTTTGGGTTGTTCTTGCAGTAGCTGGTACTGGTTTTTCCTTTCCATATTTAGTGCTTCCTTCAGGAGCTCTTGTAAGGCAGGCCTGGTGGTGACAAAAATCTCTCAGCATTTCCTTGTCTGTAAAGGATTTTATTTCTCCTTCACTTATGAAGCTTAATCTGGCTGGATATGAAATTCTGGGTTGAAAATTCTTTTTTTTAAGATATTGGCCCCCACTGTCTTCTGGCTTCTAGGGTTTCTGCAGAGAGAACCGCTGTTAGTCTGATGGGCTTCCCGTTGTGGGTAACCCAGCCTTTCTCTCTGGCTGCACTTAACATTTTTTCCTTCATTTCAACCTTGGTGAATCTGATGATTATGTGTCTTGGGGTTGCTCTTCCCGAGGAGTATCTTTGTGGTGTTCTCTGTATTTTCTGAATTTGACTGTTGGCCTGTCTTCCTAGGTTGGGAAGTTCTCCTGGATAATACCCTGAAGTGTGTTTTCCACCTTGGTTCCATTGTCCCCATCACTTTCAGGTACACCAGTCAAACATAGGTTTGGTCTTTTCACATAGTCCCATATTTCTTGGAAGCTTTGTTCATTCCTTTTCATTCTTTTTTTCTCTAATCTTGTCTTCACACTTTATTTCATTAAGTTGATCTTCAATCTCTGATATTCTTTCTTCCACTTGATCGATTCAGCTATTGATACTTGCATATGCTTCACGAAGTTCTTGTGCTGTGTTTTTCAGCTCCATCAGGTCATTTATGTTCTTCTCTAAACTGCTTATTCTAGTTGGCAATTACTCTAACCTTTTATCAAGGTTCTTAGCTCCTTGCATTGGGTTAGAACATGCTCCTTTAGCTTGGAGGAGTTTGTTATTACTCAACTTCTGAAGCCTACTTCTGTCAGTTCATCAAACTCATTCTCTGTCCAGTTTTGTTCCCTTGCTGGCAAGGAGTTGTGATCCTTTGGAGAAGAGGTGTTCGTGTGCTTGGAATTTTCAGCCCTTTTCCGCTGCTTTTTCCTCGTCTTCGTGGATTTCTACCTTTGGTCTTTGCTGTTGGTGACCTTTGGGTGGAGTTTTTGCTTGGGTCATCCTTTTTGTTGACGTTAATGCTATTGCTTTGTGTTTGTTAGTTTTCCTTCTAACAGTCAGGCCCCTCTTCTGCAGGTCTGCTGCAGTTTGCTGGGGGTCCACTCCAGACCCTGTTTGCCCGGGTATCACCATTGGAGGCTGCAGAACAGCAAAGATTGCTGCCTGCTCCTTCCTCTGGAAGCTTCATCCCAGAGGGGCACCCGCCAGATGCCAGCCGGAGCTCTCCTGTATGAGGTGGCTGTTGACCCCTGCTGGGAGGTGTCTCCCTATCAGGAAGCACGAGGGGTCAGGGACCCATTTGAGGAAGCAGTCTGTCCCTTAGCAGAGCTCAAGCGCTGTGCTGAGAGATCTGCTGCTCTCTTCAGAGCTGGCAGGCAGGAATGTTTGTCTGCTGAAGCTGCACCCACAGCCACCCTTTCCCCAAGGTGCTCTGTCCCAGGGAGATGGAAGTTTTATCTATAAGCCCCTGACTGGAGCTGCTGCCTTTCTTTCAGAGATGCCCTGCCCAGAGAGAGGAGGAATCTAGAGCTTAAGTTTTTTTTCAATTTCCATTTCTATTTAAGATTCAGGGGTGCAGGTTTGGTACAGGGGCATATTGTGTAAGTTGTTTCTTTCTCTAAGATAAAACATATCCATGAAATATTTGCAGAGCCGGATGACTTCTATATGAATTAGAAGAAAGGGGAAACCTGGGTCTTGTTCATGGCTTTTTATTTCTTCATTACCATCACTGACTGTATTCTTTGCAGGGTTCCTGACTGTTCTGGCAATAAATTTCATTGTAGTGTAGAACTGCCTAGTCTTCCTTTTGTGAGAGAGATATGCTACAGTGAATTTTGAAATGTATAGTTTTAAGCCTTAGAACTGGAAATCAGTAAGCCTCCTTGGGTATGAAATTAAAAGCAGGTATTTGTGAACATTTCAAATTTTTAATTATAACTATTTTAAAACTCTTAATTTACTTTTTCTAGACACTGAAAGATTTTAAGAAATCTTAAAATGTGATTTTCTTTGTAGTATTTATTATTTCTTTAAAAACGATCTGGTAACCTTGAGAGAAAAAATATTCTTATTCTCACAGCTTCTTCACTCCTACATGCTTCTAAAAATATTACAGTTTATCATCTGAAAAATTTGTGGAATTATGCTGAACAGAATATGTAAAAAATTTCTTTAGGCTACTTTTGGCATGTGTTTTTATTACCTGAAGTTTTATGATTATGGGCTATTGCCATTGAAAACAGCTAAGGTTTTAACATTCAAAGATCTAGATTTGCACTGTCCAATACAGTAGACAGTAGACACATGTGACTATTTAAATTTATATTAATTTTTTTTTCCTTTTGAGTTGGGGTCTCACTCTATAGCCCAGGCTGGAGTGCAGTGGCGCAATCACGGCACATTGCAATAACAACCTCCTGTACTCAGGTGATCCTCCCATCTGGGATTACAGGCATGAGCTACTGCGCTGGGCCAGTACTCTTTATTAATATGTGATTATTTCCATTTGAGAAATTTGAAACATTAAAAGAAAACGTTTGGTTAGAGATACATTTGCTTTTTAAAGTCCTGATTTAGTAATTTGGTTAAAATTTTTGGCTGAAGAGAATTAGTGAAGCTTAATTGTATATTTGTACCAATGAATGATTATAAAACTTTATCACTGTAATCCCAGCACTTTGGGAGGCTGAGGCGGGCAGATCACCTGAGGTTAGGAGTTAGAGACCAGCCAGTCCAACATGGCGAAACCCCATCTCTACTAAAACTACAAAAAAATTAGCTGGGCATGGTGGCAGACGCTTATAATCCCAGCTACTCTGGAGGCTGAGGCAGGAGAATTGCTTGAACCCAGTAGGTGGAGGCTGCAGTGAGCTCAGATCATGCCTCTGCACTCCAGCCTGGGCAACAGAGCAAGAAGACACCATCTTAAAAAAAAAAAAAAAAGTTTTGGGAATCAGATTTAAAAGAATTTCCATTACAAAGTAAAACTGAAAGGATGAAAGAAAAAAATTTTCAACTTAGAACTTCTACAAGAGGAAAGTTTTTCATGGATACAAATTCTTTGGTTATATTTTTGCAAATATTCCAGTCTGTGGCTTGTGTTTTAATAGTATTTTTCAAAGAACAGAAATTTTAATATTTATGGAGTCCAACTTATCAATTTTATTCTTTTATGATTCATTATTTATGGGTTCTAAGAAGTCTTTGTTAACCCAGATCACAAAGGTAATTTCTTGTAGAAATTGTATAGTTTTAGGTTTTACACTTAGGTCAATGACCCCATTTCAAGTAAACTTTTTATGATATGAGATATGGGTTGAGAGATTTTTTTTTCTTTTATTTTGACCTCAACACTATTTGTAGAAAAGGTTATCCTTAATTTACTGAATTATCTTGGCAACTTTATCAAAAATCATTTTATAAGTATGGGTCTATTTTTGGACTCTATTCCATTTACCTGTATCTATTCTTTTACCAATACCACACTGTCTTGATTCCTTTATAGGAAGAAATTATTCTGTTTTATTCCTTTATAGGAAGTCTTGACCTCAAGTAATGTGAGTCTGCCAACTTTGTTCTTCTTTTTCAAAATTGTATTGGCTATTTTTAAATCCTTTACCTTTTCTGTATAAATTTTAGAATTTTGTCAATTTCTGCCACAAAGAGTTTTAATTCCACTTATGGCATTCTGGAAAAGGCAAAAATTACCTTAACAAAAATCAGATTGCTGGTTGCTGGAGGTGGGAGGAAACTGACTACAAAGGGGCACAAAGAAATTTCTGGGTCATGGGAATATCTTTACAGCAGCAGTGGTTACATGACTTTATATCACTATATATCTTTGTCAAAGCTCAGAATTGTATAGCTAGAAGGTTATATTTTACTGTATGTAAACAATATCTCAACAAACCTGACTTTGAAAAATAATAAAAAGAAAAGAACTAGGCTCAATAGTGAATTAGACTGAAATTACCTCATGAACAGGCAAGCACACTGATTATGTAAAAATCTTTCTGATGTTTACTTTTGAATTGTTTATTCTCCATTTTTCTACATTAAAGTATTAAGATTAAATGTGTTATATGGAAAGGATTTGAGGGAAAACTTTTATTTCAACTATATAAATAAACGTGTGAGTTGTGATGTAAAACCTAGTTTTTACTGAGAGTCATGGCAAAAATAATTTGAAAAACAGTATCCTAGAAAAACTTTTACCCCGTGTGAATGGGAAAACATACAGCAATGTAAATGCTGCATTATTTTGAAATACTAAAAACTTAGGATAAATTCCATATAATGGAATGCTTATGCACCAATTAAAATTAGAGCTACAACACAAATAACTCTCAAAAACATAAGATTGACAAAGAAAAAGGAAGCTGAAGCAGGTTATATACAGTATACCATTTATGTGCTTTTAAACATGAAAAATTATATTGTTTAAGTGATACATTAGGAATGCAAAACATTCAAGTTTTAGATAATGGCTACCTCTTGAATAAAGGGGATTTCAGCCATATCTAGTATTTATTTTTTAAAAGTAAATATGATAAAATGTTTCCTTTTGTCAAAGGTTTCCTTTTGTCAAAGCTAGGTGTTTTCCCTATACTCTTTATGTTCAAATGTGCTTTAGTGGGTAACAGAGAGTCATCAGTAACCTAGTCTTGAAAGCCATCAGTTGCAGTGGGTTCTGCCTATAAACCCAGAGGTGAATGCAAAGTAAAAAGAAAAAAAAAAAGTTGGGGGGCAGGGAATAAATGGTGAAGAAAAGGCTGGACGTAAAAAGGAATAAAAGCCTGTTATTTGCAGCAACGTGGATGGACCTACATGTCATTACATTGAAATATGCCAGGCCCAGAAAGACAGTATCACATATTCTCACATGTGTGAGCTAACAAACTTGATCTCGTGGATACAGAATATAGAATGATTGATTGATACCAGAGTGTGAGCATGGGAGGAGGAAATGTAGAGCAACTGGTGAATGGGTACAAAAAGAGTTAGATAAAAGACAAGCTGTATTGCTTGATAGCACATTACAGTGACTATAATTAGCAACAATATATTGTATATTTCAATGTAGCTAGGAGAGAGGACAGGAAATGTTACCAACCCATAGAAATGATGAATACTCAAGAGGATGGATACCCCAAATACTCTGACATTATTATACATTTTATACGTGTAACAAATACATGTACCCATAAATATGTAAAATATCATGTATCAGTAAAAGAAAAAGGCTGGATAGAGAGAGGTAAAAATAGGAGAAATGAGAGCAGTCAGTGCACATAAGAGTAATATGCTTGTTATACTGTGTGGCTACACTGGTTAAGGAAATTCCTGCTGCATATAACCCAAATTTGCCATTAGAGGTTAAGAAAACTTTCCACTTAACAATTTAAAAATTATACAACTAAAACATCCATTATTTAAAAATCAACATAAAGAAGCAAAAAAAAAAAAAAAAGAATAGTAATCAAAATTACACCGTTGTTGATATACTGTATTCCCTTCTAGGTTTTGGGTTAATACGTCTGTACATTTTTTCTTTTTTAAAAAGAAAATGAGATCATACTAAAAGAATCACACTGTTTTATAACCTTTTTTCCCATTCACCAATATGTACTGAAAAACAGTATTTTAATGGCTGTATAGTTTTTCCATTATGTTAATATGTCATAATTTACTATGAATCTCCTGTTGAGTTATTTTAATTCTAATGTTTCACTAAACATTTTTAAAAAACATCTGCAGTAGAATCATAACATACATCTTTATTTCCCCAAGATAAGTTGATAGATGCTAAGTGAAAAGGTATGCATATTTTTGAGGGTTTTAGATCCTCTCTAGTATTCTACTTTTCCTATTAGTATAGGATAAATAAGACAAGATGACTGAAATGAAAAGGATAGGTGTGAGACATTAATATTATCAATTATTCAGCATAGACATGTGTAGATTTTATTTGGAATGCTGCAAGTAACATGTACTACTTGGGTCAAAATAAGCTCATTACAAAATAGGTTATCAAGTAGTTCATTATTCTAGTTAAGAATAAATTGGGTCCCTACGTTTCCCTTTTTGACCTAAGACATTTTCCTTTGTAAAGAGTACTTGGAAACTGGAAGTACCAATGGATTTTCTTTTCTCTATTTTTTAAAATAAAGACTTCATGAGTCCTCTCCATTAGTACTGTAAGAGAAAATGCTCTTGGAATAAACTCTAAGATACATGACAAAATAAGCTGCCCTCAACAGATAAAATCTTCACCTACTTTGGTCACCAGGGAGGTTCAAATTAGCCGGGTATTAGAAAAGTTTCCATCAGTAGGAAAGGGAAAGCATCCTCTAGAACTAGATCCGTGGTGTGGATATCAATTGAAAGGCCATACTTGGGATGAAGGCATAAATAAGGTAGAGTCATTGTGGAGATGGCTCATAGAGGAAGAGACGTCTGTGAATTTATCCTCAAATAATTTTCTCATAAATAAAACTTAACAAGTTAATAGATCTCAAAACCTGGAGCTATCCAAATGGTGCAGTGATAAGCGTAGTGCCCCAAGTACATTTTTCTTTTAATTGGTATTCACATAACTAGCTATAGTAATAATTATTAAATAGTGAAGTCCATTGTGAAAAGCAAGGGCCATGTTTCATTTATTTTTGTTTTTTGAGCTTTTATCGCGTTTAATAGTAGGCAATCAATCATTGTTGAACTAAATAACTCATTCTTTCATTCTTAACAGACTGGATTATGGACAGAACTTGGAAATATTGAGAATAATTTCTTAAAGCCACTTCATATAGGACTTAATATGTCAAAAGCACATTATGAAGCAGAAATTAAAAATAGCCAAGGTTGGTAATGTGCAATTTTGTTTTCAATTAGGTCTAAAAAGTAGTCTAATTTTGGAACTGTCATATTCAAATTTAAGAACTTTTTAAAAATCTTGTACTTTAGAGACCATAACAGCTAAGCCATTTTATTTATAGTTAAAATTCTTAGCAGATCTATAAGCTAATTTACCTAAAATCGGGTTAATGAAGACTTAAACCAAATATTACATTGTAAAGCCTCAAGGTCTGATTAAGAATCTGTATTACAGCTATTTCCGTTTGGGTACCATTCCTTTGGTATTGCTGGGTCCACTCTCCATCTCACTCTCAAGTAAATCCATACAAATTATGAAAAGAATCTTAGATCCAGAATTTTTTTAAGTCAATAATTCTATAATAATCGTGTGATCTCTTCCGTATATCTGTGGTGGTGCTTTTATAGGCATTACCGGAAATTTTGTTTTTAGTATAATGGCTATAATTCTGATTATATACTGAAGAAAACAGTTTCATGAATCCTATACATGCCAAAATAATGCTATTTATCTAAAGAAGCATTAATTTACATGTTGCAGAATTTTGATATTTCATTCTGTTTGCTTATAGCTTAAGTATACCCTGAGCTGTTAAACAATGGACTTAATAATTTATACAAATAACTGACATGTTTTAAGTTAGTGAATGAAAGTAGCTTATACCTTTGTTATTGAAATCTGAGAGTTAAGTGTCACACATGATTTTTCTTCTCTTACAGAGGCCCAGAAATCTAAAGATCTTTGTTCTATAACTGTAAGTGGAGAAGAGATCCCTAATATGCCTCCTGAAATGCAGCTTAAGGTGATCTGAAATTTTCTTTTCTTTCCTTTTTCTTCTTTAGAAACGGGGTCTTGCTATCTTGCCCAAGCTGGAGTGCAGTGGCATGATTGTGGCTCACTGCAGCTTCAACTCCCTGGGCTCAAGTGATCCACCCACCTCAGATTCCTGATTAGCCAGGACTGCAGGTGCACACCACCATGCCTGGCTAATTTTTAGTAGAGATAGGGTCTCACTATGTTGCTCAGGCTGGTCTCCAACTCCTGGCCTCTAGTAATCCTCTCAGCTCAGCCTCCCAAAGCACAGGAATTACAGGTGCAAACCACTGTACCTGGTCTTAAATATTCCTAAGCTACCTCCAGCTGAAATCTTTTCTGTGTTTTGCTTTGTTTTGCTTTAAAGGCAGCATTAATAACATTACTTTTTCTTGGCATTGCAGGTCCTGCATTCAGCTCTTTTCACATTTGATTTGATTGAAAGTGTTCTAGCTCGAGTGGAAGAACTCATTGAAATAAAAACAAAGTCTACCTCTGAAGAAAATATTGGGATAAAGTGAAAGTTCCATTTCCTAAATAAAAACTAATAAAATATAGTACTTTCCATTATGATTCATTTAATACCTTTATAAAAAATTTTTCTGTAAAAATTTACTGCTTGAAAAATAAATGTAGCTTTTCTCATTTATCAATTTCTATAATGATACACTATAGAACAGGTTTTTTTGGTTTTAAAGTTATCTAATGGTAAATAATGCCCACATATGTCCTAAATACTACTTTTGAAAATCCAATACAAACTAATAATTTTATAACTTCATAAAATGTAGCTGAATTGTCTATATTCATTCCTACAGTTTTAGTGAGCTTATAAAAATACTGATACACTTTCTGCTGCAGTTAGATGCTATGTAACATTTCGGAACTCCTAGTGTCAAGTTGGCTATCATACCAGTGTAAAGAGGCCAGTTGACTTTTCTTAGCTTCTCTTTTCCTGGCTCAGGTGGAGTCTTTGGGAGCAGAGTCCCATCACCACCTCTCCAGCAGAAGTTATAATAGGAAAACATCTGCAAAGATTAATTTTAGAAATACTTGCTACCTTTATGGAAAAAAACTAAAAAATATATATGACTTTAAGAAACTGATTAGAAAATTCTGTATTTTTATTTCCTACTAAAGATTTGTCCATTTAACTCACTAAGAAGCTACACCTGAGTTTTATGGTATATGTATGTATCAGTCCTTTGCTAAAGAGCGTTAAATCTTGCAGCGAAACTCCTAAAATAAAATCACTTTTAATTGTATATGTTATTATTTCAAATTAATATAAATGTCTTTAAATAGATATTTGAATATTATAATTTAACAGGTCTAATTATTTTCACATTCTTCGAGAAAAACATTAAGTTGGTACTCTAATTTGGGTTAACTGAATCACTATTCAGTTTTATCTTCTGAAGTGTTTTCCAAACAGGACTTTGCTCAATGATGTAAGCTTTAGCTGTTATCATTCTGTAGCAAATGCTATCTATGTATGGTTTGGAGGTAGTCTGGAAGAAGATATAAAGATGCAGCATTATTTACAGAAATAAGGTATTTTCACAAGGTCACATTTAAAAATACCTGACTTTCATTCTTTCAGCAAATCTCTTGATCATCTTTGTGCTAAATACTATGTATGAGTTACTAGAGTAGTCAACAGGAAAATACTTAGTTTCTATCAAGGAATTTTAAACATGCAAGCCAAAAAGTAGAATATATAAAAATTGCTTTAATGGGGATATGTTCCAAGTATAAAAGCAAGGAAGACCTAAGTCTGCCTAGGGGGTTGGAGGTGTCTGGGCACACTTTGCAGAGGACAAAAAGCAAGAAAAGAAAGTAGACAATTGGTAGATGACATTCCATAAGGTAGTATGCTTGCACTCTGACCGTTTATGACTTCAATCTGACCAACCCTTATAACTTTAGAATTTGAATGAAGATATAAGTAACCAATAGGGCCAGCCAAATGCTCTTTTGGCCCCAAGTGAGTCTTAAATGGTAGTGGCTACTGGAAGTAAATTGAGAAGACTTAAGAGAGTTAGGCTTGGGAAAAAGTTGCACCCTGAAACAGCAACTCCCGCAGGGGAACAGAAGCATGATATTTGCCAGTCTCGCTCAAAAGGGTGACAATTGGAAGTTAAAAACCTTAAAATGTATGTGTGTATGTGTCATATTCCACGGGTGACTCACCTTTGCTATAGTGCACATAAGATTAATAGCATTTACTGTGTTGTGTACTGGAAGTATTCGTAAGTTACAACCCAGGAATCTGAAAAACAATTCATGTTATACAGATCATATAACTTGCTGACATCTGTTCTCTTAAGAAAGTGGAAAGAAGAGACAAATCTCTATTGTTTGTTATTTGTCTATGCATTCATGCCCTGCCTTACTCCACAGAGGATTTGAGATGGCTTTATAGCCAGAACATCACTGACTAAAAAAGTGTTCACTTTTGGCTTGGTCTTGGAGAAGCCCTTGCAACATCATGAACCCTGTCACCTCGATTCATAGAATAGCTATTTGGCCCATGTTTCATTAAATTTGATAGGTTAACATCACAGTGTTCATCATCTAGCAAAACAAAACTTACCTAAAAGAATTAAGAACTGAAATAAATACAATATAAGAAAAATAAGTCTATAATGCTATTCTTCCATACCTCTGCTGAATCCTGAACATCAGTTTCCATTCTTCAGGCCCATGGAGGGCAGCAGACAAAACCAAAAAACTATTTTGGTGAATGTTAATAAATTTCTCAATTTTGGCTAGAAATATTTCTTCAGTTGACAGAAGACATTCCTTAGTATCCATTAATAAAAATGCAACTCCTAGGAAAGGTGAATTGAATATAAAATGTCACTTTGTTATAGAGATGAAATTTTGTTATAAACTCAAAATCAACCAAAATAACTAAGTATACCACATGTGTCCAAGCCCTAAACTCATAAGGAATAGAAAGTACTATAATGGAATTCCTACACAACAAAATAATTTAGGTAGTTCTTTGAAGTGCTCTGTATAAAAGAATGACTTGTGCTAAATAAGAGAAAAACTTTTTTGGATCAGTAACTACTGTTTTTTTTTTTTTCCTAGATGAAGACATTGTCCACATGAAGATACTGGGTAGTTTTTCATTAAAAAGATGAATTACATTTAAAAAGTTAATTTTTCATGTTATACTTTTAAAATATGTACTAGTTTATTATAAAGGACACTACAAAGGATACAGATGAAGATATGTGTAGGGCTAGGTATGTGGGAAGGGACATGGAGCTTCAACGCCTTCTCTGGGCCTGCCACCCTCCAGACACCTCCATGTGTTCAGCAACCAAGAGGCTCTTATTAATTATTTTTAAAAGCTGGAAATCAGCTAAAGAAAGAGAGTCTTAAGCAAGCCTTTGGCTGGGTGCAGTGGCTCACACCTGTAATCCCAGCACTTTGGGAGGCCGAGGTGGGCGGATCACAAAGTCAGGAGTTCGAGACCAGCCTGACCAACATGGTGAAACCCTGTCTCTACTAAAAATACAAAAATTAGCTGGGTGTGGTGGTATGTGCCTGTAATCACAGCTACTGAGGAGGCTGAGGCAGGAGAATGGTGTGAACCCAGGAGGCGGAGCTTGCAGTGAGCTGAGATCACACCACTGCACTCCAGCCTGGGCAACAAAGCAAGACTCCATCTCAAAAAATAAAAAAAAGAATTATATAAATTAATACACTCAGTGAGCAGATATCTGCAATCTCTGAAACAGTGTCAGGCCATTAAGAATGGTCCTAAAGGGAAACTTGATTATAGCTCTTCAAACGATGTGGGAGACAGTCTGAGGAAAATGATTGTGATTATACACTAATTGAGTAAACTTGGGCAACTTATATAACCTCTCTGAACATAAGTTTCCTCTTCTGTAACATGGGAGTAAATTTTTTGTTAGATTTGTCAGAAGGATAAATTAGATCACGTATATGAAGTAGCCAAGGCAAATATTCACCAAATATTTTATTTCTCCCTGGAGGGTTCTGTATTTAACCAGAAGAATAAGTTTGAGGCGATACCACTTTCAGCCTGGAGATCTATTCTAGGAGCTTTTTTGAATGTGCTTGTCTTCCAAAACTGCTAGAAGAGTCTATTTGCAACCCTCCAGATAAAATCCTTTACCTCTACCTTTTTAAAAATCACTTCTGTCATTTCTCAAGCACAGGTGGACCTCCCCCCTTCCCATCTCCTCAGCCTTCTCTTATCCTAATCTAATTCCTTACTGGACTTTTGTCCATGACTAACAGTTATATCAGTTGTCATTTCATGAACATTTATTTGTCCCCATGATTCTTTTGGTTAATATTTATATTATATCCAGCAAACTCTTATAAAAATTAATGGAAAACATTCTATTTTTTTTGTATATCAGTTTTGACAAATGTGTCCTCTGTTAATGCAAGTAATACTTTAATGTAAGTATAGATTGTTGGGAAAGTGGCTTTTTCTATTTTCATCTCAGTTCCAAAGTAGTTTTTTCCCATCTTCTACCAGACTCCACTAGTTCAGCTTTATTTTAACAATTGTAATCTAAAAAGGAATATATTTTGGAATTGGCCATATGGACTGTTTGTAGTAGTAACAAAGTTTTACACATTTACCCTTCCCAAAAGATAATACATTACATGGTTACTGAACTATGAAGTCATTAGAATTTATACCAACATATTTCATAAGAAACTTAAGGCAGTGAGCAAATATACCATACCAGAAAGAGAAAATATAATTGATCCATTTTCCACTGAATCTGAATATCGAACTTTGTGGCTTCGATTTTCTAGGGCAGTTGCAACTTCATAACTCTTTTTTAAAAAATATCAGAAATACAAATTTAAGGCATGCTTACAATTGTATTAAAGCTAAAGAAAAAATTAAAAGTTTAATATGTTGTTTTATAACTACCACTTAAAGATATGATCATCAAAAGATAAATAAATATGCTTTCTATGGAGAAAAAACTTTAAAAAAGCAAAAACATTTAGTTCTACTGAAACATTTATTTCAAGTTTGGGAGTGAGTTACGTACTACAGTTATGTTACTTAGGAACAGAACTTAAAGACAGCATTAAAAAACTGTATAAACCAGAGCAAATGCAAATTTCTTTTTCTTTTTTAGAGACAGATGAAGTCTCACTTTGTTGCCCACGCTGACTTTAGACTCCTGAGTTCATGCAATCCTCCCAAAGTAGCTGGGACTATAGGTGTACGTCACCACACCCAGCTGCAAACTTCACTTTAAAAAAAAACTTGGGTGGTGGCTCATGCCTGAAATCCCAGCAATTTGGGAGGCCAAGGTGGGCAGATCATTTGAGGTCAGGAATTTGAGACCAGCCTGACCAACATGGTAAAAGCCCAAAATTTGCTGGGTGTGGTGATGCATGCCTGTAGTCCCAGCTACTTGGGAGGCTGAGGCAGGAAAATCACTTGAACTCGGAGGTGGAGGTTGCAGTGAGCTGAGACTGTGCCACTGCACTCCAGCCCAGGTGACAGAGCAAGACTCTACCTCAAAAAACAAACAACTTGGAGGCTGGGCATGGTGGCTACGGAGACCTTGGAGGCCAAGGCTGGTGGATCATTTGAGTCCAGAAGTTCAAGACCAGCCGGGGCAACATGGCAAAACTGCTTCTCTACAAAAATTAGCTGGGCATGGTGGCACATGCCTGTAGTCCCAGCTACTCACAGGCTGAGGTGGGAGAATCACTTGAGCCTGGGAGGTTAAGGCTGCAGTGAGCCATGATTGCACCACTGCACTCCAGCCTGGGTGACAGAGTGAGACCCTGTCTCAAATAATAATAATAATAATAATAATAATAATAATAATAATAAGCAACTTGGAGATGGATTCTGACATGCATTAATGTATAACTATGGAAAATAGGTGGTTGTATATTTCTTAAATAGTTGACAGAACCACATAGTGCCAGACATATACAATACCATCACAGAAGACAACCAATTTGACAATTCATCAGTTTACATTACAGTTACTTTAGTATACTTTTAAAATGTTTTAAGCCTTAGATGAGTCATAAAACATGTAAGAAAACAGCTATAGGACTCTTGGTTTTAATACTAACCATTTCAAATATCACCTGATTTCCTATTCCACCCAGGCAATTAAATCATATTACCCACAATACTAAAATCTAGGTGGTTAATAGTTTTTCCTGATAGGTTAAAATTTAAACTTGGCCAGGCACAATGGCTCACACCTGTAATCCTAGCACTTTGGGAGGCTGAGGTGAGAGAATCACTTCAGCCCAGGAGTTTGAGAACAGCCTGGGCAATGTAGCGAGACCTTCTTTCTACTAAAAATTAAAAAATAAATAAAAATAATAAATAAAACTCAAACTTGTTAGTTTCCAGATAGATAAAAATCTCTTAGGTAGATTAATTTTATTTTCTGTTTTGCCTCAGAACATGTATATGTTAAGCACACAGGCTGAAATTATGTATAAAAATACATGCTTCCTTTCTTTTCTAAAGAGTATTTTGTGTCACTCAGATAGATCCTGACCTACAGTTTAACTATGGCTCTTTTCTTCTGCTGTTTTAAAATTATATAATGCTTCCAGCAATGGCAGATTAAGTAATTTAGGCCAACCCGCCTGCTGAAGGCAACTAGAAAAGCTGGACAACCTTTTAAAATCTGCTTGAATACACCAGAGAGCTAACAGGATAGTAAAAAATTATAAGGCCAAGATCTACACAGAAATTCAAATATATGAGCAAGTATTTAGGCCACTTTTTTCCCTGAGGGCATCTGCCAGCTCAGAAAGAGGCAGAAGAGAGGCTGAACAGATCTTTTGACGAAAATAGAACAGCTCTCACAGGGACTATAGCCCAGCTTCAAACCATTTCAATCCCTGAAATTGTATTAAGGTGATAAGTGAATTACTAGTGCTTCCAAGCACCTTGCAGAAGCACTCTCTGGAGCAACCTTTCCCAATCAGGTCTCCTCATCTGAATTATGGAACAAAGAAAATGATCTGAGTGACTATTTTCTCAATTCTCTCATAGCCAGATGTACAGGAGACAATTTAGTTCAACACTCTAGATGTATAGGATACAACTTAATTCATCATATAAAAGAGATGCCTTAGGAGTTGGGTTGTCAGACTGAGCAAATAAAAATACACAACACTCAGTTAAATGTGAATGAGTGACAATGCAATTTTCAATATAAGTATGACCTATGCAATATTTGGGACATAATTACAGTAAATTCACTGTTTATCTGAAATTCAAACTTTTTTTTTTTTTGAGACAGGGTCTCACTCTGTCACCCAGACTGGAGTGCAATGGCATGATCTTGGACACTGCAACCTCTGCCTCCCAGATTCAAATGATTCTCCTGCCTCAGCCTCCCAAGTAGCTAGAATTACAGGCATGCACCACCATGCCTGGCTAATTTTTGTATTTTTGGTAGAGACAGGGTTTCACCATGTTGGCCAGGCTGGTCTCAAAACTCCTGACCTCAAGTGATCCACCCACCTTGGCCTCCCAAAGTGCTGGGATTATAGGCATGAGCCACTGCACCTAGCTGGAAATTCAAACTTGAGTGTCCTGTATTTTATCTGGCAACCCTACTTAGGGCATCAGGAATTTAATTTTCTTACAGAATTAAAACCTCTCAAGGGGAAGATAGCACTATTCTAGGCTTCAAATTATTTCTACAATTTTTCAAATACAAATTCCAACATATAATAAAAAATAATCAGACATACAAAGGGACACAATTCCATTAAAGAAAACTATCAGAAACAATAGAGAACAGAAACAGGCCCACAAGGGATCCATGTAGTGAATCTATCAAATACACACCTTAAAACAGCCTGTTTACTATGATCAAGAAGATAAAACCTAGCTTGAGAATTTTGGCAAAGAACTAGAAGATATGTTTAAAAATGTAAAAAACATGAGTTAAGAAAGCTCCCTAAAATTTGATTCAAATAGGGCCAGGCACAGTGGCTCATGCCTATAATCCTAGCACTTTGGGAGGCCAAGGCAATGGATTGCTTGAGCTCAGGAGTTCAAGACTGGCCTGGGCAACATAGTGAGACCCTAATTAAAAAATAAACAAAAAATATAACAAAAAATCTGAGTCAAATCTTTAAAATAAAAAGCAGTGTATTAAGCAGACAAGTGAAGGAAGAAGACAAATATGAGAAGAGTATGGACAGAAAGAATAACATAGGTAAAGGCATTCAGACCTAAAGGTATGGTTCTTATATGGTGAGTGTGTAAGGTATACACAAGTCAGCTAATTTGGGTACAATGTTAGGAATAACTGCAGGCAGATCATGAGCACCCATAAATATCATGCTAATGAATTTCAATAATATCCTTTTATCAGGAGGAGGAGGAGCCAACTAAAAGAATAAAATAATGGAATGCTTAAAAAAAAAATGGTAAAATTAGAAAGTATTGAATTGAGAAAACAGTAAGTTCAAGAGCTGATTCATCAAAATGACCAGGAAGCTAAGTATAGATTTTTCAAAATATGTTTCATAGAATATTAGTCCTATGAGATATTAAAAGATGCTCCGGATTGAAATAAGATTCGGAAATGCTGAATATTATCTCATCTCTTTTTGGGGTTTTACAATGCATTTGAGCATATTAAAGTCTCTGAATAATAGTGCAGTAAAAAGAAAACCAAACCAAAACAAAAAAACACTTGTTTAACTTTTATACCAGCATCCCAAATAAAATCCATACAATACTCCTTCCTGCATATGTAACATCTATTAATAATATTTAAAACTAGTATTATGTCAGCCAGGTGTGGTGGCTCAAGCCTGTAATCCCAGCACTTTTGGAAGCCATCGTGCAGGTTGTGGGGGCAGGCAGGGATCGGAGTTCGAGACCAGCCTGGCCAACATGGTGAAACCCCGTCTCTACTAAAAATACAAAAATTAGCCGGCGTGGTGGCAGGCACCTGTAATCCCAGCTACTTGGGAGGCTGAGGCAGGAGAATCACTTGAGCCCGAGAGGCGGAGGTTGCAGTGAGCCAAGACTGTGCCACTGCACTCCAGCCTCGGCGACAGAGCAAAACTCCATCTTAAAAAAACAAAGAACAAAAACTAGTATGTCTATCACTCATAAGGAAGAAAATGTAAGTAAAAACAGGAATGAAAAGGGGCACTTAACAGTTGATTAGAAAATTTAAAAAATGACAACATGAAACTTTTCACCACAGAAATGTAAATTTCATAAAGTTCAACTTAACACATTTAAAAGCCTCTATAAAATGGGCAAATGTTTGTAAAAATATAATTTATGGGGGAGGAGCCAAGATGGCCAAATAGGAACAGCTCCTGTCTACAGCTCCCAGCATGAGCAACGCAGAAGACAGGTGATTTCTGCATTTCCATCTGAGCTTTGAAGAGAGCAGTGGTTCTCCCAGCACGCAGCTGGAGATCTGAGAACAGGCAGACTGCCTCCTCAAGTGGATCCCTGACCCCTGAGCAGCCTAACTGGGAGGCACCCCCCAGTAGGGGCAGACTGACACCTCATACGGCCGGGTACTCCTCTGAGACAAAACTTCCAGAGGAATGATCAGACAGCAGCATTCGTGGTTCACAAAAAACCACTGTTCTGCAGACACCACTGCTGATACACAGGCAAACAGGGTCTGGAGTGGACCTCTAGCAAACTTCAACAGACCTGCAACTGAGGGTCCTGTCTGTTAGAAGGAAAACTAACAAACAGAAAGGACATCCACACCAAAAACCCATCTGTACATCACCATCATCAAAGACCAAAAGTAGATAAAACCACAAAGATGGGGAAAAAACAGAGCAGAAAAAATGGAAACTCTAAAAAGCAGAGCACCTCTCCTCCTCCAAAGGATCACAGTTCCTCACCAGCAATGGAACAAAGCTGGACAGAGAATGACTTTAACGAGTTGAGAGAAGAAGGCTTCAGACAATCAAACTACGAGCTACAGGAGGAAATTCAAACCAAAGGCAAAGAAGTTAAAAACTTTGAAAAAAATTTAGGCGAACGTATAACTAGAATAAACAATACAGAGAAGTGCTTAAAGGAGCTGATGGAGCTGAAAGCCAAGGCACGAGAAGTACGTGAAGAATGCAGAAGCCTCAGGAGCCAACGCGATCAACTGGAAGAAAGGGTATCAGCGATGGAAGATGAAATGAATGAAATGAAGCGAGAAGGGAAGTTTAGAGAAAAAAGAATAAAAAGAAACGAACAAATCCAGCAAGAAATATGGGACTATGTGAAAACACCAAATCTACGTCTGATTGGTGTACCTGAAAGTGACGGGGAGAATGGAACCAAGTTGGAAAACACTCTGCAGCATATTATCCAGGAGAACTTCCCCAATCTAGCAAGGCAGGCCAACATTCAGATTCAGGAAATACAGAGAACGCCACAAAGATACTCCTCAAGAAGAGCAACTCCAAGACACATAATTGTCAGATTCACCAAAGTTGAAATAAAGGAAAAAATGTTAAGGGCAGCCAGAGAGAAAGGTCGGGTTACCCACAAAGGGAAGCCCATCAGACTAACAGCAGATCTCTAGGCAGAAACTCTACAAGCCAGAAGAGAGTGGGGGCCAATATTCGACATTCTTAAAGAAAAGAATTTTCAACCCAGAATTTCATATCCAGCCAAACTACGCTTCATAAGTGAAGGAGAAATAAAATCCTTTACAGACAAGCAAATGCTGAGAGATTTTGTCACCAGCAGGCCTGCCCTAAAAGAGCTCCCAAAGGAAGCACTAAACATGGAAAGGAACAACCGGTACCAGCCGCTGCAAAATCATGCCAAAATGTAAAGACCATCGAGACTAGGAAGAAACTGCATCAACTAACGAGCAAAATAACCAGCTAACATCATAATGACAGGATCAAATTCACACATAACAATATTAACCTTAAATGTAAATGGGCTAAATGCTCCAATTAAAAGACACAGAATGGCAAATTGGATAGAGTCAAGACCCATCGGTGTGCTGTATTCAGGAAACCCATCTCACATGCAGAGACACACATAGGCTCAAAATAAAAGGATGGAGGAAGATCTACCAAACAAATGGAAAACAAAAAAAGGCAGGGGTTGCAATCCTAGTCTCTGATAAAACAGACTTTAAACCAACAAAGATCAAAAGAGACAAAGAAGGCCATTACATAATGGTAAAGGGATCAATTCAACAAGAGGAGCTAACTATCCTAAATATATATGCACCCAATACAGGAGCATCCAGATTCATAAAGCAAGTCCTGAGTGACCTACAAAGAGACTTAGACGCCCACACACTAATAATGGGAGACTTTAACACCCCACTGTCAACATTAGACAGATCAACGAGACAGAAAGTCAACAAGGATACCCAGGAATTGAACTCAGCTCTACACCAAGCAGACATAACAGACATCTACAGAACTCTCCACCCCAAATCAACAGAATATACATTTTCTTCAGCACCACACCACACCTATTCCAAAACTGACCACATAGTTGGAAGTAAAGCTCTCCTCAGCAAATGTAAAAGAACAGAAATTATAACAAACTATCTCTCAGACCACAGTGCAATCAAACTAGAACTCAGGATTAAGAAACTCACTCAAAACTGCTCAACTACATGGAAACTGAACAACCTGCTCCTGAATGACTACAGGGTACATAATGAAATGAAGGCAGAAATAAAGATGTTCTTTGAAACCAATGAGAACAAAGACGCAACATACCAGAATCTCTGGGACACATTCAAAGCAGTGTGTAGAGGGAAATTTATAGCACTAAATGCCCACAAGAGAAAGCAGGAAAGATCCAAAACTGACACCCTAACATCACAATTAAAAGAACTAGAAAAGCAAGAGCAAACACATTCAAAAGCTAGCAGAAGGCAAGAAATAACTAAAATCAGAGCAGAAGTGAAGGAAATAGAGACACAAAAAACCCTTCAAAAAATTAATGAATCCAGGAGCTGGTTTTTTGAAAGGATCAACAAAATTGATAGACCGCTAGCAAGACTAAAAGAAAAAAAGAGAGAAGAATCAAATAGACACAATAAAAAATGATAAAGGGGATATCACCACTGATCCCACAGAAATACAAACTACCATCAGAGAATACTACAAACACCTCTATGCAAATAAACTAGAAAATCTAGAATAAATGGATAAATTCCTCGACACATACACTCTCCCAAGACTAAACCAGGAAGAAGTTGAATCTCTGAATAGACCAATAACAGGAGCTGAAATTGTGGCAATAATCCATAGCTTACCAACCAAAAAGAGTCCAGGACCAGATGGATTCACAGCCTAATTCTACCAGAGGTAAAAGGAGGAGATGGTACCATTCCTTCTGAAACTATTCCAATCAATAGAAAAAGAGGGAATCCTCCCTAACTCATTTTATGAGGCCAGCATCATCCTGATACCAAAGCCTGGCAGAGAAACAACAAAAAAAGAGAATTTTAGACCAATATCCTTGATGAACATTGATGCAAAAATCCTCAATAAAATACTGGCAAACCGAATGCAGCAGCACATCAAAAAGCTTATCCACCATGATCAAGTGGGCCTCATCCCTGGGATGCAAGGCTGGTTCAATATACGCAAATCAATAAATGTAATCCAGCATATAAACAGAACCAAAGACAAAAACCACATGATTATCTCAAAAGATGCAGAAAAGGTCTTTGACAAAATTCAACAACCCTTCATGCTAAAAACTCTCAATAAATTAGGTATTGATGGGACGTATCTCAAAATAATAACAGCTATCTATGACAAACCCACAGGCAATATCATACTCAATGGGCAAAAACTGGAAGCATTCCCTTTGAAAACTGGCACAAGACAGGGATGCCCTCTCTCACCACTCCTATTCAACATAGTGTTGGAAGTTCTGGCCAGGGCAATTAGGCAGGAGAAGGAAATAAAGGCTATTCAATTAGGAAAAGAGGAAGTCAAATTGTCCCTGTTTGCAGATGACATGATTGTGTATCTAGAAAACCCCATCGTCTCAGCCCAAAATCTCCTTAAGCTGATAAGCAACTTCAGCAAAGTCTCAGGATACAAAATCAATGTACAAAAATCACAGGCATTCTTACACACCAATAACAGACAAACAGAGAGCCAAATCATGAGCAAACTCCCATTCACAATTGCTACAAAGAGAATAAAATACCTAGGAATCCACCTTACAAGGGATGTGAAGGACCTCTTCAAGGAGAACTACAAACCACTGCTCAATGAAATTAAAGAAGATACAAACAAATGGAAGAACATTCCATGCTCATGGGTAGGAAGAATCAATATCGGGAAAATGGCCATACTGCCCAAGGTAATTTATAGATTCAATGCCATCCCCATCAAGCTACCAATGACTTTCTTCACAGAATTGGAAAAAACTACTTTAAAGTTCACATGGAACCAAAAAAGAGCCCTCATTGCCAAGTCAATCCTAAGCCAAAAGAACAAAGCTGGAGGCATCACACTACCTGACTTCAAACTATACTACAAGGCTACAGTAACCAAAACAGCATGGTACTGGTACCAAAACAGAGATATAGATCAACGGAACAGAACACAGCCCTCAGAAATAACGCCGCATATCTACAACTATCTGATCTTTGACAAACCTGAGAAAAACAAGCAATGGGGAAAGGATTCCCTATTTAATAAATGGTGCTGGGAAAACTGGCTAGCCATATGTAGAAAGCTGAAACTGGATCCCTTCCTTACACCTTATACAAAAATCAATTCAAGATGGATTAAAGACTTAAACGTTAGACCTAAAATCATAAAAACCCTAGAAGAAAACCTAGGTATTACCACCCAAGACATAGGCATGGGCAAGGACTTCACGTCTACAATACCAAAAGCAATGGCAACAAAAGCCAAAATTGACAAATGGGATCTAATTAAACTAAAGAGCTTCTGCACAGTAAAAGAAACTACCATCAGAGTGAACAGGCAACCCACAAAATGGGAGAAAATTTTCACAACCTACTCATCTGACAAAGGGCTAATATCCAGAATCTACAATGAACTCAAACAAATCTACAAGAAAAAAACAAACAACCCCATCAAAAAGTGGGTGAAGGACATGAACAGACACTTCCCAAAAGAAGACATTTATGCAGCCAAAAAACACATGAAAAAATGCTCACCATCACTGGCCATCAGAGAAATGCAAATCAAAACCACTATGAGATATCATCTCACACCAGTTAGAATGGCAATCATTAAAAAGTCAGGAAACAACAGGTGCTGGAGAGGATGTGGAGAAATAGGAACACTTTTACACTGTTGGTGGGACTGTAAACTAGTTCAACCATTGTGGAAGACAGTGTGGTGATTCCTCAGGGATCTAGAACTAGAAATACCATTTGACCCAGCCATCCCATTACTGGGTAATACCCAAAGGACTATAAATCATGCTGCTATAAAGACACATGTACACGTATGTTTACTGCGGCACTATTCACAATAGCAAAGACTTGGAACCAACCCAAATGTCCAACAATGATAGACTGGATTAAGAAAATGTGGCACATATACACCATGGAATACTATGCAGCCACAAAAAATGATGAGTTCATGTCCTTTGTAGGGACATGGATGAAGGTGGAAACCATCATTCTCAGCAAACTATCGCAAGGACAAAAAACCAAACACCGCATGTTCTCACTCATAGGTGGAAATTGAACAATGAGAACACATGGACGCAGGAAGGGGAACATCACACTCTGGGGACTGTTGTGGGGTGGGGGGAGGGAGGACGGATAGCATTGGGAGATATACCTAATGCTAGATGACGAGTTAGTGGGTGCAGCGCACCAGCATGTCACATATATATGTATGTAACTAATCTGCACACTGTGCACATGTACCCTAAAACTTAAAGTATAATAATAAAAATATATATAATTTATGAAAATGGACTCACAACAAAGTATAAAACAAAATACAGCAAAAAGCATAAAACCACACGTTACTATGGAACAATCATTTCTTGCCCCTTCATTCCAGACATCAGCTGGTGTCCGTAAGATAAATATCAGGGCAATGGAGAAGTCTTGTGAGCTGAGGAGTTTAAAACGGTTGTGAGCTGACCACCTGCTCTCAGGCATTCAACTTTCCATCTCTCCCTCTCCAAACCATAAGGAGACAGTCTCATTCCAGTGCTGCCAAGGCTAGGATATCAGTTTCTGGTTCTTTAGCTCTCAGAAAGCCTTAACTAATATATATTTGCATATCTTTACTGTTTCCGGAATTCCTTAACATCTCTATTAGAGTGCTTACAGAAGGAAAAAAAAAAAAACTTTAGAAAATCTCCAACCTTCAAAGAATTAAGGAAGTCGGATGTTGAAAATGAATGGAAAAAGTCTATTAATTTATCTTTAAAATACATTTAGCTTATGTACTTCCTGCTCCCCACAATTAATTGTGGATAATTAAGCTAAGAACCTTTTAAAATGTTGTTCTATATGAAAGCTGCTTTTAATTTTTTTAAGTTAAAGATCAGTGGCCCAAATGCCCCTTTACCTTAAGAGATGAGCTAATAATAATGGTGGTTGTCCATTTTATTTTTTCTTTTCCACTTTCAGCCATCTGTCTGTGGATCAACCTAGCTTCTAATGGTGCAACAATCTGAGAAAATTAAGAACACAAAGAATGCAAAGAAATATCTGATGAATGAGTAAATTAAAGATGGAAATAAAACTAGGGTATTGGAGACATTTTAAAGAATATTTGAACATCAAAATTTGACAACAGAAAAAGTATCTGTCTTGTTATACATTTAGCCTATTCAATACTATGCTTCCCATTAACAAGTATCAAAAGCAATGATTCCCATTTCAGCACACTAACTTCAAAGAATGAGGACTTGCATCAAGAACACGCAAGGTCTGAGGTTTTTATCCTACCTGCAAGCTAAAAAGTTAGCCTGCCAGAGTTTCACTTATACAGATAAAAGACAGACTCAGAGACAAAGGACAGTTTTTCACTCAGAGCAATAGCAGTATAGCCACAGCACCATTATTTTCTTACACTAGTTCCTCAAGCCCAATTCCCACAGGGTGATGGGACAAAGGCCAGGTGACATCTGCACACACAGTGGGTTGTATTATAGGAAAGAAACCCAGAGCTTAGGAAACCTGAATCTTGTAAGCAAACCTGTCTTCTACTATGGAGGGAAATACTATATATCTCACATAGGGAATATGTGAGGTAGGACCTGAATATTTGCATTTTTTTTTAAAGAGGGTCTCACTCTTTTACCCACAGGCTGGAGTACAGGGGTGCGATCCTAGCCTCAAACTCCTAGGCTCAAGCAATCCTCCTGCCTCAGCTTCCCAAGTAGCTAGGACTACAGGTATGCACCACCATGCCTGGCTGATTTTTTTTTTTTTTTGAGACGGAATCTTGCTCTGTTGCCCAGGCTGGAGTGCAGTGGTGCAATCTCGGCTCACTGCAAGCTCCGCCTCCCAGGTTCATGCCATTCTCCTGCCTCAGCCTCCCAAGTAGCTGGAAACACAGGCGCCCCCCACCACACCCAGCTAATCTTTTTTTTGTATTTTTAGTGGAGACGGGGTTTCACTGTGTTAGCCAGGATGGTCTCAATCTCCTGACCTTGTGATCCACCCGCCTCGGCCTCCCAAAGTGCTGGGATTACAG
The DNA here is from genome assembly GCF_000001405.40 of Homo sapiens. NCBI lineage: Eukaryota > Metazoa > Chordata > Mammalia > Primates > Hominidae > Homo > Homo sapiens. The sequence goes on along the minus strand of NC_000001.11, from coordinate 92,230,352 downwards.
GCATGAGCCATCGCGCCTGGCCAATTTTTTTTTTTTTTTAACTTATTGTGGAGATCGGGGGCAGGTCTCCCTACGTTGGCCAAACCAGTCTTGAACTCTGGCTTCAAGCGACCCTCCCACCTCAACCTCCTAAAGTGTCAGGATTACAAGTGTGAGCCACTGCACCTGGCCAATATCTGCAGTTCTAAGAGGTACACAGGTGATGCTGATGATACTGGTCTGGGGACCACACTTTAAGAACCACTGCACTAAGAGAAGGGAGAATATTCTGCAGAACAACAACAACAATGCACCATACAGTGGCAACCAGGTATACAGTAAAACAAAATTGCATTTAAGTTCAGCGTGCTAAAGTTTATAGTATACGTATGAGGTGAGAAGAAAATTACCATAAACTTAGTAGCATGAAATGGAATCTCACTGAGCTCTAAATCTGCTACTTTTCTAATTTCATTGAGACTGAAAACCCTAAAGTCATATCTCCACATGTCTTTTGCCCATTTTCCTATTACTTTTTTCTTTTTCTTATATATTTGTAGGATTTCTTTGTATATTATAGATATCAGTCCTTTGTTGGCTATGTATTTTCTACCTGTTTGTGACTTGTCTTCTGTGCCACCCCCCCTTCTTTAGGGTAATTCTTGATACACACAAATTATTATTTCCAATGTAGTCAAATTTATCAATCTTTTCATTTATGGTTAGTAGGTTTTGTTTCTTATTTAAGAAATCTTCCTGGGCAGCCATCTTGTTCTTGCTGCACACTGGAGTTGGAAGACCTTCTCTGCTTCAGATTAACCAACAGCACAAATCAAGAAAAGTTAGCCAAACTTCCGGATCAGGTCCAGAATGGGGACAAGGGTACAGCTCACAGAAAGAAGATGGTACAAAGAACAGCTACAGCTGATGACAAAAAGCTGGAGAAGAGCTACAAGCTGCCCGACGGCCAGGTCATCACCATCGGCAACGAACGGTTCCGGTGTCCGGAGGTGCTGTTCCAGTCTTCCTTCCTGGGCATGGAATCCTGTGGCACCCACAAGACCACCTTCAACTGCATCATGAAGTGTGATGTGGACATCTTCAAAGACCTGTACGCCAACACAGTGCTGTCCAGCGGCACCACCATGTACCCAGACATCACCAACAGGATGCAGAAGGCAATCACTGCCCTGGCACCTAGCACCATGAAGATCAAGATCATTGCACCCCGAGAGCGAAAGTACTCGGTGTGGATCGGCGGCTCCATCCTGACCTCACTGTCCACCTTCCAGCAGATGTGCACTAGCAAGCAGGAGTATGACAAGTTGGGCCCCTCCACTGTTCACCACAAATGCTTCTAAATAGACTGTGAGCAGATGCATAGCTTTTGCTGCATGGGTTAATTCAGAAGTATAAATTTGTCCCTGGCAAATGCATACATCTCATGCTAGCCTCACGAATCTGGAATAAGCCTTCGAAAAGAAATTGTCCTTGAAGCTAGTATCTGATATCAGCACTGGATCATAGAACTTGTTGCTGATTTTGACCTTGTATTCAAGTTAACTGTTCCCCTTGGTATTTGTTTAATACCCTGTACATATCTTTGATTTCAACCCTTAGTACATGTGGCTTGGTCACTTCGTGGCTGAGGTAAGAACATGCTTGCGGAAGACAAGTCTGTGGCTTGGTGAGTCTGCAAGGCCAGCAGTCTCCGATCTGTGCAGGGTATTAATGTGTCAGGGCTGAGTGTTCTGGGATTTCTCTAGAGGCTGGCAAGGGCTCCTGAACCAGTTGTTTCTGTCCTTTCAATCAGACAATCTGGAGAGTCACAGCTGTATCTAGAAAAACTCTCTGCCAGAAGCAAAAGTAAATCCCCTATGGAGGAAGATATTATCCAGAGCCTTAGGTTACAAATTAGTGTTATAATTTTGCAATCATAACACCCAGCACACAATAAAAAAATACCCAGGCATACAAAGAGTTAAGAACAGACTGAAAACCAAGAGGAAAAAGCTGACTGTAATGAAGAGACCAAGGGGAGACTGAAATACTGGCATTGTCATATCCAGACTATAAATGATTAATTTGTTCAAAGCAGTATATGACAATTGGAGCATTTTGGCAGAAAATTTGAAACTGTAAAAGTAAATAAAATGGAAATTCTGGAAATGAAAAAATATCAAAATTGGAAACAATTTAATGGATAGGTTAAAGAGCAGGTTAAACACAAGTGTGGAATGTAGGTCAGAGGAAAATATCCAGACTGAGGTAGGTTAAGCAAAAGGATAAAGAACACAGAGAAAAGCATAATACACACACAAGGCATTATTAGGCTTGTGAAATGGTCTAACAGAGAGATAACTGAAGTCTGAGAAAGAGAAAAGAGAATGGAGCAGGACCAATACATAAAAATAGAGTGGCCAAGTCAATTTTCCAAAATTGACTACAGACATCAAGTTGTAGGTTCAAGAGCAATAATAAATCTGAACAGATTAAACTAAGCAACAGATTAACAAAGTAAAACCAAAAAAAAAAAAATCTTCAAAGGAGCCAGTGAAAAAAGGTGTATTATTTTTAAAGGGAAACAATAAACTGAAAACTGACTTCTCAATAGAAACATGGTAGCTAGGAGGCAACTGAATAATAGCTTTTAAGTGGTGAAAGGAAATAATTGTCAACATAGGATATCATAGCTGAGATTAATATGTTTTTAAAATGAGGGAGAAATAAAGAAAAATTTTATGACAAAAATAAAATCAGAGACTTCATCATCAGTAGACCCACACTTAAAGAAGATACCAGGAGAAGTTCTTTATTTTTATTTTTATTTTTTTTGAGATGGAGTCTCGCTCTGTCACCCAGGCTGGAGTGCAGTGGCGTGATCTCGGCTCACTGCAACCTCCGCCTCCCGGGTTCACGCCATTCTCCTGCCTCAGCCTCCTGAGTAGCTGGGACTACAGGCGCCACCACGCCTGACTAATTTTTTTGTATTTTTAGTAGAGACAGGGTTTCACCATGTTGGCCAGGATGGTCTCAAACTCCTGACTTCGTGATCCGCCCGCCTCGGCCTCCCAAAGTGCTGGAATTACAGGCTTGAGCCACCACGCCCGGCCAAATACCATAAGTTCTTTAGGCACAAGGCAAATGATCCCACATGGAAGCACAAAGATGCCAGAATAAATGAAGACTAATGGAAAGGAGAACTGTAAATATGTGGGTAACTCTAAATCAAGAATGACTACAAATAAGAACAATAATATATAAGGAAGTTTAAAATAGATGTTCAATTAAAATATACAACAATAGCAAAAAAAAGGAGAAATGATGGTAACTGTACCTAAGGTGCTTTAGGTCCTTGAAGTGGTAGAAGTACTCACTTATAGTGGATCTTGATAAGTCAATCATGCATTTTGTAATTTCTGAGTTAATCAGCAAATTATGGTTTAAAAAACTCAACAAGGTAATAGAGAAAAACAGATTTAAAGCAAACAAACAAACAAAAACACTTCAGAAGTCCAAAAGCAGGCTAGAGAGAGAAAAAAGAACATATAACTTGAGGGACAAATAGAAAACGAATAGTGACATGGCATACTAAACCCAAATACATCAGTATCTACATATAAGACTAAATTCTACAACTGAAAGAAAAGATTGCCCCAAATGACAAGGGAAAAACCATATGCTGCTTACAATAAAAACACTTTAACTACTAAGATATAAAAAGGGTGAAAGTAAAAGGATGGGAAAACATATACCACACAACCATTAACCAAAAGAAAGTTGCTACCATATGTTAACTTGCATCCATGTTAAGAATGAAGAGAACCATAAGTGGTAAATAGATGCATAAATGTAAGACTAAATAAATACGTATTTTCCTCAGTTCTCTTAATTTCTCTAAAAGATGAATATATAAAGCAGTAATTATATTATTGGGTCAAGTGTGTGTGTGTGTGTATGTGTGTGTGTGTGTGCATGCGTGCATGTATGCATGTGAGTATATCGGGAGGAAATGGAGCTATATTGGTGCAAAGTTTCTCTATTTTTCCAGAATTTAGCGTTAATCTGAAATAATTAAGATGCATATTATAGTATCCAGAGAAAGTACTAAGAAAATAACAAAAAAAATTTAGAAGTCAGAGGAATCAAAGTGGTGTACTACAAAATATTCCTATAACACGAAAGAGGTAGTAAAGAAGGAACAAAGGAACAAAAGAGACATGAGACATTTAGAAACTAAATAGCAAAATGGCAGACTTAATAGTGGTGACGGTTGTACCTCACAGTGGATGTACTAAAAATCACTGACTTGTACATTTTAAAATGTATTTAATGTCACATGACTTATATCTCAATTTAAAAATTTTTTAAATAGCAGTCAGCAATACTGAGTAATTACATTAAAATGTGAATGGATAAGATTTTACAGTCAAACCAAAATCCAACTATATGTTGTCTTTAGATTCAAGGATACAAATAGGTTGAAAGTAAAAGAATGGAAAAAGATATATCATGCAAACAGTAACCGTAAGAGAGCTGGAGTGGCTATACTGATAAAAAAACAAAATAGACTTTAAGATAAATATCAACTGAGACAAAGAGGGATGTATTATAATGATAAAAAGGTCAATATATCAGGAATATATAACAATGTATATCCTGATACATACATTCCTTATATATTATATATTCATCTAACAGACCTCCAAAATACATGAAACAAAAGTCATACAAACTACAATAAAATTAAATTAAAAATCAATATAAATAAAAAATTTGAGGGAAAGCCATGAATACTTGGAAATCAAACACACACTTCTAAGTAACCCATAGATCAAAGAATAAATCATAATGGATGTTAGGCAATATTTTGAAATGAGTGAAAACAAACATAAAACATAAAAATTTATGAAATGTAACTAAAGGAGTACTTAGAGGGAAACACATAGCTTTAAAAGACTAAATTAGGCTGAGTGCAGTGGCTCACGCCTGTAATCCCAACACTTTGGGGAGCCAAGGCCAGTGTACTGCTGGAGCCCAGGAGTTTGTGCCCAGCTTGGGCAACAGGGCAAAACCCCATCTCTACAAAAAAGTACAAAAATTAGCTGGGTATGGTGGCACACAACTCTAGTCCCAGCTACGTGGGAGGCTGAGGAGGGAGGATCACCTGAGCCTGGGGAGGTTGAGATGACTGCTCCACTGCACACTAGCTAGACTGGGTGACAGAGTGAGACCCTGTCTCAAGAAAAAAAAAAAAAAAAAAGAGGCTAAACCGGAAAAGAAGAATGATGTCAAATTAATACCTTATTCCATCTTATCTTAAAATAGGAACAAGCCGGGCACGGTGGCTCATGCCTGTAATCCCAGAGCTTTGGGAGGCCGAGGTGGGCAAATCACGAGGTCAAGAGATGGAGACCAACCTAGCCAACATGGTGAAACCCCGTCTCCACTAAAACTACAAAAATCAGCTGGGCGTGGTGGCACGCGCCTGTAGTCCCAGCTACTCCGGAGGCTGAGGCAGGAGAATTGCTTGAACCCAGGAGGCAGAGGTTGCAGTGAGCCGAGATCGCCAGCCTGGTGACAGAGCAAGACTCCGTCTCAAACGAAAAAAAAGAAGAACAAATTAAACCCAAAGCAATGGGAAAAAAAGTAATAAAGATTAAAGCAGAAATCAATGGAATAAAAATAGAAAGAATAAAGAAAACAGTTCTTTGAAAAGATCAACAACATTGATAAACATTGAGCTAGACTGTCTTTACGATAAACGGTGTTGGAACAATTCAACATCAGTATGTTTTAGAAAATGAACTCGGATCCATTCCGTACACCATATCCAAAATTTAACTCAGAATGAATCATAGGCCTACATGTAAAACATAAAACTGTAAGTCTCCTAGAGGAAAATAGGACATAATAATTGTGACCCTGAGTTAGGTAAATAATTTTTAGTATGACACCAGAAACACAATCCATAAAAGAAAACAAATTGATAAACTGGACTTAATCTAAGTTAAAAACTTCTCTCTGGCCGAGCATGGTGGCTCATGCCTGTAATCCCAGCACCTTGGGAGGCTGAGGCGAGCAGATCATGAGGTCAGGAGATCAAGACCATCCTGGCTAACAGTGACAACCTGTCTCCACTAAAAATACAAAAAATTAGCCAGGTGTGGTGGTGGGCGCCTGTAGTCCCAGCTCCTCGGGAGGCTGAGGCAGGAGAATGGTGTGACCCTGGGAGGAGGAGCTTGCAGTGAGCCGAGTTCATGCCACTGCACTCCAGCCTGGGCGACAGAGCAAGACTCCGTCTCAAAATAAATAAATAAATAAATAAATAAATAAATAAATAAATAAATAAATAAATAAAATAAAACAACAACAACAACAAAACTGCACCAGTAACACCTACATTTATAAAAATGTTTAAAAAGACACTCTTAAGGGCAATAAAAAGACAAGCTAGAGACTGGAAGAAAATATCTGCAAAGCAAATATCTGGTAAATGACTTGTACCCCGAATATATTTTTAAAGACCCTTAAGGCTTGGGCTCGGCATGGTGGCTCAGGCCTGTAATCCCAGCACTTTGGGAGGCTGAGGCATGTGGATCACTTGAGGCTAGGAGTTTGAGACCATCCTGGCCAACATGGTGAAAACCCATTTCTACTAAAAATACAAAAATTAGCCAGGCGTGGTGGTGCGTACCTGTAGTCCACAGCTACTCAGAAGGCTGAAGCAGGAGAATCGCTTGAGCCCAGAAGGCAGAGGTTGCAGTGAGCTGAGATCGTGCCATTGTACTCCAGCCTGGGCAACAGAGCAAGACTTTCTCAAAAAACAAAACAAAACAAAAACAAAAACAAAAAGACACTCAAGGCTCAATAGTAAAAAACCAAACAACCCAATTAAAGATTTAAGCAGGTTATTCACCAAAGAAGATATATAAGTGGCAAATAAGGACATAAAAAGATAGTCAACATTATTATTAGGGAAATGCAAATTAAAGCTACAAGATACCACTACATACCTATTATAATGGCTAAAATTTAACAAACTAACAGTATCAAGTGTTGGTGAGGATGTGAGGAACTAGAACTCTCATACACTACTAATTGGAAAGTATATGGTACAAGCACTTGGAAAATAGTTTGACATTTTCTTAAAAAGTTAATCATATACTTACCATGATATCCAGCCATTTTACTCCTAGGTAATTTACCAAAGAAAATAGAAAGCATACATCTATACAAGGATTTACACATGAATGATTTATTTGTAGTAACCAAAGACTAGAAACAACCCAAATGCCCCCCAACAGGTGAATGGACATTGTAATATATTCATACAATGGCGTATTACTCAGCAACAAAAAGGAATGAACTATTGATACACATAACCCGAGTCACTCTAAAAAATTATGAAGGAAAGATGCCAACCCCCGCCCCCAAAAGCATAGCACATATTGTATAGTTTATTTTATATAAGAAATACAAACGATAGGCCAGGCGCCGTGGCTCACACCTGTAATCCCAGCACTTTGGGAGGCCGAGGTGGGCGGATCACAAGGTCAGGAGATTAAGACCATCCTGGCTAACATGGTGAAACCCCATCTCTACTAAAAATACAAAAAATTAGCCGGGCGTGGTGGCAGGCGCCTGTAGTCCCAGCTACTCGGGAGGCTGAAGCAGGAGAATGGCATGAACCCGGGAGGCAGAGCTTGCAGTGAGCCAAGATGGCGCCACTGCACTCCAGCCTGGGCAACAGAGCAAGACTCCGTCTCAAAAAAAAAAAAAGAAAAAAGAAAAAAGAAATACAAACTATAGTGACAAAAAAAAAAAAAAAAAAAAAACCGAAGAAGGGATAATGGGAAAAAAAGTGGGATTACAGAAGGGAAGGAGGAAACCTTTGGGATGGGTATATTCACTATATTGATTGTAGTAATTGTTTCACAGGTGTATAAATGTGTCAAAACATCACAGCATACATATGTTATACATGCATGTTATATATGTTATATATACATGCATGTTACATTATATATACACATGCATGTTGTATATGTTATATATACATGCATATGTTATACTGCATATAAATTATACAATATAGACACACATGCACACAAATGCCTGTATTTATTTTTTGAGACGGAATCTCACTCTGTCACTATGGCTGGAGTGCAGTGGCATGATCTTGGCTCACAGCAGCCTCCGCCACCCAGGTTCAAGTGGTTCTCGTGCCTCAGCCTCCCAAGTAGCTGGGACCACAGGTGTGCGCCACCACGCCTGGCTGATTTTTTTTGTATTTTTAGTTAAGATGGGGTTTCGCCACATTGGCCAGGATGGTCACTCCTGACCTCAGGTGATCTGCCCACCTTAGACTCCCAAAGTGCTGGGATTACAGGTGTGAGTCACCACACCCAGCCATCTTACAGGTTTTTAAATAGCTCTGAAAATATTCAATAATGATAAGTGTGTCATTTTAAAATTAGCAAATTCTGTTGTGTCAGAAGAGAAGTACAGGAGTCCAACACCAGGGCTACTTAAAATATTTCCTATGGTGAGATTCTGGTATCTGCAGCAAATCTGGCTACTCCAATGCCAATTGCTTACTATTGCTGCTATGGAAACTAAAATTAATGCCAGGCAGTTGAAATCAAGCAAAGAAAGCAAAACTAATCCCTTGTTATGCATAGTGAAAAATAACCTCTTTGAAACACTTTGATATTCACTGAAAAAGGTCCCAGAAGTTACCACATCCCAATTATTTTCCAAAAGGAAAAATATCTTCAACTTTTAGATAAAATAATCTGCACTGCTTATAAAGCTAGAAAAATACCACCTTTGCTCTTACAGCATGTTGTTTCAGTGGTAAAAATTTCTTTTTAAATTTCAACTTTTATTTTAGATTCAGGGGGTATATGTGCAGGTTTGTTTCATGGGTATATTGTGTGATGTTGAGGTTTGTGGTACAAATGATCCTGTAACCCAGGTAGTGAGCACAGTACCCAAAAGGTAGTTTTTCAGCCCTTATCCTCCTTCCTCCCTCTCCCCTCTAGTAGTCCCCATTGTCTATTGTTTGTATCTTTATGTCCATATGTACTCAATGGTTAGCTCCCACTTATAAGTGAGAGCATGTGGCATTTGGTTTTCTGTTCATGCACTAATTCACTTAGGATAATGGCCTCCAGCTGCATCCGTGTTGCTGTAAAGGACATGATTTCTTTCTTTTCATGGCTGCATAGTATTCTATGATGTATATGTTCATTTTCTTTATCCAAGTCATGATTTAATTTAATTCCTGCTTTTTCCATGAATTAAAAATATTCTTTGTCTCTGAGGCATCTTATATATTCTGCAAGCATCTATAAAACAGTAACAGGCTAGCTTATTAGCTTGCAAGTAGGATAAGACTTTTCACAGTTCTTGGCAGGCATTATCTACTAAAGTTGAAGATACTCGTAACCTGTAACTCTGCAACTCTACTCCTAAATGTATGCTCAACAGAAATGCATGTGATCTGTACTAAGAGACTTATACAAGAATGCTCATAACAGCATTTTTAAAAACTTCATTCTTCATGCTTTTGTTTAAAGTCTCTTTTTAATCCTACCTCTCAAGGCTAGAATGGTCCATAGTTAGAATTGGCGGTCACAGTATGAACTCATTGTTAATATAGATACAGAAGAATACACACAGAAATATTTTATAGATACAGTCATGCATTGCATATTAACTGTTCAGTCAACAATGGACTTCATATATGACTGGTGGTGCCACAAGATGATAATACTGTATTTTTACTTTTTTTACATTTAGATATGTTTAGATATGCAGGTTGCCTACAGTATTCAGTACATTAACATACTATACATATTTGTAGCCCAGGAGCAATAGGCTATACCATATAGCCTAGATGTCTAGTAGACTACACCATCTAAGTTTGTGTAATTACACTCTATGATGTTCTCACAATGACAAAATCACCTAATGATGCATTTCTCAGAACACATCCCCATCATTAAGCAATGCATGACTGTATGTGTATATACCCAGATTAGTACACACACATCTATTTCTTTACTCTGTTAGCTGAAAGGGCCTAAAACAAACGACACCCTAGCACCTGGGTGCTAGCAACAAGTACACCTAGCACCCAGATTTTGGTTTCTAAATAGCATTCTCCAAAAAAGGAACCAGGGCTCCTTGGAGAAATGGTCGATTCTAGGACTGGGACAGGAAACATACAAGATGAGTCCAGAGTAGTGCCAAAAAGAAAGTACTTAAAAACAAAAACAAACAAACAAAAAAACCCCACACAGATGGCATTGATGGGGCATGTCATAAGAGCACAGGAACCAACTGAAAGAGCTCCCAATGGCTAAAGCTGGAACAATTTGAGCAAAATAAAATAGCATTATAATCCAAAGTATAAAGTGAATATCCATGAGTCTATACTGATATAAAGGTTTGAACAAACCAATAAATGGAGAAGAGACAAATCTGTGCAGAATAATTCCAAAAAATTTATGTATATATACTCCAACCTTAAGAACAGGAGCATGGAGCTGGGCACAGTGGCACACACCTATAATTCAAGCTACTCGGGAGACTGAAGCAGGAGGATTGCTTAAGGCCAAGAGTTTGAGGCTGCAGTGCATTATGTTTGCACCTGTAAATAACAACTGTACTCCAGCCTGGGCAACATAGCAAGACCCTGTCTCTAAAAATATTAAACAGTGGGGGTGGGGAATATAACTCCCCATTCCTTAGGTGTGGCTGCACACCCAGGAGGTGGAGGTTGCAGTGACCTGAGATCCCATTCCTGCACTCCAGCGTGGGTGATAGAGCGAGACTCTGTCTTAAAAAAAAAAAAAAAAAAAAAAAAAGAAAGAGAAAGTCACTTTCAGTGATGGTAAGTTAGTATCTCCCAAGGTGATTTCATTCTACTTTTCAACAACTTTAATAATTAGAAAGTTCTTCCTGCTGAGTTGAAACCAGCTGCTCTCTAATTTCCTCATTTATTGCATGAATGAATGAATGAGAAGTTAACTAGCTCCATGAGAGCAGGGACACATTCTGATTCTGTTTTACCTTACTCAGCACCTGGCACTCAGTAGACACTCAAAGATTTGTGAATGAGTAAATGGTGAGTTGGCTGGGGGAAGGGCTTCAACTTCTATAACCCCCCCTACACATACTTACTAATACACCCACATAGCTATGAATACATATATGCAAAGGTTACAAGAACTTTTTGGAGTAGTTACTGGTATGTATGTGGATATGTATGTTTGTGCCTATCAGTTAGTAATCCATAAATGTTCATTTAAATCTTTACACCCTTATACATAGGTTTTAAAAACAATTTAACTAAAGCTAAGAGAAGTAAAGTAATCACGTGCACAATAAGTGAGAAAGGAGTGGGGTCAGTCGTGTCCCAAGTCCCTGTTAAAGGTGAGGAATGAATCAGAAACCTGGGGCTGGGGCAGTGCCTTCTCAGCATTTCTGGGGAAAAGCTCCTCGACCAGCAGCCAAGCAAGGACTGTGTGGCTTTGGGCAAATCACGTCACCTCTGGTTAGGCTGCATCCTCACCTGAAAACAAAAAGCTTCTAAACGGGAGGTGAACGCTGAGCGTGCAGGGACAGAGGGGAGGGGCAGGCGCGGGGGACGGGACCGGGGGACCAGAAGGTGGAGGAGGGACAGTCACTAATGGGCACCTGGGGGACGACAGAATCTGGACAACAAACTCCCGTGACACGAGTTTAACCTATGTAACACACCTGCACACGGACTCCTGAACCTAACATAAAAGTTAAATTAAAAATAAAAACAAAAAGCGTGGGCCCAGTGGCCTCTTAAACCTTTGCCAGTTCCAAGGCCCTGGTATTCTGGGCTTTTGTTGCTACTGTTTTGTTTTTTCCAAGCTCTGGAGTGTTTGCAAATTTAAGTTTAACACTGCCCCATCATCTCCAGCAAGTCACTTTCCCTGCTCAGTCTCCTCACGGGTCCAGTGAGGCGCCGGCCTACAAGGATCTTCACGGTCTCTTCCATTCTTTACTTTTCGGAGTGACCAACAAAGCCTAAAGCAAATAAAATTTACACTCGCAGGTGGGTGACGGACTTCTGACAGGGAAAACCCCGAGGGAGCCCTTTCCACACCGATTCTCAAGGGGAAAATAGGGTGGGCAGGATCTCCTCCCCTCACCCGCCAAAGCCCTGAGGTAAAGCTCTGAGCTCGGCAAGTCAGAGAGCACTACGCCGGCGAAGAACGAAGAAAGAAAAACGCGAAGAGACAGGTCTGCCGAGGCCTCATCCCCAGCGCTGCAAACCCACCTGCTCACCAGGTCCTCAGAGACCGCTCAGGGTTTCCCAAACTTCCAGAACGTTCCGTGAGCAGTGAGAGGCGCCGCCGGTAGGGCAGAGCGCCCAGGGTGCCTGGGGCAGGGTTCTGCAGTCGCTGGGCTTCTGCGCAACCGCAGACCCCGCAAACCTTTTCCGCGCTTCTGGCTCCCTAGAGCGAGGTTTGCAGGAAGCCGGAAGTGGTTAAGAAGATACAAGATTTGTAGGCCTGGCGCGGTGGCTCATGCCACTAATCCCAGCACTTTGGGAGGCCGAGGTGGGCGGATCACGAGGTCAGAAGTTTGAGACCAGCGTACCAACATGGTGAAACCCCGTCTCTACTAAAAATGCAAAAATTAGCTGGGCATGGAGGCGCGCACCTGTAATCCCAGCTACTCGAGAGGCTGGGGCAGGAGAATCGCTTGAACCCAGGAGGCGGAGGTTGCAGTGAGCGAGATCGCACCACTGCACTCCAGCCTGGGTGACAGGGCAAGACTCCGTCTCAAAAAAAAAAAAAAAAAAAAAACAAGATTTTTGCGTGTTAGACTCAGTTGTCCGGAATTGATTTTCACAGTTTTCTAAAATTCAGGCTCAATTCTTAGATTTCTGTCATTTGCAACATAAAATCAAAGTGGCCTTCAGTTTATCCAAATTATGAAAAAGGTAGATTTTCATGAGCAGCTGTCAAAAGGACATACAGGGGCCTGTGTGTTTGCTTTTTAGGACCCCATTATGTTCAGACCTAATTGAAGCTCAGCAATTTATTAAGTGTCACAATCATAAAAATGTAAAAAGACAAAGACCACTACTTGCCTTGAGCCTAATGGTTAGGATACAAAACTATGTGCCTTACTTTGTAAAACAGGTATTCCTGTAGAAAGAAAGGTGCTCCAGGAAAAATCCTTTGGAGCACACTTGTGATGTGCTGTTAATTTTTCCCTGTGATAACCATTTTGTATGTTTGGCATTTTGTATAACTGATATTAAAATTAGGTGCACTCTTGCTGCCTCATTTGGGCAGTTTGTTAAGCCACCACACCTGGCCTCTTGTTTATAAATTACCTGGTCTAAGGTATTTTGTTATCGTGGCCATAATGGACTAAGACAATTCCTCCTCTCTTCAAATCTCCAGAACTTATTCCTCATCTTCATTTTCGGCTGAAGTGAAATAGTTACTGCTAATATTTCATAAAGATTTATGATTTTAATAGTATTTAGTATTTAATATTAAATACTATTCAAATGAGATAAATAAAAGCATCCAGAAACGAAGTTCCACAGATGTCCACCTACCAATCTACCAACATCTATATGCCAGATTCTGCTTTCTTTCCAACTATAGTAGGTGAACTGTATAATCCTATGTAAGGCCAGCCCTCAAATGGACAACAGAGCCCATCTCTTCTTGCTTACCCAAGAATATAGCTCCACCGGCCAGTCGCGGTGGCTCACGCCTGTAATCCCAGCCCTTTGGGAGGCTGAGGCAGGTGAATCACAAGGTCAGGAGATCAAGATCAGCCTGGCCAATATGGCAAAACCTCATCTCTACTAAAAATACAAAAAATTAGCCAGGTGTGGTGGTGCACACCTGTAGTCCCAGCTACTTGGGAGGCTGAGGCAGGAGAATTGCTTGAACCTGGGAGGCAGAGGTTGTAGTGAGCCAAGATCATGCCACTGCACTCCAGCCTGAACAACAGAGCAAAACTGTCTCAAAAAAAAAAAAATATATATATATATATATATATATATATATCCACCAATTATTTCCTGACTCTTACAATCTTCAATTTTCTCCTCTCCACTGAATAGTCTCAATAGCAAATAAATATGCCATTATTTCTCTCATCTTAAAATCTCTTAATCTCCTCTCCCACACCAGCTAACAATCCATTTCTCTGCTCTCTTTACAGAAAAACTCAAAAGGATTGTCTATAATTTCTGTTGCTAATGCCCTTTTTTCCCATTCTTTATCAAATTTATTCCAATCAGACTTTTTCATTTCCACCATACCACAGAAATTGCTCATGTCAAAGTCATTGGTAAATCCAGCAAACAGCTGTCAATACTAATTTTACTTGGTCAATCAGCAGTACTTGTTACAGTTGATCATTCCCTCCTCCTGGAAAAACTTTCTTTCCTTGGCTTCCCCATATCATGCTCTCATGGTTTCCCTCCAGCCTCACTGGCCATTTATCAGCATCCTTATTGGTTCTTCCTCAAAACCCAACCTTTTAATCTTGCTTGGAGTGCCGCAAGCTCAGTCCTTGGACCTCTTTTCTTCTCTGGGTATATTTGTTACTTTGGTGTCCTCCTTAACTCATAGTGTTAGATATCATCCATGTGCTGACAAATTCCAAATATCTATCTACAGCCCTGGCCTTTCCCCTGAACTCCAAACTGGTATAACCAATTGCTGTTTAATATTTCCAGTAATAGACATCTCAAATTTCACATGTCCAAAACTGAACTTCTGACTTCCCCTCCCAATGCTGCACCATCTATAGTCTTCCTTATCTCAATTAAAGATTACACATATTTTATTTAAATACTTTGACTGTCTTACATACCCTTTTCAGCCATCAGGAAGTCTTGTTGCCTGTACTTTCAAAATATATCCAGAGCCTGACCACCTTTCTGGTTTGAGCCACCATCAGCTTTCACCTGGATTATTGCAATAGACTCCTAACAGGTTTCCGTTTTCACCTTGCCCCTAAAGTCTTTTTTCAACATAGCAACCAGGGTAATCCTTTGAAACAGAAGTCAGATTGTGTCTTTCCTTTGCTTAAAACCATATAATTGCTCTCAAAAAAAAAAAAATAAAAAAACAGGCCAGGCACAGTGGCTCAACGCTTATAATGCCAGCACTTTAGGAGCCCGAGGCGGGTGGATCACCTGAGGTCAGGAGTTCAAGACCAGTCTGACCAACATGGAGAAACCCTGTCTCTACTAAAAATACAAAATTAGCCAGGCATGGTGGTGGATGCTTGTAATCCCAGCTACTCAGGAGGCTGAGGCAGGAGAATTGCTTGAACCAAGGAGGTGGAGGTCGTGGTGAGCCGAGATTGCACCATTGCACTCCAGCCTGGGCAACAAGAGTGAAACTACGTCTCAAAACAAAACAAACAAACAAACACCATCTAATGGCTCTCAAACCTCTCAGAATTAAAGCTAAAATCCTTATGATAGCCAACATGGTCCAATTCCCCTGTATTGGTCCATTCTCACACTTCTACGAAGCAATACCTGAGACAGGGGAACTTATAAAGGAAAAAGTTTTAATTGACTCACAGTTCCACATGGCTTGGGAGGACTTAGGAAACTTACAATCATGGCAGAAGGCAAAAGAAAAGCAGGCACCTCCCCCACAGGGCGGCAGGAAGGAGTGAGTGCCGAGTGAAGGGCAAAACCCCTTATAAAACCATCAGATCTCGTGAGAACTCACTCACCATCATGAGAACCAGCATGGCAGAAACCACCCCCATGATTCAACGATCTCCACCTGTTCTGCTCTTGACACGTGGGAATTATGGGAATTACAATTCAAGATGAGATTTGGGTGGGGGACACAGCCAAACCATATCATCCCATTACCCATCTGGCCTCATCTGCTACTATCTCTCCCACTTGCATCCTCTGTTCCAGGCCCATTGGCCCCCTCCTTGCTTCTTTTAACTGTCAGGCATGCACCTGCCTCAGGGATTTTGCACCAGCTTTTATGTCTGGCATGCTCTCTCTCCCCAATGTCTTCATAACTATCTGTCCTCCTTCAAATCTTAGCTCAACTATCATCTTTCAAAATAAAGCCCACCTTGACTTTCTCATTTAAAATTGGAACCACTCCTAATGCCAGGCACAGTGGCTCATGCCTGTAATCCCAGCACTTTAGGAAGCTGAGGTGAGTGGATCACTTGAGGCCAGGAGTTCAAGACCAGCCTAGCCAACATGGTGAAACCCCGTCTTTATTAAAAATACAAAAATTAGTTGGCCGTGGTGGTGCACACCTGTAATCCCAGCTACTTGGCAGGCTGAGGCAGGAGAATCGATTGAACCTGGAAGGCAAAGTTTGCAGTGAGCTGAGATCACACCACTGCACTCCAGCCAGGGCAACAGAGTGAGACTCTGTCTCAAAAATAAATGAGTAAATAAAATGAAATAATAAAATTAATTTAAAAATAAAATTGGAACCACTCTTGATCCCTCTTAGTCTCCTCTATGCTTTTGGTTTTTGAGACAGGGTCTCACTCTGTCACCCAGGCTGGAGTGCAGTGGTGTCCTTGGGCCACCCATCCTCAGATGATCCTCCTACCTCAGTCTCCTGAGTAGCTGAGACTACAGATGCATGCCACCATGCCCAACTGATTTTTGTATCTTTTGTAGAGACAAGGTTTCACAACGTTGCCCAGGCTCTTCTGTCCTTTTTTCATAGCACTTCTCACCTTCTAACGTACTATCTAATTTACATATTTATTATTTCTATTGTTCATGGCCTTTCTCTTCTCACTACAATGTGAAGTCCACAAGAGCAGAGATTTTTGTCTGTTTGGTTTGCTGATGAATCTTTAGCACCTATTACAGAATGGTGTCTAGTACCTATTAAGCACTAATAAATACAGACAAACATTGAAGTGTCGTTCATCCTCATGTATAAGGCCCCTTCTGGCTTATGTCTCAGTGATAACATAATCAGACTTCATTGAATGTTATCAGCCATAAGATACATAGTACCAATGGGGGCTTCTATTTTGATTAAAATTCTTAGTCTTATTACTTTTAGGCTTGAACTAATTTATTTCAAGCTTTGGTCTTCTGGGTCCAAGCTAATTAGTTTGTCTAAGAAGTATTTGCTAGAAATAAAAGTTTAACAGCTAAGTTTGCTAACAAGTTTCCATTCGGGAGCTCATGTATTACTACCAATCATTTGTTACTAGAACAAATAAGGCTGTTAGAGTTGTGCTTTTAAAGGTGCCTATGCGATTCAAGTCCAAATATATTGAAATTGAATACACAAATGTATTTGGCAACTCTATAACAGCCCAATTCCCTGATTCACTACTCCCTAGAATTCCTGCACAGGAATATGTTCAATTTACATTCCTGCTTAGAGTCAAAACATTCCTAATTCAACAGCTGCAAGAAAGTTATAATGAAAAATTAACTCCATAAATTATTGATTCTTGGATTGAAAATGTATACCTCAACTTGAAAGCGTAGAATCAATAAAAAATATATATTTCATAAACCGTGCAATGTCATATTTCCACATTAGTTGCAAAATGACAAGCTGTTAGGAGACTAAGAATAGCTTAGTTTTCTGTGTGAGATGCCTCAGTTTCACAAGCAGCAGCAAGCCCTCTAATCTTCCTAGTCTGAATGCATGGATCTATGATAATGAATGAACTTCAATATTTTTCCCTTTTAGTCAATTGCAAACATTGACAAGAATTTTCTTTTGAGACTCCACTATCTCTTTTTTTGTTTCCTGCTTCGTCCTTGACGTTTCTGACTTTGACGTTGTAACCTGTCCAAAAGAAACACACACACACACACGCGCACACACACACACACACACACACACACACACACACAGAGAGAGAGACAAAGAGAGAAAGAGAGTAAGGGAATTGTAGGGGAAATCTGATGAAAGAGAAGTGACTGTTTTCAAATTTAGCCCTTCACCAGTTTTCTTTGATATGGGAAATGGACACAATACTATATCCTTAGATCCTGACTATGTATATAAATACTTATTTTTAAATGGTTGGATTTAAACAACTTATTATTTTGAAAACAACAGGCTCAGTTCAATTAAGCCATAAGTTATTTTAAAAATAGCTGGTTTGGCCAGGCATGGTGCCTCGTGCCTGTAATCCCAGCATTTTGGGAGGCCGAGGCAAGTGGATCACTTGAGGTCAGGAGTTTGAGATCAGCCTGGACAACATGGTGAAACCCTATCTCTATTAAAAATACAAAAATTAGCCAGGTGTGGTGGTGCGCACCTGTAATCCCAGATATTTGGGTGGCTGAGGTAGGACAATTGCTTGAACCCAGGAGGCAGAAGTTGCAGTGAGTCAAGATTGTGCCACTGCACTCCGGCCTTGATGACAGAGCAAGACTCTGTCTTAAAAATAATAATAATAATAATAATAAAATAGGCTGGGTGCGGTGGCTCACGCTTGTAATCCCAGCACTTTGGGAGGCTGAGATAGGTGGATCACCTGAGATCAGGAGTTTGTGACCAGACTGGCCAACATGGTGAAATCCTGTCTCTACTAAAAATATAAAAAATTAGCTGGGCGTGGTGGCACACGCCTGTAGGCCTAGCTACTCAAGAGGCTGAGCACGAGAATTGCTTGAACCCAGGAGGCAGAGGTTGCAGTGAGCCGAGATCATGTCACTACACTCCAGCCTGGGCGACAGAGCGAGACTCTGTCTCAAAAAAAAAAAAAAAAAAAAGCTGGTTTTTTGGCTTCAAAATCTTTTCTATTTTCAAATAGGTTCAAATATGTATGTATATGGCTCAGATAATCAAAGCAAAACATACTTAGTTTTCTAGATTGCACTTTCCCATGTCACTGGTTCCATTCACCCTCTTTGACTAAATCCCCCCCGGTTCTTAGCTGACTGTCATGATAATGCCTTGTGCTTTAGCTGCTGTTGGTGTAATGCAACTACTGGGCATAGCTATGATTCAGTGGTGAATTCCTGAAAGTTTAGACATTTTGACAGATTCTTGGTTTTGGCAAGAAGAACTTTCTTCAGTCCTCCGTCACACTGTAAAAACAACTAAGATGAAAACTCAATGCACTAAAAAACAGCTAAATCTAAGAATAAAAATTCCTAAATTTAAAGCATATTGAGCTACATAAAGAAAAGCCTACCTAGGCTTCTCTTCAAAGCTAGTCAGGTTCTATCATATGAATCAGACACTGTCTGAAAAAGGATAAAGGTACATAATTACCTATTTGCCACCTGCCTCAGATCAGGGGGTCTATACCAGCTAGGAACTTCGTGGTTATCACTTTCCCTCGTAGGCACTGTGGTTTTGAGGCAGCCAGAGATGTATGAATCACCTCTTCTTCTCTTCCTCCCTCTACCTCCATGAACCTTCTCCTGTTGTTCTACATCCATAGAGAGAAGAGCTCAAAGGAAACAGCTGAGCAGGAAGTAAGGAGCAGACTACATGTTGAGAAATGTAGTGCCCCAGTATATAGCACCATAGTTAGGGGCAGAGAGAGGATGAACCTAAGAACAGTGCAAGATGGGAACTGTAGTTTTTTGTGTGTTCCATCATTTTAGAGTTACAAATGATCAGACAATGTGGGGGGAAAAGCCAATAGAAGGAAACCACAGTAGGTGAATGCCTAGTAGACATGGAAATTGACATGAGAACTGGCATATATACAAGTGGATAAGTAGCAGGACCAAGAGAAATATACACATTTTATCTGTTGATAAATACTAAGTTTGAAGACTCTTATTTATGGAAAAGTAAGTAAAAGAACAACAATGACAAAAAGCCAGCATGGAGCCTGTGAAACTAATACCTCAGAACAAGGGAAAGGAAATAACCACATAAAGAACCAAAGGAAAAGCATAAAAATGATCTACTGCAAGATAAAAAAAAAAATCTTTAAGAGACTACTTGCATCTGCAATAGAGCTCAAAAAGTTATTCATGTTCTGCATACATGCATCTATACAGTGGAAGAAGAAAGAGGTTGAAATGGAAAGCCGATACAATGTTATGAATGAAATAAGGAAGGATTGAAATAATACAAGAATGCAACTATAGAATTAAAATCTATATTGGCAATAAAGACTTGATTCTAGGAGAATATTGAATCAGTAATGAGGACTATTTGAGCACTCCAGAATGAAGAGAGAAAGATCAGAGGTAGGTGGTTGAGATAAAGGTAAAAAAAGAGAAAAAAAGATAATTGGTGTTCATGACGAAGAGACCAAAACAAATGGAAGAAAATTAAATATGTGATGGGAAGAACCGTTTCTTGATGAGGAAAAAAAAAGCCCATAGATGGAGGTAGAAAGGAATAACCATTTTTCCTGCAAAATAAATGATGAAGACCTACATCTAGACTTGGCCTGACAATGTTTTTAAATTACAAGGCTATGGAAGATGACTTACAAACATCCAAGAAGGAAATAAAATATGTTACCTAGAAAGAACAAAAACATAATGTCAGTCTTGGACTTCTTCGCTGCACACTAAATTACAGGATATAATTATTCAAAGCTATTTTTTCAGTAACTAAGAGAAAGAAAGAACTGGCAGTGAGCACCAAAACAAGTTAATTGAAGACATAAATCTAAAGTATAAATATGGCCACAAAGCTAAGTTCAAGTATACTGCACTTATTTATGCACCTCTTCATATCCTGTTGATGCCCCATCCCCCTGGTCTAAGCACTTGCTCTGCTTCCCAACCTAAGTAGCCCTATCAAAGGCTCATGCCATTCCTGCAATAATAATTCCTGCCTCAATCGCTATTTTATCTCCTGACACCACCAGCTGGCTCAGCCTTTCCAAGTGGGTGTTAAAGCATGAGCCTTTGGCATGGCCTCCATTGTATGTGCTACAGTGGGAACTATCATGGTCCAGTGGGATCCATGGAGGCCCTAGATTCTCCAGTAGCTGCGATAAAGGGGCCCATGCCACACTCTGGAAATGTGGGAAAGTTAACTTCTGTGGGACAAAATTTGAGCAATGAGAAAATGGACATAAGGAAGAGTGAACAGATAAATTGTTTACCCTTCCTCTTTCTGAGAGACTGTTCCAAGATTCAAAGGTTCCATTGGCCTCTCCAGAGATGTGGCCAAGCAACCAGCTGTTTGTAGTGGAGCTGAGGGCAACAAACCTTGCATTTGCTTCCCTCCTTCTCCGTTTTATGTTACTTTCCCCTCATTGTTGCTTCCCTGGGTTTGAACCCTCCAATAAAGCATTAGTTACACAAACTTGGCCTTGGGCTCTGTTTTCTGTGGAACCAGGCTAAAACAAAAGTCAAAATGACTCGTAAAAGAGAAATCACATACAAACAAAAATGGAAACACGACATACCAAAACTTACAGGACATTAGCAAAAGCAGTTGTACAACAGAAGTTTATAGCGATGAACACATAAAAAAAAAGTAAGATCTCAAATAAACAACCTAACATTAACACCTCAAGGAAGAGCAAACTAAGCCCAAAGTTAGTAGAAGGAAGGAAATAATAAAGATCAGAGCAGAAATAAATGTGATACAAACCAGAAAAACAACTGAAAACAGCAATGAGGCCAAGTTCAGTAGCTCATGCCTGTAATCCCAGCACTTTGGGAGGCCGAGGCAGCTGGATCACTTGAGGTCAGGAGCTCGAGACCAGCCTGGCCAATATGGTGAAACACCGTCTCTACTAAAAATACAAAAATTAGCTGGGTATGGTGGCGGGTGCCTGTAATCCTAGCTACTTGGGAGGCCAAGGCACGAGAATCACTTGAACCCAGGAGGCAGAGGTTGCAGTGAGCCCAGACTGCACCACTGCACTCCAGCCTGGGTGACCGAGTGACACTCTGTCTCAAAAAAAAAAAAGAAAGAAAAAAAAGAAAAGAGCAATGAAATTAAGAGTTGGTGTTTTGAAAATATAAACAAAATTGACAAGCCTTTAGCTAGAGTAAGAAAAAAAGGAGAGAAGACTCAAATTAATTAAGTCAGAAGTGGGCCAGGTGTAGTGGCTCATTCATGTATATTCCAGCACTTTTGGAGTCCAAGGCAGGAGAATTACTTGACACCAGGAGTTCGAGACTAGCCTGGACAACACAGTGAGATCCTGTCTCTACAAAAAATAAATAAATGAATAAAATTAACCCAGCATAGTGGCATGCATCTGTATTCCCAGATACTGGGGAGGCTGAGGCAGGAGAATCACTTGAGCCCAGGAGTTCAAGGCTGCAGTGAGCTATGATCATGCCACTGCACTCCAACCTAGGTGACAGGGTGAGATCCTATCTCAGGAAAAAAAAGGAATCAGAAGTGAAAGAGGAAGCATTACAATTGATAACACAGAAATATAAAACATCATAAAAGACTACTGTGAACAACTATACACCAATAAATTGGATAACCTTGAAGAAATGGATGAATTTCTAGACATATACAACCTACCAAAGCTAAATCATGAAGAAATAGAAAATTTGAACAGACCAATAATGAACAGGAAGATTAGATTGGTAATAAAAAGTCTCTCATCAAAGGAACTGATGGCTTCACTACTGAATTCTAGCAAACAATTAAAGAATTAATACCAGTCCTTCTTAAATTCACCCACAAAACTGAAGAGGAGGGAATACCTCCAAACTCTTTTATGAGGCCAGCACTACTTTGACATCAAAACCAGACAAGGACACTGCAAAAAAAGAAACTTATAGGCCCATGTCCCTGATGAATATAGATGCAAAAGTCCTCAACAAAATATTAGTAAACTGAATTCAGCAGTATCATTCACCATGACCAAGTGAAATTTATCTCTAGGATGCAGGGATACTTCAATATACACAAATCAGTAAATGTAATACACCGCATTAAAAGAATGAAGAACAAAAACCATATGATCATCTTTAAAGATCCAGTAAAAGCATTTGACAAAATTCAACATCCTTTCCCAATTAAAAAAAAAAAAAAACCTCAACAAACTTAAAATAGAAGTAAATTACTTCAACATAATGAAGGCTGTATATCAGAAACCCACAGCTAGCATTGTACTCAAGGGTGGAAAACTGAAAGCTTTTCCTTTAATTTAAGATCAGGAACAAGACAAAGATGCCCACTCTTACCACTTCTATTCAACATAGGACTGAAAGCTCTAGCCAGAGCGATTAGGCAAGAAAAAGAAATAAAAGCTATCCAAATGCCTTTTTGTCCCTATTTATAGATGACCTGACCTTATATATAGAAAACCCTAAAAACGCTACCAAAAAACTGTTAGAACTAATAAATGAATTCAGTAAAGTTGTAGTAACAAAAATAACATAAAAATAAGTAGCATTTCTATACACTAACAACAGAATGTCCAAAAAGAAGTCAAGAACATAATCTCATTTATAATAGTATCAAAAAATACTTAAGAATAAATTTAACCATGGAGGTAAAAGATATGTACACTGAAAACTATAAAACATTGGTGAAATAAATTAAAGACATATGTAAACAGAA
Source organism: Homo sapiens (assembly GCF_000001405.40). Lineage (NCBI taxonomy): Eukaryota > Metazoa > Chordata > Mammalia > Primates > Hominidae > Homo > Homo sapiens. The sequence goes on along the minus strand of NC_000001.11, from coordinate 92,206,842 downwards.
AGATATTCTGTGTTTATAAACTGGAATAATTAATATTGTTAAAATGTCCATACCACTCAAAGCAATCAACAGATTCAATGTAATCCCTACCAAAATTCCAATGATATTTTTCACAGAAATAGAAAAAAAGTTCTAAAATTTGTGTGGAACCCCAAAAGACCCTGAATAGCCAAAGCAATCTTGAGAAAAAGGAACAAGCTAGAGGCATCATGCTACCTGATCTCAAAAATATACTACAAAGCTATGGTAACCAAAACAGCATGGTATTGACACAAAAATGGACATAAAGACCAATGGAACAAAATGGCACAGAATACATTTATGGTCAACTGGTCTTTGACAAGGTGCCAAGAACACACAATGGGGAAAAGGCAGCCTCTTCAATGAATGGAACCAGGAAAATGATATCCACATGCAGAAGAATGAAATTAGACCCTTATCTCAAGTACAAAAATCAACTCAAAATGGATTAAAGACTATACCATAAGACTGAAACTGTAAAACTCCTAGAAGAAAATATAGGGAAAAAGCTTCTTGACATTGACCTGGGTGATGATTTTTGGCCTTAGCCCCACAAACACAGGCAACAAAAGCATAAATAGACAAATGGGATTTTATCAAAGTAAAAAGCTTCTGCACAGCAAGAGAAACAGTCAACACAGCGAAGAGACACCTATGGAATTGGCGAAGATATTTGTAAACCATACATCTGATAAGGGGTTAATAGTCAAGATCTATAAGGAGCACAACTCAACAACAAGAAAACAAATAATTTGATCGAAAAATGGCAAAGATCCTGAATAGACATTTCTGAAAAGAAGACATACAAATGGTTAACAGGTATAAGAAAAGGTGCTCAACATCACAAATTACCAGGGGACTGCAAATCAAAACCACAATGAGCTATCACCTTATACCTGTTAGAATGTGTTTTAAAAATTTGTTTAATCATATATATTTATTATCTAAAAAACATTTCTACAGACCAACTTTCATTGAACTAGTGTAAAAATATCGTGGACGTTTTCTGTAAACAGTATTTCACAAACATATTCGCAATCATATTGTGCAGTGGGACCTATGTGTGCAGAAGGGAAAGGAATGCAGTAAGCGATTGTCATAAAGAAAATTAGAGTCTTTCCCAACCAAAAATAAAGAGTTTCAAAAAGAGTAATTCAGGGTGTACTAAAGAGTCTGACTCCATTTTTTGATGTATGACTGCTAACACCTTGTATACCTCATCACTCCCTCTTCCTATTCTGCCCATCTGGGAAAGCTGATAATAAAGCCTGAGTGTTTTCTTCCTTGGTACCAGCTGGAAGTTTAAACCTTGTCTAACTACTGTCAATCCAGCCCCACGCAGTAACCACCATAATATCGTAAGCCAGTTACCTTTCCCTACTCTACAATAAACATTCTCAAAACACTCCAGTGTATGATATCATCATTCTTGTCATCCAAACCGAACTTTAAGTGGAGTTCAACCCCAGTTTCAGTGGAGTGGTTGTAAGTACAAATTAACAAAAATGCTATGGGTGAATACATAAAGTTTCTAGTTTACCTACCACAACAAACAAACAAAATCTCATTGTATGCGTTCATTCTAAGAGGAAATTCATCAACACTGATGTTTTCAAAGTATTTCACAGAGCACTATAAGCATAAAAAAGAGACAGTTATTTTTTTATTTGCAAATTTTCTTTCATTTCATAGTCTTTTTCCTATTCCTAATATATTTGTATTTTCACTTTTTGTAAATCAAGGTGCATGCCATGGGTCTTACATAGCACAAAAAAGGCGTGTAGAAATATAATATGGTTCCTATTCATCAACTGTGATACATGTTTTAGGGTGTCAGTCTGAAAGTCCATTTCTATGGAATTTTCATTATACCTACGTAAGTATCTTAGGGCAGAGTGCAGAGAATAACTCCAGTGCAAAGTATGATTATGTGTTCCCAAAATTGTTGTTTGATTCTACAATAGAAAAAAAATTGTTATAGTAAATAGATCCTTCAATCTTAAGAGCCTAATAGTACATTGTTAATGTCTGTTATGAAGTATCCTACTGGGATGTGATAAAACTTTGTTGGTAAAAGGAATGGAATTCATTCATAGCTATGAAAAAAGATTCAATTTTATTAATTAAAACATGAGAGCTATGATACATTCTGAATAAAACAGAAGCAAAATGTAACACTAGCAGTTAAATGTGATTTCTATTCAAGACAAGCTGTCTGGTTCTTTTGATTAAAGCCTCCTTTCTGATGACTGTTCTGTCTTCAATTTCAAGAACTTTTTTTTTTTTTTTTTGGTCAATCTTTGCTATACAATGGCTATCACCATTGAATGGAGAGGGTGGCCACCATTTCCCCTGCATTATTTCTACCATAATCAGTCCATAGTAATATATTACTGTCCTCCCATAAAAATTCCAGCCTCCTAAGGTCCTTGCCTGCTCTATTTCAGTTAGTTGGTAAAGCATTCCTTTCCTATATCCCACAGTGGCCCTCTGTCTGGAGAAGGGTCTCCAGAATGCAATCAGCATGATGACTAACACAGTCTTACATTACTCTCTGCCCCTCACAAATGCGAATTCAGACAATATTTAATTTCAAAAGGCAGTTTCCTTGTTCTTCCCAGAACATGGATTGAAATAAACATTACCTAATGACATCACCTTTTATCCTATTGATTATTTCCCAGAGATACCATGAAAGGCCAGTAAGAAAGGCATAATATCAATAGACTTCAAAGTTCAGATGGAAAGTTATAGATAGTAAAGTAGCCTTTTCAAGAAACCTCAAATCTTGGAGAACTGGAGACTTAGTTCTGATGTAGAGTATATTGTGAGAATTGCTTTTAACATTTATCATATCATTACATTTGTAAGTGTTCTTTCCAGTGTGATTTTTTTTGTAAATCCTGAGAAGATACCTTTGATTAAAGATTTTTCTGCCTATACTGTATTTGTCTTATTTCTCTCCAATATAAATCCTCTCATGACACCAAAATCATGAATGTTTGACCCAAAATCTTATACGTTCATTACATTTGTGAGGTTCCTCTCCAGTATAAATCCTCTCGTGATCCATAGTTTCGGTCCCTGGGTCAAAGCTTTAGCATGTACATTACATTTATGTGGTTTCATCAAAGACGTATATTTTGATGCCTGGTGAGTTCTGAGGCCTGGAAAAAGCCTCTCCCACATATGTTATAGTTATATGATTTCCCTTTAGAATGGTCTTTCTGATGTCAACTAAGGGTTGAACTCTTGATAAAGGGTTTGCTACACTCATTGCATTTGTAAGGTTTCTCTTAAGTATGAATTCTGTGGTGACTAGAAGGCTTGAACACAAACTAAAGGCTTTGCTACACCCATTACATTTGTAAGGTTTTTCTTCAGTATGGTTTCTCTGAATTGAAAGATGTGAATATATGAAACAATCTCATTATATTTGTAAAGTTTCATTTTGCCCTAATGTGTGCTTTCTGCTCTGGTGTGAGTAATAGAGAATAGATACAATCAGTCCATAGTTTCAGAAATGTGAGTTTTGACACTAGAAGGGATTCTTTGCTGAGGTGAAAATGAGGAGCCATGGTTGATAGACTTCTCAGCTTGATTACAGTGATACACTTTCCCCTTCAGTTTGAAATAGCTGCAGTTCAGGCAGATGTGACTGAGAGCTTAATCCAAGCTGAATTTTAATAGACTGAGTCCCTTAAATATAAGCAAACAGCCAAAGAATGCCTCTAATTTAAAATAGACTGAAACAAACATATAGAAAAAAGCAAATTGGAAGAAATACAGTGTGCAGAAAGTTTAAAACTTAAAAAAAAAAAAACCTCTTTCTTCAGATAGATAAGGAAAACATTGCATCCAAGGAACAAGAAGAAGATACTCTTAAGAAGGAAAATTTCAAAGAACAAAATCAACAGCTCTTAAAATTTAAAAATACAAACATTTAAAAATAGCAGTAATGAAAATGAGAACTTGAATGGAAGGGCTGAGAGATAAATTTGAGGAAATGTCCCAAGGAGTAAAGTACAAAGACAAAGAGACTAATAGGAGAGAAAAGGTATTAGCAGTCCTATACCTAAATAACAGGAGTTTCAAAAAGACAGATCAGAGAAAATAGAGGGGGAAGAAATCCTCAAAGGAATATTTAAGAGAATTTCCCAGAACTGAAGGACATGAGTTTGCAGACTAACAAGGCCCATCAAGTGCTTAGCACAATGGATGAAACTATACCCACATTAAGGCACAAGATTATACTGCCTTACAACATTAAGGCCAAAGAGAAAATCCTAACACTCTCCAGACTACTTAAAAAGAATCAAGTTGTTTCTGATTAAGAACTTTATATATGGTTAAGCTATCCTGTATGTGTATGGGTTAAATAGGTTTTCTGATTTTCTTTTTTCTTTTAATTTTTTTTTTTTTTTTTTTGTAGAGAGAGAGGTCTTACTATATTGCCCAGGCTGGTGTCGAACTCCTGGGCTCAAGCCATCCTCCCGCCTTGGACTTCCGAAGTGCCAGGACTATAGGAATGAGCCAGTGTACTCAGCCTTTTCTGAGTTTCAAGTTCTCAAGAATGGTACCACCCATGCACTCCTCAGAACGCTATTGCAGGAAGTACTTCAACAAAACAAGATATAAAGCAAAGAGGAAGATGTGAGACAGGAAATGGAGCTTAAAAAGGAGAGAGATGAAGCAATCTTCATGTTGAAAGTGAAGGGAGATCTAGGAAGACAGCACTGCAGTACTCCTGAAGAATAAACTATTCAGATTGTAACAGGTTCGGAGGCTCCAGGAGAGAGAGTTCCAGTAAGAGAAATTGAAGTGCATACCTGGTATGTTTGAACATACTGGAACATACATAGATAACTGAGGAAGAGTTTAGGTGTGAATAAATGATGTTTACATAGAAAGCTAAGAAAACAGGCAAAAAGAACAGTTACTAACTCCAGAGAGAAGAAAGGAAGAAAAAGCAATCATTGTTACTTACTGGCTTAGCAGTTTTCATAATTATAAAAATGTAAATTCTAAATTCTGGAATAACTAAAATTATGATACAAGTACGCTGGGTCATGGAGGTGAGGAAATGAAAACCAAATTCTCATCTTCCAAAGTGAGATGACAATACATAATGCCCAAAACTGAAAAGCATGTTGTGACAGATTCTGTCATAGGGAATTCATGTTATTTAGAGAAATGGCAACAAAGAAGAAATAGGTGGGAGGTTTGAAAGTGGTTGTTGTAGAAAGTGGGATTTGGGGATGGATGGAGCCAGATGGGGGACTCATTTTTGTCTGCTTTCTCACTAAGACATGCAGAGCAATTTGATTCTTTTTTAAATTTAATTTTATTTATTTATTTACTTATTTTCTGAGACAGAGTCTCGCTCTGTGGCCCAGGCAAGAGTGCAGTGGCGCAATCTTGGTTCACTGCAACCTCCGCCTCACAGGTTCAAGTGATTCTCGTGCATCAGCCTCCTGAGTAGCTCGGATCACAGGCGTGCGCTACCATACCGGCTAATTTTTCTATTTTTGTAGAGACAGGATTTCACCATGTTACCCAGGCTTGTCTCGAACTCCTGACCTCAAGTGATCCCCTGGCTCAGCCTCCAAAAGTGCTGGGATTATAGGCATAAGCCACTGCGCATGGCCTGATTCTTTAAACTATATTTACATATAACTTTGATGAAAATAAAAATTAAAACTAATGGGTCTTTTTTCTAGCTAATTCTTAATTTAAACCCATTTTTAGCCAGACTCAGAGACACATGCCTGTAGTCGCAGCTGCTTGTGAGGCTGAGGCAGGGTGATGGCTTGGGCCCAGAAGGGGGAGGCTGCAGTGAGCTATGATAGCACCACTACATTCCAGTCTAGGCAACAGAGAGAGACCCTATCTATAAATAATAATAACAATAAACCCACTTAACTTGTTTGGTGTGCTACAAAATTTAATGTTAATTGTAAAAGTTATCATGTGTCTTTTGAAGACACAATGAGATCCACCCTTTATGTTTCAATTACAATATTTACAATTATAATAAAAGTCATTAGGAGAAATAACCCCATTAAGTAATTTTTATTAAGTTTTTATTATGAGTAATCACTACATGTTTATTGCTAAAAAAAAACTCTTAGAATAGTATAACAAGATTGACTCCCAAAACCCAGAACTAACTCTTGATAGTAATATATTCGTATATACTTTATCAGTTAGGACTAGGTTTGGCTACATGTAAGAGAAAATCCAAATCGATAGTAGTTTAAACACACAAAGTTCTGTTCCCTCATGTAACAGCAGTCCAGACATCGGTATCTAGAGTTGCTATAGTAGTTTCATGAGGTATTGAGGGACCTAGGCTCCTCTCAGCTTTCTACTCCACCATCCCTGGGGTCTGGCCGTCACCCTCATGAACACTGACAGAACTCCAGCTATCATGTCTGTGCTCCAGGCAGCTCGATAGAGGAAAGATGAGAAGATGTCTTTAAGGAAATTTCAGGAAGTACCACTCTACACTTTTCCTTATACATACTAAGAAATTTAGGCCAGGGCCAGGCCACAGTGGCTTACGCACTTTGGGAGGCTGAGGCGGGTGCATCACTTGAGGCCAGGAGTTCGAGACCAGCCTGGCCCACATGGTGAAACCCCATGACATAAAGAAGTACAAAATAAAACATGTTCATCTATTTAATTGATAAGAAACAAAATTATAAAACCTAATGTTGGATGGAGTGCAGTAAGATTGGCATTGAACTCATATATTATTAATGTAATAAATACATTATAAATTGGTACAAAAATACAACATTTTTTGTCTCTACTAAAAATACAAAAATTAGCCGGGCGTGGTGGTATATGCCTGTAATCCCAGCTACTTGGGAGGCTGAGGCGGGAGATCGTTTGAACCCAGGAGGCAGAGATTGCAGTGAGCCAAGATTGCAACACTGTACTCCATCCAGCCTGGGCAACAGAGCAAGACCCTGTCAAAAAAAAAAGAAAGAGAGAGAGAGAGAGAAAGAAAGAGAGAGAGACAGAGACAGAGAAAGAAAGAGAGAATGAAAGAAAGAAAAAGAAAGAAAGAAAGAAAGAAAGAAAGAAAGAAAGAAAGAAAGAAAGAAAGAGAAAGAAAGAAAGACAGACAGACTTAGGCCAGGCTCAGTGGCTCACGCCTGTAATCCCAGCACTTTGGAAGCTGCGGTGGGAAGATCACTTGAGCCCAGGAGTTTGAGACCAGCCTGGGCAACGTAGTGAAATCTAGTCTCTACAAAAAAATACAAAAATTAGCCGCATATGGTGGTGCAGGCCTGTAGTCTCAGCTACTCAGGAGGCTGAAGTGGGAGATCACTTGAGCCCAGGGAGGTCAAGGCTGCAGTGAGCCATGATCATGCCACTGCACTCTAGCCTGGGCAACAGAGCTAGTCTCAAAAAAAAAAAGTTTAAGGAATTGGCTCATACAATTGTGAGTCGTGGCAAGTCTAAAGTTTGTAGAGCAGGCCAGCAGCCTGGAAAGTCAGGCAGGAGTTGATGCTTTGGTCTTGAAGTAGATTTTCTTCATATCCAGGAAACTTCAGTTTTTGCTTAAGGCCTTCAACTGATTGGACGAAGCCCAGCTATATTCTTGAGGGGAATCTCTTTTACTGAAAGTCAAATGATTCTCTAGGTTTAACACATCTACAAAATACCTTCACAGTAACACCTAGATTAGTGTTTGATTAAATCCTTGGGTACTTTAGCTTAGCCAAGTTGACACGTAAGATTATAACAGCAGTCTTTATCATAGATTATGCTACATGTATACATTAGTATCAAACTTCTTCACTTGATTGTGAGCATTCCCAATACCATCAAATATTCTTATTAAACATAATATTTATCAAAGTAGCTTAATATCCCAACATATCAAAATAAAGTGATATTTAATAATTTCCATATTCCATAACCTTTAGAATGTTATATATACATATATGTATAAATCTTAGCAATTTCAGCTTATTCATTAAATTTCTAAAAATGAGCTTACCGAGTTAACAATCATGGTTTATTTTTAAGGCCCTTATCCCTATTGCCAAAGTGCTTTCCTGAAAGTTTGTACCAATTTACAATATATTTATTACATTAGTAATATATGAATTCAATGCCAATCTTACTGCACTCCATCCAACATTAGGTTTTATCATTTTGTTTCTTATCAATTAAATGGACAAACATGTTTTGTTTTGTACTTCTTTATTAACTAGTATATAAACTATTTTATCATTCACTGTATTTTTATTGGCCATTTCTATTTCTTCTTTTCTTAACTTTGTCTATTTTTTGCCTAGTTTTTCTATTGGGCTGTTAGCATTCTTCTGATTGATATATGAGATATTTATATATTAAGAATATAAATCTTTCTCTCTTTTTTTGCAAGTAATATTCCTAATTTGCTTTCCTACTTTTTCTCTTCTATTTTTTATTTTTATTTTTATTTTTTTGAGATGTAGTCTCGCTCTGTTGCCCTGGCTGGAATGCAGTGGTATGATCTTGGCTCACTGCAACCTCTGCATCCCAGGTTCAAATGATTCTCTTACCTCTGCCTCCAAAGTAGCTGGGACTACAGGAGTGTGCCACCACGCCTGGCTAATTTTTGTATTTTTAGTTTCACCATGTTTCACCATGTTGCCCAGGCTGGTCTAGAACTCCTGACCTCAAGTTTTCTGCCCGCCTCGGCCTCCCAAAGTGCTGGAATTATAGGCATGAGCCACCAGTGCCCAGCCTTTTTTCTTATTACAAGGTTTTTAGTATGTAAATCATTCAAAGAAACTATACACACTTCAACTTTTCACTATGGCAATCAAAATTAATGAAGATATATTATTGGTAACAAAAATAAAGGGAACTGAAACATGAAAATGAGATTATTTTCATAGATAAACATCATTCCTATGGATGACTCAGGTAACCAGTTATATCTTTCCAAAAAAAGTACTTGGGAAAACTTAATTTTTTTCTAAAAATTCTTACATATGTAATGTTTTCTTCACTTAGTAGTATTACTAACTTTAGAATCTATCGATTGAATTGTTATTTCTAGGAAGATTTCATTTCTTTTCTTTTTTTTTTTTTTTTGAGACAGAGTCTCACTCTGTTGCCCAGGCTGGAGCGCAATGGCGCAATCTTGGCTCACTGCAACCTCTGCCTACCACGCGATTCTTGTGCCTCAGTTTACTGAGTAGCTGGGATTACAGGCGCATTCAGCCATAGCCGGCTAACTTTTGTATTTTTAGTAGAGACTGGGTTTCACCATGTTGCCCAGGCTGGTCTTGAACTCCTGGCCTTAAGTGATCCTCCTGCTTTGGCCTCCCAAAGTGCTGGGAATACAGGCATGAGCTACCTTGCCCAGCCTAGAAGATGTTAATATTATGTTTGAATTTTAAGATGATCAATATTTTTTAAGAAAAAATTTATGGGAGAATCAACTAAACAATGATCTTTTGAATTCTTTCCTACTTCTAAGGAAATTAAAAAATTAAAAAGCAGCAGATAAAGGTGTTAAATCTGTGATGGCAGTAATAGCTGCATGACGCTGATGTGCTGTAAATAAATCCTTGGGGTAATTTAAACCAACTCAGCCGTTTGTGCCACATATGACACCCCAGCGTGTTTTCCTTTCCTCCTTGGTAATTTTTAGATGTTATCTCATTTACTATGAAAAGCACAATCATCCCACACACAGTTCTTGCGTTGAGTTTTAATGTAATCTGCACATAATTTTAGCTTGATATTGAAAATTAGAAGTGAAACTGAATTCTAAGCAAGTTATCTGACTTGACCAATAATTTAAACTTGTATAGTGTAATAGTACTTGGAATTGTTTTTCTACTTCATTTCAATTGGTGGTGAGTCTGTGATTATCTCCAATAATTTTTTATATTGTCAGCAAAGCATCCAACTTGTTTTCATTTGTAATTCCTAAGTGAAAACATGGGCTAGTGGCCGGGGGTGGTGGCTGACGCCTGTAATCCCAGCACTTTGGGAGGCCGGGGCCGGCGGATCACGAGGTCAGGAGAGCAAGACTATCTTGGCTAACACGGTGAAACCCCGTCTCTACTAAAAATACAAAAAAATTAGCCGGGCGTGATGGCGGGCGCCTGTAGTCCCAGCTACTCGGGAGGCTGAGGCAGGAGAATGGCGTGAACCCGGGAGGCGGAGATTGCAGTGAGCCGAAATGGCACCACTGCACTCCAGCTGGGCAACGGAGGGAGACTCAGTCTCAAAAAAAAAAAAAAAAGGGTGGGGGGGGGGGTGGCCAGTATGTATTCACTTATTTACCTATAATATCCCCACTTATCAAATTTATTATTGTTTATTGAATCTATTTTTATTTTCAAAAAGGTTTTTTTTTTTTCCTTTAATAAAGACAGGGTTTTGCCATGCTGCCCAGGCTGGTCTTGAACTCCTGGGATCAAGCAATCCACCTGCCTTGGCCTCTCAAAGTGCTGGGATTACAGGCATGAGCCACCGCGCCGTGCCTAAAAGTTTTTCTTGTATGGTTCTTTTTCTAATGCTTTTTAAATTATGAGTCTGGTTTAAAATCTTATTTTTTTCCGACTGCATGCATTTTAATTTTTGTTAAAAAACAAACATTTCTCAATCTATCTTTTGTCTTTTCATTCTGTTTGTGATATTTTAGGCATATCTTAGTTCTAAATTTTAAACAGCCAAATTTCAGTCTTCTATTTTATGATTTGAGTTTCATGTGTTTTTCTGGGTTTCATGTGCATTCTCACTGAAAGATTATATTAAAATACCACTCGTGTTTTCTTATAGTACTCTTTTAATTTTGTTGTTTCAAGTTAAATTTTGTCATATATTGTGATATTTTATTATTTGACCTATTAATATGGGTGTACTATACGAGTAGTTTTCCCATAAAATCACCTTGCGTTTCTTAAATAAATTGCTATGTATTATTATTTTAATATACTACTTTATCTTTTAGGAATTTTGCATTTGTTAACGTAAGTGATGTTATTCTATAAATTTCTCTTTTATGCTATCTTTAGTCAGATTGTGCTGAACATATTATGATAGCTTCTTAAATCGCATCTGTTGGCTTTTCTTCTTTCTCCATATTCTAAAATGACTTCATAGTGACACTAGTTAGCACTATTTTGAATACTTTCTCAGTTTCTTCCAAGGTTAATAATCTGTGTAAGTTTTCTCTTTACTCCATTTGGTAATTCATATTTCCCTAGAAGTCATCCATTTCAATCAGGTTTTCAACTATATTTGTATGTAGTTGTGCCAAATACTTATTTTCTTAATATCCATATGTCCTCTCTAATATTGTATACTTAGGCTTTTCTCTCCATTAAGCTAGTGTGTGGATTGTTTTAAGAATCAGCTCTTGGCCAGGTGTGGTGGCTCACGCCTGTAATCCCAGCACTTTGGGAGGCCAAGGCAGGCAGATCACGAGGTCAGGAGACCAGCCTGGCCAATGTGGCAAAACCCCATCTCTACTAAAAATACAAAAAAATAGCCAGGTACGGTGGCTCACGCCTGTAATCCCAGCTGCTGGGGAGGCTGAGGCAGGAGAATCACTTGAACCTGGGAGGCAGAGGTTGCAGTGAGCTGAGACTGCGCCACTGCATTCCAGCCTGGGTGACAGAGCAAGACTCTTTCTCAAAAAAGAAAAAAAGAAAAAAAATAAAGGAATCAGCACTTAGGGAGGGTGCAATGGCTCATACCTGTAATCCCAGCACTCTGAGAGGCCAAGGCAGGCTAATCCCTTAAGGTCAGGAATTTGAGAGCTGCCTGGTCACCTCCATCTCTACCAAAAACAAAAAGAACCAGCTTTTAGATTTATCAGTTCTACTTTTTCTGATTTCTAATTAAGTTCCACTAAGTTCCATAATAATTCCTTTCTTCTATTTGATTCAATTTGATGTTATTTTCTGATTTCTTGAATTTAGAATTTTCTAAATTTCTTGAATTTTCTCTATAATTTAAACCAGAAAACTGTAGAAAGATATTTTATTTACTTTCTTAACTTAAAAGTCGCCAAAGGAACAATTTTGGACAATTTAAATTTAGCACAGTTTATCTGAGCAAAGAATGATTCATGAATTGGGCAGTACTCAGAAGCAGAAATGGCTCAGAGAGCTCCAATCTGCAACTTGGGCAGTGAATATTTATAGACAGAAATGGGAAGTACAGTTGGCCCTCTATATTTGTGGCTTCTGTATCCAGAGATTCAACTAACCATGGAATATATATATATATATATATATATTTTTTTTTTTTGAGATGTTGTTTCACTCTGTCACCCAGGCTGGAGTGCAGTAGCACAGTCTCGGCTCACTACAACCTCCATCTCCCGGGTTCAAGCGATTCTCCTGCCTCAGCCTCGCCCTCAGCTAGGATTACAGGCACATGCCACCACGCCTGGCTAAGTTTTGTATTTTTAGTAGAGACAGGGTTTTACCATGTTGACCAGGCTAGTCTTGAACTCCTGACCTCAAGTGATCCTCCCGCCTCAGCCTCCCAAAGTGCTGGGATCACAGGCATGAGCCACCATGTCCAGCCAAAAAAATATTTTTTTAAAAATGCAATAAGAATATCAATAAAGAATAATATTATACAAACAAAAAATACAGTCGAACAACTATTTATATAGCACATACATTGTATTAGGTATTAGAAGTAATCCAGAGATGATTTAAAGTAGGAGGATTGTGCCTAGGTGTTATGCAAATACTACATCATTTTATTTTATTTTTTAATTTTTAAAATAAAAATTTTATTTTTATTTATTAAAAAATAAAACTGGCCAGGTATGGTGGCTCACTCCTGTAATCCCAGTACTTTGGGAGGCTGAGGCAGGTGGATTGCCTGAGCTCAGGAATTCGAAACCAGCCTGGGCAACATAGCAAAACCCCATCTCTACTAAAAATACAAAAAGTTAGCCAGGTGTGGTGATGGCCGCCTGTAGTCCCAGCTACTCGGGAGGCTGCGGCAGGAGAATCACTTGAAGCCAGGAGGTGGAGCTTGCAGTGAGCCGAGATCGCAACACTGCACTCCAGCCTGGGTGACAGGGAGATTGTCTCAAAAAATATATATATATATATTTTATTTATTAAAAAATTTTAGAATTTTTTTCTATGTCTGTGAAAAATAACATTGGAATTTTCATAGGGATTACATTGAATCTGTTGATTGCTTTGGATAGTATGGACATTTTAATAGTATTCTTCAAATCCATAAACACAGAATATCTTTCTATTTACTTGTCTTCAATTTATTTCACCAATGTTTTATAGTTTCCAGTGTACATATCTTTTACCTCTTTGGTTAAATTTATTCTTTTTTTGGTGGGGGGTTGCTACAGAGGCTCACTCTGCTGCCCAAGCTAGAGTGCAGTGGTGTGATCTCGGCTCACTGTAACCTCTGCCTTCTGTGCTCAAGTGATTCTCCTGCCTCAGCCTCCCAAGTAGATAGGATTACAGGCACACGCCACTGTGCCCGGCTACTTTTTTGTATTTTTCATAGAGACGGGGTTTCATCGTGTTGGCAAGGCTGGTTTCAAACTCCTGACCTCAGGTGATCCACCTGCCTCAGCCTCCCAAAGTACTGGGATTACAGGCGTGAGCCACCATGCCCAGCCTTTTTTTTTTTTTTTTTTTTTTGAGACAGAGTCTCACTCTGTTGCCCAGGCTGGAGTGCAGTGCAGTGGCAGGATCTCGGCTCACTGCAACCTCTGCCTCCCAGGTCCAAGTGATTCTCGTGCCTCAGCCTCTTGAGTAGCTGGGACTACAGGTGCCTGCCACCACACCCAGCTAAATTTTTTTGTATTTTTAGTAGAGATGGGGTTTTGCCATGTTGGCCAGGCTGTTGATATGAACAGGAGACAGGGAAATGCTGGGTAGAAGAGGATGGTTCCCCGGCAAAAACCCCACCCTTAAGCACAGATACCCCCACAGCCCTAAATAAGAAGAGGCATTTCTGTTTTCACACCCTGTTTCACCTTTTGGCCCACCACACCCCTATCCTGTCCCCATATAACCCCCTGAACCTCAAACTCCAGAGCAGATTAGCAAGTGAGGAGACAAGGAGGCAAGCAGACGGGTAGTGGAACAAAACGTGGAGGAGAAAGGGAAAAGAAGAGAAACGTCTGGACATCAAAAGGAATTCAGATGGGGGTGGTTGGAGAAGAGTCTGGTGGCTGGGCAGCCTGGCTCCAGGAGAAGATCACCTTCTCACTCCATCTCCCTTTCTGGCTCCCCATCCATCTTGCTGAGAGCCGCCTCTACCACTCAACAAAACCTCGCATCCATCCTTCAAGGCCGCGTGTGATCCGATTCTTCCAGGACACTGGGCATGATCTCAGGATACAGAAAGCTGTCACACTGGCCCTCTGCCCTTGTGATAAGGCAGAGGATCCACTGAGCTGATTAACACTCAAGCCATCTGCAGACGGCAAAGCTGAAAGAGCTTCATAACACTAGGGTTGCAGGCACCCACTCCTAGACACTACCGTGGAGCTGGAGCCCGAAGCACTGGCCCCGACCTCTGCACCTGCCCATCTGCATGCTCCCCCTTTCTCAAGGGAGCCACACCCCTGTTGCACATCCTGCCTCCTGCAAGGGGAATCAAGCAACTCTCCCCTTTCACTGGTCTCAACTCCTGACCTCAAGTGATCTGCTTGCCTCAGCCTCCCAAAGTGTTAGGATTACAGCCATGAGCTACCACGACCGGCCATACACCATTTTATATAAAGACCTTGAACATCTGAAGATTTTGCTATCTGTAGGGGTTCTGGAATCAATCCCCTGGAAATACCAAGGTACTATTGTGCAGAAATAGCTTGATTGGTTACAGCTGTGAGTCTGCCTTATTTGGACATGGTCTGATCAGTTGGTAGCCTGTGATAGCAGAAGCTCAGCTGTTTAGGATTGGCTGAGACTCAGTTGTTTATTATACTCTTAAATTAGTTTTCAGTTTGTTATGTACTAAGTTAAGTTGCAGTTTCTTAAGTAGAAACTCAGATTATGGAGACAACCTCAGACCAATGGTCTCCTGCTTATTTAACAAAGTAGATTGTGCATGTATATATACACACATATATATGTATGTATATATTTCATCTCCCCAGTTGACTAGATTATATTTTTGAGAGCTGCATGGATGTAAGTAAAAGAATAATTTTGTGGAGTATTAGACATTTTCTTTCTTAAGCATGTAATTGTTTAAATGCAGGTATATTTCAGTTGCATTTTTTTTTAACTCAGCTCATTTGCCAGGCTAAAATTAAGCATGGAATTGAAAGAAAAGAGGTAAACTTCAGTACAGTCTATATTCATGACAGCCCTTATCTGGAAAAATGTCATGTCTCTGAATAAAAAGATTGTTTTTCCTAGTATATCCCTGATTTGGAAATTCAATGTTTAATTGATTGGGATGGTGTTATGAAAATACAGCATCAGGGGCTGGGCAGGGCTGGGCCACACCTGTGATCCCAGCACTCTGGGAGGCTGAGGTATGAGGATTACTTGAGCCCAATTCAAGACCAGCCTGGGCAACAAAGTGAGACCCCATCTCTAAAAAAAAAAAAAAGCCAGGCATGGTGGTGCATGGTCGTGCATGTGGTAGCTACAGGGAGGCTAGGGTGGGAGGATTTCTTGAGCCCAGGAGGTCAAGGCTGCAGTGAGCCGTGATTGTGCCACTGCACTCCTGCCTGGGCAACAGAGCAAGTCCGTGTCTCAAAAATAAAAATAAAAATACAGCATCAGAGTAGAATTGAAATTCTCAAATTAGAATTAAAATTCTTATGCTAATATTGGTTAAGTTTGGAAGTAATTAAGAAACCACTCTATGAGAGGTAAATCACAAACACTAAACACTAAAACTCGTACAATATTAACATGATAGAAATGTACACTTTTCATACCTAGCTAAGCCAGATTCAAAATAGTCTTGGTATTTGAATTTACAAAATAAAAAGTATATAACTGGAGAAGAATATATAGATAATCAGAACTCCAAAATAGCCCCTGCAATAGATCAAAACTGAGTCAAATAAAGTACCCTGCCCTCCCACCCCCTACCCCCCCGCCAAAACTAGCAGGAGATGGAGTGGCGGTTATTAAGATCATGGTTTATTAGGTTTCTGAATTTTGAAAGACAATATATTATGTATCTTGGGTGTGTCAACTGCATCTCAAATGTGACATGTCCAAATTGAAAATTATCTTTTTTCCAACCAGGAACCATCAGCTTTCCATTCATCATAACCTGTTAGAATGCAAGTGATCTTAATGAAACAGTCCTATTTGTTTGCCTTTGATTTTTAAATTCTTCAGATGTTTGCCTAAATGGCTTGCTCATAGTCTTTGTCCACCACCTACAGGGCTCATCATGTGTTGGTCTGCCGGCGCATTTCCAGCTTTATCTTCACTGCTGTCCACACGCATTTGGTGCTTTAGATATTCAACACCTGAAGTTCCTTGAAATGCCACCTATCAGTTGATACTCTTTGTGCTTAATCTTACTTCCTCTTGCCTCTTTCTTGATGATCCTTGATTCATTGATCATTTCCAACTTTTTATTTTTAAAGTGCTGAAATCATTTTTATCTTAAAAACAGCAATATCTTCAAACTACCACTGTCTCCTTTTCAGTCAAGCTCCTTGAAAGAATAAGTATTACTTATTTCCTATTCACCCTTCAACCCACTAGTCTAGTTTCTGCCCCACTACTGATCTTTTAAAAGCCAGTAATTAACAAAAAGCACAAATAAAATCCTAATTTTCAAATCAAATGGACTAGTCTAAGTGTGTGCCTTAATTAACATCTCAAACAGCATTTGAAACTGTTTACTACTATTTACTTAAAAATGAACACAACTACTTATTTTTCTGTGCCTTGTAGAAGACATTTAAAATATGAGTTAAAAGATAAAGCTAAGTGCAGCAGTAGGTGCCTTGTAGTCCCAGCTACTTGGGAGGCTGGGATTATAGGTGTGAGCCACCATGTCTGGCCTTCTTTCTTTCAAGATCACATGAGATTGGACGCATTCAGGGTGGTATGGCGGTAAACAGGCCTTGTTCCTTAATGGTAGATCCCAAGAGGAGAAAGGGCTAAAGATATAAAGCTACAAGCCTGGCATGGTGGCTCACGCCCATAATCCCAGCACTTTGGGTGGCCAAGGCAGAAGGATCACTTGAGCCCAGGAGTTCAGAGACTGGCCTGGGCAACATAGGAAGACCCTGTCTCTACAAAAATAAAAAATAAAAAATTAGCCGAGTGGAGTGGTGCGTGCCTGTAGTCGCAGCTACCTGGGAGGCTGAGGTGGGAGGATCGCTTGAGTCAGGGAGGTTGAGGCTGCAGTGAGCCATGATCATGCCACTGCACTCAAAGCCTGGGCAACAACGCAAGACCATCTCAAAAAACAACCAAAAAGCTACATTCCTGATATAGCTTGCTTAGCTGCTTATCAGAAAGGAAATTTACACTTCTAAAGCATCATATGAAGCTCCCAAACTTATCATTCTCTTGCTAACATTGAATTTTTTAAAAAGCAAAAAAAAAACTTTTGTTATCCCACCACTTTGAGAGGCTGAGGCAGGAGGATCACTTGAGCCCACGAATTTGAGACCAGCCTGGGCAATATGGCGGAACCCTGTCTCTACAAAAAATACAAAAATTAGCCTGGCATGCCTGTAGTCCCAGTTACTCAGGAGGCTGAGGTGGGAGGATCACCTGAGCCCGAGAGGTTGAGGCTGCAGTGATGATTGCGCCACTGCACTCCAGCCTGGGTGACTGAGACCCTGCTTCAACAAAACAAAACAAACAAAACATTAATCTCTCCTCACCTTGGCCTCCTACTTCTACTTCTGAATGTGCCGGTTCAGTCTCTGTCTCAGGCTTTTCTTTTTCTGACTATTCCACAGCATTTTGTCCTCAGCCTCCTGAATGTCCCCCCAGGCATCTCAAACTCAGTGTGTCCCAAATTAAACTGATCTTCACTCCTACACTTGCTCCTGTTTTTGGTTAATGACATCATCAACCACCCAGGCACCCTAGTGAGAAAACTGTCTTTTAAGATGATTCCCATCTCTCATTTCCCACATCCAAAGACTCACCAAGGGTTTCAATTCCACCTCTTAAATCCCTCAAACACGTCCACTCCTCTGTCTCCACTGCCACTGCCCTATTCAAGCTTTTATTATTGCAATCGACTCATTAGTCCCCTTGCCTTGTCACAATGCTCCATTCCATCCTACATCCTGCTACCAGTCATCTAAAATGCAAACCTGATCCTGTTAATCTCTGGATTCTACTTTCCTGTCCAACTTCATCCCCTGCCCTTCCAATCCATTTCCTTCTCTCTCTAGCCATACAGAACAGAATTCCCCACTGCCTTTGAACTTTTTCTGCCAAGAGTGTGCCTTTTTATGAATTCCTACTAATCCTTAGAGAGCAAAGGAGCCCATCCAAGCACTCCAAATTACACTTTATACTCAGCTTTATTATAACACTTAACATTGCAATTTTGCAATTTTTATTTAACAATTCTCCCTTATTAGATTGAGATGCTCAAGGATGGATACTATGTCATCTATCTTTTTCTTCCCAGCACTAGCAAAGTTTTGGGAACATAGTAGGCCCTCAATGTGTGGAACGAATGTTATTTCTGATAGCAATTTATTTATTTGAGATAGGGTCTCGCTCTATTGCCCAGGTTGGAGTACAGTGGTACAATCACAGCTCACTGCAGTCTCTAACTCCTGGGCTCAAGTGATCCTCCTGCCTCAGCCTCCTGAGTAGCTAGGACTATAGGCGCGTGTCACCATGCCCAGCTAGTTAAAAAAAAAATTTTTTTTTAAAGATGCAGTTTCGTCATGTTGCCCAGGTTGGTCTTGAACTCGTGGGCTCAAAGCAATCTGTCTGCCTCAGCCTCCCAAAGTGCTGGGATTACAGGTGTGAGTGACCGTGTCCAGCCTCTGACAACAATTTAAAAATTCCTTTCCATCTTCTGACACCATGTAATCATTCACCAAGTTCTAGTCTCAACCCACCTAACGTCTCTATTACCAAATCCTTCTCAATTCCCTATTTCTAAGGTCAACAAAACTATCATAATTGCATCCTGACAGGTTTAGGGCACTTCTCCATACTTGGCCATCTTCATTACTGCCGGTTATCTTTCTAAAACACATCTGGTTATGTTACCTAACTACTTAAAAAACAACTTTGATCATTACTCATTGTGAGTTGTAGGTGGTTATTTCCCAAGAACATGGAAATACATTGTGTTAAACTAAATAAATGAATGCATAATAAAGAAGACATAATACCCACCAAATCCAAGGCTTAAACACTTTGAAGATTGCATTTATAGTAACAACTTTGGGAACCCAGCACCAGCTCAACTGTTTTTTTTTTTGTTTGTTTTTGAGAAGGAGTCTCACTGTCGCCAGGCTGGAGTGCAGTGGCGCAATCTCGGCTCACAGCAACCTCTGCCTCCCGGGTTCAAGCGATTCTCCTGCCTCAGCCTCCCAAATAGCTGGGACTACAGGTGCGTGCCACCACATCCAGCTAATTTTTTATATTTTTAGTAGAGACTGGGTTTCACTGTGTTAGCCAGGGTGGTCTCAATCACCTGACCTTGTGATCCACCAGCCTCAGCCTCCCAAAGTGCTGGGATTACAGGCGTGAGCCATCATGACCGGCCCACCAGCTCAACTCTTTAGCCCTATCTCCTACTATTCTTCTACCTATACTCAGTACCCACCCTGGTCACTATTCCTTAATGTAGTGCCATATCTAGACTGCCCTGTCACCAAGCAAATTCTTATTCATCCTTGGGCCAGCATCAGATGTTACCTGGTTTCACCAAAACATGGTATAATGGGGGCTTTAAACCCTTTCCATAAATCTCATTAGTCCTCCCTAAGCAACCCAAATCAAAATTTAAAAAAATATTTCGTATGGATGGAGTTTTGCAATCTCATGTAAACTATGTACAAAAAGCATCTTTAAAAAGATTTGTATTTTTATTATCTGCAACATACTAAGTAAAAGCAAAGTACTCGCTATACAAGTGCATCTTCAAGATAAGTCCCTTGGCCTAACTTTCAACTAGATTGCAGCTAATAAAACTCCTCCACAGAAATTCTGAAGCAGTCACAGACTATTACTTGCCCTAAGAAGTTTTCTCTAACCTCTTCCTGACAAGCTGTCCTTCTGGGCTCCCATACAAACAATAGTGTAGTGTGTTACTTTCTCCTTTGGTTTCTTCTACAATGGTAGCACATCCAGGTTAAGGATTCTACATTAGATTCCTTACGTGTAAAATAAAGATAAGAAGACATATCTCATAGAATTAAATGTGTTAATGCGTACTTAAAGCACTTAGCATAGCATCTAGCATGTTGTAAGTGCTATATCAATGTCAGCAATTCTTTTTCAATTTTTGTTTGTTGAATGATGAGGCACTAGTACAAAGAGTCCCACAGCAAACAGACTGGTAGATGTGTGGTTCACAAAAGAGCATGCTATGAAAACACAATATGTCCTGAAATTCTCTGGGTGGTTATTACATAAGCAAAATGCCTTCCTAGTTAGTTATCTACTTGCAGATGTGATGTGAAACTGAGTAGATTTTAATGTTTAGCAGTTTAAGAAGATTTTAAGACCTCAAAGCTGGGAAAAGAAATTTTCAATTATAAATTTGTGAACTTCTGAGGAAGTTTTTTGAAAATAACACTTAACAGTTTCATATTTGAAGAAAAAGAAAACAGTGTCTTGGGAATTTGTGCTGTCTTTGACTCTATCATATAATACTTCTTTATACTGCAAACTACCTGTAAATGTATTTGATCGCAGGTTTGTGAGAAAAATAAAGTGTGTTGTGTGGTAGAAATAATACCAAAGTGGTATTATTGTGGGCTACAGATATTGAATCCTAGCCCACAAATTAGCTGTGGGATCTTGGGCAAGCTCTTAATTCCTCTGGGCATCAGAGCCCTTCTTTGGAATTTGAAGAGAGAAAACGAAATAATCTCTAAATTCCCATCCAGCTCTAAGTTACAAAGTTTTTGTAATACTATATTTTGAACTTTTTCTTACATTATACCCCCATGTCCTCTTACTAGAAACTAAACTATTTATTTATTTATATATTTTTAGAGCAGGAATCAAGTCTTATTTTCTTTACACCCAAGTGCCTAAATCCAGAGCCTGTTTCTTGACTTTGAATGAATGAGTTAGTAACCGTTTCTTGAACGAGTGCCCCTCTTCACAGAGCTAGTTTAAAAAAAGGCATAGCAAATTTATGGTATAATAGGTTAGCAGCTAACCGTAACATAACTATGTTATTAGAACAAATAATTGTGCATTAATATGACTTGGTATTCAATACAGTTATAGATCATATTATTTTTTGAAGACTTTACTAATTTAGAAAAGGAGTTCTAAACTATTTCCTTGCTTCAGACATATTTCAGAGAATTATGAGTCACAAAGCTTTGAGAGAGGCTTATTTATGAAATCTCATAATCCCATTGGCAATATCAAAAGTACCCAAGTACTCGCTACCAGGTAGCATTTTGTAGCAAAGGTTTTTATCTTTGACTTACTACCAAAATTACAGACTGAAAGACAATCTGATCCAGGAAATAAGGAACTGGTGTCTAATGACACACCAAGAAAGCAAACGTGTGTGTGCACATACATACACATACACACAATTTAAACTCCGTAACTCAATTGCCTTATATACTCATTTTCAAGTTTATATTTAGTGCTGGCTTATTGCAGGTGCAGTTCCAACATATCCCTAACATGGAATGGAAAATGGAGAATGAGTGACTACCTGTAAAGGAAGTCTATGCTTTTGAACAAGGGCAGATTCCCTTCTGTGGATATATCCCCAAAAGAGAGAGACAGGAAATTCCATTTCTCTTGTTTTAGTAATGATGTGGTTGAAATTTGAGATGTACTTGCTTCAGAATTTCCTGGGCCTGAATTGTTGGGAAAGCTAAGATTTTCCCCAGCACTCAGCTATCAGCCTCAATCACCTAAATGTGAGTTTGAATGTTAGTCACAGAAAACTCTACATGAATGGACACAAGCACGGTAAGTTTTTATTGTTAAATTACTATGTTACCCTATGCAGAGCAAAAAGTAAAGGGACTGATCTACTTCTGCATTCACATTTTAAATTCTTGAATAATGATTAAGTGAACAAATCATCAGCTAGGAAAGGAAAACTGAAGCTAGGGTTTCCTTATAAGTCTTCTAATTTCTCTAATAATTAGAGAAAACATGCTCAAAAACTTTAGAAAAACATTTTTCTATATGTGATATATTAATAAATAAACTATGTTTACCTCATTAAATTGGAAAGACTCAATATTAAAGAAAGTTTATATCCGGCTAATGCAATTATCATTTGGATATAATATAGGCATCAAAAAATAAAGGAGTGGCATAAATTTTTCCAAAATGTTAACACTTAATGCTGAGTTTCCAGTTCCAGAATTGTCCACTCGCCTTGAGGCGAACAATCTTCAGAGGAAAAACTAGCCATGGTGATGCTCGCTGAGGAATCAAGTGGAGATGTTAGTTCACTCCATCTGTTCAAAGTGTCAATATGTGTTATACCCTGAGGTTTTGAGCTATCTCGTGCTAAAAGTAGTGTCTGATTGATTAGATACTGTGCTAAACTTAAGTCTTCAGGAACGGAATTTGTAACATCTAAGTTTGAATCCTGTTCAGAGAGCAGTTGCTTTAGTAGTGTCCAATCTTGTTTTGCAAAATGTTGGTCATCTTCAAAATCCATATCTGTAACATGTGTTTCTGATTCCACTTTCTGCTCAAATGCTTCTATTACATCCATCTCATATATTGGAGACAGGGTTTTTGAAGGCCGATGGTCATACATGCGGGTTTGTGCCAGTGTGTCACAATCATCTATGTCTCCTGAAATAATTCATAATACTACACAATGTAAAAATTGCACGTTGGTACCCTCAGAGTTTTGTAGAATATTAACACAATATAACAGTGATAGTCAAAAAAAAAAAAAAACACAGAATGGGAAAAATAACTTCTATACAAAATTGACAAGATTTTTGAGGCATTTTTATGTGTTTAAAATTCAAGGGTAATGTTTAGAAGCAAAATCAACATAGGCAACTAACAATAATTCTCCATACTTTAATTTGAAAACTTGTGATACAGAAAACATAAATCATTTAAACATAAACATAGAATGTGCACATATATCTAATTCACTACAATAGAAAAAGAGAAAAAAAAAAGACATAGTGTTTTGATGATGACTTTTAGGGTAAGTCCGTTGCAAAAGGCAGGGATAAATACATTTCACCTAAAGGCTTATTTGTATATTGCACATGCAAAGGAAGATGCAAGCAAGGACAAACAAACGAAAAAGTACAACTTTAAAGACCTCCTTATTCTTCCGATTTTGCTGAACAGGAAACTACTGATCAGTATTTTTCTTAGTTATAATACACAATAGCTACTCAGTCAGCCACTATTGCATATTTTAAATGTGGGTCATTAGTCTGAATTACTATAATAAGGAAGACAAAAAACACAAAACAATTAGACAGAAAATCATCTAAACAATATGAAATAAGCCTGGGCTTTTTTCATATATTATCATTGCTTCTAAATATAATCTCTTAGGAAATTTATCTTTTTATTTGAAAACTTTAGAATAGACAGATCCTGAAAATTTTAATCTCTGTAAAATGTATATAAATTGTAATAATCAATCTAGTTGTTAAAATAGTTCAGTGCTTTTAGTTACATATTACTAGAGTTATTGCACAGGCCTCTTATATACTATCAAGTCTATAAATCATATCCAATGTATAATAAAATTTCTAATAGTCAAGAATTCTTGTGTTAAATTATACATAAATAACTAAATAGCAGCAAACTAAGTTTTTCTTTTTATTCTTTCATTTAAAATCTCTTAGTAGGTTAGCTCTATATAACAATCAAAATTTTTACTAGATATTACTTCTTCATTAGGATTTTAAGTGAACAATAAAGAATGAGTAATTTTCATATTAAGACATTTTTCATTTAAAATTTTAATCTGTTGCTTAAGTAATTATTCTATCTGACTAAAATATAACATTCAGGGCTTCATACAACTTTAAAATTTTATAAACTTATTTTCTTATGCATTTAGCATTTCTATTTCTGTACATTACCTGCAGATAAAGCAATATTAGCTTTTTCAGTAGTTGTAGAATGGCTCTCTTTCACTGGACCTTCCTGAGGCAGAACTTGACTCCGAAAGGAGTCTAGAGATTTTGTAGAGCTGTTCTTTGGTATGTCAGAATTGGGTTCTCTTTGATGAAGATCCAAGTGACATGGTCTTTCTTGAGATTTTACATCACTATCCAAGAATTTGCTGCGTTGCTGAATGTCATTTTCCACATTGCTTCCATTGTTTACTTTTTTATCTTCTCGAAGAAGCTGTCTGCTTCTACTGGATAGGACGTCTATTGTGTTCTTTTTTTCTGTGGCTGAAACACTCTGTTTATTTTTTCTTGAAGAGTCAATGCTACTAAGATCCAAGACAGTGCTTTCATTTTTACATACACTATTGCCTTTATTTTGTTTACATTCTAAAATATTATCTTCACTTTCTCGTGAGAATCTGGAATAGCAGGTCCTTCCATGATGTTCATGAGAAATGCCATCAAAAACATCAGAAGGTGAAAAAGAATCTACAGAAGCCTGAAAGGGAGTATGGACTTCTCCTTCATCTGATCCCAGCTCTTCACATTCATCGACTGAAAGTAAAACTGACCTTTTAAACTTTTTAGTTGCAGAAAATTCACGACATTCATTTTCAGTTGCATCTTCAAAAGCTAAATTAATTATTCCCTGAAACTGCTGAGGAGCTGGGTTAGATATAGAGAAATTTTCTGCAACGTTTTCAGCTTCAGATCTTTCATCTTCTGTTTCATCTGCTGAAGAAGATACCTGATCTATTTCCTGAGCAAACTGGACACTGCCTCGTGGAATATTTTCTCTTTCCCTAGAGTGAACTATTGCAGATCGAGACCAAATTTCTGGCCTTTTCCTAGGGATTTCATCATCACTCGTTGAATTAACTTGGAAAAGATCATTATTACTTTGCTTTTTCATTTTTACTTCAATTCTTAAATTACTATCATAAATTTTTAATTCTTCAGGAGTACTGGTATCACTGCTACTTCTTCCAAGAAAATCATGGCACAGCATAGTGCCACATTTAGAGATACCTCTGTCATTTGACCCATCATCATCCTGAGACCCTCCAGCATCATAGTCTTCAGATCTGGGCTTTATGTCATCGGAGGAGGTGGTAGCACTGCCAGTGTCAGATTCAGGACTCTCTCGCTGATGCAGAACACCAGTACTCAAATTCCAGTGACCCACAAATGGAGTTTCTGGAGTTTCATGGCTCTCTGGAGATTCTGATGTTTCCATATTTTTAGGAGAATTTTTTTCTGATAGCTGTCCCGAAAAACACTTGGAAGATACATCTGAGTCTGCTGTAGCATGTTTGTCTTCATCCATAGCAGATTCATCTGACAACTTACTAGGAATTGTCAGTCCTTCCACAGGAACTTTCGATTTTTTGTCTTCTTGAGCAGAATTTAAGGTACCATTTGTCCTTTCAGGATTACACAGTGAAACATCTTCCACACATTTAATACTTGATTGTTTGTTTGTATCTTTTCTCCCTACTTGGTTCTCCCTATCTGATATCAAATGGATTTGCCCTGCACTTGTTGAGTCTAAATCACAAACTGGATTAGAGTTCAAGGAGTTTTCATTTGGATTTGAAACCATGTATTTTAGGGCTGTGGTGCTATAAAATTTTGAATTTACATTATCACTCCCAACAGAATGACAACATATGTTAGCTGCATCGCAATCATCTGTTTCTTTGTGATTGGGAAATTTTGTTTCACTTTTATCTAAACAAATCTGTTTTGATTCCAGTTCGTGTTTTAATGATTTATCCAGCTTTGAAATATTTTGGCATTCTAACGCCAACTTCTCTTTTTCTTGATCGTTTAATGGCTTTTGTGGGTCAGGCCTGCAGGATGACTGGAGTGCTTCTGCATCACTTATTTCAGATGCAAGATTAATGAGAGGTTTGTGAGGCTTCTGTTCAGAAACACTGTCCTTGTTGTTATTATCACGCACATCATGAAACATACTTTTTTGGACAGTAGATGTTTCATGTTTTAAAGGTCTTTGGGAGGAAGGCTGAGTTTTTGATATAACCTGTCCAGGAGGCATTTTCTGTTTTGAATCTTTATTATTCAAAGTTTCACCTTTCTTTGACTGATTTAGATTTTTAGGCATTGCCACTATTTTTGCATTAACCTTAGGCAAAGCTGTGTGTACTTGCTTGACCATTTTTCTCTTAGGTGCTTGTTTCTCTGTAGTTGTATTGTGGTCCAACTTTGCCACATTTTCATCAGACTGCCTTGAAGAGACTGAAGATTTTACTGAGTTTGGTGACTCTCCTTGGGATCCTAAGAAAAGTAAGAGGGTATATTCAGTAATGTAATATCACCTCCAATTTGTGAGTAAAATTTAGTAATTTGTTTTAAAATTACTTCAGAAAAAATAAAATCAAGAACACAATGGAAGGGTAACATATCTATGATCAAATGGACAAGCACAGATTAGGAATCAGTTACATGATAAAATAAAAAAATTTTTTCAATTAAAAATATAGAGGGACTACTCCAGGGTCCCAGTAAAAATTACTAAAATAGGATCTCTCTTCCTCAAGTAAACAGACTTGATTTTTATGCCAAAACTGGATTTGCAAAAATATATGAGGGTGAAAAAATCGGATTTTCTTTTATCAAAGGAGCAAGAAAGGTCTTCCCTTTGAAGTTTTTGGAGAAAAAAAAATAGTGTGCTCTACATAGCTGAAAAGGAGAATCAAGCTAAATATAAAATAAATAGAACTGTTAAAATTGTTGCAGTTGTTTTCTTCAAACATGAATAAAACCAATTTACTTGTCATAACCAGATTATTATTACTGTAGCTCATTAGGATTAACAACTTAGATCTCCAGTGGAAACTAAAACTGCTGACTGGAAAGAAGGGGATTAATTTGGGGAATCCATTTGTTTATACTGGTGAAAGTCTTAGAGATGATATTTTGGACATTCAAATCTGCCAAACAGAATTATCAAATATTTTAAAATGTTTAACATTTAGTTATTACTAGGATATGAAAATGTTTTCTCTACCTTATTTTTAATTGATTTTCAGTAATAATTCATAATCTAAATCAAAACTGTTTTTAGCATTTTAAGAACTGCTTTTACATATGTTAATGCTTGATACATAAAAGCAATTTTGAAAATTGGTTATTATTTTAGCAAATTATGCAATCTGATCAGTACTCTTTTCGTTTTCAGAACACTGAAAAACAATGGACTCACACAGATTCTGGAAGGGAAATTCTTCCTCCTTATGTATTATAGTTGTTTAGACTGCACTATTATTATCATTATCAATTTTTTTTTTTTTTTTGAGATAGAGTCTCGCTCTGTCGCCCAGCCTGGAGTATAGAGGCAAGATCTCAGCTGACTGCAACCTCCGCCTCCCAGGTTCAAGCAGTTCTCCTGTCTCAGCCTCCCAAGTAGCTGGGACAACAAGCACACACCACCACACCTGGCTAATTTTTGTGTTTTTAGTAGAGATGGGGTTTCACCATATTGGTCAGGCTGGTCTTGAACTCCTGACCTCAGGTGATCCACCCGCCTTGGCCTCCCAAAGTGCTTGGATTACAGGCGTGAGCCACCGCGCCTAGCCTGCACTATTACTTTTTATAGAGCTCTTTAGTGCCAGTTTTACAAATGAAATTCCTATAATTATCAATGGAACTTTCAAGAAACATGGGCATAATATTTAAAAGGACCAGAAATGCAGATAAATTAGTGACTCCCTTAATTATTTCTCTCACAAAAGACAATGAAAACCAAACAGAGGCCAGGTGTGTTGACTCATGCCTGTAATCCCAGCACTTTGGGAGGCAGAGGAAGGAGGACTGCAGTGTGATCATGCCACTGTACTCCAGCCTGGGTGACAGAGCAAGACCCTGTCTCAACAATAACAACAACAGAACAACAAAAACCAAACCTACATCCCAAAACACCTGTCTGAAAAGTAAAAGTTTACAATCTCATCTCTATGGTGTGAAACAAACATAAAATGAGTAAAACCATATTTTGCTTATTTGCTACTGAAGTTGCAAATCAGAGTTTGGCTTATCCAGTTTACACAAGGAAATAATTTCAAGATATCCAGTACTATTTCAGCTTTACCTTGAGTTTTAGTAAGATTAGATGGGGTACTCTTTGTCCTCTGCTGAGCTGCAGTACATCCATTGCTAGTTCCTCTTTTCTTCAAAATTGCCTGTGGTACTGGCTCACTACATCCTTTGCCACTGACTTTCTTTAGTACACTAAAAAAAATTATTTGCATTCAGTATTACACTTAGATTCCAAAACATGAACTTTTTAAAAGACCAATACCTGAAACAGTTTTTTTCAAGAAATAAAAAATACATCTCTCCTGAAAATAGAAAAATCATATGCTCATAAGTCTTTTTAAGTTTATAAAACTGTAGATCAAGTATAATAAAGCAAGGTATAATCATATGCCATAGTACACATTAATATATTCTTTTAAATATTGTGCCTCAATCATTTTGCATATACTAATTTCTTTTAATAAATAAAAAACTGTGTTAAAATATTATGTAAATACATTAACAAAAAATAAAAGATATTTTAAAAATATTTAGCTAGCAGTTAGTATATAATTAACTTTGAGAGAAAGCTAACAGATAGGTTAAAACACTGAATGAAGACCTACCTGTTATTTACATTAGTGTCTTGTTCATGAATACTTTTTTTATTGGAAGTTCCATTGGTAACTCTTGAAACAGGTCGAGATTTTATGGCTATAAATTAAGAAAAAGTGAGTCATAAGAGAGAATACATTAAATATGTAACAAACGTGTAAGTTTACTGGTTAGACACTATAAACAAAATGAAATATTAAAGTGGGAAGGACTACCATTTTCTCTGTTTGCATAAGTACATATACATAAGTATTCTGTTGGCATCTGAAACTAAATAAAAGCCCAAATACAGGTTTAGGTTTTTGTTTTTTGAAGGAAATTTAACTGTCAGGAGATATTAAAAATTACAGTGCTAAAACCCACCTACAGTGGAATTTTTGACACTATCTACACTGTTTTTCATCATCTGTCCTGGAGAATCACAAAAGGATAGTTTATGTCCAGAAGGCTTTTCTTCTTCTGTTGATCCATTTTCTTTCGGTTCATCCAGACATTCAGTGGAAATTGAGAATTCCATACTTGAATCTGTGGATCTGCTGGAGGGTCCTGCGATGCTGAGGCATGGTGAATCCTTCCCTGTAGCTTTCTTCAAAGGCTTTGCTTTGGCTTGCACATTTAAGTTTCCTGTGAGTACCTTGGGTCTGGCACCTGAAATTTGCCCTTCCTGATTTCTCACTCCTTTTCCATTTAGTAAATTCTTCTGTCCAGTTGCTGCTGCTGCTGCTGTTGCTGATCTTTCTACAACTTGTCTAGGTGACATGTTTTCCAACCGTGCCTTATCACCATTTTCTGTTTTGGATTTTGTTACAGTTTTGGGCTTTCCAGAAACATTTTTTCCCCCAGTTTTTAGTTCTTTTGTAATCTTAGATGCTATTTTTGTACCATCTTTTTCCTTTACATCATCTTGCTTCAGAGTTTTATTTATACTATTTCTATTGGTACTTGACGAATGTCCAGATGCTCCTAATCCATCAGATTTCATCTTTTTATTAGTAGAGAGATAACTCCAACACTCTTTCTTGTTATTTCCCCTCCAAGATTTGATTTTTATATCACCAGAGTCAGAAACTTGTTTCCTTTGCTATAAAAAAGAAAAAAAATACTTTGTAATTTGACTGAAATCTTTAACATATAATATTTTATGTTTCCAAAAGCCAGTCTTTCAAAGAAAAAAAATAGAAAAGTTCATATTATGATTTAAGGTCAAAGCTTGAACTGTCTTTGATCATTTGGATCAAAACTTTGTCTTAGATTACCGTAATCAAATCTGAAA
Organism: Homo sapiens; assembly: GCF_000001405.40. Classification (NCBI taxonomy): domain Eukaryota; kingdom Metazoa; phylum Chordata; class Mammalia; order Primates; family Hominidae; genus Homo; species Homo sapiens. Next base: position 92,176,636 of record NC_000001.11, on the reverse strand, counting down.
TACAGCATAAGTGTTTATTTTAAAGGCATGCTATTCTATCTATTAAAGTAAATAAATAAATAAAAGGAAGGCTTTTTTAATGTATGAAGTTTTGATAGAGATTAATGTCTATAAAGATTCAGGATGCCCTGAGGAATGATAATATCCATGATTTTTTAGAAGGCTTACTCCCATGTTTTATACTACATCTTTTGTATACATCATCCCACTTAATCCTCACAACAGTCCCATGAACTAGCTCCTGTGGCTGTTTCTATTTCTTAGACAAGAAATTGAGGATTAAAGTAGGTATGTGATTTACCCCAGGTCTCAGGCTGATGAGGGATGGAATCAGGACTTGAGCTCATTTTTTAACCTCACACCGAAGTCATCTATATAGCATAATTTGAGGGACATTATAAAGATTTTCAATAAAAATTCTCTCTTCAACCTTATTCCAAGTGCCAGAAATTTTATCATTAAAGACTTAATCCTCTGTGGGAAGAATCCTTTACTTCTTGGAGTCCTTATTTAAAAAAATTTTTTTTTAAAAGCTCCTAGGAAGCACAGCACATCAATACACTACATCTGCAAAGCTTGGTTTTTGGACAAATAAGATACTAGTATAGCACTGGCTGGCTATAGGAAGCGAAGGAAAAGGGATCCTAAAAATAGCTGAAATAGGCTAAAAAGGGACAAATAAAATGGCACTGAAGATAAACATACCTACTTCATCATTTTCCTTAGAACCAACCTTGATATGAAAGGGAACAAAGAAAATTTTTAAGTTGGTAGAAATTCTAGGATAATATTTTAAGATCATATTGTCATTCTTTTTTTTCTTTCTTTTTTCTTTCTTTTTTGAGACAGAGTCTTGCTCTGTCACCCAGGCTGGAGTGCAGTGGCCCAGTCTTGGCTCACTGCAACTTCTGCCTCCTGGGTTCAAGCAATCTCCTGCCTCAGCCTCCTGAGTAGCTGGGACTATAGGCACATGCCACCACACTTGGCTAATTTTTTTGTATTTTAGTAGAGAGAGGGTTTCACCGTGTTGCCCAGGCTGATCTTGAACTCCTGAGCTCAGGCAATCCACCCGCCTCGGCCTCCCAAAGTGCTAGGATCACAGGCATGAGCCACTGTGCCCGGCCAATATTGTCATTCTTTTTTTTTTTTTTTTTTTTTTGAGATGGAGTCTTGCTCTGTTGCCAGGCTGGAGTACAGTGGCACGATTTCAGCTCACTGCAACCTCCGCCTCCCAGGTTCAAGCAATTCCCCTGCCTCAGCCTCCCGAGTAGCTGGGACTACAGGCATGCGCCACCATGCCCAGCTAATTTTTGTATTTTTAGTAGAGACGGGGTTTCACCATGTTGGCCAGGATGGTCTTGATCTCTTGACCTCGTGATCCACCCACCTCAGCCTCCTAAAGTGCTGGGATTACAGGTGTGAGCCACCGCGCCCGTCCTATTGTCATTCTTTATGTAAGTATGCAAACGGTTTTTTTTTTCCTTTGGAAGCTGTATGAGATTGTAGAGGTCTGAGGCAGAGCCTGTGCTCTCTTCATCTTTTGTATCCCTCGGCACCATGTCACATATTGGATACTCAAAAAACAAACAAACAAAAAACGTAATCAATGTTGTTAATGCTGGGCATATATTGCATATTTTGATATGCAGTTTAAGGTCTATTTTTAAATATGAAAAGCTTCCAATTACATTAAAAGCTGTCAAAGATAAAATAACATATATGAATGTGGGTGCACACAAAAAAATACACAATAAATAACTTGGTTAAATTTAGAAAAAAGGAAAGCACGGTGATAAAACAACCACTAGATTCTTGTCCTAGTTTTGCTTCTAACCAGCCTGGGACATTTCAGAAATTATTAACAGCTTTGGGTCTCAGCTTATGCCTGTCCACAGCGTAGAGACTGGTCCTATTCACAGCAGTCTTCTAGGATTCTAACATTTAAAACGTTCAGATAGGCTTGGTCCTCATTTTTTGTTTTCTTGCTCAAATCTTAGCTCAAAAAAAAAACATTTCTCTATTTTTAATACCTAAAACCAGGCTGACTTCTGCTTTTAGAACTCCTTCCCACCCTTAACACTGAATCTACTTAATTTATTCTATCCTTGAATTTATGCATCTTGAAGTATTACGCTATGGGTGAAATCTATATAGTATATGGTATAGCTGTATGCCTTGAAAAATTTCACAATAGGCCAGGTGCGGATTGCTTGAGCCCAGGAGTTTGAGACCAGCCTAGGCAACATGGCAAAACCCCGCCTCTACAAAAAAAAATACAAACATTAGCCAGGCATGGTAGCTTGGGCCTATGCCTGCTATTCAGGAAGCAGAGGTGGAAGGATCCCTTGAGCCCAGAAGGTCAGGGCTGCAGTGAGTTGTGATTGTGTCACTCCACTCCAGCCTGGGTGACAGAGTGAGACCCTGTCTCAAAAAATAGGAAAAATTAAACATAATCATAAGAGGACAGAAGAGTATAATGAATCCTCACGTACCTAATAGCCAGCTCTAAAAATTATTAATTCATTATTAATTCCAATTTTATTTCATACACACCCACCCCCATTTTATTTTGAAGCAAATCCCAGATATCATATATTTTATCCTTAAGTATTTTGGTACTAAGCATTCTTCTTAAATCGCTCTATGAAGGAAAAATGAAGCAGGCAACAACAACCACCACCACAACAAAACAAACAAACAAAAAACCTCTTTCCCTGTCTTATCTGATTAACTTTCTCCCACCTCCTAGATAGCTCATCCCTGTTTGGAAAACACATTTATTTGCTCCACATTTATTGAGCACTTACTACATACCAGATAATTGCACATAAATTATTTCACCTAATTTTCACAATAATCCTGCTAGGTTTTATTACTCCATTTTATAAATAAGCAAACTAAGACTCACAGATGACACATAATAAATGCAAAGCCAAAATTTGAACTCTTTTGATTTTGTGTCCAGCATCCATTTCAGCATATCACTGTCTTTCTGGGGGAAACTTCCTTCCTTCCCATTGTTCTTAACAGAAAAAAGACTTAGACAACCACAAAGTCAGGAGGATGAGGAAAAATAATGAAACTTTGTTCTATTCTGCAGTAAGGCAAGGAAGGCAGAAAAGCCTGGTGAGTAGCAGGGGATAGGAAGGCAAGTAGGCTAATTCCTGGGGGCCTTTAAAAAACACGGGGATAACAGGGAACACAGAAAAAAATGTCCTAGTGCACCATTTCCTAGAGTATGTTCTGTGGAATCGTATAATATGCTTTAAAAGGGTTGTCGGGACCCTAGTCGTATTCCATAGCTATAACATTGGGGAAAATTTTGGATGCAACAATTCAAAAGTATTCTTTAGTGTTTCTCAGCACTTTCAAGGTATAATATGCATCGTCGGTCTATAAAGAGTTGCTATGGGGTTGGGCGTGGTGGCTCACGCCTGCAATCCCAGGACTTTGGGAGGCCGAGGCGGGCAGATCACCTGAGGTCGGGAGTTCGAGACCAGCCTGAACAACATGGAGAAACCCCATCTCTACTAAAAATACAAAATTAGGCAGGCATGGTGGCACATTCCTGTAATCCCAGCTATTTGGGAGGCTGAGGGAGGAGAACTGCTTGAACCTGGGAGGCGGAGGTTGTGGTGAGCCGAGATCATGCCATTGCACTCCAGCCTGGGCAACAAGAGCGAAACTCCGTCTCAAAAAATAAAAAGAGGAGCTATGGTGTGTAGCTACTCTCCAACTTATAGTTGATGCTAGATGGAGCTCGTATCTTGTGAAACCCACTTTGGAAACAATCCTAAGAGGTTAATTGGCAAAAACTCCAGTCTCCCAGTTTCTCACTCAAGACATTTGGAGCTTGACCTCTTCCTCAAGCCATGACAACTCTCAGTTGTGGCTTGGAGCTGCATTAGTTCCTATCAACTGGCTGATGAGGAAGAAAAAAGGATTTCCTATTCCACTCTGCTAGGGCAATACGTTCATTGCATTCCAAACTGGAACTCTCAATGTATGTCTATCATTGTACCACACAGAGGTTAGAATAATTTTGTACTTTGAATATATTATTGGTTAAGTGAACATCTGTAAGTCAGCTAGGAACCCTAACCATAATTAATAACATTTTTGGGAAGACAAATTTATTTCAGGTTATAAGAAAAACACCAAATAACCTTGTGGGTGGTCAAAAACAAACAAACAACACACAAAACATGAAATCTACCATCTTAACCATTTAATACACTTAAGTACTCTTTAATACACTTCAGTAACAGTGTAGTAATGTTAGCTGCATGCACTTCGTTGCACAACAGAAAACTTTTCATCTTGCAAAATGGAAACTCTGTACTCATTGAACAACTCCCCCTTTCTCCCTCCCTCTAGTTTTCAGCAACCACAATACTACCTTCTAAGAATTCAACTACTTTAGATACCTCATAAAAGTATACCAAGTAACTTTTAAAGTAAAACACAGTTGTACTCTTAGTACTAATTGCTTTTTTCAAAAACACCAAAAATACATTATGTGAATTAAAATCTTTTTTTTTGTTTGAGATGGAGTTTCGCTCTTGTCACCCAGGCTGGAGTGCAATGGTGCAATCTCATCACACTGCAACCTCTGCCTCCCGGGTACAAGCAATTCTCCTCCCTCAGCCTCCCGAGTAGCTGGGATTACAGGTGTGCACCACCATGCCTGGCTAATTTTTGTGTATTTAGTAAAGATGGGGTTTCACCATGTTGGCCTGGCTGCTCTCGAACTCCTGACCTCAGGTGATCCATCCGCCTCGGCCTCCCAAAGTGCTGGGATTACAGGCGTGAGCCACCATGCCTAGCCTAAAATCTTCTTTTTTAAGAAGTAGGCTAATTAGAAAAACAGACATTGAATTAGGTCTAGAGTTCTAAACAACTTCTAATAGACTGAAATAGCTCTAATACGTTAGCTGCCAAAAAGGTTTTCAAGGAAATGAAAAAGGTAGATACTTCCAGTGCCAACTGGATATAAAAAATTCACTTTAAAACATTTATTAAATGTTCACTTGATTTAGAAAAAGAAAAATTTTCCATTAAGAAATAGCTTCAATTAATGAATAGATTTTTAAAACTTTTTCTGAAATATAAAATAATAAGCTTTAAATAATTTGTTATCTTTTTCATTTGTACCTATAAAATTTAGAAAGTTTACCTGCGAGCTACTGAATATAGGCTTTTTGCCAAGTCTTCGATCATCACCTTTGTCAAATGCAGCTGTAGAAAGAAACAGCAATTTGTTTTTATAAGGAACATTATTATTACCTTAGAAGTAAAGGAAAAATAGTATGTCAGTAGAAAAAAGGTTATATTTTGATGGAAATAACTTAATAAACCTGAAACCAATCTAGTATACAAAACAACTCCCTATTATATTTTAGAATTTTTTTAAAAGAACCTCATTTTCTATCTTATTCTCTGGCCCCTAGGTTTTATGTTATTAAAATTAATAAATAAGAACTGTACAATCTCACAGAGAAGATTCATACATTTAGAAAAACATGAGAATTTTCTCAAACTGTGACATTTTAGATAATTGGTTTCATTTAGTTCTCCAAATTACAAAAAATTACAGATTATAGCAAATGTAACATTCTACAAGCTATTAAATATGAGAAAATGTTTATACTAAATGTAAAAATACTCTTGAAATTAAAAATATTTTCTGGTTTTGCAGATATATAATGAGGAAGGAGGAAAGAGAAAATAAAAAAATAAGGTTCTACTGAAAATAAAATAAGAATCTTCAAAATATTCTTTTTATAATTAAATAAAAATTCATTTTATAAGTTAGGTTTATATGGGAATTTATTGCAGAACTCATGTCTATGCTCTTCAAATAAGAATTTGAATGTCAGGAAAATATGTAGGCTGGAATAATTATATGAGAGCTACAAATATAGTTTAGCAAATGTATTTCTTTTGAAGGTTACTGGGATTTAAGACATATTTTGAAGAAATATATACAATCTCTGAAAATTATTTGATTTTTATTAAATCAGCTAATAAAAAATACATTAAATTATCTGTAACTACCATGCATCTTCCATGATCTCTATTCTATAGGATATGTGCTATAAGACAAAGCAGGATCCTGAAAATGGCACTATAGGACTGATTTGCAGTAAGCAAATGACTCTGCACAATAATACACAGGAAGAAATTAAACTAAAAAATTTCTCCCAAAGGTCAGTAACTCAACTATGACATACGAAATGTAGTAACAGACAACCCAGAACCATTCCTTTATCTGGGTTTCCCAATGAAGTAATTATGCATAAGTCAGAACTCATTATAATTCAACTTATTTAAGATTAAAACATTATTATTACACTGATATAATGTAACAGAACGAAAAGTCCTTTTTGACAATTCAAAAAGGATTGTTGGATTAGCTGGATAGTTGGATTACCAATAACATTTTATTTAAATATGGGTATTTACATGTATTTTTAATTAGCACTTTGAAGAATTAAAGAACACAGAAGCTCAACTTAACTATGAAATCCTCTAAAATAGAGAAAACCAAAGTTTGCTACTAATCGGAAGAGAGCTGAAGACACCTACTGAAGGAATGCTGATCTTATCTTGTTACTTTACATTACATAAATTTTGTAAAAATAAACCATCATTTAAAAATCAGCACAGAAATAGTCACAAGGAAAAAAATGTCCAATTTCTAAGAGATTCTTCTCATAATTTTTGTTTAAAATAATGGAATTTCTTTGAAAAGTGCTCTTCATATCACATCTAGCTACACTATCATGTAATGCTTATAATGTAAAAGCAGATCCTATTCTGATGATACCACTAAAGAATTTAAATATTTATGCATTCTCAAAATATATTTTAACAGACATGGCTTCCATGTTTACAGTACTAAAATGTTTGCTTCATAAAATTCAGTCTCTTAAAATGTTTTAAAAAGTATACACACTGAATATGCCAATATTTTATCTAAGGCACCTGCTTTAACCCAAAAATAGTCATGAAGACATTTTCAGTTCCACACCCTCAAATTTTTATTTTGATATTTTTTTTAAACACATGTTCTGAGCAATATACATCTTTTGTTTAATGCTAATGTTTCAGATGATACCTATTAAATGTCACAGACCACTGTGCAGCTCCTGAGGGACAGTCCGCAATAGCACACTCCACATCATTGAACCAATCAGTTGTGAAATAAAGCCATCTATTCCAGGCAAAACCACAAGAAAGGGTGTCTTATGAAAAAGATGGAAAAGCTTTATGACAAAACATATTTAAAAAGGAGGAAAAAGTATGTTCGATACTCTGTTCTATGTGGGTTACATTTTCTTACACTTTTAATCTCTTCACAAGAATGCTTGTAAGCAAATTTGCCTAGAACATTGTTGCTAATGTATAGTAAGATTAGAAACATATATATATATAAAGGAAATGAGTTTCATTTTCTAAGAACAGCTAAAAAGCATGATTTATTAAAACTGCCTAAACATATGAGCACCAGTTTCAGTTATCCTATTATCCAACAGAAGCACACAAATGTTAACCTTTTCACTTATCAGAATGCCCTCAAAATATCTGCTGTCACAATGATCATTACATAAGAATTGAAATATCTCAAGGCTAACGTACCTGCTTGGATTTTCTGTTGATCATCTGTGCTCATCAGCTTCCAGCTTTCTGTGTGACGAACAGCATAGAAAGACTGAACCAGGAAGATCCACAGCTTATCACGCAGAGCCTGGATCTTGCACGTAAAACCCTGTGTTCAAGCAACAAATCAGCAGCTGGTGAGAGCCACATTGTCATAGCAACCAGTCATTATTCCTTTCAGAATCTACTTACTCCTAAGCTAGATCAATGATGTCATCATTTAGATTTTTAAGATCGTTGGGTACATGTTATTTATGAAGACTTATTAATAACAAAATTTTATAAATGAACACAAAGCTAAAAAATCTCATCTTTTCAACCAAATGTTATTTTAAAACACCAATGCCCTTGATATGAACACCTTCCACAGCCTTTTCATATCAACTATGACATTACAAGGTCAAATGCTCTATGGAATAGTAATAAATATGATACATTTTAAAAACCATTCTTGTCGAACAAATACAGAATGCCAATAATTTGTAATTACCTAATTAATGGCCACTGATTAATTGTATTTAAAAATAAATATTTTAATTTTGCTTCCCAGCCTAATTTTAAAATATGATTTTTTGAAGAGAAAAATTAAGATTATAAAAATAAAAGACACTGATGATTAAAAACTCTAAAATATACATTTATATCTAAAATATACATTTTATATCTAGAAAATTTACTGTAGGACCAGGGAGAAATACGAGAGTTATGCTGTGCCAAATAATGTTGCTAAATATCACACTAAATTTAAAATTACCCAGCCAAACTGCCAATTTCTAAACTTTTATAAGAAGTCCATTTGGAGACAAACGGAATTTTTAAAATTTAGTATTATAAAAAATTCCAAACATATACAAAAGTAGAGACCTTAATCCACCCCTAGGTATCCACTGCCTAGCTTCAATGACCCTGCAACATTTAAAATGCACATACATCTAAAAATCTTAGTTCAAATATTGCATTATTTTAATAAATTTCATTACATTCAGTACCATTTCCTTTGTACTGTCAGAGTTCAGCAGTGTGTCCAGAGCCATAAGAAGAGAGCAGCTATTTTCAGTGGTGATATTTTCTTCAATTGCTTTTAAAATTGTGTCCAACAGATCGGCTGTGCTGCTCATTGCTTGTGACTATAAAACACAGAAATTAATATTTAAGAGGAATACATATAAAATGCACAAGAAATGTGAAAGTCTGGCGTAACAGATCATTATAACTAGCTGTATGAAGTCAACCAGAAATCGTATTTTTTCCCTTTGTTAAAAAATTCGCATATATGCATATGCACGCAGCTTTTATTTTTATTTATTTATTTTTATTATACTTTAAGTTCTAGGGTGCATATGCACAACGTGCAGGTTTGTTACATATGTATACATGTGCCATGTTGGACACACAGTTTTTAAAAGCCAACATAGCCCTAAATACAGAACCTAGAAATAAACAATAGGAGTTATTCTGTGAATAATTTTAGAGAAAGTAGCTTCCCAATAAGACAGAGAATTCTGCATGGATCATAATTGTATTACTGGCCAAAACAGTACCTTTATGACTTTGGTTTCTAAAATGTGGCTTGCTGAGGGAGGGCTAGAGTTGGCCAGAATTACACTGTGCCTTGCCAGGGCACTCAAACCTGTCCCTCTCGCCTTTCTCATCTTGTGAGCCAAATATCCTGTCCATCACTGCCTTAAATCCTATGTAAACATGCCATCTGCTATGGAGTTTATTTAAATCACATTAATTTAATCAAAAGCAACCTGCATTTAAAAGCTCTTACATAATTGAAATCAGAACACAAAGATGGAACTAAATATAGGATATAATTTAGGCATAGTACCTGTAAAAGAAGAGCAAAATTTTCACTCTGAATAATCTTGGAGAAGTTGTCTACAATAAATGCAATACATTTTTCTTGAAGCTGAGACGCCATGGTCAGTGCTGCTTCCGTCCACTTCACTCTGGGTAAACTGATGATTAGCCTGTCACTTTCCATCAGAAGAAAAGCAGCATTCTTATCATTCTTAGATTTAAAAAAAAATTGGAAAGTTAGATGCTATTACTGCTAATAAAATAACTCTCTAAGCAAATCAAATACTTTTGTTGTTATGGGATGTTTCCTGCAAAAACAAAATTCCAGGTAGCTAATGTCTTTGTTATTAGTTTTACATATAATGTTTATTCATTAATTCAGAATTATTCAAAAGGGTAAAGTTTGAGCTAGGAAGAAACCACCTTTAAAAGGTAGCTAAAAGAGGTGGGGTACAGTGGCTCATTCCTATAATCCCAGTACTTTGGGAGGCTGAGGCGGGTGGATCACTTGAGGTTAGGAGTTCAAGCTCAGCCTGGCCAACATGGTGAAAACCCACTTCTACTAAAAATACAAAAATTAGTCAGGCATGGTGGTGCATGCCTGTAATCTCAGCTACTCGGGAGGCTGAGGGAGGAGAGTTGCTTGAACTCAGGAGGCGGAGGTTGCAGTGAGCTGAGATCGCACCACTGCACTCCGGCCTGGGTGACAGAGCAAGACTCCATCTCAAAAAAAAAAAAAAAAAAGAAAGAAAAGAAAAGTAGCTAAAATAAACCTGATAGCAAAGTGATAATAACTAGAAAGAAAAATTTGAGTTCCCTAAGATTATCACTACTAAATTAATTTTTGTGCTTATAGATATCATTTATAACTGCATGGCTACACCAGCATAGCACTAATTCTTTTCTGACTACAAAATATGTTTCTTTATGCAAATTTGGAAAGACTAAAAATTACTTATAATCCCCAGGGATTTTCCTCCTCTTCTCTAATTAGGTTAAGACTCTACTGTTTATATTTTATTCATTTCATCATTCATTACTATGGAAAAAAACATTCACAAATATTGATCTCTATGGAAAATGGAATGACAATGAGCAAATACCATGTACTCCACAGAAAAGGAAAAAAGGCAACTTATATATTACTGTCTCTTATTCATGTTTGATTTCCAGTTCTTAAAACAATGCTTAGTAAATAACTATTTATTAATTAGTTACTTGATAGACTGGTAAATTGAAAAATATGGCCACAAATTCCATCCACCAAGAGGTGGAATCTATCTCCTCAGTCTTGAATCTAGACTACTAGCCTTCTCACTTGCCTTAACCAACAGTGGTGATGTGCAAGTTCTAGAGCCTAGGCCTCAAGAAGCCTTGCAGCTTCAGTCTACCTTCTGAGAATCCTGGGACCACCAGACCAAAGAGGCCTAATAGGGAAGACCAGCCCCCCAGCTCAGCCCCCAGCTGAATGCAGCCGCCACAGGCAAGACCAGCAGAAGAATCACCCAGTGAACTCACAGAATTGTGGAGTTGTTTTAAGCTGCCAAGTTTGGGTGTGGTTTGTTACACAGCAATAGATCATTGATAAATCTGGAAATGACTGAAATACCTAACATGGACAGCATGATGTGGACTCTGCACAGCCTCTGTTTTTTTTTTTTTTAGGTCCAGAAGCACTACATCTTCCCTGATACCATATATCTACATCAGATTTCTTTTATACACACTATAAGAAAATCTGTTGCTTTTTGTTAGAGCATTTAATTCATTTGTAATTAATCAAACATGAACATTACTATTTAATGTCTGTCTCCCTCACTGGGCTGTATGTTCAATGAGTGTAAAACTACCTCTGTTTTAGCTCACCAATGTATCCTCAGGGCCTAGTATAAAACTGGGTCATAGTAGACACTAAAATTTATTTGCTGATCTTTTAATATGATTGGTGACAGAGTCTATCAGTCAATCTCTAAGATAACAAGTTTAATCTTTCAACTTCAAAACTAAAAATTTTAACCATTTACTAATAATTCTTTTTTTTTTTTTTTTGACACAAGTCTTGCTCTGTCACCCAGGCTGGAATGTAGTGGCTTGAACATGGCTCACTGCAGCCTCAAACTCCTGAGATCAAGTGATTCTCCTGCTTCAGCCTTTCAAGTAGCTGAAACCACAGGTGCATGCTACCACACCCAGCTAATTTTTTTTAAAAAAAGTACTGGCCAGGTGAGGTGGCTCACACCTGTAATCCCAGCACTTTGGGAGGCTGAGGTGGGCAGATCACAAGGTCAGGAGATTGAGACCATCCTGGTCAACACGGTGAAACTACAAAAATATAAAAAATTAGCTGGGCGTGGTGGCGGGCACCTGTAGTCCCAGCTACTTGGGAAGCTGAGGTAGAAGGATGGCATGAACCCGGGAGGCAGAGCTTGCAGTGAGCCAAGATCGCACCACTGCACTCCAGCCTGGGGGACAGAGCAAGACCCCGCCATGTGAAACAGGGTCTTGCTCTGTCACCCAGGCAGGAGTGCAGTGGTGCGATCTCAGCTCGCCGTAACGGGGTCTCGCTCTGTCACCCAGGCTGGGGTGCAGTGGTGCAATCTCGGCTCACTGTAACCTCCACCTCCCCAGTTCAAGCAATTTTTGTGCCTCAGTCATGCAAATAGCTGGTATTACAGGTGCACGCCACCATGCCCAGCTAATTTTTTGTATTTTTAGTAGAGATGGGGTTTCACCATGTTGGTCAGGTTGGTCTGAAACTCCTGGCTTCAAGTGATCCACCCGCCTTGGCCTCCCAAAATGCTGGGATTACAGGTGTGAGCTACCACGCCCAGCTCTAAAAAATTTTGTAGGGATGGAGTCTTGCCATGTTATCCAGGCTGGTCTTGAACTCTTGGCTTCAACTGATCCTCCCACCTCGGCCTCCCAAAGTGCTGGGATTACAAGTGTGAGCCACTGCATCCAGCCAATAATCCTTTAAAAATGTATTATATTCTCCCACTGCTTTGAGTAAAATTTTAAAAAGTCATACTTTGCTATAATTCGTCTAATTTTTAGGACCATTGTCGTTTCCTCTTCCAGTGACTTCCTGAGTAACTGTACAATTACTAAGAGTTTTAGACAATAAGCTCAATTTGTTCTACTGCAGGCACTGCTCTGGTAGGGAAGCCAAATGTAAGGTATTTAAATAAATTTGGCAGGTATCTACAAAGTGCTTACTATATACATAATGTGATGTGCTCTGACAGTAGCATTTTTTTAAAAACCACAGATATAGAGTATAATTGTCATAATTTAGCTTGGAAAACTACAATATGGACATAGTTAAATAACATAGATGATACATGATCTTATTCCATACTCATCTGAATATATGATAAACATTAAATGTTAGAGTACCTCGAGATTCAAAGAAACAGAAGTAATACTTTCAGACCAAACACTTAAATTTTAATTCAACAGTTAACACAACGACAGTTTAAAAATTTCAAATGTAGGGCAATCTGCTCGGGTCCCCTTCCACACTGTGGAAGCTTTGTCCTTTCGCTCTTCACAATAAACAATAAACCTTGCTATTGCTAAAAAAAAAAAAATTTTCAAATGTATAAAGGACATTCTAGGAAAAGTCTTCCTCTCCTTCCTGTCCCCAAACCATCCATTTTACAACCAATATTATTTTTTCCCTTATCTTTCCAGTTATTTTATGCATATACAAACAAAACATATATGTAATTTTCTTATTTTATACAAATGAAGGCATTAATATGCACAGTACTCTGTATCTTGCCTTTTTTTTTTTTTTTTTTTTTTTTTTTTTGAGACAGAATCTCTCTCTGTTGCCCAGGCTGGAGTGCAGTGGCGTGATCTCGGCTCACTGCAAGCTCCGCCTCCCGGGTTCACGCCATTCTCCTGCCTCAGCCTCCCAAGTAGCTGGGATTACAGGTGCCTGCCACCACACCCGGATAATTTTTTGTATTTTTTAGTAGAGACGGGGTTTCACCGTGTTAGCCAGGATGGTCTCGATCTCCTGACCTCGTGATCTGCCTGACTTGGCCTCCCAAAGTGCTGGGATTACAGGCATGAGCCACCGCGCCTGGCCCTGTATCTTGCCTTTTACACTTAGCACACATCTTGAATATTTTTCTTACCAGTGTATATATATATATTTGTTTTAATAGCCATGTCATAGTCCATAATATAGATATATCACAAGTCATTTAACCAGTCCTCTACTTAAAGACATTTACATTGTTTCCAGTTTTGCTATGATGTCGTAATGACTTACCTTGTATATAACATTATTTCACAAATATGTGAAAATATCTACAAGATACATTTCTAGAAGTAGAATTGCTGGGTCAATACTACTTCTCTTAACCTGGGTTCTGCCTAAAAATTGAGCCTGAGAAACAGGCTTATATGCAGTTTATTTGTGAAGTGATCCTGGGGGATCTGAGGTGCTGGAAGAGTGCAATAGGGAAGAAAGGAAGAAAAGCCAATTCAAGGGTGTATTTTCTAGCTCTCTGCTATTCAAAGTGGCATCAGCTAGCCAGAGCCTGTTAGAAATACACAATCTCTGTATCCTCCCTTGACTTACTGAATTAGAATCTGCATTTAAACAAGACCCCCAAGTGTTTTGTAGATACATTAAAGTTCGAAAAACACTAATATAGAATTCACTATTGTAGGCAACTGGGACTCAATCTTGTTGGGGACCTCCTGAAGAGCTATGAAGGACATACTTTGAATTATCCATCCAACAGACAGAACAATGAAATATTAACCACTGGCTCTCATCTCCCATTGGTCAAGGCTTGCCCTCAGGGATGTGAACTCTCTTTCACTGCCAGGTTTGCACAGGTTCAGAATTGCTGAGCTGCAGGTATCTCATGTGGTGTAGCAGTGAAGCCTCAGTACAGAAAGTGAGAAAGATGTGTATGTGATGTGGCTGAGGGAAAGTGCTGTCAGAATCACATCCATGTGCAGCTAGATGCTGCAGCAATAGTTTGAGTACAAACATGGGCCAAGAGGCTATGAGGTGGGACACCAGGGGTATCCAAAACGCTGCCAATATACAATCAATGGAGCACTGTTTTTCAAGTGGTAGATTCCTCCATAGCAACCTAGAGAAATGTATTTAGCGGTTCACAATCAGCACTAGAAAACAAAAGAAAGAAGGGGGTGGGTGGGTGAGGAAGACAAAAAAAGGAAGAAGAAACATAGAAAACACCAGTACATCATATGTAATAAGGCTAAGAGATCTTTTGTGAAACTTGTGTTTCTGTTCTATATGTGTCAGTGTATTGGGTTACAATGAAAACAACAACAAAACAAACAAACAAAAAACATCTTTTTATTCTGGGTCACAGATAAAAAGCTTAGGAAACATAGAAAAAGTTGTGCTAATTTATGACCTTCCCAGGAATAAATCAGAATATTTATCCCATATACTCTTACTAACACAGTGAAAATTTATTTTCATCATTCTGAAAGGTAGAAAATGGTCTGACATGGTAGTTCTCACGTCCACTTCTCTTAAATAAATGAAGTTCAGGATCTGCTCATCAAATTAAGAGGTATCTGTACTTCCTTAGTGAACTATCTAATACTATCCTATGTTTCGCTTTGATTTTTAAAAATCAATTTGTAGAAACTCTCTATATTAGGAAAATTAGTGTTATAAATATCATATGAACTGTTATCTGTCTTTTGACTTGGTGACAAAGAAGGGTAAAAATTTAAAGTTCCTCACACTAAAACATATTTAAAAATTCTCCATGTTATACTCTAATGTAGCAGCACTTTCATATCTCCCTTGATGACAAAGAAATATTTGATGGATTAGAGTACCTTCCATGGCACATGTGGTTGAACTGAATTAGAACTAAAGAAGGCTTAAGAAGACTGCTTGAGGAGAAGTGACATCAGCAAGATGGCAGAATAGGAAGCCCTAAACCCTCCTTCTCCCATGAACACACTGATTCAACAATTAACAAATTCTCTTTGTGAGAAATTGAGAAACTAGTTGAGAGGCTCCTGCACTGAGGATGAGCATGAAACCAGACACTTTGAAGCTGATAGGGAAATATGAGACACACTCTCACCAGAATCCTACCCCTGGCACAGAGCTGTACAACTGGGAAGAAAACCATAAGATCCCAGCTTCTCCCTGGGGAAGGAAAGAGTTAGACCATATGTCAAACATCCCAACTTTTCCAGGGGTTGCCTAGATGACTGATTTCTGTCTTGCAGTCTTGGAGTGCTGATGGGACCCAGCAAACTCTAGCTACCTGGGAAAGAACATAAATGGTGATTTGGGTTGGTAGTCACCATATCTCCTCCTAATGGGACCTAGCATGTCTTAGCCATCTGAGGGCCAATGAGAACAAAGAAGGTAGATGATGTTGCATGCGACTAGTTGCCAGAACCCCTTCACTTGTCTCAGTAGAGAGTGAAGAGCTGGAAAAGCCCCAAATCCCGCCTTCTACTTGGGGCAGGAAGGAGTGTAGAGGAGTATCCAATGACCTAACTTTTCTGGGGGCTAACCAAGGAACTTGACTCAGAGCACTGATAGGACCCAGGATACTCTAGATGCTTGGAAGCCACTAGAAAGAAAGTGAGTTGGACTAGCAAGAAGGTTTGAGAGGCCCTGAATCTCTGGCTGGGCTGATTAGTAAGGGTCTTCTCCTGTATGAGGCCAGTCCATGAGAACTGGAAGAGGTAGCTGTAGGCAGAAATGTGCAGATACAAAGAGAGTCAAGGAAAATGAACAAAGAAATATGTTCCAAAGAACAAAATAAATCTCCAGAAACTGGCCTAAATGAAATTGAGATATATGATTTAGCTCACAGAGAATTCAAAATCATCATCATAAAGATGTTCACACCAAGGTCAGGAAAGTAATGCATGACAAAGTAATAATTTCATCAAAGAGGTAGACAATATTTAAAAAGTGCCAAACAGAAATCATGGAGCTGAAGAATACAATTACTGAATTGAAAAATTCTTTAAAGGTGTTCAACAGCAGACTAGATCAAAGAGAAGAAAGAATAAGCAAATTCAAAGGTCATTGAAATTACTATTCAATCAGAAGAACACAAAGAATGAAAAATAGTAAAGAAAGTTTAAGGCACTATGGGACAATATACACATTACTAAAGTTCCAAAGGAGAAAGGAGAAAAAGTGTCAGAAAATTTATTAAAAGAAATAATGGCCGAAAACTTCCCAAATCTGGAGAAAGAAACAGACATCCACATCCAGGAAGCCCAAAGTACTCCCAAATAAGATGAATCCAAAGAAATCCACAGTGAGACATATAATCAAACTGCCAAAGTAAAAGAGCAAATTTTGAAAGCAGCAAGAAAAAAGCAACTTATGTACAAGAGAATGTTTATAAGACTAAAGGCAGATTTTCCAGCAGAAACCTTGCAGGCAATAAGGGAGTGCAATGATATATTCAAAGTGCTTTTTAAAAACAAACAAACCCTGCCGACCAAGAATACCAAACCTGGCAAAACTGTCCTTCAAAAATGAGGCAAAGATAAAGACAAACAAAAGCCGAGAAAATTCATCACCAGTTGATCTGCCTTAAAAGGAGTTCCAATGGGAATTCTTCAAGTTGAAACAAAAGTACATTAAAAAGCAACATGAGAGCATAAGAAAATATGAAACTCATTGGTGAAGGAAAATATATAAGGCAGGCATGGTGGCTCATGCCTGTAATCCAGGCACTTTGGGAGGCTAAGGTGGGAAGATCACTTGAGCTCAGGAGTTCGAGACCAGCCTGAGCAATATGGCAAAACCCTGTCTCTACAAAAAAATACAAAAAATTAGCTAGCTGTGGTGGCATGCACCTGCAGTCCCAGCTACTTGGGAGGCTGTGGAGCAAGAGGATTGGTTGATCCTATGAAGCTGAGACTGCAGTGAGCCATGTTTGTGCCACTGCACTCCAGCCTAGGCGACAGAGCAAGACCTCATCTCCAGAAAAAAAAAAAAAGAAAGAAAGAAAGAAAAGAAAAATATATGTAAACAAACGAAGAGTAATGAATCACTTATGATTCACTTATGAAGAGTACTGTATCACTTATGGCAGTGAATAAATCACTTAAAGATTTTGGCTGGGCACAGTGGCTCATGCCTGTATTCCAACACTTTCAGAAGCTGAACTAGGTAGATCGCTTGAGCCCAGGAGTTTGAGGCAAGCCTAGGCAACATGGTGAAACCATTTCTCTACAAAAAATACAAAAGTTAGCCACGTGTGATGGCACATGTCTATAGTTTCAGCTACTTGGGAGGCTGAGGCAGGAGGTCAAGGCTGCAGTGAGCTGTGATCATGCCACTGCACTCCAGCTTGGGTGACAGAGTGAGATCCTGTCTTAAATTTTTTTTTTCATTTTTTTAAGCATGGTTTTAGGTTTACAGCAAAACTGAGAGGAAAGTATAGAGATTTCCCATAAGCCCCCTGATCTCACACAATGCACAGCCTCTCTCATTATCAACATTCAACACTAGAGTGGTATATTTGTTACAACTGAATTAATCACTTTTAATTTTTGCATATAAGCTAAAAGATAAATGCATTAAAAATAACTATAACTAAAGAGTATATTAACGAATATGTACTATAGGTAGATATAAATGGTGAAATCAGTAACAGAGTGTATGTGTGGGGGGAGAAGTGTAGAGTTTCTGTGTATGTGGATTGAGCTTAAAATAGACTGTTATATCTATGAGATATTTATGTAGGTCCCATGGTAATTATAAACAAAATACATATAGAAGTTATACCAAAAAAGAGAAAAAAATTTAGTATATCAATATTAAGAAAATAAAGCACAAAGAAAGACAGCAGGAGATAAAAAGAGGGACCAAAGAACTATAAGACAACATAAAATAATAAAATGGCAATAGTAAATCCTTTCCTCTCAATAATTACTTAAAATATAAATAGATTAAACTATCCAATCAAAAGACAGAGTAGCTAAGTGGATTAAAAAACAAGATCCAATGATATACTGTCTACAAGAGACTCACTTTAGATTTAACAACACATTTAGGCTGGAAGTGAAGGAATAAAAAAAGATATTTCATACCAATGGTAATAAAAAGAGTAAGAGTGGCTATACCATATCAAACAAAATAGACCTTAAGTCAAAACTTGTCACAAGAGACACAGACATTATGTAATGATAAAAGAATATGCCAGGAAGATAGGAAGATACAACAATTATAAACATATATGCACCCTGCATCACATTACCTAAATATATAAAGCAAGTATTAATAGATCTGAAGAGAGAGAGAGAAAGCAATACAAAGATAGTAGGAACTTTCAATACACAACTTTTCAATAGTGAATACAACATGTTGGGCACAGTGGCTCGTGCCTGTAATCCCAGAAACTCAGAAGGCTGAGATGGGAGGATCACTTGGGAAAAGAGTGGCCAGGATTTTGAGACCAACCTGGGCAACACAGCAAGACCCTATCCCTACCAAGAAAAAAAAAAAAAGCCAGTGATGATGGCACATGCCTGTAGTTCCAGCTACTTGGAAGGCAGAAGGATCACTTAAGCCCAGGAGTTTGAGGCTGTAGTGAGCTATGATCGTGCCACTGAACTCCAATCTGGGAGACAAAGTGAGACTCCATCTGTTAACTAAATAAATAAATAAGTAAATAAGAATAATGAATACATCAGACAGAAAATCAATGGAGAAATACTGGACTTCAAAAACACTATACACCAAATGGACCTAACATACCTATACAGAACATTCCAACCAACAGGGGCAGAATATACATTCTTCTTAAGCACACACAAAATGTTCTCCAGAATCTATCATGTTCGGTCACAAAATAAGTCTTAACAAAATTAAGACAACTGAAATCATACCAAGCATCTTTTCTGAACACAATGGAATAAAAGTAGAAATCAACAGAAGACTAGAAAATAAACAAATTGTAGAAATTAACACACTTTTGAACAACCAATGGGTCAAAGAAAAGAATCAAAGGATAAATTAGAAGGTATCTTGAAACAAACAAAAACAACAATACAATATACCAAAACTTATGGGATGTAGCAAAAGCAGAACTAAGAGCAAAGTTTATAGCAATAAGTGCCTACATTAAAAACAAAATGATCTGAAAAAAAAACTTTATATTATACCTCAAGGAACTAAAAAAAGAAACTAAGCCTGAAGTTAGCAAACCAACGAAAAAAAAAAATAAATATTAGAGCAGAAATAGAGGATAGAAAAACAGTTTTTTAAAAATAACAAAACTGAGTTGCTTTTTTGAAAAGATAAACAAAATTGACAATCCTTTATACTAAGAAAAAAAGCAGAGAAGATGCAAATAAATATTATACAATCCAAAATGAAAGAGGAGGCATTACAATAGATGACACAAATTAAAATGATCATAAGGGACTGTTATAAACAATTACAAGCCAATAAACAAGGTAAACTAGAAGAAATGGATAAATTCCTAGACACATACAACCTATTAAGGTTGAATCATGAAGAAATAGAAAATCTGAACAGACTGATAATGTGTAGGAGATTGAGCTGTAATAAAAAGTCTCCCATCAAAGAAAAGTCCAGGACTGATAGCTTCATTACTGAATTCTACTGATGGCTTCATTACTGAATTCTGCTAGTTAAAGGAAAGACCTAATACCAATCCTTCTCACACCCTTCCAAAAAACTGAAGAGGAGGGAATATTTCCCTCATTTTACAAGGCCAGCACTACTCTGACACCAAAGCCACATAAGAATACCACAAGAAAAGAAAAATTATAGGCCAATATCCCTGATGAACATAGATGTTAAAATCCTCAACAAAGCACTGGCACACTGAATTCAACAGTACATTATAAAGATAATTCACCATCAACTAGTGGTATTTATTCCTAGGATACAAGGATGATTTAACATATGTAAATCAATTAATGCAACCCACATCATTAACAGCATAGACAGAAGTCAAATGATTATCTCAGTAAATGCAGAAACAGTATTTGACAAGATTCAATTACTTTTCATGACTGAAAACTCTCAACAAGTTAGGAATAGAAGTAAATTATCTCAACATAATAGAGGCCACAAGCCCACTGCTAGAATCATACTCAAGGTTTACCCTGAAAACTTTTAAGTTAATATCAGGAACAAGACAAGGATGCTCATTCTCTCCACTTCCATTCAACATAGTCCTGGAAGCCCTAACCAGAACAATCAGGTATGAAGAAGAAATAATAAGGCATCCAAACTGTAAAGGAAGAAGTAAAATTGTCCCTGCTTGCAGATAACATAATCTTATATATAGCAAACTCTAAACACTTCACCAAAAAACTGTTAAAACAAATTCAGTAAAGATGAAAGCTACAAAATGAACATACAATAATCAGTTGCATTTCAACTAACAACATTAATGACTGAAAAGGAAATTAGAAAAACAATCCCATTTACAATAGCACCAAAGAGTAAAATACTTAAGAATAAACTTATCTAAGAAGGTGAAAGACTTGGCTAAAAACTACAAAACATTGAAAGAAATTAAAGAAGGCACAGCTGGGCACAGTGGCTTATGCCTGTAATCCCAGCTACTTGGGAGGCTGAGGCAGGAGGATCACTTGAGACCAGGAGTTCAAAGTTGCAGTGAGCTATGATCATGCCACTGCATTCCAGCCTGGGCAACAGAGCAAGACCCTGTCTCATAAATAAACAGCTAGACAGATAAAAATTTTAAAAAGAAATGAAAGAAGACAAACAGAAAGACATGCAGTACTCATGGATTGGAAGACTTAATGTTGCTAAAAAGTCCATACTACACAAAGTGATCTATGGATACAATGCAATCTCTATCAAAATCTTGATTGCATTTTTTATAGAAATAGAAAACACAATTCTAAAATTCATACGGAACCACAAAATACCCTGAATAGCCAAATTAATCTTAAGAAGGAAAAAGTTGGAGTGACTTTGATTTTCTGATTTCAAAATATATAACAAAGCTGTAGTAACTAAAACAGTGTGGTACTGGCCTAAAGACAGACATAGAGATCAATGGAACAGAACAGAGAGCCCAGAAATACATCCACATACATAAAACTGCTCTTTAGTAAAGGTGCCAAGAATACACAATGGGTCAGGAAAGTCTCTTCAACAAACAGTGCTGGGAAAACTGGATATCCATAAGCAAAAGAATACAATTTCACCCTTATCGTACAACATACCCAAATATCAACTCAAAATGGATTTAAGACTTCTACCTAAGACCTGAAACTCTAAAACTCCTAGAAGAAAGCTTCATGACATTGGTCTTGGTAATGATTTCACAGATATGATACCAAAAGGACAAGCAATAAAAGCAAACATAAACGAGTGAAACTACATCAAATTAAAAAGCCTCCATACAGCAAAGAAAACAAGACATTGAAAAAATCTACAGAATGGGGAAAAATACTGCAAACCATACATGTCATAAGGGGCTAATTCCAAAATATATAAGAAACTCCTACAATTTAATAGCAAAAATCTGATAACACTGTTAAAAATTGGCTGAAGACTTGAATACACATTTCACCAAAGATGACATACAAATGGCCAACAGGTATATGAAAAGATGTTCTATGTCATTAATCATCAGGGAAATGCAAATTAAAACCACAATAGGATGTCACCGCACATCTGTTTGGATGGCTATGATCAAAAAAATAAAAGATAACAAGTTTTGGTGAGGATGTGGAGAATAGGTAGTACTTGTACACTGCTGGCAGGAATGCAAAATGGTGCAGCTGCTATGTAGAACAGTATGCAGGTTCCTCAAAAAATTAAAAATAGAACTACCATATGATCCAAAAACCTACTTCTGGGTATTTGTGTTAACCTGTTTGCACTGCTATGAAAGGACTACTGCAGGCTAAGTAATTTATAAGGAAAAGAGGTTTATTAGCTCATGGTCCTGCAGGCTGTACAAGCATGGCACCCACATCTGTTCAGCTTCTGGTGAGGGCCTCAGGAAGCTTACAATCATAGTGGAAGGTAACGGAGGAGCAGGCACATCACATGGTGAGAGAGGGAGCAAGAGACAGAGTGGGGAGATTCCAGGCTCCTTCTCAAACAACCAGATCTCATGTGAACTACTAGAGTGAGAACTCACTCATCACCATGGGGATGGCACCAAACCATTCATAAGGGATCTGCCCCCATGACCCAAATCCCTCCCACCAGGCCCCACCTCCAACACTGGAGATTACATTTCAACATGAGACTTGGAGAGGACAAACATCCAAAGCACATCAGCATTCATTCAAAAGAACTGAAATCAGGATCCCAAAGAAATATTAGCACTACCATGTTCACTGCAGCACTATTTACAATAGCCAACATGTGGAAGCAACCTAAATGTCCACCAATAGACAAATGGATAAAGAAAATGTGGTGTATACATATAGCAGAACATTATTCATTCTTTAAAAAGAAGGAAATTCTGTAAGATGTGACCACATGGATGAATGTTGAGGACATTATCCTAAGTGAAATAGGCCAGTCACAGAAAAGGCAAATACTGTATGCTTCCATTACAAGTCAAACTCATAGAATCAGAGAATGGAATGGTGGTTGCCAGGAGCTGGGGAAGGGGAAAATGGGGAGTTGCTATCATTGGGCATTAAGTTTCAGTTACGAAAGATGAGAGATCAGCTGTTCAACTGTGTGCCTGTAATTGACAATACTGTATTGTACACTTAAAAATTTGTTAAGAGCATAGATACCATGTTAAATATTCTTTCCAAAATAAAATAAAATAAGTAAAGGATGAATAATATATAGAAAGTAATACTAATGAACTAGAATTGCCAGATAGAATTCATATATAAAATAAACTACTTCCCACAGGTAAAAGTCACATTAAGAAGAAATGGTCATAAGTAGTGCTTTGTGAGATATGCAAACACACAAGAAATTTTTTTAAAATGAAATTCATTTTTTAAGTTAGTGTCAAATGTGTAAAAATGTAACAATTTTGAACTATTTAAAAAAAACACTATTAATATTGCATGTACCTATTATAAGATTTTCTAAAAGGCCAATCTGGGGTTATTGCTAAAAAAAAGACTGCTTGCTCTTTCTGGGTAACATACTTCGAATTTTGAGAAAATTAAAATACTCTGTTTTCCATCAATAAAGCTAAACATATTTTACTTATACAATAAAATATGACAAATATGTTAAATTAGTGTTTCTTAAAACCTGATTATCCACAAAGACAAATTTTGAGACTAATCCCCATGATGCCAGAGGCTATTGATCAGACTGGATGTTTGGCTGTTCTGATGTTTATCTTTTTATCTGTCTTGAAAGAAAATGTCAAGTATTCACCACAAAGCTTACAAGGACCTAATTACAGCTATAAAATCAAAATAAAAGAGTATAGCATTGGGAGAGGCATAGTTTGATGGGCTTATTCTTCAATTAAAATCACATACCTACCACTTGCTTAAAAAAAAAAATCAAACTCGTTAACAAGATACTCAGCTAAAATCCCTCCCAATCTATCTTTAGCCTGTCCCCAGACTCATCTTCTCTCATTCCAGTTACAGCAGAATACTGACACTGCCTAGTCTCCATATCCCTGGTTACATTTTTAGTCTTTCAGGAATGCCCTAACCTACTTATTTTAAAATTGTCCTCTAACCAGGTTCATTTCAAATTAATTCTCTTATTATTCCAGTCAGATTTAACCTGTGTGATTCTATGTATACACCTGAATTCTAAGTTATACAATTCACTTACCTACCTATTTGACAATACATACTGAGTGCTAACATGTGCTAGGCACTGTTCTAAGGCTGAGGCTACAATGGTAAAGATTTGACATGTAACTTAATGCTTGTACTCATCATAGTCTAACCTGTATTTTACTTAGCTGTTTAAATGCCTATTTTTCCACCAATTTGTGAGTTTCTTGAAGTCAAGTCCCACGCATTAAAAAAAAAAATCTTTGCTCACATGGAGCACTTATCATATTATATTTAGAATAGTAGCAATTGGTTTTAAGACTAGGTTTTGCCTTTTACTGTCTTGGGAACTTGAACAGGGCACTTAACTCTTTGATTCTCTTTTCTCATATGTGAAGTAGAGACAACAGTACCTGTCTTATGCTAAATTTCACAAAAAAAGTATTTTGTGGAGCTCTATAAGTCTAAAAAAATCCACTAAATATTGGTACTGAGTGGATAAAGAAAATGTGGTACATATACACCATGTAATACTACTGAGCCATAAAAAGGAATGAAATGTCTTTTGCAGCAACTTGGATGGAGCTGGAGGCTATTATTCTAAATAATTCAGGAATGGAAAACCAAATACTGTATATATTCCATTCACTTATAAGTGGGAGCTAAGCCATGAGAATGCAAAAACATACACAGTGAAAAAATGAACTTTGGGGATTTAGGGAGGGGAGAAGGTTGGAAAATGTGTGAAGGATAGAAGACTATATATTGGGTGCAGTGTACATTGTTCAGGTGATGGGTACACTAAAATCTCAGACTTCACCACTAAAGAACTCACCCATGTAACCAAAAACTGCATGTATCCCAAAAGCTATTGAAAAAAAATAATTTAAAAAAAATACTGGTACTACTACTACATTAGGAAATGAACCTGACTCTTCTATTGAACAGAACTATAGCTGGGCCAATAATTTGTTAACTATTCACTGACCAACAAACTAATGTAAAACAGTAAGCAACAATACAACACAGTCCTTCATTAGCTAAAACACAGATTTACATTTACTTTTTTTTTTTTTTTTTGAGACAGTTTCGTTCTTGTTGCCTAGGCTGAGGTGGAATGGCACAATCCCAGCTTACTGCAACCTCTGCCTCCTGGGTTCAAGTGATTCTCCTGCCTCAGCCTCCCGAGTAGCTGGGATTACAGGCATGCACCACCAGGCCCAGCTAATTTTTTGTATTTTTAGTAGATTCGGGGTTTCACCATGTTGACCAAGGTGGTCTCGAACTCCAGACCTCAGGTGATCCACACACCTCGTCCTCCCAAAGTGCTGGGATTACAGGCGCGAGCCACCATGCCTAGCCTTACATTTACTTTTTGTAGTGGTATCTCACCAGCTGATATCTTACACTTATTTTCTCAGTTAGATTTTGACATATCTTCTATGTAACCCAGTCTGATGTTATCCTTCAGGGTTCATGGGACCACTAGGAGGTATTTATATATACATAGGAGGTTCGTGAATAATGTCATTTTGATTACCGTTGTTTTATTATAATGTTGATAAGGGAAAAAAGGATTCCTGGCCAGGCCATTGTCTGTGTAGAGTTTGCATGTTTTCCCCATGTCTGCATGGGTTTTCTCTGGACACTCCAGTTTCCTCCCACATCCCAAAGATGTGCACATTTAGTGAACTGGCATCTCTACAATGTCCCAGTATAAGTGAGTGTTCTGTGCTGTGAGTGCACCCTGCGCTGGAATGGTATCCTGTCCAGGGTTGGTTCCAACCTTGGGTCCTTAGCTGCAGACAGGCTCCAGCCACCCACAACTGAAACCAGAAAAAGCATGTTGGAAAATGAATGAATACAGAAATTATTGTAAAGTAAAAATTCATAAAGTATATGGTGACCATACAAATATATGACAATAAGCGATGCAGTATAAAAACATTCCATGAACCTGCCACATTTGTGATTGCTTTGGAACTGCATGTGGCAGGAGGTGCTTTTTACAATTTTTGCTTTGCAAACATTTATTCCTTGATTTAACCCACCATTGCTATTACTGCCACTCACAGATTCACCAAAAACTGGGTACTTATCTTGTTTTTATTAATATTTCTGAAATGTATGTATAGCTCACAATTATTTCAATATTCAATATAAGAAGTGTCTTGGGTCTCTACTAGAAGGCTGATGATCTTTTTGTGACCAGAAATATGCCATAGGAACTTAACTCTTGTTCATATCCATTAGTCTATAGTAAAATTAGTTTTGCTATACATTGTTTTGCTTAACGTCAAATTAGATTCCAAGATTCTAAGATTCCAAGGACCCATCAATGACATCGGTGCAGACTTATTGTATAAAGAAATTTGTTACAGGGAGTTGACCTTACACAACTGTAGGGGCTGCTTAAACAGCCTTTGTATCTGATGGTGTAGTTTGAATTCCACAGGGCAGGCAGATGAGAAGAGGAAAGATGGACGTAATGTTGGGGAGAGTGAGAACAAACTGACACCAAGAGAATCAGCTGGAATTGACAAGGATGGGCTCATGTCAGTCTTACTGCCTCCAGTCTGGACGCTATGGGTATCCTGCAGGAGATGCTGGTGCCTTTCATTGTGGAGCTAGACATATACCTGGCCCGGAGTAAGAGAAGCTGAAGGAGGATACAGGGCAAGGAAGAACAGTTACAGATCTGGCTGCAGTGAGCCAGTAAATAACTTTCCTAGTGTAAATGAACATTGCAGTAGTGTTCCAGCCTTCCTAGTGTAAAAGCCAAAAATAGCTGCTGTTTCACTCCCATCCTCCAAATTTCACACAAAATTGTCTCTTTTGGCCACTCTAACTAGAAACATACAAGAAGGAAATTCTGCGAAGTGTAGTTGACCCTAGTCAAACTGACATGTTACAGAGTCAACATCTTGTCAACCTGGCAACTATATACATCTCTTAAAACCATACTTAGTTCCCAAATGGAGAAAGTAACAGTCATGCTTCCATCTAACATGATACAACTATCCCTCCACACAACAAATATGCTAACCCTTTCCTTCTAAAAGAGGGGATATGAGTTCCTTTTTTTGTTTTTAGGAGATGTTCATTCTTCAATCTGATTCAGTTTTCTTTGATATCTGTACCTTAAATACGTAGATACAAAGTTAACTATTATTAACATGTCTTATATTAGATGACGGGGAATGAGACAGTAGGAGGAAAACAAAAATATTTGATTAATATATAGACAAACATATTAAGAAGGAATATGAACGTTTATATCAGAACTACTGCAGTGTTCACTTCTATAACTCCTCATGTAGCTGTAGCTGTTATTTTTACATACCTTTTTCTACTAACCACTCCATATTCCCTTTGCCCTCAGCAAGTATTTCACTGTTCATAGTTTCTTATCTGGAAGGGTAGCCCAAACTTTATTCCTGAAAAATCATCAGCACTGCCCAAATTGGGTTCTTATAGCTTTCTATTGATTTTACTCATAGAGCCTGGGAGTACTGCATTCCAGATGGTCTCTACATTATCCACATTGTATAGTAGCAACTCAATTTCCTCTTGATAGGCTCAATCTATCAATAATTCCCCTTCTTTGCCAGTGGGTTTACAGTGGCTACAGGAAGGCAGTCTCAACTTCCAGTTCAACAGAATCAATACTTGTGTCCCCACATGGAAACATTCTTCTTTTGGGGATTAAGACTTATAAATCAGCAGAGCCTAAAGTTGTGAGGAAAGGAAGCAAAAATTTTGCTACTGAATCACTAGGAGTAATTGTGTGTGGTGCCACACCTATTTCCAAACTTTGGTTTTTAGGCCCATAAATCCTGGCTAGAGGAGAAATAGCATAAATCAAAATCTGATTTACAGCATGTATTGCATCCTGGAGGATACTGCCCCCAGCCCCACAGGGCACTGCCACCTAGTTGGCACTGTAACTGAGTCTTCAAAGGCCTTTCCTCAATACTATCAAGCCAGCTGCTTCAGGATGATTGGAATCTTTCTAAGACCAGTGAATTCCATGAGCAAGGCCCAATTTCTATACTTTATTAGCTGGTAAGTGAGTACCTTATTCAGAAGTGATGCTGTGTGGAATATCATGATAATGGATAAGGCATTCTGTAAGTTCATGGATGGTGGTTTCGGCAGAAACATTATGAGCAAGGGAGGCAAATCACTATCCAGAGCAAATGTTTTTTTCAGTGAGAACAAAGCACGGCCTTTTACAGGATGGAAGTGATCCAATGTAATCAACCTGCCACCAGGTAGATGGCTGATTCCCTTGAAGAATGGTACCATTGAGAAGTTCAGTGTTGTACCCAGATCCACCTGGGTGAGTGGGTCAATACTGCTGAGCCAACGCATAAGCCTTTCTCTGTGGCACCATGTCTGCTTTGTTCATGAATCAATATACACATCCTAGTGGTTCTGCTTCTCTGTTTCAACCCTGACTGATGAGCTGGGTATGCAGAGTGGTTTCAAAGGAACTGAATCTTAGGATTAGGTTATCTGAATTGGTTCACGCCTCTTGCTTTTACAATATTTTACATTTATATTTCAACCACTGAAAGTACTATACAAAATTGAATAAACTTTTTAATGGCAAACACACAAAAGAGTATTCAGGTTATACTTACTAAGGACTGAATCAACATATTAAGACAACTTTTCTGAATCTCAGGAGGTATATTTGCAAAGCTTCTCTCAGACCAAAACCTTGCAAAATGCTTTACAATCCACCTGTTAAAATAAAAGAATACCACGTTAAAGAAATTAAGATGTTTTTCATTATAATAGTCAATATTTTGGTTTTCAATTACATAACTGTACATATATATGACCTGACTAATACTATTAATTTTATGAACCCTAAAATGGACTTTATATTCTCTTTCCTGTAAACATGTATTTTAAATCCATGTGCACAGATTTTAACATAATTAACCATGGTTCAGCTAAGATAAAATGATCCCAAGTAACTTGAGTAATATCTAAATTAATATTCTACTTAGTGGTGAAACTAGTTTAGCACTAAGCTACTTACTTACATTGTGTCCAAGAAAACAGGCCAACTCTAAAGTTCCCCACAAAATTAGAAGAACAGAAAAACAAAATCCCTAAATTAATAGTATCAGCACTACTTAACATAACTTACTTCATGCAGTCAGCAAAAAGACTTTCCACTCCAACTGAATGAGCAATAATCAGGCATTCTAGTATAGACGTCAATGTTCTGGGAACAGGCTAAAATTGATGGAAAACACCATATTTATTCCTTTTCAATTTACAAAGCCTAAAAATATTTGGTTCATAAAGATAATCCAATTTATATACCTAAACTGCAGAACACATACAACTCAAAATTTGATAAATTCAAAATTTATTTTCTATATTTAACTCTTTATCTGGAATTAACTTCTGCTGGTACTGAGGCTACAAACATGCTCTAGTCAGACTCTTAATTTTTTTCCTTAAAAACACCTTTCTACACAAAAACCTAAACATGAACGTTTTTAGCAGCTTTCTTCATAACTGCCCAAACTTGGAAGCAACCATGTTGTCCTTTACTAGATGAATGGATAAATAAACTGTAGTACATCCGTGCAATGAAATATTCAGCTCTAAAAAGAAATGTGCTATCAAGCCATGAAAAGACATGGGGGGATCTTAAATGCATATCACTAAGTGGAAGAAGCCAATCTGAAAAGGCTATATACTGTATGATTGCAACTATATTACATCCCGGAAAAAAACAAAACTACAGAGACAGTAAAAAGGTCAGTGGTTGCTGGGGGTTAATGGGGAGGGAAAGATGAGCAGTCAGAGCATAGAGGATTTTATGGCACTGAAAACACTCCGTATGATACTATAATGGTAGATACATGTCATTATACATGTGTATAAACCCATAAAATGTACAACACCAACAGCAAACTCTATTGTAAACCATGAATTTTGGATGATAATGTGTAACTGTATGCTCATTGGTTGTAACAAAGGTACCACTCCAGTGTGGGACGTTGATAATGGGGGAAGCTATGCATGTGTGGAAGAAAGTGGGTATGTAGGATATCTCTGTACCTTCCTCTCAATTTTGCTGTGAAACTAAAAATGCTCTAAGTTTTGTTTTTTTTTAAAGTCTGTTATTCTTTTAAAACCAAGTGTCACTAACAACTTTTAATTTTATGGCATATCATTTGAACTCTTTGGCTGTCAAGAATGCACACGATTTTTATTCTAATTTATTTTAGGTTAAATATCTTTTTTAAAGCAAAAGTAGTATAATAATTTCTAGCACATCACATTGCAATACAACATGGTCTAATCTGCTTCCTAACGTATAAATATAAATTAAAGTAATTGTGCAATGAGAGGCCCTATATTGATCTCAGATAAGAAGAATTTAATTAGATCATAATTACATGATGTATTTTTTTTTTTTTGAGACAGATTCTCACTCTGTCACCCAGGCTGGAGTGCAGTGGTGCGATCTCAGCTCACTGCAATCTCCGCCTCCTGGGTTCAAGCGACTCTCCTGCCTCAGCCTCCTGAGTAGCTGGGATTACAGGCGCCTGCCACCACGCCTGGCTAACTTTTTGTATTTTTAGTAGAGATGGGGTTTCACCATGTTGGTCAGGCTGGTCTTGAACTCCTGGTCTCGTGATCCACCCGCCTTGGCCTCCCAAAGTGCTGGGATTACAGGCGTGAGCCACCACACCCGGCCTACGTAAGGTATTTTTTAAAAGCACATACACAGAAATAATAAATGAAAACAAATAAAAGGTAGATACAAGTAGTGAAAACAACTCACTTCTCTTGTTACATATCCTTGCTATGTATTGCCCATGCCATGTATTTTCATGTTTTGGACGTTTCTAAGCACATTTATTTCTCAATTAGGTTGAAGAGTTTAATTTCTCTTTATACACTTTAAATAAAGACCATCAAACAGCCAATTTGTATATCTAGTCTCTAAATGTGTATTTCTGAAGATCTCCTCTCTCAGAGAAGAGCAAAACCTTCTTTGGAAATGTCTCCAGCATAGTCCTTCTGGTAAGGTCAGTGATTTCCAACTCTTTATTTATGAATTGCTATTGATTTGATTTTCTAATACCCCTCTCCTAAAAGTGTTATATTAGTATTAAAAAAATTGAATGTAGGCCAGGTGCAGTGGCTCATACCTGTAATCCCAACACTTTGGGATGTCGAGGCAAGGTGGATTACATGAGGTCAAGAGTTCAAGGCCAGCCTGGCCAACATGGCAAAACCCCATTTCTACTAAAAATACAAAAATTAGCCAGGCGTGGTGGCACATGCCTGTAATCCCAGCTACTCAGGAGGCTGAGGCAGGAAAATCACTTGAACCTGGGAGGCAGCTGGAGGTTGCAGTGAGCTGAGATCCCGCCACTTGACTCCAGCCTGGGTGACTGAATGAGTGAGACTCATCTCAAAAAAACAACAACAAAAAAGAAATTGAATGTAAATATTTTGCTTTGCATATTAACAACTTAAACAATTAAGATCCCTTTGAGATAACTGGAGATACTTTAAGTTATATAAAATATATACGTGTGTGTATACGTGTGTGTGTGTGTGTGTGTGTGTGTGTGTGTAGTTTTTTTTTTGGCTCTGTCACCCAGGCTGGAATGCAGTGGTGTGACCATGGCTCGCTGCAGCCTCAAATTCCTGGGCTCAAGTGATCCTCCCACCTCAGCCTCCTGAGTAGCTGGGACCACAGGCACATCCCACTATGCCTGGCTAATTTTTTTTAAATTTTTTGTAGAGACAGGATCTCCCTCTGTTACCCATGCCAGTTATAAACTCTTGGGCTCAAGCAATCCTCCTACCTTGGCCTCCCAAAGTGCTGGGATTACAGACATGAGCCTCCACACCAGGCCTAAAGTATACTTTTAATTGGTGACAAAAAAAAAAAAATGTAAAGCCTACCAAAATCCTATAAATGAAGTCCAAAATGTTTAATTGTGTAAAAGGCAGGATTGTGAAGCTAATGAAATTATTGAAGTTAGCTTGCTAGGAGTTCTGGGGCCGACTGCCCATCACATTATACCCATATTTGTATTACTGTATAACATTATTATAAGTTTATGATATTTAAGTCACAGCCAAAAAATTGCATAATTAAGAACTAAGGCTGGGCACAGTGGCTCACTCCTGTAATCTCAGCACTTTGGGAGGCCAAGGCGGGTGCATCACCTGAGGTCAGGAGTTAGAGACCAGCCTGACCAACATGATAAAACCCCGTCTCTACTAAAAATACAAAAATTAGCCAGGCATGGTGGCACGCGTCTGTAGTCCCAGCTACTGGGGAGGCTGAGGCAGGAGAATCGCTTGAACCTGGGAGGCAGAGGTTACAGTGAGCTGAGATCGCACCACTTGCACTCTAGCCCGGGTGACAGAGGGAGCCTCCAACTCAAAAAAAAAAAAAAAAAAAAAGAACTAAAAGTTCAAAATTATATATATTCAAAAGTATATTTATAAAAATATACATTAAGAAATATAAAGCAAAAATTTTAAGGATTAGGTCAACAAAACCAGAAATTGTTCTCTCAAATATCTGTTACCACAGCAAAATAGACAATATTAAAATAAGTGGCTAGGCACAGTGGCTCATGCCTGTAATCCCAGCACTTTGGGAGGGCAAGGTGGGTGGATCACCTGAGGTCAGGAGTTCAAGACCAGCCTGACCAACATGGTGAAACCCCGTCTCTACTAAAAATACAAAAAATTAGCTGGGCATGGTGGCACGCTCCTGTACTCCCAGCTACTCAGGAAGCTGAGGCAAGAAAATCGCTTGAACCTGGGAGGCAGAGGTTGCAGTGAGCAGAGATCGTACCACTGCACTCCAGCCTAGGCAACAAGAGCAAAACTCTGTCTCAATAAATAAATAAATACATACGTAAATAAATAAATAAAAGCAAAAAAAGTTTTCAACAAAATACCGTACTGATAATTAAAAATAAACTTCATTTTCTGTTTTTATTAATAATATAAAAAATGTCTTTTGTGTTTTTAAAATAAAGTGAATTATTGAAAATAAAATACAAGAAGCTGCATAAAACCCACATATACTCATCCACATATTAAAAAAAAAATAGAGGCAATGGTCCCAAGACTACTCATAAAAGACTATTTTTACAGCTTTTAAGGCTCTTAAATAAGCTTTAACTGGCTTACTGAAGAATCTCAGCTCAGAGAAGACACTAACATGAGACTTTTTATTTTCCCAACGAATGCTTTCAACCACACTATGTCAAATCTCCCCTTTTTCCCATCCCTTAATGAAACTATAGGCAGATTCTAGTACTTTCTGGATACTATTGTTATTGAAATTCAGCACAGTACTATTTTAACACCTATCTTTTCATTGTATCTGATTTAAATCTTTCCCTCCCCATTGCTGACTAGATTTATGGTTGAGATGTGAAATAGAGAGTAGAGCATGGTCTGATCTCCTGCTCCTCCATTTTCTGGGTCAAATTCATATGGAAGACTATAAATGGCTCTGGTCACCTTACTTAATTAAGCAGAGACCAAGATGGTAGTAGGGAGATGTCCTTAGCTTTGTTCTAATTCAGATACTGGAGGCCTTTATTGATGTAATGGCTCCTTTAGTGGCAGATCAAGCTTCAACCTGGCCTCTCTGTAGATAAGAACTCTTCAAGTGGCTCACGATGCACAATACCTCCCCAAGTGGGACATGGTGTCATCTAGCCCTGTATCAGTCTCCTCTAACTTTCATGAAACCATTAAGGTCCTCCTCCTTCGCTGTGGACCATGTGTAACCGGGGTGCAGAGTGGACTCCTCATACTTCTTTTCTCTGTATGACAATAACTGTAGTTCCTTACACCAAGGCTGGTTTTGGCTTCTCCAGCAAGCCTTCTCTCTTTAGAAATCTCCTCACTCAAGTATATTCTCACTGGCTTCTCAGACATACTCCAAGCTCTCCTAAGAAATTTCTTATCACTTTCTCTTCGTCTCTGATAGAAGCTCCAGGGTGGGATGGTTTTACAGATATAGTTAATGTTCATCTAGGGGATGAGAAGACATCATCTCCTCATTGCAGATATTCTCTAGCTTTAATCTTTGTGATTTACTTGGATCCCCCTAACTTTCACTTGGCTGGAAATATGAGGGAGACATATGAAGAAGGAAGAACCTTTGACCAGAATTCCTCACTTTCTACAAAGCTGAGGACACCACCAGCTGCCCTCCTTCTTCCAAGGCCCTTATTTACAGAGGCTGAAGTGAATGGTTCGTTAAAGGAAGCCGAGGGGTTAACTATTTCTCAGTAAACCTTATGGGGTTGGTAGTGTTCGTGGTACTAGACCCAGTTGTTTATGGCTTTCGTTTAGCACATGGGCTGCTTCTGCAGCTACAACTTGTAGGGAGGTAGAAAAAGACCTACCCAAAACAAAAATCTAAATTTAAGCGTTATTAAAACCACCTAATTAGAATTCATACAATGCATATTATTGCTTCAAACACCAGTAAGAGAGAAATATGATGTAAAAAGTTAGATTTGTTTTTATTGATTATAAAAGTAATACACATTCTTTGTAGAAAATTTTAAAAACATAGAAAAGCATAAATAAGAAAATAAAAATAACCTACAGTCGCAGAATGTATTAAAACCATGGGTAATCTAAGAATAATGTATGAATGGCTTCAAAATGCATAGTATGAGATCTTTCTTTAGATGTTTAACTTACCTTTGCAGTAACTAAAATTAAAATTAGTTAGTATCCATAGGTCACCTGAAGAGACTGGCATAAGAGAACTACATTCCACCCCAAGTCCCTGCTATAAAGAGAAGTGGTAGAAAGAAGGATTACACTTTCAGGAATAAGAACAAATAAAGCACTGTGTAGCCCTTTGATAAATGGGGAAAGTAACCTTAGTTCTTAACTTCCTTTCTCCTAGTTCCAAACTCTGAGCACCTTTGAATTATACAGGATACTCCTACTCAATACCTACCCTCCCATCAATTTTGTTTTACTTAAAATTATTTGAATTAGTTTCTGATTTTTACAAGCAGATCATATGAATTATTTCTCAACTGGAGTTCTCATTAGTTAAATTTACTTAATATTTTAAATATTTAAAGCACTATTACTATCAGAGTTAAAAATCTAGCAGGTAATAATGGGTGACAATGCACTGGATAAAAGATTTCTGAGGCTCAATAATTACCTTCTGAAAGAAATTACAGTAATCTCTTCTTAAAATATAGATTGCTACTTCTTTTAATCCTTCTAGTCCATACATATCAGCCATATTGAGTATCTGACTAAAATAAAAATAGATGCACTGTTAATTCTCCAATTTAAAAATCAAGGCACAACACATACTAATTTATTGATAATATATAGTCTGTTTTTAAAAAAGAATAATCTGAAATATTTTAATTCTAATTTTCTGCCTTACATAACATACACCCTTTATGGATTATAAACAGGGCATAGGCCAAAAGTTGAAAGCACTGACACATGATTTGATTAGTAGAGAACAAGAAATAAATTTGGAGATGTCTCAAATTCCCTTCATATACTAAGTGACATACAGAACAAAATCCAAGAAATTGCTTTAAAGGCTGTAAAAGTTACAAAACTCTCTGCAACAAATTTGTATAATAAAAGTTTCTTGGCAGGGGCGGGGAGGCAATTCACTAATGTCTGATCATATTGAAAATGTCTACAAATAACCCTAAGATTGGAGATAGCATCCAATGACCAGAGTTTCTTTTGCTTCTTTCATTTGGCAAGTATTTCTGAACACCTACACATACTTTAGGTACTTAAGAAGCCTACAAGCTTTGAAAGAATGACAAAATTTTGTATAGGTTGCCAGGGGACAAAACCTTAGTAGTAAATCCTGGGACTCATGGTATGTTCTCCTGAAAAACATGTTTATTCAGTTTAAAATTAAAGGAACCAAGTAATTTTTAAAATTAAAAAAGTAGCTTTCATTTGTCTGATGTTAGAATAGCAAGAAAATGGAAGACATCTAGAAAATTAAAAGAGCAAGGTGAAATTTCACTCCCAAGTAGGATTTCAGAGGCTTAGATGGTATTTCACTATAGCGCATTTAAAAATCACAGTTGTTGGTCTTTAGGATGCCCTATATTCTTTTTGGTTTTTTTTTCCCCCAAGAACCGGGTCTCGCTACAGTCCCAGGCAGATCTCGATCTACTGGGCTCAAGCTATCCTCCCGCCTCTGCCTCCCTAAGTGCTGGGATTACAGGTGTGAGCCATCACGCCTGGCAAATGCCCTATATTCTTTTTTTTTTTTTTTTTGAGACAGAGTCTCGCTCTATCACCAGGCTGGAGTGCAGTGGCATGATCTTGGCTCACTGCAACCTTCACCTCCCAGGTTCAAGCGATTCTCCTGCCTCAACCTCCCGAGTAGCTGGGACTACAGGTGCACACCACCATGCCCAGCTTTTTTTTTTTTTTTTTTTTTTTTTTTTTTTGTATTTTTAGTAGAGACGAGGTTTCACCATGTTAGCCAGGATGGTCTCGATCTCTTGATCTTGTGATCCGTCCGCCTCAGCCTCACAAAGTGCTGGGATTACAGGCGAGAGCCACCGCACCCAGCCCCTATATTCTTAACTATGTTTTTTCTTTTCTTTTGCTGTTTAGAAAAGATATCCTAAAATTTAAAAAGTAGTAATTTTTAAAGTTTGATAAAAGTTTAATCAATTTATTGATCTATAAACCATAATTTATAGCTTCTTCTAAATTTAAGTCTAATAAAGACTGTTCTCAATCTTATTACTGTGAGTTGATAAGTCACCTTTTCTTCTAAATAAGATGATTTGCTTATTGTTTTTAGATGTTCTCAAAACCTACTGAAGATATAGTATAATAGACTATAAAAAGCAAAGTTTCTACTTCATTAACACTTTGCAACACAGCTCAACAAAGCAGAACCTAACTCTTTTATATTTTAAATTATTAAAAAGGAATACATACCCAACATTAGTTTTGTCTGGAATGTCCAGAGTTCCTCCATATATAAAATGCATCATAACATTCAGTTCTACATGGCTTATACTGAAAAATAAAAGAAAACTCAAATCCAGAATTAAGGTTTAACTGATATCAATGATTCATTCTATTTTCCCATAAACTTCGAGCCAAGATGATGTTCTAATCTTCCTTTTACCTGAAGAATATACTCTTCAAATAACATCCATGCAGGTATACCATTAATTTAAACAGAACTACAACAATGGATTTTTATATAAGTTATACAAGGTTATTAGTATGTTATCAAATCATTATTTATTGAGCGTCTTCTACCATACACTTTTAAAGTTAGAAAACACTTCTACTCACTGTCTAACCTCTGGCTCATTAAGAAATCCTCTTCTCAGCATTTTCAACAAACGCCCTCTGGTCTTGCTTAAAGACTCAAATGTACAAATCTATTCACTAGGAAGATTCTTGTTATGCTGCACAGATTTCTTAATTTGTAACACCTGTCAGTGGCTCTAAGATTGGCCAACGTACTCATTACACAAATGAAAAAGAAAAGGCATGACTTAAGAGGTAGTTTGGAATGATAACCTTTATATCCAATTGAGTGCCATATCTCAAACTCTAAATTCATGACCTTCTTCTTACTCCCCACACCAAACTTAGTCCTCTTTCTGTTATTCCCATCTTGTTGAGAGCACTGCTACATAGCGTCTTGCATCTTACCCCAGCCTCTATTCCTCTATACTAAAGGGAGTGAATCATGTGGTTGGTGGACAACAACTGGTTATCAGTTGGGAGGAACTCCAGATAAGAGGTAATCTGATATATGTTCTCCTTTCTTCTCTGCTGAACCAGTGGGAAGAGATGATGGAGAAGAAGTATATCTGCCATGCAGATTCAAACTTTCTCTCAGGTGAGCTGTTTTAGAGGGATACAGTAAGCAAGCCAACTTTGGCTCTTGCATTAGAGCACATTCTACAGGTTGAGCATTGCTAATCTGAAAATCGGAAATCTAAAATGCTACAAAATTTTAGCATTTTATGAGAGATAGTGACACCTTTGCTTTCCGATGGTTCAATATACACAAAATTTGTTTCATTCACAAAACTATTTAAAATACTTTATAAAATTGCCTTCAGGCTATAAGGTGTTGTGTAAGTTGATTATAAAAATTGGATCATTCTTTTCATACCCAACTAAATCAGAGTCAAGTTGTGGGGGGCAAAAGCACTTGGGGCACATAGCATCTGCTTCAAGAATTGAATTTTCCACATCGCCAGCTGCAGAAACAGCCTGCTGTAACCCTAAGAACTGTTTTACCTAGTAGCTGCTGAAACAACCTGCCTTGACTAGTCTTACCTACCGCCTTCACTCAAATCAGAGTTTGCAGCTCCCAAAAGCTTCTCTAGTGCCAATGAGCTTCCTTTCCAAACAATACATGTTTCTCAAGTAAAACCCCCAACCTCTCATTGCTCTTCAGACATATGGAAGATCACAACAGTCTGTGTGTAGGCTCTGAATTGTAATTCTATGATTCTCAAATAAAACATTTAATTTAGAGATTTGTCTCTATATTTTATTTTGAATTTGACAGTGTATACGAAACATAAATAAATTTTGTGTTTAGACTTAGGCATCATCCCCATCCCCAAGTCCCAAGATTTCTCATTACTACATATGCAAAGATTCTAAGATCTGAAAAAATCTGAAACACTCTGATCCCAAGCATTTCAGATAAGGGATACTCAATCTGTACTGCTTTAACAGTTTTTATCTGTAATAAAGGAAATATTTTCTTACTTCACTTACTGATTATTTTGTCTTATTCTGAACAGGAAGGAAGTATGCTATTTATTGGGCCCCCTTGAAGACTCCAACAGACATTATTCATCTATATGCCTAAGTCAGAACCTGAGGTTCATCTTAGTCCTCTCCCTCACTATGTCCTGTCAATCATTTGTACCTTCCAGAATTTCTTGAGTTCAGCCTCTGCTCTCTATTTCCTCTTTCATTGCCCTGGTTCAGCCTCTTATTTTCTCCCATCTGTACTATGACCGTATCCTCTCATACAGGTTTCTGGCCTGGAATCTTCCACTTGCATCCCATTTCCCAAATTACTATTAGGGTGACTTTGCTAAAATGAATATACGATATAGTATCCTGCTTAAACTCTTCAATTATTCTATTTTAAACTCTAATAAAACTCTTAATTATTCTCCAAAGCCCATAAAAGAAAGTCCAAATTCCTTTATCATCTGACCTCCAGTTCTCCCTCTCTAGCAGCTGTTCCAAGATAACTAAACTTACTCATTTTCTATACCTGAGCTACTTACACTTCCTTA
Organism: Homo sapiens; assembly: GCF_000001405.40. NCBI lineage: Eukaryota > Metazoa > Chordata > Mammalia > Primates > Hominidae > Homo > Homo sapiens. The sequence continues at coordinate 92,137,079 of NC_000001.11, read as the reverse complement.
TACATCCATGTCTTAGCACATACCGTTCACTGTGCTTAAAATGCTTTCCCCTCTCCACTTATTTTATCTTTCAGACACAAGACATGTGGCTTTTTATCCCTGATTGTTTCCTAATGTACCCAAGGTGAAAAAAAATTACTGAATGTTAAAAACAACAATTATCACCTATTGAGCACTTATGAGCCAGTCCCTGAGCTAATAAGTATTCTGAATGCTATTGGCTCATTTAATCACCATACCAACTCTACAGCAGATACCACTATTAGTCTCATTTTATACATGAAGAAACTGAAATTAAGTAAATTGCCCAAGATCAAAATGCACTGGAATTTAAATCCAGGCAGACTGAATCCAAAGCCTGGGCTCTGAAGCAGTATACTACACACACTTCCATTATCACATTTATCAAACTGATTTGCAGTATTTTTGTTAACACATCTGTCTTTCCTTCTGAACTGTGTTCTGCAAGGGCAGGGTCGTGCCATTTATCCTTGTATCTCTGATAACAGCAGAATGTCAGCAATGATTCAATACCCCCAGGATCAGAAGAATTTCCTTTCCCCACGTAATACTGGGCCTCTGCAGTAGAATCATGATCTGGACAGTGCTGGCAAGATCCCTACAGTTTGTTAAGCATAGTACCTAATATCTGCTAAAGAAACAAAATGAGGAAGGCAAGAAGAAAACAAATGGCTATGTTCTCAATGGCAGGTTCATAAAAAGAAAAAAAAAAAAAAGAAGAAAATAAGTGGAGTCCCAGAAAGCAGGAATCAGAAGGAATCAGAAAGGTGTTTGCTTTGATTCTATGGCCTTAAATAATATATGTTCAATAAATGTTTGATAAATGTTTAACAAATGGCTTATTAGGGCACTTACAGCATCTTCTCAAACCTTCAGAGGGAGACTAAATTGAAAATACAGAAACACTTTTCCATTAATTAAATAAATATTTACTGATCCCTACCATGGCTAAGTACTAGTTTCTGCTGATTCAAAATTCTGCATCTTTAATACTTAGGAAATAAAGTCAAATATCTAAATGTTCTCATTTATGTACTACAGATATGACAAGATTTAATCTCAGAATAATTAAGCATATTATCTGTAGTTTGCTAAAACCCTAGCATAATTACTTGAATGTGTAATACTCTCTATACTTTTCCTCAGAATTTCCAGAACGATTCTTATCAACATTAATAAGAATTGGCTATTTATGTTGAAATAATAGTTTCTTAAAAAATACTTGATATGTTAAGCAAAAGATAATGACTAAATAAAAATAAGTCATATTAAAATAAACAGCAAAATCTAGACATTTGAACCTATATATCAATATATATGATACTATAAAAAGGGTAAGAAATAGTTTTCCTGCTGTCTTGAGAGATGTTTTACTAAGCTGCATTCTCATTATATTTTAAGTCATTTGTATTGTATTTTTTACTAAAAGTGTTTATAAGACATGATCAACTGACCTAGAAAAGCAATAAATTGTTCCAATAGCCCATAGTTTAAATGGAAAGATTTAAAGCACTATTCCCATTAAAATGTAATCAGAATAAAAGCTTACAGGAGATGAAAACATTACATGTATTCAGAAAAAAGAAAAACCGATTTTAGGACAAAGATCTAAGATCAGAGACTAAACATGAACGTAGATTACTAAAATCTCTGTGTTACCAGCCTGGCCAACATGGTGAAAACCTGTCTCTACTAAAAATAAAAAATTATCTGGGTGAGGTGGCACACGCCTGTAATCCCAGCTACTCAGGAGGCTGAGGCAGGGGAACTGCTTGAACCTGGGAAGTGGAGATTGCAGTGAGCCAAGTTCGCGCAACTGCACTCCAGCCCAGGCGACAGAGCAAGACTGTCTCAAAAAAATAAATAAAATAAGGCCGGGCACAGTGGCTCACGCCTATAATCCCAGCACTTTGGAAGGCTGAGGTGGATCACCTGAGGTCAGGAGGTCGAGACCAGCCTGATCAACATGGAGAAACCCCGTCTCTACTAAAAATATAAAATTAGCCAGGCATGGTGGCACATGCCTGTAATCCCAGCTACTCAGGAGGCTGAGGCAGGAGAATCGCTTGAACCCGGGAGGTGGAGGTTGCAGTGAGCCGAGATCACGCCACTGCACTCCAGCCTGGGCAACAAGAGTAAAATTCTGTCTAAAAAAAAAAAAAATTAATTAATTAATTAATTAAATAAAATAAAATCTCTGCTTCATTGTGTCCTTTCTAAAGTTTCAGGCTCCTATGTGGAGCCCTGTGTGTGGGCTAAGGGGACACAGAGACTCCATTCATTCACTCATTCTTTGTTCATTCATAATTAATATTTTTGAATGACAGGCTCATTCTAAACTTTGTAGATATAAGAAGTTTAACATTCTAGTGGAAGGACATGGGCAATATTAAAAAGATAATTTTGATAGTCAAAGTGCCATGAAGACAACAGAATAGGATTATATAAGAGAGAGTAACTGAGGAGTTGGTCTGTAGCTATATTAGGTGACAGTCTGGGAAGGTGATGCTTGATCTGAGATTTCATGCATGAGAAGAAGCCAGCCATGCAAAATACTAGGTGAAAAACTCTTAGGCAGAGGAAGCCAAAAAAACAAAGGCCCTGATGCAGGAATGAACTTATTGGAGGAAAGATCCACAAATGCAGGTAAGAATGGTACAAAACTAGAGTGAGGCCAGGGGCCAGATCATGGAGGGTCTTGCAGGTCATGGTCAAGAGTTTGGGTTTAATTATAATTATAATGAGAAGACACTGAAGGATTTTAGTCAGGACAGAAAATACATCTCATTTATATTTCAAAACTTATATTGAAGGCCAGGGCAATCCCAGGAATCTCTCAAGGGAGATAGGAAAATCCAAATTTATGCTCCAAAGCCCAGGCACCACTGGAAGACTTTTAATTAATAAAATGAAACAAGTGGAGTTCCTTCACAGAAGTGTTGGCTGTGGTTCAATTTACATTATAGTATGTGGAAAATTTTCCCTTTCTGTCTGCTAGAGCAGGAAAATTTCCTTCCAACTATATCCTTCCACTCCCCAACTCTGGGGCATGGATGGAACTAGGATCATAGAATTCTTTTTTTTTTTTTGAGACAGAGTCTCACTCTGTCACCCAGGATGGAGTGCAGTGGCACGATCTCGGCTCGCTGCAAGCTCCGCCTCCTGGGTTCACGCCATTCTGCTGCCTCAGCCTCCCAAGTACCTGGGACTACAGGCGCCCGCCACCACGCCCGGCTAATTTTTTGTATTTTTAGTAGAGATGGGGTTTCACCGTGTTAGCCAGGATGGTCTCGATCTCCTGACCTTGTGATCCGCCCGCCTCAGCCTCCCAAAGTGCTGGGATTACAGGCGTGAGCCACTGTGCCCGGCCAGATTATAGAATTCTGCTGTCCCCACACTCAAATTATTGAAGGCAGTTCCTCTTGAAAAATACTATGTGCATTATGTTCTCAGTATCTGGTGAATTACTAACTCACTAAAAATATGGTGGTTCCTTCTGTAAGGACAGACAGGATTGTCTTCGAATCTATTGATGGAAAACATCCTGCAGACATGCAACAGTGGCACAGTTCCAAAAGAAGCTGCTGGTTATGCAAAGTAAGCATTGCTGTCCTGGTATTGGGAAAGGCCCTCACTTGAACCCTTTTCTCTCTAGAAAATGACAACAATCTAATTTAGAGAAAGAAAGAACAGTCAATATTAATGAGCACTACATACTATGCCAGTTTCTTTCCTTACTGTATCTCATTTAATACTTTCAACCACCTCAGGAAGCTCAGGAAAGTTAAGGAATGTCCCCAAAGTCATAAAACAAGTTAGGACTGGATATACTACTGCCTGTAAGGACACCAAGGTTTATGATCCTTCTATGACACCACACTTCTCATGGAAACATCTGCCCAGGTTTACAATGTAAGTTAATGGGAAACTGGAATTTGTTTTGTGTATTGTTTCAATATACAAATTCCTAAAAGATGTAATTTTTTAAAGTAAAATTCCTTAATCCCCTTTAGCCTTCCAACAGCTTTATATGCCACAATGCTAATAATTTGAGACAATCAATTTGATACATGATACAACAGGGAAAGGCAAAATATATCATAGCACTGTGTGATAATAATAATAAAGGGTATAGATGAAACCATGCATCCACCAGGTGATTCTTCTTTTAGTGTTACAGAACCTTGCTTTATCAAGCAAGATAAAGCATTTGAACAACAACAACAAAAGTATCTTCATTTTCAATGCATTAACATTAGGAGTCAATAAGCCAATTAGAGGTGAGCCTCCACTGTTAATAAAGCAGCTCTAGGTAAAATGAACCAGTGAGAAGCAAAGCCTTGCTTACAGTAAAAGTTAAGGGAAAATACTGTAAGAGGGGTGAGCCTGGTCATGCCTGGCACTAATACAGTGTATGGTCTACTTATTCAGATGACATTTTGAAACTAACTGGGCTACTTCTATTTGGCTTTCCCTTGAACAAGCTACTAAAGTTGGTCAACAGGAGTCTAGCCACACTGCAAAAGGGGTTATTTATCCATTACTTCCATTATAAATTAAAGACAGAAAATTACAGGTGAAAGAGTAGAGACGAGTAATTGATGTCACTATTTCTTTCTTGCCCACTGACCTCTGCCCACTGGTCTATTAATAAATAGACCTCATCTTTAAAAGCCTGAGTGTTTGAATGTTTAATCTCATCAGCTCATGAGGGGTGATTAAGGAAGACTGAAAAAAAAAAAAGGACACCCCCTTGCCTTTATTCATATAGCTAAACTCAGAGGTCACCTTGAACTATATAAAACAGATAGAAGTTGAAGAGGCATCCCTTTCCAAATGGCCTTCCCCTAAGATCCCAATCCTATGCCATGTGTTTCTCCTAATGTGCCTACTAGGAACTTTAGGGTTCTGTGGGACAAAGATTTACACAGTGGAGAAGAAGAGCAGTCTGAGCTAGCTCAAGAACACATACCAATCGGAAAACTTTTAAATTTCTTCAATGACTGTGGTAGAATGAACTCTGAATTATGATTTGACAAATGTGATTTAAGCTGGGTCCGGTGGCTAACATCTATAATCCCAGTACTTTGGGAGGCCAAGGTGGGAGGATCACTTGAGATCAAGAGTTTGAGACTGGCCTGGGCAACACGATGAGACCTCACCTCTACTAAAAATTATAAAAACTAGCAAGGTGTGGGAGTACACATCTATAGTCCCAGCTACTTGGGAGGCTGAGGCAGGAGGATCACTTGAGGCCCTATGTTGACCTCACATAAAAAGAGAGAATTTAATTAGATCATCATTACATAATGTGTGTGGTTTTTTTTTTTTTTTTGAGACAGAGTCTCGCTCTGTCGCCCAGGCTGGAGTGCAGTGGCACGATCTCAGCTCACTGCAACCTCTGCCTCCCCAGTTCAAGCGATTCTCCTGCCTCAGCCTCCTGAGTAGCTGGGATTACAGGCACGTGCCATCATGCCCAGCTAATTTTTGTATTTTTAGTAGAGACGTGGTTTCACCATGTTGGTCAGGCTGGTCCTGAACTCCTGACCTCTGGTGATCCACTCGCCCTGGCCTCCTGAAATGCTGGGATTACAGGTGGGAGCCACCGTGCCCGCCCTACATAATGTATTTTTTAAAAGCACATATATAGAATAATAAATGAAAACAAATAAAAGGTAGATACAAGTAGTGAAAACAACTCACTTCTCTTGTTGTTACATATCTTTGCTATGTATTGCCCACGCCATGTATTTTCATGTTTTGTGTTTTGGACGTTTCTAAGCACACTTATTTCTCAGTTAGGTTGAAGAGTTTAATTTCTCTTTATACACTTAATAAAGACCATTGAACAGCCAATTTGTATATCTAGTCTCTAAATGTATATTTCTGAAGATCTCCTCTCTCAAAGAGGAAAACCTTCTTTGGAAATGTCTCCAGCATAGTCCTTCTGGCAAGGTCAGTGATTTCTACCTCTTTATTTATGAACTGCTATTAATTTGATTTTGTAATATCCCTTCCTAAAAGTGTTATATTAGTATTTAAAAACTTGAACGTAGGCCAAGCGCAGTAGCTCACGCCTGTAATCCCAACACTTTGGGATGCCAAGGCAAGGTGAATTACTTGAGGTCAGGAGTTCAAGGCCAGCCTGGCCAACATGGCAAAACCCCATTTCTACTAAAAATACAAAAATTAGCCAGGCGTGGTGGCGCATGCCTGTAATCCCAGCTACTCAGGAGGCTGAGGCAGGAAAATCACTTGAACCTGGGAGGCAGCTGGAGGTTGCAGTGAGCTGAGATCCCACCACTTGACTCCAGCCTGGGTGACCGAATGAGACTCCATCTCAAAAAACAAACAAAAAAAAGAAATTGAATGTAAATATTTGCTTTGCATATTAACAGTTTAAACAATTAAGATCCTTTTGAGATAACTGGAGATACTTTAAGTTATATAAAATATATACTGTGTGTATATATATGTGTGTGTGCGTATATGTGTGTGTGTGTGTGTGTGTGTGTGTGTAAATATATATATATATATATTTTTTTTGAGACAGGGTTTGGCTCTGTTACCCAGGCTGGAATGTAGTGGTATAATCATGGCCCACTGCAGCCTCAAACTCCTGAGCCATGATTGTGTCACTGCACTCCAGCCTGGGCAACACAGCAAGATCCCATCTCAAAAAAATAAAAATAAAAGAAAAATTTAAAAACTACCTGTTATGAACTGAAATGTCTGTGTTCCCTCCAAATTCATATGGTAAAGCCCTAACCCCCAGTGTGGTCATATTTAGAGATGGGGCCTCTGAGAAAGTAATTAAGGTTAAATGAGGTCACATGGGTCCTTGATCTGATAGGATTCGTTTCCTTATAAGAAGAAATACCATAAAACTCTCTCTCCAAGTGCACGCACCAAGGAAAGGCCACATGAGTGTACAGCAAGAAGGCGGCAGAATGCAACCCAGGGGCAGAGCCCTCATCAGACACCAAAACTGCTGGCATGTTTATCTTGAACTTCCAGTTTCCAGAACCGTGAGAAAATAAATACCTGTTGTTTAAATCACCCAGTTTGGATATTCTGTTACAGAAGCATAAGCAGATTAACACAATACCTCTATTAATAAATGCTCTCTATTACTTCCCGTTTCAGAAAATGTACTTTGTTGAATTCTACATGAGAAATATTTCCTTGAACATCCAGGGAAATCAGATTCATAAAAAGTGCTTTGTATGAAATACAATTTACAATCATTTGCAGTCAAATGGCCCTGTAAAAATATGCTTACCCTTGAAGAGTAACGTACTCTTGGGAGCTTTCAGCCCAACAGCCACTCAGCATTGCAGCAAAATAACTAGATCTGGCACTCAAAATGGCCCTAAAGGGAAGAGGGGGGAGAAACACAGGTAAACATTTACATATTATTCAAAATGTAATTTTTTATGAAAATTTTCATCTTTATGTATTAAAACACAATAATCTATTTGTTTTGTTTGTATTCATAGGCAGGATTACTACATAATAAAACTTATAAGCTTATATTTATACCTAAGGGTTTTTTTTTTGTTTTTTGTTTTAAGAGACAGGATCTTCCTCTGTCACCCTGGCTGGAATGCAGTGGCGTGATCATAGCTTACTACAGCCCTGAACTCCTAGACTCACGTATGATCCTCCCACCTCAGCCTCCCAAGAAGCTAACACTACAGGCATGCAGTATCACACTCAACTTGATTTTTAAATTTTTTGTAGAAATGGGGTCTCACTATGTTGTCCAGACTGGTCTCAAACTCTAGACCTCAAGCAATCCCCCTATTCCTGAAGTGCTGGGATTTATAACTAAGCATTTTGATTGTTTAAAACATTAATTCCAATGCCCTTGCTGTCTTTTTTTTTCTTTGAAGGTTCTTTAATTTTTTAAGCTTATAAAAACATAATTGATATTTAATTTTTTAAATATAAAAAGGTAGCTAAAGACAAAGTACTGATCAGCAAACCCTAATTTAATATGGATTATTTTGGAAATTTAAAAATTTTTAACAAGGTGGCCTTCTATCTCATACTAAAGTGTAAATCAAGGCTCTTTCCCAGATTTACACTTCATACTTAGTAACAATCTAAAACCTTTTCAAATCAATGAAAAAAAAACCAAAAAACAAAAAACCTACCATGACCAATTTAAACGACCTGGGAAAGGGTAGGAGAGGTGACCAATAATCAGAGCCAGTTGCACGCAGATGGAAAAATGCTTGCTGTCACTCCCAAATATATCCCTACATTACATGTAAATCATAATGGAAATAAATGCCTACATTACAGAACTATGAAATTCTATTTAAAAAATAATAGGCCAGGCACGGTGACTCACGCCTGTCATCTCAGCACTTTGGGAGGCCGAGGCGGGTGGATCACCTGAGGTCGGGAGTTCAAGACCAGCCTGGCCAATATGATGAAACCCTGTCTGTGCTAAAAAAAAAAATACAAAAAAATGGCCGGGCGCGGTGGCTCACGCCTGTAATCCCAGCACTTTGGGAGGCTAAGGCAGGCAGATCACGAGGTCAGGAGATCGAGACCATCCTGGCTAACATGGTGAAACCCTGTCTCTACCAAAAACACAAAAAATTAGCCGGGCGTGGTGACAGGCGCCTGTTGTCCCAGCTACTCGGGAGACTAAGTCAAGAGAATGGCGTGAACCCAGGAGGCGGAGCTTGCAGTGAGCCGAGATTGCACCACTGCACTCCAGCCTGGGCGACAGAGCAAGACTGTGTCTCAAAAAAAAAAAAATTATTCAGGTGTGGTGGCGGGTGCCTGTAATCCCAACTACTCGGGAGGCTGAGGCAGGAGAATGGCTTGAACCCAGGAGGTGGAGGTTGCAGTGAGCCGAGATCGCACCACCGCACTCCAGCCTGGGCAACAAGAGCGAAACTCCGCCTCAAAAAAAAAATAAAAATAAACTGTTGGGTATCATTGGAATAATGTAACTCGTAAGGCTAGAAAATATTGAAATACAGTTCAGACTCAAAACATAAGTTCACTTTTTAAAAAGTTTGCTAGAGAAATAAATGCCAGATAGGAAAGTAGGACTTGTAGCAGGATGGCCTTTTATACCAATTTGAAAAACACAGACACACCATACCCTACCCACAACCCACCAGAAATTCTAGTTGAAATAAAAAGGAAGGAACAAAGGCTAAAGTAAAAAGCTTCGGTCGGGCACGGTGGCTCACACCTGTAATCCCAACACTTTGGGAGGCCATGGCGGGCGGATCACTTGAAGTCAGCAGTTCATGACTAGCCTGGCCAACATGGTAAAAGCCCACCTCTACTAAAAATACAAAAATTAGCTGGGCGTGGTGGCTGTGCCTGTAGTCCCTGCTACTCGGGAGAGTCACTTGAACCCAGGAGGCCGAGGTTGCAGTGAGCAGAGATCACACCACTGCACTCCAGCCTGGGTGACAGAGCAAGACTCTGTCTCAAAACAAACAAACAAACAAACAAACAAACAAACAAACAAAAACTTCCAAAATCTCATGTCCCAGTGAATTTAGTGGGGAAAAACTCCAGACACTGAACTTTGTCAGCTTGACACTTCTCCCTTTAGCAATATCACCTCCATTTCTGTTATGACTTTCGTTCCAACTGAATCTAGTTGTAGCAAATTCAATCTCCTGGAATCAGCTTGATAAGCATAGGAGATCATACTAGAGTCAACTGAAGGAGGTACATTAACCAAAAGCTCTAAATTAACAACCAGGAGTGTAGACCTCGAATTCTGATCCTCAATTCAGCATATGATCAATATTTGGCACTAGCTGGATAAAGGTCTAATCAGAATTTGTGAGCAGAGGCAGATGTAGTTAAATCATAACCAATATTCGCAGTCTATGATTTGGTTCCAAACTTAAAAGGCAGGTATAGATAGCCACATCTAAAAATATTTCAGAACTGGAGGGAAAACGTTAATAACAAGATATAAACAAAACCAGGCAAATTAGCTTGGCAAACAAAAATTCTGGTTAAAAAAAGAAACTAAACTTATCATACCCACTGATAATTTAAGAGTGGAAAAATGAGCATTTTTCCACTGTTAAACTAGTTTAATTACAGGCAGATGTTTTTCTACTATATTAAGATTTTTCTGTATCCATTTTTCCTAATCCTTAAAGCTTAATGAGAAATCATTTATTCTGTAAAGAAATACAGCATATATAGCCACAGTCTAAATATGCTTAAAACCGGAAAGTTATGTCAGTTAAAAAAAAATCTTACACTGTTACATCATTACTCTATGGTAATTCAACTGATGCTGGGATCTGCCTTCACCCAAAAGCATGGCACTCACTGCTCAGAGGTTGAATGCTAACATTGCCCAAAATGAAGCAGTAACAGCAAAGACTCCATAAAACTCTATTTAATTGTGTACAAGCATTTAATTACTGCTCCAAATTAAAAACCGTACAATAAGTGCAACTTTTAATATATAAACAGACAAGAAGCTGTGATGCCAGTGTCCATTTGGCACTGCAAATAGCGAAAATAAAGCGGTCTGCATGAGTGAAGAGGATTGAGGAGAGGAGAAAAGGGAGGCCCAAGAGGCAGATTTCAGACAGTGACACAAAACTGTTGTACTGCTGGATGTTTCGTTTGAGGAGGTCTGAGCCTGGGCAAGAGCACATTCAAATCTAGGCTGGTCCAGCTTAATGTACTTCAAGGGGCCATGTACAACCACTGTGGCAGCAGGAGGGTGATTCATCAGGAATGCAAATTCACCAAAATAATCAGAAGGCCCCAATCTTCCCACTTCAACAAACTCTTCATTTTCTTATCAACGTTGCAGCATAGCAGCTGGCCCCTCTAGAATAATAAGGAACTCATCCCCTGGTTCTCCCTGCACCACAATCTTCTGCCAATCTTCAAACTTGACTGGTTCCCATGTATCAGCTACCGTAAGATGCTTTCACTTATCCAGAGACTCTAAAATAGACACTTTACTAAGGAATTCCTCATACATCTTCCACATTCTCAGTGTGCTTCCCATATGGATTCTTCTACAGCTGCCTCGGTTGATACACTACCATTTCACATTTGCCTTTGCTTTGACAGTGGCTACTCTAGGTGTTCCATAAATCAAAACAAATTCTCCAAAGCTCCCTCCTTCTTCAACACTGGTTGCTCATTCATCATTGACACAGACATCCCTCTCTCCTTGCTCAATCACCTAGAAGTTATCCCCTTCATCACCTTGCAGAATCACTGTCTCTCTCCAGTGATAAAGGAGACATGGAAATATGGCATCAAATATATCACTTCTCTCATTATCATCAAGATGTGAAATCAGCACATTCTTTTCAATGGCTTTGGCTAAAGACATTGCCTTATAATGGCTTTTGGTATAATCTTATAATCTTTTGGTATAATCTTTCTAACATATGATGTGGCATCTTCCTCCATGTAGACTTCAGTGCTGACGGTACCTTGTCACCTCTGATCTTTAACCACTGGGTTGGGTGGAGGAGGAGAGATTTCATTCTCCTGAATTCTGTACAAGTGCCTGCTTCCTGCAGATTGTGAATTTGTTTTGCCTCCTCCTTCTCCAGCCTCTCAAAGTGTTCCCTGAGGAATGCCATTAGTCCCTCGGGTTGAGCAGTACATAACTGCACAATAGAATCTTTGAGCAGTGCCTGAATGTTGTGCTTCTGGAGGTAGAGCTCACATTCTCAAAGGCTATGCTCCTCCTCTCTGGCAGCAGTGTCACCAGACGCCATGGTTCTGTCTCTCTCTGAGTGTCTCAGGTCCCCTCTATTCTTTCTTCTGCTCTTCACTCCCTCTCCACGTGGCTTTCATGAGCTTCCCTCTTCTCTCCTCTGCTCCTCTGTCCACCCTACTCTGCCTCCAACCTCCCTCAATGCCTCTCAAAGGCTCTTTAATTAACAACAATGGAAACTATGTCCATGAGTAAGAGGAATAAATCATTTACAAATGGAGAAACAAAGACCAAAGATGTTACTTTAAATCTTAAGGAAATATCAATAAGAGACTATAATTACTGTTTGTCAATTAAACATTTTTAAATAAAAAATACATTCCACAATATCTTAGAAAATAAAAATAAAAATAGGGACAACTCTAAATTAAAAATATTTTTAAATTTTAAAAAAAGAGCTTACAATTCTAAAGGTCCGGAGTTCTAGTTCAAAACTCACCATAATTATGTTCAAGAAAGGATATATCTTAGGTTTGAAAAAATGACAAGAAAGATATTTTCTTTTGAATTACCATTCTATCTTCTCAAATAAAATGCTAATTAATTCATTCTTTAAAAATAAATTTAAAACATATATAGAGAGACAGAGTCTTACTATGTTGCTCTAGCTAATCTCAAACACCTGGGCTCCAGTGACCCTCCTGTCCCAGCCTCTCAAAGTGCTGAGATTACAGGTGTTAAATCACTGCGCTCACCCTCACTCTTTCTTTTTCTTTTACTACAGACAGAGTCTCTTGCTCTTTCACCCAGCCTGGAGTGCAGTAGCACAATCATAGCCCACTGCAGCCTCAAACTCCTGGCTAGCCTCATCTTTAATCCAACAGATATTCTATTCTGTGCTCCGCACTATTCTAAGTGCTGGGAGTACAGCAGTAAATGAGATACACGGAACAATATTATATTCCAATGAAGGGTGGAGGACAGGCAGAAGAGAAAGACACTTCTGGAATGGCTTCCTAGGTTGTCTCAGATCAACCCTCCTGCTGAAAGCAGCTTAGGAAAGATGGACAAAATATATATATTTAAGAAAAGAAGCAAAAAAAAGGAAAGCATGCTTTCAAGGCATCAGAACACTGCCACAGTGATTAGAAAAGTTACACAAGTTATGAGACAGAAGACAAAAGAAGCCACCCAAGTATTTGAGGTAACTTTTTCCATTGAGGCAATTGCCAAATCTGAAAGCAAAAGCAACAGCTGGAAGGCTGAGAAGCTGAGTATAGCTTCTGGCAATCTTCACACAAATTGGAACTTGGGGACCATCAAAGAGGAGGGGTTTTAGTAGATAACCCAGGATTTCAGTTGGATCCCGAACGGCCACATTCTAAACAGAAGAGTGAACAGGAAATAGACAAGCCCTTATTAGACTTGAAAGCCAGTTTTGAATTATCTCGGTTCCTGACTGGAACAAAGTGATCAGCATCTAGTCTGCCAGCCAGACAAAAGCAAAAGGAAATCCTGTCTGCATTAAAATATCACCTTGAGTGTCAAATTATTTCTACAAATTTTCTTTTTTTTTTTTTTTTTTTTGAGACGGAGTCTTGCTCTGTCGCCCAGGCTGGAGTGCAGTGGCGCGATCTTGGCTCACTGCAAGCTCCACCTCCCGGGTTCACGCCATTCACAAATTTTCAATAGAATGTTTAGTAGTCACCCAAAGATGATTTAGTGTAATAATGAACAACTAGAACATAAAAGAAAAAATTTCCATTTACACTAGTATCAAAAAAGGTCAAACACATAGCAACAAATGTAACAAAATGTGTAAGACCTCTACAGTAAAAACCATAAAACACTGCTAGGATAAATTTTAAAAGACCTAATGGAGAGTGAAAATATGCTCATGGATCTGAAACTTGAAACTGTTAATATGACCATTCTTCCTAAATTAGTTTCTAGATTTACCACAATCCCAATCAAGCATTTTTAGTAGCAATAGATAAGTTGATTCTAAAATGTCTACGAAAATGCAAAGGACCCCTAATTGCCAAAGCAACCATCAACAGAAGAATAAAGGTGGAAAACGTGATTTCAGGCAACATGATGTCACTTACTATAAAGCAGCAATAATCAAAATAATGTGGTATTGACATAAGGGTGGACATATAAATCACTGGAACAGAATTGAGAGTCCAAAAGTAGATCCACATACATATGGCCAATTGCTTTTCATGAGGGCGTTAAGATAATTCAATGGGGGAAAAGACAGTCTTATCATCAAAAGGTACTGGAACAACAGGATGTTTGTAGAAAAAAAATTAAACTTGACACTTGCCTCACACCATATACAAAAACTTAAATCTAGAATACATAGAGAACCATAATAACACAACCCAATTAAAATATGGGCAAGAACAACAAAAAATATCAGGTAAGAATCACTTGCTAGAAATAGTTTTACTTCAAAGCTAAAGTTTATGGCTAGTTATAAAAAATGACATCCCTGGCCGGGTGTGGTGGCTCACGCTTGTAATCCCAACACTTTGGGAGGCCAAGGCAGGAAGATCACTTGAGGTCAAGAGTTCAAGACCAGCCTGGCCAACATGGCAAAACCCAGTCTCTACTACAAGTACAAAAATTAGCCAGGCATGGTGGCACACGCCTGTAACCCCAGCTACTCAGGAGGCTGGGGCACAAGAATCTCTTGAACCTGAGGGGCGCAGGCTTGTAGTGAGCCGAGATCATGCCACTGCACTCCAGCCTGGGCTACAGAGTGAGACTCTGTCTAAAAAAAGAACAAAACAAACAAAAAAGACCAGGCGCGGTGGCTCACGCCTGTAATCCCAGCACTTTGGGAGGCCAAGGTGGGCAGATCACGAGGTCAAGAGATCAAGACCATCCTGGCCAACATGGTGAAATCCCGTCTCTACTAAAAATATAAAAATTAGCTGGGCGTGGTGGCACAAACCTGTAGTCCCAGCTACTCAGGAGGCTGAGGCAGGAGAATCGTTTGAACCTGGGAAGCGGAGGTTGCAGTGAGCCGAGATTGCACCACTGCACTCCAGCCTGGTGACAGAGCAAGACTCCGTCTCAAAAAAAAAAAATAATAATAATAATAGCTAAATACTGGAAACAACCAATATTCCATCAACAGGAGAATGAATAAACAAATTGTGGTATAGCTATACAATCCAATACTATGCAGCAATAAAAATTGAATCAATCACTGATACACATAACATGCAAGGATGAAGCTCAAAAACATTACACTGAACAAAAGAGGCCAGACACAACAGTATGTCTGAGTCCATTTACATGAAATTCTAGGAAAGGTAGAATATCCTACAGTGTAGAGAACACAATAATAAGAAAACAAACAACCTGATTTAAAAATAGGCAAACCAAGAGTAGTAGTGTGTGCCTGTAGTCCCAACTACTTGGGAGGCTGAGGCGGGAGGATCCCTTAAGCCCAGGAGCTCAAGACCTGCCTGGGTAACATAGCAAGACTCTGTCTCAAAAAAAAAAAAATAAAAAAATAAATGGGCAAAAGATATAAACAGAAAACTAACCAAAGAGGTATACAGATGGCAAATAAGCACATGAAAATCATTTGTTGCCTGTGGCTGGGGTAGGGATAGGTACTGAAGGTAAATGGGTACAAGGGGACTTTTTAGTTGACGAAAATTCACTATATTTTGCTTACAGTGGAAGTTAAACAGGTTTATACATTAGTCAAAATTCATAGAACTGGACTTTAAGTTGTGTGCATTTGTTTGTGTATGCATTCTAACTCAATATACTTAACTATAAAAAAAGAATGAAAACAAAATTTACTCAAGAAAGAAAGTAACAGGCCAAGATAACTTCCCTAGTGAATTCTAATAAATATTTAAGGACGACATAAGTTTTAAAAAAAATCAATCTTACTCAAACTAAAGCATAAAAAAGAGGAAATACTTCACAGTTCATTTTATAAAGTCAACATAACTTTGAGGCCTAAACCTGACAAGGACATTACAAAAAAGTAAAATTACAGGCCGATCTGTCTCATGAACATAGATGCAAAATTCCTAAACAAAATATTAGCAAACTGAATTCAGCACGAAATAGAATGAATAAAACATCACAACCAAACCGAAATTATTTCAGGAATGTAAGATTATTTTTTCATTCAAAAATTAAGCAACATAATTTAGCACATTAACAAAAGAATGGAGAAAAATCAAGTGATCATCAAAATCAATGCAGGAAAGCATTTGACAAAATTCAACACCAATTTAGGATTTTAAAAATTTAGGCAATTTTGGCCAGGCGCAGTGGCTCATACCTGTAATCCCAGCACTCTGGGGGAGGCTGAGGCGGGCAGATCACATGAGGCCAGGAGTTTGAGACCAGCCTGGCCAATGTGGCAAAACCCTGTCTCTACTAAAAATACAAAAATTAGCCATGCTTGGTGGTGCACGTCTATAATCCCAGTTACTTGGGAGGCTGAGGCATAAGAATCGCTTGAACCTGGGAGGTGCAGGTAGGAGTGAGCTGAGATCCTGCCACTAAATCTCAGAAAGCTATTTTGTAAATACTGACAAGGTGATTCCAAAATTTACAGTCATGTGCTACATAACAATGTTTGGGTCAAGAGACCACTCACATATGAAGATGGTCCCATAAGATTATAATGAAGCTGAAAAATCCTGCAACCTAGGGATGTCATAGCTGACAGAAGGTCAAGTGCAAAGCATTACTCACATGTTTGTGGAGGTGCTGGTATAAATAAACCTACTGTGCTGCCAGCTGTATAAAAGTCTAGCATATACAATTATGTACAGTACATACTTGATAATAAACAACTACGTTACTGGCTTATTATTTTATTGTACTACATTTTATATTGTTATTTTAGAGTACTCCTACTTACATATAAAAAAAAAGTTAACTGTTAAATAGCCTCAGGCAGGTCTTTCAGGAGGTATTCCAGAAGAAGGCATGTTAGGAGATAACAGCTCCATGTCCGTTACTGCCCCGAAGACCTTCCAGTGGGACATGATGTGGAGGCGGAAGGGATTGATACTGATAATCCTGGCTCTGTGTAGGCCTAGTAAGTAATGTGTTTGCTTCTGTCTCAATTTTTAACAAAAGTTTAAAAACTTAAAAATATTTTTTAACAGAAAAAAGCGTATAGGCCAGGCGCGGTGGCTCACACCTGTAATCCTAGCACTTTTGAAGGCCGAGGCGGGTGGATCACTTGAGATCAGGAGTTCAAGTTAGAGATGGTGAAACCCCATCTCCACTAAAATACAAAAAATTAGCCGGGCGTGGTGGTGCATGCCTGCAATCCCAGCTACTCGAGAGGCTGAGGCAGGCGAATTGCTTGAACCCAGGAGGTAGAGGTTGCAGCGAGCCAAGATAGCGCCATTGCACTCCAGCCTGGGCAATAGAGTGAGACTCCGTCTCAAAAAAAAAAAAAAAAAAAAAAAAAGAAAAGGGCCGGGTGCAGTGGCTCACGCCTGTAATCCCTCGGGCAGATCATGAAGTCGGGAAATCGAGATCACGGTGAAACCCCATCTCTACTAAAAATACAAAAAAAATTCGGTGACGGGCACCTGTAGTCCCAGCTACTCGGGATGCTGAGGCAGGAGAACGGCGTGAACCCGGAAGGCGGAGCTTGCAGTGAGCCGAGATCGCGCCACTGCACTCCAGCCTGGGCAACAGAGCGAGACTCCGTCTCAAAAAAAAAAAAGAAAAAAGAAAAGAAAAGAGCTTATAGAATAAGGATACAAAGTAAAAAGCCAGATGTGGCAGCTCACACCTGCAATCCTAGCACTTGGGGAGATTGAGGCAGGAGGACTGTTTGAGCCCAGGCGTGTGAAACTGGCCTGGCCAGCGCAGGAAGAACTTGTCTCTACAAAAAATACAAAAATTAGCTGGGTGTGGTGGCGTGCACCTGTGGTCCCAGCTACTCAAGAGGCTGAGGTGGGAGGATCACTGGAGCTAGAGAGGTCAAGGCTGCAGTGACCCATGATCGCGTCACTGTACTCCAGCCTGGATGACAGAGCAAGACCCTGTCTCAAAAAAAAAAAAAAAAGAAAAAAAGAAAAAAATTTGTACAGCTATACATGTTTGTGATTAAGCTAAGTGTGATTACAAAAGAGTAAAAAGTTTCAAAAAATTAAAAAGTTTATAAAATGAAAAGTTACAATAAGCCAAGGTTAATTATTGAAGATAGTTTTTTAAAATAAATTTCGTGTGTATCCTTAGTATTTATAAAGTCTACAGTAGTGTACAGTAATGAACTGAGCCTTCACATTCACCCACCACTCACTCAATGACTCACCGAAAGCAACTTCCAGTCCTGCAAGTTCTATTCACAGTAAGTGCCCCATGTAGATAGGTGTATCGTTTGTCTTTTATACCAGATATATCTTTCAGTGCCAGAAAGTAAGAAAATGCTCAACACACACACACACACAGACACACACACACTGAGGGAGTAAAAGGGACACAAGAGCCACCTGAAAGAGCTCCCACAGCTAAAGTTGTAACAAATAGAGCAAAAAAAAAAAAAAAAAGAAAGAAAGAAAAGCCAAATTATAAGCTAAAGTACAAAATAAGTATCTATGAGTCTACACTGATATATGTAAGTGATTGAATAAATTAATATGTAGAGGAGAAGAGGTAAGTTTTTTGTGCAGAAGAATTCCAAATAATTTATGTGGATAATACCCCTGGTTCAAGGAGGTAGAACATTACTTTCTATCACTTAAATATGGGCTACACACAGTGACTTCCTTCCAGAGAGCAGAGTCTGGAAATGGGAAGTGAGGAGAGGAGTAACTTATAGTGGAGAAACCAGATGAAAACAAGGTCATCATCAAGGTTAACATAAACAGTGATGTCATGTTGATCACATGTACCTTTAATATGATATAATGAAAATGGCCCTTTATCTTTGTGGTCTTCCTGTCCCAAACCCATAATCCATGAAATTGTGAGAAAAACATCAGATAAACTCCATTTAAGGGAATTTCTATAAAATACCTGACCAGTACTCCTCAAACTGGAATGTCATCAAAAAAAAAAAAAAAAAAAAGAAAGTCTGAAAAACTGTTACAGCCAAGAGGAGCCTAAGGAGACAGGACAACTAAGCATAATGTGAGATCGGGGATTGATTCCTCAAATACAAAAGGACACTAGGTAAAAACCAAGGAAATCTGAATATACTACAGACTTTAGTTAATAACAATGTATTGATATTGACTCAATTGTAACAAATGTACTATAAGATGTTAATAATGAGGAACTAGGTGTGGGGGTATACGAGAATACTGTACTCTTTTAATTTGTCCATAAATCTGGAACTGTTCTAAAAAATAAGGCCAACTAAGAAAAAATTAGGATTCTGCTTCTACCCATAAGTATAGGACTTCCCTACCTTCCATTTAATAATTAGAAAATTGAACAAAATATGACCATGGAAAAAGGCAGTACAGGACTCTGATCCACAAGAGAAGAAAAACAAATGAAGTAAGCTCTACAATCACAATGCTTTTCTTCCTAGAAGCAGTTTCTAGTCAATGCACAGGAAGGACAAACGAGCAGAGCCTTGTGGCTTAGCTGAGCTGAGGAGATGATATAGGAGACCCAAGAAGCTGAGTCAGCTGAAATTTGTGAGGTGCAGTAATATAGAAGAGGGAGTCATGAAGAACTGCAGAAATCAGAGTAGATACTCCCTCCCTTGAGCTTTGGCTGAATATAATTTGAGTGTGCATAAGGTAAAACTACACAAAGCCTGGCAAAGAATAAAAGCCAGGAAGCTATATGGCTGACAGATATTCAAGTTCCTTCCGGCCAGAACTGAATACTTGGGGCACTAAGAAAAGATCCCAGAAGCCTCAGTAGAAAGGCTTTACAACATTTAGAGCAAAGGCTATCCTAGATGCACCCTAACAAAATTTAAAAAGAAGCTTCATAAACATGAAGCTGATCCACAATAACTTAAATGCCTGCTAAAAAAAAAACCTTTAATAATCTTTTTCAAGAAAAACAATAAAGTTCAAACATTCAAAAACATAATATTTATAATGTCTGGCATTTGATTAAAAACTTATTAGGTAATGTGAAGCAGCAGCAAAATGTGAACATTAAAAGAGGGAAAAAATCAGTCAATATTATCAGACCCAGAAATGACAAGAGAAGATGGAATTAACAGACAAAGCATTTTAGGGCTGAGTATGGTAGGTCACACCTGTAATCCCAGCAATTTGGGAGGCTGAGGCAGAAGGATTCCCTTCTGCCAGGAGTTCAAGACCAGCCTGAGCAATAATGCGAGAACCCATCTCTACAAAAAATTTTTTAAATTAGCTGAGTATGATGGCAAATGCCTGCAGTCCCAGCTACTCAGGAGGCTGAGGCCAGAGGATCACTTGAGCCCAGCAGTTCAAGGTTACAGAAGCTATGATCGTATCACTGCACTCCAGCCTGGGCAACAGAGAGTGATCCAATAAAAAAAAAAAAAGTACAATGGTAGACTTACACTCAAACATATTAATAACTACATTATTACAAATAGTCAAATAGTCTACTCCAATTAAAAGGAGATTATGAGACTGGATAGCAAAAGCAAGACATAACTATTTGCTATCTAAAAGAAATTAATTTTAAATATAAAGACAAAGTTTAGAAGTTAAAGGATATAAAAAGAATACCACATAAACACTAATCATAAGAAAGCTGGAGTGGTGATATTAACCAAAGTAAACTTCACAACAAGTGACATTACCTGGGGTAAAAAGCAACATTTCATAATAAAAAGGACTCAATTCATTATGAAGAAATAACAATCCCAAATGTGTATGTAACAAATAATAGAGCTCCAAAATACATGAAGCAAAAACTGACAGAACTAAAAGGAGAAATAAATTTATAATGATACTTGGAGACTTCAATACTCCATCAGTAATTAATAGGATAGGTAGACAAAAATTCAGCTAAGGATACATAAAACTTGAGCAACACTATCAACCAATTTTTTCATTTATAGAACACTCCACCACAGGACAACAGAACACATATTCTTTTTAAGTACATGTGGAACATTCACTAACACAGACCATATTCTGGGCCATCGAAAAGTCTCAATAAATTTAAACAAAACTAAAATAATATAAAATATGTTCTATGACCACCATGGAATTAAACTAGAAATCAATAATGGAGAATTATCTGGAAAATTCCCAAACAGTTGAAATTAAACATACGTCTAGACAACCCATGGGTAAAGAAGAAATCAAAAGGAAAATTAGAAAATACATTTATTTGAGTGAAAATACAATATATCAAAATTTGTAGGCTACAGCTAAGCAGTGCTTAGGAAATGTTTAGCTTTTAAATGCTTATTGTAGAAAAGGAAAAACGTTTCATATTAATGATCTAGAATTCCATCTTAAGAAAGTATAAATGGCAGCATAAATTAAACCTAAAGTAAGCAAAAGGAAGAGAAAAAGTGACAGAACCTTGCCATCTGCTCCTTCCGTTCTTGGGCAGCACCAGTCATGTCCCTGAGACATCATGGTAAAAGTGAAGCCCAGAGTAAATGGAATTGGCTATATTGGGTGCCTGGTAATCAGGGCTGCTTTTAACTCTAGCAAAGTAGATGCTGTTACCATCAATGACCCCTTCACTGACCTCAACTACATGGTCTACATGTTCCAGTATGATTCCACCCATGGCCAAGTTCCACGGCATCGTCAAGGCTGAAAACAGGAAGCTTGACATCAATGGAAATCCCATCACCATCTTCCAGGAGCGAGATCCCACCAAAATCAAACAGGATGACGCTGGTGCTGATTATGTTATGGAGTCCACTGGCATCTTCACTACCGTGGAGAAGGCTGGGGCTCACTTAGAGGGTGGAGCCAAAAGGGTCATTACCTCTGCCCCCTCTGCTGATGCCCCCATGTTCGTGATGGGCATGAGCCATAAGAAGTATAAAAACCTCAAGATCATCAGCAATGTCTCCTGTACCACCAACTGCTTAGCTCCCTGGTCAAGATCATCCATAACAACTCTGGCATCATGGGAGGAATCAGGATCACAGTCCATGCCATCACTGCCATCTAGAAGACTGTGGATGGCCCCTCTGGGAAACTGTGGTGTGATGGCTATGGGGCTCTCCAGAACATCATCCCTGCATCTATCTACTGGTGCTGCCAAGGCTGTGGGCAAGGTCATCCCCAAGTCGAACAGGAAGCTCAATGGCGTGGCCTTTCATGTCCCCACTGCCAACATGTTAGTCATGAACCTGACCTGCTCTCTGGAGAAACCAGCCAAATATGATGACATCAAGGTGGTAAAGCAGCATCAGAGGGGGCCCTCAAGGGCATCTGGGGCTACAATGAGCACCAGATTGTCTCCTCCAACTTTAACAGTGACACCAACTCTTCCACCTTCAGTGCTGGGGCTGGCATTGCCCTAATGACCACTTTGTCAAGCTCATTTCCCAGCATGACAATGAATTTGGCTACAGCAACAGGGTGGTGGGTTTCATGGTCCACATGGCCTCCAAAGAGTAAGATCCCCTGGACCACCAGCCCCAGCAAGAGCATGAGAGGAAGAGAGAAGTGTTCAATTGTTGGGGAGTCCCTGCCACACTCAGTCCTCCAAACACACTGAGAATCTCCCCTCCTCACAGTTTGTACACCAGACCCCCTGAAGAAGGAGGGATCTCAGGGACCCTGACAATCAAATGAATATTTAATGTACTAAGTTTGCTATATAGTTTTTATTTTTCTATAAAAGAGGACAAAGATAGTGACCTCATAGTATGATTGAGCCTATTTGAACAGATAAAAAAAATTATGTGTGCTGCCGAAGCAAGCACAGAATAAAAAATTTTTAGTCTGTAATTCTTTCCTTAAAAATGGAAAGCCAGATTTTAAAAACTTTTTTAAATTATAAAAACAATATGTTTGTAATAAACTTCAATATAGAATTGGATAAAGTGAAAATTTTAAGTTCTCACCCTGCTTCTTCATTTACTTCAATTCCATGACCTAGAAATAACCACTTTTAGCAGTTTATTGGATATCTGCCAGGACTTTTTTCCATGGCAGTCTTTTCTTTCACACTGTTGAATATCGATAGATAATCCATTTAATCCTCAGTGCTTCATTCATTTCTTTATGAATCCCAATCTCAGCACCACAATACTTAGCAAATAATAAGTGTTTTTTTTAACAATTATTTCTTACTTTATCTGACTATGCCTAGTGGTAAAGGTATATGAATACATAGCATGTCATGATTTATATGTGTAGCAGTCATGAGAATATACCCCTCTAATCTTTTTTTTTTTTTTTTTTTGAGACGGAGTCTCACTCTGTCGTCCAGGCTGGAGTGCAGTGACGTGATCTCGGGTCACTGCAACCTCCGCCTCCTGGATTCAAGCGATTCTCCTGCCTTAGCCTCCTGAGTAACTGGGACTACAGGCACATGCCACTGCGCCTGGTTAATTTTTTGTATTTTTAGTAGAGACAGGGTTTCACCGAGTTAGCCAGGATGGTCTCAATCTCCTGACCTCATGATCCGCCCGCCTCGGCCTCCCAAAGTGCTGGGATTACAGGCGTGAGCCACCGCACCGGGCCTACCCCTCTAATCTTTGACTGCATAATGACTGATAGCTTCAGCTACAGCACTCGGAAATTTATTCCACCTAGGTCACAAGGTCATCTCACCAGAAGCTACTTCCTGACAATGACTGAGGCCAGCAAGGACAATAAGGCAGGTCTAGCCCTAGAAAACAGGCGCTTCTCTGATGGGTGCCTTTGGCATGGGAACTTTCCAATAATGGCCTTGCCCAACTTTTCTTGGAACTCCACTGCAGTCTAAGATGCTTCTATCTAACTTCCTTCTCTTTCTCCTTCACTCAGAGTCAAATCAGCGTTGCAGTCTAGCAGCTCTGTTTTCTCTGGCTTTCTCCCTATGTTCTCTCACATACATTTAGCCTAATACATTTCTTGAAAGTCTAATCCCATCTTTGTGTCTACTTCTCAGAAGACTTGAACACAGCATGTCAGCCATTTCCATTTTAGTAAAATTAGAAGCATCTGAGGCTTAAACAATTACTCTGACCTTAAAACAGAAACTTAGAAAACATTCCTACTTAATTAGGACACATGCCTCAGGTTTAAAAATAATGCTGTAGATGGTATGGTGTATTAAAAATCTTTGCCAAATTTGTTATTTTCCAACATGCCAAAAACTATTTTCTCCTTTTGATTAAGTTTAATTTCAACTGTTAATGCTGCTTCTGGCTCTATCAAGATGCCCTAATTTCCGCCTTGCTGCTGCTTTAGTACACTGCTATTCAATACTTCCTAATGTTAGCTGAACTAGATTCACTACTCCAGGCAGAATAATGGCCTGGATTATGCAGAGAAGCTCTAGAGAAGGAAATTTTAGTAGGACTAATTTTTAAAGTATTCTTGCTCTAAGAATGTATTTATTTATTTATTTGCTTTAATTCCACATAACTGAGTAAGGATTAAATCCAGAGTGGTGAATCTAAATTTTTGGAGTAATCACTATTGTCCATGTCACTTCTTATCAAATACTTTAGAGAACATAACTTTGTAAAAGCAAAGTTAACCTTCTCTTGAGAATTTTGTGACATCCATTGACTATAGCTTTCATAGGACTGGACTTTCTGAAGTTAAGTGCCATGGATACTCTATTATCCGACAAAATTTGGACTAATAGTTGTTTAGTTAATTGAAAAAAATGAGGAATTAAAAAAGCTATTTTTGTATACTATAATTTTACTCTAACTTAAGAAGAAATATGCATTTAATTCACAAATCTTTTATCATAAGGCCCATCTTTTTTTTAACATGGGTTTGCTGATATAAGCCTCATTTTCACAAAAACAATACATATATACACTATGATACCTAGTTTGATTTTAATTTTTTTTGAGACAGGGTCTTGTTCTGTTCCCAAGGCTGGAATGCAATGGCACTCACTGGCTCATTGCAACCTCAAACACCTAGGCTCAAATGATCCTCCCACCTCAGCCTCCCGATTAGCTGAGACTACAGGTGCACACCACCATGCCCAGCTAAATTTTTTTGTAGAGATGGGGTCTTGCTTTGTTGCTTAGGCTGGTCTCAAACTCCCTGGTTCAAGTGATCCTCTCGTCTCAGCCTCCCAGAGTGCTGGGATAACAGGTGTGAATCACTGCACCTGTTCACAACAGCAATTTTTTAAGTGCCTTTCCCTTATTTAATCCCCCCAAAGCACTCATCCGAGTTTTCACTGGAACAATAACTTTTCTCTTTCATATTTTATGTATCATTGACTTATATTCATTGTCATCAAAATAATAAATTCAAATGGCATACGCAGGTTTGGGAACAAACCCAAGTGACTCTTGAAAGGCACTTTAGACTTGCAGGTCCCTGTGGCATTACTTGTCTCTGCTTTTTTGTTGCCTCATACAAAAACAGGCCACTTAACCACATTTAGGCCATAGTTTGCCCCCTGATATAAGACAAGCTAGAACAGGCAACATATGTGCCAGTCTTACAGATATCTATCACACACTTATAGCAACTAACATTTACTTTTGAAAGCTTACAATGTGCCAGGTACTATGCTAAGTGCTTCATGTGCATTATCTGATTCAATCTTCACAGCCACCCATGCTATAATTTCTACTACTATTCCTTTTACAGATAAAAATATTGAAACTTGGAGAGATTAAGTAACTTCTCAACAATTAATAAGTGGTGGAATTTTAAAAATAAGCGGTGGGATCATAATCTAAACGCAAAAAGACCAACTTCTCAATTACTAAATCATACCACTTCTGAAAAAACTTTTAGCTTTTTCAAGGACATACAAAACAATGATCTTCGGACACAGTGCCAATTTACTAAATATTCAGAGAGATATTAAAGGAAGATTTGACATCTTAACCAAATGAATGAATGTCTAATGGTATATTATCAGGCATTGATAAGAAAGGTATTCTGGAAGATATACCAGATTTTGAGTGTCACAAAGCTCAAGTTAGAAATGATGGGGCCAGGTGCAGTGGCTCACACCTGTAATCCTAGCACTTTGGGAGGCTGAGGTGGGCAGATTACTCGAGGTCAGGAGTTTGAGACCAGCCTGGCCAACATGGTGAAACCCTGTCTCTACTAAAAAGCACAAAAATGAGCCAAGCGTGGTGGTGTGCGCCTGTAAACCCAGCTACTCGGGAGGGTGAGACGTGAGAATCCCTTGAACCCGGGGGGCAGAGGTTGCAGTGAGCTAAGATTACGCCACTGCACTCCAGCCTCGGCAAAAGAGCAAGACTTTGTCTTAGGAAAAAAAAAAAAAGGAATGACTGCTCTGCTTTTTCAACGAGGCAGCATAAGAGAATTTTAATTATGGAACATAGAAGTGCAACAAATTATCTTAAAAATATAACATTCAACTTCTTTCATAAAACATTAAAATAATAAATTACATTAAAAAATGGGAAGTCAGCAGCCAGGTGCGGTAGCTCACGACTGTAATCCCAGCACTTTGGGAGGCCGAGGTGGGCGGATCACAAGGTCAGGAGATCGAGACCATCCTGGCAAACACAGTGAAACCCTGTCTCTACTAAAAAATACAAAAAATTAGCCAGGCGTGGTGGCAGATGCCTGTAGTCCCAGGTACTTGGGAGGCTGAGGCAGGAGAATGGTGTGAACCCGGGAGGCGGAGCTTGCAGTGAGCCGAGATCCCAGATGGTATTCATATGGCAACTGAGAGCATTTCAGGCAGGAAGATAATGTTACAGAGGTCCACAACAAGGGGTAATGTGCAGTAGCATCCCAGGATACAATATTCAGAAAAGTAGTAACATAACTAATGGAATCCATGAAGGCTAATCAGGTAGTAAGCCCAATGAGTGCTCAGTAACAACTGTAATTTAATTCTCACAATCACATTATGAGATGGAGACTGTTATAATCCCCATCTCTGATAAGGATGCTGAAACGCAGAATGAATGGTTAAGTGACTTACTCAAATTCACACAGCTAATAATGGTGGACATGGAATTAAAACGCATGCAGATTGTCCCCACAGTCCACACACTCTTAACCACTCTGTTAGAAATGATTTCTTTGGCTTAGTTGTGCCACCACAAGCAAGTGAATGGCATCAGACTGTCTTTCAGCATAGAAAGTGTTCCGGGGATTGGGCTGAGGATCATGGTAAAGAATGGACAGAGCAACTGGAGAGACTACCTTGGAAGACCTGTGTTATGAGGGGTGTTACTGAGGAAGTAACTTGACCATGAAATATTAGCTTAATAGAAGACCATACCAATTTGGGCACATTAAACTAGCAAACTAAGGTTTTAAAAATGTTGATACCTAAACTGAATAAAATTCCAGTCATAAATCCTGGTCCTTTGTAAGTACTTGTATTGATCTTTTAATATATAAGTATGTATAATTAAAAAATTAAAGTAGCCATATTACAAAAGGATTTTTAGCCACACCACTAGAAGAATGCTGACAATGATCATCTAGAACAAGAAGTAATTGAGAAAGTTCCAATGTTGGGCTTTAGATGAATATGTATTATCTGAACTACTGACACAATATTCCTTAAACTACATAATAAAATTAATATGTACTATAAACAGAAAGATGTTTGAGTCTGGACTAGGAAGGTAACCTTATAATTTAAAATTGGCTATTCTAACTTACATAAGGGCAAGAAAAAAGTAGGAAAACTTATTGTCTTTCTAGTTAATATGAATTTCTTTTTTACTGCTAGGTGAACAAAATAAACCAGAAATGTGAGCAAGAGCTGTCCTAGAATACAAACCTAATATTCTAGGTCCAGCTCCTAAAACACAGTCCTGTTAGTTCATTGTCAGGCAGCACACAGGGAGAGGCCAAATATAGGCACTGTTTGAGGACATATTGGAAATGGTCACAGGGTCCTGCCTTCCCTGTATGACAGCAATAGCTATAGGGCTCTATAACTTTGGTAGGATGCCCACATGGTCTCATGAAAAACGTGGACACAAAATAAAATTAATTTTTAAAATACAATTGTGTTGGTTAAAAAAAAAAAAAAAGAAAACAAGACAGAGAGACACACACCTACACCCACACCATGATTTAGGAAATATACCCATGATACGGAAAATATAATGTTCAATCTACATTATATTCTGAATTTTGCAACCTTTAATGCAGATTTCACAAAAATTAGGAAAATACGTATATGTATATTTACAAAGTACACAGTCCCATAGAGAAAAGTTCAAATTTTGAATAGTAAATAGCTAGTTCAGACTAGCAATCCTTGGGTTGTATTGCTGTCAACTGGCAAAACCAGCGTGATTTCTAAGAGTACAAATATTACTACTATTTGGCTTGGTGGATTACAGTAACCTAAACCCACTGCTAATTTCATTAAGGGCTGTGCACCCCTGAACCTAGAAGATTACCACTTGCCACTGCAAATACTCTGGCTCTTTCTGTTCAGTAGCGCCAGAATAACTTCTTATCAACCTTCTATTTGAAACACAAAGAGGAGGAAGAACTGGCTGGGTTCCTAAGTTTTCTGGTTCAGATTCTAGTCCATAGTGAGACCCAGCTGCACTTCTTTCCCTTGAGTTCCAAAAGATAATATGTATTTCTTATTAAATTTTTTTCTGCTTTTAAGCAGATTTTAGTTACTTGCAATCAAAGAGCCTGACTAAAACAGGCAACCGGCTTTAATTTGAAATCTAAACGCCTGGAATGTCTAAGCAACCCAATTCTGAAGCAGAACAATGGTTTTTAAAAAGTACATTGAAATATTAAACCTCCTAATCAATGCTATTCATGAGTATCAACTATTTTGAATCACGGAATCTGAGCCAAAATGCATTCAGAGAAAATACATGTCATTCATGTAGAAATAATACTTCTCAATACTATAATGCCTATAAAATTAAAAACTGCATTTAACTACATTTTCTATGACAGTGGCTTTCAAATCTATTTTAGGCAACAGAACATTTTCTTCTAATAAAATCTTAGGTTCATGCCCAATGCAGAACATAGATGAGATCTGCTCTGGCAGAAACATATACATGCACATGTCTGGGTAGGCCAACGTATGCACGTGTGAAAACCTGCAGAAAACCTTGCCTGATGGTCAACCTCTTCCCCTGTTGGACTCCCCCTGAGGAATCACAGTGGAACCCCTTTGGCCTTCATGGAACCCCTGTGGCCTGTGTGAAAACCAGAGTTTGAAAACCACCGTGCTGGTAAGAGACAGCTGCCCTTCCACACTCTACAGCCACAACCAAGACAGCAAATCAGTCGTGTCTATTTACCTGTGAGCTTTAAAACGTTTTCCATCAACAAAAATATCAATATCTGGGCAACAAGGTTTCACATAAAGCTTCAATAAATCTTCTCCTAATTCAGATGCAGGCTCCAAGTCATAATTATCTTTAAAAAAGAAAAACAAGACTAAAAAATAGTTTAATATTACAAACGTCCAAAAATTGTTTTCTATTATTATCAAGAGGTTTCCCACATAATTATCTCAATTAGTTGGAATATGTAAGTGGTAAATTAAAAATAAAACAAAAAGTTTAAATCATCTAGACTTTCTCCTTTGAAATATATATATTTCCACTTACATGTAAATATAGATATAGTCATGCATTGCTTAATAACAGTCATGCATCCCTTAATGACAGTTCTGAGAAATATGTTGTTACCTGATTTCATTCCTGTGTGAACATCACAGAGTGTACTCACACAAACCTAGATGATATAGCCTATTACACACATAGGCTATATGGTATAGCCTATTGTTCCTAGGCTATAAACCAGTACCGCATGTTACTGCAATGAATAGTGTTGGCAACTGTAACACAATGGTAAGCAGTTGTGTATGTAAGCATAGAAAAGGTACAGTAAAAATCCGGTATCATAATCTTATGAAACCTTTGTCATATATGTGGTCCATTGTTGACCAAAATGTCATTATGCAGCACATGACTGTACACTTTTAAATATACATATTTAAATATAGGTAGTATTATCACAAAATTATACACCAAAAATGAAGCCTCTTTATGAGCATCTTTTTCTAATTTTTAATTAGAATTAATTAATTCTTAATTAGAAATTAGAAAAATTTCTAATCTCTATGTTTCTTCTTGTGGGTCTCTAGGTTACTATGACCTGTGTTATCAGGCTAACAACAATATTGGATTATCTAAAAAAAACTGTATTTTATTTTTTAGAGACAGAGTCTTGCTCTGTCACTCAGGCTGGAGTGCAGTGGCATGAACATAGCTTACTACAGCTTCAAAATCCTGGGCTCAAGCAATCCAATCCTCCCACCCTAGCCTCACAAGTACCTGGGGCTACAGGTGTACGCCACCATGCTCAGCTACTTTTATGTTTTATATAGACGGGGGTCTCCTTATGTTGCCCAGGCTGGTCACAAACTTGGATACCTTTTGAAATCAGATCATTCTACAGTAAACTATGGTCCTTAATCACCATCATTCCCTGAACAGACTATGACCAATTTGACTCAAATACTGTTGAACTATCTATCTTGCCTAAATTTTGATTTGATTAATTTTGATCAGTTTGGTTTGTAGGGGCCCCTATAAAGGACTACACTTTTTTTTTTTTTTTTTTTTTTTTTTTTTGAGACAGAGTCTTACTCTGTCGCCCAGGCTGGAGTGCAGTGGTGCAATCTTGGCTCACCACAAGCTCCACCTCCTGGGTTCATGCCATTCTCCTGCCCCAGCCTCCCAAGTAGCTGGGACTACAGGTGTATGCCACCAAGCCTGGCTAATTTTTTTGTATTTTTAGTAGAGACGGGGTTTCACCATGTTAGCCAGGATGGTCTCGATCTCCTGACCTCGTGATCTGCCCGCCTCAGCCTCCTAAAGTGCTGGGATTACAGGCGTGAGCCACCACGCCTGGCAGGAGTACACTTTTGCCTTTTGGTATTAGCCTCCTGATAGTCATGATAGTAGCATCCCTGGTATACCACATCCTCTCAGGAGACTTAAATATTTGTATGCTGCCATCCATCGTGCATTAAATGGTCTTAACTTTGACTAAAACAGCAAGAATGTAAAGAATCATTTAACTGACCTGACATGGAGACCAGTAAATTCTACTGTGAGACCAAACAAGTCCATTATGATGGTATCAAGAGACTGGCATCAATGCCCAAGGTTTTGGTCAATCTCACAATCAAGAGACTAATCCAAAGGCAGAAACTGTTAACTTAAATTTGAAGTAAGCTGCCTCCATACTTTGAGTTCCTACTTAAGGAACTGCAACCTTAGTATGTAAACAAACCAAAACCTAACCTAACTTAGGAGTGTTTATTTTTGGTAATAGATAGCTAGATCTCAGCCAATTATAAGCAGCCGAGCTTTGGCCAATCACAGGCAGCCAAATTATCTGGCCATGTCCAAATAAGGCAAACACTTAGTTATAACCAATCAAGCCATTTCTGTACTTTACTTCCATGTTCTGTCTATACATACTCACTGGCCAGTTGTAGAGCAGAGTTCTCTGAACCTCTTCTGGTTCTGAGTGCTGCATGATTCATGAATTGTTCTTTGTTCATATAAACTCAGGTTCATTTTATCTAACGTTTTTCTTTTAACAACTGTTTATCGTAACCTTGCCTGTCAACAAACTTTGGCCAGTAGCTCTGGTGAAGATCAGTCACTGGTGACAGAGTCCCACAAGTTGAATTTGGGACAGGTTACATTTGAGATATTTAAGATATATTTTGGCTGGGCACAGTGGCTCATGCCTATAATCCCAGCACTTTGGGAGGCTGAGGCGGGTGGACTGCCTGAGCTCAGGAGTTCAAGACCAGCCTGGGCAACGCAGGGAAACCTCATCTCTACTAAGAATACAAAATATTAGCCAGGTGTGGTGGTCAGCCCTCTGGGCCCAGCTACTCGAGAGGCTGAGGTGGGAGGATCACTTGGGCCTGGGAGGTAGAGGTTGCAGTGAGCTGCGATCATGACACTGTACTCCTGCCTGGGTGACAGAGTGAGACCCCATCTCATTAAAAACAATAAAAATTTAAAAAATAAAAAAATAAGGGGCCGGGCACAGTGGCTCACGCCTGTAATCCCATCACTCTGGCAGGCTGAGGCGGGCGGATCACAAGGTCAGGAGATCAAGACCATCCTGGCTAACACGGTGAAACACCATCTCTACTAAAAATATAAAAAATTAGCCAGGCGTGGTGGCAGGTGCCTGTAGTTCCAGCTACTTGGGAGGCTGAGGCAGGAGAATGGCGTGAACCCGGGAGGCGGAGGTTGCAATGAGACAAGATTTGTGCCACGGCACTCCAGCCTGGGTTACGGAGTGAGACTCCTTCTCAAAAAAAAAAAATAATAATAAGGTAGACTTTAACAGGTATGTTTAGTCAGTGGTTGGATATGAAGCTCAAAAAAATTACAGAATACCATTTATTTAAGGGGTAGAAAAATGATACATCAGTAAAAAAGACTGAGAAATGGCCAAGAAGGAAAATCAGGAAAGCATGGTGTCACAGAAAACAGAAGTTTCAAGGAGGGCAGTATTAACAGTATGAAAGGCTGCAAAAAGGTTTATAAGATGTAGGCAAAAAAATGTCTGTTAAGCTGGCAACTGGCAGGTTACTGGTGAATGTGGGGATTTTCCATGGAGTGATGGAGAAAACAGTCGAAAGGCAGAAGCTCTTTTCACTTAAACTCACAACTTATATGGCCATTTTAAAGGGTTGCCATAGAGCCACAGCAGAGCTCTAGACTAGAGTAAGAAAACTGGATTTCAAATATCAGCTCTGTCAATTGCTCTGTGTGACCTCGGGAAAGTCTCTTATGCTCTCTGAGTCTTAGAGTCCTATCTGGGTCTTATTGATAACATCAGTCTGTAACACTTCCTAGGGTTTTATGAGACTAAATTAAATAAAGCATATGAATGATCTACCTCAAGGCCTAGAATGTGTATTCATTCACTCATAATTAGATATGTTGACTGTAATATAACAGGAATCTAACCAGGATAAATCAGATGAGTAACTGTTGTTGCTTTACACACCAGTAATAAGATCCTTTAACCCAAAAAATATTTTCAAATACAATCAATTCTGCTCTAACACTTGTTTTGAGAAAATGAGTTTGATCCAATACAATTCATGTATTAGGGAACAATTTGAGCATAACATGAATTTCGCATTTGCTTAGGTGCAAAATTCAGATGAGAAACACCAGGTTATTGCAGAAAGCTGCACTCAGCTGAACTGAGCCATGCACCTGCACACATGCACACCTAAATATCTACCAGATACCTCAGTTTACTGCATGTGTTATGAGACACACCCATCTATATCTGGTTTTATAAATTCCCATCTGACTTCAGATAACCAACTATTGGGAGACACTTTTCTATGAATATTTTTATGTTTTAGCATGGTCTGACCTGTCTGAGCAGAGCACCAGTAAACTTGGTTAAAGGATGATTAAAAAGCAAACATGCCTTGGAAACTAGAGATATGTATTACTCCAGAAAAATTGAGAAACATTCCTCCCCTGGAAGTCATTTCCTTATATTACAGGGTAAGGAAACTACCTTCTCCTCCCCTCCCAAAGATTTACCTTCCAAAGAAAGGTCTTTCTGTCTCTAGAGAGGAGAATGGGAAGATCTGCCAACAACCTGTGGAAGCTTAAAGTTTCCTAATTTTGGTGTTCCTTTTCTGTGGTGCAATCCCACTGCATGGGCTAGGTAACATCAGGCCCTCACTGCAGTGCCTCACGGAGTTTAGGAGCTGAGAACTGGCACTAAGATGCTCTGCAAATGATAAATGTTCTGTTCTCTGATCCAGGGACCTCAGGTTTCCTGTCAGAACCTCTCTCTACACATGCATCCATCTTTAATGCATTCCATCCTTAATGCATATGAATGATCTACCTCAAGGCCTAGAATGTCTATTCATTCACCATAATTAGATATGTTGACTGTAATATAACAGGAATCTAACCAGGATAAATCACGTAAGTAATTGTTGTTGGTTTACACACCAGTAATAAGATCCTTTAACCCAACAAATATTTTCAAATATAATCAATTCCGCTCTAACACTTGTTTTGAAAAAATGAGTTCCATCAATTTGCAATAACTCACAAGCTGCAACCCTTCTGAAATCCACTTTCTCATTCCATCAATTTGCAATAACTCACAAGCCACAATCCTTCTGAAATCTACTTTCACAAGCAAACTTCAGGTCTCTTTCATGGTAAAATGCCATATGTATTATAGTATTTATGTATTTCTTAACCATTTAATATGCATAAAACTAGGCTACCATTTTTGTTAGGGTGTGAAACAGAATTGACTCTGCCAAAGCTTCTTTATTGGTATAGATTATAATAAGGACAATAACGTAGAGGCATAATGGCTAAAAAGAGAATTGTGAGTTATGTATGGATTTATTCATAATAACCCTATCTCCAATTACTTGGGAAAAACTGGGAGTTAACAATACTAGTGTTTTCAGTTCTCCATGCTTATTAAAAAAAAAATCAGTAAAGCATATTTTTGAAGTATGCTTTTCTCTAACTGTATCAGAATATAATTATTTTTACGGCTATAAATACAACTCCATAAAAAATACCTCACCATTGGAAATGAAATCATCATCTCTGTCACTGATATCCTCTGGAATTTCATGCTTCTGAAGAGAACAATCAGATGAGTTTTCACACTTTGGAAAACTGATGTCAAGTTGCTTTTGTGATATCCCAATCTCCATTATCTTTTTCCTAAGAATTTCCTCTTCATAGTTTTTTATGTTTCTGTTTGATGAATATATAATCCTAAAAGACAAAATATAAAATATTAATAAAATAACATTGGTGATTCTTAAAAAGAAAGAATGCTAGTTTCCTTAGTGTGCTACTTTCATATATAATATTAAACCTTCTTAATTTGGACTAACTGTAGAAAGGTCAATCTAAAATAGCAGAAGCCAGCTGGGCATGGTGGTTCACACCTGTAATCCCAGCACTTTGGGAGGCCGAGGTGGGGAGACCATTTGAGGTCAGGAGTTCAAGATCAGCCTGGCCAACATGGCGAAACCCTGTCTCTAATAAAAAAATACAAAAATTAGCTGAGCATGGTGGCGGGTGTCTGTAAGCTGCTTGGGAGGCTAAGACATGAGAATCACTTGAACCCAGGAGGCGGAGGTTGCAGTGAGCTGAGATTGTGCCACTGTAATCCAGCCTGAGCGACAGAGCAAGACTCCATCTCAAAAAAGAATAATAATAATAATAAATAAAATAAAACAGCAGAAGCCGGGTGTGATGGCTCACGCCTGTAATCCTAACATTTTGGGAGGTCAAGGCAGGAGGATTGCTTGAGCTCAGGAGTTCAAGAGCAACCTGGGCAACATAGTGAGACCTCGTCTTTACAAAAAATTTAAAAACTTAGCAGAGTGTGGTGGCATGCACCTGTAGTCCCAGCTACTTGGGTGGCTGAGGTGGGAGGATCATTTAAGCTCTGCAGGTCAAGTTGCAGTGAGCTGTGATCATGCCACTGCACTCCAGTCAGGGCAACAGAGTGAAACCCTGTCTCAAAAATAAGTAAATAAAAATAAAAAATAAACAGCAGCAAGTTTGAAAAGGAGTCTATAAAAATGTTAAATGTTAAAAAGTAATATATAATGCCAAAAAATGGAATTCGTGGCTGCTGCTGGCTACCCACAGTGAGTGTCACCTCACCCCTGGAACCTTCGATGCCTCTGTTTCCCCTTGGGGGACTGTGTGGCAGGTGGAGGTTCCCCGGGTCCTGGTGGGGCAGTGAGTAGTGTGCCTGCGGGAGCTGTCATGAATATTTCAGGAGCTGTCTTCTTCCATGTGAATTTTGTCATGCTTCAGTAAAATTATTCTGGGGATTTGCTTGGAAGGCATTACTTTTACCGAGATGGCTGGAGCCATGTGGATGGGCATAAATGGCTAAGGTCCAGCAACCATCAATGTCAAGTATCCATACACCTGGCCTGAGTTGATCCTTGTGCCCTTCAGAGCTTGGGATATGAGACTGAAAATGACAACTCAGAATATTCCTCAGAGAGAACTACCCTGTGATGTGGAAGTAACTCAGGATTAGAAAACATCATATGTTCTCATTCATAAATGGGAGCTAAGCTATGAGGATGCAAAGACATAAGAATGATACAATGGACAATGGGGATTGGTGGGGGAAACGGTGGAAGGAGGATGAGGGATAAAAGACTACAAATTGGATACACTGTATACTGCTCCGGTGATGGGTCTACCAAAATCTCAGAAATCACCACTAAAGAACTTATTAATGTAACCAAACACCACCTGTTCCCCCACAAACCTATGGAAATAAATAAAAACAAAAAATAATAATGCCAGCCAGGCGCGGTGGCTCACGCCCATAATCCCAGCACTTTGGGAGGCCGAGGCAAACGAATCACGAGGTCAGGAGTTCGAGACCAGCCTGCCCAACATGGTGAAACCCCGTCTCTACTAAAAATACAAAAAATTAACTGGGCGTGGTACAGGGTGCCTGTAATCCCAGCTACTTGGGAGGCTGAGTCAGGAGAATCGCTTGAACCCAGGAGGCAGAGCTTGCAGTGAGCCGAGATCATGCCACTGTACTCCAGCCTGGGTGACAGTGTGAGACTCCATCTCAAAAATAATAATAATAATAATAATAATGCCAAAAAAGTAGATAATCTAGATGAAATGGACAATTCCAAGAAAGACACAAACTACCAAACCTGACTCAAGAAGAAACAGAGTATCTGAGTACACCTATAACAAGTAAAGGGATTGAATTAGTAATCAAAATCTTCCCTCAAAGAAAAAAACAGAACCAGATAGCTTGACTGGTAGATTCTACCAAATGTTTAATAATTAACACCAATCCTTCACAAATTTTTCCAAAAACACAGGAGAGGAAGGAACACTTCCCAACTCATTCTGTGAGGCCAGTATTACTAATACAAAAGCAGACAAAGGAAAGAAAAACATAGGCCAACATTCCTTATTAGTGTAAATAAAAAAACCCTCAACAAAATAATTTTAAACTGAATCCAGCAGCATATAAAAGGGATTATAAACCATGACAAACAGATGTATCTCAGGAATTCAGAAAATTAATGTTATACACCATATCAGTAAAATAAAGTACACAAAACCACATGATCACTTCAATCAATGCAGAAAAATCATTTGACAAAGCCCAACACGCTGTCATGATAAAACATTCAACAAACTAGGAATAAAAGAGAATGTCCTCAACTTGATAAAGGACATCCATGAAAAACCCACAGCTGACATCATACTTTAATGGTAACTGAAAGCTTTCTTCCTAAGATCAGCCAGGATGTCTGCTCTTACCACTTCTATTCAACATTTTATAGAAGGTTTTAGCCAGGGCAATTAGGCAAGAAAAAGAAATAAAAGGCATCTACACGGTAAAGAAATAAGTAAAGCTATCTTTATTTATAGATGACAAATTTGTATAGATAAAATCCTTGGAAATCTACAAAAACACTACTAAACAAGTTTAGCAAGGTTGCAGCTTACAAGATCAACATGCAAAAATTATGTTTTTATATACTAGCACTGAACAACCAAAAATGAAATTAGAAAATAATTCCATTTACAATCGTATTCTAAAAAATAAAATACCAGGAATATATTTAACAAAAGAAGTATAAGACACTCATTGAAAGCTACAAAACAATGTCGAAAGCAACTAAATAAATGGAAACACATCTCGTGTTCACGGATTAGATGACTTAATATTGTTAAGATAGTAGTACTTTCTGAATTGATCTACAGATTAAATGCAATCTCTATTAAAATTCCAGCTGACTTTTTTTTTTTTTTTGCAGAAATTGACAAGCCAATCCTCAAATTCAAATGGAAATACAAGGGGCCCAGAACAGCCAAAACAATCTTGCAAATAACAAAGTTGGTGGATTCACACTTCTCAATTTTCTAAGCTTCCTACAAAGCTACAGTAATCAAGACTGTGTAGTACTGACATAAGAATGGTGGACATGTAGATCAGTGGAATAGAACTGAGTCTAGAACATACATTTATGGGCAACTAATTTTTGACAAGGGTGTCCAGACAATAACACAATGGGGAAAGAACAGTCTCCCCCATAAATGGTGCTGAGACAAGTGAACATCCAAATGCAAAAGAATGAAGTTAGACGCTAACCTCATACCATATACAAAAATTCACCAGAATAGATCAAAGACCTAAATGGAAAAGCTAAAAGTACAAAACTGTTTTAAGTAAACATAGGCATAAATCTTCATGACCTTGGTGTCTTAGATATGATTCCAAAAGCACAGCGACAAAAGAAAAGATAAAGTGGAAATCACACAAATTAAAGATGTTTGATTTCCAGAATACCCTAAAAGAGAACCCAGAGAATGAGAGAAAACTTCTGCAAATCATGTCTGATAAGAGTCTAGTATTCCAGTATATACAGAAATCTCTAAAAGCATAATAGTTTAAAGAGAACCCAATTTTAAAATGGGCAAAGGACGTGATTAGTTTTCCAAAGAATATGTAAAAATAACTGATAAGCATACAAAAATTGCTCAAGATCATTACCTATCATGGAAATGCAAATGATTAGCTACCATGGGAATGCAAATGAAAACAATAATACCAGTTCACAGCCACTAGGATAGGTATAATTTTAAAAAAAAACAGATAACATGTTGAGAATATGGAGAAATTGGAAATTTTGTACATGCTGGTGGTAATGTAAAATGGTACAGTCATTTTGGAAAAGAGTCTGTCAGTTCCTGAAAAGGTTACTATATGACCCAGTAATTCCACTCCTAGGTATATAATACAAGAGACTTGAAAATGTATGTTCCCACAAAAAATTTATATATAAATGTTCATAGCAGATTTATTCATAATAGCCAAAAAGCCGAAATAACCCAAAAGCCTATCATCTGATGACTGGGTAAACAAAATACAGTATATCTATATGTAGGGGAAAATAGGTAACATAGCAGGCCTGACTGCTATACCTTGAAAGATTTATTTATAAACTTGGCCCTTGGCTGATATCTGGAAACATGGATTTGGGCGCTGTTCTTAGCATTCTCTAAATGTAAAGGTGGCTCACTATGTCTAAACTGTTTATACAAGCAATAGTTTAGGCTGAACACAGACTTTCCTCCTGGGAGTCTGGAATTCGAGTACACGTGGGCAGGAGTGCCTACGTGACCAATTCCCAATTAAAAAAACCTGGGCATTGAGCTTCTGATGAGTGTCCCTTGTTGGCAACATTTCAGAAGCATTGTCACAACTCATCGCTGGGGAAATTAGGCATGTCCTCTGTGCTCCCACCAGGAGAAGACCCTTAGAAACTTATGCCTTGATTTTCATGAACTTTGCCCCACGCAGCTTTTCCGTTTCCTTTCTCTGTAGTAAATCATAGCCTTTAGTATGACTATATGCTGAGTACTGTGAGTCCTCTCAGCAAATCATCAAACCTGAGGATAATCCTATGACCCCTGATTTATCATATAATAAAATATACAGCCATAAAGGGAATAAAGTATTGATACGTGTCACAACATAGATGAACTGTGAAAATACCATGTCGAGTTTGGAAAGCCACACGTAAAAGGCCATATATTGAATGATTCCATTTATATGAAATGACCAGAATAGGCAAATCCTTAAAGACAGAAAGTAGGTTGTTCACCAGGGGCTGGCTGAAGGAGGAAATAGGGGTGGCTGCTAATGGCTATGGGGCTTCTTTCTGGGATGATGAAGATATTCTGGAATTAGTGATGTTGGTGGCACAACATTGTGAATATATTAAAACCACTGACTCATACACTTTAGAATGGTCAATTTTATAGTATGTGAAAATTATATCCATTAAAAAAAGAGTAGATGGGAGGAAACGAATTGGCAAGAGTGTGATAGATAATTCTTGAGGAGCTTTGATGTGAAAAGGAGCAGAGCATTAGGGTATTAGCTGGTGGAGTATTAGCTGAAAGTGAAGGCAGGTCAGGAAAGAGTCATTTTTTAGGCGGGGGAGAAAATACCATGTTTAGATGAGGAGATCTAAGACAGAAGAAATTTCTGTGGAAAGATGAAAACTGCTGGAACAATGTCCCAGACTAGGTGAAAAGGAATAGGATGAGATCTGGTGGACAAATAGAGGATTTGATTTTAGAAGCACTGACAGTTCATCAGTAATAACAGGGAGGAAAATAAAGCATATAGGTACAGATGCAAGTATGTGAACAGATATGGAAGAAGTTTGTAAAAGTTCTCACTGCTTTGACTTTCTCAGTGAAATAGAAAGCAGGTCATCAAAAGTGAGAATGAAGAGGAACGGCTGAAGGTTCAGGAAAGAGGAAGTATAAAATAATACTCCAAGAAAGTGGGAACTCAAATAGGACTAGGGAAATATAGGTGATTGGCCACACGCTATGGCTCATACCTGTAATCTCAGCGTTTTGTGAGACCGAGGTGGGAGGACTGCTTAAGCCCAGGAATTCTAGACTAGTCTGGGCAACACAGCAAGACCCCATCTCTATAAAAAATAGAAAAATTAGCCAGGTGTGGTGGCATGCACCTGTAGTCCCAGCTACTCAGGAGGATCACTTGAGTCCAGGCATTCAAGGTTACAGTGAGCTATGATTGCACCATCACACTCCAGCCTAGGCAACAGAATGAAATATCATCTCTAAAAAAAAAAAAAAAAGGAAATATAGGTGATTGCATGTAGTATGACTAACAGCACTAAGTGCCTACTGGTGGTTAGCATGACTGTGTGTTTTCCCAGCCACATTCAGCTGTGTGAATGCAGAAGTGGAGAGGTCACAGTTGAATGTAAGATTTGGGGTTTTGACATACAAATCAAATTCAAAGGGAACAACAGAGTTGAAGGTGTATGCAAAGGGAGTAATACAATGATAGTGAAAGGCATTTAAGCTGAGTAAGGAGGGAAATGAGGACATAAGAGGATAAAAGAAAATTAAAATCTAGCCTGGGCTTGATGGTTCATGCCTGTAATCCCAGCACTTTGGGAAGCTGAGGCAGCTGGATCACTTGAGGTCAGGAGCTCGAGACCAGCCTGGCCAACATGGCGAACCCGTTTCTACTAAAAACACAAAATTAGTTTGGCATGGTGGTGGGAGCCTGTAATCCCAGCTACTTGTGAGACTGAGGCACAAGAATTGCGTAAGCCTTGGAGGCAGAGGTTGCAGTGAGCCAAGATCACGCCACTGCCATCCAGCCTGGGTGACAGAGCAAGCCTCTGTCTCAGAAAAAAAAAAAAAGTAGTAAGATTAACTCTACCAGGACCTGCAATTAATGAATTATTAGAGTTGAAGTCCTAAAGGGAGTAAGCTAGAAAGACAGGAGGTAGAAGTTAGAGAGTAAGATTCTTAGAATCAAGATGACGGGGGGCTGTAGTTATTGATAACAGCACTATTTAGGATTTGACATGGCAGTGAGTAGTTGAGGTAGAGTGGACAACAAGATTACTGGAAGACAGGAATTGAAGGCACTGAGAGGCCAAGTTACTGGAAACATCATCTACATAGCAATTGCAATTACTAACACATATACTTAGGAAAATTGACAATAGTAGCTAAAATCTTTATGGAAGGAGGACTGAACTGGCAGTCTGCTGATGACTGTCCTGTGGTATAGACTAGTAAAATGAGATTCAACAATAGGGGAGTAAGAAGGAAGGAAGCAAGGACATTCATGAGTGTTTAAAATGTACAGAAATTTTGGTGTTATTCAGGTATAGTGAGGCCAACAGATCAGGAGACAACTGCCACTGAAAAGATAATTTGTTAGTTATAATTTACAAGAGGAGGGGGCACACCATGCAGGGCCACACAGGGAAGCAACAGGGTTGGTCAGAAGGAGCAAGGGGAAAGCATGGACAAAAGCCTTTATTGGGGTTTTCAAGGGAAGAAATAAGCAAGGCAAGGTAAGCAACTGAACAGGATCAGGGCTGGATTTTTTGAATAATGTTGACTGGCTCTGGCCTATGGGAGTGATCCCTACTTGTCTGGTACTTGGCTATAGGGAGATTAGGGGAAAAGAATGTTATCTCCTGGAATATGAGAACCAGATAGAGAATGTGCATATATGAATGGATATATAGGTGGGTCCATGTACTTAGGATTGGCTGGTTCACAGGCAAGTCATTTACTATCTCTAGGAATTAGCGAACCTGGGAGGGGCAGTCTTTTCCCCCAACCCCATCAGCAAGACCCCAGATACCAGAAAGAAAATACAACAAGGAAGACACTTATTCCAACCACTTTCAATCCTTGTAGTATAAGGGATGTGGGAGAGACAATGGCTACCGCC
Source organism: Homo sapiens (assembly GCF_000001405.40). Classification (NCBI taxonomy): domain Eukaryota; kingdom Metazoa; phylum Chordata; class Mammalia; order Primates; family Hominidae; genus Homo; species Homo sapiens. The sequence continues at coordinate 92,094,923 of NC_000001.11, read as the reverse complement.
AGAGAAAGCTTGCAGAGGAAATGATATCCTTTGTTCTGTGCTGTTTTATGTATTTACCTGACTGAGACTTTATCCTGGTATCTCCCAGCTCTTGATGTTAAACTAAACATCCAAAGGTCCTCCCTCTTTTCTTTACCTCTCACATGCACACACACTCTCACAACAATAACCAGGTTAGTCTTCTTGGGAAATCAAGGATTTTTATGATCCTGAATTGAATTTTAATCATGAGGTCATAAAGCAAGCACAACTTTCCACTGACAATCATTTGAGGCATATCTGAAGTCACTGCATATAAAACAACTTTTCAAAGGCTGTATTTCACACTCTAACTCAAGTGCACAAAGTACACACCAAAGGGCTACAATAAGTAGTAACATAAAAGACTATTTCAAAATCTTTATCCATTACTTAAAAAGAAAGGATGTGAACTGAAGAGACTTACAAGGACTGAATTTCACAAAGCAAAAATTCAAGAAATTATTTTATGGGAATTTTCACTAGAAGAAATTTTCATGTCAACATTTTCCATTGTACTCCCTTCCTTTTGCCTTCTTTTCATACAGACAAATGTCAAAACAATCTGCTTTGAAACCAAAAAAGGGTACGTCACAAGTGCTTTCTATATGCAAGACACTACATGAGGCACCAATGGAGATGTGCACATCAGTGAGACAATCTAATCTCAAGGAGCTTACATAATCACAGACACACACGACTAACCTAATACAAAACAGAATATGATTAGTGCTTGAAATAGAGCACTGTGAAGTGCTATGAAGCACAAAGCCAGCTACTCCAACTACTTTCTTTGAAATGAGAAAACTGAGGCTGAAAAAAAATAAAACAAGATAATGCACAGCAAGAAGGCAGATCTGTCTTACTGCCAAGTCCAGTGCTTCCTCCACTCTCCCATACTGGGTCTAATTCAATCTTTTCCAATCACTTTTAATGATAACAAATAAAGGGTATCATTGATGTAATGTCTCCCTTTCTCTAATGTATAAAAATTTGATCTATGCCAAGGATCTTCTTTTAAACATACATTCAACAGCTGAAGAAATGTATAATTTCATAGCACCTACTACTATGAATAACACAATAATCATGAGATAATAAAGCAAGCTCAACTTTCCACTGACAATCATTTGAGCCATATCTGAAGTCACTACCTATAAAACAATCTTATTCAGTGCTTACCACATGCCCAGGCCACTGCGCTAAGTGCTTTATAACCATCACATTTAACCCTCACAACACCACTATAAGAATTATTAATGTGCCCATTTTTCAGAGGAGGAAACTAATGGTAAGTGATTAGTCTAAGTTCATACAGAAGTGGTAGAACTGGCTTCATCACAAAGCTTGTTCTTATAACAACTCTCTATCACCTACTAGGAGAAAAAAGCATACACTTTAAAATTGGTATTTCGGCTGGGTGCGGTGGCTCACACCTGTAACCCTAGCACTTTGGGAGGCCAAGGTGGGCAGATCACCTGAGGTCGGGAGTTCGAGACCAACCTGACCAACATGGAGAAACCCTGTCTCTACTAAAAATACAAAATTAGCCGGGCATGGTGACACATGCCTGTAATCCCAGCTACTCAAGAGGCTGAGGCTGGAGAATTGCTTGAACCTGGGAGGTGAAGGTTGCAGTGAGCCGAAATCATGCCATTGCACTCCAACCTAGGCAATGAGAGCAAGACTCCCGTCTCAAAAAAAAAAAAAAAAAAAAATTGGTATTTCAAACTCAATGATGAGCCTATATAACCTGTACTGAAAAATGATAGTGATTTTCTAAGTTGTACTTAAAGTATCTGCTTAAATTATAGTATATTAAGTTCTTTTAATGAACACAGGTAGCCAAGGTTAGGCAATTTTCCATTTATGCTCTCCACAGGAGCTTCACACATGAAACAGAAATAATAAAGAAAAAAGTCATTAAAGAAACTGCTAAAGCATAAAATGAATAAGCCAATCACATAAATACACTTAAAATATAATTATCCAAAGATAATTTTCTATACTAATGTAAATGTCATTTTGATTATAGGCAAAAACCATGTTAGCAAATAACTAAAAGACTGGCATCCAAAAAATGTCTGGGATATAAGGACAGATATCCCAGAAGTTTCTTAGACATATAAAAGATACATAAGGACATAAAAACCCGAAAATCCAACTGACTTCTCATGAAAGTCAAAACAGATAAGTGGCACCGGCATTAAGGTCAGACATACAAACCGGTGGTATAGAACTGAGAAACCAGAAATAAACCCTCACATTTATGGGTGAATTAACTTACACTGCCATAATGAAATACCATAGACTGAGTAGCTTAAACAACAGAAATGTATTTCTCAGTTTTCGGAGGCTAGAAGACCAAGATGAAGTGCCAGTATGTTGGGTTCTGGTGAGGGCTTCCTGGCTTCCAGACACCATCGCCTCACTGTGTCCTTGGATGGCAGGGATAGAGTAAGTATGCACACAAGCTCTCTGGTGCCTCTTCTTTTCTTTTTTTTTTTTTTTGGAGATAGCCTCACTCTGAGGCCCACGCTGGTGCTGTGGCATGATCTCAGCTAACTACTCTGCCTCTGGGCTCAAGTGATCCTCCTACCTCAGCCTTCTGAGTAGCCAGGACTATTAGGTGCACACCACCACATCCAGCTAATTTTTTGTATTTTTGGTAAAGACTGGGTTTTGCCATGTTGCCCAGGCTGGTCTCAAACCCCTGGACTCAAGCGATCCACCTGCCTCAGCCCCCCAAAGTGCTGGGACTACAGGTATGAGTCACTGTACCCGCCCTAAGTCTTCTTATACAGGCACTAATCCTTATGAAGACCCCACCCTCATGAACTCATTTCAACCTAACTCCTGAAGGCCCAGTCTCCACCTACTATCACACTGAGGGTTAAGGCTTCAACATATAAATTTTGGGTGGAGACAATTGCAGTCCACAGCAATGGGCAACTGATTTTCAGTAAGAGTGTCCAGACAATCCGAGGAAAAGAAGGGAGAGGAGGAGGAAAAATTGGTGCTGTGACAACTGCATATCTGCATACAAAAGAATGAAGCTAGATCCCTTCCTTACGCAATACATGGCAATTAACTCAAAATGGATCAAAGACCTATAAATGTAAGAGTTAAAAATATAAAAACATTAAATTCTTAGAAAAAAACATAGGAGTAACCTGGGCATAGTGGCACATGCCTGTAATCTCTGCTACTCGGGAGACTCACTTGAGCCCAGGAGTTAAGAGACCAGCCTAGGAGGCTGAGGCAGGAGAATGGCGACCGGGAGGCGGAGCTTGCAGTGAGCCGAGATTGCGCCACTGCACTCCACCCTGGGCGACAGAGCGAGACTCCGTCTAAAAATAAAAAAAAAAAGAGAGACCAGCCTACGAAACACAGCAAAACCCTGTCTCAAAAAAATATATACATACACACACACATACACATACACACACACACACGAGTGTATTAGTCCGTTCTCACACTGCCATCAAGAACTACCTGAGACAGCGTAATTTATAATGAAAAGAGGTTTAATTGACTCCCAGTTCCCCAGGCTGTACAGGAAGGCATGGAAGCATAGCTGGGGAGGCCTCATGAAACTTAACAATCAAGGCAGAAGGCGAAGAAGAAAGCAGCATGTCTTACATGGCCGGAGGAGGAGGAAGAGCTCTAGAGAACAAGGAGGAGGTGCTACACACTTGTAAACAACCAGATCTCCTGAGAACTCACTATCATGAGAACAGCCAGGGGGAAATCCACCCCCATGATCCAATCACCTCCCACTAGGCCCCTCCTCCAACACTGGGGATCACAATTTGACAAGAGATTTGGGTGGAGACACAAATCCAAACCATATTAATGAGTAAATCTTCAAAACCCTAGATTAGGCCAATGGTTTCTTAGCCATCACACCAGAAGCACAGTGACAAAAGAAAAATTACATAAGCTAGACTACATAATAAAAAATTTTTTTTTTTGAGATGGAGTCTTGCTCCGTCATCCAAGCTGGAGTGCAGTGGCACAATCTCAGCTCACTGCAACCTCCACCTTCTGGGTTCGGGTGATTCTCCTGCCTCAGCTTCCCAGGTAGCTGGGATTACAGGCATGCGCCACCATGCCCGGCTAATTTTTTCGTGTTTTTAATGGAGACAGGGTTGCAGCACGTTGGCCAGGCTGGTCTCAAACTCCTGATCTCAGGTGATCTGCCCACCTCGGCCTCCTAAAGTGCTGGGATCACAGGTGTGAGCCATCGCACCTGGCCTGACTACATAAGAATTTAAAACTTTTGTGTCATAAATGATACCATCGTGAAAGTGAAAAGACAACCCAGAGAATGGGAGAAAATATTTATAAATCATATTTGTGATAAGAGTCTAATATTACAGAATATATAAAGAACACTTAGAAGTCAATAATATAAAGACAGCCCAATTTCAAAATGGGCAAAGGATGTAGATAGTTCTCCAAAGATATAAAAATGGCAAATAAGCACACAACAATATGCTCAACATCGTTAGTCATCAGGGAAATACAAATGAAAACTATAATGAGATACTAGTTCACATCCACAAGGAGGGTAATAATAAAAAAATACAGAAGATAACAACAAATGTGCCGAGGATGTGGAGAAACTGAAGCCCTTGTACATTGCTAGTGGGAATGTAAAATATTATAGCCAGTTTGGAAAACAGTTCAGCAGTTTCTCAAAAGGTTAAACATAGTTACCATATATATAATCCAGCAATCCCACTCCTAGGTATATACTCAAGAAAAATAACACAGGTTCACAGAAAAATTTGTATATACGTATTATAGCAGCATTATTCATCATAGCCAAAAAGTATTAATAGAAACAATTTAAATGGCAACGAATGGATTAACAAAATATGGAATAGCCATACAATGAAATAATATGCAACAACAGAAAGAAATAAAGTACAGAATGAAGATTAATTTAAACTAGTTTCTCCCATTATTTAGCTGATGACAATTCTGAGTTCAAACATGAGTCCCCAAAATTACTAAAAAGTCAAATTGATGTTCTGTTCTCAAAAAACAATTTGACCAAATACAAGTTACTATGGTCTGAATGTTTGTGTCCCCCCAACCCCAAAATTCATATGATGAAACTTAATCCCCAATGTGGTGGTATGAAGAGGTGGGACATTTGAGAGATGATTAGGTCATGAGGGCTCCATCCTCATGAATGAGATTAGTGCTCTTATAAAAAAGACCCAAGAAAGTTTGTTTATCTCTTTTGCCATGTGAGGGCACAGAGAAGACGCTATCTTCAAGGAACTAACCCTCACCAGGCACTGAATCTGCTGGCACCTTGATCTTGGACTTCCCAGGCTCCCGAACTGTGATCAATACATTTCTATTGTTCACCAATTACCCAGTCTAAGGTATTTTGTTATAGCAGCCCAAATGGACTAAGACATAAGCCATGAGAATAAAAACAGTTATGACGTTATATTTTTATAAATATACATACTTTAAAGTTTCACATGCCAACAATACAGAGTGAGTACGTAGCAACGGTTCTCAAGAGGGGGCAATTAGGACCTCCAGAGGACATCTGGCAATGTCTGGAGACATTTCGGTCACAACTAAACATCCTAAAATGCACAGCATTGTCCCCACAACAAATAATTATACAACCTGAAATGCCAGTAGTGCCACTACTGAGAAACCCTGGAATAGAATAATTCATTTAAATTACTGGAGAGCACACCATTTCCCTTTTCTCAGGATCAGTCTTAGGTTAATGCTTAGCCTCTACCAGTACTAAGCTAATATTGTACTACCAGTACTAAGCTAATATTAGTACTACTAGTACTAATATTAACACTTAGCCTCTGTCAACACTAATTACTAAGATAATTTGGAATTTAAGTGAATGGATTTTTCTTATCAGGTTACAAAATACATATGAAAATATATTAAATAAAAACATACATGTTAAAAATAAGCAATTACATATTAGACTTACATGGATAAAGAAAGCACTTACTGTAAAAACGTTCTAAATTCTAAAGCTTCAACATTCTCCACAGCAATAGGCTCCTGATTTGTTAAACTATTTGATGTCTGTCCAATAGTATGAAAATAGAAGTCAGGAACTCTTGCTAAAAGGACTGCTTTGTGTGCTTTGAACAAAGTACAACCCACAGAGAAGGTAACATCTGTATGGAATTCTTCCCTTAGAAGCCTATAAGGAATAAAAAGGAATCATAGTTTAATTAGTGATACTAAAAAACGTATACATATTTTTATAAAGTAGGTTTAAAATAACACATAAGCTAAAAAATACAGAGGCAACATAAAGTTAATACAAAAATGAGTTTGTTCTCAGTTCATTCCAAAAAACATTGTTTAACATTGGCTTAGAGCCTAATTTTCTAAAATTCATAGTGAAAACAAAGACAATTTCACTAAAAGAGTAAGACTACTGTTTCAAAATATTTACTTATGAATTCCTTCTGATAATAAAAAAATATTTTCTGCTACTTATGTTGATTTTCCTTTAGATATACTATCTTCTTTAGATTTATTTTTAAAATGCAAAGTTGACATGATCATTAATTATTTAAAATAATCAATTTTTTAAAATCTTACTTAAATTGAAGCAAAAAAAAAGTTAATAGTTAATGACAGCAACAAACCACACATATCAGTAGAAAATTCAGGTTAGAAACTGGTACTTAGTTCTGGCTAATGTTAATTAACAAGTCTGAAATCCAGGTGTGGCTGTCAAAAATGTGACATTTACTCTCTTTTCCAGTCTCCCACTCCCACAAATAGAATTATGCTCTAATCTATCATTAAAATGATGGATTCGTGATCCTTTCAAATCCCTTTGCTAATGTACAGATATAGTTCTTGTAAAGCCCACTGATTACATGTATACGTGAGTGATAGAAGAATAGAAATCAACATAATAGAAAATGTCATAATATAATCTTTTGCCTCTTTGCAGTAACTATTTTACTCTCTAAATATTAAATAAAACTTCATATCACTATAGCAATATCATCAGCAAGGTATGCATTCTCAGAGGACTTCTGTATTACAGGATATATAAAACTGGCAATAATACCAGTACACTACAGGAGGTACAAGTAACTGATAAAGATACCCATTACAGTGAAAGCTTGGAAAGCAGCCAATGACATTCATACTCCCCCAGGACCAAGTTAATGGCTCCTTCCTCTAATCCCATCACATTCAGTACATACCTCTATTATAGCATTTCTGTCATTGCATCATTATTATTTTTACATGTCTTTCTCCCCACTAGACAATGAACTCCCCACGGACAAAAACTGTATCTTCAGTATACAGCAAGAGTTCAGTATCTTCTTATTAAATGATCCTATTTTACCCTAGACAAAACAAATGCTTCAGAGCATAAAAGCTTTCAGAACCTTGAAAATAATGGCCAAATAGATGCATCTTAGTTTGGTCAATATTTTCAATAAATTATTTTCATAAGTAATTTTTAAAGTTACACAAAAATGTGTTGGACTCTCAAACTTTAATTGAAATAGAAACTCTACAAACACTCAATTTGTTCTTTCCTCCCACCCTCCTTCCCCCCATCCCACCCCTCAAGTGAATAAGGAAGCACTGCAGCTGGTAGCCATACAACCATCAGGAGGGAACCCACCTTGTTGCTAACAGATGCTCATGAGTACTTGCTAAATGGAAAAAAAAAAGTGTGTATAAAATTGTTAATGTGAAAATACAGTGTTTTTTATTTGATAGAACCATTTTTATCAGTTTCAAGTATATTTTGTTATGTTACAAATCTGAAAATCTGACTTAGACTGGCTTAAACATTAAGGAGTTTATTGGCCCATCGAATAGTAAAGTCCAGAGGAAGGACAGACTGGAGAAGTCTCAATGATGCCAAGGCCCAGCTTCTTTCCATCTCATATCTTTGCCCACTACTGTATTCACCTATCTTAGTCCATTTGTGCTGCTATAACAGAATACCACAGGATAGGTAATTTATAATGAACAGACATTTATTGGTTCACAGTTCCAGAGGCAGGGAAGTCCAACATCAAGGTGCTGGCATCTGCAAGGGCCTTCTTGCTAAGTCATCACATGTAGAAGGATAGAGGATAAAAGGGAGCAAGAAGGAGCCAAACTCATCCTTTTATAACACTACCACTCGCACCCATGAGGGTGGAGCCCTCTTGGCTTAATCATTTCTTAAGGGTCATACCTCTTAATACTGCTACAATGGCAATCAAATTTCCTTTTTTTTTTTGAGACAGAGTCTTGCCCTGTTGCCCAGGCTGGAGTGCAATGGTACCATCTCAGCTCACTGCAACCACCACCTCCCAAGCTCAAGGGATCCTCCCACCGCAGCCTCCCAAGTAGCTGGGACCACAGGCATGCATCACCACACCCAGATAATTTTTGTATCTTTTGTAGAGACAGGATTTTGCCATGTTCCCCTGGCTGGTCTCAAACTCCTGAGTGTTGGGGAAAAGCTGAGTGTTGGGAAAAACGCTGAGGCAGGGCTTGCACGTCTGACATAATGTAAAAGATTTTGGAACATGTCTGCGGTCCAGGGTCTAAAACCCCTTGTGGCCTTTGGAACACCAAGCTCTGTGCCAAAGGGTGGAAGGCTGCCCTGCCGCACCACAATATAAGCCCAGGGCATTAAACCCCTAGTGGCTTGGATGGAATCCGGGGCTCAGGGCATAAAACCCCTTGTGGTCTCTGGCTCCTTGCTTCTAGCACTCCCAGGCTCATAGATCAATTGTATCTTAAACCAGAAGAACATGTTTCCCACTATCTCAAATAGCAGAACATGTTCCATATGCTTCAAAGAAAATGCTAAACCATCACAGCTGTAGATCATGCGCTTGATACACCACTTTCTTTCAACCCCTACATCCTCACTACCTGCTTCTTTGATCACCAATAAACAGCGTGGGCTTCCAGAGCTCAGGGCCTTCACAGCCTCCATACTAGCATTGGCCCCCTGGTCCCACTTTATGTCGTCTCATTCCTTTGACTCTGCCGAACTTTGTAGCCCCAAAGGCCTGGTGTTGGGTCTGATCACCCCAACACTGAGCTCAAGCAATCCATCCCCCTCAGCCTTCCAAAGTGCTGGGATTACAGGAATAAGCCACCTGCCTAGCCTGTAAATTATTATTATTTAGACGGAGTCTCACTCTGTCACCCAGGCTGGAGTGCAGTTGCGTGATCTTGGCTCACTGCAACCTCTACCTCCTGGGTTCAAGCAATTCTCCTGCCTCAGCCTCCTGAGTAGCTGGGAGTACAGGTGTGCACCTCTACCTCCTAGGTTCAAGCGATTCTCCTGCCTCGGCCTCCTGAGTAGCTGGGAGTACAGGTGTGCACCTCTACCTCCTAGGTTCAAGCGATTCTCCTGCCTCAGCCTCCTGAGTAACTGGGAGTACAGGTGCGCACCACCATGCCAGGCTAGTTTTTGTATTTTTAGTAGAGATGGGGTTTCACTATGTTGGCCAGGCTGGTCTCAAACTCCTGACCTCAAGTGATCTGCTCGCCTTGGCCTCCCAAAGTGCTGGGATTACAGGCATAAGCCACCGTGCCCAGCCAGGCCTGTAAAATTCAACATGAGTTTTGAGAGGACAAACATTCAAACCATAGCATAACTTATCTAAAGCAATTTACACTGCCGATAAAACTCAGCACTAAACATTTATTGAGCACATACTATGTACTAAGCACTGGGAACATAAAGATGACTAAAACATAATACCTATCCTCAGGGAGTTTATAGTATAGTAGGGAAGCCAGGTCTGAAAATTAAAGTGTGTGATATATTTAATAGCATAAGTAAATTTTGTTCAGGGACAGACAAAAGAGGAGACCTCACAGAGGGCATGAAAACCCAATGGGATTTTAAAGACTGAGTAAGAGCTGGTTAGGGAACTAAGGCAAGGTAAGTAAGTGCCTGGCTCCATGTTCCTTACAAAGATATGTGTGAGTGTGGAACTATATGTTGGTCAGCACAGAGTACTGAGAGGGTGCGAAGTGGCAGATGAAGCTGCAGAGATAAAGATGAATAAGAGGCAAAGAGCTTAACTGTACCCTACAGTGAAAGAGGAGTCATAAAATTGTGTGTGCTGAACCTCTATTAACCTCAGTAGGGAAGGCACCAGGCTCCAGAGGCTGAAGAGACCCAGAGCCAGCAAACAAGATATGGGCTTTTATTAGGGGCTTACATACAGGGGAGAGAGTCCAGTGGTGGCAGGCTGGACAAGATATCCACCTTACCTACAGTCCAGTGGTGGTGGACTGAGCAGGAAAACTGCAAACCCTTGCAAACAGCATGGAAGTTTATACAGCATTTTCACTTAACCCCCTTCCTTTAATGTCCTCCACCTGGCAACCTTCATACAACCCTAACCCAGGGCTTCAATCCCCTTTACAGCCTGTGTTCCACAGTATGGGCCCAGGAGCTCAGATGTTCCTCACAGACAAGGAACGAATCTCTGGGATGGCGACTCCCAGATTCCCTAGCTCGCAACACACGCAGGTACATCCACCATACAGGGTCATTTTAAGTGTATGCCTACATTATTGCTATCAGGTGTGTTTGCCCTGCAAATGGTTTGAAACAATGGCAAATTTATTTTTCAAAATATATAAATTTGTGTAGAAGAGGAGTTAGATGAAAATGAGAATGAAGATGAGAAAACTACCGCACAGATGAATGAAGCCAGGAGAGGATCAATGGTGATAAAGATGGGATAAAATTAAAATATATTTACGTAATAAAATTGGCACGAGTTGGTAAAATTGGCAGGGAAGGAATAACTTGGCTCTTTCTCATATTTGGATAACTAGGTGCTAGTGATACTACCAATCTGCTAGTCAAACTCCCCTCCTCTACTCCAGACATATTTCCAGTTGTTTCCTGGATATAGCTTGCTGGACATTCATTATACACCTCCCTTTCAGGCAAGATCAGGCTTGTTCAGGGTGGTATGGTAGTAGCCTACATGTTTCCCTTTCAAATGTCCTAAGATTTGGGGCCATTTTCAATGCTTCCTTTTCCCTGTTCCCCAGCATGTCATCAGTCACCAAGCCTATCAATTGTTCCATTTCCACTGCCATTATGTATCCCTGGACTATAAAATCTCCCAGCTGGTCTCCTTGTTTCCAATTTTCCTTTCCTTAAATTCCAGATTCAAAATGTGTTAATTCCCTATTTTAAAAACACCGATGGTTCTCCACTCCTTCTAGATACATCACAAACATTTCACTGGAGAAAGAAAGCCCCTGTGATCCAGTCTTAGTCTACCCATTCACCCTTACCTACTGTCACTTTGATTGCCTGCCATGCAATCTCCTTCCGAATAAAGCTACCAAATTTATTTATTACTTATATGTGGCCCTGGTTTGTACCACATGCCCCTACATCCTAATCACATCTGAATGGACAATGGGCTAAACCAAGGTTAGCCACTGGCCAATGCAGTAATCAAGCAGGAGAACTTGAGCAAAGATGTTCTATAATAAACATGAACCAACTGATGGCACTGAAGAGCATTCTTAAGCAAATCTATGGTAGAAAAAGAAATGGGTAAGGAGAGAAGAGGAGATGAAGGTACAAAGTTAACTGGAAGATCAGTTTACTGTAGAGGAGGCAGACTGCTTGGGTTCATATTCTGGTTATGTGACCCTGGGCAAGTCATTTGAAAGTCTCTGGAGCCAGATTGCCAAGGTTCTTATTCTGACTCCACCACTTTTTTTTTTTTTTTTTGAGACAGAGTCTTGTTCTGACGCCCAGACTGGAGGGCAGTGGCTTGATCTCAGCTCACTGCAATCTCCACCTCCCCGGTTCAAACAATTCTCCTGCCTCAGCCTCCCAAGTAGCTGGGACTATAGGTGCCACCATCATTTCTTTTTTAACATTCAGTTTCCTCTTGTGTTAAATGAGAATAACAAGACTTACCTCACAGGATTCATGAGAGAAGTAAGTAAAACATTTCATGTAAGCCCAGTGTATAGCAAATAGTAGGATGGCAATAAGTATTAGTGTTTTTTTTTTACCACTGCCCTGAATAACAGTCCATTTGTCAATGTGGTCTTATTGTATGACTGTTACCATATCCCAAACAACTTTCCAGTTCTACATTGGAGCTGGCTTTTTGACAGCTAAAACTGTCTCCCACTTTTCCTCACTTCTCTACATATCTTGTCACGTCAGGTAACCTAGGAGTGTCTCTGTTCCTTACTATTTGGCAGAGTCTAATACGACTTGCTTTCTCAAAATCAATCAAGCTCTTTCAAATTTCTGTGCTTCCATAAAAGTTATTCCCCTTGTTTAGATATCCTCTACCTCTCCCTTCCCAATCTTTACCTAATCAATTCTTAACCAATCCCTAAGAGCTCACTCAAATGTCACCCTATAAAGTCTTCCCAACTCACCCCACCACAACTATCACTTTTATTTAGCCATTTCCTCTCTCACTAGAGTGTAAGGACAAACAACAAAGCAATGTTTTATTAACGTTTATTACTTAAGACCTAGTACCGGGCTAGGTACGTGGTCAGTGCTAGATACTTCATTAGTATTTGTAGAATAAATAAATGACATTGCTATGCTTGGAGAAAATTAATTTAGTATAGCATTTAAGGTGGTTGGGTGAGCATTTTGTTTTGTTTTGTTTTAAAAAAAAACCTTGCTACATCTATTTTTCTTTGTTTATAATAAGAATTTGAGAGTTCTGAGTCCTACCCTCAGTTGTAACTAAGATAAGGATAAATTGTTCACTAGCAATACTTTAACCTCATTTTCTTCATATAAATTAGATGTGTTACCCTAGAAACGTTAACAACTTTAGTATTATTTTTTCCATCTTTTTCATCAGTCCCTCCCTGGTAGAGACAAAGTAGCTTCCCCAGTAGATAGTCCCAAATTAAAGGGATTTTTTTTTTACTTTGATAAATTCTGTTTATAGCTATCGGAGCCTTAAGTATGGGTGAGTTTTTGACAGAAAGCACTTCAAAATGTAGAATCCTGGCTGGGCGCAGTGGCTCACGCCTGTAATCCCAGCATTTTGGGAGGCCGAGGCGGGCGGATCACTTGTGGTCACGAGTTCGTGACTAGCCTGGCCAACATGATGAAATCCCGTCTCTACTAAAAATACAAAAATTAGCCGGGCGTGGTGGCGCGTGCCTGTAATCCCAGCTACTCGGGAGGTTGAGGCAGGAGAATGGCTTGAACCCGGGAGGTGGAGGTTGCAGTGAGCCGAGATCGCGCCACGGCGCTCCAGCCTGGGCGACAGAGCGAGACTCCGTCTCCAAAAAAAAAAAAGTAGAATGCTGCACAACTTTTAATTATTAGTAATTATGTTTACCTCAGTGGTTCTCATAGTCACCCTAGCCAGCAGCATTAGCATCACTTGGGGCCTTGTTAGAAATGGAAAATTTCAGTGATGCCCACCCAAGTTTAAGAATCAATGTCTTGCTGGAAATGTAAATTAGCTAGGTCATATTTCTAAGCTTCAATTTCTTTGTAAGCTGAAATTACTTTAGCTGGATTCCCAATAACCCGAGAAGGATATCCATGAGGCTTACAAAGGTTAAATGTCAGGAAGACCCTCCATTTGCTTTGGTCCTCACAGGAGCTGAGAGTTGCTGGGAGCTACAGAGAGCTCTAGGTGGAGAGAGGAATCCAGGTCGCAATCAGGAAGCATTTCTGGTAAATTGTTTAAAGAGACCTCAGAAGAGACCTCCAAGACTATAGTATTGTTCTTTCCTCATTTCAAATAATCGTTTTCCTAATTTTATTATTTTTCTTAAAATAGTATAAGCTTATTTTAAAAATTGTGTAAGTTTCAGGACCTGGATCCACCCGACCTTAGTGATTGGAAACAACTAAGCGTGCCTGTGTTGAGATATTTCTAGCAAACTAGTGCTGCACACGACTAAGCTTTTTTTGTTTTCCTTTTGAATCTGGTACATGGTGTCGAGGTGCTCGGGATTGTTTATTCAGGGCGAGCGAAGCCACTTTTCGGAATAGTGGGGAGACTGGCTAACGACCCGCAGTCGCCTGAGGCGAGGAGAACCAAGTGCTGAGGGAGGGGGAGGCAGAGCCGAAAGAAGCCTCAGCTTCGGGGCGGAGGTGGGCGATTTAGGAACTGAAGCAGCCAGAGTTCCCGCCTCCTCCTACCTGAGCAAATCCTGGCTGAGCTGCTCCGACACCGTCGCCTTCAGCCGGCGCCGCTCACACGGCCCCTTCCTTTGCAACCCCTTACTGCAAACTCCAGCGGACCCCAGAAGTACCATGGGGGCCGCACTGCCTTCCCCACAGCGAGCCATGTCTCACAGAGGTACGACGCCCTGGAGGCCCAGTACTTGGCCTCACTTGCCCCGCCCAGGAGGAAGAAGGGGGCGTTTCCGACCGAACGCTCGGCTCCTACCCAAATCCGCCCCCTAGGGTAAAAGGTTGACGCCTCTCGTCGGTTTGTAGACAGTCTCCCAGAGAAGCCGGACCGCGGTGGGGAGCCTCAGAATCCCAGAACCGAGCCGGCTCTTGACCCAGGAAGAGCGTGCGCAGGCGTACTCGCTCTGTTTACTTCTGCCGGCGGGCACCCCGCCTCCCATGGCTCAGGCGCGGACCATCCCGCGGGGCAAACCAATCCTCAGGCTCCTTATCCCCTCCCCTCTTCTTTCCCTTCCGGTTGGTGTTCATTCATTTCAATGTTTTACTGAGGCTCGAGTTCAAATCAGCACATGCAGCCTTTCTATGCTGTGTCTTCCTGACAGGTCTACACTTTTTTCCAACGAAAGACTGGGCGAGTCACACCCCCTCACTTACCTGGCTTCTTAACCCTGAGGTATAAATGTTTGGGGCAAGAAAAATTGGCGATGGGAGGAGTAGGGGAAGAACTTCATAAACTGCCAGTCAGAACAATTCTGAGTTCAATATAAGAGATACTTACAGCATCTAGAAGGCCCCATCCCCTTCTTATCCAAGGAGTGGCTCATACAAGCTTTTGGACTTGATCGGAGAAAGCACAGGGCTTTGCATATAAAGCCCTAACATTTATGACCAAGAAGGGAGAAATAGGTAAGGGGCAAAGTCTTTGAGCAGTGAAGTGATGGATGGATGAAATATAGAATTCTCTTTTGTCCCAAATAAAGTAGCAAACTGATTATCATTTAAGGTTTTGGTATTTTTTATTTGATTACTGCCTCCAAAATAAGGAAACTCAGTAGTTCCGCTTCGGGCCGGGCAAGTCCCATCTACTTGGGAAGCGAGGCGGAATGATGGCTTGAGCCCGGGAGGTCGAGGCTGCAGTGAGCCATGATTGCACCACTGCACTCCAGCCTGAACAGCACAGCAAGACCCTGTCTCAAAAAAAAAAAAAAAAAAAAAAATCTGTTTCATTCACAAACTCTACACACAAGGTGAAGAATAGTAATTGCTTGGAAAATACATTGGCCAGGTTGCGGTGGCTCACACCTGTAATCCCAGCACTTTGGGAAGCCAAGGCGGGAGGATCACTTGAGCCCAGGAATTAGAGACCAGCCTGGGCAACATAAGGAGACCCTGTCTCTACCAAACAAAAAAAAAAAAAAAGGAGGCGGGGAGGGGAATATATGGACTTTGTATTTGTACCATAAGATTGGCCAAGAGGTAACCATTTCTTCAGATAATGCCCCCTCTCAAATATTCAGACATCTTAATTCTGAAAAATATAACTGGATAATTGATTTTTTAAAATTAATTCCCAAATGCTTGGATGGATAATTGATTCTTAATTATTCCTGTAGAAACGAGGGGTGTCAAAGATAACATAATAGTAGCTTATATTTGAATCCTTATTATGTGATAAACGCTACTCTATTTGCTCTGTGTGTTTTAACTCAGTTAATCCTTACAACAACCATTTAGCTAGGTACTGTCTTCAGACCTATTTACAGATGAGGAAGCTGAGGCATACAAAGGATAGGTAAACTTGGCCAAGGTCACACAATGTCATATATCACACTATAATATATGGTGTGTTACACCATAATAATGGTGTATTATAACCCAGGCAGTATTTATATTTTGACTGGCAAATTTAGTCAATTTACATATACTTTTCGTAGGAATGTAAATTGGTGCAGCCATTATGGAAAACAGTATGGAGGTTCCTCAAAAAATTAAAAATAGGACTATGACATGACCCAGCAAACCCTCTTCAGGTATATACCCAAAGGAAATGAAATTAGCACCTCATAGAGATATCTGCACTTTCATGTTTGTTGCCCCATTATTCACAATAGCTAAGATATGGAAACAACCTAACTGTCCCTAGGATAGATTAACGGATAATGTTGTATATATACAATGGAATATTATTCATTCTTAAAAGAGAAGATCCTGCCATTTGTGACAACATGGATGAAGCTGGAGGACGTTAAGTAAAATTAGCCAGGCACAGAAAGACAAATACTGCCTGACGCCTGTAATTGCAGCACTTTAGGAGGCCGAGGTGGGCGGATCATGAGGTCAGGAGATCGAGACCATCCTGACTAACACGGTGAAACCCTGTCTCTCCTAAAAATACAAAAAAAATTAGCCAGGCATGGTGGTGGGCACCTGTAGTCCCAGCTACTCAGGAAGCTGAGGCAGGAGAATGGTGTGAACCTGGGAGGCGGAGCTTGCAGTGAGCGGAGATTGCCACTGCACTCCAGCCTGGGCGACAGAGCCAGACTCTGTCTCAAAAAAAAAAAAAAAGAAAAAAGACAAATACTGCATACTCTCATATGTAGGATCTTTTAAAAAGTACATAAACAGAAAGGTGGTTGGGGGAGATGTAGGTCAAAGGGTACAAAGTTGCATTTATGTAGGATGAGTAAGTATAGAGATCTAATGTACAGCATGAGAACTATAGGTAATAATATTTGTTGTATACTAGAAATTTGCTAAGCGAGTAGATTTTAGGTGATCATACCACAAAAAAAGTAACTATGTGTGGTGAGAGGGAAAACAGTAACTGTGTGATGATGATATGTGCTTGACTATATCATTTTACTATGTATGTCAAAACATCATGTTGTATACCTTAAATATCCACATGTTAAAAAAAAAAAAATCAAAAAACCACCCAGGTAGTCTAGCACCAGACTCCCTTCAAAGCCCTGCCAGATTTCTACCAGGCCTCTTTATCACCTGATAAAGTAACAACTAGGCTACTCTCTGGTTGGAAATGGGTGACAGAATGATTCCTGGTTCATGTTTTATCTTAAAACAACTTAAGTTAGGCCGGGTTTGGTGGCTCATGCCTGTAATCCCAGCACATTTGAAGGCCGAGTCGGGCAGATCACCTGAGGTCAGGAGTTCGAGACCAGCCTGGCCAACATGGCGAAACCCCGGTTCTACTAAAAATACCAAAATTAGCCAGGTGTGGTGGTGCATGCCTGTGGTCCCAGCTACTTGGGAGGCTGGGGCAGAGAATCACTTAACTATATCATTTCACTGCAGAGGTTGCAATGAGCCGAGATCGTGCTACTGCATTTCAGCCTGGGTGACAGAGCAAGACTCCGTCTCAAGAAATATATATATAAAAATAAAAAAACTTAAGGTAGCTTAGGCGGCTATGTGAAATGATTAAAGAATGAGTAAATACTCCCTTAAAAAACAAAACATGGCTGGGCATGGTAGCTCATGCCTGTAATTCCAACACTGGGAGGTTGAGGTGGGAGGATTGCTTGAAGCCAGGAGTTCGAGGCTGCAGTAAGTTATGATCACATCGCAGCACTGCACTACTTAGCCTGGGCAATAGAACAAGACTGTCTCTAAAAAAAAAAAAACAAAAAAACTTGTCATTGATGCTTCACATTCTACCATTAGATAATTTAACTTAAAGCATTATTTTTATTTTAATTCATCTCTATAGTCATTTATCCCTTAATGTGAGTGAGGTTTTCAGATGTTCTTCCTGAAATAATTTTTGATCAGGAGGAAAAGAGAGTTTAAGGAACTAGCGGTGGGAGCTGTGAAGGTAAACGTGGCTAAACTCCTAATTTGGTTTAGGGTCATCTTTAACTGTGATCTTAATGTGAGAAAAGTAAATTTAGGTAAAATTGCCTTGGAAGGAAAAACTTCTTTCAAGAACTCTAATCTCATGAAAGCAAACCCATTTTTGATGCATTATTTCTCCCTCTTTAAAAATGTTTAGGCTGAGCTTGGTGGCTCACACCAGTAATCCCAACATTTTGGGAGTCTGAGGTGGGAGGATTGCTTGAGCCCAGGAGTTCAAGAACAGCCTAGGCAGCATAGCAAGGCCTCGTCTCTACTTACTTACTTACTAAATAAATAAATAAATAAATAAATAAATAAATAAATAAATAAATAAAATTAAAGCCAGGTGTGGTGGCACATGCCTGTAGTCCTCGCTACTCAGGAGGCTGAGGTGGAAGGATCGCCTAAACCAGGGGTTAGAGGCTGCAGTGAGCCGTGATCGTGCCACTGCACTTCAGCCTGAGTGACAGAGTGAGACCCTGTTTCAAAACAAAAAATGAAAGTTTTAATATGAAAAATTTCAAATCCCAGCTACTCGAGGTTGAGGCAGGAGAATTGCTTGAACCTGGCAGGCAGAGTTTGCAGTGAGCCGAGATGGCGCCACTGCACTTGAGTCTGGGCGACAGAGGGAGACTCCATCTCAATAAATTTTTTTAAAAAAGCAAAAAGCTTTTCAGAGAGAGCAAGAGAGCTTGTTATGTTTTCCAGGCTGACCTTGAACTCCTGGGCTCAAGTGATCTTCCTGTCTCAACCTCCTGAGTAGTTGGAACTATAGGCATGTGCCACCATGCCCAGCTGAGTGGTGTTTTTTTGTGTTTGTTTTTGTTTTTTGTTTTTAAGAACTATATATAAAAATTCGCTGACCATGGTGGTTCACACCTGTAATCCCAGCACTTTGGAAGGCCAAGGTGGGCAGATCACCTGAGGTCCGGAGTTCGAGACCTGCCTGGCCAACATGGTGAAACTCTGTCTCTTCTGAAAATACAAAATTAGCTGGGCGTGGTGGTGCAGGCCTGTAATCCTAGCTACTCGGGAGGCTGAGGCAGGAGAATTGCTTGAACCTGGGAGGTGGAGGTCGCAGTGAGCCGATTATCAACCTACTGCACTCTAGCCTGGGTGACAAGAGTGAAACTGCATCTCAAAAAAAAAGAAAAAAGAACTATATATAAAAATTTAATGGATAAGACAGCTAAATATAAAAAGTGAAACTACATACTACTAGAAATAAAGTGGGTAAATTCCTTTATTACCTTGGAAAAAAGAATGCATGTGTATATGTATGTGTGTATTCCATATATTCCATGTACTCAGATGACCCCTTCTTAAACATAAGGTAACATGCATACTATATTTAGTATTCTGCATCTTATTTTTCCTCATTTAACAGTACATCCTACAGTGTTCTGCCTGCTTCCAGACGAGCAAGGAGACTCATGGTCTGGTTCTTGGACTTCCCTAACAGCATGGCCCCTAAACGCCAGTCTCCACTCCCACTTCAAAAGAAGAAACCAAGACCACCTCCTGCTCTGGGACTGGAGGAGACATCGGCCTCTGCAGGCTTGCCGAAGAAGGGAGAAAAAGAACAGCAAGAAGCAATTGAACACATTGATGAAGTACAAAATGAAATAGACAGACTTAATGAACAAGACAGTGAGGAGATTTTGAAAGTAGAACAGAAATATAACAAACTCCGCCAACCATTTTTTCAGAAGAGGTCAGAATTGATCGCCAAAATCCCAAATTTTGGGGTAACAACATTTGTCAACCATCCACAAGTGTCTTCACTGCTTGGGGAGGAGGACGAAGAGGCACTGCATTATTTGACTAAAGTTGAAGTGACAGAATTTGAAGATATTAAATCAGGTTACAGAATAGATTTTTATTTTGATGAAAATCCTTACTTTGAAAATAAAGTTTTCTCCAAAGAATTTCATCTGAATGAGAGTGGTGATCCATCTTCAAAGTCCACCAAAATCAAATGGAAATCTGGAAAGGATGTGACGAAACGTTCAAGTCAAACGCAGAATAAAGCCAGCAGGAAGAGGCAGCATGAGGAACCAGAGAGCTTCTTTACCTGGTTTACTGATCATTCTGATGCAGGTGCTGATGAGTTAGAAGAGGTCATCAAAGATGATATTTGGCCAAACCCATTACAGTATTACTTGGTTCCTGATATGGATGATGAAGAAGGAGGAGAAGATGATGATGATGATGATGATGATGGTGATGAAGGGGAGGAAGAATTAGAAGATATTGATGAAGGGGATGAGGATGAAGGTGAAGAAGATGAAGATGATGATGAAGGGGAGGAAGGAGAGGAGGATGAAGGAGAAGATGACTAATAGAACACTGATGGACTCCAACCTTCCTTTTTTAAAATTTTCTCCAGCCCTGGGAGCAAGTTGCAGTCTTTTTTTTTTTCTCTTGTGCTCAGTCACCCTGTTCTTCAGCTCTCTTTTCTCTACTCCATGGTTCTCAACTTATTTGGGGGGAAATACCTTGAGCAGAATACAATGGGAAAAGAGTCTCTACCCTTTTCTGTTCGAAGTTCATTTTTATCCCTTCCTGTCTGAACAAAAACTGTATGGAATCAACACCACCGAGCTCTGTGGGGAAAAAGAAAAACCTGCTCCCTTCGCTCTGCTGGAAGCTGGAGGATGCTAGGCCCCTGTATAGTAGTGCATAGAATTCTAGCTTTTTTCCTCCT
The DNA here is from genome assembly GCF_000001405.40 of Homo sapiens. Classification (NCBI taxonomy): domain Eukaryota; kingdom Metazoa; phylum Chordata; class Mammalia; order Primates; family Hominidae; genus Homo; species Homo sapiens. The sequence continues at coordinate 92,074,167 of NC_000001.11, read as the reverse complement.
TTCTCTGTATATTGGGTTCAGAGAGTACACTGTGTCTCTATGTAGGTCAAAGGGACAATATGGACAGTTAGCATTTACCAACACATATCTGTCTACTTTCTCGTGTTTAAAAAAAGAAAAAAAACTTAAAAAAATGGGGTTATAGAAGGTCAGCAAAGTGTGGATTTGAGATGTTTGGGTGGGTTAAGTGGGCATTTTGACAACATGGCTTCTCCTTTGGCATGTTTAATTGTGATATTTGACAGACATCCTTGCAGTTTAAGATGACACTTTTAAAATAAATTCCCTCCTAATGATGACTTGAGCCCTGCCACTCAATGGGAGAATCAGCAGAACCTGTAGGATCTTATTTGGAATTGACATTCTCTATTGTAATTTTGTTCCTGTTTATTTTTAAATTTTCTTTTTGTTTCGCTGGAAAGGGAAGATGATGCTCAGTTTTAAACATTAAAAGTGTACAAGTTGCTTTGTTACAATAAAAGTAAATGTATACACATACACACACACACACAAAAAAACAGTATATCCTAGAGGTTATGCCATACGAATGCAGGTCTTTGTTATTTCTTTTTATTATGACGGCAATTCCACTACATTTCACTCAGCTGCCATTTTAATTTCTTCTTTGAATGATTATTCATATCCTTTGTCCATTTTGCTTTTGGTCTTTTCTCTATTTTTAGATGTTGGAGATATTAGTGTTGTCTGTGATATAATTTGCAAATATATTTTTCCCATTTGTCATTTGTCTTCTGACTTGGCTTGGCTTTTGGTGGGTTTTTTTTTTCCCCTGGTGTTTTTGTTTTAATGTAGTCAAATTTATTCTTTCTTTTTGTTCATTTTTTCTGGACTTTGAGTCATAGGTGGAAAGATTATCCTGACTTCCAGATTGTAAAAGAATTCATACGCTTTCCCCTAATAATGTGTGATTTCACTTTTTATACTTAGCTATTTAATTCATTTGGAATTTATCTTGTTACATGGTATGAAGAAAAGATCCAATTGTATATTTCCTTTTTTTCCAAGTGGCTATCTAGTTATCCCAATACCGTTTATTAAAAGTCAGCTTTTCCCCTTCTCATTTTAGATGCCACTTTTATCGTATGCTAAATTGTTTTGTCCCTTAGTTCTATTTCTGGACTTTCTAGTCTATCACATTGTTCAGGCCATCTATTCATGTGCCAATATCACAGTTTTAATTATAGAGGCTTTATATACATTGCTTTAAAAAAATTTTTACTGGCTGGGTGCAGTGGCTCATGCCTGTAATCCCAGCTCTTTGGGAGACTGAGGTGGGTGGATCACTTGAGTCCAGGAGTTTGAGACCAGCCTGGGCAACATGGCAAAACCCCGTCTTTATCAAAAATAAGAAAGATTAGCCCTGGGTTGTGGTGTGCACCTGTGATCCTGGCTACTCTGAAGGGTGAGGCAGGAGGATCACTTGAGCCCAGGAGGTGGAAGTTGCAGTGAGCTGAGATCACACTGCTGCAAACCAGCCTCGGTGACAGAGCAAGATCCTGTCTCAAAAAATAAAAAATAAAAATAAATTGCTGAATGTTCTATGCCCAAGGGTGAGGGTGCAGTAATTTTTTGCCTTAGTATTGGTCAACTGTTAATCTGCTCAATGTCCTCTCAGTGCTAACAGCAACACAAAGAACTGATAAAGCTGAGAATCCTGCACAAACCTCACTTATACTGTTTCTGGACTCTTCCCTGCATGTATGTAATGGTTAAAAGCATAGACTTTAGAATCATGATATTGAATCCAATTTAAGTTGTTTATTAGTTGTGTGACCTAGCCTACTGGTCTAATAGTCTAAGTCTATTGAGCTTTAGTCTATTGTGATGATCCATGAAGCTCTCCAAGCCTCAGTTTCCCTATAATGGGGATAAGGGTACCTCATGTGGTGGTTAGAAAGACTAAATGAGATAATCCATGTAAAATTCTGCTATGTTGTGCATTATTAGCTTATGACTTATCATCACAAAGTAGTTTTGAAGGTTACTCTTTAGAGTTTTACCTTTCCCCTCACACTGTCTTCCATTCAAATAGGCAATGTCATTTTGCTGTTAGTGTTTGTTTCCTCCTAGCAGTTAAGTTTTACTAGCTCCAGTGGATGTGGTGGGTTTACAAAGGTGATAGTGATGATGACCACTGAAGGTCTTCATGTACAGGGAAGTTGTAATTTTGATTTCTTCCTGCCATCATATTTAAGAATAGGCAGCCATTTGGAAAAGCCATTTCGAAAAAGAAAAGCGATTACAGAATCAGAATAGCACCGTATTACAACCCTCAATGATCTAAGTGATGAACAGCAATAGCTGCAAAAATCACAAAAAGAAAACCAGGCAATATATGCTTTCTGATGAAAAACACACTACATGTATGATCTTGCCAAATGAATCAAACCTGAATTTGATCAAGCCTCTGGATTCCAATCAGCAGAAAATACAATCAGCAGAAGGATATGCTGATTTGTACCATAAATATGCACTTGGCAAAATGCAGACTATGGGAAATTCCACAGATCAAACAGCCTAAGTTCTGCAATAGAAAAAGTATAAGCAAAATAAGGGATGGAAGGGAAATCTGTAGATTTTAAAAGGCCTAAAAAATATCTTTCATGGGCTACAATGTAGGGAGAAAAAACATCCAATGTCAAAAACGCGCATGAATAAACTATAGGGTCTAGGAATAGCATCTATTATTAGAGTTTTCTGTTTCTCTGGAGATAGATATAGATAGATAGATAGATGATAGATATAGATAGATAGATAGATAGATAGATAGATAGATAGATCCAATTGGAACCAATATCCAATTGGTTCTGTTTCTCTGGAGAACTCTGTGGGTGGGTGGGTGGGAGTGTGTGTGTGTGTGTGTGTGTGTGTGTGTGTGTGTATGGGGTAGGGGGCAGGATTTAAGGAACTGGCTCACACAATTGTAAAGGATTGGCAACCATCAAATCTGTAGGTAGGCCTGCAGGCTGTAGACCCAGGGAAGAATTGCACATTAAGTCTACAGGCAGTTTGCTGGCAGAATTCCTCCCTCTCCAGGGTAGGTCAGTCTTTTTCTATTAAGGCCTTAACTGATTGGATGAGGCCTACCTACATTATGAAGGGCAGTCAGCTTTACTCACAGTCTACTGATTTAAATGTTAATCTCATGTAAACAATCTCTTCACAGAAACATCTGGAGTAATCTGTGACCAAATATCTGGGTACCACGGCCTAGCCAAGTTGACACATAAAATTAAGCATCACGGTATCAAAATATGCACATTTAGATGATTAAAAAGTAAAGAAATACAGGAAGTGAAGCTATCCAAGTCAGGAAAGGAGCTTAATTTTGAGAGGAAGAGGGAGTTTGTAATTATGATAGGGGTATGCAAGAGCTTGTAAGGTGGCTGGACAAGTTTTATTTCTCAATCTGAGTGTTGGTTGCAAGAGTATTCATCTTTTTTTTTTTTGTTTTTTTTGAGATGGAGTCTCCCTCTGTCACCCAGGCTGGAGTGCAGTGGCGCAATCTCGGCTCACTGCAACCTCTGCCTCCCGGGTTCAAGTGATTCTCCTGCCTCAGCCTCCCAAGTAGCTGGGACTACAGGCGCCTGCCACCACGCCTGGCTAATTTTTGTATTTTTTGTAGAGACAGGGTTTCACCATATTGGCCAGGCTGGTCTTGAAATCCTGACCTTGTGATCCGCCTGCCTCAGCCTCCCAAAGTGCTGGGATTACAGGCGTGAGCCACCGCGCCCGGCCAAGAGTATTCATCTTAAAACAGATTATATTTAGAATATGAAATATAGATATTTATAATATAAAATAATTATTAGCTATAGATTTCCCTGATATCGTTTTCTGTATCTGTATTTATTTTAAAATAAAAAAAATTTAAGTGTTAAGTGTTAAAGAGGGTTTAAACAAAGCTATGTTAAACTTTTTTTTTTTTTTTGAGAGAGAGTCTTGCTTTGTTGCCCAGGCTAGAGTGCGGTGGCGTGATCTCAGCTCGCTGCAACCTGTGGCTCCTTAGCTAAAGCGATCCTCCCACCTCAGCCTCCTGAGTAGCTGGGACTATGGGCATGCACCACCATACCCAGCTAAACATTTGAGGTTAAAATGTAGAGAGTATAATAATGACCCTGCTTTTTTGAATAGCTCACTATCTAATGAGAAACAACCTTAAAAGAGTTCTACAAATGTTTAAGTTGCACTACTACTGTTTGAATAAAGATATTGCTTGATAACTACTTTTAAGTGAAAGCTCTTATTTAAATGAATAATTTTCAGTACACTTAAACAAATCATTGTTTTGAATTCTATATATATATATGCATTTATTATCATGGGAATATTGCACCGGATGGGGATTATGAAAGATCGCTTATCCAAATCCTTTTTTTTTTTTCAGGGCAGAACTGCATGGAAATTATCTCAAAATAATATTTGATTTTTTTTTTCTTTTCCTTTCCTTCCTCATCTCCTTACTTTTCTCCCATTCTTCTCTTCTTTCTTTCTACCTTCTGAAAGTATCAGGAAACTGACGAAGTTAAAGCTTTAGGTGCCCCACTTCCATAAGCCCCTTCTAGGGTTCTAGTAGCATCCCTAAAAATGTGTTTACTTGGTTATGTTTTTGTAAAGTTGGCAAACTTTGGTCAAATGTTACCTCATATCTGGTGCTACTGAGTAGCTACAACCATCTTTAAGATTCAGTCACAGTGAAACTAAGTAGGGGATTCAGTGATTAGGGCTGGTGGAGTATGTTTATCAGTTCACATTCACTTCTATGTCTAGATAGGTTGTTGCTCCCTGTCTGGGTATGGGAATGGTTTCCAGGAATACTTTGCTGATTCATCCTGCATGGTGACATGAAGGGGTAGGGCCCAAGGGTCACATCACTATGTGAAGATGTCACATAGTGACAGGTATTGGAAATAAATGTGTAAATAAGTAGAGGCTTCAATTCTCATTGATGCCTTATTGGAACAAAAATAATATTTTCAGTAATGCAGAACATGTTAATTATAAACACATTTTTTTGTGTTTTGATTAAAGTCATACAGAATGAAATTTGTCAAAATTCCTATATTTATGACCTATGTTTATGATATTTTTACAGGTTTTCAGAAATTTTAATCTGTTGTGATTTCTCATTCTAAATAATCACTTCTATACTTTAAAAAGGCAAGCAGGGAACAGGCATACCATATATAATTGTTGCAATGTATTCCCCACACTATATCTTCCTAATATTTATTTTATCTTGAAAAATAAGAAAATGTGGCCAGGCACGGTGGCTCACGCCTGTAATCCCAGCACTTTGGGAGGCCGAGGAGGGTGGATCACCTGAGGTCGGGAGTTCAAGACCAACCCGACCAACATGGAGAAATCCCGTCTCTACTAAAAATATAAAATTAGCCGGGTGTGGTGGCTCATGCCTGTAATCCCAGGAGTCTTGGGAAGCTGAGGCAGGAGAATCCCTCGAACCTGGGAGGCAGAGGATGCAGTGAGCCAAGACTGCACCATTACACTCCAGCCTGGGCAACAAGAAAGAAACTCTGCTTCAAAAATAATAATAATAAATAAGAAAAATAAGAAAATTGAGGCTACTTTTCAAATGACTAAAGAGGTATTTATATAGCTCTTTTCTTTTTTTGGAGGAAATGCAAATGGTAATTTAATGTTTTTATTTACTGTCAGTGTAGCTCTTTTTTTTTTTTTTCTTCTTTTTTGAGATAGGATCTCTGTCGCTCAAGCTGATACAGTGGTGCAATATCTGTTCACTGCAACATCTGCCCCCCGGGCTCAAGTGATCCTCCCATCTCAGCCTCCTGCGTAGCTGGGACTACAGGTGCACGCCACCACACTAGGCTAATTTTGTATTTTGTTTAGAGGTGGGGTTTTGCCATGTTGCCTGGGCTGGTCTCAAACTCCTGGTCTCAAGCGATTCTTCCACCTCAGCCTCCCAAAGTGTTGGAATTATAGGCGTGAGCCACCATGCTTGCCCAAGTGTAGCTCTTAATGTGATATTTTTTTCTGCAACAGTGAGGGACAGGTGATAGGCTTTAATGTTCCTCTGGCCTTATTTTAGCATTAAATACAATAAAGGCACTAACTAGAACCCTGCTGGGTGAACAAGGTTTATGACTAGATCACTTGTTCTTCTACATTTAGGTCACATTAAAACAAATGCTATCTTAAGAAAGAAGAAAAATAGATACTATTAAATCTAACTGAAATATTCCTCAAGCATATTTTAAATATCATAATTGTCTATGCCTCTTAGAGTGAAAACTATTGAGTTTTTCCTCAAAGAGTAATTCTTACTTCAATCATCATTTCTACCTAGAAGATACTTTCACTGTTTTCAGGGCTAACTTGTAACATTTGAATACAGTGATTAAAACTGTACTTTTTGGGGTAATGAATATATATAGGCTGCCTGGAGGTCTAGGTGTGAATTAAATAAGTTGGGATATGCTGGATGCTTCAGGGCAAATTTCTTAAATCTCTCATATGAAATGTACACTGATTTCTGTCCAGCTATTTCCTGAAGAGCCTGGAAACATCAAGATCTGGCACTCCAAAAGCTGCCTAAAGTATAGCAGCGAACTCCTGTTCTGTTATTAAACCATCCGCATCAAGATCAAAAAGCTTAAAGGACATTTGCAGACTCTTTTCAGACCTATTACATACTCTCTGAAGTCTATGTTGCCATCATTATTCCTGCCGAAGTGGGCAGGGGGTTGTCTCAAGGGCTCTGAAATTGGGAGTTTTAAATAACTTGAAAATTCTTCAATTCCTGTCTTCCCTCCTTTTGAGGCAACTGCAATTGCAGCATATTCATCCAAATGCTGATGAATGTTATCCCTGTCTAACTTCAACTTCTGGCTAATGTTTGTAAATTCCACCAAACCAGCTTCTACGGGTAGTTGAAGGTTACCTGCGGAGATCATCACTCTGCAGCCTTCGTAAGTGTGCCCTGTCCCAGGCACCCCTAGAGCATTTGCCATGTTGATGTGTGCTGTATTGGCAAAAAGGATGGGGTCTTTTTTTTCTTCATCATTTGGGATATAAACAGGCATAAACTCAACTTCTACCCTGGTGAAGAGTTGACTGAGTGTCAACATACAGGCCTGTAAGGCTGTGAATCCCTGCCAGGTCCAGATTGCCATGTCCAGGGTGTTTGGGTACCTGAGCAGCACTGGCTACACAGGAACACCTGGACAGAAGGCCCCTGGTTTAAAAGTGACTAGACGGGAGCGATTGATGCACACACCTTCTAGGAAAATCAGAATCTGTGGCCACTTCTTTCCAAATGTCACTCACTTCAGGATTTCATCCTTAGTATTCTTCCTGGAATGGGAGTCTTCTCAAATCACAAGCACCAGCTGTGTTGACAGTAGGAATTTCCCAGCCAATGGGATCTGCACATTTTGACTTGCAGAGACCACTGAGGGTAACCCTGCCACCACACAGGGGATTGAGTCAAAGAAAGTGGACCGTGGTGCTGTAACGAAGATAGGGGCCTTGTCTTGGGTTGCCTTTTTCCCTTTCACTTTAGCCAGGAACCCAAGTAAAAAGAAAGCCACCTGAAGCATGAGCTTGAGTACTGGTTTCACCAGTTTTTTTTCTCCAACTCTTGGCAGGGTTGCAGGATTTGAGCAGGATAGCCAAAGGTGGAAAGCATGGCCACTGGCCAGATGAAGAGGAAGGCGATGCAGGACATTCGTACCCACGAGGATGATGCAGGTCCAGCACCATGCACAGAGGCGTGTCTGCTGAGGATACAAGGACTTGATTAGCTCCTGCGTGATCCCAGACTCCTTCGCCTCCAACTCAGAGTCTGTGGATGCAGAGCCGTGAAACCGACTTAGCAGACCCAGGCTGTGTGTAGCCTGGATTTGGGGGCAGCCTTTGACATGCACCCTTCCCCACATCCAACTGCTTTTTCTGTTTGCACATAATTAGAACTGTTAGAGGAAATTGTAGGTTAATAGAAAATGCTGCATTACCTTTAAAATCAGAAAAATCAAAGATGGTAAATGATGTAACAGGAGAATTTGAATCATATCAACAGCACATTCTTTCTTTCTTTTTTTGCAAACATCTTGCTTTTGACATATGCCTAATAAATTATTTTCACATAGCAATTTCTGATGTTAAATTAGGCATATATTATATACTACTAGGGATATATTAATTTGAATAGATGAATATTATTAATAATTACAACTTTTAATTTAGGTGCCATTACCTGTTTTTATTTACTGTGAGCTGCTTTGGCAGCTAGTAAATCAAATTCACTTACTTGCCCTACCAATAGATTTCTACAGAGATAGTAATAACTGTTTATCCTAAGAGGTTTAACTCAAGATGGCACCCTTGAGGCTTTATATCTGTTACAAGTACTTTTCCATATCTATTAAAAATTAGAGTACATTCATTGTAATAGGCCGGAATTGCCCATGGAATGTTTGATTGATAAATTCTTAAAATTAGTCCACATGAACTTGTCAGCTTCCTAAACTGACATAAGTAGCAACAACAACAAATCTTAAAATCACCTTTGTCAGTAACAGGTTTTTATTAAAATAAGTCAGGATTACTTTACTGTGTCAACACGTCCCATTCTTTCCCTTGTTGCTGCCCTTCTGGAGGGATCAAGAGGGAAGCAACAAGTTGGTATGAACCAGGATTTTTCTATACCTTGTGGCATTTGCAACTCTGACAATGCTCTATAGAATATTCCTATGTTTACTAATGGCTAATTTGAATTCCTTTTCCCTCCCAAAATTAAAAGTCAAATTGTAGGTTCCTGAGAGATATGGCCATCTATTGAAACACACCAGATTACTGCTGAAACAGGAAGAGTGGCGTGGATACCACAAGTCTGCTAAATGGTATCTGGTGTAAGTGGGATCATGGGCTTTACCACCAGATGGCTCTAGGTCAGATCCTAGCTCCAGAACTTACACTATGGGCATTGGCAAAGTTACACGTTAAATCACATTTTTACTATTTATAAATTGGTGATACCTACCTTGCATGTTGTTACGAAGCAATGTGTTGTATAGAGAATTGGATTTTTGTTGTAAATACAACTTGCTGTGATACAGTAATGAGAATTCTTAGGGACATTCTCCTTTGTTCTGTCACGATCAGAACTATGCTTAATGAGGGAAGCAATCCTTTCACCAATTTAGGGCTTATTTGTTCTGTGATGTGATTTGGCAGTGTTACTGGTTGCCTCCCATGTTAAAGGGGAACAACCCAAAAGAATGAGTAGTAGTCCCCTGAGTTGGTATTGTTCTCTATTCTGTAACTCTTTTCAACTCTTACTTATAATGTTCATTTCTACTCTTGAACCTTTATTTAATTTGACTGCATTCTATGTATGCGTCTTTTTTTTTTTTTTTTTTTTTTTTTTTTTTTTTTTTTTTGCTCTTGTTGCCCAGGCTGGAATGCAGTGGTGCAATCTTGGCTCACTGCAACCTCTGCCTCCCAGGTTCAAGCAATTCTCCTGCCTCAGCCTCCCAAGTAGCTGGGATTACAGGCATTTGCCACCATCCCCGGCTAATTTTTGTATTTTTGGTAGAGATGAGGTTTCACCATGTTGGCCAGGCTGGTCTCGAACTCCTGACCTCAGGTGATCCACCCATCTCAGCCTCCCAAAGTGCTGGAATTACAAGCATGAGCCACCACACCCAGCCCTTAAGGCTTCTTATGGGAAAGTTCTATGTTACCACCTTATCTTTCTTTTATATTCCCCACCCCCCCGCAGTGCCTAGCAGTGTGCCAGATATATTATTTATTCATTAAGCAAATGTTTGAGTGCCTACAATATGCCAGGCCCTTAGTCTAGACTTGAATATGTATCAGTTAATAAAACAACAAAAAAATCCCTGCCCTGTGGAGCTTAGATTCTAGTGCATATAAGATGTGTAATATTCAATTCTCGTTGCATTGAATGGGGTAAAAGGATCCTTTCCTTCCTTTTCCCTCTCCCTTTCCCTTTCCGTTCCAACAGGGTCTCACTCCATTGCCCAGGCTGGAGTGCAATGGCCCAATCATGGCTCACTGCAACCTCAAGCTCCTGGACACAAGCGATCTTCTCACCTCAGCCTCATGAGTAGCTGGGACTTCAGGTGTGCACGCCTACGCCTGCCCACTTTTATTTTTTATTTATTTTTGGTAGAGATGAGGTTTTACCATGTTGGCCAGGCTGGTCTCAAACTCCTGGTCTCAAGTGATTCTCCCGCCTTGGCTTCCCACAGTGCTGAGATTACAGGCATGAGCCACCACGCCCAGCCAAGATGTCAGCTTTAAAAAATGGTTTAATGTTCCCAGTATAAATAGTATATGGCCCATTTTAAAAATGCATATTCATTTAGCTATATTTGCCTTCAAACTAATAGATATACTATAAATCCAAAGAGATTCGATAATATAACTTTTTAATGGTTAAAAATAGTAAAAAGAATTTTTGAACAATAGAATGAAAATTTATATTATTTCAGGTTTGCCTTATAATATGGCACAGCTAATCTTTAATATACATTTGTAAAAGGCACCATATGTTAACAGAGTAAAAAAAAGCAAGAAACCAAAATGGAAGCACTTACTCCAAACTTCCTTTTTGTACAAGTGTATATATTTTAAGGCAGATGCTTGTCTGTGCAAAATACACCAGAAGAAAATCAACATTGTATTATATGTTCACATGATCTCAGATTTTTTTCAATACCATTTGTCAGGATATTTATTTATGATAAAGCACATTAAAACAGTTTTTTTCTAATAAAACATAAAGAAGTTGATGAACAATTTTTAAAAATTATTTAGAGATTTCATTACAGACCCTTCATAGAAGATAAAGAAAAGTCAATCTTTTTTTCTTGTTTCTTCTTTTAGAAATGTCCATATCAATTTGTTCACTATGTCAGGTTGGTCTTGCTGAAGCCAATGACTGGCTTCTGACAAAATAGTTAGCCTGAAATAGTTTTTAACATAAATCTTTGTGACTTCAGCCATCTCAACCTCCATGAATGCGTCATTCTCTCCCCACAGTAGTAGTGTTGGAGTGGTCACCATGTGATGTTTGAGAGGCAGGCAGCTATAAAAACAAAATACATGGGCTTGAGATTCACTGTCAAAGTTAAAATGACATTTTCCTATAGTGCCCCAGTAGGTCATACATTCTTGAAGTGAGCAATCTTGCCTCTAAAAGGGTGAAAATTGTGTTCTTGGGAGGGTGAAAAAAATCTTACCCTTTGCATATATAAAGCATGGATATACATACAGTACATAAACAGATACTAAAATTTCACAGGGTGGGGGTGATTAGGGAAAAAAAAGTCTAAAAAGGCTCCTTAGGAAAGTGATAATGAAAAAGTGATTGAGAAACAATGCATTAAGTAATCAACATTTACTATAAAATATTTAAAAGGCTATTTAAGAAAAGACCCAGTAAAATTTAAATTGGATGAGGCTAGTAAAATGTATAATAAAAGCTGTAAGTTAAATAGGAAATTCATCACTATGAGGAGTAATTTGTTTCTTTTTTTTTTTTTTTTTTTTTTTTTTGAGATGGAGTTTCACTCTGTCACCCAGGCTGGAGTGCAATGGCACGATCTTGGCTCACTGCAACCTCCACCCTCCGGGTTCAAATGATTCTCCTTCCTCAGCCTCCTGAGTAGCTGGGACTACAGGTGCCTGCCAATGCGCCTGGCTAATTTTTTGTATTTTTAGTAGAGATGCGGTTTCACCATCTTGGCCAGGCTGGTCTTGAACTCCTGACCTCTTGATCCACCCGCCTCGGCCTCCCAAAGTGCTGGGATTACAGCCGTGAGCCACCGCACCCAGCCAGGAGTAATTTGTTTCAAAAGGATACCAGAATTACTGAATGGTGTAATGAAAGAGAGATTTAAACTATTTATATGTTACTGTTTAGCTTTATTTTAAATTGTTCCTAGATAATCTGATGCATTTTATGTGAAAATTGGAGATGAAAACTCAAAAACTATATTTGAACTGAGCTTTAATATTACATGATACTATATTTTGCAAGAAGATTATTTTTTAAAACAAAGTTTTTGTTGTGTATATATATGTTTTTAAAATTAATTTGAGATGGGGTCTTGCTATGTTGACCAGGCTGGTCTCAAACTCCTGGCTTCAAGTGATCCTCCCATCTCGGCCTCCCAAAGTGCTGGGATTACAGGCATGAGCCAGCACACATGGCCTATACTTTCTTAAGTACAGAAAAATATAAATAACAAAAATAAAATCATTTATAATTCCATTATCAAAAGGGTAATATTTTGGCATTTTCTATGCATATTCTTGAAACCATACTATAAATATAATGCAATATAGACAATTTATACACAGTACACGTATGCAAGTTTCACATTAAATGATACCAAGAATTTTCTCATTTCATAACATTTTTCAAAAATAATTGTAAAAGATACTAGTTTATGGCATAACTCATAAATGACTTGACTATTCCCCTATAATTGAATATTTAGGTTTTGTGGTATTTCTCCTTGTTTTAAATTATGCTATAATAAGCATTTTATGCCCAGATTTTTCTTGGCATTTCTGATAATCCCTTTGAGCTATAGCCTAGAAGTAGAATTCCTGAGCTTAAGGGAACAAATATTTTTTAAGCTTTTGACATCTTCTGTTACTGTTTTTCAGAAAAGTTGATGGTATTAATTATACTCCTATTGATTAAGAAGGAAAATGAACATCTAACTGTTTAGCACTGAGTCACATTTTTACTAGTGAATAAAAAAGCCTGATTTGTGGCAATTCAGAGTTGACAGCAGGATATTACACATGCCCACCATGGACTTAACTTCTGACACCATGCAAGTAGCCACCATTTGGTTGTAATACTCCTAAAAATTAAATTCTTTGTAAATGGGTAAATTGATAGAAAAGTGTATTTTATACTTACTAACTGATGGGTTAGAATACAAACTTTAGAGCCGGGCACGGTGGCTCACACGCCCCAGCACTTAGGGAGGCCAAGGTGGGCAGATCACCTGAGGTCAGGAGTTCAAGACCAGCCTGGCCAACATGGGAAACCCTGTCTCTATTAAAAATACAAAAATTAGCCGGGTGTGATGGCTTACGCCTGTAATCCCAGCTACTTGGGAGGCTGAGGCAGGAGAATCGCTTGAACCCAGGAGGCAGAGGTTGCAGTGAGCCAAGATCGCACCATTGCACTCCAGTCTGGGGAACAGAGCAAACTCCGTCTTAAAAAAAAAAAAAAGAATACAAACTTTAAAGCCACTTACATTCTAGAGCACAATAATGTTCAAAACCAAACCATTTTCTAACAGTTATCTGCATGGTTTAGCAATATCGGTGCACAGAACAATTGAATTAGTAAAGTAAGGGGAGTTTTAAAAGACCATTAGTCAAAGAGCCAGGCTGGTTTTGAACTCCTGGCCTCATGTGATCCACCCACTTTGGCCTCCCAAAGTGCTGGGATTACAGGTGTGAGCCATCGCACCCGGCTACCTATTCTTTTCTTTAAAATGATCTCGGCCATTCTCCCATAGAAATTTTAAAATTAGCTTGTCAAGTTTCATTTAAAAACTTTCTTATGGTTTTCACTGAAGTTGCATTAAGTTTATAGAATAATTTGGGGAGAATCCAATAACTTAATTATTTTATTTTTAAATTATTAATTTAAAAACTATTTTTTTTTTTTGAGACAGGGTCTTGACGTATCACCCAGGCTAGAGTGCACTGGCACTCCATCATCATCATCATGATGCAGTGAGCAACATAGCTCACTGCAGCCTTGAATTCCTGTGCTCAAGTGATCCTTCCACCTGAACCTCCTGAGTAGCTGGGACTGCAGAGGCATGCCACAACAGCTGACTAATTAAAAAAAAAATTTTTTTTTCTAGACACATTGTCTCACTGTATTGCAGGCTGGTCTGTAACCCCTGGCTTCAAGCAATCCTCCCACCTCAGCCTCCCAAAGTGCTAGGATTACAGGGAGTCACTGTACCTGGCCCCAATAACCTTATGATATTGCAGTTTTCCACTCATGAACATGATAAACCAGAGCTGGTTTTCAGTAGTTTATACCAGCAAGTCTGTATCAATTGTGAAATTATTAAAATACTTCTCGGTGGGGCAGGGTGGCTCATACCTGTTATCCCAACACTTTGAGATGGTGTCCTTTGAGGCCAGGAGTTCGAGGCTGGAGTGAAGTGTGATCATGCCACTGCACTCCAGTCTGAGCAACAACAAAGTGAGACCCTGTCTCAAAGAAAAAAAAAAAACTTCTCTACTGGTTGGTAAATAGCCACTGCTCTAAGCCCATATTCTTTAATGTCTTAGAATAAATTTTGATAATGCATAAAGGTCATCTTTTGTTAGAGTCATTCCTATATGCCTTAGAATTTTTTGTTGCATTTGCAGGTGCATCTGTTTAATAAATAAATGTTTTATAATTGTTGCTGATTTGTGAGACCATAATTTTGTATCTTGAACTTTTATATATCAACTTTGCTGAGCTGTTTTAATTTTGATAATTTTTCTGTAGATTCTCCTGTTTTTTCTAGATACATAAACACATTATCTATGAATTATTATTTCTTCCTTCCCCAATTCTCACTTTTTTTCCCTTATCTTACATGCTGGCTAAGACATAATATAGTGGTGAATAGAAGCAGTTATAGTAGTCAAGTTTATCTTTTTTTTTTGAGACAGGGTCTTGCTCTGTTGCCAAGGCTGGAGTGCAGTGACGGATCTGGGCTCACCGCAATCTCTGCCTCCTGGGTTCAAGCGATTCTCATGCCTCGACCTCCAGAATAGCTGGGATTACAGGCGCCCATCACCACAACCAGCTAATTTTTTGTATTTTTAGTAGAGACTGGGTTTCACTATGTTGGCCAGGCTGGTCTCGGACTCCTGGCCTCATGCGATCCACCTGCCTTGGCCTCCCAAAGTGCTGGGGTTCCAGGCGTGAGCCACTGCACCTGGCCCTCGAGTTTATCTTTATTCTTTATTTTTGAAAGAAATGCTTTTAGTGTTTCATCACAAAATGATGTTTACTATAGGTTTTTGGTAGACGAAGTTCCCTTCCTCATTGCTGTGGTAATGGAACTGTAATATGATTAACAGATAGACACCAACTGACACAGAGAATATAAAGTTTAATGACAAAGGAAAAAGAAACTTACAAAGATGGTTTCATAAAGCAGGAGATAATATATTACTCTCTCAGATACCAGTAGAACTTTCCAGGCCCTCCAAAGTTTCCCATGGAAATACAACTGTGGAGAGTACTACAAACGTATTACTTACTTTGTAATACAAAGCAAGTATTATACCATTTTAATAGAGGTTTTGTATCTCCTTGGCCCCAACTTCTGAAGAATCTTCTGTGCCTGCCAGCTCTCCAGGTGCAAATAACCAGTGCAAAACACCCTTGATGTTTTATTATTATTATTATTATTTCTGGGACAATTGAGTAAAGCAAAGGTCAGTTTCCCAGAAATACCCCTTCAGCAGATGCAGGCTTATCCCACCTCTCTGAGGTCCACTCCTTTCTCCTCTATTTCTAGATTACTAAGAATCGTTGCATGAATGTGCGTTAAATTTTATTAAACGCTTTTTCTTTATTTAGCTGTTCATATTTTCCCCTTTAATCTGATAATGTGGTAATCAAATTAATGGATTTTTTTTTTTTTTTCTGAGACGGGGTTTCGCTCTTGTTCCCCAGGCTGGAGTGCAATGGCGCGACCTTGGCTCACCACAACCTCCACCTCCCAGGTTCAACTGATTCTCCTGCCTCAGCCTCCCGAGCAGCTGGGATTACAGACATGCACCACCACGCCTGGCCAATTTTGTATTTTTAGCAGAGGTGAGGTTTCTCCATGTTGGTCAGACTGGTGTTGAACTCCCGAAGTCAGGTGATCCACCCACCTCGGCCTTCCAAAATGCTGGGATTACAGGTGTGAGCCACTGTGCCCAGCCTAATTAATTGATTTTTAATGCTAACTCATCCTTGGTTTAATTTTTTAATGCATGCTGAATTCATTTTGATATTTTATTTTGAATGTGTGGATCTATGTTTATAACTTAAATTGACCTATAATTTGCCTGTCTTATTCAATCCTTGTTTTGGTGTGAAAGTTACATTAGCCTCACAAGATGAGCTGAAACATATCTTCCTTTTATAATATCTGAAAGAGTATTTAACAGTGGGATTTTATGTGGTAAAACTTACCTGTAGGCCGGGTGCCGGTGGTTCACACCTGTAATCCCAGCATTTTGGGAGGCTGAGGTGGGTGGATCACCTGAGGTCAGGAGTTCCGAGACCAGCCTGGCCAACATGGTGAACCCCCATCTCTATTAAAAATACAAAAATTAGCCGGACACGGTGGTACACACCTGTGATCCAAGGTACTCGGGAGGCTGAGGCAGCAGAATCACTTGAACCTGGGAGGCAGAGGTTGCAGTGAGCCGAGATTGCACCACTGCACTCCAGTCTGGACGGCAGAGCAAGACTCCGTCTCAAAAAAAAAAAACAAACTTACCTGTAAAACCATCTAGGCTTCTATGTATGGGTGTGTATTTGTATGTCTATGTGTGTTATTATAGATATGCTTTAAACTCATATTGGTTTGCTATAAGTCTTTTCATGTTTTTGAATTCTTCATGAGTAGTTTTGGATAAGTTATGTTTTTCTTAAAAATTGCCTGTTTTGTCAAAGTTCTAAAATTTGTTAACTTAAACATTTATACCTTAATGTCTGTTACATTTGTATTAATAGTTATTTTTTTTACTGCTTTCTGGTTCCTAACTTTGTTTATTTGTGCCTTCTGTTTTTTCTTAACCATTCTTGCCAATAGTTTATGTATCTTAGTAGTCTTCATATAATCAGTTTTTGGTTTTGCCACTTATCTCTATTGTGTCTTTGTTTTTTATTGTATTAATTTTTGCTTTATATATGTAATTTAAATTATTTGTCTTCTAATTTATTTTTGTTTACATGTTCTTTTTCTAACTTCTTAAGTTGAACTCTTATCTCACTGATTTTCAATCTTCTTTTCTAATATAACCGTTAAAGCTATGTATTTCTTCTTAAGTATTGTTTTAACTATTCCTCATGTTTTGAAATATCATTTTTTCTAAGTTTTTACTAATTTCCATAGATTTTTTACCCAGAGTTATTCAGAAGTCAAATTTCTGTATATATGAGGTTTTCTAAAAGTTTGTTGCTATTGTTATTGATTTCTACTGTAATGTGTTCAGAGAAAATAATCTATGTAATATTTTTTGGTATTGGTTAAGATTTGCTTTGTAGTCCAGTAGGTAATCAATATTTGTAATATTCTTTACATGTTTGAATAGGCTGGGTATGGTGGCTCACACCTGTAATCTCAGCACTTTGGGAGGCTGAGGTGGGAGGATCGCTTAAGCCCAGGAGTTGGAGACCAGCCTGGGCAACATAGTGACACCTCACCACTATTAAAAAAAAAAAAAAAGAAAAGAATGTGTATTTTTCTAATTGTTATGTGCAGAGTTGTAAAATTTTTCATCAGATCAAAGATATTAATAGAGTTGTTCAAATCTTCCATACCCTTGTTAATTTGTTTCTGCTTGATTGATCAACTTCAGAGAGAGGTGGGTTAAAATCTCCTACAGTAATTATGGATTTGTCCATTTTTTCTTGTAAGACTGTCACATTTTGCTTTATTATTTGATGTTTTGTTATACGTTTAGAATTATCTTTTTGCAGTACAGGTTCTATAGCTAGTCTTATTCCTAGTTCATCCTGGTTCCTCAGTTCCAAATTTTGGCAAGTCTTTGGATGAGGACATAGTCCCAAGGAGGCTTAGGGTAATAAATGAGGGCTATTTTCATGCCTGACTATAATGTACTATACCTTATTTGTAGTCTTAACGTGCCTGTTTTTAATAGCCCTGTTTTTAATGATATACTCAGCTTTGCTTATCTATATAAAGAATTACTCAGAGGGGGGTCAGAGAGCTTCTAGAGGTCTAATGTAACTCTCCCCCAACTAGATTTAACCTACAACCAACTAGTTTAAAACTCCATCTTTTGCCTTGATAAAACTGTTTTGAAGTTTATAGGCCTGCTCGCTCTCATTCTCTTTCTCCCTCTCTCTCTCTCTCTCTCTCTGCTAATTAACAGGATTCCAGTGATTTCTCTTGGGAATGCAAGTCCTCCTAATAAACAACTATTAGTAAAAGAATCTCAGAAAGATGAGAATATTTTCCCTCTTTCCTTATAGATACTTACAACGTACTGTTCTACAACTCAAAGGAAGTGCGATAAAAAGATAAATTGAGAACATGTTTGAAAACTGTCATTCTCGTCTCCTATCCAAAATTAAGATTTTAAATCTTTTTTCTTGAATATAAAAAAAGACTTGTTTGAAAATGTGCCATTCTATTTTCTCTTTACGTTATTTGTAAAAAAAAACAGAAAACAAAAAACAAAAACAAACAAGAATACGTGAACTTCAGACATTGTTGTTTCAGACATTGTTGCTATATCCTATAAAATATAACCTGTAGCCTCTGCAATCTATCTGCCTTTCTAACCATTGCCTTGCTTGATAAACTGTTACCTACAAAGACCATTTAAATTAACATCTCTGTTTTGCCAAAGATATATATATATTTGTAAGTTTGTTCTTGTTATTCAAAAAAGATTTGGATTTACCTCTTCTTCCCTCATTCATATAATCTCATGACTCCCTTTGGATTCCACAGAGTTTGAAAGATTTTGTTTTATTTAAATCAATACCTGCTGTAACTTTCCATCTCTTACTTTCAACCATTTTGTGTCCTTGTGCTTTAATTGTAACTGTGCAAACACCATATAGATGGATTCTTTTAAAAATCCAATCTGATATTCTCTGTTTTGTAACTGGCAATATTAATATATAAATGCTGGTTGTGCATGCTGACATATTGAAATTGTTTTGTCATTTTAGTTTGTGCTTTCTATTTACCCTGCTTTGCTTCTTTTTCTCCCTTTCTGCCTTTTTGATAGTTTTAAATTTTTTTATTGACAGTTTTTAACTGATCATTTTCTTGTTCCCCTCTACTGGTTTGAAAATAATACTATTCTATTTCTATTATTTTATCACAAAAAATTATTAGCATATATATACATACGCAATTTCTAATTCTATCCTCCATAAAAATTACAACTTGCTTTTTACATTTTTACTTCATTATCTCTCTAAGCTACATTCTGGGTAATTTGGGGGGATTTATCTTTCAATTCATAATTCTCTTTGGCTTGTCTGATCTGCAATTTAACTCATCTATAGACTTCTAGATTTCAATGACCATATTTTTCATTTTCTAGAAGTTCTTTTTCAGCTCTTTCCAGCCTGTCTTGATATTACCTTATTCTTTTCTCATATTTTTTATTCTTTCTTATGTTTAATTATTTAAACATACTTTATAGTCCCTGTTAGTTCTATTATTTGAAAGTTGTAGGAGTTTGGCTGTGACTGTATTCTGACTGCTATTAATGGTAGGTTACTTTTTTTTTTTTTTTTTTTTGAGATGGAGTCTCTCTCTGTCACCCAGGCTGGAGTGCAGTGGCGTGATCTCGGTTCACTGCAACCGCCGCCTCCCAGGTTCAAGCGATTCTCCTACCTCAGCCTCCGAGTAGCTAGGATTACAGGCATGTGCCACCACACCCAGCTAATTTTTGTATTTTTAGTAGAGACAGGGTTTCGCCATGTTGGCCAGACTGGTCTCGAACTCCTGACCTCAGGTGATCTGTCCACCTCAGCCTCCCAAAGTGCTGAGATTATAGGCATGGCCCAGGTTGATATTTTTAAATTTGGATTATGAACTCATCTTTAGGGGACTTCATCTGTGGGAATATTGTGAGGCCTGAATTGAGATGTATCCTGGAGAAGTTTTGTCTTTGTTTCTGCCAGGCTTCCTGGGGAATGTTAACAGCCTAAGGCATGTTAACACATAATTTCTGCCCTGAGAATTCCAGAATCATGGAGGTAGCACAAATTCAAATCCCTAAACCTCAAATTCAAGGCCAGCTGTGGCTCCTAATTCTTAAGAGAAATGGAATCTCATTTTTTTCCCTAAGTACAGACCCAAACTGACAAATATCCATGTCTTATCTTTCACTCTATACTTTCTCCCCAGACAATATGTTCTAAAACCAAAGCTTGTCTCTACGTCAGTGACTCCCAGATCTTATATATCTTCATCCCAGATTCTCTCCTCTGAGTTCCAGACCCTACTACCCAACGGTGTATTTGAATATCTAAGGTATCACCCAAAAG